>NC_000001.11:154434587-155684587 GCF_000001405.40 Homo sapiens | reverse complement strand
CAAAAAAAAAAAAAAAAGCAAGAAATGTAAAAAGGTGTTTTAATAGGACAGATTATAGGATTCAGTGAGATAATGGAGAAGTTTTAGGAAAAATTGTCTGATAGTCCTTTCTTTCTATTGACATGGCCCCTGTATAAGAATGCTATGTAAATTTGTGAAAAGTTTAATATTTTCTCTAATTTTTAACGGGTAGTAGGTTCATGGTGTTATTTTTCTCAAAACGTACATGTGATATGTGTGTGTAGTGTGCATATATGTGCATGTATGTGTATACAATTTCTTTATTTTTTTAATTGAGATTAGGTCTCGCTATGGTTTTTTGTTTTTGTTTTTGTTTTTGAGAGAGAGTTTCGCTCTCCTCGCCCAGGCTGGAGTACAATGGCACAATCTTGCCTCACTGCAACCTCTGCCTCCCAGGTTCAAGTGATTCTCTTTCCTCAGCTTCCCAAATAGCTGGGATTACAGGCGCGTGCCAACACGCCCTGCTGATTTTTGTATTTTTAGTTGAGACAGGGTTTCCCCACGTTGGCCAGGCTGGTCACGAACTCCTAACCTCAAGTTCTCCAGCCGTCTCGGCCTTCCAAAGTGCTGGGATTATAGGAGTGAGCCACTGCACCTGGCCCAGGTCTTGCTATGTAGATCAATCTGGTCTTGAACTCCTGGCCTCAAGCCATCCTCCTGTCTTGGCCTCCCAGTTTGCTGGGATTACAGATGTGAGCCAGCATGCCCAGCTCTTTTTACCTGCTTACCAAATCCAAGATTTTCTCCAAAATGAACTGGAATAGCCTTCTTACTGTGTTAATTTTGCCTTGGTGGGGAAGCCTAAGTCTTGGAACTAAATTGGGGTGGTTATGACAGTTCTCTTTTTAAAGCTGATCAGTATTTCAGTATTTCACTTGTTGTTGTTTTTTTTGTTTTGTTTTGTTTTTTTTGAGATGGAGTCTTGCTCTGTAGCCCAGTTTGGAATGCAGTGGCAGGATTTTGACTCACTGTAGCCTCTGCCACCCGGATTCAAGTGATTCTCCTGCCTCAATGTCCTGAGCAGCTGGGTTTACAGGCACGCACCACTACACCTGGCTAATTTTTGTATTGTTAGTAGAGACAGGGTTTCACCATGTTAGCCAGTAGCCAAGCTGTTCTCATACTCCTGACCTCAAGTGATCCACCTGCCTCAGCCTCCCAAAGTGCTGGGATTACAGGTGTGAGCCACCACGCCTAGCCAAACCCATCTCTTTCATTAAACCACCTCATTTTGGTTCAGAAACAAGACTGCCATGTATGTATTTAATGCTTATTATGTGCCAAGCACTATTCCAGGTACTAAGATACAGTGATGGACAAAACAAGATCCCTTCTCCTCTATCTCAGGACTTATTAATTTGGGCATTTTCATTTTCCAATATAGGATCTTTTAGTACTGGTATAGGATTCCTGAAGGAATTCCTGAAATATAATTATTTTTCTGCTAGAGCAAATCAATTTTGTTTTTTGTTTTTTTTTTGAGATGGAGTTTCGCTCTTGTCGCCCAGGCTGGAGTGCAATGGCGCAATCTCGGCTCACTGCAACCTCCGACTCCCGGGTTCAAGCGATTCTCCTGCCTCAGCCTCCCAAGTAGCTGGGATTACAGGCATTAGCCACCACGCTAGGCTAATTTTTGTATTTTTAGTAGAGACAGGGTTTCACCAGGTTGGCCAGGCTGGTCTCGAACTCCTGACCTCAGGTGATCCTCCAGGCTCAGCCTCCCAAAGTGCTAGGATTACAGGCAGGAGCCACCACGCCCAGAAGAGCAAAATTCTTCTGTTGACAAAAATTTCTTTCCTCTGAGGAAGAGACACTGTGTGCCTGTGTTTTATCCAGGAATTCCATTGGATAGTTTGTCCTTTGGGATGTCAGTGGATTAAATCCTCCATTAAGAATCAAAGTACTTGGCTGGGTGCAGTGGCTCATGCCTGTAATCCCTGCACTTTGGGAGGCTGAGGCAGGTGGATCACCTGAGGTCAGGAGTTGGAGACCAACCTGGCCAACATGATGAAACCCCATCTCTACTAAAAATACAAAAAATTATCCAGGTGTTGTGGCAGGTGCCTGTAATCCCAGCTACTCTCGAAAAAACAGAAACAAAAACTCTGACATGTAGAGTATGTAGATGTAGAGAAAAAAGTAAAATGATTGTTGAAAAAAATGTCTATTTTTTATCTTCTAAATAGCTTTGTGTGTCAGAGATCAGAACGCTCATTTTACATGATATCAAGAACCAGAATGCTAGATAGCTAGAATGGTTGTTAACTTCCTAGATAACCATTGTAGAGGAACACATAAGGTAAAACAAATGAATAAAAATTAAAAAAAAATGAGATAGCCAAAGATTTGAAGCTCTTTACCCATTAACATGATAATCATTTCGACTTTGAATATTTGTAGAACAAGAGTCAGAACTCAGAACAAAGATCTCTGAGGAAATAAAAAAAAATCAAGCTGCCTCCTAATTTCTCATTTAGTCTGTCATTGGGCATTGTCAAACTGTCAAACTATATTTAGAGATTCTGGTTTTCATCTGGAGACTTAGTGAGTTGTGTAATATCTTGAATACACATATAAGATCTTGCCAGGTGGGGTGGCTCATGTCTGTAATCCCAGCACTTTGGGAGGATGAGGTGGGAGGATCGCTGGAGCCCAGGAGTTCAAGACCAGCCTGGGCAACATAGCAAGTCCCTGGCTCTATTTAAAAAAAAAAAAAAAAAAAAATCCTCAATGTAGAACTTTAAATTTATCCTTACGTGTTACATCCAGTTGATTTGAGAAAATATGATTCTGAATTTTCCATCAATTGGATTGGCAGTCCCTTTCAGCTTTACAGCTTTACATCATCTACAGATTTGTTAAGTATGTTCTCTTGGTCTTCTAATTCACTGATGGAGTTTTTGAATAGGTCGGGTCCAAAGATAGAGTCCTATGAAACACTGTTGGAAACTTGTCTCTGTCTGTCTCTTTTTTTTTTGGAGACAGTGTCTTGCTCTGTCGTTCAGGCTGGAATGCAGTGGGACGGTCTCAGCTCACTACAGCCTCTGCTTCTTGGACTCAAAGAGATTCTCTCACCTCAGCCTCTCAAGTATATGGGACTATATGCATGTGCGACCAAGCCCAGATAAATTTTTTTTTAGAGATATGTTGACATTTTGCCCAGGTTGGGAGACTTGTCTCTTGATTCCATTCAGTATTGTGTGGGTTTGGATAGGCCATCTAATTATAAAATCATTGGGCTGGTCATGGTGGCTCATGCCTGTAATCCCAGCACTTTGGGAGGCTGAGGTGGGCGGATCACCTGAGGTCAGGAGTTTGAGACCAGCCTGACCAATATGGAGAAACCCCATCTCTACTAAAAACACAAAATTAGCTGGGCGTGGTGGTGCATGCCTGTAATCCCAGCTACTTGGGAGGCTGAGGCAGGAGAATAGCTTGAACCTGGGAGGCGGAGGTTGCAGTGAGCCAAAATCGTGTCATCGCACTCCAGCCTGGGCAACAAGAGCGAAACTCCGTCTCAAAAAAAAAAAAAAATCATCTAGCTCACATTTTCTCCTTGTCTTCTTCCTATTAGAATTTAAGTTCAATGAGATTAGAACTCTCTCTCTCTCTCATTCTCTCATATATCCCAAGCATCTAAAACAGGGATTGAAACATAGTAAGTACTCAATAAATGTTTTTGAATAAATGAATGAAGGATAGCTGGGCGTGGTGGCTCATGCCTGTAACCCCAGCACTTTGGGAAGCCAAGGTGGGTGGATCACTGGAGCTCAGGAGTTCAAGACCAGCTTGGGCAACATGGGGAAAACCCATCTCTACAAAATATGGAAGAATTAGCCGGGCATGACAGCACACTCCTGTTGCCCCAGCTACTTGGAGGGCTGAAGTGGGAGGATCGCTTGAGCCTGGGAAGCAGAGATTGCAGTGAGCCGAGATCAAGCCACTGCCCTCCAGCCCGGGTGACAGAGTGAGACCCTGTCTCAGGAATAAGGATAGATATGAAGAATTCGTCAGATGCCTTGTTGAAAACATCATACATTGTCTACATGGAATTCCTCCATATTGTAAAATGAATCTAATTTATACCAACAACGTTTGGCTTTTTTGCAGAAAAGGAAGCAAATGAGCTGATGGAAGATCTGTTTGAAACTGTGAGTAATGATCCTCAAGTGAGAACATGGGATTGTAAGTTGGTTCTCCAACAAAATGTGTCCTTTGATCTCTGTGATGCTCCTTCTAGAAGAGGGACTGAACCAATTCTCCTTTTAGTCTACCTGGGAAAGAATATAATGACAAAAGAAATTTGCTAACTGCTAGACTCTTGATTATCCACATGTAGGTTATTCTTACTAAAATTTTCCTTGAAGCTTTTTTTTTTTTTTTTTGAGGCAAAGTCTTGCTCTGTCACCCAGGCTCTGGAGAATACAGTGGTGAAATCTCAGCTCACAGCAGCCTCGACCTCCAGGGCTCAAAACAATTCTCTCATCTAAGCCTCCTGAGTAGCTGGGACTACAGGCACACACCTACAGGCCCGGCTAATTATTTTATTTTTTTGTAGAGACAGGGTCTTGCCATGTTCTGGAACTCATAGGCTCAAGTAATCTTCCTGCCTCAACCTCCCAAAGTGCTGGAATTACAGGTGTGAGCCAGCACATCTTGCCCCTTGAAAACTTTTGATGGCTTCCCCTACTGTCATTTGGTGTGTCCTTAAAGATTGCCAACTAGTTTTAAAGTATTTTGCACACAAATAATTACCTTTTCCATAAATTTGTCTAAAAAGATATTTCTGTTTAAGAAATTGATCATTTTGAGTTATCCTAGCTCTGTGCTTACTGATACAAGTTGACTGGTTGAGCAACTTCTTTCCTGGCATAATAGTCATTCCATATGTGGGTTTGTAGGAGTCCTGAAGTGAGAAAGGTTCTGATGTAGGCTCTTTCTGGGTGCCAGCATTATTAAAGTATTGTTTATAGTTTTCACTTTTCCTTCCCAACACTGGAGCAACATTCAAAAGCCCATTCCCCAGGAAAACCCTCCCTTTCCTTTGCCCACAGTTCCAAGATGAGATGGGATTCTCCAACATGGAAGATGATGGCCCAGAAGAGGAGGAGCGTGTGGCTGAGCCTCAAGCTAACTTTAACACCCCTCAAGCTCTACGGTAGGCTAGTTGAAGACCTTGAGATTTGGAATAGAGGAAGAGTTTATTTCTGAAAAGGTTTTCAGAAGTTGCAGTTAACAATTTTTCATCCCCAGCCAGCTTCTGTTACTGATGTAAGGATGCAGAGTCCTGTCAGGAGTTAGGTGTCAAGTGAAGTCTCCTTGTTATGGGGCAGTGCAGCTGTAGGCCAAGCTGTATCTGTTTGGGAAGGGAGAAAAAACAGTAGCTGGCATCCATATCCACTTCTCCGGGTGAGTGGTGCTGGAGAGGTATGTAGGACTCAATGTGGCCAGCCACACAAACTACCCTATATTGTAATATCCAGTCTGTCCCTTTTGTTCTTTTTATGTGCCATTAATATCTGCTAAATGTGACTGAAAATTTGTTAGTCACCTAGGCATTAGTGGAGCAAACCCTGAAGCACCTGCAGTAAGGAGTCTGAAACATACGTGCTGACCTTTTTGCCTAAAGTTGGCACTTGTGTTACAGCATCCAGAAAGTAGAGGCTTTAATTTTTTCCTCATTTTGTGGTGGATTTGCATCTGCACTTTATTCTGTTGTAGCAGCATATAATCATTAGGTCGATGGCGAGAGGTCAGGATGCAGTTTGTGCCATAAGTGGAACAAAGCAAAGAGAATAGTCCCTGTAATTAGTCCTGTGTTTGAACTTAACAGCACTACTAAGCAGAGAGCTTGGGTTCCATCTGAAAGCTAGACCTTTAGGGATTTTCCAATTTAGTGAAAAAAGATAAGATAGGCCAACCAATGTCTTAAAAACTAGAACTACTAGTCATTCTCCATTACAACAAATATCACAATACAACTACATCAAAAATCTCAAGATTGCTAAGTCAGTATTTGACCCATTATTTTAATTTATAGTTCATAGAACAAAATTCTGGTATAGCAGAATGGAACCATTCATCCTGGGAACGTATAATAGGATCTGATTAATAAATATTTTGGTTTTGCTGATCAACTCTTTATAACTTCTTAAAATTTGGAAAATATAGAACTAATTTAAAATTCCTGTTAGAATCCAGTTACCTTCTGGTATTCAATGGAATATAGTCATATATCATCTCATGGTCATACCCTCTGTGAAATCTATCATTAAACGATTCATCATTGTGTAAACATCGTAGAATGTACTTACATAAACCTAAATGGTTTAGCCTACTGCATACCTATTGCTCCCAGGCTACAAAACCTGTACAGTGTGTTACTGTACTGTACTGAATACTGTAGGCAGTTGTAACACAATGGTAAGTACATATGTATGTAAACATAGAAAAGGTACAGTAATCTTATGGAGCCACCTCTGACTATGTGGTTCGTTATTGACTGAAACATTCTGTGGCGCATGACTGTACTTGGGCAGCTTCTGCTTCTCTTTCGATTGCAAATACAAACCTGTTTTTGTTTTAATCTTTGACTAAATAAAAATCCCTCTGTAAGTCCATAGAGAGTAAGCACATCTTAAAACACAATAAGGAAGAGAGAGGAGAAAAAGACAGTCAAAACAAAAACTCTGGGGCTTCCCTTATCAATTACCTAAATAATCCTTGTTAAAACTAAGTGCAGGCTATGTTTCCATTTTCTACTTTTTTATGCTTCTTCTCTTCTGTTCCTTCAGTGGTGGTAGCGCGGATGTTCAAATTTTCAGTTCTCAGTAAAGATTGTATAGACAGTCCCACGGTCTTCAGGTTTTTACTCTGTGCTACCCAAACCTACAGTAAATACTATAAAAGAAAACTTATTCAAACGTAATCTTTATCTGCAAAAACTATTGAAAAACGTTACCATTTAACTATTGCTGTAATATAGGGGGTTCCTTGAAATATGATAACCTGCTTGTTATAGCTACTTCAGCAGATCTTATCCTGTTGCATAGGGTATCAGCATATGCTTAATCATTTAGGTATATTATTCTCCCTTTATTTCTTTCTATGTAAACATAGAAAAGGTATAGTAATCATACATAGAACTGACATGCTAGGTATTGGAATTTTTGCTTCAGCCCTGCAAACAATCTTTCAGGAGGGTATGGATGGGAAGTTAGGGTTAGGAACCTTGGAAGAGGAATTTAAAGGGCTAAAAGAAGATAGCCTTCATGGATAATATTTTAACTAACTTCTCCGTTCTGTTCATTTGAACTACCATGTACTTCAGTTATTTTGGTATATCCTTTTCCTGCTTCATGCTAGAAAGTCTTTGACTTGTTAAGAAAGCAGGGCAGTGCAGCCTGAGTAGATAGGATAATGGGACAAGCTGGACCTGGGATGGGAGTAACATCCCAGGGAGTAACAAGTAATGAGAGAAGAAATGAGAATGATGAGTTCCCACCAGCTCCTTGGCTGCTTTCTTACCCATATATTTCTCTGTCCCTAGTTTTTTGTTTAATTTTTTCTTCATTTGTATATTATTTGGAAGAGGAATTGTAGAGGAATGGGATGGGGTGTAATACAGAATCATTTGATGCATGCTAACTACTTTGGGAAAAGATTTGTGTAAGGCTGGGAGTTTGACTGTTGGCTAAAGTGAAAAGGGGGGATTAGTAGGGAATGAAAATTGTTCAGGCTCTTTGCTCATCATTGCAAAGAATTGGATGTGTTGTGGACCTAGGAAAACACTCAAATTCAGTCATCCCCGTTTGGGATAGGTTTGAGGAACTACTGGCCAACCTACTAAATGAACAACATCAGATAGCGAAGGAACTATTTGAACAGCTGAAGATGAAGAAACCTTCAGCCAAACAGCAGAAGGAGGTAGAGAAGGTTAAACCCCAGTGTAAGGAAGTTCATCAGACCCTGATTCTGGACCCAGCACAAAGGAAGAGACTCCAGCAGCAGATGCAGCAGGTAACACTTTCCTTGGTCATATTAATATTGAATTATACCAAGGCCTAACTCTGAGGCTTTGGTATAATCTAAAATTAGCAGCTTTGTAAATGTCAGAGATAGTTACCTTACTACGTATTAAAACCGTAGTATCTTCACATCAGTTAGGAGCTTGAGAAGTCATCATGTTCATGTCCTGTGGCTCAGGGAAGACAGCACATAAGGACCCTAATGGTATTCGGAATTACAGATTTCAAAGAGTCCTCAGTAATCTATTCTGAAATTTAACCTTCACTGTGACAAGTAGTTTTTTTTCCCTTTTCCCTTTTCTTTTTTCTTTTTTTTTTGAGACGTAGTCTCGCTCTGTCACCCAGGCTGGAGTGCAGTGGCTCAATCTCAGCTCACTGCAAGCTCTGCCTCCCGGGTTCACGCCATTCTCCTGCCTCAGCCTCCCGAGTAGCTGTGACTACAGGGACTCGCCACCACACCCAGCTAATTTTTTGTATTTTTAGTAGAGACAGGGTTCACTGTGTTAGCCAGGATGGTCTCGATCTCCTAACCTCGTGATCCACCCGCCTCGGCCTCCCAGAGTGCTGGGATTACACGCGTGAGTCACTGCGCCCGGCCTTTTCCTTTTCTAATCTCAGTTCCTCCTCTGTTTAGAGGTTAAACTTCCTCTGGTTCTGTCATTTTGTTCAAGGGAACATGTCTGAGAAATTTATGCCAAGATCCTACGTTGTTCTCACACTCTTTGCAGAAAGCAAAATTTGTGTCATAAAGTTGCAAACATCTTAGTTAATGACTCTCTGGTGGCTGGGTGCAGTGGCTCACACATGTAATCCCAGCACTTTGGGAGGCTGAGGTGGGAGGATTGCTTGAGCAGGGGAGTTCAAAAGCAGCCTGGACAACATAGTGAGACTCTGTCTCTACAAAAAATAAAAATAAGGCTGGGCACAGTGGCTCACACCTGTAATCCCAGCACTTTGGGAGGCCAAGGCGGGTGAATCATGAGGTCAGGAGTTTGAGGCAAGCCTGGCCAACATGGTGAAACCCCGTCTCTACGAAAACAAAAAATTAGCTGGGTGTGGCGGCGGGCACCTGTAATCCCAGCTACTCGGGAGGTTGAGGCAAGAGAATCACTTGAACCTGGGAGGCAGAGGTTACAGTGAGCCGAGATCACGCCATTGCACTCCAGCCCAAAAGTCAGTGCGAGACTCTGTCTAAAAATAATAATAATAATAATAATAAAATAAATTAGCCAGGCATTGTGGTCACAGCTACTTGGGAGGCTGAGGTGGGAAGATTGCTTGAGCACAGGTGGTTGAGAGGGCATTGAGTCATGGTTGCACCACTGCACTCCAAGCTGTGTGACAGAGCAAGACCCTGTCTCCAGGGGGAAAAAAAAATATCTCTGGGCTCCTGAAATGGCAGTGTCATAACATATCACTGCATTATTTTCTTTCTCTCCCCAGCATGTTCAGCTCTTGACACAAATCCACCTTCTTGCCACCTGCAACCCCAATCTCAATCCGGAGGCCAGTAGCACCAGGATATGTCTTGTAAGTTTCCAAATTGCCGTAATTCTATAGACTAGAATATAAAATTAGCTTGGCAGGTTATTTCTCACAGTTATTCTCTCAGGTATTTTTGATTGCTGTGGCTTCCTATGTTTGCTGAGTGAACATAAGCCACTGATTCACATGAAAGGACAAAGAGTGTATTCAATTTTTTCTTTTCTTTTTTGAGACAGGGTCTTGCTCTTTCACCCAGGATGGAGTGCGGTGGAACAATTTCAGTTCACTGCAACCCCTGCCTCCCGGGTTCAAGTGATTCTCCTGCCTCAGCCTCCCAAGTAGCTGGGACTACAGGCGGGCACCACCACGGGTAATTTTTTTTGTATTTTTAGTAGAGACAGGGTTTTGCCATGTTGGCCAGGCTGGTCTCGAATTCCTGACTTCAAGTGATCTGCCCACCTCTACCTCCCAAAGTACTGGGATTACAGCCATGAGCCACTGCGCCTGGCCTGTCCTTCTGATATTTTTATTGGGTCCTCCTCCTCATCTTTAGATTCACCCTGACTTCTTAGGTTTTTGGTACCGCTATTCATTTCATAGATGTTGAGGCTGGGCATAGTGGCTCACACCTGTAATTCCAGCACTTTGGGAGGCTGAGGTGATAGGATCACTTGAGCCCAGTGGTCAAGAACAGCCTGGGCAACATAGTAAGACCCGGTCTGTGTTTTTTTTGTTTTGTTTTGTTTTAATTTAAATAATGAAGTAAATATACATGTAGATGTTGAATTCATTATCCATTCATGAAGCTCAATATTAGTGTTTTATGTGTAGAGCTAGTTTTGCTCATGACGTTTTGAGGTATTTTGAGCTTTTTTTTTTTTTTTTTTTTTTTTTGAGACGGAGTCTCGCTCTGTCGCCCAGGCTGGAGTGCAGTGGCGGGATCTCGGCTCACTGCAAGCTCCGCCTCCCGGGTTCACGCCATTCTCTTGCCTCAGCCTCCCAAGTAGCTGGGACTACAGGCACCCGCCACTATGCCCGGCTAATTTTTTGTATTTTTAGTAGAGACGGGGTTTCACCGTTTTAGCCGGGATGGTCTCGATCTCCTGACCTCGTGATCCGCCCACCTCGGCCTCCCAAAGTGCTGGGATTACAGGCGTGAGCCACCGCGCCCGGCCTATTTTGAGATTTTAAATTTGAAATTTGGCCAGGTATGGTGGCTCATGCCTGTAGTCCCAGCACTTTGGTAGGTCAAGGTGGGAGGATTGCTTGAGCCCAGGAGTTTGAGACCAGCCTGGGCAACATAGTAAGACCCCATCCCTACCAAAAAAATAAAAAATAAAAAAATTAGCTGGGGATGGTGCCGAGTGCCTGTAGTCCCAGCAACTTGGGAGACTGAGGTAGGAGGATCACTTGAGCCTGGGACGTTGAGACTGTAGGGAGCCGTGCTTATATATCACTCCAGCCTGGGTGACAGAGTGAGAACCTGTCTCACAAAAACAAAACCATACTTTACCTCATAAAAATTGCCTCAAACTTTTGGACAGGTAATGATAATACTCTCAGCTTCTTCAGTAAGTCTTCTTTGGATTTTGAAGAGTACATTTGCTAGTATTCTAAAACTTCCTTGGTGATCAACAGGATGTCTTCATCTCTTACTGTATTCAGAGGAGGATGAGGAGTACTTGGTTGTAGGCATTATTCTGAGACCAAAAGACAAAACAATTTTAAAAGTAATGGTCCTGGTCGGGTGAGGTGACTCATCCCTGTAATCCCAGCACTATGAGAGGCCGAGGCAGGCGGATTGTGAGCCCAGGAGTTCGAGATCAGCCTGGCCAAGATGGGAAAACGCTGTCTCTGCAAAAAATACAAAAATCAGCTAGGTTTGGAGGTGTATGCCTATAGTCCCAGCTTCTCAGGAGGCAGTGGGAGGATGGCTTGAGCCTGGGAGGGGGAGTTTGCAGTGAGCTGAGATCATGCCACTGCAGTCCAGCCTGAGCGGCAGAGTGAGACCATGTCTCAAAATAAATTAATTAATTAAATTAAAGTAATAGTCCCCATTCTTGAGACTCTTAATTCTAGCTCGGGAGCTAGACCATGTATTCCTTAGTGAGAAACAGTTTAAAAATAAAACAAGAATATAATCCCTGAATATCTGAGAACTCAGGCATAATCTTAACAGTAGTTTATTGTGAAAGACTTTATGATTATTTTTACCTGTTTTTATCCTGTAGTAGGAAGGTCAGCTTCTCATTTAGATTCTGAAGGCTATTGGTATTAATTGTCTGGAATTGTCTTAGATCTTCCTTGTGTCGTGTTTTCCCAGAAAGAGCTGGGAACCTTTGCTCAAAGCTCCATCGCCCTTCACCATCAGTACAACCCCAAGTTTCAGACCCTGTTCCAACCCTGTAACTTGATGGGAGCTATGCAGCTGATTGAAGACTTCAGCACACATGTCAGCATTGACTGCAGCCCTCATAAAACTGTCAAGAAGACTGGTAGGAGACAGATGTGTCAGCTTTAAGTTTTTACTTGCGGTGAGAGGTGGTGGGAATCTTATCCCATAGATAACTTCCTAGGATACTTGCCTAGGAATGGAGGACACAGGACATTTGTAATTTCTTCCTTCTCTCTTTTATCCTCCCTTTGTACTCATTATCCAAGTTCTAGAATTACATGATAATCTCCGGGCCTGGGTAAGGCATGGAGGCAGTGGACAGTATAGGAATATGGGAGGTAGAGATCTGAGGCTCAGTGCTAAGAATTGGACTACAGCAATATGAGGGGTAAGTATTAGGAATCAGATCAAGATAAACTGGGGCCTGGTAAAGATGAAAGTCAGGTGGTAAAGTTCGGTCATGTTTAGCTTTTTATTCTCTTCATTAAGATCAACTAACTTTATTTACCATAATGATTGTAGCATAGGTGATATCTCCATTCTGAATGAAATGTTGACTTGCAAGTTAGGCGTAAATTAGAGATTGTACATTTGCCGTGTTCAGTATTTTAAAGAAATTTGCCGGTTTAGATTCTACCTTGCATTGGTTTAGTATTTTTTGAGAAAATATTTGCTATTTACTTAAGCCAAATATTTACTTCTGATTTGTTTGCTGACTTAGCAAATTAGTTGTGGTTTGTTCTGGATTTGGGTTTGTCTTTGGATTCTATTTTAAATCCCTAAGTCTTATCATTACATTGAATGTAGTTGAATTTAAGTGTACTATATCATAGACACAGATCCCAAACTACTTTAATAGCTATATTATATGAAATGGTAATGAAAACGTGATTTAATACCAAATTATAGTATTATCTTACACATCTAGTGTCCTGTGTTTTTCTTCTGGAGATATAAAAATGACACTTATGGAAGGAGAAATATGGATATAGTAGTTTTGTCTCTAGAAATGCAGAGGTGCCTAAAATTGAGAGGCTGAGAGAGGGAGACAGAAATGAATGAGACTGAATTGTCTCATTCCTTTTATGGTTCTTTTGTTCCCAACCTCAGGAGGAATCTGGGAGAACTTAATGAAAGTTAAGAAAGAATGAAATAAAAGTAAAATTTGGAATACCAGGTTTGTGAGGGAGATTAAAGAAGTTGGAATCTTTTTTCTTTTTTTTTTTTTTAAGATGGAGTCTCGCTCTGTCACCTAGGCTGGAGTGCAGTGGGGTGATCTCGGCTCACTGCAACCTCCGCCTCCCAGGTTCAAACAATTCTCCTGCCTCAGCCTCCCAAGTAGCTGGAATTACAGGTGCGTGCCACCATGCCTGGCTAATTTTTACATTTTTGGTAGAGATGGGGTTTCACTATGTTGGCCAGGCTGGTCTTGAACTCCTGACCTCAGGTGATCCACCTGCCTCGGCCTCCCAAAGTGCTGGGATTACAGGCGTGAGCCAGCACGCCTGGCCTGGAATCTTATCCTGGAAGAAAAAAGCATTGTTGAAGGTCTGTTATCCTTCAGAGATTTAAAGGGGAAAGGAGGTAAAACATTTTTGAGCATACACTATGTGACAGGTATTACTAGGTACTTTTTAAGTGTTTGTTTTACTTTGTGAATAAAGTGTTACACGTAAGAAAGAGTAAGAGAGGCCGGGCGCCGTGGCTTACGCCTGTAATCCAACACTTTAGGAGGCCGAGGCTGTCGGATGACAAGGTCAGGAGATCAAGACCATCCTGTCTACAGTGAAACCCCGTCTCTACTAAAAATACAAAAAATCAGCCAGGCGTGGTGGCAGGCGCCTGTAGTCCCAGCTACTCAGGAGGCTGAGGCAGGAGAATGGCCTGAACCCGGGAGGCGGAGCTTGCAGTGAGCCAAGATTGCGCCACGCACTCCAGTCTGGGCGACAGAGCCAGACTCCGTCTAAAAAAAAAAAAAAAAAAAGTCAACTTTTATTGCCAGTGAATGGGACTCCCTTTAGACCTAATGTTAGTTGAGGAAAGACTGTGGAAACTCTTTGGGGAGTGGTAGGCAGATGGGAGGGAATCAAGTTAGATAAGGACAGCTCTACCTAAATGCAAAAATGCATTCACAGGCTTTTTGAAGCCCTCTTTTTTCCTAGAAGTTGATTTATCAGAGATTTATTTTCTTATAGCCAATGAATTTCCCTGTTTGCCAAAGCAAGTGGCTTGGATCCTGGCCACAAGCAAGGTTTTCATGTATCCAGAGTTACTTCCAGTGTGTTCCCTGAAGGCAAAGAATCCCCAGGATAAGATCCTCTTCACCAAGGCTGAGGACAAGTAAGTGTTTACTCTGGGGGATCAAATATCCCAAGGAGAAGATGTAGTTCCTTTGAGGAGTTTAGGGGAAGTAAGACTTGTATAATAAGACATGGACACAAAAGGAAAAGCAGTATAGATGAGCAGAGTCCTCTAGAACGTGCTTGTTCTAGCAGTGCCAAATACTGCTTTTTGGGGGGATGTTACACACATTTTTAAAATGTTTTAGACTGGACATGGCGGCTCCCACCTGTAATCCCAGCACTTTGAAAGGCCAAGGCAGGAGGTTGGCTTTTCTAATGTTATTATTTATTTAGAGACAGGATCTTACTCTGTCACCCAGGCTGGAGTACAGTGTTGCAATCACAGCTCACTGCAGCCTTGAACTCCTGGGATCAAGTGATCCTCCTGCCTCAGCCTCCATGGAGTAGCTGGGACCACAAGCGTGTGCCACCATACATGGCTGATTTTTTTTGTACAGGTGAGGGTATCTCTGTGTTGCCCAGGCTGCTCTTGAATTCCTGACCTCAAATGATCCTCCCACTCCTGGCCTCCCAAAGTGCTGGGACTATAGGCATAAGCCACCACACCCAGCTAGATTATGAACATTTTTATGGCCCTTTGTGTGTATTGCCACACTGTTAACAGCAAATATGTATATATGTAACCATGATTATATATGTTATGTTAGAGGGTAGTATTGGTGCCAGTTTAATTTGTCTGACGGGGTACCTATTATTCATTTTATATTTGTTTTATTAGAATCATTCTCCTTCCCATGTATTCTCTTTGAACTTCCTTTGTGTTGTTAATATACAGCTCATCATGATCTGACATTTATTGATGATTTATGACTAGTTTCTCTTGCTCCTACTTAATTGTGAACTATTTGATTCTTATTCATAGTACTTAATCACTACTCACTAAATACCTGAAATTTTCTACTGAGTAGTCACCAACTTGTAGTAGTCACTACAAGAATTAGTTGTAGAAAAAGTAGATTGGCCAGCCATGGTGGCTCACACCTGTAATGACGACACTTTGGGAGGCCGAGGCAGGAGGATCACTTGAGGCCAGAAGTTCAAGATCAGCCTAGGCAACAAAGTGAGAACTGGTCTCTACAAATAATGAAATAAAACATTAGTTAGGCATGGTAGCAAACGTTTATAGCCACAGATACTCAGGAGGCTGAAGTGCGGGAATCGATTGAACCCAGGCATTCAAGACTGCAGTGCACTGTAATCATGCCACTGCTCTCCAGCCTGGACAACAGAGCAAAACCCTGTCTGAAAAAAATGAAAAAGTAGATTGGGCCACACGCCATGGGCTCATGCCTGTAATCTCAGCACTTTGGGAGGCTGAGACTGGAGAATCGCTTCAGCTTAGGAAGTAGCAGCTGCAGTGGGCTGCGATCACGCCACTGCACTCCAGCCCAGGTGACAGAGTGAGACCTTGTTTTAAGAACAAGTAAGAAAAAGTAGATTGTAAAATGTGTTAGTCTGGGGAGGCCCTTTAGAAGGAAGGACTGTGAAGTGAGATTTAGTGTTATTGCTCCTTTCTCAGTTTGTTAGCTTTAGGACTGAAGCATTTTGAAGGGACTGAGTTTCTTAACCCTCTAATCAGCAAGTACCTTCTAACCTGCAAGACTGCCCGCCAACTGACAGTGAGAATCAAGAACCTCAACATGAACAGAGCTCCTGACAACATCATTAAAGTGAGTGTTTCCTGCATGCACTATCCAGGCACCTCACCAACACATATCTGTTCTTTTCTCTTGTTATTCTCAAAGAAAAGAAGAACCTTCTTTTATCTAAAGCTAATTTCTCCTACTTATATACTAGATTAATTCCCCTGTTGCCTTTTCAGGGACATTGATTCATTCATTACGTTCCTCTGGAGTATCTTCATCCTCTTAAAAGATTCCACAAATCCATGTTTCCCTGTAATAATTCTCTTTCTTGAACTTTCTAGAAATGATATGCAGTATTCCACTTACATGCTTTGGGTTTTTGTTTTGTTTTGTTTTTTTGGTCAGACATAATCTTGCACTGTCACCCAGGCTGGAGTGCAGGAGTATAGTGGCATGATCTTGGCTCACTGCAGCTTCCGCCTCCCGGGTTCAAGTGATTCTCCTGCCTCAGCCTCCCAAATAGCTGAGATTACAGGCGTGCCCACCACGCTCAGCTAATTTTTTGTATTTTTAGTAGATACGGGTTTCACCATGTTGGCCAGGCTGGTCTTGAACTTCTGACCTCAAGTGATCCACCAGTTTTGGCTTCCCAGAGGCTAGGATTGCAGGCATAAGCCACCGTGCCCAGCCTATATACTTTTTCTCAATTTTGTGTTTGTATGTATGCATGTATGTGTGTGTGTGTGTGTGTGTGTGTTTGTGTGTGTCTGTGTCTGTATGTATGTATGTATGTATGTATGTATGTATTGAGATGGAGTTTCGCTCTTGTCGCCCAGGCCCAGCCTATATACTTTTTCTCAACTCTTTTTACTTATTGATTGATTGATTGAGATGGAGTCTCGCTCTTGACCCCCAGGCTGGAGTGCAATGGTGCGATCTTGGCTGACTGCAACCTCTGCCTCCTGGGTTCAAGTGATTCTCCTGCCTCAGCCTCCCTTGTAGCTGGGATTACAGGCCCCTGCCACCATGCCCAGCTGATTTTTGTATTTAGTAGAGTCGGGGTTTCACCATGTTGGCCAGGCTGGTCTCGAACTCCTGACCTCAGGTGATCCATCTGCCTCGGCCTCCCTAAGTGCTGGGATTACAAATGTGAGCCATTGCCCCCAGCCTTCTTTTTTATTTAGATATTTATTTATGTTTTTTTTTTTTTTTAGAGACAGGTTCTCACTCTGTCATCCTGGCTGGAGTGCATGGGCACAATCATAGGTCACTGCAACCTCAAATTCCTGGGTGATCCTTCCACTTCAGCCTTCCAAGTAGCTTGGACTACAGGTGCATGCCACCAAGGCTAGCCGATTATTTTATTTTGTGTGAAGACAGGGTGTCATTTTGTTTCCCAGGCTGGTCTTGAAGTCCTGACCTCAAGCAGTCCTCTTGCCTCAGCTCGGCCTCCCAGAGTGTTGGGATTACAGGCGTGAGCCATGATGCCCAGCCTTTGGTTTCATTGTGTTTTTGTATTTTTCTTGAGACAAGGTCTTACTCTCCTGCCTAGGCTGGAGTACAGTGGTATAGTCATAGCTCACTGCAGCCTTGAACTCCTAGGCTCAAGCATTCTTCCAACGTCAGCCTCCCAAGGAGCTGGGATTATATGCATTAGCCACTGTGCTTGGCCATTAAATTTATTTATTTATTTATTTTATTTTATTTTTTTGAGACAGAATCTGTCTCTGTCACCCAGGCTGGAGTGCAGTGGCACAATTTTAGCTCACTGCAACCTCCACCTACCGGGTTCAAGCAATTTTCATGCCTTAGCCTCCTAAGTAGCTGGGACTACAGGCATGCGCCACCACACCTGGCTAATTTTTATATTTTTAGTAGAAACATAATTTCACCATGTTGGTCAGTCTGATCTTGAACTCCTGATCTCAGGTGATCTGCCCACCTCGGCCTCCCAAAGTGCTGGAATTATAGGCGTGAGCCTCTGTGCCTGGCAAAAAACTTTTTTTTTTTAGGGATGGGGTGTCCCTATATTGCCCAGGCTGGTCTTCAATTTTTGGCCTTAGGCAATTCTCCTGTCTCAGCCTCTAATTGGTACTGCCTGGTGTATTGGATTTAGGCCTTACTTATTAACCATAAACCACGGAAGCCGAAGATTTACCTCTCTCCTCACTCCCTTACTCCCACCACAAACATGCACATTTTCTGCTCTCCAAACTCCTCACTAGTAGTTATGGTAGAATTTTGGTTAGATTGTATTCAGGGTTTACATTGTAAGATTTTAAGGACTGTTGGCTGGGCGCGGTGGCTCACGCCTGTAATCCCAGCACTTTGGGAGGCCAAGGCAGGTGGATAACGAGGTCAGGAAATCGAGACCATCCTGGCTAACATGGTGAAACCCCAGCTCTACTAAAAATACAAAAAACTGGCTGGGCGTGGTGGCGGGCGCCTGTAGTCCCAGCTACTCGGGAGGCTGAGGCAGGAGAATGGTGTGAACCCGGGAGGTGGAGCTTGCAGTGAGCCGAGATCGCGCCACTGCACTCCAGTCTTGCCAGAGCAAGACTCCGTCTCAAAAAAAAAAAATAGATTTTAAGGACTGTATAAATGCTCTTCACAGCTCAGCTATGTTACTGTGTTACCTTGCCTTTCCTGCTGAACATTTTGTTTCCCAGATCATCTTCTTTCAGTGTGTTCAGGTATTCTAGATATTCTGTCACTTTCATCTTGAAGAAATTGCTCCCTGAGCCCTCTGACATTATTCCACTTTAAGCGTGTTGCTCTCCATGTTGCTGCACTGATGTCTTCTTGGGCTTTTTCTTCACCATCATCCCAGGAATTCCTTTTGCCTCATACTGTGTTAGATCCTCTTATTTCCTGAATTCCACATCTTTGCTTTTGCATTACTTTTTTTTTTTTTTTTTTTTTTTTTGAGACACAGAGTCTTGCTCTGTCCCCCAGGCTGGATCTCGGCTCACTGCAACCTGCAACCTTGGTCTTGGTCTTGAACTCCTGACCTCAGGGGATCCACCCACCTCAGCCTCCCAGAGTGCGGGGATTACAGGCGTGAGACACCACGCCTGGCCTTGTTTTTTGTTTTGTTTTGCTTTTTTTTGAGACCGAGTCTCGCTTTGTTGCCCAGGCTGGAGTCCAAAGGCGCGATGATCTTGGCTCACTGCAACGTCCGCCTCCCGGGTTCAAGCAATTCTCCTGCCTCAGCCTCCCGAGTAGCTGGGATTATAGGCACATGCCACTACGCCTGGCTAATTTTTTGTATTTTTAGTAGAGACAGGGTTTCACCATGTTAGCCAGGATGGTTTTGATCTCCTGACCTCTTGATCCACCCGTTTCGGTCTCCCAAAGTGCTGGGATTACAGGCGTGAGTATTACTTCTTTACTTTAGTGGAACACATTCTAGTAGCTTTTTTTTAAAAAAAATTTTTTTCTGAATTTTAAAAAATTGAGGTGGGGGGGTCTCAGTTTTTTGCCCAGGCTGGTCTCAGACTCCTGGGTTCAAGTGATCCTCCTGCTTCAGCATCCCAAAGTGCTGAGATTATAGGCATGAGCCACCCTGCATGGCCCCATTCCAGTAGCATCCTGAGGGAGAGTGCTTGGGAAGGGAATTTTCACATTTAAACCATCTCCGGGGCCGGGCGCAGTGGCTCACGCCTGTAATCCCAGCACTTTGGGAGGCTGAGGCGGGTGGATCACGAGGTCGGGAAATCGAGACCATCCTGGCTAATGTGGTGAAACCCCGTCTCTACTAAAAGTACAAAAAAATTAGCCGGGTGTGGTGGCGGGCGTCTGTAGTCCCAGGTACTCTGGAGGCTGAGGCAGGAGAATGGCGTGAACCTGGGAGGTGGAGCTTGCAGTGAGCCGAGATCTCGCCACTACACTCCAGCCTGGGTGACAGAGCGAGACTCCGTATTAAAAAAAAAAAAAAAAAAATCTCCATTCATGGTCTTTTGATTGTATCGATGTCAGTTTCCTCGTTTTTGTTTTTGTTTTATTTTTTTTCTTTTTTTGAGACAGAGTCTCACTGTTGCTCACTGCAGCCTCTGCCTCCTGGGTTCAAGCGATTCTCCTGCCTCAGCCTCCTGAGTAGCTGGGATTAGCCACCACACCCAGCTAATTTTTGTATTTTTAGTAGAGATGGGGTTTTGCCATGTTGGCCAGGTGATCTCGAACCCCTGACCTCAAGTGATCTGCCCACCTTGGCCTCCCATAGTGCTGGGATTACAGGCATGAGCCACCACATCCTCCATGTCTGGCCAGTTTCCTGGTAGTAATATTGTACTGTGTACCTTGTTTATATGTATAGCTCTTGTTTCTATGTAACATAAAAACATTATATTGGGAGAAACTGGTTGAAGGGTACATGGGACCTCTTGGTACTATTTTTTGCAATTTCCTATGAATATAATTATTTCAAAATAAAAGGAAAAAATAATACTCTCCTCTGTCACTGTATCTAGAATTCTAGATAGGAAATAATTTTTTTAAGAAGCTTTTAAGGGCCTCACTTCATTTTCTTCTAACTCCTAGTGTGGTGTTAAGAAATTTCATGCCATTTAACTTTTTTTTTTTTTTTCCGAGACAGGGTCCCACCCTGTTGCCCAGTTTGGAGCGTGGCTAAATCATGGCTCACTGGTGTCTCCAACCCGGTGTGCACCACTATGCCCAGCTAATTTTTTTTTTTTTTTTTTTTAAGACATGGTCTCGTTATGTTGGCCAGGCTGGTCTCAAACTCCTGGCCTCAAGTGCTCGTCCTGTCTTGGCCTCCCAAAGTAATGGGATTATAGGCATGAGCCATGGCCCCATTTAACTCTTGAGTCTTTGTGTAACACCTGTTTTTCTCAACCTCTGACAGCATGCAGGATTTTTCCTTTGGCTTCAATATTTTGAAAATGCATGATAATATGCCTTAGTATTTGTCTATTTTTATCCATGGTTTTTTAAAAAGTACTTTCTTTTTGTTTTTGTTTGTTTGTTTGTTTTGAGACAGAGTCTCGCTCCATTGCCCAGGCTGGAGTGCAATGGCGTGATCTTGGCTCACTGGAACCTCTGCCTCCCAGGTTCAAGCAATTGTCCTGTTTCAGCGTCCCGAGGAGCTGGGACTACAGGCGCTCACCACCACACCCTGCTAATTTTTGTATTTTTAGTAGAGACGGGGTTTCACCTTGTTGGTCAGGCTGGTCTCAAACTCCTGACCTCGTGACCCACCCACCTCAGCCTCCCAGAGTGCTGGGATTACAGGTGTGGGCCACCATGCCTGGCGTATCCATGGTTTTAAGGCACACGTGATAAACCTTATTCTTCTGCAGAAATAATTTTTTTTTTTTTTTTTGAGATGGAGTCTCACTCTGTTGCCAGGCTGGAGTGCAGTGGCGTGATGTCGGCCCACTGCACTCTCCACCTCCTGGGTTCAAGTGATTCTCGTGCCTCAGCCTCCCGAGTAGCTGAGATTACAGGCACGCGCCACCACACTTAGCTAATTTTTGTATTTTTAGTAGAGATGGGGTTTCACCATGTTGGCCAGGATGGTCTTGATCTCCTGACCTTGTGATCTGCCTGCCTCGGCCTCCCAAAGTGCTGGGATTACAGGCATAAGCCACCACGCCTGGCCAGAAGTAATTTGTGTTTAAGTTTTAGTTTTGTGTCATTTTTCGTGCACACCTTTGTACTTTTGTTGGGGGATGGGGCGGGGTGTCGGGGTTGGAGTCTTGCTCTGTTGCCCAGGCTGGAGTGCAGTGGTGCAGTCTTGGCTCACTGCAACCTCTTAATTCCTCAGTTCAAGTGATTCTCCTGCCTCAGCCTGCCAAGTAGCTAGGATCACAGGCGTGCACCACCACACCCAGCTAATTTTTTTTTGTACTTTATTAGAGACAGGGTTTCGCCATGTTGGCCAGGCTGGTCATGAACTCCTGACCTCCAGTGATCCATCCTCCTCGTTCTCCCAAAGTGCTGGCATTACAGGCATGAGCCACCATGCCCAGCCCTTTGTACATTTTTTAATGTAGGATGCCATTTGTCCACTTGACTCTCCCACTAGTCTGTAAGCTCCATGAGAGCAGGAATTGCTTCCCTTATGTGTGTGCTTAGCTTTTAGCACAGTGCCTAGGATATAGAAAACATCTTATGTTCATCATGTTGGATGAACAGATGCTTATTGTCATGGTTTAAGTTCAGTTCTTATCTTCTTTTTTTTTTTTTGAGATGGAGTCTCACCCTGTTACCAACGCTGGAGTGCAGTGGCATGATCTTGGCTCACTGCAATCTCCACCCTACCACCCCCACTGCCAGGTTCAAGCGATTCTTTTGCCCCAGCCTCCCAAGTAACTGGGATTACAGGCACCCACCACCACACCCAGCTAATTTTTGTATTTTTAGTAGAGATGGAGTTTCACCATGTTGGCCAGGCTGGTCTCAAACTCTCAATCTCAAGTGATCTGCCCGCCTCAGCCTCACAAAGTGCTGGGTTTACAGATGTGAGCCACCAAGGCCAGCCTATTTACTCTTAAAACTGAACTGCCTCGGTCTTTTTTTTTTTCCTTCCCTTCTGATGCCCTTCACACCATCATTTGCTTAAAGTCTTTGATGTGTCCATTTTATAGATTACGATGCTGTCTTTGCAGCTGTTGAGCAGGAACAAATCTTACATAAGATTGCTCTTAGCATCTGCTTCCTTTTCTCTCTGTGACCTAAACTCTCCCCTTCCTGGCAACCAGAATGGAGATCATCAGTTAGAAAATATTGAATAGGGCTGGGCGCGGTGGCTGACGCCTGTAATCCTAGCACTTTGGGAGGCCGAGGCGGGTGGATCACGAGGTCAGGAGATCGAGACCATCCTGGCTAACACAGTGAAACCCTGTCTCTACTAAAAATACAAAAAAATCAGCCGGGTGTGGTGGCGGGCACCTGTAGTCCCAGCTACTCCGGAGGCTGAGGCAGGAGAATGGCGTGAACCTGGGAGGTGGAGCTTGCAGTGAGCGGAGATCGCGCCATTGCACTCCATCCTGGGCGACAGAGCAAGACTCCGTCTCAAAAAGAAAATACTGAATAACTATAAAATCTTTAAATAGAGATTAGTTTAATTTGAAATGTACAAGTATTCAGCATATGCTATTCGTATATGTGTGTTCATGGATGTTTGTGTATGTGGTCTTGTGTGTGTGTGTGTGTGTGTGTGTGTGTGTGTGTTTCTCTTGATCCACCACCACCCCATTCACCAGCCTGACAGAAGACAGTGTTTCCAGAAGGAATGTAATTCATGCGCATTTTTTTCATGTTAAGTTTTATAAGAAGACCAAACAGCTGCCAGTCCTAGGAAAATGCTGTGAAGAGATCCAGCCACATCAGTGGAAGCCACCTATAGAGAGAGAAGAACACCGGCTCCCATTCTGGTTAAAGGTACAGCCCTCTTCCTCGAAGTCTGTAGGAGGCAGAAGGTCACTGAAAGTTCTGAGAGAATATCAAGGACTTCCTTAATCGTCTAATGCTTTAGTTGTAGAACTAGGACTTCAGGAATCTTCCTGATTCACCTTTCTTCCCTTACTTTTCTGCCCTTCTCCGGGTGATTCTACAACATTTTCAAAATAATGGGTAAAATGGTAATTTGCTAAAGGAAATTCAGAGAAGAGTTTCTAAAGTGTATAATTGGACTGTGGTCTTTGTAGAAATTTCATATGCAGAGTCCCTTGGAAAGATGCCTTGAGCTTGTCTCAGGTCCCTAAACTTAGAAAGTCCTATTCTTTTTCCCAAATTCTGACATGTGCTGGATCAGAGTGTTCTCATTTCCAATAGGCCAGTCTGCCATCCATCCAGGAAGAACTGCGGCACATGGCTGATGGTGCTAGAGAGGTAGGAAATATGACTGGAACCACTGAGATCAACTCAGATCAAGGCCTAGAAAAAGACAACTCAGAGTTGGGGAGTGAAACTCGGTACCCACTGCTATTGCCTAAGGGTGTAGTCCTGAAACTGAAGCCAGTTGCCGACCGTTTCCCCAAGAAGGCTTGGAGACAGAAGCGTTCATCAGTCCTGAAACCCCTCCTTATCCAACCCAGCCCCTCTCTCCAGCCCAGCTTCAACCCTGGGAAAACACCAGCCCAATCAACTCATTCAGAAGCCCCTCCGAGCAAAATGGTGCTCCGGATTCCTCACCCAATACAGCCAGCCACTGTTTTACAGACAGTTCCAGGTGTCCCTCCACTGGGGGTCAGTGGAGGTGAGAGTTTTGAGTCTCCTGCAGCACTGCCTGCTATGCCCCCTGAGGCCAGGACAAGCTTCCCTCTGTCTGAGTCCCAGACTTTGCTCTCTTCTGCCCCTGTGCCCAAGGTAATGATGCCCTCCCCTGCCTCTTCCATGTTTCGAAAGCCATATGTGAGACGGAGACCCTCAAAAAGAAGGGGAGCCAGGGCCTTTCGCTGTATCAAACCTGCCCCTGTTATCCACCCTGCATCTGTTATCTTCACTGTTCCTGCTACCACTGTGAAGATTGTGAGCCTTGGCGGTGGCTGTAACATGATCCAGCCTGTCAATGCGGCTGTGGCCCAGAGTCCCCAGACTATTCCCATCGCCACCCTCTTGGTTAACCCTACTTCCTTCCCCTGTCCATTGAACCAGCCCCTTGTGGCCTCCTCTGTCTCACCCTTAATTGTTTCTGGCAATTCTGTGAATCTTCCTATACCATCCACCCCTGAAGATAAGGCCCACATGAATGTGGACATTGCTTGTGCTGTGGCTGATGGGGAAAATGCCTTTCAGGGCCTAGAACCCAAATTAGAGCCCCAGGAACTATCTCCTCTCTCTGCTACTGTTTTCCCCAAAGTGGAACATAGCCCAGGGCCTCCACCAGTCGATAAACAGTGCCAAGAAGGATTGTCAGAGAACAGTGCCTATCGCTGGACCGTTGTGAAAACAGAGGAGGGAAGGCAAGCTCTGGAGCCGCTCCCTCAGGGCATCCAGGAGTCTCTAAACAACTCTTCCCCTGGGGATTTAGAGGAAGTTGTCAAGATGGAACCTGAAGATGCTACAGAGGAAATCAGTGGATTTCTTTGAGCTAGGAGAATAAGAGTCTGGAGACTGGGAGCCTTCACTTCGGCCTCCGATTGGTGGCGCATAGGGTGTAACCAATAGGAAACCCCTAAAGGGTACTTAAACCCCAGATTTTGCAACTGGGGCTCTTGAGCAGCTTGCTTTAGCCTGCTCCCACTCTGTGGAATATACTTTTGCTTCAATAAATCTGTGCTTTTATTGCTTCATTGTTTCATTGATTTGTGCAATTTGTTCAGTTCTTCATTCAACATTCCAAGAACCTGGACAAATTGTAGTCAAGACCCTCCGACAGTAACATATTTTGGCAAGCCAGCCTGGAGGTAAGTCCAAATTGCGGTGCAGGGGAAGGGGGCGGTTATTTTTCTTTTCTTCTTTCCTTTTTCTTTCCCTGTCAAGCCTTCATTTTTCGGCATGGGCTGGAGCTATATCTCTGTGCAGGGCTCCACTCCATACAGGGGAACCTTTTCCTCTCTCTCTTTCCCTTTTCCAACTTGAGACTCAGCAGATAGCATGTGAACATGGAGGCAACTGCAGGTCTCTGGCCAGGGCCACTCTCCAGTGAGACTGAAGGGTATCCACGTGGAAGCACCTGATCACCATCACCCAGTTTGGGTGACAGACCTGAGTTCTCTTTTTTTGAGTCTTTCAGCTGCTGTTTTCTAACAGCTCTTTGGTAATTGAGGGCAACTGGACAGGGCCACTCTCCAGTGTTACCTGAAGGCCAAGGAATGAATCGGGATAGCTTCCCTGCCCGGAAGGGAGAAAGACTCTTTTATCTTTCCTGGTTATAGTCTCTGAGTTCTACACGTGACACCATTGGCAGTGGTAGCTCATTCAGGGCGAATTCACACTCAGGCCTCTTAAACCCTCCTTTCTTAGGCCAAATTCTCTTACAGAGTTAGCCAGTGAGGGCAAAAGATAGTATCTCCTAGATATTTTGACCCTTCTACTGGATCCATTTGGCTGGCTGATGACCTTTGGGACCCACAAGCTTTAGAATACATTCTACATCTTGGACCTCCACTGAGGGGACCTTGTTTCCTTTGTCTTCACCATATTATTTCAATAGAATGGCCTGCCCTTACACAGGACCCATTGCCATGGTGGTGGATTTTTAAACATTCCCTCTCTTGCCCAGGGCCAGAATGGAATAGCCAGCCCTATTTTATCTTTCATGCCTAAAATCAACCTTTTTCCCTGAAATTACCCATAATCCACATGACAAAAGAAACCTACCAGCCTCCTGTTCCTCTTATTAGGGTTCACAGCTATCACTCTAGTGGAACAGGAAGTGTGGGAAACCATGGCCTTACCAAATTATAAGGATGCTAGAGGCCAGGTGCTGTGGCCCACACCTGTAATCCCAGCACTTTGGGAGGCTGAGGCAGATAGATCACCTGAGGTCAGGAGTTCGAGACCTGCCTGGCCAACATGGTGAAACCCCGTCTCTACTAAAAATACAAAATGAGCCTGGCATGGTGATGCACACCTGCAACCCTAGCTATTTGGGAGGCTGAAATAGGAGAATTACTTGAACCCAGGAGGTGGAGGTTTCAGTGAGCCAAGATCATGTCCATTGCTCTCCAGCCTGGGCAACAAGAGTGAAACTCCATCTCCAAAAAAAAAAAAAAAAAAAAAAGATGCTAGAAGTCAAGGCCTTCATCTAGGAATAAAAGGAGTTAATAGTGGGTCACCAGTGGTGGAGAGAACCTTGCCAAAGTAGTGCTGGCACCCATCAAAGGTCACATGTCACACTAAGATGGGACCCTAAAGGGGGACACCCTTAGGGACCCCAAACAAGCAGCCAGGAACAATGGGCAGTCAATGGAATTCTTAATTATTAACACCATCTGCAATTAGACCTATTTTGCAAAATGCAGGGTAAATTGCCAGAAATCCCATATGTGCAGGTCTTCATGGGTGTATATCAAAACCCAACCATGTGCAAAACTCCAGGACCTGTCCCATAATCAAAGGTCCTAAGGCAGAACCAGATATTGTAGATGATCCTATTTTGACAAGGGTCACCTGTCTCGGGAAATGGCAACCTCTCCCGTATAGCCTGTTGCCAAGTGTTCCTGAGGCTCAAACCCAAGAGCAAAAACCAGGAACCCTGCCAAGTTCCCCTCACAGTGGAACACCTTATTCAACTCCCTTTCAGCCCTACCACTCCTGAGGGAAGTAGCAGGAGCCAAGGGGCCAGTTAGAGTGCAGGCCTGCTTCTCCATAACACAATGTAAAGAAAAGCTTGGAAGCTATTCTGAGAACCCCAGGAAATTTGCAGATGGGTTCCAAACTTTGACTTTAGCCTTTGGTTTCTCATGGAGGGATGTTCAATTAATTCTAGCAACGTGTTGTACCCCCTGGGAACGAATCTTTGAGGCCGCCTGCCAGGAAGTCCACGATTTATTTGCCTG
Organism: Homo sapiens; assembly: GCF_000001405.40. Taxonomy (NCBI): domain Eukaryota; kingdom Metazoa; phylum Chordata; class Mammalia; order Primates; family Hominidae; genus Homo; species Homo sapiens. Next base: position 155,657,242 of record NC_000001.11, on the reverse strand, counting down.
AAGCCTTTAGGGCAATCACCAGGGCCCAGCCCCAGCCCCTACTACTGATCCTAATTGACACCCCTGCGGGAATGAACAACTGGGCCAAATTTCTTGAGGCTCTCCTTGGAGGAATGAAAAAGACAATATCTTAAGGTAGCAAATTATGATCAGGGAGGTTATACAAGGCAAGGAGGAAAATCCAGCCATGTTTTATGGTAGGCTGGGGAAAGGAAATATGCCAATCTGGACACTTCCTCTCCAGAAGGCAAAATATTAATGCAAGGAGGAAAATCCAGCCATCTTTTATGGTAGGCTGGGGAAAGGAAATATACCAATCTGGACGCTTCCTCTCCAGAGGCAAAATATTAATGGCACAGCATTTCATTAGCCAATCCGCTCCAGCCATTAGGCTCCAAAAGCTATAGATGATGCCACAGACTAATCAAAATCAACTTCTTGATACTGCCTTATGGTGTATAACAATCATGACCTGGAGGAAGGAAAAGGAATAAAGAAGAAGCAAGCCAAAATTACGATAGCCATCATTGGAGATGCCCTGAATGCCCAAAGAGTGCCCAAGGGAATCCCAATGGGCCATAAGGATAATGCCAGCAAAGGCTCTTGCTTCAAATGCAAGAAAAATGGGAATTGGGCAAAGGACTGTAGTAAGCCCCCACTGGGACCCTGTTGGCAGTACAAAGGCACCAGTCACAACCCCTGGTGCTGGAGAATTAACTGCCCCCTGTTACACAGAGGAGGTCAGTCAAAACTCTTAACAGTGCAAAAGGAGAAATTGATGAAAACTGATGGGGCCCAGGGCCTTCCTCACCACCCCTGCCCAGGAACATCATTCATTACTATTGAGGAGCCCTGGGTAACTCTGGACATGTTGGGCACCCAAATTTGGTTTCTTTTTGATACAGGGACAAATTACTTTGCCCTTACTACTTACGTAGGAAAAGCTTCCTCCCCATCCACAAGCGTTATGGGAATGGAAGGAGAGCCACAAAAAAGATTCTTTATTCCTCTTTTGACTTGCCAATTTGAGAAACAAATCTTCCAACAAGAATTTCTAGTAGTAACAAGCTGCCCAGTCCCCTTGTTGGGAGGGGATATTATAGTTAAAATAGGGACACTGCTACGATTTAGGCACCACCCAGCAAAATTGCTAATAGTAATGCAGACAATGTCCCAGACCACATTAATAAATAGGTCAACGCACTAGCATGGTATACTGGGAAACTGGGTAGGGCTAAAACAGAAATACACTTGGACAGTGCCCCTCCCTCAGGGCTTTCAGGATAACCATGTTTGTTTGTTTTTTGCACAAGCCTTGGGGATCTAAGGGATCTAAAATTGGAAAATGGAGTGTACTCTAGTATGTACATGACCTTCTTGTGTGTAGCCCAACCCAGGGGGTGACTAAAATACTATAAGAACCTTAAATTTCTCTGCAGATGGGATATAAAGTGTCCAAAAGGAAGGCTCAGATTGCCCACCAACGGGTTCAATATTTAAGGTGTATCTTAACACCCAGAGCCCAGCAAATATCCCCAGAATGAGTGCAAGCCGTATGTGGTTTGGAGCTCCTCCCACACCAAGCAACAGCTTCGTCGTTTTCTGGGGATGGCTGGGTTTTGCAGAAGATGGGTACCAAATTTTGGGCTCATAGCAAAACCCCTTTATGAAAGCAACAAGGGAGCCAGAAAATGAGCCAATTGAATGGACTTTGGAAATGAGAGAAGGCTTTATCAAGTTAAAACAGGCTCTCAGCCAGCCTCCCGCTCTTAGCATCCTAGACCTCACTAAGCCCTTGTATGTAGCAGAAGGGAAAGGCATAGCCATGGGAGTGCCAACTGCCTACTTCTCAAAGAAATTGGACACGGTGGCCAAGCTGCTTGCCGTCGATGGCAGACACTGCTATTTTAGTGGAAGAAGCCGCTAAAATCACCCTGGGTCAGCCACTGGAAGTATTAACCCCACATCAAGTCAATCCTAGAAATAAAAGGACACAACTGTATGATGGGGGAAAGGTTAACCAAATACCAGGCTATGCTCCTGGAAAATCTAGATGTGACCCTTAAAACCTGTAACACTGTGAATCCAGCTTGATTGCTGCCCACAGGCCCAATAATTAATCATTCCTGCGAGCAAGTTATTGCACATACATATGTTAGCCAGCCTGATTTAAAAGGTTGACCTCTCCCAGATTCAGAGGATGACTGGTTCACAGACCTCAGCAGCTTTATATCAAACGGGAACACTGGGCCAGATATACAACAGTAAATTACAATACAATTATTGAGGTCCAACCCCTGCCCCCAGGTATGTCAGCACAAAAAGCTGAGATCATTGCTCTTACTCGAGTTCTGACATTAGGAAAAGGGAAAAAGCTTAACATCTATACAGATTCCAAACATGCATTTCTCGTGTTTCATGCTCATGCTGCAATTTGAAAAGAAAGAGAAAGAGGACTACTAACTAGTAAATCTTCCACCATAAAGCATGGGTCTGAAATTCTTCAACTGTTGGAAGCAATACACTTGCCAAAAGCATAGCCATAATTCATTGTAGGGGGCATCAAAAGAACCTAACCCCTGTAACACAAGGGCACAGAAAGGCTGATAAGCCAAAGCCGCACTGCTCAGGGTGTAATCCCGACAAATTCTAGCACTGCTTCCTTTCTATGATTCCCCAATAGAACCTGAATATCCCTGTGATGTATTCAGGGATATTCGAAGTAAAGGAGGAAGATGGACACAAACAAGGATCCTGGTGGTATATAGTATCAAAAGTGTATCTCCCTCAAACAGCCCAATGGAGAATTATAAAAATCCTGCATGACTCTTTCCATATGTGAGGAGATGCCACTCTTGCCATGATAAACAGGCTCTTCATTGGGCCTGACTTAACTTCCGTGGTTAAGCAGGTCTGTCAAACCTGTTCACTGTGAGCATTCAACAACCCCAGGAACAAAATGCCTCCTCTAATAGAACCAGTCCGGAGAAGGGGCACTTCCCCAGGGGAAGACTGGCAATTGGATTTTACCCATATGCCAGCTTGTAGGGGATACAAGTTTTTGCTAGTACTAATAGACACATTTACTGGCTTACCCTAGCAGAACAAAGAAGGCTAATGAAGTTATAAAAGTTCTCCTAAGATAAATAATCCCCAGTTTGGGTTACCCCAAAGCCTCCAAGGTGAGAGCAGTATGTCTTTCGTCTCCCAAATAACTAAAAGGGTTGCTAAGGCTCTCAGAATCTAATACTATTTACATTCAGCATGGAGACCTCAATCCTCTGGGAAAGTAGAAAGGGCTAATCAACCTCTAAAATCGGCATTAGCTAAGCTATGTCAGGAAACTTCAGAAACTTGGGTCAGCTTGCTGCCCATAGTCCTTTTAAGGATCCATAATTCCCCTAGAGCAAAAATTAATATGAGCCCATTTAAAATGTTATACAGAAGTCTTTTTTTTTTTTTTTGAGACAGAGTCTCACTCTGTTGTCCAGACTGGAGTGCAGTGGCACAGTCTTGGCTTACTGCAACCTCCACCTCCCAGGTTCAAGTAATTCTCCTGCCTCAGCCTCCCAAGTAGCTGGCATTACAGGTGTGAGCCACCACACCCCGCTAATTTTTGTATTTTTAGTATAGATGGGGTTTCACTATGTTGGCCAGGCTGGTCTTGAACTCATGACCTCAAGTGATCCACCCACCTTGGCCTCCCAAAGTGCTGGGATTATAAGAATGAGCCACTGCACCTGGCTGGGAAGGCCATTTTTAATGGATGATCTAATTACTGATCCAGAAATAGCCAGTTTAGTAAAATACGTAATTAACCGGAGACAATTTCAGCAGGCATTTCAAAAGTTTGGAACTCAAAGGTTCTCTGCATTGGGAACTAACCAGCAACCCAAGATCAGGCCAGGAGAGAAAAGTATTTGTTAAAACACAGAAAGAGGGGTCACCTGCTCAACAACTCCAACCCAAATGGAAGGGACTTTTTCAGTGGTGTTGGCCACGCCTTCTGTAGTCAAAGTACCAGGATTAGAAGTTGGATACGTCTTTCTAGGGTCAAGCCTGCAATACCTGAAGCCCCAGACCTGTAACTTGAAGCTTCCGTCAGCCACTATACCTGTGAACCTGTGGAAGACCTGAAGTACCTGTTTTAAAGACAGTCAAAAGATAAGTGAATGCCTACCAACTCTCCTTGGTGTCTATGCTGCATAGTTACTGTAGGTTTGATAATAGTAGCAGTTTTTATATTTTTATAATTTATTGCCTTCTTCCAAATGGATGGAATCATTTCCTTTGTAATAATTAAGCAAAATGTTTTACTTCATTTTTGTAACATTATTCCTGAGAGGATAGGTATACACCCCCTGAAGTTCCCATTCAAAAGAACAAAATAACAGATAAGTATTTTTAGTCCCATAATGGTTAGCCCTGGCCTGTGTATACTGGGACCAGGCATACTGGGAATCAGCTTAATTTTACAGCAGGGTTTTATTTTACTTCTCTGGCAATTAATGGATTCTGGGTATTTATTAAGACTTTAAAATTTAACCCAAAGACTGTTAAATACCACCAGTCCAGCTCTGGCAAAGGACTGTTGGCTTTGTTCATCTCCAACATCACCAAAACACACTGCCATCGCAACCCAGGCTTATCTTGGGCCCTTGAAAAAATGTCCTACCACCTCAACTACAAGGGAGGGACTCCCTTCAAATTAATGGATCTGCATGACTTCTATGACTTCAAAATTACATAAACAACAAAAGTTACAATGTCAGGATGAGCAGTAAACCTTCTCCAGTCCTACCAAAGTAACATTTCTGGGGTTGCATCTCCTCAAAAACCTATTTGGGGCCCAAGAACGCACAAAGAACTAAAATCCCAGGTGCCACTTTGTATTAAAAAATTCTAGTCAAACCCTGGGAACCTTGAGTCATCAGAGTAACTACACCCTAGGGATTAACCTCTCACATGATATGTAAGCTATGCAGTTACCTAGGCTGCATCATTTAGAAAACCTGTATGGTTTGCATGAAACTATTCCTAATTAAGGGCACTTTAAAGGACACACAGTCTAAGTACTGTCAAGGTAGGACCACTAGCTGTGTTCACATTTTCACTTGGGAAGACTGTAGTAATCCTAAGACAGCTAGTTGCCTTTTGGTTCTCCAGTATGAAAATACCTCTGGGTGGTTGCTGGTGGACACTAAGCATAACTACCTTCACCAGGAAAACTTAACTGCTAGGACAACTGAGGATACTTCCCAAGGTCCTTTCCAGCCTTTAACTGGAGCCACCTTAGCAGGGACCTTAACCACTGGGGAAAGAAAAACAAAAAGCTAACCCATATGTTCACCATAGAGAATGATTTTTATCTTGAAAAACACGGAGTCTTTTTCCTGTGTGGAACTAGTTCCTAGTTATGTTTACCAATCAAATGGACTGAAACCTCTACACTTCTTTATTTAGCCCCTGAAATCTGTATAGCTCTCAATAACCAGTCTCTCATACCTTTAACTGCACCCGCCAGGCACAAATGAACCATCAAACTCATACTCCTTTTGGTAGGACTAGGAATAACCGCAGAAGTAGGAACAGGAGTTAGCAGGCTTGCAACATTCCTATCCTATTACCAACGTTTGTCCAAGGATCTTTCAGAGAGCTTGGAAGACATTGCCCAAAGTATTGTCACCTTACAAAATCAGATAGACTCCTTGGCAACGGTCGTTTTACAAAATAATAGGAGACTGGATTTCCTAGCTGCTGAAAAAGGTGGCATATGTCTTTTCCTAAAAGAAGAATGCTGGGGTTTTTTGTTGTTGTTGTTTTGTTTTGTTTTGAGATGGAGTCTCACTCTGTCATCCAGGCTGGAGTGCAGTGGCGCGATCTCGGCTCACTGCAAGCTCCTCCTCCCGGATTTATGCCATTCTCCCGCCTCAGCCTCCCAAGTAGCTGGGACTACAGACGCCTGGCACCACGCCCGGCTAATTTTTTTTTTTTTTTTTTTTTTTTCAGTAGAGACAGGGTTTCACCGTGTTAGCCAGGATGGTCTCCAGCTCCTGACCTCTTGATCCGCCCGCCTCAGCCTCCCAAAGTGCTGGGATTACAGGCGTGAGCCACCGCGCCCCACCGAAGAATGCTGTTTTTATGTCAACCAATCAGGATTAGCAAGAGATGCCGCCTGAAAATTAGCTGATGGGGCCTCTAAAATATAACAACAGCTGTCCGAGTCATGGGGCTTCTGGTCAAGGGCACTAAGTTGGGCTTCATGTCTACTTCCCTTAGCTGGCACATTATTAACAATTATGCTCGCATTGACCATGTTGGACCATGTTTGTTAAATCTTTTAACCAAATGTATTTTTTCTCACCTAGAGGCCATTAAGCTTCAAATGATCATGCAGCAGGGCTTCTATCCAGGGAATGATGCCAGCCCCGGCCAACAAGAAGTCATCCTGTCTCCACTAGACAGAGCAGGGTGAGAGTTCCATGGTCCCCAAGTAGATAGGGACAGTGCCCCAAACAGCATGAAGCAGTTACAGAAGAAAGACTGTCAGTCCCTCTACCTCCTGTAAATATTTGATATTAAGTCTCTCAAGGGGGAATGAGGCAGGAGAATAGGATCTGGAGACAGGGAGCCTTCACTTTAGCCTCTGATTGGTCGCAGGCGAAATCTTCATTTGCATAGGGTGTAATTTCACTTCAGCCTCCAATTGGTCATGGGCTACGTCTTCATTTACAAAGGGTGTAACCAATAGGAAACCTCTAAAGGGTACTCAAACCCAAGAAGATTTTGCAACTGGGGTGCTTGAGCCTCTTGCCCAAGCCTGCTTCTGCTCTGTGGAATGTACTTTCACTTCAATAAATCTGTGCTTTCGTTGCTTCATTCATTTGTTGCTTTGCTTGTGCATTTTGTTCCATTCTCTGTTCAATACGCCAAGAACCTGGACAACTTGTAGTCAAGACCGTCCACTGGTAACACCCTGAGCACGGTATTTGTGATGACATCAAGGAAGAACACACTGTGGAATTAGACACTGGCTCCCCAAGTGAGGAGTTGAGCAGTGCTAGAGAGGTAAAGAAACAGACAATCTTACAGAAGGAAGAAGAGAGGATTCAGCCAACTAAAACCCCTTCATCTTCTCAAGAACCCCCAATGAAGGAAACTTGGGGGGAGATGAGGGCAAAGGATCACCAAATAATGCTTCATCCTCCATGAATCCTGAAGTGAGGCTTAGTAGCCCCCAGGGAAGCCCAAAGACTCATCCAGTGTTGATGGTCAGTCAGTGGGGACCCCAGTTGGACCAGAAACTGGAGGAGAGAAAGATAGGCCAGAAAAAGAGGAAGAAGATGACTTTGATGACCTCACCCAAAATGAGGAAGATGAAATGTCATCAGCTTCTGAGGAATCTGTGCTTTCTGTCCCAGAACTCCAGGTGAGAGCTAGAGAATACTCTCAAGTATTTTGTGGACTCAGTAATATGTTTAACTTATTGATATGCCACCTGCTTGCTTGCTGCACTATGGATAGTCCTAAAATCATTTGTATTTGATTTGTGAATGCATTATGGGACATGATTGTGGAGTTGAGGTGAAATGAGATGGAAAGGATGAAATTTTACTTATTATATTAAACTCGTTTACACATTAAATTGAATCACCTGACCATACTTTAAATGCCTTAAAAAATAGTATATAGGGCCAGGTGCGGTGGCTCATGCCTGTAATCTCAGGCATGGGAGGCCGAGGCAGGCAGATCACCTGAGGTTGGGAGTTCGAGACCAGCCTGACCAACAAGGAGAAATCCTGTCTCTACCAAAAATACAAAATTAGCCGAGCATAGTGGTGCATGCCTGTAATCCCAGCTACTCGGGAGGCTGAGGCAGGAGAATTGCTTGAACCTGGGAGGTGGAGGTTGCAGTGAGCCAAGATCACGCCATTGCACTCCAGCCTGGGCAACAAGAGCAAAACTCCATCTCAAAAAAAAAAAAAAAATAGTAAATAGTCCAGGCTTGGTCGCTCACACCTGTAGTTCCAGCACTTTAGAAGGCCGAGGTGGGCGGATCACAAAACGAGGTCAGGAGTTTGAGACCAGCCTGGCCAACATGGTGAAACCCTGACTCTACTAAAAATACAAAAATTAGCCCGGCGTGGTAGCATGCTCCTATAATTTCAGCCATTCAGGGGGCTGAGGCATGAAAATCCCTCGAACCCAGGAGGTGGAGTTTGCAGTGAGCCAAGATTGTGCCGCTGCACTCCAGCTTGGGTGATGGAGTGAGACGCTGTTGCAAGACAAAAAAAAAAAAAAAAAAAAAAAAAAAAAGGAAGAGGCACATAAATATGGGCTAAGGCAAAGGAAAACTAATTTCAGGGTAAAGAAGAAGTTTTCAAAAGGCATCTTTTCCACTTTCCTGCTGTCAGGCCCAATGTCAGCTATCACTGGGATTTCATAACTCAGGGAATTCCGCTCTGACAGCTGTAGTGGGTTCCCCATTGTTTAACTTCAGATTATCCTGATACAGCTCTGTGCTGTTCTGCAATTCATGAGCCACTAGGAGCCGTAAGTACTCTTTGGAGGGTTTTACAGGAAACAATGGAGAAACTGACTTGGCTGGCATCTGAAAAGGCGCATGAGTCAGGAGGGTGAGTCTGAAGAAGAGAATTCTCAGGAGGAGAACTCTGAGCCGGAAGAAGAGGAAGAAGAAGAAGCAGAAGGAATGGAAAGCCTGGAGAAAGAGGATGAAATGACGGATGAAGCAGTTGGAGACTCTGCTGAGAAGCCTCCTTCTACTTTTGCCTCACCTGAGACTGCTCCAGAAGTGGAGACCAGCAGAACTCCACCAGGTGAGCTAGGCAAACCTATACTGAAGGACCATTCTCACTTAACCTCATTGTCTAGAGAACAGTGTGCAGGGTGGGTAGCTTATAAACCAGGTGGAGGATTTCCAGAGGAAAACTTCTGGATTTCTTCTGCAACCCCACTCCCCCAAAACACATTTAATGTGGTATCTTTGTGGAGAACAGATACGCAGATATTTTGAAATGGAGTTTTTGCTCTTTTTTTTTTTTTTTTTTTTTTGAGATGGAGTCTCGCTCTGTCGCCCAGGCTGGAGTGCAGTGGTGCGATCTCGGCTCACTGCAAGCTCCGCCTCCTGGGTTCACGTCATTCTCCTGCCTCAGCCTCTCCGAGTAGCTGGGACTACAGGCGCCCGCCACCACGCCCAGCTAATTTTTTTGTATTTTTAGTAAAGACGGGGTTTCACCGTGGTCTCAATCTCCTGACCTCATGATCCGCCCGCCTCGGCCTCCCAAAGTGCTGGGATTACAAGCGTGAGCCACCGCGCCTGGCCAGAGTTTTTGCTCTTGTTGCCCAGACTAGTGTGCAGTGTCATCGCAATCTCACCTCAATGCAACCTCCACCTCCAGGGTTCAAGCAATTCTCCTGCGTCAGCCTCCTGAGAAGCTGGGATTACAGGCACACGCCACCACGCCCGGCTAAATTTTTTTTTGTATTTTTAGTAGAGACGAGGTTTCATCATGTTGGCTAGGCTGGTCTCGAACTCCTGACGTCAGGTGATCCAACCATCTCGGCCTCCCAAAGTGCTGGGATTACAGGTGTGAACCACAGCTGCTGGCCTACTCAAAAAATTTTTAAATTGATTCTCATCCATTGCTAGATTTGTATTAGCTTCGTTCACTTTTATTTATTTATTTATTTATTTAATTTATTTATTTTTTGAGACAGAGTCTTGCTCTGTCACCCAGGCTGGAGTGCAATGGCACGATCTCGGCTCACTGCAACCTCCATCTCCCGGACTTAAGCAATTCTCCTGCCTCAGCCTCCCGAGTAGCTGGGATTACAGGAGCCCGCCACCACGCTCAGTTAATTTTTGTTTTGTTTTGTTTTGAGACGGAGTTTCACTCTCGTTGCCCAGGCTGGAGTGCAGTGGCACAATCTTGGCTCTCTGCAACCTCCACCTCCCAGCTTCAATAGATTCTCCTGCCTCAGCCTCCTGAGTAGCTGGGATTACAGGTGAGAGCTACCACGCCCGGCTAATTTTTGTATTTCTTTAGTAGAGACGGGGTTTCACCTTGTTGGCCAGGCTGGTCTCAAACTACTGACCTCAGATAATCTGTCCCCCTCGGCCTCCCAAAGTGCTGGGATTACAGGCATGAGCCACTGCACCCAGCCTCATTCACTTTCTTGTACTGGTTCTTAGCTCACCTGTCATGTGTGGGGCTAAGACCTATGTTTATTTCAGAAAACACTGCTTGTTCCTCATCAAGACATAGTATCTCAAAAGTGCTACAGAAGCCACACTTGCTCTTTAGACTTCCTTTCTCAATATGAAGTAGCTGATTATCTTGTTGTCATCCCAATTAAGGCAGTTACACTGCAGACTCTGCGTAGAGCTGACTTGACGGACTTAGTTTTCATACCATTTTCCCAATAACTTTTTCCTTGAATTGCTCCATAATATTGAATAGGATTTGGCTGGGGTGGTGCATGTGGTGGAATGGGAAGAGCACGGGTTGCAGGGACAGAGAAACAATCCTTTTCATGTGTGCTACAAGGAGAGAGCATCAAAGCTGCTGGAAAAGGCCGAAACAATCATAGAGCTTGCAACAAGTGGGGAAGTTGGGGTCTGGCCAGCAAGGACACCTCCAAGCTGCTGTTGCTGTATGATGAGGACATTCTTGAGCAAGACCCCCTCAGGGAGCAGAAGGACTTGGCTTTTGCCCAAGTTTATCTGACCAGGATAGGCAAATGTTGCTTCCTGTTACTGCCAGTTTCTATGAATGTGGCTGCTTCTCCTTCAAGGGACATGTTTTAAAAAATAAAGTCTGTTTTTCAGGCTACACAAACAGCCTTTGTACGCCTCTGCTTTAATTTTTCTGGCAAAAGATCTCTGTGAGAGAACCACAGGAGAATTAGAGTTCAATCATAAGTATGTTTATTGTTAGTACCCACCACTGAGAGGAGTTGGCTAGCTTGCCTCAGGTAAACAGCAAGGGAAGGGTCCCCTGAGAGCCTCCAACCCATAGGTTAAGTGCCTCATCTTCACATAACATAAAAAGCAGTCTGGGAAAAAAAAATCAAACTGCAGGCACTAATAAGGGAACTAGCACAGGGGGTTGTATCTGGAGACATGCCCGCAACTGCACAGACAGGAGAAACTCCAGCCCACCTACAAAAACTTGCACTAACCTCTCGCTCACTCAGATAAGCGAACAAGGCCAGACATAGAAATGACTTTCCTTTGTATAATCAGTGGGCTCCCAGGAAAATGTTTCTCCTTTTGTGGGCACGAACACAGTGGGCTTTGATGGGTTCTGATGGGCACTTTCCTTTCAATTTTGGACTGTAAGCCTGACGTCTATGAATCATCTCTTCAGGTCCTGATTGGTCCCAGGCCAAGGTCCCGGGCCAAGCTTTCACTTCAGCTCCTGAAAGGTCCTGGGCCAAGCTGAGTAGCTCCTATAAATCTTCACTTCAGCTCCTGACTGGTCCTGGGCTAAGCTAAATCATGCTTTCTCTAAGACAGCCAACAGACTAAGCACATTATTTCCCCTTCGTAGTCCATAAAAACCCCAGACACCAGCCTCATAGTGGGCAACACATTCGAGCCCCCCTCTCCACTGCAGAGAGCTTTCTTCTTCAACTTATTAAACTTTTGCTCCAACCTCACCCGTGTTACCATGCTCCTTTATGTTCTTGAACATGAGATGAATAACTCCAAGTATTATCTCAGACAACGAGAGACTGCTACATCTTGGTGCACTGGCGAGACTACAACATATTCTGGTGCATTGGCTGGGAAGATAGGGATTAATCAGAAGGGTGAATAGGAGTGGACCTTTAACTCTTTACTTTCTGAGGCTTCTTGTCCTCAGTTTTGTCTCTCAAAAGCAAACAGAACACTGGCTTCCTGTCAGCCATTTTAAAACAGTTAGCATGCCTGCCAGCCTTAAGATTTAGCAGACAGGCTTGCTGGAGAGGACTTTGGCAATCCCCATTTGCCCTTGGGTGTTGGGAATTTTGGCTCTGTTCCAATTCAGTTTCCTTTCACAGAGGGCCTAGCCATCATGTGGGATTGGAAGGAGGTCCTAGGGCAACTAAAGGTTCCTGGCTGAGGCTACAGCTCGGTTTACCTGAAGGCCCTTGACCTAAATCTGGTCCCTGACAGCCTGTCAGGGCATCAGCACAAGGTCTTCCAGTCTTTTTCTATTGCATTATTTTCCTCCTTTCTTTTCATGGCTATCATGTCTCCTATCCCTTCTTTGTTTTTGTTTTTGTTTTGAGACAGAGTTTCACTCTTTCACCCAGGCTGGAGTGAAGTGGCACAATCACGGCTCACTGCAACCTCCACCTACTGGGTTCAAGCGATTCTCCTGCCTCAGCCTCCTGAGTAGCTGGGATTACAGGTATGCACCACCAGGCCTGGTTAATTTTTTTTTCTTTTGACACAGAGTTTTGCTCTTGTCGCCCAGGCTGGAGTGCAATGGCGTAATCTCGGCTCACCACAACCTCCACCTCCTGGATTCAGGTGATTCTCCTGCCTCAGCCTCCAAAGTAGCTGGGATTTCAGGCATGCTCCACCATGCCTGGCTAATTTTGTATTTTTAGTAGAGACAGGGTTTCTCCAAGTTGGTCAGGCTGGTCTCAAACTCCCAACCTCGGGTGATCAGCCAACCTCAGTCCCCCAAAGTGCTGGGATTATAGGCATGAGCCACCATGCCCGGTCAATTTTTGTATTTTGAGTAGAGACAGGGTTTCACCACGTTGGTCAGGCTGGTCTAGAACTCCTGACTTCAGGTGATCCACCCACCTCAGCCTCCCAAAGTGCTAGGATTACAGATGTGAGCCACTGTGCCCAGCCATCCTATCCCTTCTTTGTATGCAATGTTGCGGGTGTTTCTACAGCCTAGGACTACAATCTTGCTGGATAGAGTCAGTCAGTGCCTTAGGAATTAGGACTGTAATTCAATGAATTGTCTCTGTGGTTTCCTTGAAATAGGGGTATTCCAAGACCTGGATCTGAACACCTATTTATCTCCCAATGATAGCACTCAGTGGGACTGGATGGGGGTTATTTCTCCCCAAGAAACTATCCCCCACTTCATTAGGTTGTTTCTTCACCCATGTGAGAAGCCAGCACTGTCCAGGAGAACTAGACTGCCTTTCTATAAAACAAGTTAATTTTCTTCTGCTGGGAGGCATACTGTGGGGACAGCCAGGCAAACCCCAAACCTCTCTTTCTAACTGTTGTCGGAAAGAATTTGGAGTCAGTTTTTACCTAGCATTTCTAATCCTACAGTGCCACGTAGTGGAATGGGATTTTTCTTTGTGGGGAGCCTTGTTAACTCTTTGTCCGAAACTTACAGTTCCTCAATTATTTTCCCTCTTATGTCCCATTATCAGTGATCAGGCCCCATGCCCTATTTGTAGACAAGAAAACTACACTTCCAGCACCCAGGAGGAAGCCATCCTGGCAAGACAGAATTAGCCTCAATATTGTCCCCCCAAAGGAAGGACAGCATTCAATCCTTACATTATTTTGAGGCACCTGTTCTGCATCCAACAACACTGGGATGGGATTTAAACAAAAAGGGATTTTATGTTTGGAAGTCAACCTGTCCCATTCTCTGGGATTCTGATGTTTCTCTGGGGCCATAGCAAGGGAAGCCAGAGGCAGTATTGGGACACATTCTCCATTATGGAGACTCTGAGGTACCTTGGGAGCCTTTTGGGCTGAGTTGGTCTAGGAAACCAACAGGGTGGAAAGCTAGGGCCTTCTGCAGGTGAGCATGAATAGTTATGCTGACTAGCTCCTCTGGGTGTGTGGATGAAGGTCATGCTTGCATTCATGGGTAGCATCTATGACGATAGCCGAGACCTAGAGGATGTGGAGGAAGGAGGAGAAGGAGGACCCCATGCCTCTCTTTCCCTCGACCCTTGGTCACACCAAAAGCAGGAAAGGGAGTGAGGGGTGCCTTATATCCCTTCTCTTTCTAGATGGGTAACAAACTGTTGCAGGAAGTCAGGGACCCCAACAGAGGGACTGTCTGGAGTGGTGGCAGAGGAACATAAATTGTGAAGATTTCATGGGCATTTATCACTTCCCTAATAAAACTTTCATAATTTCTTATGCCTGTCTTTATTTTAATCTCTTAATCCTGTTATCTTCGTAAGCTGAGGATGTACGTCACCTCAGGACCACTGTGATGATTGCGTTAACTGTACAAATTGATTTTAAAACGTGTGTTTGAACAATATGAAATCAGTGCACCTTGAAAAAGAACAGAATAACAGCGATTTTAGGGAACAAGGGAAGACAACCATAAGGTCTGACTGCCTGCAGGGTCGGGCAGAATAGAGCCATATTTTTCTTCTTGCAGAGAGCCTATAAACGGAAGTGCAAGTAGGGAAGATATTGCTAAATTCTTTTCCCAGCAAGGAATGTTAATAATTAATATCCTGGGGAAGGAATGCATTCCTGGGGGGAGGTCTATAAACGGCTGCTTTGGGAGTGTCTGTCTTACGCGGTTGAGATAATGACTGAAATACACCCTGGTCTCCTGCAGTACCTTCAGGCTTATTAGGATGGGGAAAAAACCACTCCCTGATAAATTTGAGGTCAGACTGGTCCTCTGCTTTCGAACCCTTTTTTCTGTAGTTAAAGATGTTTATCAAGACAATACGTGCACAGCTGAACATAGACCCTTATCAGGAGTTTTTGATTTTGCCCTTTGCCTTGTGATCTTTATTGGCCTCAGAAGCATGTGATCTTTGTTCTCCTTTTTCCTTTTTGCCCTTTGAAGCATGTGATCTTTGTGATCTACTCCCTGTTTGTACACCCCCTCCCCTTTTGAAGTCCTTAATAAAAACCTGCTGGTTTTTGCGCTCAGGTGGACATCGCTGTCCTACAGAAATGTTATGTCACCCCCAGAGGCCCAGCTGTAAAATTCCTCTGTTTGTACTCTTTCTCTTTATTTCTCAGCTGGCTGACACTTATGGAAAATAGAAAGAACCTACGTTGAAATATTGGCGGTGGGTTCCCCCGATAACAAACCATCTGAAGTCTGCACTCTCCTCAAGTGCATTCTGAAACACTGGAACTCCTTTGATTGTGAGACTCTGAAGAAAAAACAGCTTATATTCTATTGCACAAGGGCAAGGCCCTCTTACAGACAGGAGGTCTAACCTCCTCAGGGAAGCATTAATTTCAATACTATCCAACAACTAGATCTTATTTTTCCCAGTGAGACAACCCCCATCTTTGTAAGTGTTGTAAAATTAACCCTTCCCTCTTGGCAGTCATATCAGGCAAGTCTACAGAATATAATTCCCCAAAGTCAGAGAGGCAAACCCTTGAGGAACCCTCTAATGCAACTTCTCAGTGCCCTAACTGCCTCCTGTATCCAGGGCCCCCAATAGCCATATCATCAGCCCCTCCAGCTATGCTACCCAAAAAGCTGCCAACTTCGCTGTTGCCTTTGCAGGAAATGCTGAATGGACATGGTGCTACTAGGTTTCAAGTTCCCTTCTCATTGCAGGACCTTAGACAAATAAAGGGATAGCTAGGCAAGTTCTCTGATGACCTTCATAGATATATAGAGGCTTTCTAAAATCTAATCCAAGTGTTTGATCTTACATGGGGAGATGCTATGCTACTTTTATGCCAAACCCTAACTGTTGCAGAGAAACAAGAAGCCCTACAGACAGCAGGGATATTCAGAGATGAACAGCATGTCTCCTATAACCAGTCAAAAGAAAAACCCAGTCAAAAGGGGAAACATGGTAAAAAAGAGACAGAATCCCCTTTCCCAACAGGAAGAGAAACTATGCCCCTTAAAAACCCTAATTGGGGCTGGGCGTGGTGGCTCACACCTGTAATTTCAGCACTTTGGGAGGCCGAGGCGGGTGGATCGCCTGAAGTTGAGAGTTTGAGACCAGCCTGACCAACATGGAGAGACCCCGTCTCTACTAAAAATACAAAATTAGCTGGGCATGGTGGCGCATGCCTGTAATCCCAGCTACTCGGGAGGCTGAGGCAGGAGAATCACTTGAACCCAGAAGATGGAGGTTGCGGTGAGCCGAGATTGGGCCATTGCACTCCAGCCTGGGTAACAAGAGCAAAACTCCGAAAAAGAAAAAAACCTCTAATTGGAGTCCTGGTGATCCCATAGACAAGTGGAAAAGAAAACACTTTCTGATGTGCATATTAAAAGGCTTGCAAAGAATCAGAACCAAAACTCTTAATTACTGTAAACTGTCCTTGTTGAATCAGAAACCAAATGAAAATCTCTCAGCCTTTTTGGAAAGGCTGAAAAAAGCTTTAGTGAAACACACCTCCCTGTCTCTCAATTCAATAAAGAACAGGTTCATTACTCAGGCAGCACCTGATAGCAGACGCAAGTTGCTGAAACAGGCCCTGTCCAAAGATCATTCTAGTTTTTGTCACCCTCAAGTTGAAACTTTGTAGTATGTAAAGACACTCTCCTCTGTGCCCCAACCAAGGAGGTCTCAGGAAGGTACTAAGGCTCTCTTCAATTTCATAGCTGAAAGGGAATATAGGGTCTCAAAATCTAAAGCTCAGCTTTGTCAAACTTCAGTAAAGTATCTGGGTCTGGTCTTATCAGAAGGGAACAGAGCACCAGGTAAGGAAAGGATTAAGCCCATTTCCTTTAACAGTTAAGGGTATTCTTAGGCATTACTGGATTTTGCAGACTGTGAGTGCCTGGGTATGGTGAAATAGCTTGCCCTTTATACCACCTCACAAAAGAAACTCAAGCAGCTAAAACTCACTCCCTAACTTGGGAACCTAAAACTCAAAAGCCTTTAACCAGTTAAAGCAAGCTTTATTTAATACACCATCCATCCCTCAGTCTTCCCATAGGGAGGGCATTTAGTTTCTATGTATCACAAAGGAAGGGAATGGCCCTGGGAGTTTTTTTGTTTTTGTTTTTTTGTGTGTGTGTCTTTTTTTTTTTTTTTTTTTTTTTTTTGAGACATAGTCTCGCTCTGTCGTCCAGGCTGGAGTGCAGTGGCACGATCTCGGCTCAATGCAAGCTCCACCTCCTGGGTTCACGCCATTCTCCTGCCTCAGCCTCCCGAGTAGCCAGGACAACAGGCACCCGCCACCATGCCCAGCTAATTTTTTGTATTTTTAGTAGAGACGGGGTTTCACTGTGTTAGCCAGGATGGTCTCGATCTCCTGACCTTGTGATCCACCCGCTTTGGCCTTCCAAAGTGCTGGGATTACAGGAGTGAGCCACCATGCCTGGCTGGCCCTGGGAGTTTTAACTAAGGCTAAAGGTCCAACTCAACAGCCAGTAGGTTACCTAAGCAAGGAACTTCGCCTCGTGGCTAAAGGATGGCCAGCCTGCCTCCAAGCAGTTGCAGCAGTGGCTTTGCTGGTGGCAGAAACCACTGGGTTAAACATGGGGAATAACTTAACTGTTTGCACCCCACACAGTATAGCAGGACTGCTGTCCTCTAAGGGAAGTCTCTGGCTAACAGAAAAATCGCCTCATCAAAAATCAAGCTTTGCTGCTAGAGGAATCTGCAGTCCAGTTGAAAACCTGCCCTTGCCTAAACCCAGCCACTTTCTCCCAGAGGAAATTGGGGAACCTGAACATGATTGTGAACAGGTAGTGGTACAAACCAGTAAAAGAAATGATAAGGATCACTGTTTATATTCTCTGTAAAGTTTTGATTAATGAAAAACAATTTTCATGAAGAGCACTTGGCTTAATTGAAACTGAGTATCCAACCTATAGGTATATTCAAGAGGCCTTTATGTTTTTCCCTCCATAAATCTTGTTTTTCTGGAAAAGGCTTTTTTTCTCTGGCAACTGAATTACTTTTTCCCACTCTGTCTTGCCATTCTTGGTGCATGGATGAAAGGCCCTAGGATGACTTCTGGTGGCCTGGGACTCCTTGGGAAAACAGACAAGATGCCAGAAATCCCATTTAGGAAAAAAATCTGTTTTCCACATGGAATCCCTGGAATCCCTTTTAAAATCTGTTTTTGTCTTCCAACTGTGCATGTTTATTAGGCTCCAAAAACTACATGCTTTTCTGGCCCTATTCCTAAATAGCTCCATCCTGAGCTGCTGGATCTTCTTCTATCTATATAGTCCTATATGGGTTATGTGTGTGATGTCTGTTAAAAAAGACCTCTAATTAATTGACTTGAAGGGTAAGTGCTTGGATTAAATATTTTTTAAAGGGATAATGAAGGTTGTGGTACCTTTCAGTTCATGTGACTTTAATTTTTGAAAAATAAAAACAGCCTTAAAAATTATTGGTAAAGTGTAGATGTCTTCAAGATGTAAATATATGGTCTAAATTATGCAGGTCAGATACTAGGTTTGCTGAATGTTTTAAGGTTGTAAACTTCTTCTTTGGCCTTTAAACTTGCCTGCTTCACAATTGGTAAGACCTGGGGACATATGGAAGTAACCATTCCCCTAACTATGCTGGAAGGAGTCAGACTTTATCTGCACCTAGCACATAATTAAAACAACTTTACCAGGTTTTACATTGAAGTTGAAAATTGCTAAGAGTTACTGTTATAACATGTAATTTAGACTACTGAAAATAGATTTACATGCAAGGTGTGCAAGAACAGTAAAGTATCTTTTTAGTCAAAGATTATAAGAAGGCATGGAAATGCACATTTTGCCTAGGGATACAGGATTGTCTTAAATTAGATAAAATAAAACAAAAAGTTTAAGCAAATGTGGAAAGACTGTAAAAATTAATCTTCCAAAAGGAAACTGTGAACATATTGACTAAATTCAAAAGGGTTTTTCTGAAAATGGAGCACTGAAATAAAAGCACATGGCCAGGCATGGTGGCTCACGCCTGTAATCCCAGCACTTTGGGAGGTCAAGGAGGGTGGATCACCTGAGGTTGGGAGTTCAAGAGCAGCCTGACCAACATGGAGAAACCCCATCTCTACTAAAAATACAAAAAATTAGCTGGGCGTCATTGCACATGCCTGTAATCCCAGCTACTTGGGAGGCTGAGGCAGGAGAATCGCTTTAACCCTGGAGGCAGAGGTTGTGGTCAGCCTAGATCACGCCATTGCACTCCAGCCTGGGCAGCAAGAGTGAAACTCCATCTCAAAAAAAAAAAAAAAAGAAAAAAAGAAAAGCACAACAAGGTTTTCTTAAGATGCTACTCCTCTTTAGCAAGATTTGTAAACGGTTATGAAAGGTTCATAAAAATCTCACCTCATGGTCAAACTGATTAAGATTGAATAGAATTGGGCAACCCTTGGCCGGGTGCAGTGGCTCATGCCTGTAATCCCAGCACTTTGGAAGGCCAAGGCGGGTGGATCACGAGGTCAGGAGATCGAGACCATCCTGGTTAACACAGTGAGACCCCATCTCTACTAAAAATACAAAAAATTAGCCGGGCGTGGTGGCAGGCGCCTGTAATCCCAGCTACTCGGGAGGCTGAGGCTGGAGAATGGCGTGAACCCAGGAGGCGCAGCTTGCAGTGAGCCGAGATTGCGCCACTGCACTCCAGCCTGGGCGACACAGCGAGACTCCATCTCAAAAAAAAAAAGGATTGGGCAACCCTTCTGGGTTCCCTTCCACCATATGGAAGCTTTACTTTCGCTTTCACTTTACTTTCACTTTTGCTTTAATAAATCTTGCCACCGCACACTCTTTGGGTCTGCATGTTTCTCTAATGGAGCTGTAACACTCACCACTGAGGTCCATGGCTTCTTTCCTTGAAGCCTGTGAAACCACGAACCCTTCAATCAAGAAAAGACCTTTGATCAGGAGAAGACTTCTCGTCTCATTTCTGGGGACACATTCAGGATTTCTCCAAAGCAGTGAGTAACATTGAACCCCTCTTGCTTGCTATTCTGTTCTATCTTCTCATTAGAAATTGGAAGAAAACACCAGGCACCTGTCAGCCATTTAAATGTGACAAGCGGCCGGGTGCAGTGGCTCACACCTGTAACTGCAGCACTTTGGGAGGCCAAGGCGGGTGGATCACGAGGTCAGGAGATTGAGATCATCCTGGCTAACACAGTGAAACCCCACCTCTACTAAAAATACAAAAAATATTAGCCAGGCATGGTGGTGGGCACCTGTAGTCCCAGGTACTCGGGAAGCTGAGGCAGGAGATTGGCGGGAACCCAGGAGGCAGAGCTTGCAGTGAGCTGAGATTGCACCACTGCACTCCAGCCTGGGCAACAGAGCAAGACTCCATCTCAAAAAAAAAAAAAAAAGTGACAAGCGCAGCCGCCAGGCTTAAGACACAGGTGTGAGGCTCTCTGGGAAAGGGCTCTCTAACAACCCCCGGCCCTCTGGGCTGGGAGTGTTGGTTTGCCTGGAACCAGGTCCACCTTTCTCTACCTTTCCTGGGAAAAGCTGAGGGCTGGCTAGAGGCGGAAAACTGTCGTCCTGAACTCCCAGCACTGACCCAGTTGAGATCATGGCACAGCGAGAAGCCTCTACACTGCAGCTGCCCATGCGTGCATTTCATGTCTTTTCTGACCCATGCCTCCTGGGTCCTAACGTCCTCAGAGAAGACTTTCTTGAGGTCCTATCCTCTAGGATCTTTCCTAGATCAAGTCTAAGAATCTTTTGGCTAGGAGCCTAAGTCAAGTGGGGAGGTAATCCAAAGACCTTTGCCCATGGTGTCCCCAGGCTTATTCTTATGCAAATGGGTATCAGTATACTTACACGGGACCTGTCCCTCATAACCTGTACCCTAGGTACTATCTGGAACATCAAAAGGCATGTCAGTGGCTGATAGAAGGCCTAAGACATTTTTCCTTTTGTTGCCCTAAACTTACTCCAGATTGTAGAGACTCCTTTAATTACCACCTTTCCTGTCTGGAATCAGCGATTAGAACTGTAGAACTTCTCCACTTGAAGTGGTCATACTTATGGGCCAAAAACAATATAATAGACAATAGGTCCCCTGATTCAAGTCCAAAGGTCAATGAATATTCTTAGGAGGGCAAATAGGGGACAGAAGATTCAGGTATGAAAAGCACAGTTCCAACTTTGGTCCTCCAATTTGCCGCTGCCTTCCCTAAAACTGTTGTGCTATAGTGCCATTTTCAAGGAATTTATCTTGCTGGGACAGCTCCAAGCCCAGAAATATGCTAACTGGTGCCTGGTCTCTAAACTCAAAATACACCCCAAACCTAAGACCCACTTGCAGATGCAAAGGCAATTGTGGGCATGCTGTTAAGGAGCCACTAAAATCCAGCAGCCCAGGACCTCTTTCTTTGTGGCTAAAAAAGGACAGGAAACAAATTCAGGCAAAACTGCTATGTCGGTAAGCACAATTAAATTCATTAAGCAGGGTTCCATGGGTGATTGAGCACCCTGGAAAGTAAAGGACACTAGAACCATAGGGGATGTGTGGGGAAAAGCAAGAGAGATCAGATTGTTACTGTGTCTGTGTAGAAAGAAGTAGACATGGGAGACTCCATTTTGTTATGTGCTAAGAAAAATTCTTCTGCCTTGAGATTCTGTTAATCTATGACCTTACCCCCAACCCCGTGCTCTCTGAAACGTGTGCTGTGTCAACTCAGGGTTGAATGGATTAAGGGCGGTGCAGGATGTGCTTTGTTAAACAGATGCTTGAAGGCAGCATGCTCCTTAAGAGTCATCACCACTCCCTAATCTCAAGTACCCAGGGACACAAAAACTGCGGAAGGCCGCAGGGACCTCTGCCTAGGAAAGCCAGGTATTGTCCAAGGTTTCTCCCCATGTGATAGTCTGAAATATGGCCTCGTGGGAAGGGAAAGACCTGACTGTCCCCCAGCCCGACACCCGTAAAGGGTCTGTGCTGAGGAGGATTAGTATAAGAGGAAGGAATGCCTCTTGCAGTTGAGACAAGAGGAAGGCATCTGTCTCCTGCCTGTCCCTGGGCAATGGAATGTCTCGGTATAAAACCCGATTGTATGCTCCATCTACTGAGATAGGGAAAAACCGCCTTAGGGCTGGAGGTGGGACCTGCGGGCAGCAATACTGCTTTGTAAAGCACTGAGATGTTTATGTGTATGCATATCCAAAAGCACAGCACTTAATCCTTTACATTGTCTATGATGCCAAGACCTTTGTTCACGTGTTTGTCTGCTGACCCTCTCCCCACAATTGTCTTGTGACCCTGACACATCCCCCTCTTTGAGAAACACCCACAGATGATCAATAAATACTAAGGGAACTCAGAGGCTGGCGGGATCCTCCATATGCTGAACGCTGGTTCCCCGGGTCCCCTTATTTCTTTCTCTATACTTTGTCTCTGTGTCTTTTTCTTTTCCAAATCTCTCGTCCCACCTTACGAGAAACACCCACAGGTGTGTAGGGGCAACCCACCCCTACATCTGGTGCCCAACGTGGAGGCTTTTCTCTAGGGTGAAGGTACGCTCGAGCGTGGTCATTGAGGACAAGTCGACGAGAGATCCCGAGTACATCTACAGTCAGCCTTACGGTAAGCTTGTGCGCTCGGAAGAAGCTAGGGTGATAATGGGGCAAACTAAAAGTAAAATTAAAAGTAAATATGCCTCTTATCTCAGCTTTATTAAAATTCTTTTAAAAAGAGGGGGAGTTAAAGTATCTACAAAAAATCTAATCAAGCTATTTCAAATAATAGAACAATTTTGCCCATGGTTTCCAGAACAAGGAACTTTAGATCTAAAAGATTGGAAAAGAATTGGTAAGGAACTAAAACAAGCAGGTAGGAAGGGTAATATCATTCCACTTACAGTATGGAATGATTGGGCCATTATTAAAGCAGCTTTAGAACCATTTCAAACAGAAAAAGATAGCGTTTCAGTTTCTGATGCCCTTGGAAGCTGTATAATAGATTGTAATGAAAACACAAGGAAAAAATCCCAGAAAGAAACGGAAGGTTTACATTGCGAATATGTAGCAGAGCCGGTAATGGCTCAGTCAACGCAAAATGTTGACTATAATCAATTACAGGAGGTGATATATCCTGAAACGTTAAAATTAGAAGGAAAAGGTCCAGAATTAGTGGGGCCATCAGAGTCTAAACCATGAGGCACAAGTCATCTTCCAGCAGGTCAGGTGCCCGTAACATTACAACCTCAAAAGCAGGTTAAAGAAAATAAGACCCAACCGCCAGTAGCCTATCAATACTGGCCTCCGGCTGAACTTCAGTATCGGCCACCCCCAGAAAGTCAGTATGGATATCCAGGAATGCCCCCAGCACCACAGGGCAGGGCGCCATACCCTCAGCCGCCCACTAGGAGACTTAATCCTACGGCACCACCTAGTAGACAGGGTAGTGAATTACATGAAATTATTGATAAATCAAGAAAGGAAGGAGATACTGAGGCATGGCAATTCCCAGTAACGTTAGAACCGATGCCACCTGGAGAAGGAGCCCAAGAGGGAGAGCCTCCCACAGTTGAGGCCAGATACAAGTCTTTTTCGATAAAAATGCTAAAAGATATGAAAGAGGGAGTAAAACAGTATGGACCCAACTCCCCTTATATGAGGACATTATTAGATTCCATTGCTCATGGACATAGACTCATTCCTTATGATTGGGAGATTCTGGCAAAATCGTCTCTCTCACCCTCTCAATTTTTACAATTTAAGACTTGGTGGATTGATGGGGTACAAGAACAGGTCCGAAGAAATAGGGCTGCCAATCCTCCAGTTAACATAGATGCAGATCAACTATTAGGAATAGGTCAAAATTGGAGTACTATTAGTCAACAAGCATTAATGCAAAATGAGGCCATTGAGCAAGTTAGAGCTATCTGCCTTAGAGCCTGGGAAAAAATCCAAGACCCAGGAAGTACCTGCCCCTCATTTAATACAGTAAGACAAGGTTCAAAAGAGCCCTATCCTGATTTTGTGGCAAGGCTCCAAGATGTTGCTCAAAAGTCAATTGCCGATGAAAAAGCCCGTAAGGTCATAGTGGAGTTGATGGCATATGAAAACGCCAATCCTGAGTGTCAATCAGCCATTAAGCCATTAAAAGGAAAGGTTCCTGCAGGATCAGATGTAATCTCAGAATATGTAAAAGCCTGTGATGGAATCGGAGGAGCTATGCATAAAGCTATGCTTATGGCTCAAGCAATAACAGGAGTTGTTTTAGGAGGACAAGTTAGAACATTTGGAGGAAAATGTTATAATTGTGGTCAAATTGGTCACTTAAAAAAGAATTGTCCAGTCTTAAATAAACAGAATATAACTATTCAAGCAACTACAACAGGTAGAGAGCCACCTGACTTATGTCCAAGATGTAAAAAAGGAAAACATTGGGCTAGTCAATGTCGTTCTAAATTTGATAAAAATGGGCAACCATTGTCGGGAAATGAGCAAAGGGGCCAGCCTCAGGCCCCACAACAAACTGGGGCATTCCCAATTCAGCCATTTGTTCCTCAGGGTTTTCAGGAACAACAACCCCCACTGTCCCAAGTGTTTCAGGGAATAAGCCAGTTACCACAATACAACAATTGTCCCCCGCCACAAGCGGCAGTGCAGCAGTAGATTTATATACTATACAAGCAGTCTCTCTGCTTCCAGGGGAGCCCCCACAAAAAATCCCTACAGGGGTATATGGCCCACTGCCTGAGGGGACTGTAGGACTAATCTTGGGAAGATCAAGTCTAAATCTAAAAGGAGTTCAAATTCATACTAGTGTGGTTGATTCAGACTATAAAGGCGAAATTCAGTTGGTTATTAGCTCTTCAATTCCTTGGAGTGCCAGTCCAGGAGACAGGATTGCTCAATTATTACTCCTGCCATATATTAAGGGTGGAAATAGTGAAATAAAAAGAATAGGAGGGCTTGGAAGCACTGATCCAACAGGAAAGGCTGCATATTGGGCAAGTCAGGTCTCAGAGAACAGACCTGTGTGTAAGGCCATTATTCAAGGAAAACAGTTTGAAGGGTTGGTAGACACTGGAGCAGATGTCTCTATCATTGCTTTAAATCAGTGGCCAAAAAATTGGCCTAAACAAAAGGCTGTTACAGGACTTGTCGGCATAGGCACAGCCTCAGAAGTGTATCAAAGTACTGAGATTTTACATTGCTTAGGGCCAGATAATCAAGAAAGTACTGTTCAGCCAATGATTACTTCAATTCCTCTTAATCTGTGGGGTCGAGATTTATTACAACAATGGGGTGCGGAAATCACCATGCCTGCCCCATTATATAGCCCCACGAGTCAAAAAATCATGACCAAGATGGGATATATACCAGGAAAGGGACTAGGGAAAAATGAAGATGGCATTAAAGTTCCAGTTGAGGCTAAAATAAATCAAGAAAGAGAAGGAATAGGTTATCCTTTTTAGGGGCGGCCACTGTAGAGCCTCCTAAACCCATACCACTAACTTGGAAAACAGAAAAACCGGTGTGGGTAAATCAGTGGCCGCTACCAAAACAAAAACTGGAGGCTTTACATTTATTAGCAAATGAACAGTTAGAAAAGGGTCACATTGAGCCTTCGTTCTCACCTTGGAATTCTCCTGTGTTTGTAATTCAGAAGAAATCAGGCAAATGGCGTATGTTAACTGACTTAAGGGCTGTAAACGCCGTAATTCAACCCATGGGGCCTCTCCAACCTGGGTTGCCCTCTCCAGCCATGATCCCAAAAGATTGGCCTTTAATTATAATTGATCTAAAGGATTGCTTTTTTACCATCCCTCTGGCAGAGCAGGATTGCGAAAAATTTGCCTTTACTATACCAGCCATAAATAATAAAGAACCAGCCACCAGGTTTCAGTGGAAAGTGTTACCTCAGGGAATGCTTAATAGTCCAACTATTTGTCAGACTTTTGTAGGTCGAGCTCTTCAACCAGTTAGAGAAAAGTTTTCAGACTGTTATATTATTCATTATATTGATGATATTTTATGTGCTGCAGAAACGAGAGATAAATTAATTGACTGTTATACATTTCTGCAAGCAGAGGTTGCCAATGCTGGACTGGCAATAGCATCTGATAAGATCCAAACCTCTACTCCTTTTCATTATTTAGGGATGCAGATAGAAAATAGAAAAATTAAGCAACAAAAAATAGAAATAAGAAAAGACACATTAAAAACACTAAATGATTTTCAAAAATTACTAGGAGATATTAATTGGATTCGGCCAACTCTAGGCATTCCTACTTATGCCATGTCAAATTTGTTCTCTATCTTAAGAGGAGACTCAGACTTAAATAGTAAAAGAATATTAACCCCAGAGGCAACAAAAGAAATTAAATTAGTGGAAGAAAAAATTCAGTCAGCGCAAATAAATAGAATAGATCCCTTAGCCCCACTCCAACTTTTGATTTTTGCCACTGCACATTCTCCAACAGGTATCATTATTCAAAATACTGATCTTGTGGAGTGGTCATTCCTTCCTCACAGTACAGTTAAGACTTTTACACTGTACTTGGATCAAATAGCTACATTAATTGGTCAGACAAGATTACGAATAATAAAATTATGTGGAAATGACCCAGACAAAATAGTTGTCCCTTTAACCAAGGAACAAGTTAGACAAGCCTTTATCAATTCTGGTGCATGGCAGATTGGTCTTGCTAATTTTGTGGGAATTATTGATAATCATTACCCAAAAACAAAGATCTTCCAGTTCTTAAAACTGACTACTTGGATTCTACCTAAAATTACCAGACGTGAACCTTTAGAAAATGCTCTAACAGTATTTACTGATGGTTCCAGCAATGGAAAAGCAGCTTACACAGGACCGAAAGAACGAGTAATCAAAACTCCATATCAATCGGCTCAAAGAGCAGAGTTGGTTGCAGTCATTACAGTGTTACAAGATTTTGACCAACCTATCAATATTATATCAGATTCTGCATATGTAGTACAGGCTACAAGGGATGTTGAGACAGCTCTAATTAAATATAGCATGGATGATCAGTTAAACCAGCTATTCAATTTATTACAACAAACTGTAAGAAAAAGAAATTTCCCATTTTATATTACTCATATTCGAGCACACACTAATTTACCAGGGCCTTTGACTAAAGCAAATGAACAAGCTGACTTACTGGTATCATCTGCACTCATAAAAGCACAAGAACTTCATGCTTTGACTCATGTAAATGCAGCAGGATTAAAAAACAAATTTGATGTCACATGGAAACAGGCAAAAGATATTGTACAACATTGCACCCAGTGTCAAATCTTACACCTGCCCACTCAAGAGGCAGGAGTTAATCCCAGAGGTCTGTGTCCTAATGCATTATGGCAAATGGATGTCACGCATGTACCTTCATTTGGAAGATTATCATATGTTCACGTAACAGTTGATACTTATTCACATTTCATATGGGCAACTTGCCAAACAGGAGAAAGTACTTCCCATGTTAAAAAACATTTATTGTCTTGTTTTGCTGTAATGGGAGTTCCAGAAAAAATCAAAACTGACAATGGACCAGGATATTGTAGTAAAGCTTTCCAAAAATTCTTAAGTCAGTGGAAAATTTCACATACAACAGGAATTCCTTATAATTCCCAAGGACAGGCCATAGTTGAAAGAACTAATAGAACACTCAAAACTCAATTAGTTAAACAAAAAGAAGGGGGAGACAGTAAGGAGTGTACCACTCCTCAGATGCAACTTAATCTAGCACTCTATACTTTAAATTTTTTAAACATTTATAGAAATCAGACTACTACTTCTGCAGAACAACATCTTACTGGTAAAAAGAACAGCCCACATGAAGGAAAACTAATTTGGTGGAAAGATAATAAAAATAAGACATGGGAAATAGGGAAGGTGATAACGTGGGGGAGAGGTTTTGCTTGTGTTTCACCAGGAGAAAATCAGCTTCCTGTTTGGATACCCACTAGACATTTGAAGTTCTACAATGAACCCATTGGAGATGCAAAGAAAAGGGCCTCCACGGAGATGGTAACACCAGTCACATGGATGGATAATCCTATAGAAATATATGTTAATGATAGTGTATGGGTACCTGGCCCCATAGATGATCGCTGCCCTGCCAAACCTGAGGAAGAAGGGATGATGATAAATATTTCCATTGGGTATCGTTATCCTCCTATTTGCCTAGGGAGAGCACCAGGATGTTTAATGCCTGCAGTCCAAAATTGGTTGGTAGAAGTACCTACTGTCAGTCCCATCAGTAGATTCACTTATCACATGGTAAGCGGGATGTCACTCAGGCCACGGGTAAATTATTTACAAGACTTTTCTTATCAAAGATCATTAAAATTTAGACCTAAAGGGAAACCTTGCCCCAAGGAAATTCCCAAAGAATCAAAAAATACAGAAGTTTTAGTTTGGGAAGAATGTGTGGCCAATAGTGCGGTGATATTACAAAACAATGAATTTGGAACTATTATAGATTGGGCACCTCGAGGTCAATTCTACCACAATTGCTCAGGACAAACTCAGTCGTGTCCAAGTGCACAAGTGAGTCCAGCTGTTGATAGCGACTTAACAGAAAGTTTAGACAAACATAAGCATAAAAAATTGCAGTCTTTCTACCCTTGGGAATGGGGAGAAAAAGGAATCTCTACCCCAAGACCAAAAATAGTAAGTCCTGTTTCTGGTCCTGAACATCCAGAATTATGGAGGCTTACTGTGGCCTCACACCACATTAGAATTTGGTCTGGAAATCAAACTTTAGAAACAAGAGATTGTAAGCCATTTTATACTATCGACCTAAATTCCAGTCTAACAGTTCCTTTACAAAGTTGCGTAAAGCCCCCTTATATGCTAGTTGTAGGAAATATAGTTATTAAACCAGACTCCCAGACTATAACCTGTGAAAATTGTAGATTGCTTACTTGCATTGATTCAACTTTTAATTGGCAACACCGTATTCTGCTGGTGAGAGCAAGAGAGGGCGTGTGGATCCCTGTGTCCATGGACCGACCATGGGAGGCCTCACCATCCGTCCATATTTTGACTGAAGTATTAAAAGGTGTTTTAAATAGATCCAAAAGATTCATTTTTACTTTAATTGCAGTGATTATGGGATTAATTGCAGTCACAGCTACGGCTGCTGTAGCAGGAGTTGCATTGCACTCTTCTGTTCAGTCAGTAAACTTTGTTAATGATTGGCAAAAGAATTCTACAAGATTGTGGAATTCACAATCTAGTATTGATCAAAAATTGGCAAATCAAATTAATGATCTTAGACAAACTGTCATTTGGATGGGAGACAGACTCATGAGCTTAGAACATCGTTTCCAGTTACAATGTGACTGGAATACGTCAGATTTTTGTATTACACCCCAAATTTATAATGAGTCTGAGCATCACTGGGACATGGTTAGACGCCATCTACAGGGAAGAGAAGATAATCTCACTTTAGACATTTCCAAATTAAAAGAACAAATTTTCGAAGCATCAAAAGCCCATTTAAATTTGGTGCCAGGAACTGAGGCAATTGCAGGAGTTGCTGATGGCCTCGCAAATCTTAACCCTGTCACTTGGGTTAAGACCATTGGAAGTACTACGATTATAAATCTCATATTAATCCTTGTGTGCCTGTTTTGTCTGTTGTTAGTCTGCAGGTGTACCCAACAGCTCCGAAGAGACAGCGACCATCGAGAACGGGCCATGATGACGATGGCGGTTTTGTCGAAAAGAAAAGGGGGAAATGTGGGGAAAAGCAAGAGAGATCAGATTGTTACTGTGTCTGTGTAGAAAGAAGTAGACATGGGAGACTCCATTTTGTTATGTGTTAAGAAAAATTCTTCTGCCTTGAGATTCTGTTAATCTATGACCTTACCCCCAACCCCGTGCTCTCTGAAACGTGTGCTGTGTCAACTCAGGGTTGAATGGATTAAGGGCGGTGCAGGATGTGCTTTGTTAAACAGATGCTTGAAGGCAGCATGCTCCTTAAGAGTCATCACCACTCCCTAATCTCAAGTACCCAGGGACACAAAAACTGCGGAAGGCCGCAGGGACCTCTGCCTAGGAAAGCCAGGTATTGTCCAAGGTTTCTCCCCATGTGATAGTCTGAAATATGGCCTCGTGGGAAGGGAAAGACCTGACCGTCCCCCAGCCCGACACCCGTAAAGGGTCTGTGCTGAGGAGGATTAGTATAAGAGGAAGGAATGCCTCTTGCAGTTGAGACAAGAGGAAGGCATCTGTCTCCTGCCTGTCCCTGGGCAATGGAATGTCTCGGTATAAAACCCGATTGTATGCTCCATCTACTGAGATAGGGAAAAACCGCCTTAGGGCTGGAGGTGGGACCTGCGGGCAGCAATACTGCTTTGTAAAGCACTGAGATGTTTATGTGTATGCATATCCAAAAGCACAGCACTTAATCCTTTACATTGTCTATGATGCCAAGACCTTTGTTCACGTGTTTGTCTGCTGACCCTCTCCCCACAATTGTCTTGTGACCCTGACACATCCCCCTCTTTGAGAAACACCCACAGATGATCAATAAATACTAAGGGAACTCAGAGGCTGGCGGGATCCTCCATATGCTGAACGCTGGTTCCCCGGGTCCCCTTATTTCTTTCTCTATACTTTGTCTCTGTGTCTTTTTCTTTTCCAAATCTCTCGTCCCACCTTACGAGAAACACCCACAGGTGTGTAGGGGCAACCCACCCCTACAGGGATGCCCTAGGGCTAGTGCTCACTAGGGGATGACTAGAGGTGCGGGCACTCCTATGTTCTCCTTTCAGATGGGAGACATTCCTTCAAAAGTGAAGCCACTCCTGAGGTGTATTCTGGATAATTGGGACCAATTTGACCCTCAAATGCTGAAGAAGTGACTTATATTTTTATGCAGCACCACCTGGCCACAGTATCCTCTTTCCAGAGGAGAGACATGGCCACCCGAGGGAAGTGTAAACTATAATACCATCCTACAGCTAGATCTCTTTTGTAAACGAGAGGGCAAATGGAGTGAAGTGCCATATCTACAGGTTTTTTTTCTCACTAAGGGATAACCCACAATTATGTAAAAAATGTAATTTACATCCTACCAGGGGTCCTCAAAGCCTATCCCCATACCCAGGTCTCCCCATGGCTCCCCATCCCACTAGTAAGGACTCTCCTTTGGCCTTATCAGCCCAAAAGGAACCAGACAAAAAGATAGTCAAGGAACCAAAAGGCACCAATGGACCTTGATTGTGCCCCCTCCAAGCCGTGGGAGGAGGAGACTTTGGCTCAGCACAAGTACATGTCCCCTTTTCCCTCTCAGGCTTAAAACAGATCAAACTGGACCTAGGAAAATTCTCAGATAACCTGATGGATATGTAGACGTCTTACAGGGATTAGGACAATCTTTTGATTTAGCATGGAGAGATATTCTGTTGTTTTTAGGTCAAACATTAACTCCTAACAAAAAAGAGGCCACCTTAGCTGCGGCCCAGGAGTTTGGGGATCTCTGGTACCTAAGCCAGGTAAATGATAAAACGACATCAGAAGAAAGGGAACAATTCACCACAGGCCAATAGGCAGTTCCCAGTGTGGATCCCCACTGGGACCTCGATTCGGAGCATGGAGACTGGAGTCACAGGCGTTTACTGACTTGTATACTAGAGGGATTAAGAAAGACCAGAAAAAAGCCAATGAATTACTCAATTATGTCCACCATAACACAGGGAAAGGAAGAAAACCCTACGGCATTTTTAGAGAGGCTAAGGGAGGCATTAAGAAAACATACCTCTTTGTCACCTGACTCTATTGAAGGCCAGCTAATTTTAAAGGATAAGTTTATCACTCAGTCAGCTGCAGACATTAGAAAAAAACTTCAAAAGTCTGCCCTGGGCTCCGAGCAAAATTTGGAAACTCTATTAAATTTGGCAAATTTGTTGTTTTATAATAGGGATCAGGAGGAGCAGGCTGAACGAGACAGACGAGACAAGAAAAAGGCTGCCACCTTAGTCATGGCTCTCAGGCAGACGAGCTTCAGTGGCTCTGAAAGAAAGAAAGGCTGGGCAGGCAACCCACCTAACCGGGCTTGTTATCAGTGTGGCTTACAGGGTCACTTCAAAAAGGACTGCCCAAACAACAATAAGCCACCCCCTTGTCCATGTCCCTTGTGCCAGGGAGATCCCTGGAAGGCACACTGCCCCTTAGGGTGAAGGTCCTCTGGGCCAGAGGCCACTAACCAGATGGTCCAACAAGACTGAGGGTGCCCAGGGCAGGCACCAGCCCAATGCCATCACCATCACAGAGCCCCAGGTAAGCTTAACCAGTGAGGACCAGGAAACTAACTTCCTCCTGGACAATGGCGTGGCCCTGTCAGTTTTACTCTTCTGTCCCAGACAACTATCCTCCAGGTCTTTCACCATCAAAGGGGTCTTAGGACACTCAGTCACTAGGTATTTCTCCCACCCCCTAAATTGTGACTGGGGAACCTTATTATTCTCACATGCCTTTCTTATTATGCCTGAGAGCCCTACTCCTTTACTAGGGAGAGACATATTAGCTAAAGCAGGGGCCATTATATACTTGAATATAGGAGAAGGAATACCTGTTTGCTGCCCTACTCAAGGAGGGAGTTAATCCTGAAGTCTGGGCAGAGGAAGAGCAAGAGCAGTATGGACAAGCAAAAAATGCTTGTCCAGTTCAAGTTAAATTAAAGGATCCTACTTTCTTTCCTTATCAAAGCAGTACCCCCTCTGACCAGAAGCCCAACAAGGGTTACAAAAGATTGTCAAAGACCTACAAGCACAGAGATTAGTAAAGCCATGCAACAGTCCAGGCAACAGTCCTATTCTAGGCATACAAAAACCCAACAGACAGTGGAGGTTAGTGAAAGACCTCTGAATTATCATTGAGGCAGTTGTTCCCCTGTATCCAGTGCCAGGACCAGCTTGGTCAGGGAGACCCTAACCCAGCAGCACTAGAGGAATTAAAGACACACATACAGAATATAGAGGTGTGAAGTGGGAAATCAGGGGTCTCACAGCCTTCAGAGCTGAGAGCCCTGAACAGAGATTTACCCACGTATTTATTAACAGCAAGCCAGTCATCAGCATTGTTTCTACAGATATTAAATTAACTAAAAGTATCCCTTATGGGAAATGAAGGGATGTGCCAAATTAAAGGAATAGGTTGGGCTAGTTAACTGCAGCAGGAGCATGTCCTTAAGGCACAGATCACTCATGCTATTGTTTGTGGCTTAAGAATGCCTTTAAGTGGTTTTCTGCCCTGGGTGGGCCAGGTATTCCTTGCCCTCATTCCGGTAAACCCACAACCTTCCAGCATGGGCTTTATTGCCATCATGAACATGTCACAGTGCTGCAGATATTTTGTTTATGGCCAGTTTTGGGGCCAGTTTATGACCAGATTTGGAGGGGCTTGTTCCCAACAATCCAGTTGTACCTAATCCTTATACTCTACTCTCCCAGATACCAGAGGAAGCAGAATGGTTTACAGTCCTAGATCTTATGGACGCTTTCTTCTGCATCCCTCTGCATCCTAACTCGCAATTTTTATTTGCCTTTAAAGATCTGTCAAACCCAGCATCTCAGCATACCTCGACTATCCTGCCATTCATTTTCAGGGCTAGGATACTAGGAGGTCTAGGAACTGGCATTGGAGGCATTACCACCTCCACCCAATTCTCTTACTGTTGGGGAAAAGCTGAGTGTTGGGAAAAAAGCTGAGTGTTGGGGAAAAAGCTGAGGCAGGGCTTGCATGTCTGATATAATGTAAAAGAGTCTTAGAACAGGTCCAGGGTCCAGGGTCCAGGGTCTAAAACCCCTTGTGGCCTTTGGAACACCAAGCTCTGTGCCAAAGGGTGAAAGGCTGCCCTGCTGCACCACACTCTAAGCCAAGGGCATAAAACCCCTCATGGCTTGAATGGAATCCAGGGCTCAGGGCATAAAACCCCTTGTGGCCTCTGGAATGTGTCTAGATTTGCTGGCTCCTTGTTTCTAGCCCTCCCAGGCTCATAGATCGATTGTGTCTTAAACTAGAAGAACATGTTCCCCATTATCTCAAGTAGCAGAACATGTTCCATATGCTTCAAAGAAAATGCTAAACTGTCACAGCTGTAGATCACACACTTGATACACTGCTTTCTTTGAACCCCCACATCCTCACCACCTGCTTCTTTGTTTGATCACCAATAAATAGTGCAGGCTTCAAGAGCTCAGGGCCTTCACAGCCTCCATACTAGCATTGACCCCCTGGTCCCACTTCTTGCACTCTTAACTTATCTCATTCCTTTGACTCCGCCGGACTTCGTAGCCCCCACAGCCTGGTGTTGGGTCTGATCACCCCAACATATTACAAATTATCACAAGAGTTAAATGATGACATGGAACGAGTTGCAGATTCACTGGTCACCTTACAAAGCTAGCTTAACTCTTTAGCAGCAGTAGCCCTCCAGAATTGGAAAGCCTTAAATTTATTAACAGCTGAAAGAAGTGGAACCTGTCTTTTTCTAGGAGAAGAGTGTTACTATTTTGTTAATCAATACAGAATTGTCACCAAAAAAGGTTAAGGAGCTTCGAGACCAGATACAGTGCCAGGCACAAGAGCTCCAAGACACAGGACTTTGGAGTATTGTCAACCAATGGATGCCCTGGTTTCTCCCCTTCTTGGGACCCTTGGTGGCTATTGTGATGTTGCTTATCTCTGGACCCTGCATTTTTAACCTCCTTGTAAAATTTGTCTCTTCCAGAATAGAATCCATGAAACTGCAAATGATTCTACAGATGGAGCCCCAAATGACCACCACTAGCACCTGCTATCGAGGACCCCTAGACTGACCCACCAATCTGTTCTTGCACCATGACACTGAAGACTCCCCTCCTGAGGAAGGCTCAACTGCAGAGCCCCTTCTACACCCCAGCTCAGCAGGAAGTAGCTAGAATGATTGTTGCCCAACTTCCCAACGGCACTTGGGCTTTCCTTTTGAGAGGAGGGACTGAGGGACTAAGTGGCTAAGTTGGCTGGACTTCCTGGGTCAATAGGGACTTCCCTAAGGGAACTTTCCCCTAAGCCAAAATGAGTTATAGCTGCAAACTAAGGGATTGAACCTTCAACCAATCATATAGGGAGTTTAAGCTCTAGCTGCAGCCTGATGTTTTTAACCAATCATGCCCACCTACCCACAAGTGGATAGAAAATAAGCTAATTCTATAGGACAGAAAAAGAAAAAGGGGAGGGGTCATAAGGGGATATAAGTATAAGACACCCAAGCCAAAAATGGCAGCCCTTTCAGGTCCCCTTCCACCATGTGGAAACTTTACTTTCACTTTAATAAATCTTGCCACTGCCAAAAAAAAAAAAAAAAAAAAAGATTAAATAGAATTGTCTATAGGATTTCATTAAAATTGGGGTTAACATTAATAGCAGACTTATGCAAGGGTAAAATTTGGCTTTCTCTCTTGAACAGGATTTTTATGTAATAGTAAAGGCTAATCAAAGCATTTTGCTTTTTCAAATTTTTGAGTCATCCTTTTGGCAAAACAAATGACTTATGGTAATCTAAAATTCTATTTCATAATATCAAGAGTTTTAAACCTGTAAGGGCCAGTCATGGTGGCTCACGCCTATAATCCCAGCACTTTGGGAGGCCGAGGCAGGTGGATCACCTGAGGTCGTGAGTTGGAGACCAGCCTGACCAACATGGGGAAACCCTGTCTCTACTAAAAATACAAAATTAGCTGGGCGTGGTGGCGCATGCCTGTAATCCCAGCTACTCAAGAGGCTGAGGCAGGAGAATAGATTGAGCCTGGAAGGCAGAGGGTGCAGTGAGCCGAGATTGTGCCACAGCACTTCAGCCTGGGCAACAAGAGCAAAACTCTGTCTCAAAAACAAACAAAAACAAAAACCTGTAACATATTCAACAGGCTTCCCAAAATCAAATTTCAGTTGCAAGATTCTCTTTCCTGACCCCTGGCTTTTGAATGCTACAGCTACAGAGGGCCCCTAGAGCATCCGAAGAGAGGTAAACAGGATTAAAAAAAGAGAGAGAGATAATTAAGGCTGGGTGTGGTGGCTCACATCTGTAATCCAAGGACTTTGGGAGGCCGAGGCAGGTGGATCACTTGAGGTCAGGAGTTCAAGACCAGTTTGGCCAACATGGTGAAACCCCATCTCTACTAAAAATACGAAATTAGCCGAGTGTGTTGGCACATGCCTGTAATCCCATTTACTCAGGAGGCTGAGGCAGAAGAATCACTTGAACCCAGTGGAGGTTGCAATGAGCCAAGATTGTGCCACTGCACGCCAGGCTGGGCAACAGAGTGAGACTCTGTCTCAGAAAAAAAAAAAAAAAGAGATAATTAGCTCAGCATGGTGGTGGGTGCCTGTAATCCCAGCTACTTGGGAGGCTGCGGCAGGAGAATTGCTTGAACCCAGGAGGCAAAGGTTGCGGTGAGCCGAGATCAGCTCCATCTCAAAATAAAAAATAAAAAAATAGGCCACGCGCGGTGGCTCATGCCTGTAATCCCAGCATTTTGAAAGGCCAAGGCGGGTGGATAACCTGAGGTCAGAAGTTTGAGACCAGCCTGGCCAACATGGCGGAACCCCATCTCTACTAAAAATTCAAAAATTAGCCAGGTATGGTGGCATGTGCCTGTAATCCCAGCTACTAGCAGGGCTGAGGCAGGAGGATCGCTTGAACCAAGGAGGCGGAGGTTGCAGTGAGCTGAGATAGGCTCCATCTCAAAATAAAAAATAAAAAAATAGGCCAGGCGTGGTGGCTCACGCCTGTAATCCCAGCATTTTGGGAGGCCAAGGTGGGTAGATTACCTGAGGTCAGGAGTTCGAGATCAGCCTGGCCAACATGGTGAAACCCCGTCTCTACTAAAAATACAAAAATTAGCCGGGCATGGTAGCATGTGCCTGTAATCCCAACTATTAGGGGGGCTGAGGCAGAAGAATCGCTTGAACCCTAGAGGCAGAGGTTGCAGTGAGCCAAGATCGTGCCACTGCACCCCAGCCTGGGCAACAAGAGTGAGATTCCATGTCAAAAAAATAAATAAAAAATAACAAAATAAAAATAAAGAGATAATGTCAGCCGGGTATTTTGGCTCACACCTGAAATCCCAGCATTTTGGGAGGCCAAGGCCGATGGATGGCTTGAGCTCAGGGTTTCAAGGCCAGCCTGGACAACATAGCAAAACCCCGCCTCTACAAAAAATAAAAAGATTAGCTGAGTGTGGTGGTGCACACCTGTGGTCCCAGCTACTTGGGAGGCTGAGGTGGGAAGACTGCTTGAGCCTGGGAGATTGAGGCTTCACTGAGCCATGATTCCTCCACTAACACTCCAGCCTGGGTGACAAGGGCAAGAACTTGTCCCCCCCCCCCCAAAAAAAAAGAGAGAGACAGTGTCTCGGCCATGCACGTGGCTCACACCTGTAATCCCAGCACTCCAGGAGGCTGAGGTGGGAGAATCCCTTGTAGCCAGGAGTTTGAGACCAGCCTGGGCAACACAGGCCCCAGGGATCCTCCTGACTCAGCCTCCCAAATAGCTGGGGCTACAGGTGCACACCACAACATCTGCCTAATTTTTAAGTTTTTTTGTAGAGATGGAGTCTCGCTATGTTGCCCACGCTGGTCTTGAACTCCTGGCTTTTTTTTTTTTTTTTTTGAGATGGAGTCTTGCTCTGTCACCCAGGCTAGAGTGCAGTGGTGTGATCTCAGCTCACTGCAACCTCCACCTCTCGGGTTCAAGTGATTCTCCTGCCCCAGCCTTCTGAGTAGCTGGGATTACAGGCACCTGCCACCGCGCCCAGCTAATTTTTTTGTATTTTTTAGTAGAGACGGGGTTTCACCATCTTGGCCAGGCTGGTCTCGAACCACTGACCTCATGATCCACCCACCTTGGCCTCTCAAAGTGCTGGGATTACAGGCATGAGCCACCGCACCCGGCTAAACTCCTGGCTTTAAACGATCCTCCTGCTTTGGCCTCCCAAATGGTGGGATTACAGGCATGAGCCACCTTGCAAGGCCTGAAAATTCTTCGTAATGTAAGCTCTAAAGTATTACATGAGTTTGAGTGTCTCATTTCACATCCATAATACAGCAAACAACATGAAATATATACATCTCTTGAAGCTGTTGCTCACATCTTAATTGCTTTGGGTGGCTACCCACCAGTGGCCCAAGGTGGATGGAGGTTAGGGTTTTAAATTAGATCTCAATAGTTGTAAACTAGAATTTTAAACCAGGGTTCTGTCATCTCTTGTGTCCTAGTCCACTAGTTCTTATCCTTAGAACCCTCAAGTCCTGCTCTAGCTGTATCATGACTCCTCTTTTGCCCACTTTCCACTCTGGTAGTTTGAGGAGCAGCAGGCTTTTGAGAAGAGCCGCAAGTTCCTTCGGCAGCTGGAGATTTGCTTTGCAGAGAACCCCTCACACCACCAGAAGATTATCAAGGTCCTCCAAGGCTGTGCAGACTGCCTTCCCCAGGAGATCACCGAGGTATTCTTTCCTGTCCTGCTTTCTTCCTGTTGTCTTCCGGGCCTTAGGCCTTTCCCTTGTCTCTTTCCCCAACCTACTCCATACCTTTTTGCCTCTGGAGGCTCATGGGCTTCCTGGAGGAGATGAAAAAGGCAAGGACTTTTCAGGCTCACCCAAAGCATAAAGCACTGGGATAGGGAGGGATTGCTACCTGAAACCGGAGCCTGTCTGATCTTCACAGGCTCAGGAATGCCATGGATGTGCTGGAAGGGATGTTCAGCGAAGGAGGTTCTGGGACCTGGGAGGGGCCTTACCTCCTTGCTCTGCTTGGAATAGTGCCCTAGCTGGAGATCAGTAGGGTGGAGTGGAGAGTGGAATCATTAGGAATCAAATCCAGTATTAATACCCTTCCCCTGGCCGGATGTGGTGGCTCACACCTGTAATCTGAACACTTTGGGAGGCAGATCACCTGAGGTTGGGAGTTGGAGACCAGCCTGAACAACATGGAG
Organism: Homo sapiens; assembly: GCF_000001405.40. Classification (NCBI taxonomy): domain Eukaryota; kingdom Metazoa; phylum Chordata; class Mammalia; order Primates; family Hominidae; genus Homo; species Homo sapiens. The sequence goes on along the minus strand of NC_000001.11, from coordinate 155,618,396 downwards.
AAACCCTGTCTCTATTAAAAATACAAAATTAGCTGGGCATGGTGGTGCATGCCTGTAATCCCAGCTACTCGGGAGGCTGAGGCAGGAGAATCGCTTGAACCTGGGAGGCAGAGGTTGCGGTGAGTGGAGATCGCACCGTTGCACTCCAGCCTGTGCAACATGAGCGAAACTCCAGCTAAAAAAATAAATATATAAATAAATACATAAATAAATAAAACAAAATAAAATCTTTGGAGCAGTAGCTAGGCAAAGGGGCACTCAGGAGGCTCACACCAGAAGATCACTACTTGAGCCCAGGAGTCTGAGGCTATAGTGTACCACTATGGTCATACCTGTGTAAACAGGCACTGCACTCCAACCTGGGCAAGATAATTTGTGTTATCTGTGAGACCTTGTCTCTTTTTTTTTTTTTTTTTGAGGTGGAGTCTCACTTTCGTCCAGCCTGGAGTGTAGTGGCACAATCTCAGCTCACTGTAACCTCTGCCTCCTGGGTTCAAGCAATTCTCATGCCTCAGCTTCCCAAGTAGCTGAGACTACAGGCCCCCGCCACAACATTCCGCTAATTTTTGTATTTTTAGTAGAGATGGGGTTTCACCATGTTCACTAGGCTAATCTGGAACTCCTGACCTCAAGTGATCCCTGCCCTCGGCCTCCAAAGTACTGGGATTACAGGTGTAAGCCACCACACCTGGCCTCTTTTTGTTTGTTTCTTTTTGAGACAGGGTCTCGCTATGTTGCCCAGGCTGATCTTGAACCCTTGGGCTCAAGTGATCCTCACACCTCAGCCTCCCAAGTAGCTGGGTTTACAGGCATGTACCATTGCACCCAACTGAAACCCTTTCTCTTAAAAAAACAAAATTGTTGGAGCAGATATGCATGTGGGTTGACTTGGTGAGCATCAGGCAGGGCTTCTTCCTTTGGTGGGCCCCAAAGGCATAGGCGGTCAGGACACCTTTGACCCAGAAGATCATCCCTGTGGGTCTGTGACAGCAAATCCTACAAGAGCAAGGAGCCCCATGAAGCCACCCAGAACAGGACTGTCAGGACCACCAGAAAGAGAGATGCCTATTTCAGGTGAGTGATCTGCCAACCCAGCCCTTCTGTTTTTCAGTCTCGTTCTTCTATACCCCAGACAGGAACCTCCATGAGCCTGGATAAATAACACCCTTTTCAGGGATGGACATACCACCTCTTTCACTGATGGACCCATAAGAAGCCCTTCTCCTGTTCAGGCTTTTTCTATCCTATGGCCTCACTCCTCTTGCAGAATTAAGAGTGTGTGGCCGGGCGCAGTGGCTCACGCCTGTAATCCCAACACTTTGGGAGGCCGAGGTGGGTGGATCACCTGAGGTCAGGAATTCAAGACCAGCCTGGCCAACATGGTGAAACCCCATCTCTATTAAAAATACAAAAAAAAAAAAAAATAGCTGGGCCCGGTGGTGGGCACCTATAATCCCACCTACTTGGGAGGCTGAGGCAGGAGAATCCCTTGAACCCCGGAGGCGGAGGTTGCCATGACCTGAGATCACGCTACTGTACTCCAGCCTGGGCAACAAGACCAAAAATCTCTCAAAAAAAAAAAAAAAAGTGCTACAAATTTCACATGATTCAACATTGTCTTGTGTTTTATTCCTAAAACCCTTCCCCCATCTCTAAATCTAGTGTAATCTACATCCTAAAGACTGGGCCGTTCTCAGCTTTGGCAGTAGGACTTTATATCTTTGCATAAGTGACATTATGCCCACCATCTCCACCCAACTCCTTTATTATTTATATTTTCTTGCAGAGATGGGGTCTCACCATATTGCCCAGGCTAGTCTCAAACTCCTGGCAGTCCCACCACTTTGGCTTCCCAAAGTGCGGACGTTATAGGTGTGAGCCACCATGCCCAGCACTCTTTTTTATTAGAATTTTTGCACAGTACCTGGCCACAGGTAATTTCTCGTGCTTAGGTGCATCTTGATCCTCACAGTACCCTGGGATCCTTATTTTCCTCCTAAGCAGGATTGGCAGTGGGGGGCACTTTGCCATCCCCTCGAGAAGTGACTCTTACAGAACGGCTCCTCCTGGATGGCCCACCACCTCATTCACCAGAGACTCCTCAATTTCCCCCCACAACTGGAGCTGTACTGTACACTGTTAAGAGAAACCAGGTTGGGCCTGAGGTTCGCTCCTGCCCCAAGGCATCCCCCAGACTTCAGAAAGAGAGGGAGGGCCAAAAGGCAGTGAGTGAGTCAGAGGCTTTGATGCTGGTCTGGGATGCATCAGAAACTGAGAAATTGCCTGGTACCGTGGAACCCCCTGCTTCCTTCCTGAGTCCTGTTTCCTCAAAGACCAGAGATGCAGGGAGAAGACATGTGTCCGGGAAACCAGACACTCAAGAGAGATGGCTGCCCTCAAGCAGAGCTAGGGTGAAGACAAGAGACAGGACGTGCCCTGTCCATGAATCTCCATCAGGAATTGACACCTCAGAGACTTCTCCCAAAGCCCCTAGAGGGGGTTTGGCTAAAGACAGTGGAACACAGGGCAAGGGTCCAGAGGGGGAACAGCAGCCAAAGGCCACAGAAGCTACGGTGTGTGCCAATAACAGCAAGGTCAGCTCCACTGGGGAAAAGGTTGTCCTGTGGACAAGGTAGGTAAGGGTGGATGATGTGTGTTTGGAAAAGAGCATAGACCACATCCATGTGGCTCCCTAGGGTTAATCATGATACCTGGGTTACAGGGAAGCTGACCGTGTGATCCTCACCATGTGCCAGGAGCAAGGGGCACAGCCACAGACCTTCAGCATCATCTCCCAGCAGCTGGGAAATAAGACCCCTGCTGAGGTAGGTGCGGGTTGGGGTGAAGACCTGGCAAAAAGAGGTCAAGGTGGCCAACTAAGAGACAGAAAGGCCAAAGAAGGAGTTTTCATATCCAAGATAAGTGGTTTTTGTAAAGGTTTGATCTAAGGAAAGGCTTGACTCATCAGGGTGGTAGTGGTTCTAGGAGAAGAGAAAGGACACTGCATTTTTAGGTGGAAGCCCGTTTCCATTCTAGCTTTTTTTTTTTTTTTGAGCCAGAGTCTTGCTCTGTCGCCCAGGCTGGAGTGCAGTGGCATGATCGTGGCTCACTGCAACCTCCACGTCCCAGGTTCAAGCAATTCTCCTGCCTCAGCCTCTCGAGTGGCTGGGATTACAGGTGCCCACCACCCAGCCAATTTTTCTATTTTTAGTAGAGATAGGGCTTCACCATGTTGGCCAGGCTGGTCTCGAACTCCTGACCTCAAGTGATCTACCTGCCTCGGCCTCCCAAAGTGCTGGGATTACAGGTGTGAGCCACTGTGCCCGGCCATTCTAGTTTTGTTTTTAGGAGTCGTGTGACTTTGGGCAAAACATTTAGCCTCTTGAGTTTCCTTATCTATAGTGACATAGCTCTCTCAACCTTGCTGTGTGGAATAAACAAAAGATTTTGCAAATCAATATATAGTGCTTCATAAATGTTAACATGTTACTAAGGATCAGTGAATACAGCCCTCCTCCTTTCTTAGGTTTCCCACCATTTTCGAGAACTCATGCAGCTCTTCCACACTGCCTGTGAAGCCAGCTCTGAGGATGAGGATGATGCAACCAGTACCAGCAATGCAGACCAGCTGTCTGACCATGGGGACCTTCTGTCTGAAGAGGAGCTGGATGAATGAGACTCTGGGAATCATCTACACAGGACCAAACCCAACAGGCGCCCTGGCACCGGGGAGGCGGGTAGTTGTACTCTGCTTGTACAGTCCTTGAGCCCAGTTTACAGATCTGGAGAGCAGGAGGCCAGGACAAGGACAAAGGCTGGAGGATGGAGTAGGACCCAGGGGCTCTGCCATCCTAGGCATCATTCAAGGTCTTTTATGAAGACTTTACAGATGTCCTCTGTAAGTAGCATCGAGAGTGGAGTTCAGCTCCTTTCTCTACTTTTTTTTGGTCTGATGGCACATATTTATTGTTCTGTGGTCTAATCACAGTGTTTCTAAATGTAAAAAGTGCATATGTTGGTGTAGCTAGTCCCGCGACATTGAGCTCCTCTGCATGAAGACACTGGGCTCCTGCATCCAGCTGTTTTTATTGCAAACTAGCTCCTTTCTCCCACACTGGGAACTTTAGTCCACGAGGCTGTCACCACCCTGGTAGCACTGGGCCAGGCTTTGTAGCTCCTGCAGCAGCTCTGCTACGTCATCGTGCTCCACTCCAGCATCCATGAAGCTGGCCCAGCGCCGCAAGTCGAGTTTGGTGAGGTCTCTGGCCAAGGCTTCCAGGGTCTGGTGCAGGGACGAAGAGGAACACAGTGCCCCAAACACTGGGATGCTCTCCACTGCTGTGGAGGGAGAGGAAACAGAGACCTGTAGATGGATGATTATTCTGCCCTGGGACTCTGCCAAACTGATAAGGAAGTCCAACCTTAGTAGACTTGATTGTAAACTCAACAAATTTGGTGTATTGTCCCCTTAGTACACCAGTACTCCAGAGGAAGAATGCTTTTCTTGGGAGCCATAGGGTGAATAAAGGAATGTTTAACTGTGGACTTTTTCAGCACTTTTAATCCAGGAATGGAGATAGTAAAAACTCTCCCATACTTGAAATCTCAGTTTTCTTCACCTCCTACATACCTGCTCCCTTGGGGGAACCATCCAGAACCATACCCGGTGGACTGCAGCTTGAGAAGAGGTGGGGGTAAGGAGGAGCCACCCTGCAGGGAGTCAGCAGCAGATGGGAAGAACTGTGGGGGCAGAGAACAGCCATTAAGTGCGTAAGAAGTCAAGGGAGGGTTGCGGTTGGCAAGAAGGGCAGGAGCAACCGTTACACTGACCTCATGACTCCAGGCTGCTGCTGTTGTAAATACTGAGCCAAGATTTCTTCCCCAGTGGTACATGCATGAAGGGCAGAGGGTGGAGGTGTCCCTGGGGTGAGCTGGCTGCCAGAACAAAGCCAAAACCACCATTAGTCTGTGGCTGCATGAATAAGAAACAGAATTCTTATGTTCTCAGGCCATCAGCTGGATCAAGATATTCAAAGCCCTTTTTTTTTTCCTTTTTAAGGGGTGGGGAGGGAACAGTATCATTAGAATGCCCCAGAGAAATTAGGGGAAGATGGATATGAGACAAAAATCTGACAAGGACTCCTAAGGACCAACAGCTCTCACCTTGTGTGGCATGCTCTGTCTATACCCCTCAGCACCACTGACTGGGCAAAGCAACGTGTTCCAGAAGGCTCCCCACATGCAGACAGTGGGGTCCATGGGGTGGCTCCTCCAAACTGCATCAGGGAATCAGGAAGGGACTGGCCTGGAGCCAAGGGGAAAGGGATGATTGCTCCTGCTGTCACCACCTAAAGAGATGGAAGAGAACACGTTATAGGACATTTTCTCAGCACTGACCCAACCCCTTACAAAGCTTCATACCTTTTTCCCACAGAAGCTCAGCATGTCAGCCAGATGAACCATGGAAACTGGAGAGGAACACAGGCGATAAGGAACAGTGACTGTGTCCAGGGCTGTAGCCAGGATGGCACTGCAGTGGAAGGGCAGAGTGGCCTGTAAGAAGACACCAAGATGGGCACTTGGCCTCAGGCCTGGAAAAGAATGTGTGGAGGCAGAATATTAACACCAGAGAGACCCAGGGGACGAATCAGGGGTATGTTTGACCCCAGGCTGGACAAGCATAGGACAGTGTGATCTGAGAGGCCACATCACAGCTGAGTTCAAGCTCGGGCCTCAAGAACAGAGCCAGTAACAGACAGCGGCTGACTGGGAGCATGAGGAGGCCCTGTAGCCTGCCGCAGTCAGAACAAGAGCACCGAGACTTACATCATAATGCAGGTAAGGGAAGCTGACAGGTGGCTCGGGTCGCAGGCCCAGGCTCCCACCCAAGGACAAGGGGCAGACAAGAGAGCTGTGAGCAGTCAGGTGCACGAGACCAAAAGCTGTGTTTAATAGACGATAGATGTTTCTCTGGGCCTCCTGGTGAAGAAAGAGTAGTTTGTATTAAGCAGCTCTCCCACTGGGATTCTGATTTCTCCCTCCCCACTGTGTGACTGTTTACTTCTCTAAGTTCCACTCACCCCACGATGGTAGGGACCAGGTAGCAGGCCCCAGGTTATTATTCCCCGCCCTGAATATTCATCTTGTAGCAGCTCTGCCGCCTTCGCGCCTACCCCAGAGAAGCCATCGTGCAGGTCACACAGGATCTGGAAGCCCTGGACGGGGGTGAGTGACAAAAGATAGTTAGCAGGATGAGAAGAGCTTCCACCCTGGAGTGCACATTGCCACGCCACTACCTGCAAGTAGTCACATTCCTCCACGTAGAAATGCAGCCTGTCCTCCAGCTCTTCCTGGTACTTGGGTTCCTTTAGGACACTTTCCCCTTGGCCAAAAGCCTCCAGCCGACCTGCTTCCCTGCCACAAGTAAACATGATCCAAGACTTACATCTCTTCCCTCAACTCCTCAGCCTCTTGTCCTGGGGAAGGGCAGGGAAGATGGCCTCAAGAGCCTCATCCTGCATTGGTGGGGACCCATGTTTCTTGCCTCAAAGCCTCTGGGGTCCCCATACCCATCGTGGTTGTACTTCTGAATCATACAGATGCTCCGGGGATGGAGATGGACTCTGAGGAAGTCTGACCAGACCCTGATGCTGGCCTCTGTAGGGATAAGTGGTTTTGGAGTTGTAGCGGTGGGGAGTGGTGAGGAACCTGAAGACAAGCAGAGGAAATGTACCTTTCTCCATGTTTCTGCTCTACCCAAGCCCCCATCCATCAGTATCTGGAGAAGTCTCACCTTTGCCATTGGGAATGGATTTGACCCTCCAGACACCATCACTACTCAGCACTCCCTGGGAGGGGTCAGAAAAATCGACATTTAGTTCCAGGCAGTTTAGAGGCAAAGGTTGCTTCGTCCTCCTTGAGTTGGCTGGCCACACCGCATAGCCTCCTTTCTGTTCACCGAGTCGCAGTCCTTAGGAAAAGGAGTGCTTTTTCCCAAAATATCATTCTAAGACACTTAAAATGATTAAAATCCCCGTTTACCTGCCCCTATGGAGACCCTCGGGTTGTGGCACCGGGTTAAAAAGTTCAGGACAGAGGCCCTCACCTCTGCACTCAGAAAGTCTTGGAGATAAGGGTTCTTGGGATAGAGTTCCTCTTTGTGTGTGGTGAGCTTCCCCTGCCTGAAAGAGTTTGGAGATTGATCAAAGAAACTGCACTCTGATCAGAGTTATCCAGCGTTCTGCGTACATACACGATCCCCACCCTTATCCATACATCAGTTACACACCATGCTATTGCAGCATCCAACTGTTTGTCCCTGTAGAGTCCACCTTCCTCTTTTAGGGAGCTCAAACTACCTGTACAGAAATAACAGAGACAATGTTAGGTCAAAGCCTGGGCACCCTTCCCCTCTAGCTAACCTTCCTCTGATCACCTGACAACCTGCTGTCACCATCTCTCCAGCACTTGGCTCTTCCAAGCTTTCTGGGATATACACTAGTTGGGGGAAAAACCTTGGCTTAGGAGAATCTAGATTCCATCTTTCGGTTCCCAGCTTAGTCATTAGCTGTGGGACGCGGGGGGAACCACATCCAGGGGTCTGACAGGAGTGCTGCAGTTCAAGTCCTCACTGTCTCCAGGGCCTAGCAGCCTATTCCCGAAATGGCTCTTGAGCAACTGTCGTGGGCCCCTCGAGTGTTGGCATGTTGTGCTCAGCTCCTCATCTCCGGTCCTGGAGCTCGGTAAGGTGGGAGGGTCTTGAAGATAACGGCAGCGCAAGGACTAGGCACGCGGAAGGGAAATAAGGGGCATCGGCTAACTCTGCCACCACCTCACCCTTCAGATCCATGAGGATGAGTCGCGGCGTGTAGGTCTCCTGGCCGTGCAGCGTCCGGCCCGTACGATACAGGACGTCGGGGCACAGCTCTCCCGGGGGCTCCTTGGAATCGGTCGCTCGGCCCAGCGCAGCATCCTGGGGAAGCAGAGAGGACGAGGCAGGCCGGCTGAACGTCGGGACTGTAGATCCCGAAGGGCTCCTCGGGGGCAGCTGCCGGCTGACCTCACCTGCTGGTTCCACCAGTGCGCGCCCACGAAACCGGCAAAATGTCCCAACTGCAGTGTGAGCACCTCCCGGGCCCCGCCCGCCATACTGCGCTGCTCCACGGGGCCGCCGCGCCTCAGCCGCGCCGCTCGCTGCTCCTAGCCGATTGGCTTGGCAGGCGCGTGGGCGGGTGTTATTCTCGGCTACTTATTGGCCCGCAAACACATCCTTTCCCATTGGAGAAACGATGCGCCGATCCCTTCCTACCTCTTCCTAGACGTGGCCCAGTCCGGCTTCTCTGTGGTTGCCTGTGAGGGGCGGGGCTCCACGGGCCACGCCGTTGCTCCTGCTCCACGTTGGAGCGGGGTGGGCGCCGTCTCCGCCGCTGACTTGGGGCCGCCAGGGCGCGGGCCGTGGAAGGCTCTGCTTCCTACTTGTCTTGAGGTCTTATCCCTTCTCACAGATCTCTCCGCTGGCTGATAGCTCCCCGGGCAAAAAGAAAACCTTGCCAGAAAAGCGGAAGCTCCCCTAAAGCCTCCCATGCCCCTTCATCTCTTCAGAAGTCACGTGGACCACGACTAATAACCTGTGGACTGGCTTAGCTATCATATCTCTATCATTTACACGTATTTATCTATCTCTGTGTATCTAACACCTTATGTAAAGAGAGTATGTATCTGTTGGCGTCTTTTGCTCAATATGGTTTATGTAATTCATATTTTTGCAAATATCTATAATTCATTTTCATCACTGCGGAATAGTCCATTGTATGAATACGCCACCACTGATCTATTCTAAAGAAAGAATAGGCTGGGCGCGGTGGTTCACGCCTGTAATCCCAGCACTTTGGGAGGCTGAGGCGGGCAGATCACGAGGTCAAGAGATCGAGACCATCCTGGCTAACACGGTGAAACCCCATCTCTACTAAAAATACAAAAAAAAATTAGCTGGGCGTGGTGGCGGGCGCCTGTAGTCCCAGCTACTCGGGAGGCTGAGGCAGGCGAATGGCGTGAACCCGGGAGGCGGAGCTTGCAGTGAGCCGAGATCACGCCAATGCACTCCATCCTGGGCGACAGAGCGAGACTCTGTCTCAAAAAAAAAAAAAAAAAAAATATATATATATATATATATATATATACTGCTGATAATAGCTTTTGGGATTGTTTCCAATTTTTGGGCTATTAGGTGCTATGATTAACATTCTTGTGTGTATTTAGAAACAAGGCAAGGGCCGGGTGCGGTAGTTTACGCCTGTAATCCCAACACTTTGGGAGGCCGAGGCAGGAGGATCAACTGAGGTCAGGAGGTTGAGACCAGCCTGGCTAACATGATGAAACCCCGGTCTCTACTAAAAATACAAAACATGTAGCCGGGCGTGGTGGCGGGCCCTTGTACTCCCAGCTGCTCAGGAGGCTGAGTCAGGGAATCATTTGAACCTGGGAGGTGGAAGTTGCAGTGAGCCGATATCACGCCACTGCACTCCAGCCTGGGAAACAAGAGCAAAACTCCTCTCTAAAAAATAAAAAATAAAAAAATAAAAATAAAAATAAAAAAGGCCGGGCGCCGCGGTTCAAGCCTGTAATCCCAGCACTTTGGGAGGCCGAGGCGGGTGGATCACGAGGTCAGGAGATCGAGACCATCCTGGCTAACACGGTGAAACCCCGTCTCTACTAAAAATACTAACAATTAGCCGGGCGTGGTGACGGGCGCGACCTGTAGTCCCAGCTACTTGGGAGGCGGAGGCAGGACAATGGCGTGAACCCGGGAGGCGGAGCTTGCGGTGAGCCGAGATCGCGCCACTGCACTCCACCTTGGGCAACAGAGCCAGACTCCATCTCAAAAAAAAAAAAAAAAAAAAAGAGATAAGGCAAATATTGGTTGGGCGCAGAGGCTCACGCCTGTATTCCCACGTTTTGGTGAGGCTGAGGCAGGAAGATCGCTTGAGTCCAGAAATTCGAGAATGTGAGGGTAGACTGGACAATGTAGTGAGACTCCCCCTCCCCCTATCCTCTCTATAAAAGAATTTTTCAAAAAATTAGCTAGGCAGCCCACATCTGTAGTCCTAACCAGAGGCTAGGGTGAGAGGATCGCTTCAGCGCAGGAATTAGAGGCTGCGGTGAACCATGATTGGAGCACTGCACTGCAGCCAGAGACAGAGGGAGACCCTGTCTCAAAATTTTAAAAAGTGACAAAATGTTAATTGAATCTAGGTGAAGATTATAGGTGTTCTTTTGCAGTACTCTCTGAGCATTCTTGTAGGTTTGAAATTTTTTCAAGAAATAAAGGTTAGATGCTCTTATCTCTTCTGAGCTCTTTGTATTTTCACATGTATTATATTTAGTTTTGTTTATTTATTTTGAGACTGTCTCACTCTCTTTGCCCTGGCTGGAGTGCAGTGGTGCAATCTCCCGGCTCACTGAAGCTTCAACCTCTTGGGCTGAAGCGATCCTCCCACCTCAGCCTCCCAAGTAGCTGCAATTACAGGCATAGGCCACTGCACCCGGCTAATTTTTGTATTTTTTGTACAGAAGGGGTTTCACCATCTTGCCCAGGCTGGTCTCCTGAGCTCAAGCGATCTGCCCACTTCGGCCTCCCAAAATATTGGGATTACAGGCGTGAGCCAATATGCCCGGCTACTATTTCACTTTTCTAAGTATGATGTGGGCTGAAAAGTTTCTATAGATACTCTGACAGTTTAAGGAAGTTCTCTGTCCTGATTTGCTAAGAGTTTTGATCATGAATAGATTTGAATGTTTTTTACAGCTTTCTCCAAACCAAGATAATTACATTATTTTATCCTTCCTTTGTTGTGCTAATGAATAAATTACATCGTTAGATTATCATGTAATACTATCTTGCATTCCTCAAATAAACCTAAACTCGGCTAGGCGCGGTGGCTCAGACCTGTAATACTAGCACTTTGGGAGGCCGAGGCAGGCGGATCACAAGGTCAGGAGTTCGAGACCATCCTGGCCAACATAGTGAAAACCCTGTCTCTACTAAAAATACAAAAATTATCTGGGCGTGGTGGCACGTGCCTGTAATCCCAGCTACTTGAGAGGCTGAGGCAGGAGAATCTCTTGAACCAGGGAGTCGGAGGTTGCAGTGAGCCAAGATCGCGCCATAGCACTCCAGCCTGGTGACAGAGAAAGACTCCAACTCAAACAAACAAACAAAAAACCTAAATTCATTTATGTTGATTATCCTTTTAAAATATTGGATCTGGCTGGGTGTGGTGGCTCACACCTGTAATCCCAGCACTTTGGGAGGCCAAGGCGGGCGGATCACGAGGTCAGAAGTTCGAGACCAGCCTGGCAAACATGGTGAAACCCCATCTCTACTAAAAACACAAAATTAGCAGGACGAGGTGGCGCGTGCCTGTAATCTCAACTACTCAGGAGTCTGAGGCAGGATAATTGCTTGAACCCGACAGGCAAAGGTTGCAGTGAGCCAAGATGGGGCCACTGCACTCCAGCCTGTGCGACAGATGGAGACTCTGTCTCAAAAAATAAATAAATATAAAATATTGGATCTGGGCCGGCTGCAGTGGCTCATGCCTGTAATCCCAGCACTTTGGAAGGCTGAGGCAGGTGGATCACTTGAGCCCAGGAGGTCAAAACAAGCCTGGGTAACATAGTGAGATCTTGTTGCTACAAAAAAAAAGGCTGGGTACGATGGCTCACACCTGTAATCCCAGCACTTTGGGAGGCTGAGGCAGGCGATCACCTGAGGTCAGGATTTGAGAACAACCTGGCCAACATGGTGAAACCCCATCTCTATTAAAAATACAAAAATTAGCTGGCAGTGGTGGCACGCGCCTGTGGTCCCAGCTCCTCGGGAGGCTGGGGCAGAAGAATCTCTTGAACCTGGGAGGCGGAGGTTGCAGTGAGCCAAGATCATGTCATTGCGCTCCAGCCTGGGAGACAGAGTGAGACTCCGTCTGAAAAGAAAAAGAAAGAAGAAGAAGAAAAAATAGAAAAAAAAAAGTTGTATCTTGGCCAGGCACAGTGGTTCTCACCTGTAATCCCCAGCATTTTGGGAGGCTGAGGCAGGCGGATCACTTAAGGCCAGGAGTTCGAGACCAGCCTGGCCAACATGGCGAGACCCCGTCTTTACTAAAAATACAAAAAAAAAAAAAAAAAAAAAAAAAAAAAAAAGGCTGGGCATGGTGGCCAGTGCCTGTAGTCCCAGCTACTCGGGAGGCTGAGGCAGGAGAATTGCTTAAACCCAGGAGGTGGAGGTTGCACTGAACTGAGATTATGCTACTGCAGTGCAACCTGGGTGATAGAGCAAGACTCTGTCAAAAAAAAGAAAAAAAAAGTTGGATCTACTTACTGATATTTTGTTTTGCATCCATATGTGTGAATGGGATTGGCTAATTTTCCTTTTCTTTAATGTTCTTGTCAGCATTTGATATTAGCATAACAGTGGCCTCAAAAACAAGTTGGGAAGTATTTTCCCTTTTCTATTTTCCACAAGAATTTATATGAGATTGGCATCATTTCTTTAAATGTTTGCTGGAGTTTACAGGCCAAGTTATATAGACCTAGAGTTGGTTATTTCTTTGTTTTTGTTTTTAAGACATTATCTGATTGTCAGCCAGGCTGGAGGGAGTGCAATGGCTGGATCAGAGCTCACTGCAGTTTGAACCCCTTAATTCAATCGATCCTCACACTTCAGCCTCCGGAGTAGCTGTGACTACATGATTTTAAACCTTTTTTGTAGAGAGGAGGTCTATGTTGCTCAAGCTGGTCACGAACTCCAGGACTCAAGCCATCCTCCCACTCTGAAAGTTCTGGGATGACAGGAGTGAACCATGCCCTGCCTGCAGTGTTTGCAGAAAAGTTTTCACCTATGAATTATTCAAGTTCTGTATTAGTATAGGAGTATTTAAAGTTTATTTTTTTGTGTCAATATTGGTAAGCCATATTTTTTTGGAAATTTGTCCATTTCATCTACAAATTCAGAGCTATTACTACCAAGTTGTTTATGGTGAACTCATTTAAACTGTTTCATGTCTGCAGGATCTGTGGTGATGTGCTTTTTTATTTTCAATATTGTTTTTGTTTTGTTTTGTTTTGTTTTGTTTTGTTTTGTGATGGAGTCTTGCTCTATTGCTTAGGCTGGAGTGCAGTGGCACAATCTCAGCTCACTGCAACCTCCACATCCCAGGTTCAAGTGACTCTCTTGCCTCAGCCTCCCGAGTAGCTGGGATTACAGGTGCCCACCACCATGCCTGGCTAATTTTTGTATATTCAGTAGAGATGGGGTTTCGCCATTTTGGCCCTGCTGGTTTTGAACTCCTGACCTCAGGTGATCCGCCTGCCTCAGCCTCCCAAAGTGCTGGGATTACAGGCGTGAGCCACCGCACCCAGCCCAATATTGTCTGTTTTAAAGGCAAAAAATTATCTGTTTTGTGTCAATAGTAAATCAGTTTTTATCAATTTTAATATTTTTAAATATTTAATTTTATCATTTTTTGAGATAGGATCTCACTTTGTCACTCAAGCCGGAGTGCAGTGGCACAAACATGGCTCAGTGCAACTTCGACCTCTTGGGCTCAAGCCATCCTCCCACCTCAGCCCCCCAAGTAGCTGGGACTACAGGCGTGCACCATCACACCCAGCTAATTTTGCATTTTTTGTAGAGATGAGGTTTCACCATGTTGCCCAGACGGGCTTTGAAGTCCTGGGCTCAAGCAATCCTCCTGCCTCGGCCTCCCAAAGTGCTGGGATTACAGGCCTGAGCCACCGTGCCCTGCCAGCCAGTATTTTCAACGTACAAAATTTTTGTTTAAGTTTTGTGTTTAGTAATTTCACAATCATTTAATTTGAATTACTTTCTCATTTCCATTCTGATCTTTTTTCCTGACCAATGGGCACATCAGAAAAGTATGTTTTAATTTCCAGACACGTGAGGAGTTTCTACTTCTCTTTTTGTTACTGGTTTCTAGTTTAAATTGCGTTAGAATCAGAGTACACGGCTGTATGATTTAAATTCTTTGAAATATATTGAGCTGGTTTATGGTCCATTGTCAGTCAGTTTTGAACAGGTTCTTTATGTGCTTGAAAAGAAAGTACATTCAGAAGTTTTGGGATTTGATAGGTGGAAGGTGAGGCCAGAAAGGCAGGTCCACTCCGTATAACTTCTATTGAAAAAGATCTGTGAATAAGTGGACCCATGCAGTCCAAAAACGTTGTTGCTCAGGGGTCAAATATAATGACCTGATGTATTTTCTACTTTGTAGAACAAGTGCTTATTAAATTAATAATATGTTTATTAAAGCATTATTTCATAATCTTCCATCTTTCTAGAGGCTTGGTGATATCCAAGTTCAGCTTTAGGCAACTAAAGTTGCTCTCTTTTCTCTCTGTCTTCCTGGGTTAAAAAGGATGACTGTATTTAGACTGTCAAAAATAAAATATATTATGTGAATGTAAAAGAACTTCTACCAAAAAAAAAGTTGTTGTTTTGAGATTTAATTTTTTTTTTCTTTTGGAGACAGAGTCTCGCTCTGTCACCCAGACTGGAGTACAGTGGCGTGATCTCAGCTCACTGCAACCTCTGCCTCCCAGGTTCAAGCGATTCTCCTGCCTCAGCCTCCCTAGTAGCTGGGATTACAGGTGCCTGCCACCGTGCCCAGCTAGTTTTTGTATTTTTAGTAGAGATGTGGTTTCACCATGTTGTCCAGGCTGGTCTTGAACTCCTGACCTCTGGTGATCCACCTGCCTTGGCCTCCCAAAGTGCTGGGATTACAGACGTGAGCCACTGTGCCAGGTCTGGGACTTCATCTTTAAAAATAATTCCATTAGGAGAAGTGTGTTAATCGTGCTATTCAATCTTTATGTTCTTACCAATTCTTTTATCTCTTTTACCAATTACTGAAGTATATTAATTCTGTAACCATGATATTCTATTTCTTTTTGTAATTTTTGTTTTCTTTTATTTTCTTTTGTTTTTTGAGACAGAGTCTCATTGATGCCCAGGATGGAGTGAAGTGGTGTGATCTCAGCTCACTGCAACCTCCACCTCTCAGGTTCAAGTGATTCTCCTGCCTCAGCCCCCTGAGTAGCTGGGATTACATGCATGGGGCCACTCAAGTAGCTGGGATTACAGGTGCACGCCACCACGCCCAGCTAATTTTTGTATTTTTAGTAGAGATGGGGTTTCACCATGTTGGCCAGGCTGGTCTCAAAGTCCTGACCTCAAGTGATCTGCCCAACTCAGCCTCCCAAAGTGCTGGGATTACAGGCATGAGCCCCTGTGCCTGACCAAAGTGAATGCTTTCTAATCCATTTCTGCTTGGAGCCTTGAAAAAACATACATAAGGGATTCTGATGAAAATGTCCAGAATGAGACTCTGGCATCTGCATTTTTAACAAGCTCTTAGGTGACTCTGCTTTATATCCAGAGTTGAAGGCCCCTGGTCTAGACAGGGTATCCAAGAATCACCAGGGTAAAGAAGAATTTTTCCAATACATTTCTGGTTCCCTAAAAAGATATTGTCTGGAGAAAATCATGTAGTTGGAAATGTGCTTGCGAGGGATTGGAGGCTGTACCTTGAAAAGTCAATGAATCAACTGGATTTCACTTTGCTACCCACAAAATGGGAACAACTTACTGTTGCCTATTTATTTCACATGGATAAATGAGTTTCAAGTTATGAGTCCACTGTGAGCAAAACGTATGAAAGAAATTAAAAATGATACAGTTATTCCAACTCCAGTATCAGTTCTCCATAGTCTGTTGGTACCCAGGGCACAAGGAGGACAGAATCCATATAAAGACTACCTAGCACTCAAATTCTGGGAGTCTTGTCACCTGGCTCAGGAAGCACTCATTTGTTGTTTGTTGTTGTTGCTGCTGTTGTTGTTGTTTTGAGATGGAGTTTCGCTCTTGTCGCCCAGGCTGGAGTGCAATGGCAAGATCTCCGCTCACCGCAACCTCTGCCTCCTGGGTTCAAGCGATTCTCCTGCCTCAGCCTCCCAAGTAGCTGGGATTACAGGCATGTGCCACCACACTTGGCTAATTTTGTATTTTTAGTAGAGACAGGGTTTCTCCATGTTGGTCGCTGGTTTCGAACTTCCGACCTCAAGTGATTCACCCTCCTCGGTCTCCTAAAGTGCTGTGATTACAGGTGTGAGCCACAAAGCCCGGCCAGGAAGTGCTCATTTGTAGTTTTGAAATTCTTCAGCTAGGTTGAAACCTCTAAAGGTTGATCAAAGCGCTGTTTGTTGTAGTTGGACTGCAGAACATCCCGGCAATTTTTCACCCAAAGATGAGCTTAAAAAAAGGCAGAAGAGGCCGGGCGCGGCGGCTCATACCTGTAATCCCAGCACTTTGGGAGGCTGAGGTGGGCGGATCACGAGGTCAGGAGATCGAGACCATCCTGGCTAACACAGTGAAACCCCGTCTCTACTAAATATACAAAAAATTAGCTGGGCATAGTGGCAGGCGCCTGTAGTCCCAGCTACTTGGGAGG
This sequence comes from Homo sapiens, assembly GCF_000001405.40. NCBI lineage: Eukaryota > Metazoa > Chordata > Mammalia > Primates > Hominidae > Homo > Homo sapiens. The sequence goes on along the minus strand of NC_000001.11, from coordinate 155,601,873 downwards.
CTGAGGCTGGAGAATGGTGTGAACCCGGGAGGCGGAGCTTGCAGTGAACCGAGATTGCGCCACTGCACTCCAGCCTGGGTGACAGAGTGAGACTCCGTCTCAAAAAATAATAATAATAAAATAAATAAATAAAAGGCAGAAGAAAACCAGGCAGAAACTGTATTGAACTGGAAATATTCCAGCCTCTTTAAGTTATGGGAAATGACTTTAGTTTCCAATATATATTTCTTTTCTTTTTTTTATTTTTTGAGACAGTGTCTTGCTCTGTTGCCCAGGCTAGAAGGCAGTGGTGAGATCACAGCTAACTGTAACCTTGAACTTCTAGGCTCAGGCGATCCTCCTGCCTCAGCCTCTCAAATTGCTGGTGAACCACTGTGCCTGGCCTTGTCAGGTCCATCTTAGACTAAACATTATCTTTAGAATCAATATATAAATCAGGCCAGGTACAGTGGCTTACACCTGTAATCCTAGCACTTTGGGAGCTCAAGTCGGGCGGATCACTTGAGGTCAGGAGTTCAAAATCAGCCTGGCCAACATGGTGAAACCCCGTCTCTACTAAAAATACAAAAAAAAATAGCCGGGCGTGGTGGCAGGTGCCTGTAATCCCAGCTACTCAGGAGGCTAAGGCAGGAGAATCACTTGAACCTGGGAGGCGGAGGTTGCAATGAGCCGAGATTACACCACTGCACTGCAGCCTGGGCAACAGAGTGAGACTCCATTTCAAAAGAAAAAAAAAGGAATAAATATACAAGCAAGGCTGGGTGCGGTGGCTCAAGCCTATAATCCCAGCACTTTGGGAGGCCGAGGTGGGCGATCACCTGAGGTCAGGAGCTTGAGACCAGCCAGACCAACATGGTGAAACTCCATCTCTATTTAAAAAAAAAAAAAAAAAAAAAAAGGCCTAGCACAGTGGCTCACACCTGTAATCCCAGCACTTTGGGAGGCCAAGGCGGTCGCATCACGAGATCAGGAGATCGAGACCATACTGGCTAACGCAGTGAAACCCCGTCTCTACTAAAAATACAAAAAATTAGCCGGGCGTGGTGGCAGGTGACTTTAGTCCCAGCTACTTGGGAGGCTGAGGCAGGAGAATGGCATGAACCTGGGAGGCGGAGCTTGCCAACATGGCAAAACCCTGTCTATACTAAAAATACAGAAATTAGCCAGATGTGGTGGTGCATGCCTGTAATCCCAGCTACTGGGGAGGCTAAGGCAGGAGAATCGCTTGAACCCGGGGGATGCAGGTTGCAGTGAGCCGAGATCGTGCCACTGCACTCCAGTCTGGGCGACAGAGCAAGACTCCATCTCAAAAAAAAAGAAAGAAAAAATATGGATGCACACAATATTTAACAAAAAAGGGACATATGCTGTGGGGAAAAGCAAGAGAGATCAGATTGTTACTGTGTCTGTATAGAAAGAAGTAGACATAGGAGACTCCATTTTGTTCTGTACTAAGAAAAATTCTTCTGCCTTGAGATTCTGTTAATCTATGACCTTACCCCCAACCCTGTGCTCTCTGAAACATGTGCTGAGTCAACTCAGGGTTAAATGAATTAAGGGCTGTGCAAGATGTGCTTTGTTAAACAGATGCTTGAAGGCAGCATGCTCGTTAAGAGTCATCACCACTCCCTAATCTCAAGTACCCAGAGACACAAAACACTGCGGAAGCCCGCAGGGACCTCTGCCTAGGAAAGCCAGGTATTGTCCAAGGTTTCTCCCCATGTGATAGTCTGAAATATGGCCTCGTGGGAAGGGAAAGACCTGACCGTTCCCCAGCCCGACACCCGTAAAGGGTCTGTGCTGAGAAGGATTAGTATAAGAGGAAGGCATGCCTCTTGCAGTTGAGACAAGAGGAAGGCATCTGTCTCCTCCCCGTCCCTGGGCAATGGAATGTCTCGGTATAAAACCCGATTGTACATTCCATCTACTGAGATAGGGAAAAACCGCCTTAGGGCTGGAGGTGGGACATGCGGGCAGCAATACTGCTTTGTAAAGCATTGAGATGTTTATGTGTATGCATATCTAAAAGCACAGCACTTAATCCTTTACCTTGTCTATGATGCAAAGACCTTTGTTCACGTGTTTGTCTGTTGACCCTCTCCCCACTATTGTCTTGTGACCCTGACACATCCCCCTCTCGGAGAAACACCCACGAATGATCAATAAATACTAAGGGAACTCAGAGGCTGGCGGGATCCTCCATATGCTGAACGCTGGTTCCCCTGGTCCCCTTATTTCTTTCTCCATACTTTGTCTCTGTGTCTTTTTCTTTTCCAAGTCTCTCATTCCACCTTACGAGAAACACCCACAGGTGTGGAGGGGCAACCCACCCCTTCATATGCAAAGTGTAATATCCCTTAAGTTTTGACAACCTATACTGATGACTCTAGAATGCTGATAAATAGTAAAAGGCTCTGTGGGTACTCAGAATTGTTAACCGATGGCAAAAAATAAAAAACAAAAAAAACCCCGTGGTGACCTCTAAGGCAGGAGTTTATGCTCATGGGTATTAAATATCAAAAGAAGGACTGCTTAGCATCAAAAGGCTTCAGGAAGCTTTTAGCCCAATTTCCTTTCATCACATTGACTTCACCTTGTAACCTGCTTGGCAGTAATATCACGAAGAAATCATGATGGATGAGCTCAGACTGCTCTACATCTGGAGTAAAGGCTTTTCTTTTTTTTTTTTCTTTTCTGAGACAGCGTCTTGTTTTGTCGCCCAGGCTAGAGTGCAGTGGTGCGATCACGGCTCACTGCAGCCTCCTCCTGGGCTTAAGCTCAGGCAATCCGCCTGCCTCGGCTTTCCAAAGTGCTGGGATTACAGGCATGAGCCATCGTGACTGGCAAAGGCTTTTCCTTTAGCTATCAGATCCCCGTTAGAAAATTAAAGCTACAAGACTACCACGGTAACAAGATAACTGAACCTAACAGAGAGAAGACAAGACAGGAAGTTCTTACCATCTGGAATACGTAGTATCAGCCAGTCCTGTTTTGCACAGAAATGAATAACATGGCAAAGACCGAGTGTTTTTCCGGTTCCCTTCTCTCCATCTAAAATATATGTTGTTAAAGAAAACGTGACTACAAGGTGACTAGAAAGGTCACTTGTACTGTCAACAGTACTTATGTTTTTTTTGTTGTTCTTGCTGTTTGAGACTGGGTCTCGCTCTGTTCTCCAGGCTGGAAAGCAGTGACGTGATCTTGGCTCACTGCAACCTCTACCTTCTGGGTTCAAGGGATGCTCCTGCCTCAGCCTCCCAAGTAGCTGTGATTACAGGTGTGTACCACCACGCCTGGCTAATTTTTGTATTTTTAGTAGAGACAGAGTTTCACTATGTTGACCAGGCTCATCTTGAACTCTTGGCCAAAAGTGGTTTGCCTGCCTTGGCCTCCCAAAGTGCTGGGATTACAAGTGAGCTACTGCACCTGGCCAGTGTTTATATTTTTTAAAGAAATCCTGGCCGGGTGCGGTGGCTCACACCTGTAATTCTAGCACTTTGTGAGGCCGAGGCAGGTGGATCACCTGAAGTCAGAAGTTCGAGAACAGCCTGACCAACATGGAGAAACCCTGTCTCTACTAAAAATACAAATTAGCTGGCCGTGGTGGCACATGCCTGTAATCCCAGCTACTTTGGAGGCTGAGGCGGGAGAATTGCTTGAACCAGGGAGGCAGAGGTTGTGGTGAGCTGAGATGCGTCATTGCACTCCAGCCTGTGCAACAAGGGTGAAATTCCATCTAAAAAAAAAAGAAATTCTGGCCGGGTGTAGTGGCACACGCCTGTAATCCCAGTGCTTTGGGAGGCTGAGATGGGCAGATCATCTGAGGTCAGGAGTTTGAGACCAGCCTGGGCAACATGGTGAAACCCTGTTTCTACTAAAAATACAAAAAATTAGCTGGGCGTGGTGGCGCGTGCCTGTAATCCCAGATACTGGGGAGACTGAGGCAGGAGAATCGCTCGAACCCAGGAGGCAGAGGCTGCAGTGAGCCGAGATCGCGCCACGGCACTCCAGCCTGGGCAGCAGACTGAAACTCCATCTCAAAAAAAAAAAAGACAAAAAGTAGTGGCTGGGTGCTGTGGCTCACGCCTGTAATCCCAGCACTTTGGGAGACCAAGGCGGGTGGATCACCTGGGGTCAGGAGTTCGAGACCAGCCTGACCAACATGGTGAAACCCCCTCCCTACTAAAAATACAAAAATTAGCCAGGCGTGGTGGCGCATATCTGTAATCCCAGCTACTCAGGCGGCTGAGACGGGAGAATCGCTTGAACCCGGGAGGCGGAGGTTGCAGTGAGCCGAAATCACACCACTGCACTCCAGCCTGGGCAACAGAGTGAGACTTCTTCTAAAAAAAAAAAAAGTTTGCAATTACCTGTCAAATCCTACATCAATCCAATTGTTTTGTTAGGATTTAGTTTCCCTCTTGTTGCCCAGGCTGGAGTGTAATGGCGTGATCTCAGCTCACTGCAACTCGGCCTCCCAGGTTCAAGTGATTCTCCTGCCTCAGCCTCCCGAGTAGCTGGGACTACAGGCGCCCGCCACTATGCCCTACTAATTTTTTGTGTTTTTAATAGAGACGGGGTTTTACCATGTTGACCAGGCTGGTCTCCAACTCCTGACCTCAGGTGATCCGCCTGCGTTGGCCTCCCAAAATCCTGCAATTACAGGCGTCAGCCACCATGCACAACCTTGTCTTCTCATCTGTGACCAAGACTTTGAAAAGTGGATAAGGTCTGGTATTCACTCATGTCTTTGTCTTTTGTATTTTTGAGGCAGGGTCTTGCTCAGTTGCCCAGGCTGGAGTGCGGTAGTGCAATCACCGCTCACTGAGGCCTTGGCTTCCCAGGCTCATAAGATCCTCCAACCTCAGCCTCACAAGTAGCTGGGACCACAGGTGTGCACCACCACACCTGTCTAATTTTTTGACTTTTTTTGGATAGAGATGAGGTTTTGCTATGTTGCCCAGGTTGGTCTTGAACTCCTGAGCTCAAGGGATCCTCCCACTTTGGCCTCTCAAAGTGTTGGGATTGCAGGCATGAGCCACCACAACTGGACCATTCATCTCTTAAAGCTGGAAAAGATATCTCCCATTGTTTTGAGACAGCCTGCTGTCCAGGCTGGAGTGCAGTGGCCCAATCTCAGCTGACTGTAGCCTTGACTTCCTGGGCTCAAGTGATCCTTACAGCTAAACCTCTTGAGTAGCTTGGACTACAGGCACATACCACTGTGCACTGCTAATTAAAAATTTTTTTGTGTGGAGTTGGGGACTCTCTATGTTGCCCAGGCTAGTCTTGAACTCTTGGGCTCAAGTGATCCTCCCACCTCGGGATCCCAAAGTGCTGGGATTACAGGCATAAGCTACTGTGCCCAGCCTCATTTTTTATCTTAGCCAAGAATGCTGGTTGCTGTCCCCAAACCCAGTATGTATATAAAGGTGGCCTAAATGATGATGCCAATTGTTCATCAAAGTAAACCGTAGATGTAGGGGTAGCAGAGACAATTCTTGCCATCTGGATTATTCTGTGCTGTGTATAGAGATGCTCCAGTCATGTGACAAGATCATCTGCATGCTGCTGTTTCCATAGAAACCCCAGAGGAATTGGCAGATAAAAGGACTGCAATTACAGAGAAAGCTGAAAGACACTTCAGTGGCTTGATTCGTTTATTCTACTTCATTTTGTGTTTGTGAAAATAGGTGAAAGCTAGAGATATATTTAAAACACACCCTGCTGAGATCATGTTTTGGGTAATGGGTGATTATTTTTTTCTTTCCACACAGACTATATTAAGATGGGAAGACTCAGAGGGTAGGGGCAGGGAAAGAAAGCTATTGGTTCCTCACATTACAGCACAGACCACAAATTAATTTCATTTACGAGAGGCAGCAACAAAAAGAAATTAATATCCAGTCTAATAGGGAACTGGACTAGAAAATGCAACACTAGATACTGCTGGAATCCTGGCTTCTGCAGACAAAATTCACTTTAAATGCTGCTCTTCTCATAACAAATCAAGTTAGTTCCCTCTCCAGACCCTAGGAAATCCACTTACAAAACTGCAAAATAGCACCAGATTGGTTATTAGAAAAATTGGATTCTGGGCCAAGTGTGGTGGTCCATGCCTGTAATCCCAGTACTTTGGGAGGCCAAGATCGGGAGATCGAGACCATCCTGGCCAACATGGTGAAACTGTGTCTCTATTAAAAATATAAAATATAAAAATTAGCTGGATGTGGTGGTGTGTGCCTGTAATCCCAGCTACTTGGGAGGCTGAAGCACGAGAATTGCTTGAACCCAGGAGGTGGAGGTTGCAGTGAGCAGAGATCACAGCACTGCACTCCAGCCTAACAACAGAGTAAGACTCCATCTCAAAAAAAAAAAAAAAGAAAAAGAAATTGAGGCCGGGCGCGGTGGCTCACGCCTGTAATCCCAGCACTTTGGGAGGCCGAGGCACGCAGATCACGAGGTCAGGAGATCGAGACAATCCTGGCTAGCGCAGTGAAACTCCGTCTCCACTAAAAATACAAAAAAATTAACCAGGCATGGTGGTGGGCACCTGTAGTCCCAGTTGCTCGGGAGGCTGAGGTGGGAGAATGGAGTGAACCCGGCAGGCAGAGCTTGCAGTGAGCCGAGATTGCGCCACTGCACTCCAGCCTGGGTGACAGACCGAGACTCCATCTCAAAAAAAAAAAAAAAAAAACAACAAACCTGAAGCAGGAAAGCGTTTTTTTTTTTTTTTTAGACAGAATCTCGCTCTGTCGCCCAGGCTGTAATGTAGTGGCATGATCTTGGCTCACTGCACCCTCTGCCTCCTGGGTTCAAGCAATTCTCATGCCTCAGCCTCCCAAGTAGCTGGTATTACAGGCATGCACCACCACATCTGGCTAATTTTTTATATTTTTAGTAGGGACGGGGTTTCGCCATGTTGGCCAGGCTGGTCACGAACTCCTGATGTCAAGTCATCTGCCCACCCTGACCTCCCAAAGTGCTTGGATTACAGGCATGAGCCACCCACGCCTAGCCTTTAATTAGCATCTTTATCTCTAAATCTTTGATGTTTCATCTTTCATAGTCTTTCAGCTTACCAAATAATAGGTTTAACATTCAGCTAATCAAAAAACTTGGGAGCCAGGTGTGGTGGTCCACTCCTGTAGTCCCAGCTACTTGGGAGCAAAAGTGGAAGGAGTGCTTGAGGTCAGGAGTTTGAGATCAGGATGGGCAATGCAGTGAGACCCCATTAAAAAAAAAAGAGAGAGAGAAACACGGCTTAGGTGGTTCCAGAATGATGTCAAAATAAGTCTCAAATTCCTCAGCATGACAAGGCCACTGTGATGACTTCAATTCAAGTTTCTAGTTTCATTTATAGCCATAGGACCATGCTAAAACATGTCATTTTACTGCTTCGATACTTCTGCTCATTCTACTTCAACTTCCCTCTCTCTCCATTTATTTACTTATTTATTTACTTAATTTTCTTTTTGAGAGTCTCACTCTGTCACCCAGGCTGGAGTACAGTGGCATGATCTCTGCTCACTGCAACCTCCCTCTCCCAGGTTCTAGTGATTTTCGTGCCTCAACCTCCAAGTAGCTGGGATTACAGGCGCCTGCCACCACGCCTGGCTAATTTTTGTATTTTTAGTAGAGACGGGGTTTCATCATGTTGGCCAGGCTGGTGTCGAACTCTTAGCTTCATGTGATCCACCCGCCTCGGTCTCCCAAAGTACTGAGATTACAGGTGTGAGCCACCGCACCTGGCCCTCTGTCCCCATTTAAATCTTACCCATTCATCAAGTCTCAACTCAAATGTCACATCCTCAGTGAAAATTTGCCAGACACCTCCAGTCAAAAGTAATTCTCTTTCCTTACTGCTAATAGCACTCTTTACATTGCATGGCATTTTTTTTTTTTTAGACGGAGTCTCGCTCTGTTGCCCAGGCTGGAGTGCAGTGGCATGATCTCGGCTCACTGCAAGCTCCGCCTCCCGGGTTCATGCCATTCTCCTGCCTCAGCCTCCCGAGTAGCTGGGACTACAGGCGCCTGCCACCACACCCGGCTAGTTTTTTTGTATTTTTAGTAGAGACAGGGTTTCACTGTGTTAGCCAGGATGGTCTCGATCTCCTGACCTCGTGATCTGACCACCTCAGCCTCCCAAAGTGCTGGGATTATGGGCGTGAGCCACCGCACCCGGCCCGAATGGCAATTTTATTACACTGCCTTGTGTTGTACTCATGCCTACTGTTAACTGAGTATCTATTAGATGTTAGGCAATACAGTATTGTACATGCACTAGTTTTAAACCTAGAAATCCTAGCAGATAGGCAGAATATTATCAACCCTGTGTTATGATGGGGAAGACAAGGTTCAGGGAAGTTGAGTAATTTTGATTAAGGTCACAGAGTTAGTAGATGGTGAACCAGAATTCACATCCAAGTTTGTCTCACTTTAAAATATCTATTTTTTAGAATTGTATCATGTTACGTTACACATGTTTGTCTTCTTGGCTACATGCTTGGAAGAGAAGGAATCAGATTTCATTCATTTTCGTATCTCCTTCTCTGAGTACTTAACACACTATAAGTACTTAGTCTTTTGCCCTCGAATAAAGAATCTGCCATTGAAGACATGCAGTGAAGGAGTATGTAAAGCATCCACTAAGAACAGTAGGCCAGGTGCGGTGGCTCACGCCTGTAATCCCAGCACTTTGGGATGCCAAGGTGGGCAGATCACCTAAGGTCAGGAGTTTGAGACCAGCTTGGCCTAAATGGTGAAACTCTGTCTCTACTAAAAATACAAAAAAATTAGCCAGGTGTGGTGTTGCACGCCTATAATCCCAGCTATTGGGGAGCCTGAGGCAGAAGAATTGCTTGAACCTGGGAGGTGGAGGTTGCAGTGAGCCAAGATCGTGCCATTGCACTCCAGCCTGGGAGACAGAGCAAGACTCCATCTCAAAAAAAAAAGAAAGTAAACTGCTCTGTAGGAAATTTAGGTATACACAGAAACCTCTGAACCATTTAATATAAAGTAACTGTAAGCTGGGCACAGTGGCTCGCTCCCAGCACTTTGGGAGCCCAAGGCGGGTGGATCACTTGAGGTCAGGAGTTCGAGACCAGCCTGGACAACTTGGGGAAACGCTGTCTCTACTAAAAGTACAAAAATTAGCCGGGGCATGGTGGCAGGCGCCTGTAATCCCAGCTACTCAGGTGTCTGAGGCACAAGAATCACTTGAACCCGGGAGCCACAGGTTGGAGTGAGCCGAGATTGTGCCACCGCACTCCAGCCTGGGAAACAGAGTGAAGCCCCATCTCAAAAAAAAAAAAGTAACTGTCAAGTACTAGAGTTACTCCAGCTTTGTCTGAGAATGTATAACTGTAAATTACAGCAGAAGCAGCAATGCTTGGGAAATATCCAAATATCCAAATCATTCTCTACACTTCTCACCCTCCCTTGCAGAAACAGGAGGAGTCATGTGATTCCTTTGGCTAAACACCTATGAATGGAAATAACTTGTGTTATTGTGTCCTTTCTAATCAGAGCCAATTAAGTGTGAGGTATAAATTATCTCTCCCTCCCCACCTTAAAAGCTACATGTTGCGATGTATCCCAAGAAGGTAAACTTTTGTCCCTCCATCCAGACTTCAATCTTGCTTGCAAAGCCGTTTTGAAAGACAGGAACAGCAAAAACAAAGCAAAACACATGCACACAACACAAACAATATCCTTTGTGTTAGGCCACTGAGAATACAAGGCTTGTTACTTCAGCATAGCAATCTGAATAACACACACTAGTACTACTTAAACGCTACTCAATTTTATCTACCGGAGAGAAAGCACCATGCCTCTTTACAAAGCAGAGTGGAAAACAAACTATTCAAGGGCCACAAGGTGGTGCTATTTCTACAGTAATGTGATGAAATTTTTGTTATACTTTTTTTTTGACATAGGGTGGGGTCTTGCTATATTGCCCCGGACAGTCTCAAATTCCTGGGCCCGCATGATCCTCCTGCCTCAGCCTCCCAAGTAGCTGAAACTACAGGTACTTTTTGAAGCAAATTAGAAGCTAGCAAAATGGAATCTTTTTTTTTTTTTGAGACGGAGTTTCGCTCTTGTTGCCCAGGCTGGAGTGCAATGGTGTGATCTTGGCTCACTGCAACCTCTGCCTCCCGGGTTCAAGCGATTCTCCTGCCTCAGCCTCCCGAGTAGCTGGGATTACAGGCATGCGCCACCACGCCTGGCTAATTTTGTATTTTTAGTAGTGACGGGGTTTCTCCATGTTGGTCAGGCTGGTCTTGAACTCCCAACCTCAGGTGATCGCCTGCCTCGGCCTCCCAAAGTGCTGGGATTACAGGTGTAAGCCACCACACCTGGCCTACAGCAAAATGAAATCTTTAGTTCTTAAAGTTTTATATATGATATCACTTAAGTAGACTGTTGTTTCCAAAGAAAACAACCATCTGTACTATTGCCTCTGTACAGTTCCAGAATGAACATCCTGCAGTTTCTGAAACAGCATTTGTGGGCCAATCTAGAAGATCACCGTGATGGTTAATATTAAGTGTCGACTTGGCCTAGGAATTTCGCATATCTCCTTCGCAGTGCAGCTCCTTCAATCTCACCATGGCCTCTGCCAGAATGCAGATCCTGGGAGTCGTCCTGACACTGCTGGGCTGGGTGAATGGCCTGGTCTCCTGCGTCCTGCCCATGTGGAAAGTGACCACTTTCATCGGCAACAGCATCGTGGTGGCCAGGTGGTGTGGGAGGGCCTGTGGATGTCCTGAGTGGTGCAGAGCACTAGCCAGATGCAGTGCAAGGTGTACGACTCACTGCTGGCGCTGCCACAGGACCTGCAGGCTGCACGTGCCGTCTGTGTCATCACCCTCCTTGTGGCCCTGTTCGGCTTGCTGGTCTACCTTGCTGGGGCCAAGTGTACCACCTGTGTGGAGGAGAAGGATTCCAAGGCCCGCCTGGTGCTCACCTCTGGGATTGTCTTTGTCACCTCAGGGGTCCTGACACTAATCCCCGTTTGCTGGACGGCGCATGCCATCATCTGGGACTTCTATAACCCCCTGGTGGCTGAGGCCCAAAAGTGGGAGCTGGGGGCCTCCCTCTACTTGGGCTGGGCGGCCTCAGGCCTTTTGTTGCTGGGTGGCAGGCTGCTGTGCTGCACTTGCCCCTCCGGGGGGTCACGGGGCCCCAGCCATTACATGGCCCGCTACTGGACATCTGCCCCTGCCATCTCTCGGGGGACCTCTGAGTACCCTACCAAGAATTACGTCTGACATGGAAGTGAATGGGGGCTCCGCTGGCACTAGAGCCATCCAGAAGTGGCAGTGCCCAACAGCTTTGGGATGGGTTCATATCTTTTGTTTCTGCCTCCTTCTATTTTTCTTTTGACTGAGGGTATTTAAAATTCATTTAAAAACTGAACCAAGAAGATGACTCAGACTCCCACTTAGGTTCTGCTGTTTCTCACCCTTGGATGATGGAGCCAAAGAGGGGATGCTTTGAGATTCTGGATCTTGACATGCCCATTTTAGAAGCCAGTCAAGCTGTGGAACTAATGTGGAGGCTGCTTGCTGTGCTGGCCTTTGCAACAAGACAGACTGTCCCCAAGAGTTCCTGCTGCTGCTGGGGGCTGGGTTTCCCTAGATGTCGCTGGACAGCTGCCCCCCATCGTACTCAGGCCTCTGGAGCTCCTCTCTTCACCCATGGAAAAGCAAGTGATCTGTTAACAAAGGACTGCCTACCTCCGGAACTTCTGACCTCTGGCTCCTCCGTCCTGGATGTCCACCTTGCAGGGTCAGGTCCCAGCTATGTAGACCCCCGCCCCCACCTCCAACACTGCACCCTTCTGTCCTGCCCGCCCCGCCTCACCCCCTTTACACTCACATTTTTACCAAATAAAGCATGTTTTGTTAGTGAAAAAAAAAAAAATTAAGTGTCAACTTGATTGGATTAAAGGCTGTAAAGTATTGTTCCTGGGTGTGTCTGTGAGGGTGTTGCCAAAGGAGATTAACATTTGAGTCAGTGGACTGGGAGACGCAGACCCACCCTCAGTGTGGGTGGACACCATCTAATCACCTGCCAGGGCAGCTAGAATAAAGCAGGCAGAAGAAGGTAGGATGAGCCGACTTGCTGGGTCTTCCAGCCTTCATCTTTCTCCTGAGCTAGATGCTTCCCGCCCTCGAACACTGGACTCCAAGTTCTTCAGCTTTTGGACCCTTGGACTTACAACAGTGATTTGCCAGGGGCTCTCAGGCCTTTAGCCACAGACTGAAGGCTGCACTGTCAGCTTCCCTACTTTTGAAGTTTTGGGACTTGGACTGGCTTACTTGCTCCTCAGCTTGCTCACGGCCTACTGTGGGACTTCGCCAGATGGTGTGACTCAATACTCCTTAACAAACTCTCCTTCATATATACTTCTATCCTATTAGTGCTATCCCTGTAGAGAACCCTGACTAATACAGTCACCCTGAACCAAACTAATAAAAAAAAAAACACCAAAACTTTCTCTTACCAACAGCAGTCTGGCCTCAGGTCTTTCTCATCTGTTATTAAGAAAGAGTAAATTTTTTTTTTTTTGAGATGGAGTCTCGCTCTATTGCCCAGGCTAGAGTGCAGTGGCATGATCTCGGCTCACTGCAACCTCCACCTCTTGGGTTCAAGCGATTCTCTTACCTCAGCCTCCCGAGTAGCTGGGATTACAGGTGTGTGCCACCACACGCAGCTAATTTTTGTATTTTTAGTAGAGACGGGGTTTCACTATGTTGGCCAGGCTGGTCTCAAACTCCCGACCTCAGGTGATCTGTCCGCCTTGGCCTCCCAAAGTGCTGGGATTACAGGCATGAGCTACCGTGCCCGGCCGAGAGGAAATTTATTTTAGCCTTGTAATATGATCAGTTGAGTCCAGAATCCATCCCTCTGCTGATCCTTGCTTTCGTTTCATTTTATAATAATGGGTTATTTTATGTATTAATATATAGGCCTGAGGGAAGGGGGCACATGCAGGGAGAGCCATATAGGAGGAAGGGCTCCTTTTCTAGGAAATCTAATCTGTAATTAAATAATCAGCTGAAAATGACCAAGTCTTTCTGGCTCAGTTCTGAGCCTTTCAGGATCTCCTGCTGACTCGACTAATCCCGCTCAGGTGCTCCTCTTTGGTGCTGTAAGAGCACCATACTGAAATAGTCATTTTTTCATGATTCTACTGGACTGTAAGCTTCTGGAGAACATGGACCATAAAATGCAATAGAGCACAGTGTTTAGGCCACAGGCTTTGAAGTCAGACAGACCTGGCATCTCGTGCGGGCTTTGCAACCTCACAGGCTATTTCCTCAGGTAAGTTACCTAGCCAGTCTCATCTTTAGTTTCTCCATCTGTGAAACAAGGATATTATCTCGTTCATGAGTTGATCATGAGGATTAAAAAAATAAAGCACTTAGTGTAGTACCTGGCACATAATAATACCCAACAAATAATAACTATTATTAGTGAAATGAGGCATCTTAGAATTCTGAGTACCTGCCATATAGAAGGTACTGAAAAACTATTTGGTAAATAAATGAAAAAATGAAGTAAACCAGCAGAATGGTCTTTTTCACGTACAATTTTGTTTTTTAATCATTTTAGATGCTAAAATTGTAAATTGGCAACTTTTTTTTTTTTTTTTTTTGAGACACAGTCTCACTCTGTTGCCAGGCTGGAGTGCAGTGGCTCAGTCACGGCTCACTGCAACCTCCGCCTCCCAGGCTAAAGCGATTCTCCTGCCACAGCCTCCCGAGTAGCTGAGATTACAGGCGCCTGGCACCACGCCTGGCTAATGTTTGTATTTTTTTTAGTAGAGACGGGGTTTCACCATTTTGGCCAGGCTGGTCTCGAACTCCTGGCCTCAAGTGATCCACCCACCTCGGCCTCCCAAAGTGCTGGGATTACAGGTGTGAGCCACCGCGCCCACCTGGCAACTAGTTGTTATTTTCGATACTTCATTAAAGGAGAATTATCATTAATTCAACTAGAGAAATAAAGTTAATAAAAATTACAGTCAATCTTAGTTATGTGTTATGGAAAAATATTAATTATCCTATCCCATGGTAAATTCTCAAGCACAGTTATTCCTTTTTTTTTTTTTTTTTTTCTGAGACGGAGTCTCGCTCTGTCGCCCAGGCTGGAGTGCAGTGGCGCGATCTCGGCTCACTGCAAGCTCCGCCTCCCGGGTTCACGCCATTCTCCTGCCTCAGCCTCCCAAGTAGCTGGGACTATAGGCGCCCGCCACCACGCCCGGCTAATTTTTTTGTATTTTCAGTAGAGACGGGGTTTCACCGTGTTAGCCAGGATGGTCTCGATCTCCTGACCTCGTGATCCACCCGCCTCGGCCTCCCAAAGTGCTGGGATTACAGGCGTGAGCCACCACGCCCGGCCTTTTTTTTTTTTTTTTTTTTTTGAGACGTAGTCTCACTTTGTTGTCCAGGCTTCAGTGCAGCAGCACAATTTCGGCTCACCGCAACCTCCACCTCCCGGGTTGAACGGATTCTCCTGCTTCAGCCTCTGGAGTAGTTGGGATTACCAGCGCGTGCCACCACGCCCGGCTAATTTTGTATTTTTAGTAGAGACGGGGTTTCCCCATGTTGGCTATGCTGGTCTCGAACTCCTACCTCAGGTGATCCTCCCGCCTCACCCTCTCAAAGTGCTGGGATTACAAGCGTGAGCCACGGCGCCCGGCCAAACACAGTTATTCTACTGAAACTTGTTATAGACAAAGTTCTCCAGAGCATTTGACTCTAGATACCATGAATCCATCTAAAAAGAAGAAATCTACTTAAAGACAGTATTCAAGGCTGGGTATAGTGGCTCATGCTTGTAATCCCAGCACTTTGGGGGACTGAGGCAGGTGGATAACTTGAGGCCAGGAGTTTGAGACCAGCCTGCCCAATATGGCAAAACCCCATCTCTCCTAAAAATACAAAGATTTGACAGGTATGATAGTGTTCATCTGTAATCCCAGCTACTTGGGAGGCTGAGGCATGAGAATTGCTTGAACCTGGAAGGCAGAGGTTGCAGCAAGCCGAGATTGCGCCACTGCGCTCCAGCCAGGGTGACAGAGCAAGACTGAGTTAAAAAAATAATAATAAAAGGCAGTATGCACAAAGTGTTCAGATCAGCCGTCAGTCCAGACTCACCTTATGGATCCTAGAGATAAGCCTTGTTATTCCTTTCAGCATTGTCCTTGTACTCTTAAAAAAAAAAAGTGAAAGGTAAAGCACAAATGGGAAAAAATATTTGCAACATGGGAAACTGACAATGGATTATTATGGGTTAATAATATGGAGTAATATCTAGAACATATAAAGCATGCCTACAGCCTAATAAAGAACAATGAGCAAAAGACACAAACAAGCATTTCACAGAAAAGAAACACAAATGGCTAGCAAACCCATGAAAATATTTTTCAACCTCATTACAAATCAGGGTAATGCTAATTAAAACCATGAAAATGAGATACCATTTGAAGCCACCTTATTACAAAAATAAAAAAATCAGGGCCAGGCATGGTGGCTCACGCCTGTAATCCCAGCACTTAGGGAGGCCGAGGCGGGTGGATCACCTGAGGTCAGGATTTCGAGACCAGCCTGGCCAACATGGTGAAACCCTGTCTCTAACAAAAAAAAAAAAAAAAAAGACAGAGAGAGAGAGAAAGAAAAAAACTTCTACATGTACACTGAGAAATAGAAATAAAGATGCTCATATTAGCAGAGTACAAATTATAAAAAGACTGTAAAAAAAACAAATGTCCGTATGTCCATTGACAGAACATTGGATAGATACAGTCATAGAATGGAATACTGGAAAGCAATACAAAGAACAAATTACCATTACATTCATCAATATGGATCTCAAAAATGCATACTGAGTGAACACTACATCTAGCATAGTATGACATGTAAAATAAAAAACCAAAAAACTTCATTGATTATTTGGGGGATATATATATAGGAAAACTGAAACAAAAAGGCAAGAGAATGATAAGAACAACAAATAGAATAATGGTTACTCTTAGGGAGAAAGGAAAAAGATGGGGGCAGGCACACAAGGAAACTGATAATAAGCTATTAACTAACACTGGATAATGGATACATGAGTATTTGTTTTATTATTTTTATAACATGTGTATTATATTAATTATTTTGCATGCTGAAAATACTTAAAAAGCCTGAATCTTTTGGAGCTAAAAGAGATTTAAAAATACTTAAATGTAACTCTCAATATCCAGTAGTTATAGAATAACTTAAGTTAAATGTCTATGTAATTGATTAGTTCATTTTGGCTATCATTTTCACTTTTCTTTTTTTTTTTTTTTTTTGAGACGGAGTCTCGCTCTGTCACCCAGGCTGGAGTGCAGTGGCGCGATCTCAGCTCACTGCAACCTCCGCCTCCCGGGTTCAAGCAATTCTCCTGCCTCAGCCTCCCAAGCAGCTGGAACTATAGGTGCCCGCCACCACGCCTGGCTAATTTTTTGTATTTTTAGTAGAGACGGGGTTTCACCGTGTTAGCAAGGATGGTATCGATCTCCTGACCTCGTGATCCGCCCGCCTTGGCCTCCCAAAGTGCTGGGATTACAGGCGTGAGCTACCACGCCCGTCCCTCATTTTCACTTTTCTTGCAACCAAAATCTTTAAAGCAACAACAGAGTTGCACCCATTTAACCGAATAGTTAGTGAGCACCTACTATGTACCAGGCCCTGTGAATACAATGGTGAACAAACTGTTATAGTCCCTGACCTTATAATCAAGGAACTTAAAGTACAGTCAAGAGAATCACATAGGCTGGATATGGTGGCTCATGCCTGTAATATCAGCACTTTTGGAGGCTGAGGTGGGAAGACTGCTTGAGCCCAGGAGTTTGAGACCAGCTTAGATGACACAGTGAGACCACCTCCACAAACAAACAAACAAACAAACAAACAAAACAAAAAAAAAAACCTGGCACTGTGGCACATGCCTGTAGTCCTAGCCACATAGGAGGCTGAGGCGAAAGGATCACTTGAGCCCAGGTGTTCAAGGCTGCAGGGAGCTATGATCGCACCACTGCACTCCAGCCTGGGTGATACAGTGAGATATTGTCTAAAAAAAGAGAGAGAGAGGTACAGACTCATATAAATTCCTTTAAATTTTATTTCCTCTTTCTTTCTTTTTTTTTTTTTTTTTTTTTTTTGAGACAAGCTCTCACTCTGTTGCCCAGGCTGGAGTGCAATGGCAAGATCACAGCTCACTGCAGCCTTGAACTTTTGGCCTCATGTGATCCTCCTGCCTCAGCCTTCCAAGCAGCTGGGACCATACATGCCCATTGCCTGGTTAATTAAAAAAAGAAATTATTTTATTGGTAGAGATAAGCCTTCCTATGGTGCCCAGGCTGGTCTTGAACTCCTGGGCTCAAGCGATCTTCCTGTCTCAGCCTCCCAAATGCCAGGATTACAAGTGTGAGCCACCATGCTCTGCCTCAAGTTTGTTATTTTTTATTTTTCTTGAGACAGGGTCTTGCTCTGCCACCTAGGCTGGAGTACAGTGGCACAATCACAGCTCATTGCAGCCTCAACCTCCCGTATTCAAGCGATCCTCCCACTTCAGCCTCCCAAGTAGTTGGGATTACAGGTGCAAGCCACAGTACCTGGCTTTTATATTTTGTAGAGACAGGGTCTCGCTATGTTGCCAGAGCTGGTCTTTCCTGGGCTCAAGTGATCCTCCCGCCTTGGCCTCCCAAAGTATTGGGATTACAAGCGTGAGCCACCTGCACAGCCATACTACTTAATGAAGACGCCAAAGCACTCCTAAACTCAGTCATTCAAGAAGCATATGACATGCTTCCACACGCCCACACTACACAGAGTCTATAGTGGTGAATAAGACTGGGGTGGTCTCTACTGGCCTGCCTGCCTTTTTACTTGTGGGATTTCAGGGCTCCTTTTCTAGAGTGCAATGTCACTCCAATAGTATTTGACCTGCCCCACTGTGCTCCCCAGATCTTCTCAATGCTCCCCGGCACAACCACTACTGGAAGAGCTGTGGACTAGGAAGCAGGCTGGGTACTGGAGAGGAAGGAGTGTGTGACATGGTCCAGATGCCCTTCTTTCCATAGGCGTGCCTGTGGACACTGGAGCTATTATTTTGCCTATGTTATAGACACTATGAGAAATGACGGTCAGAACGTGTAATCAGCTTCTGTTCCAGGACACTATCATCTTGAACCCAAATTAAAATAAATGATCTACCAGCATCCAGACTTAAACATTTTCTCCACTGAAGCCTTGCTTAAAATTCTTCAGTATTTCCTCACTACTTTATTATTTTGTGAGATCGGGTCTCAGTCTGTTGCCCAGGCTGGAGTGCAGTGGCGATCATAGCTCACTGCAGCCTCTAACTCCTAGGCTCAAGCAATCCTCCTGCCTCAGCCTCCTGAGCAGCTGGGACTACAGGCACGTGCAACCACCTCGTGGCTATATTTTATTTTTATAGAGATGGGGTCTGGCTATGTTGCCTAGGCTGGTCTCTAACTCCTGGCCTCAAGTGATCTTCCTGCCTTGGCTTCCCAAAGTGCTGGGATTGCAGGTGTGAGCCACTATGCCTGGCCCTCACTAGTTTTCAAGTAAAAAAAAAAAAAAAAAAGATATACCTTCTATATGGGAATAACAAGATACTTTAAGAAGAAGGGGAAGGACCAGGTGCAGTGGCACACATCTATAATTCTAGCACTTTGGGAAGCCCAGGCCGGAAAAAATCATTTGAGGCCAGGAGTTGGAGATCAGCCTCGGCAACGTGGCCACACTGCAACTCTACAATTTTTTTTTTTTTTTAATTTGCCAGGCATGGTGGTCTGTGCCTGTAGTCTCAGCTACTTGGGAGGCTGAGAAGGGAGGATCACTTGAGCCCAGGAGTTCAAGGCTGCAGTGACCAGCGCACTCCAGCCTGGGCAACAGAGTGAGATCCTGCCTCCACAAAAACAAAAAACAAAACAAAAACAAAGTTGCAGGTAGGTGGGTAAGGAGAGAAAGAAATCTCAAAAGTCTCACCCTAAAGCAGACAACCTAGACTAAATCACATTTCAAAATATTTTAAAATACCTATAAGCCGGCCGGGCGCGGTGGCTCATGCCTGTAATACCAGCACTTTGGGAGGCCGAGGCAGGTGGATCACGGGGTCAGGAGTTCAAGATCAGCCTGGCCAAGATGGTGAAACCCCGTCTCTACTAAAAATACAAAAAATTAGCTGGGTGTTGTTGTGGGCACCTTGTAATCCCAGCTACTAGGGAGGCTGAGGCAGAGAATTGCTTGAACCCGGGAGGCAGAGGCTGCAGTGAGCCGAGATCGTGCCACTGCACTCCAGCCTGGCGACAGAATGAGACTCTGTCTCAAAAAACAAACAAACAAAAAATCTATAAGCAGAGAAATCCTATCAACAAGCCAAATCAACACAAAAGAGAGGAATGTTTGCTTATTCTATTTTCCAGGGTATATACAAATCAGGACTCTGCAAGATAAGGCTGAATGCCACTAATACTATGAAAAATTGCGTACTGATTTCTGTTTTCAGTCTTTTCATGTCATTTGAACACTTCTCTGCAGAACACAAGTTAAACATTTTGCTTGTAACTGGACGGTAGGTAAGGGACAGGTTTCCTATGAGAAATGACTGATGGTTGGCCGGGCGTGGTGGCTCACGCCTGTAATCCCAGCACTTTGGGAGGCCGAGGCGGGCGATCATGAGATCAGGAGATCGAGACCACCTTGGCTAACATGGTGAAACTCTGTCTCTACTAAAAATACAAAAAATGATTGAACTCAGGAGGTGGAGGTTGCGGTGAGCCGAGATCATGCCATTGCACTCCAGCCTGGGCAACAAGAGCGAAATTCCGACTCAAAAAAAAAAAAAAAGCCAGACATGGTGGTGCACACCTGTAGTCCCAGCTACTCGGAAGGCTGAGGCAGGAGAATCGCTTGCACCGGGGATGCGGAGGTTGTAGTGAGCCAAGATCGCGCCACTGCACTCCAGCCTGGGTGACAGAGCAAGACTACATCTCAAAAAAAAAAAAATTATGGTAAAAATTAAAGATGAATGATAATTATCTCCAGCCTAATAGGAAGCCAAAACAAACAAAATTCTCAAAAATGTCATTAATATACTTCTCCATGCCGGGCGCAGTGGCTCACGCCTGTAATCCCAGTACTTTGGGAGGCTGAGGCAGGAAGATCACTTGAGGTCAGGAGTACTGGTCAACATGGCGAAACCCCATCTCTACTAAAAATACAAAAATTAGATGGGCGAGGTGGGACATGCCTATAATCCCAGCTACTTGGGAGATTGAGGCATGAGAACTGCTTGAACCCTCCCAGGTTCAAGAGGAGGTTGAAGTGGGCTGAGATCACACCACCGCACTCCAGCCTGGTCGACAGAGTGAGACTCTGTCTCAAAATAATAATAATAATAAAATATAAAGTAAAATAAAATACTTCTCCAATATTTTTCAACTGCCATCATTCTGAGCTTTTCCCCATTATCTGCCTCAAGTATTCCAAGACAAAAGAGTTCTGCTTCCAACCACAGTCTTTATTTAAAATGTAGATAATGGCTGGATGAGGTGACTCACACCTATAATGCCCACACTTTGGGAGGCCGAGGTATAAGGATCACTTGAGCCCAGGAGTTCAAGACCAGCCTGGCAAGATAGCAAGACTGCGTCTCTTAAAAACAATTAAAAAACAAAATAAAATGTAGATAAACAAATCCCAAATAGTTGCCTTAGTCTTTTGAAGCTTTTCCAAATGCATGTAAAAAGACATTTTTTTGTATTTGTAATAATCTGTAAGAAACCACAGATTCTTACACACTATTGTGTGTAAAACTCTGCCGCTACTCTGATGAAACTGTTTAGGTAGTGTTAGAGTATTAGAGTTCTCTCTCCCTTTTTTTTTTTTTTTTTTTTTGAGACAGAGTCTCACTCTGTTACCCAAGTGGAGTGCAGTGGCACAATCTTGGCTCACTGCAACCTCTGCCTCCTGGGCTCAAGCAATTCTCCTGCCTCAGCCTCCCGAGTACAGATGCATGCCACCACACTTGGCTAATTTTTTGGTGTTTAGTAGAGATGGGGTTTCACCATGTTGCCCAGGGTGGTTTTGAACTCCTCAGCTCAGGCAATCCGCCCACCTCGGCCTCCCAAAGTGCTGGGATTACAGGCGTGAGCCACCGCACCTGGCCAAATTATCTTTCTTTAAACAAACAACAAAAAGAGTATTCTTGCCTAGACAGGCCAAATGTAACTTCAGAAGGAAGTCAGAAACAGCCTGTGCCAAATTTAGAAAGGTATCCCAAAGACTATGTGCTAAAACTTCAGTGCAGTGGCGTGATCACGGCTCACTGCAACCTCGAACTCTCAGGCCGAAATGATCCTTTCACCTCAGCCTCCCAAGTAACTGGGACCACAGGTGCACACCACCACGCCTGGCTAATTTATTTTTATTATTTTTGTAGAGACAGGGCAGGGTCTTACTATGTTGCCCAGTCTGGTCTCAAACTCCTGGGCACAAGGGATCGTCCTGCCTCCATCTCCCAACATGCTGGGATTACGGGTGTGAGCCACCACACTCGGCCCTTTTTTTTTTTTTTCTTAGAGTCAGGGTCTCATTATGTTACCAAGGCTGGTTTCAAACCGCTGGCCATGCAACCTCTCCCTTCAGCCTCACGAGTAGTTGGGATTACATGTGCGAGCCACTATACCCAGAGAGAATAACAGATTCTTTTTTTTTTTTTTTTCTTTTTGAGATGGACTCTTGCTCTGTTGCCCAGGCTGGAGGGCAGTGGCCCGATCTCGGCTCACTGCAACCTCTGCCTCCCGGGTTCAAGAAATTCTCTTGCCTCAGCCTCCCAAGTAGCTGGGATTACAGACACACCACCACGCCTGGCTAATTTTTGTATTTTTAGTAGAGACGAGGTTTCACCATTTTGGCCAGTCTGGTCTCAAACTCCTCAACCTCAAGTGATCTGCCTGCCTCGGCCTCCCAAAGTGCTGGGATTACAGGCGAGAACCACAGATGCTTAAGATTATGTCGACCTAGTCTAAGGATTGAACTCGTTCAGAACTAAATCAGTGCTACATTGATCTTAATATTAATCACTGAATATTTTTCTGAAATAGGCTCTATAATAAGCAAATTAAAGGCATTATCTTACAACAGTCCCATCAGGTACACGTTATTATGCTCAGCTGAAAATAAGTATGGATAGATTAACTCCAAGGGTATATATCCTAAAATCAGGCAGTTTTAGAATTGAAATCTATGTTTGACTCTCAAGCCTTTCCCATTAGCCACTATATATGCTACACTGTCAATCAGCAAATGCCTAATGATTTCCAGTGATGGGGAACTCAATAGGAAGTCATTATGGTTTTTACACAGCTTTTAATAAAAGTTCTTCAGTAGTTCGAGGCAACATGTCTCCTTGTAGCTTCCATTCACTGTCCTAGTCTTCCTCTTGGGTTTTTTGTTTGTTTGTTTGTTTGTTTGTTTGTTTGCTTGTTTTGAGATGGAGTTTCACTCTTGTTGCCCAGGCCAGAGTGCAATGGCTTGATCTCGGCTCACCACAACCTCTGCCTCCCGGGTTCAAGCGATTCTCCCGCCTCGGCCTCCCGAGTAGCTAGGATTGCCTGCATGCGCCACCATGTCCATGTCCAGCTAATTTTGTATTTTCAGTAGAGACGGGGTTTCTCCATGTTGGTCAGGCTGGTCTTGAACTCCCAACCTCAGGTGATCCGCCTGCCCCAGCCTCCCAAAGTGCTGGGATGACAAGCGTGAGCCACCACACCTGGCCTCCTCTTGGGTTTTACAAGCCATCTTCCACATGACAGCTTTTCAATTATTAAAGGTAGTTATGGGCCGGGTGCAGTGGCTCACACCTGTAATCCCAGCACTTTGGGAGGCCGAGGTGGGCAGATCACCTGAGGTCAGGAGTTTGAGACCAGCCTGGCCAATATGGCGAAACCTCGTCTCTACTGAAAAAAAAAAAAACAAAAAAAAAACCACACAGGGCCGGGCGCGGTGGCTCACGCCTGTAATCCCAGCACTTTGGGAGGCCGAGGCGGGCGGATCACAAGGTCAGGAGATCGAGACCATCTTGGCTAACACGGTGAAACCCCATCTCTACTAAAAATACAAAAAATTAGCCGGGCGCGGTGGCGGGCGCCTGTAGTCCCAGCTACTCGGGAGGCTGAGGCAGGAGAATGGCGTGAACCTGGGAGGCGGAGCTTGCAGTGAGCCGAGATTGTGCCACTGCAGTCTGGCCTGGGCTAAAGAGTGGGACTCCGTCTCAAAAAAAAAAAAAAAAAAAAAGATTAGCCGGGCGTGGTGGCGCATGCCTGTAGTTCCAGCTACTTGGGAGGCTGAGGCACAAGAATCACGTGAACCTGGGAGGCGGAGGTTGCAGTGAGCCAAGACTGCACGCCAGTGTGGGTGACAGAGTGAGACTCTATCTCAAAAAAAAAAAAAAAAAAAAAAAAAAAAGAAAGGTAGTTATGGTCCTCTGCTCCCCACCCCTCCCCCATAAATGCTTTCAGTTTCCTAAAGCAATTATCATGCAGTACAAGTCCCTTCTCTATATTACCCCAATACACTTCAGGTATGATCTACTGTTTCCCTAATTTAGGATATTATATTTCCAAGAGCGACTTTTGTAACTCCATCACACCAGTGCTTCATACGGAGAACACAGTTCACTAAAATCACCAGTCCTTTTTTTAAAAAAATATTGCTACTATCAAAATCCCAGCAATCTTTTTGGTCAAAATTGTCAAGCTAGCTAGGTGCGGTGGCTCATGCCTATAATCCCAGCTCTTTGGGAGGCCAAGGCGGGTGGATCAATTGAGCTAGGAGTTCGATACCAGCCTGGGCAACAGGGTGAAACTCCGTCTCTACGAAAAATACAAAATTAGCTGGGTGTAGTGGCTCGTGCTTGTAGCCCCAGCTAGTTGGGGAGCTGAGGTGGGAGGATCGCTTGAGCCTGAGAAGTCGAAAGTGCAGTGGACTCTAGCGTCGCGCCACTCCACTCCAACCTGGGTGACACAGTGAGACCCTGTCTTAAGAAAAAACTTTTGAAGCTGATCTCAAAATTCATATGGAAATGCCATAGACCTAGAATAGCCCAAGCATTCTTGAAAAATAACAAATTTAAAGGACTCATACATCTTGATTCCAAAACTTACGATAAAGCTACAGTAATCAAGATAGTCTGGTACTGGCATACGCTTACATCATGGTCAACTGATTTTCAACATGGATGCCAAGACACTTCAATGAAGAAAGAATAGTCTCTTCAACAAATAGTGCTGGGACAACCTGATACTCATGCAAAAGAATGAAAATGGACCCCTACCTTACATTATACACAAACATGAATGCAAAATAGCTCATAGACCTAAATGTAAGAGCTACAGGTATAAAACTTGGAGGGGGCGGCCGGGCGTGGTGGCTCACGCCTGTAATCCCAGCACTTTGGGAGGCCGAGGCGGGTGGATCACGAGGTCAGGAGATCGAGACCATCCTGGCTAACATGGTAAAACCCCATCTCTACTAAAAATACAAAAAATTAGCCGGGCGTGGTGGCAGGCGCCTGTAGTCCCAGCTACTCCGGAGGCTGAGGCAGGAGAATGGCGTGAACCTGGGAGGTGGAGCTTGCAGTGAGCTGAGATTGCGCCACTGCACTACAGCCTGGGTGACAGAGCGAGACTCCATCTCAAAAAACAAACAAACAAACAAAAAAAAGACAAAAAAAAAAACTTGCAGGGGTGAGTTTTCTAACTTTTTTTTTTTTTTTTTTTTTTTTTTTGAGACGGAGTTTTGCTCTTGTTGCCCAGGCTGGAGTGCAATGGCACGATCTCGGCTCACTGCAACCTCCGCCTCCCGGGTTCAAGCCATTCTCCTGCCTCAGTCTCCCGAGTAGCTGGGATTACAAGCGCCTGCCACCACGCCCGGCTAATTTTTTGTATTTTTAGTAGAGATGGGGTTTTACCATGTTAGCCAGGATGGTCTCGATCTCCTGACCTCAGGTGATCCACCCAGTTTGGCCTCCCAAAGTGCTGGGATTACAGGCGTGTGCCACTGCGCTCAGCCTCTAATTTTCTATAGCAGAAAATACAGGAGTAAATCTTCATTATCGTGTGTTATGCAATGGTTTCTTAGATATAACATCAAAAGCACAAGCAAAAGAACTAAAAATAGGCTGGGCACAGTGGCTCACACCTGTAATCCCAGCACTTTGGGAGGCTGAGGTGGGCGGATCACAAGGTCAAGATATCGAGACCATCATGGCCAACATGGTGAAACCCCATCTCTACTAAAAATACAAAACTTAGATGGGCGTGGTGGTGCGCACCTGTAGTCCCAGCTACTCAGGAGGCTGAGGCAGGAGAATCACTTGAACCCGGGAGGCGGAAGTTGCAGTGAGCTGAGATCGCGTCACTGCAGTCCAGCCTGGTGACAGAGACTCCGTCTCAAAAAACAAAAACAAAAACAAAACAGAACAAAACAAAAAAACTATAAATAGATAACGAATTGTATCCAAATCAGACACTTGTACTTCAAAGGATACCATCAAGTAAGTGGAAGACAACCCACAGGATGGGAGAAAATATTTGCAAATCACATAGAACTTAACTTATCTCCATAATATATAAAGAACATTTACAACTTAATAAAAAGGCAACTCAATTTAAAAATGGGGGGCCTGGCGGGGTGGCTCACACCTGTAATCCCAGCACTTTGGGAGGCCGAAGCAGGCGGATCACCTGAGGTCAGGAGTTTGAGACCAGCCTGGCCAACATGGAGAAACCCCTTCTCTACTAAAAATACAAAATTAGCTGGGCGTGGTGACGTGTGCCTGTAGTCCCAGCCACTTGGCAGGCTGAGGCAGGAGAATCGCTTGAGCCCAGGAGGTGGAGGTTGCAGTGAGCCGAGATCACGCCATTGCACTGCAGCCTGGGCAACAGAGCGAACTCTGTCTCAAAAATAAATAAATAAATAAATAAATAAATAAATAAATAAATAAAAATAAAATAAGACAAAAATAAACAATAAAATAAATAAATAAAATAGGCAAAAGAGCCAGGTGCAGTGGCTCACACCTGCAATCCCAGCACTTTGTGAGGCTGAGGCAGAAGGATTGCTTATGCCCAGGAGTTTGAGACCAGCCTGGGTAACATAATGAGACCTGCTCTCTACAAAAAATTTAAAAAATTAGCCAGGTGCGGTGGCGTGCCACTGTGGACCCAGCTATTTGGGGGGCTGAGCGGGGAGGATCACCTGGGTCTGGGAGGCTGAGGCTGCAGTGAGCCGTGATTGCACCACTGCACTCCAGCCGGGGGCAACAGAGTGAGACCCTGACTCAAATTAAGAAAAAAAAAGGCAAAAGATTTGAGCAGGCATTTCTCCAAAGTATAAAAGTTATACAAATGGCCAATAAGCACATGAAAAATGCTCAACATTATTAGTCATCTAGAAAATGCAAATAAAAACCACAATGAGATACCACTTCACACCCACTAGGATGGCTCAAATCAAAAGAACTGACAATGATATGTGTTGGACAGGATCTGGAAAAACTGGGATTCTCTCTCTCTCTTTTTTTTTTTGAGGGTCAAAGAACTCATTTATTTTTACTCATAGAAAGTACAAGTATTAGCCTGGCATGGTGGCTCACACCTGTAATCCCAGCACTTTAGGAAGCTGAGGCGAGTGAATCACCCGAGGTCAGGAATTTGAGAGCAGCCTGGTCAACATGGCAAAACTCCGTCTCTACTAAAAATACAAAAATTAGCTGGGCATGGCGGCGCATGCCTGTAATCCCAGCTAATCGGGAGGTTGAGGCAGGAGAATCGCTTGAACCCGGGAGGTGGAGGTTGCAGTGAGCCGAAATAGTGCCACTGCACTCCAACCTGGCAACAGGAGACTCCGTCTCAAAAAAAAAAAAAAAAAAGAAAAAGTTCTAAAATTAGATAGTGGAGGCTGTGCACGGTGGCTCAGGCCTGTAATCCCAGCACTTTCGGAGACCAGGAGTTCGAGACCAGCCTGGGCAACATAGGAAAACCTTATCTCTACTACTAATAAAAAAAATTAGCTGAACATAGTTGCCTGTGCCTGTAGTTCTGGCTGCTCAGGAGGCTGAGGCAGGAGGATCCCTTGAGTCAAGAAGCTAGAGGTTGCAGTGAGCTAGGATTGCACCACTGCACTCCAGCCTGGGTAACAGAGTGAGGTCCTATTTGAAAGCAAGCAAACAAACAAACCAATGTAAACTTACAGATGAGTTGCAAACGTAGTACGAAGAGCTTTCGTACACTCTTCATTCAGCTTTCCTTAATGTTATATATATGTCTATATATATATATACAACTATAGGACAGTTATCAAAATTAAGAAATTAAAGTTGGAACAATACTATTTACTAAACTACAGATTTTATTTGGATTTCCTCAGCTTTTCTGCTATGTCTTTTTCTTTTTTTGAGACAAGGTCTTGCTCTGTCACCTAGGCTGCAGTGTGATGACGTGATCTTGGCTCATTGTAATCTCCACCTCAATCCTTGGACTTCAGCCTCTCAAGTAGCTTGGACTACAGGCATATGCCACTACACTTGGCTAATTTTTGTGTTTTTTGTTGAGATGGGGTTTCACCATGTTGTCCAGGCTGGTCTTCAACTCCTGGGCTCAAGCGATATGCCTGCCTCTGCCTCCTAAAAGTGCTGGGATTACAGGCGTGAGCCACTGCACCCAGCCTAATGTCTTCTTTTTGTTATAAGATCCAACAGAAGATTCCACATCTGAAGATCTTTTTGTTTTTTAAAATCTGTCACCAACATATTACCCACCCTTTAAAAATTTTGCAAAAGGTATAAATTTGAAAAATATATCCACATCGATCTCATTCAAGTCATTGATACAACTATTTAACAGGATACGATTGCCTAGCATAGCCTGGGTACAGTTTGTAATTTTTTTTTTTTTTTTTTTGTGAGATGGAGTTTTGCTTTTGTCACCCAGGCTGGAGTGCAATAGCGTGATCTCGGCTCACTGTAACCTCTGTCTCCTGGTTTCAAGCAAGTCTCCTGCCTCAGCATCCCTAGTAGCTGGGATTACAGGCACCTGCCACCACGCCCAGCTAATTTTTGTATTTTTAGTAGAGTCAGGGTTTCACCATGTTGGCCAGGCTGGTCTCAAACTCCTGACCTTAGGTGATCAGCCAGTTTCACCATCCCAAAGTGCTGGGATTACAGGCGTGAGCCACTGCGCCTGGTCAGTTCGTATTTTTTTTTTCCGTAGGGACAGGGTTTCGCCATGTGGTCCAGGCTAGTTTCAAACTCCTGAGCTCAAGCGATCTGTCTACCTTGGCCTCTCAACTGCTGGCATTACAGGCGTGTGCCACCATTCCCAGCTAATTTTTCTATCTTTTTTGTAGAGAAAGGATCTCATTATGTTGCCCAGGTTGCTCTCAAACTCTTGGGCTCAAGCGATCCACCTGCCTTGGCCTCTCAAAGTGCTGGGATTATAGATGTGAGCCACTGTCTGGCCCACTTGGGTATAGTTTAAAAATTCTGATACCCAGAGTGTGCCTCAGATCAATTAAATCAGCCTCTGATAGTGACCCAGGCATCAATATTTTTAAAGCTCCCCAGCTTATTCCAATGTGCAGCCAAGAGTGATAACCACTGCCTGTATGTCCATGGTTAAGGGAACTTCAACCCATTTTGCTAACATGTAGCCTTTGGGTATGGTTATTCAACCAATTAAACATTCAGTATACATTTCTCCAAAAAGCCACTGTGCGAGATTATCAAATGCCTAACTTTAATGAGGACATACCAATAATGGAATTTGATCTACCATTCTAAGAATTCTTTTTTTTGACTGGCGCAGTGGCTCACACCTGTCATCTGAGCACTTTGGGAGGCCAGGGCGGGTGGATCGCCTGAGGTCGGGAGTTCGAGACCAGCCTGACCAACATGGAGAAACCCCATCTCTACTAAAAATACAAAATTAGCCAGACGTGGTGGCGCATGCCTGCAAACCCAGTTACTTGGGAGGCTGAGGTGGGAGAATCGCTTGAACCCAGGAGGCGGAGGTTGCAGCAAACCGAGATCATGCCATTGCACTCCAGCCTGGGCAACAAGAGCGAAACTCCATCTCAAAAAAAAGAAAAAAAAATTCTCCATCTCCCGGGTTCAAGCAATTCTCTGCCTCAGCCTCCCGAGTAGCTTGGGATTACAGGTGCCCGAAACCATGGCTGGTTAAGTTTTGTATTTTTAGTAGAGACGGGGTTTCACCATCTTGGCCAGGATGGTCTTGAACTCCTGACTTCGTGATCCACCAGCCTGTCCTCTCAAAGTGCTGGGATTACAGGCGTGAGCCACCGCACCCGGCCATTCCAGGAATTCTAACAAGAAGGATATATTTGTCTGTCATGACTTTCTTTTGTACTAAACCCAGACTGATTCCTCATGATCAGTAATTCTTTCTCTAAATTAGTAGTTCTCTACCAGGGGGATTTTGTCCCCTCCCCCAACATTTGACAATGAATGTTTGGAGGCATTTTGGTTGTCACAGCTGAGGGAGGGAAGGGAGGATGCTATTGGCATCGAGTGAGTAGAGGCCAGGTATGTTGCTAAAGTCTACAATGCACAGGGAGTCCCCCACAACAAAGAATGATCCATCCCCAAATGTCAACAGTGTTGAGGTTGAGATTGTCCTAAATCCCAAGTCCCATAGGAAAAGTTTGGCTCACAAAGACTAATTTCTTTTTTTTTTTTTTTTTGAGACAAGAGTCTCACTCTGTCGCCCAGGCTGCAGTGCAGTGGCGCAATCTTGGCTCACTGCAACCTCCGCCTCCTGGGTTCAAATGATTCTCCTGCCTCAGCCTCCCAAGAAGCTGGGATTATAGGTGTCTGCCACCACATCCGACTAATTTTTGTATTTTTAGTAGAGATGAGGTTTCACCATGTTGGCCAGGCTGACCTCCTGACCTCAAGTGATCTGCCCTCCTCGGCCTCCCAAAGTGCTGGGATTACAGGCGTAAGCCACCATGCCAAGCCACAAAGAGTAATTTCATTGTTTTCATAATTTCAGAGAGAAAAAGCAGAATTCCTTATGCTGTATTTTCTCATCTTAATAATATCTATCTCCCCAGGTTTGGATTCCTAGAGCAATGTTAGAGCTATAAAAGTAAAAGAGTTCTGAAATTTACTGATTATCACAAACTTCAACAGTGCTAACTTCTCCAAGCTCTAAGGTTTTTGTTTGAGATAGGGTCTCCTGCAGTCTCCAAGGCTTGAGTGCAGTGGTATCATCGCTCACTGCAGTCTTGAACTCCTGGGCTCAAGTGATCCTCTCCCTTCAGCCTCCTGAGGAGCTTGGACTACAGCAGGGGTGTCCAATCTTGGCTTTCCTGGGCCACGTCGAAAGAATTGTCTTGAGCCACACATAAAACACACCAACACTAACAACAGCTGATGAGCTAAAATAGCAACAACAACAATGAAATCACAGAAAAAAAAGGCTCTTAATGTTTTAAGAAAGTTTATCAATTTGTGTTGGGCCCTATTCAAAGCCGTCCTGGGTTGTATGCAGCCCATGGGCCACAGGTTCGACAAGCTTGGACTATAGGCATGTACCACCATGACTGGCTAATTTTTACTTTTTTATAGAGATGGGGCTATGTTGCCAGGCTGGTCTTCAGCTCCTGGCCTGAAGCAATTCTCCCACTTTGGCCTCCCATAAAGTGCTGGGATTATACATGTGAGCATTGTGTCCGGCCAACCTCAGTCTTGTAGCTATAGGTGTTTTTGCTAGAAATAATGCATGTGGTTTACAATTCTGATAACAGTGCAAGTGATGATACAATATACACTTTTTAAAGCTCCCCAGCTTTTAAAGCTGCATTAGCTCTTCTGCAATGAAGAAAGCAAGAAGGAAGGAAATACAGTAGTCCACCCTTATCCTCGGGAGATCCCACTGCAGGATTCCCAGGGGATGCCTGAAACCATACAGAGTACTGATCACTAAATAAATAAACACACACACAAACACACACACACAGTTTTTTCCTATAGGTATATACCTATAATCAAGTTTAATTTATAAATCTGGCACAGTAACAAATGAACAGCAATAACCAATAAGAAAACGGAACAATATACCATACAAAAGTTATGTGAACATGGTCTCGCTCATTCTCAAAATATCTCATAGTACCGTGCTCACCCTTCTTGTGTTGAAGTGAGATGATAAAACGCTTATAAGATAAGATAAAGTGAATGACTTAGGAATTCTGATGTAGCTAATATCAACCTTCTGACTATACCTAAGAAGGGGGATCATCTTAGGGTGATCCTGAATCACTGAGTCATGCTGATGTCCACAGATGGATGTCAAAAGCCGATGATGTCAATGACTGACCAATGGGAGCACGTACAGCGTGGTTATGTTGATTCATATCCAGGACAGGGTGGTGCAAAATTTCATCACGTTACTCAGAACAGTGGACAATTTAAAACTTAAACTACTATGGAAGGGACTATGACTGCTTCTTAGGGTAGCAGATATTCTAGATACTCTTCAGCAAAATGGACTCCACACTGTATCTGATAGGTTTCAAAAGACTTCAAAAAAGGCATGTTAGTGTACACACATGACTGGGATTAACATTCTAGAATTTTAGGACTCAATGGTACACCACTGAGGTATTGAAATGAATTCAACTGTAAATTTAGATTATGGTTCTGAGGTGGAGATGCATAAAAATGAAAACTTAAAACAAATACCAACACAATTGGGTATTTCTGGGTACTAACGTTCCAGGTAATTATCTTTCTCGACTTTCATTTCTAATGTTAATAGTTAGCAATATCAATAATATTGTTTATAAAAGAAATACTGTCCAAACTTTATTAAGGTGCTCATGTTAACACTTAAGGTTTCAGATTTTCAAACTTGGGATGTTCAAACAGTAGGTATAATACAAATATTCCAAAATCCAACAAAATCTCAAATCCACAACATTTCTGTTCCCAAACATTTTCGTAAAAAAAACCTAAAAAAACAAAAAAACCAAAAAAAACAACTGGCCGGGTGCAGTGGATCATGCTTGTAATCTCAGCACTTTGGGAGATTGAGGAGGGTAGATCACAAGGCCAGGAGTTTGAGAACAGCCTGGCCAACATAGTGAAATCCTGTCTGTACTAAAAATACAAAAAATTAGTCAGGCGTGGTGGCGGGCACCTGTAATCCCAGCTACTCGGGAGGCTGCGGCAGTAGAATTGCTTGAACCCGGGAGGGGGAGGTTGCAGTGAGCTGAGATTGCGCCATTGCACTCCAGCCTGGGTGACAGTGCGAGAATCTGTCTCAAAAAAAAAAAAAAAAAAAAAGACCGGGCGCAGTGGCTCACGCCTGTAATCCCAGCACTTTGGGAGGCCGAGATGGGCGGATCATGAGGTCAGGAGATCGAGACCACCCTGGCTAACATGGTGAAACCCTGTCTCCACTAAAAATACAAAAAATTAGCTGGGCGTGGTGGCGGGCGCCTGTAGTCCCAGCTACTCAGGAGGCTGAGGCAGGAGAATGGCTTCAACCCGGGAGGTGGAACTTGCAGTGAGCTGAGATCGCGCTACTGCACTCCAGCCTGGGTGACAGTGCAAGACTCTGTTTCAAAATATAAATAAATAAATAAATAAAAATAAAAAACCCTTGGGAGGCCGAGGCAGGTGGAACATTTGAGGTCAGGAGTTCAAGACCAGCCTGACCAACATGCTGAAACCCCGGCTCTACTAAAATACAAAACTTAGCTGGGTATGGTGGTGGGTGCCTGGAATCTCAGCTACTCAGGAGGCTGAGGCAGGAGGAGAATCACTTGAACCCGGGAGATGCAGGTTGCAGTGAGCCAAGACTGCACCACTGCATTCTAGCCTGGGCAACACAGTGAGACTCCTTCTCAAAAAAAAAAAAGAAAAAGAAAAAGAAAAAGAAAAAGAAAAAAAGGCCGGGGGCAGTAGCTCAAATCTCAAATTCAAAACATTTTTGTTCCCAAACATTTTCGTAAACAAAACAAAACAAAACAAAAAAACTGGCTGGGTGCAGTGGATCATGCCTGTAATCCCAGCACTTTGGGAGACTGAGGCGGGTGGATCACAAGGTCAGGAGTTTGAGACCAGCCTGGCCAACATAGTGAAATCCTGTCTCTACTAAAAACACAAAAAATTAGTCAGGTGTGGTGGCGAGCATCTGTAATCCCAGCTACTCAGGAGGCTGAAGCAGGAGAATCACTTGAATCCGGGAGGCGGAAGTTGCAGTGAGCTGAGATCACACCACTGCACTCCAGCCTGGGCAACAGAGTGAGACCGCATCTCAAAAAACAAACAAAAAAAACTCAACCTGTACCCAAACAAAAATCTCAAATTTCTTCCGTCTTAAATAAAAATTTTTTTTGGCTGGGCGCGGTGGCTCATGCCTGTAATCTCAGCACTCTGGGAAGCTGAAGTGGGTGGATCACAAGGTCAGGAGTTCAAGACCAGCCTGGCCAAGATGGTAAAACCCCATCTCTACTAAAACTACGAAAATTAGCTGGGCACAGTGGCGGGCACCTGTAATCCCAGCTACTTGGGAGGATGAGGCAGGAGAACCGCTTGAACCCAAGAGGCGGAGGTTGCAGTGAGCCCAGATCGTGACACTGCACTCCAGCCTGGGCAATAGAGTGAGACTCCGTCTCAAAAAAAATAAAATAAAATAAAATAAAATAAAATAAAATAAATAATTTTTTTTTTTGTTCAGACAGGGTTTCGCTCTTGTTGCCCAGGCAGGAGTGTAATGGTGCAATCTCCGCTCACTGCAACCTCTACCTGCTGGGTTCAAGTGATGCTCCTGCCTCAGCCTCCCAAAGTAGGTGGGATTACACGCGCCCACCACCATGCCCAGCTGATTTTTTTGTATTTTTAGTTGAGACGGGGTTTCATCATGTTGGCCAGGCTGGTCTCGAACTTCTGGCATCAGGTGATCCACCTGCCTTGGCCTCCCAAAGTGTGGGGTTACAGGCATGAGCCACCACGCCCAGCCAATATTTTTAATGGCTCTTGGCGAGGCACAGTGGCTCATGCCTAAATCCCAGGAACTTGGGAGGCCAAGACGGGTGGATCACCTAAGGCCAGGAGTTCAAGACCAGCCTGGCCAACATGGCGAAACGCTGTCTCTATTAAAAATACAAAAATTAGGCCGGGCGCGGTGGCTCACGCCTGTAATCCCAGCACTTTGGGAGGCCGAGGCGGGCGGATCACGAGGTCAGGAGATCGAGACCACGGTGAAACCCCGTCTCTACTAAAAATACAAAAAAATTAGCCGGGCGCAGTGGCGGGCGCCTGTAGTCCCAGCTACTCGGGAGGCTGAGGCAGGAGAATGGCGTGAACCCGTTAGGCGGAGCTTGCAGTGAGCGGAGATCGCGCCACAGCACTCCCGCCTGGGCGACAGAACGAGACTCCGTCTCAAAAAAAAAAAAAAAAAAAAATTACAAAAATTAGCCAAATTAGACAGGCGTGGTGACACACACCTGTAGTCCTAGCTACTCAGGAGGCTGAGGCGGGAGAATCACTTGAACCCGGGAGGCAGAGGTTGCAGTGAGTTGAGATTGCTCCACTGCTCTGCAACCTGGGTGACAGAGCAAGACTCTGTGGGGAAAAAAAAAAAACCAACTCTTATGATTACATAGCATTTACCATAACTCGTCAAATGTAAAGTCAACCCTGACCATACTTCAGTAAATTTTATCTTAGAAAAAACAAGTTCCTGCCCAACAGTAGTCCCGGCTACCGAGGAGGCTGAGGCAGCGGTAGGATCCCTTGAGCATGGGAGCTAGTCTGCAGCCTAGGCAACATAGTAAGAGCAGGTTAATATTTTAACCTGGCCGGGTGTGGTGGCTCACACCTGTAATCCCAGCACTTTGGGAGGCCGAGACGGGCGGATCACCTGAGGTCGGGAGTTCAAGAGCAGCCTGACAAACATGGAGAAACCCCATCTCTACTAAAAATACAAAATTAGCCAGGCGTGGTGGCACATGCTTGTAATCCTAGCTGCTTGGGAAGCTGAGGCAGGAGAATTGCTTGAACCCGGGAGGCGGAGGTTGCAGTAAGCCGAGATCACGCCATTGCACTCCAGCCTGGGTAACAAGAGTGAAACTCTGTCTCAAGAATAAAAAAAAAAAAATTAACTTTATTTTGTTTTACATTTTAGAGACAGAGTTTCACTCTCTTGCCCAGGCTGGAGTGCAGTGGTGTGTGATCATGGCTCACGGTAGCCTCAAACTCCTGGACATGCCACCATGGCCTGGCTAATTTTTCTTATTTTTTGTAGAGATGGGGGTCTTGCTATGTTAACCAGGCTGGTCTTGAACTCCTGGCCTCAAGTAATCCTCCTGCCTCAGTCGCCCAAAGTGTTGGGATTTATAGGCATGAGCCACTGCGCCCAGCCTGAAACCTCATTTTAAAAGTTTTTATCAGACCAGGACCCCAAGATGGAGTCGGCTGTACCAGTGAAGGAGAAGAAACTCCTGGATGTCAAACTAGCAGAACTGCCAAACTAAATATTAACGTGTGATCTCACACAAGAAGGCACTGTTGGAGCGTTCAGAGAGGTTACTACAGGTATTATGACAAGCACTCCAATTTGAAGAAAGGGAGCTTCGACGGTGGTGCTGTGGTGCTGGCAGCTTACATGCTTTTCCATTATTGTCTTTCTGAAAAGGAACACAAGCATGGGCAGCTACAGAAGTAAAACTGAAGAGGGCCATTGCAGAGAGCTCACTCCTGGATAATCTCCCTAGTTTAATGTCAGCTGATTAGCAACCTTAATTCCCTCTGCATCCTGAATTTTCCCTGGTCATGTAACATATCATATTTACAGGTTTTAGGGATTAAGAAGTGGATATCCTTGGGGAAACCATTATTCTATCTTCATTGGTTCAAATAATTCAGGGTTTGTTCATTCAGTGAGGTCATTTTATTGAGCACTTAATATATTTTAGTCTCTAGTTGGCTCTGGGGCATACATGAAAAAACAGAATCGTATCTCATTTGCTTGTATGTAGCTGATAATTCATTGATCAGTGTAGTTAATGAAACTTATTTTAACACAGAGACCATATGTAAGTAACTCTCCCTATACACTGGTGTGGTGAAATTCCAGTAAAGGCATTTTTTTTTCTTTGAAGCACAGCAATTATGCTGCTGATGAGAAATTTTACTTTGAAGAAAATGTGGTATAGTGAAAAAAGTAAGGTTTTTAAAAGACAGGCAAACTAGAGTCTAAAGATTGTTACTGGACTTCTCTGGGCCTCAGGCTTCTCTTTTGTAAAATGAGGGTAAGATTATCTACCTCAAAGTGTTGTTTATTATAAGGATTAAACAGGAATACGTGTTCCCCTGGCACAGTAGTCCACAAATGCTAATTGTCTTTCTCTTCTGGTATTTTAAGTATCTAACATTCATTTCAATATTTCTTTTCTTTTTCTTTTTTTTTTTTTTTTGAGAAGGAGTTTCACTCTCGTCTCCCAGGCTGGAATGCAAAGGCGTGATCTCGACTCACTGCAACCTCTCCCTCCTGGGTTCAAGCGACTCTCCTGCCTCAGCCTACCAAGTAGGTGGAACTACAGGCGCTCCACCATGCCCACCTGATTTTTTTTGGATTTTTTTTTTCTTTTTAAGACAAAGTCTCGCACTGTTGCCCAGGCTGGAGTGCAGTGGTGCAATCTCCACTCACTGAAATCTCTGCCTCCCGGGTTCAAGCAATTCTCCTGCCTCAGCCTCCCGAGTAGCTGGGATTACAGGCGCCCACCACCACGCCCGGCTAATTTTTTGTATTATTAGTAGAGACGGGGTTTCACTATGTTGGCCAGGCTGGTCTTGAACTTGTGACCTCGTGATCCATGCGCCTTGGCCTCCCAAAGTGCTGGGATTACAGGCGTGAGCTACCACACCCAGCCTCATTTCAATATTTCTGTGACTTGCTTTGCGCTAGCCTGTGATGCTTTATGTAAATTAAGTAGTAGACATAGTCCCTGTTCTCAGATAAAACAAGTTATTGGTAGCATAATACACTTGCACGCATGAAGCAACTAACAAAAGATCGGTAAACAAGTGGGCTCCATGAAAGTGTGGGACTTGGTTAGGAAAATATACAATGAGGTAATTAAGGCTGCTTTCCTCTTTACCTTAAAGAAACGAAACAAGTAAACAACACTTAATCCACGTATCCTAAAGGGGAAATTTGGGACTGTCTACTTGAATTTTGGAGGTTGCAAGGGCTTTTTATTTTTATTTTTTTCCCTCAGATGGAGTTTCGCTCTTGTTGCCCAGGCTGGAGTGCAATGGCACCATCTCGGCTCACTGCAATCTCCGCCTCCCAGGTTCAAGCGATTCTCCTGCCTCAGTCTCCTGAGTAGCTGGGATTACAGGCGTCCACCACCACGCCTGGCTAATTTTTGTATTTTTAGTAGAGACGGGATTTTGCCATGTTGGCCAGGCTGGTCTCGAACTCCTGACCTCAGGTCATCCGCCCACCTTGGCCTCCCAAAGCGCTGGGATTACAAGCGTTAGCCACCGCGCCCGGCCTTGCATGGGCTTTTGAACAGTCATTTCTGAATTACTTCCTGGATCCCCAGGAGTCCACAAATGTGAAGGAAAGGGAAACCCAAGTAGATCCTTCCGGTAATTTATTCTGCTTTACCCTTTAGGTAAAGGTAAAAACTACTAGATCAAGTAAACTTTGGAATTATTTGTGGACTTTAATCGTCCGTATTTCTGCTGCATTCAATTATCAAATATCAGTCAAGTGTTTTGAGAAACAAATATTCAGTAGCCACAGAAACCTAACAGGCCTATGTTTGCTTTGTTTTATTAACTCCTTGGAGGGACAGAACACTACCAATTACACCCACAAACGTTATCGACATCAACAGAACTGTAAATGACAACACGGCAATATTCTGCACTTTCCCTATGCCTAGGAGCTAATTCCACTTTACATATATTATCTTATTATTTCACACATTAACCCTGGAGGCATGTTTGGAGTTGCCTAATTTTTATGTACACTTTTTGATAAGGAACTAACAAAAATAACTTGCTGAAGGAAGAAAAGGGAGACTAAGTCCAGAACTGAATGAAAAGCACATGGTTTCTTCATCCTCCATCACCAGGCTGTCTAACGAGGCTGAAGAAGTACCATCCATGAGTAAGTGCGTCAAGGGCAAACAAACATCATCGCATATGGACAGTGGTGTGAAATTCGAGAAATCCGAGGAGGGTTAACAACAACAAAAAGCACACCACCACGCCGATCTTCCTCGGGTCCCAGGTTGGCAACTCAACGCCCGGGAGGAATCCCCCCGGAGGCGCGCCGGTCCTACTGGCCTCACTCCCTACCTCCTGGAGGTCCGGAGTCCCGCTCCTTTCCCTCAGCGGTACAATACCCGTGTCGGTCCATTCCCTCACCGTGAGTCGAGGACTAGTTCTCCTGACTAGGCGACCGGCACACACCGCCTGCGACCAGCTCCACAGCAGCGGTCCTGCTACTGCGAAGTAGGCTCAGGTCAACCGGCAGGAAACGACTCAACGCGCAGCCGCCGCGGCCTCCAACCACCGGTGGGCAGAGGGGCGCTAGGCAGTCCTCGATCCGCTCGCCGCGATCCGGCGGAGGAGGAGGAGCAGAGGGAGGCGAGCCGCAGCGCTGCGGCGAGGAGCCCAGGGAGGTAGGTTGTCGTGGGGCTCGGTCCGCCATTCTGGCAATTCCAGTCAAACGGCAAGCCCCGACCCGCTCGGCCCGTCCCTTCCTCTCCTGCCCCTGCAGCCGACAGGAATGGAACAGTCCCGCGGGGGGGATTGTGGGAGGCGCACGCGCGAGGGGTGGAGGGTGGTAGGGGGGGCTGGCGGCGGCGGCGGCGGCCGTGGCGGCGGTTGGTGGCCGTGGGGGCGGGGAAGGGGGGGGAGGAGAGAAGAGGAGGTGGAGGAGGAGGAGGAGGAGGCTTGGGCTTGCGCCGTTGAAGGTACGCGTGAGGGCCTGCGCCGGCGCCGGCTTGACAGGGCCTGAGGGGTAGTGAGGGACTGGACGAGGGGGTTCCTGTGGGTGAGCGCGTACGGGCTGGCTGGCGCGCGGGGCGGCCGAAGGTGGTGGTTGGTGGGAGCAGCCAGCGACGAGCCCGTAGACACTCGTACGCGTGCGGGCGGGCGTGCGCGCTACGCGGACGGAGTCGGGCGGAGCGGGGGACGGTGGGAAAGAACGCAAGGAGGAAGGAGTGGAAGGTTGAGGGGGGCGCTAGGCGCCCTTCGCTCCCTCCCTCTGGAGGAGCTGCCGCCGCCACCGCCGCCACTCTGCTGCTGCCGCCGCCGCCGCCGCCGCTCCCGCCGCCATTTTGGGTTCGCTTTGCGGAGGGGAGACGATCCCAGTCTCGGTTGCGGGACCCGCCTCCCCTCAGTTTGCCCCCTTTAGCCTTCCACCTTTCCCTTCTCCTCTCTCGCATTTCCGCCAGTCAGCTTACCCGCTGGCCGCCTCCTGACAAGCGGGAGGGATCCGCCGTGGACCCAGGGAAGCGGAGGAGCCTGGCGGCCACCCCCTCTTCCCCACTTCCCTGCACTCTCATCGCTCTCGGCCTCGGCCTCGGCCTCCGACACGGTGAGTAGAACGATTTGGGCCGGCATTCGGGCCTAAGCACTCTCTCAGCGATTGAATCCTGGGCTTTCTGGGAGCCACTGTCATCTCCCGGACCTGGATCTCTGAGAGAGCAGTGGTGAAGATGGGGGAGGGGAGAGCAGGGAGGGGGATCCTGAGCCTACCGGGAAGTCCCTCCAGGCGGGGTGAAGGGGTGTCCCTGACAGGCAGACTCCCGGAGGGGGCTGGGAAGTAAGCGAGTGGAGGCGGAGTCGGCTGTGCCCCTGACAGGTTAGTTTGTGTTTGTAGGCATGATCGGAGCCTCCCCCATAGTCCAGTTTGTGTGTGTTTAATTAAGGGATAAGAGTGGTCGAGGACACGATCTTGAGAGGGGATTTTACCTGTGTGACAAGGTCTGTGGTGTCCCTGCCGCGTTGAACGGTATGTGGGAACGACAGGATGATCTCAGTGTTGTAAGTTTAATAAATGTCACTGGTTAGTTTGTACATGGAAAGAGATGTTTTTGGTCTAGCAGACAGATGGTCTGTTGGTGTGTAGCGGCTGTGTTGGTGTGTGTATGTGAGGATGGCAAGTGTTTCCGTAAGAGTTTGCCTTTATTTGTGTAAGTGTAATGGAGTTCCCCTTATAAGTTAGCTTATTTCTTGAATAAATGTTGGGAGGTTCCTTGCAGGTTGATATGTGTGTGTATTTTAGGGATTGGGAGCCCCTAGTTACTTGTTGGGAAAGAGCGGCAATGGTAGTGTTCTGTACAGCATGTGTCTGTGAGGTCAGGGAGGGGAGAAACTTGGCATAGCCAGTTGTGGTCTTAAGAATAGTTTGTGCCTTTGGTTAGAGTGAGTTGTGTAAATGTGAAGGGCCAAAATATCTTTAACAGAATCATTACTACAAAGTTGTAAAGAATGGGTGGCCTTATTTGTTGTCGCGGGTTTATAGTAATAGTTTACAATACAATAAGAAAGCTCTTTCAGTTTTTTTGTGATACTGAATCTCTGTGAAAATGGTAGGATGCTTTCTTCCATTTTACAAAATAGGAAATTTAGGCATAAGGAGAGAACTTCTCCAAGGCCGCATGTTAAATTGGTGACAAAGTTGGAACTGTAACTCCCATATTTTCACTACTACTGCAGCAGTATATTCAGCATACCATGGTGCCTCAGGAAGTCTTTGTCGGCAAATCTGAGTATGCTGGAAAGATAGGAGCACATAAGACTGGTTGGCTTGTATTTGGGGGAGACCGATTGTGTCAGATATGTATGTGGAACGTAGCTGTCCTTGCCGAGTCTGACCTGTATGAAATGCATATCCATGACTATATTATTTTGGATTTATGGAGGAAGCAGAGCATTTCTGACACTTGAGGTTGTATGTGTGAGGGAGAGAAGGCTTTCACAGCTTAACTTGTACCAGAGCAGCTGCATGGGTGCTGACAGCTTAACTTGAAATCTGTGGGAGGAAGGATCCTTTTTCATTCATTCAACAAATATTTGTTGACTGCCTGTTCAATAAATGGTCCATGCCTTGGCGTGAGGATAATCAAGGTGTCTCTGTAAATAGCCTGGGTACAACGTGAGGGGAGTTGTTTTGACAGTGGTGGGTATTAAGTTGAGGGAGGCGGTGTGGAATTAAAACCAGAGAACTGTTTTTGGGTTCTGGTAATTGTTAATACATGTGCCTGTGGATGTTGGAACTTCTTGGCTGGGCTGAAGGAATCCTTTGAAAGACTCATTTCATATAGTAAGAATCCCCTCTATGAATATGAAGAAAGAATGCATAAACTAAGCCACTTAACCGTATTCTTCTGAAAAATGGGATGTTTCTTGATAGGCTAGATGAGTGGTTCTTAAAATTTTTTGGGGTCACTTATCCTTTTGAGAATCTGATGAAAGACACTGGGCCCTCAAGTTAGAAGATGAGCATAAGCACAATCACATGATTTATATATATGATTTTAGGAACTTAAAATGTAATAAAATAGAGCCAATTTATATTTAGGTCTCATTTGAAAACCTTTCATTTTCATTGTTCGGGTGTGTGGATGTTAGTATGAGTTTAAGATGAAAGAGTCTATGGTATTTGAACATGTTGACAGGAGAACTTTAGGGTCCATGTTTTTTATTCTTTTTATCATCTGCAAACTTATTTCTGCAGTATTAGTAAAGGACTCTGAATTTGGTGATAAGGGAATATAATATAGCACAAGTATCTATGGCTTTGTTCTTTGTCAGTATCTTTTTGTTCCTAAACTCTGAGAAGTGGGTTTGTCTTTTTTCAGTTTTGGATTGGGCCTGAGGTGATTTGAAGCTCCTGTCTTGGAGTTTAGCTTAGTTATAACAAACACTGAGTTAATCCTATGCAGGAGACACAAAAATCAATAATATATGGTCTCTGTGCTTGAAGAGATGCTAATTCAGTTGAGTCTGAATTGTTTGATGGTGGCAGCTCTCAAAAGGACAAGGAAGAGGGAAACATTCCTAGAAGTTGAAATTTTGTTACCCAATTGCAAAGAGATTTTTGCCACTACTTACTCTTTGAATAAGCATAAAGTGTTTATACTCTGTATGCAGCTTTGTACTTTAAAAAAATATGTTTTGTATCATCTTGTGCTTTTTTTTTTTTTTTTTGAGACTGAGTTTCACTCTTGTTAACAGGCTGGAGTGCAGTGGCGCTATCTCAATTCACTGCAACCTCTGCCTCCTGGGTTCAAGTGACTCTCCTGCCTCAGCCTCCCGAGTAGCTGGGATTACAGGCATGTGCCACCATGCCCTGCTAATTTTGTATTTTTAGTAGAGACAGCGTTTCTCCATGTTGGTCAGGCTGGTCTGGAACTCCTGACAGATGATCCACCCGCCTCGGCCTCCCAAAGTGCTGAGATTACAGGGGTGAGCCACCGCGCCCGGCCTCATCTGGTGTTTTTGTATAAAGGAACTATTGGTTTGAGAAGAAGGCAAACATTTATATTTCTTACCTTCTTTTGGGATATATTTCTACAGTGCGTTTATGTAAAAAGGTTTTGATGTCGCTGGGCATGGTGGCTCTCACTTGTAATCACTTTGGGATGCTGAAGAGGGTGGCTCACCAGAGGTCAGGAGTTTGAGACCAGCCTGGCCAACGTGGCAAAACCCCGTCTCTACTAAAAGTACAAAAATTAGCCAGGCATGGTGTGTGTGCCGGTAGTCCCAGCCAGTTGGGATGCTGAGGCAGGAGGATCTCTTGAATCCCTGAAGTGGAGGTTGCAGTGAGCCGAGATCCACCACTGTACGCCAGCCTGGACGACAGAGTGACTCTCTCA
The DNA here is from genome assembly GCF_000001405.40 of Homo sapiens. Classification (NCBI taxonomy): domain Eukaryota; kingdom Metazoa; phylum Chordata; class Mammalia; order Primates; family Hominidae; genus Homo; species Homo sapiens. Next base: position 155,558,866 of record NC_000001.11, on the reverse strand, counting down.
AAAAAAAAAAAAAAAGAAAAGAAAAAGGGGCCTAGGGCCTGGCATAGTGGGTTATCCCTATGATCCCAGTGCTTTGGGAGGCTGAGCCAGGAGGATCACTTGTGCCCAGGAGTTTGATACCAGCCTGGCCAACATAGGAAGACCCCATTTCTACAGAAAGTTAAAAAATTAGAATGAACACCTGCAGTCCTAGCTACTCTGGAGGCTGAGACAGGGGAATTACTTGACCCAGGAGTTGGAAGCTGCTGTGAGCTATGGTGGTGCTACTGCACTCCAGCCTGGGCAATAGCGTGAAACACTGTCTCTTTAAAAAAAGGAAAAGGATTTTCATGTTCTACTCTTGAGTTATATTGTGAAATAGAATACAGCACATCACTTTTTAAATTTTTTTTTTTGAGAGAGAGTTTCGCTCTTGTTGTCCAGCCTAGAGTGCAACAGCGCGATCTCAGCTCGCTGCAACCTCTGCCTCCTGGGTTCAAGGGATTCTCCTGCCTCAGCCTCCCCAATAGCTGGGATTACAGGTGTGTGCCACCACGCCCGGCTATTTTTTATGTATTTTTAGTAAAGACAGGGTTTTGCCATGTTGGTCAGGCTGGTCTCAAACTCCTGACCTCTGGTGATCCACCCGCCTCGGCCTCCCAAAGTGTTGGGATTACAGGTGTGAGCCACCGCACCTGCACATCACTTCTTAATAACTTGCTAGGTACTGTGTCTTTATAGTATTAGCAATTCCACTTGAGTCTTTATTCTGAGTCTTCCTCCATGCTTTATTAATATTGAATTGGCCACCTTCATTTCTGCCCAAGACAATGTGGAAGCACACAGTGGAGAAGTCTTACTATGTGTAAGATTGTGGTGGTGGTGGTCTCCATTTAAAATAACTTTGTATTGCTATTTGAATAATGTGTATTGATCTGAGTCTTTTAAAGGTAGTATACAACCTCACTATAATCTGCTGTGAGATCTGCTTAGGCCAGCCTTTTCAGCAGCATGTAGTATTTTAAACCTGGGTGCCGCAAGAGGTGGAAATGCAACTAGTTCATTTTTGTTTTGTTTTGAGGTATGCTGCTAGTTTCTGTTATCATTTTCCTTAAAATTAATTTTAGTGTTTTTTCATTTATATTTTTTCATATGAAGAGGCTAGATTTTCTTATTGCTTGTCATCATAGTTAATAATAGTCTTATATTTCACGTTTTAGAAATCGCTTTTTTAGTGACTGCCTCATCAGGCCTGTAATTGGCAGAATGTGATATTTATCAAAATTAACTTTAAAATAATGATTTCTAGGCCGGGCGTGGTGGCTCACACCTGTAATCCCAGCACTTTGGGAGGCCGAGGTGGGCGGATCACAAGGTCAGGAGAACGAGACCATCCTGGCTAACATGGTGAAACCCTGTCTCTACCAAAAATACAAAAAAAAAACCCAAAAAACAAAATTAGCCGGGCATGGTGATGGGCACCTGTAGTCCCAGCTTCTCAGGAGGCTGAGGCAGGAGAATGGTGTGAACCTGGGAGGTGGAGCTTGCAGTGAGCCAAGACTGCGCCACTGCACTCCAGCCTGGGTGACAGAGCGAGACTCTGTCTCAAAAAAAAAATAAATAAATAAAATAATGACTTCTAGTGATGACAGAAATTTAACCAATAATCTTACTGCTATTTCAGAGTTGTATTTTTTCATTGAACAGCTAAGTTTTCATGTTTGGAAATCTATGAAATTTTTATTGTAGTATTATATTTGCTTTTCATAGTCTTTAGTCATTTGCCCTCAGACATACACAAGTTGATGACAAGGTTGTATACTTTTTTCCATCTAATTAAAAAAATTTTTTTGAGACAGGGTCTTACTATGTCACCCAGGCTAGGGTGCCGTGGTACGAGCATAACTTACTGCATGCTCTACCTCTTGGGCTCAAGCAGTCCTTCCATTGTCCCAAGTAACTGGGATTACAGGCACATGCCACCACGCCTGGCTAATTTTTAATTTTTTTGTAGCGATGGAGTCTCACCGTGTTGCCCCCACTGGTCTCGAACTTCAGCAGTCCTCCCTCTTCAGACTCCCAAATTGCTGGAATTATAGGCATGAGCTACCACACCTGGGCAATTTTGTTCATTTAAAAATATTTTTGGCCAGGTGCAGTGGCTCACACCTGTCATCCCAGCACTTTGGGAGGCCGAGGTGGGCAGATCACGAGGTCAGGAGTTCGAGACCATCCTGGCTAACGTGGTGAAACCCCGTCTCTACTAAAAATATAAAAAATTAGGCGCAGGTGGCATGTGCCTGTAGTCCCAGCTACTCGGGAGGCTAAGGCAGAAGAATCAGTTGAACCTGGGAGGTGGAGGTTGCAGTGAGCTGAGATCACGCCACTGCACTCCAGCCTGGGTGACAGAGTGAAACTCTGTCTCAAAAAATATATATATATACACATACACACACACACACACACACACACACACACACACACACGTATATATATGTATATTTATATTTATAATTTTTTACAGCTGGGGTCTGGCTGTGTTGCCCAGACTGAACTTGAATTCCCAGGCTCAGTTGATCCTCCCACTTTAGCCACTCAAGTGTTTGGGACCACAGGTATGTGCCACCACATGTATGTGCCACCACATCTGGTTAATTTTTAAATTTTATGTACAGGTAGAGTCTTACTGTGTTGCCCAGGATGGTCTTGAACTCTTGGACTCATGTGGTCCTCCCACCTTGGCCTCCCAAAGTGCTGAGAAATGTGAGCCACAATGCCCAGTCAGCTTTTTATTTCTTTAATGTGGCAAATTGCAAACATATATAGAAATAAAGAGAATAGTATAATGAGCCTTCATGTACTCAACATCCAGCTTCAGCAGTTATCAACACAGTTAACACACTGTTTCCACATCTACCAGCCCCTGTCCCTCCTTCCCCTCTTGCTTATTTTAAAGCAGATCTTCCAGTTATTGTATAATTTCATCCATAAATACTTAAGTATTTAAAAATTCTTTTCACTGTTAAGTGAGGAATTACTCCTTCATAGTTAGGTTTATATAACTTTTAAGTATCTGATCATAGTTGGAACTAAACTACTTACACCATCTACTTCTAATCCATATTACTTATCAGTAGGGAATTCCCTGTGCCAGCTAAGAAGAAATGAGGTAAATAGTTCACATCATTGCTTTTCGATGTTTGCATTGAACATTTAGAACAGTTCCTATGCTATTCAGAATAGCTTATCAGCTTTTTTCAAATGCACAAGAGAGAAACAAAGGGTTTCTTACAGTTTTTTAGTCATAGCGACAAGATGCTAAAAAATGTCTAGTTTTTAGTCCCTAGATTTTCATTTTTTTGTTTTCCATTTTTTTTTTTTTTTTTTTTTTGAGACAGAGTCTCACTCTGTTGCCCAGGCTGGAGTGCAGTGGCGCAATCTCGGCTCACTGCAACCTCTGCCTCCTGGGTTCAAGTGATTCTCCTGCCTCAGCCTCCTGAGTAGCTTGGACTACAGGTGCGAGCCACCATGCCCAGTGAATTTTCGTGTTTTTAGTAGAGACCGGGTTTCACCATGTTGGCCAGGCTGATCTTGAACTCTTGACCTCAAGTGATCAGCCCGCATCGGCCTCCCAAACTGTTGGCATTACAGGTGTGAGCCACTGCACTGGCCTGTGTGTTTAATTTTAAGAGGAAGAAAGTCAAATAACTGTAGGTCAGACTTTAATTCTTTTTTTTTTTTTTTTTGAGACGGTTTCTCACTCTGTCCCCAAAGCTGAAGTGTAGTGGCACGATCTCGGCTCACTGCACCTCTTCCTCCTGAGTTCAAGCGATTCTCCTGTTTGAGCCTCCTGAGTAGCTGGGACTACTGGTGTATGCCACCATGCCCGGCAAATTTTTGTATTTTTAGTAGAGATGGGGTTTCACCATGTTGGCCAGGCTGATCTCTAACTTCTGACCTTCAGGTGATCTGCCCGCTTCAGCCTCCCAAAGTGCTGCGATTACAGGTGTGAGCCACCACACCCAGCTGAGTTTAATTTACTTTAACAAGCCATTCATTTGTTTGTTTTGTATTCATTCATTCCTCACTCCACTGACTAACATTTTTCCAGTGCTTCCACCATACCCATTTCTGTGCTTAGGTGTGGGGAAAAGACATACAGTGTTTTTTTTTGTTTTTGTTTTTGTTTTTTAAATCTCAGATGTAATCCTAGCTCTGTGGGAGGCCAAGGCAGGAGGATTGCTTGAGCCCAGGAGTTTAAGACCAGCCTGGGGGCAACATAAGGAGACCTGGTTACTAAAAAAATAAAAAATTCAGGCTGGGCATGGTGGCTCACGCCTGTAATCCCAGCACTTTGGGAGGACGAGGCGGGTGGATCACCTGAGATTGGGAGTTTGAGACCAGCCTGACCAACATGGAGAAATCCCATCTCTACTAAAAATACAAAATTAGCCCTGTGTGGGGGCACACGCCTTTAATCCCAGCTACTCGGGAGGCTGAGGCAGGAGAATCGCTTGAACCCGAGAGGCAGAGGTTGCAGTGAGCCGAGATTGTGCCATTGCACTCCAGCCTGGGCAAGAAGAGTGAAACTCCGTCTCCAAAACAAAAAGTAAATACATAAATTAAAAAAAAAAAATTCGCCAAGTGTGGTGGCATCCACCTGTGGTCCCAGCTACTTGGGAGGCTGAGGTGAGAGAATCACTTGAGCCTGGGAGATTGAGGCTGCAGTAAACTGTAATCGCACCACTCTACTCCAGCCTGTGTGACAGAGTGAGACCCTGTCTCTAAAGGAAAAAAAAAAAAACTCGGGCCGGGCGCAGTGGCTTACACTTTGAGTGGCTGAGGTGGGCAGATCACGAGGTCAGGAGTTCGAGACCAGCCTGGCCAACATGGTGAAACCCCATCTCCACTAAAAATACAAAAATTAGCCAGGCGTAGTGGCACACGCCTGTAGTCCCAGCTACTCGGGAGGCTGTGGCAGTAGAATTGCTTGAACCTGGGTGGTAGAGGTTGCGGTGAGCCGAGATCTTGCCACTGCACTCCTGCCTGGGTGACAGTGAGATTTCATCTCAAAAAAAAAAAAAAATTCTAATAGGAGGAGCATGTTAACAAACATATTACAGTAATATTATGTAATACATTTGCCTATGTTAACAAACATACTACGATACATACTATGTAATGTTTTTGTCCAAGGTGGGGAAGTTATTCAATCTGTGGTGAGAAAGGAAAGGTTAGGGTGGCTTCCTACAAGTGGGAAGAGCCAGGCTTTAAAGGATAAGTGTGAGACATTCAGACTTAAGAGAGGGCGTTCTAGGTAGAGGGAGATCATCTGCAAACGTATGAACGTATGACACAGCAGGATGAGTGCACTGTAATTTGGATCGGTAAATTTTCAACCCATTCTCTTATGATTTCCTGTGTCTTCAGTGCTATATAAGGTTGGCCTTTGTAATTAGATATCTTCTATCAAATAAAGATGGAAATATGTTCAAAATACTTTTCTTAGACAAAAAACTATTGTTATAAAAGTAATTTCTAGCAAAGATTAATGTCAATAAAATATTTGGTTATATTTTAGTTACTCAGAAAATTTTTACTAGAATGTAACCCACTCAGCATTCTAGTTAATCAGGCCTTGATTATAATAAGTATCTAGCCAGATCTAAAAATGTATAATTAGTTGTCTTAATAATGAATGAATCTCTCAGCATCTGCATTGGTATATTTCCCCTCAATTTGTTGAAAATCCCAAATAGTCATTAAGATCATAGACTCTGAAATCAGATTGATTAGGCTCAGATCTGAGTTTTGCTAACTTATTGACTGTAATTTTGAGCAAAATACTTACAATCTTTGGTTTCCTTGACTGTAAAATATGGTGATATAGTAATGATAATATTTATAGCATAGAGTTGGCGGATTCTACGAGATGATATGTATAATGTGTTTAGCATAATGTGTGCCATGCAGCAAGCAAATAATGTGTATTTGTTATTATTTTAGTTATTTATTTTCTTCATTTCCAAAAAAGAATATAGCAAAGCAGATTACTTCCCTCATAGGTAAGAATATGTAAAATACACTTTTGAAGTGTATATAAGCAATGTCCTTATTTGTATACATATTTTTTCCATTTTCAATTTTTAGCATACTATTTATCTTTTCTCACATGTGAATTCCAATTTCGTATTTTCCCTCTTCATTTTAGCCTAGGTTTTCGTGTTTGGCTTTTTCTTTTTGAGTCAGGGTCTCGCTCTGTTGTCCATGCTGGAGTGCAGTGGTGCGATCTCGGCTCACTGCAAGCTCTGCCTCCCGGGTTCACGCCGTTCTCCTGTTTCAGTCTCCTGAGTAGCTGGGACTACCAGTGCATGACACCACCCTGTTGTAGTTTCTATCAAAACTTCTTTTTGTTTTTTTTGAGACAGAGTCTCACTCTTGTCGGCTAGGCTGGAGTGCAGTGGCGCGATCTCGGCTCACTGCAAACTCCGTCTCCTGGGCTCAAGCAATTCTCCTGCCTCAGCCTCCCGAGTAGCTGGAATTACAGGCATGCGCCACCACGCTCGGCTAATTTTTGTATTTTTAGTAGAGACGGGGTTTCACCATGTTGGCCAGGCTGGTCTTGAACTCCTACCTCAGGTAATCCTCCTGCTTTGGCCTCCCAAAGTGCTGGGATTACAGGCGTGAGCCACTGTGCCCGGCCTTCATATATTTATTTAGTGCTTACTATGTGCCAGGCACTATTCTAGGTACTGGGATACAGTGATGGACAAAACAAGATCCCTGCTTTGCTGTCTTAGGACTTAATAATTTGGGCATTTTCTTTTTTCGATATAGATCTTTTAGTACTGATATAACATACTGTTAGCCAGTATATTACGTGTTGTTCAAGCAAGATTCTTTTTCTTTTTTGACACGGAGTCTCAACCTTTCGCCCAGGCTGGAGTGCAATGGCATGATCTCGGCTCACTGCAATCTCTGCCTCCCAGGTTCAAGTGATTCTCCTGCTTCAGCCTCCCAAGTCACTGGGATTACAGGCGCCCGCCACCACGCCCGGCTAATTTTTTTTTTTTTTTATCTTTAGTAGAGACGGGGTTTCACCATGTTGGCCAGGCTGGTCTTAAATTCTTGACCTTGTGATCCACCTGTCTTAGCCTCCCAAAGTGCTGGGATTACAGGTGTGAGCCAACACTCCTGGCCTGCAAGATTCTTTTTTTTTTTTTTTTTTGAGACGGAGTCTCGCTCTGTCGCCCAGGCTGGAGTGCAGTGGCGGGATCTCGGCTCACTGCAAGCTCCGCCTCCCGGGTTCACGCCATTCTCCTGCCTCAGCCTCCCAAGTAGCTGGGACTACAGGCGCCCGCCACTACGCCCGGCTAATTTTTTGTATTTTTAGTAGAGACGGGGTTTCACCGTTTTAGCCGGGATGGTCTCGATCTCCTGACCTCGTGATCCGCCCGCCTCGGCCTCCCAAAGTGCTGGGATTACAGGCGTGAGCCACTGCGCCCGGCCGTAGATTCTTAAGATAGACTCAAGATTCCTGAAGAAATTCCTGGTATATGATTATTTTTCTGCTAAAGTGAATCAATTATGTGACAAAAATTTTTCCCCCCCGAGGAAAAGATACTGTGTGCCTATGTTTCATCCAGGCATTCCATTGGATAGTTAGTCCTTTGAGATATCAGTGGATTAAATCATCTGTTAAGAATCAAATAAAATGCTGCAGGAAGAAAGTGAAAAACAAAACAAAAAAAGAGTCAAATAAATAAAGGCTGGGCATGGTGGCTCTCCCCTGTAATCCCAGGACTTTGGGAGGCTGAGGTGGGGGGATTGCTTGAGCCCAGGAGTTCCAGACCGCCTGGGCAACATAGTGAGACCATGTCTCTAAAAAAATTTTAAAAATTAGCCAGGCATTGTGGCACATACCTGTAGTCCCAGCTACTTGGGAGGCTGAGCAGTAGATTTCTTGAGCCCAGGAGGTCGAGGCTGCAGTCAGCCATGATTGCACCACTGCACTCTAGCCTGGGCAACAAGATGAGATCCCATCTGGATCTTTATGTCAAGTACTGTATTAAGCCCAGAGTATACAACAGTGAATAAAACAGATAAAAGTTGTTGCTTTCATAGTGCTTCCTTTTGAGTAAGATAGACAATATTAAATAAATGGGAAATATGTCCTAGCATTTTGATGATAGATGTGGTAAAGGAAGTATAAACAAGGTAAGGGATGTTGGGTAGTTAGGGAAGTCCTCTGAGGCACTAATATTTCAGGAGATACCTGAATTATATGAAGGACCCAGTGCAACTATCTGGGGCATGAGCATAAGCCCTGAGACAGGAGTACCTGTTGGTGTGTTCAAGGAATAGAAAAGGGCTAAAACAGTAAAGGGGGGAATAGTGATAGGAGATAGAAGAGGTAGCCAGGGACCAGATAACATAGGGACTTAAAGACTTGATAGGTATCTAGTTTTGTATTTCAAGTTTGATTGGAAGCAGGGAAATGACTTGATCTGATATATGCACTTTGAAAGATGAATAATGCAACCAGGTTGACCAGTTCAGAGGCTATCGTGGACTGGGCGTAGTGGTTCACACCTCTAATCCCAGCACTTTGGGAGGCCGAGATGGGTGGATCACGAGGTCAGGAGTTTGAGACCAGCCTGACCAACATGGTGAAACCCCATCTCTACTAAAAAGCAAAAATTAGCTGGGCGTGGTGGTGCACACCTGTAATCGCAGCTACTCAGGAGGCTGAGGCAGGAGAATTGCTTGAACTCGGGAGGTGGAGATTGCAGTGAACTGAGATTACGCCACGGCACTCCAGCTTGGGCAACAGAGCGAGACTCTGTCTCAAAAAAAAAAAGAGGCTATCGTGATAGTTGAGGCAACAGCTGATTGTGGTGTTGAGTGTACTGGTGGGTGGATTTGAGGTATATTTTGGAGGTAGTGGAGATAATAACTTGCTGATGGTTTGGATGTGGGATCAGGGTAAAAGAGGAGTCAAGGATGACTTCAGTGATGGCCTGAGCAGTTGGATGCTTTTTTCTTTGATGAGGAACACTGTGGGAAAAGCAAATTATAAGGAGTACAGAAATGAGGGATTTGGTTTGGATATACAGTCATCCCTCGGTATCTGTGAGAGATTGGTTCCCCCGAGGATACCAAAATCTGTGGATGTGCCAGTCCCTTATATAAAATGGTATACTACTTGGATATAACCTATGTGTATCATCTTGTATACTTAAATTTTTTTTTTTTTTTTTTTTGAGACTGAGTCTTGCTCTGTCACCCAAGCTGGAGTGCAATGGCACGATCTCGGCTCACTGCAACCTCCGCTTCCTGGGTTCAAGTGATTCTCGTGCCTCAGCCTCCCAAGTAGCAGGGATTACCGTGCCTGGCTAATTTTTGTATTTTTAGTAGAGGTGGGGTTTCACTATGTTGCCCAGGCTGGTCTTGAACTCCTGACCTCAGGTGATCCACCCGCCTTGGACTCCCAAAGTGCTGGGATTACAGGCGTGAGCCACTGTGTCTGGCCAAAAAGTTTTTTTTTGAGACAGGGTCTCTCTGTTATCCAGGCTAGAGTGCAGTGGCATGGCCATAGCTCACTGCAACCTCAAACTCCTCAGGTAAAGCTATTTTCCTACCTCAGCTTCCTGCGTAGGTGGGATTACAGGCTCACGACACAATATTCGGGTAATTTTTTTGGTTTTTGTAGAGAGAGAGTCATGCTTTATTGCCCAGGTTCGTCTCGACCTCCCTGTTTGTATACTCTAAATCATCTCTGGATTAATTATAATACCTAATACAATGTAAATGCTATGTAAATATACTGTGTTGCTTAGAGAATAATGACATAAAAAGTATATATATTCAGTGCAGACACAATTATCCTTTTCTTCCACCCCTGCCCCTGGAATATTTTTGATCCGTGGTTGGTTGAATCCTCGTATGTGAAACCCATGGATACAAAGGGCTGACTGTACAGGGTTTGAGATTTCTACTAAGTGTTTAAAGTTGAAATATTGAATAGGCAGTTGGGTGTACAAGTCTTGAGGTCAGGGCAAATATAAACTTGGGAGCTGAGCAGCATAGTGATGCTATTTAGAGCCAAAGAACTTGATGAAATTACCCAGAGAGTGAGTGTAGATAGAGAAAAGATGAAGTTCTTAGACTGAGTTGCTGGATAAATATTTTTGATACTGGGAGAAATTTATCTAGAATACCAGAACTAAAAGAGAATCTTTTGATAATTTGAGGACTAACACCTTCCTGGCTAAGAAACTCTAACAAGTACTAACTAGTCAAGATGTAGAGACAAATGTAAAATGGTTGGTGAATGAATGTCTATTTTTTATCTCTCTTTTGTTTGATACGGAGTCTGGCTCTGTTGCCTAGGCTGGAGTACAATGGTGCCATCTAGGTTCACTGCAACCCCCACCTCCCAGGTTCAAGCAGTTCTCCTGCCTCAGCCTCCCGAGTAGCTGGGAGTACAGGCATGTGCCAAACACGCCCGGCTAATTTTTGTATTTTTAGTAGAGACAGGGTTTTACCGTGTTGGTCAGGCTGGTATTGAACTCCTGACCTCATGTGATCCACCCACTTTGGCCTGCCAAAGTGCTGGGATTACAGGCGTGAGCCACTGCATCCAGCTCATCATCTAGGTTTTAAGCTCCACATGCGTTAGTTACTCGTCCTCAGGTTCTCCCTCCCCTTGCCCCCCAACCCACTGACTGGCCCCAGTATGTTGTTCCCCTCCCTGTGTTCATGTGTTCTCATTGTTCAACTCCCACTTATGGGTGAGAACATGCGGTGTTTGGTTTTCTGTTCCTGTGTTAGTTTGCTGAGGATGATGGCTTCCAGCTTCATCCATGTCCCTGCAAAGGACATGATCTCATTCCTTTGTTTTTTCTTTTTTGAGACGGAGTCTCGCTCTGTCGCCCAGGCTGGAGTGCAGTAGTGCGATCTCGGCTTACTGCAAGATCCACCTTCCGGGTTCACGCCATTCTCCTGCTTTAGCCTTCTGGTGGGTAGCTGGGACTACAGGCGCCTGCCACCATGCTTGGCTAATTTTTTTGTATTTTTAGTAGAGGCGGGGTTTCACCCTGTTAGCCAGGATGGTCTCAATCTCCTGACTTCATGAGCCACTGTGCCTGGCCTTTTTTTTTTTGAGACTGAGTTTCACTCTTGTTGCCCTGGCTGGAGTGCAACATCATGATCTCAGCTCACCACAACCTCTGCCTCTCGGGTTCAAGCGATTCTCCTGCCTCAGCTTCCCGAGTAGCCAGGGTTACGGTCATGTGCTACCACACCTGGCTAATTTTGTATTTTTAGTAGAGATAAGGTTTCTACATGTTGGCCAGGCTGGTCTCAAACTCCTGACCTCAGGTGATCTGCCTGCCTCAGCCTCCCAAAGTGCACCTCACCGAGCCGATCTCATTCCTTTTTATGGCTACATAGTATTCTGTGGTGTATATGTGCCATATTTTCTTTATCCAGTCTATCATTGATGGGTATGTGGGTTGGTTCCATGTCTTCGCTATTGTAAATAGTGCTGCAGTAAACAGAAACACATGTGCATGTGTCTTCAGAGGATTTTAACTTTTTTTTTTTTTAAATGGTAGTTGTGGTGAGTAGTCATGGCCCTCATTAAGAATATGATGAAACATAATCCCAGCACTTTGGGAGGCCAAGGCGGGCAGATCACGAGGTCAAGAGATCTAAACCATCCTGGCCAACATGGTAAAACCCTGTCTCTACTAAAAATACAAAAATTAGCTGGGCATGGTAGCACATGCCTGTAGTCCCAGTTACTCGGGAGGCTGAGGCAGGAGAATTGCTTGAACTTGGGAGGCAGAGGTTGCAGTGAGCCAAGATCACGTCACTACACTCCACCCTGGTGACAGAGCGAGTCTCCATCTCAAAAAAAAAAAAAAAAAAAAAAAAAAGAATGTGATGAAACCTTTGTAGTCTTTCCCAGAAAGTGTATATATGCACATAAAATGTGAATGTAAGGGGTTCACTGGCACTTTGGATTGTAGGCCAATATTCTTTGTTATATAAGTGTCTTAATTATGAAAATCATGGAATGACAGTTGCGTTGTTTACCTGTTCTTTACCAGAGTGCTTTTTTTTTTGAGACGGAGTCTTGCTCTGTCACCAGGGTGGAGTGTAGTGGCGTGATCTCAGCTCACTGCAACCTCTGCCCCCCGAGTTCAAGTGATTCTCCTGCCTCAGCCTCCCGAGTAGCTGGGACTACAGGCATGTGCCAGCATGCCCAGCTAATTTTTGTATTTTCAGTAGAGACTGGTTTCACCGTGTTGGCCAGGATGGTTTAGATCTCCTGACCTCGTGATCTGCCCGCCTCGGCCTCCCAAAGTGCTGGGATTATAGGCATGAGCCACCGCGCCCAACCCAGAGTGCTCTTAAAAGTGGAAATAAACTCATGTAAGGAATGCTAGTGGTTAGATGACGATATAAGCAAATCTTTACTCACTGTCACCTGTTCACCTCCCTTTCCCCTTTACCATTATGGTAATGCAATAATTTCTTTTTTTTTTTTTGAGTCAGAGTCTCGCTTTGTTGCCCAGGCTAGAGTGCAGTGGCACGATATCGGCTCATTGCAAGCTCCGCCTCCTGAGTTCAAGCGATTCTCCTGCCTCAGCCTACCACGTAGCTGGGACCACAGGTGCATGCCACCACACCTGGCTAATTTTTGTTTTTTTTTTTTTTTTTGGTGATGGAATCTCGTGTTATTGCCCAAGCTGGCGTGCAGTGGCACCATCTCAGCTCACTGCAGCCTCCATCTCCCAGGCTCAAGCGATTCTCCTGCCTCAGCTCCTGTGTAGTTGGGATTACAGGCACACGCCACCACGCCTGGCTAGTTTTTTTGTATTTTAAGTAGAGATGGGGTTTCACCACATTGGCCAGGCTGGTCTCGAACTCCTGACATCTAGTGATCTGCCTGCCTTGGCCTCCCAAAATGCTGGGATTACAGTCTTGAGCCACTGCATCCAGCCTAATTTTTATGTTTTTAATGGAGATGGGGTTTCACTACGTTGGCCAGGCTGGTCTCAAACTCTTGACCTTAAGTGATTCACCTGCCTCAGCCTCCCAAAGTGCTGGGGTTACAGGCATGAGCCACTGCACCTGGCCTCAAATCTTTTTAAAATAAGTTTTTAATGGATTTTTGTTTTATTGTAAAACTAATGCAAATTCTGTAATAGGAATATATATGTGTATATATAATTTTTTTCCTTTTTTTTTTTCCTTCCAAACCTTTCTCCTTTAAATGACTAGCACTATCAATTTGGTGTGTAATCATTCATAATTTTTTCTCTATATAGGATTTTTGTCCTACTCTTTCCAAATATGAGATCTTGCTTGCTTTTAACTAAGAAATAGCAGACATATATTTTGTGTGTGTGTGTATAAAAAATATTTTTGGTCAGTATGAAGGAAATCTTCATATAATAAATCTTTTTATTGGTACTTTTATTTTTCTATAGGAGTCTCAAAAGTAGGATTACTTTTGGAGTCAAAGAGTATGTAAAATGTAAAAGTTTGTAATGGATAGTATAAATATTACTTTCTAAAATGATGGTGGCCACTAGTGCCCATTTACCATACATTATCAGTATTACTTGCTATTTTGAATTTCAACCAAATTGATAAGTAAAACATAGCTTTTTTTTTTTTTTTTTTTTTTTTTTTTTTTTGGTGAGATGGAGTTTTGCTCTTCTTGCCCAGGCTGGAGTGCAATGGCGCGATCTCGGCTCACCGCAACCTCTGCCTCCCGGGTTCAAGCGATTCTCCTGCCTCAGCCTCCCGAGTAGCTGGGATTACAGGCATGTACCACCATGCCCGGCTAATTTTGTATTTTTAGTAGAGACGGGGTTTCTCCATGTTGGTTAGGCTGGTCTCGAACTCCCGACCTCAGGTGATCCGCCCGCCTCAGCCTCCCAAAGTGCTAGAATTACAGGCGTGGGCCACTGCGCCCGGCCAATAGTTTGTTTTTATTCACACCTCCCTGACTATACTAATGAGGTGGTATATCTTTTTATATTTGTTATTTTTATCTCTCTTGTAATTGCCTATGCATATTTTTTGTATATCTTATTTAAGATAATTTTATATTAAGATATATTAATCCTTTTTCATGTTTATATTTTCTCCCAATCTTATTTGTCTTTTTATTTTATTTACAATGTCTTAGTCTACAGATATATACTGCTTTAACATAATCATACTTGTCACTATTTTTCTTTATGGTTTTTAGTTTCCTGATTTGCCTAAGAAGGGTTTCTCGGCCGGGCACGGTGGCTTACGCCTGTAATCCCAGCACTTTGGGAGGCTGAGGCGGGCAGATCACGAGGGCAGGAGATCGAGACCATCCTGGCTAACACGGTGAAACCCCATCTCTACTAAAAATACAAAAAAATTGGCTGGTCGTGGTTGCAGGCACCTATAGTTCCAGCTACTCGGGAGGCTGAGGCAGGAGAATGGCATGAACCCGGGAGGCAGAGCTTGCAGTGAGCCGAGATCTTGCCACTGTACTCCAGCCTGGGTGATAGAGTGAGACTATATCTCAAAAAAAAAAAAAAGGGGGTTTCTCCACCATAGGTTATAGAAATAGTCATGAACATTCAGATACTTTTACTTTTGTATGTAGTGTTTACATCCACGAGTAGGGCTAGTCATAGTGGCTCACACCTGTAATCCCAGCACTTTGGGAGGCCGAGGTGGGAGGATTGCTTGAGGCCAGGAGTTTGAGACAAGCCTGGGCAACATAGTGAGACACCCCTTGCTTGAGCCCAGTAGCTTGAGGGTACAGTAAGCCATGTTCAAACAACTGCACTCCAGTCTGGGTGACATCGAAAGACCCTGTCTCAAAAAAATAAAAATAAAAAATAAATCCATGAGGAAATTGCTTTTTTGTTTTGTTGTGTTTTTTTTGAGATAGGTCTTGTTCTTTCGCCTAGGCTGGAGTGCAGTGACACCATCATGACTTACTGCAGCCTCAGCCTCAACCTCCCGGGCTCAATTGATTCTTCTACCTCAGCCCCTGCCAAGTAGCTGGGACTACAGGTGCATATCACCAGGCTCAGCTAATTTTTAAATTTTTTGTAGAGATGGGGTCTCACTATGTTGCCCAGGCTTGTCTTGAACTCCTGGCCTCAGGTCACCCTCCCACCTCAGCCTCCCAGAGTGCTGGGATTATAGATGTGAGCCACCATGCCAGCCTTATTTTTGTTTATGATGCAAAGAATGGGTGGAACTTTGTTTTCTGCCAACGGATATCCAGTTATGTCAACATATAGCCACATATATCAAATAAATCATCTCCTTGTCATACTGAAATCTTTTTTTTTTTTTTTTTTTTTTGAGACAGAGTCTCACTCTGTGATGCAGGCTGGAGTGCAGTGGTGTGATCTTGGCTCACTGCAACCTCTGCCTCCTGGGTTCAAGCAATTTTCCTGCTGCACCCTCTAAGTAGCTGGGACGACAGGCACCTGCCACCATGCCTGGCTGATTTTTGTATTTTTAGTAGAGATAGAGTTTCACCATGTTGGCCAGGCTGGTGTCGAACTCCTGACCTCAAATGATCTGCCTGCCTTGGCCTCCCAGAGTGCTGTGATTACAGGCATGAGCCACCACGCCCGGCTGACTGAAATCTATTAATTGAAAAGGGTTTTCATTTTCACAGGACTGCCACTAATCCATATTTTGTTTTTATGCAAAATAGGAAAGGATTTCCTTCTACAAGATACTTAATTTTGATCTTCCAGGATTTTTAGGTGGCTTTACTGAGATATAATTCATATATAGTAATTTAAAGTGTACAATTTTTCCCCAGCAGCCACACAGTGCCGTTAAAATATTTAAAAAAAAAGTAATAACAAGGTGTAAGATTTAATGGTTTTGGCCAGGCATGGTGGCTCACGCCTGTAATCCCAGCACTTTGGGAGGCCTAGGCAGGTGGATCACCTGAGGTCAGGCAGCCTGACCAACATGATGAAACCCTGTCTGTACTAAAAATACAAAAAATTAGCTGGGCATGGTGGCGGGCACATGTAATCCCAGCTACTCAGGAGGCTGAGGCAGGAGAATCACTTGAACCTGGGAGGTGGAGGTTGCAGTGAGCCAAGATTGCACCACTGCACTCCAGCCTGGGTGACAGAATGAGACTCCTTCTCAAAAAAAAAAAAAAAATTAATTAATTAATTACAGCATGAATTTTGCCTTCTTAGAAGTGGCTCTTTTGTTTAAAATATAAGCATGTTCAGTGGCCTTCAGTTGACAGGCTGTAATCATCGCCAAAATGTAATTATTTATTTATTTATTTGAGACAGAGTCTTGCTCTGTTGCCCAGGCTGGAGTGCAGTGGCGCAACCTGGGCTCACTGCAAGCTCCACCTCTCAGGTTCACGCCATTCTCCTGCCTCAGCCTTCCAAGTAGCTGGGACTACAGGCGCCCACCACCACGCCTGGCTAATTTTTTGTATTTTTGATAGAGATGGGGTTTCACTGTGTTAGCCAGGATGGTCTCGATCTCCTGACCTCGTGATCCGCCCGCCTCAGACTCCCAAAGTGCTGGGATTACAGGCGTAAGCCACCGTGCGTGGCCCAAAATGTAATAATTTATTAATGGGAAAATCTTTCTGATACAACTTGAACTTTCTTCCTGTTGTCATTTTAGAATTCCCTAAAGATTGAGATCAGTGTTCCTATATATTTCTCGGAAACACAATCCTACATTCCTATCCCCCTCCCCCTCTTTTTTAACAAAACAGAATTGCAGTTATATTTTTGATCTACGTTAACTTTGCTATTCAGGTAAGCTAAGTAAGGTTTGATTGGATAATCTGTATGGCAGTCTGAGTATAATTTTTCCATCAAGATTTTTAGCCTTGGGACTGCTTTCTGGGGCTTACTTTTCCCCTTGTGACTTGGTAATTGGAAATTTATGTCTATTTCACTTTCCTGTTCTAAGTTTCTAGAAGGACTTGTTGGTATAATACAGTATTTTCTTGGTCATGAGATGCATACTTTCCTCCCAGTTTAATATTTCTAAAATTAGGAAATAACATAATTGATGTTTACATTTAATCTAGTAGTGCTCCCTCACCCCTAAAAATATGGTTATTGATTCATGAAGCTTCTTAAAATCAGCAGCTTCTTGAAATTGAAGAAATATATAGAGTACATAAATATGAAACTAACTAGATTTATTGGATATCAGTACTTTGAGAGTTAGAAATGGTTACTGATTGTCATCTTTTCAGTGAAGGGTTCTATAGTTGAGTAAAAAATTTGTCTAACTTTGTAAGTATAGTTTATATTGTAGAAATTGCTTCCAATTTTGTTGGTAACTTCATGAAGCTATTCTAATTTTTTTGTGATTTTAGTGACTTATATAATATTAGTGACTTAGTAGTTTCATGTAAAATATCTTCAAACTAATTAGGGCATGGGTTACTCTTTTACCTTTGGAAAGCACATTACATGGTGTATATAGTGCTTATTTTTTAAATTATAGAAACTGAAAAATTTATATAATATTTAAAGAAAAATATCAATTTTTAATATTTTAAGTTTCATTTTGCCTATTCTCTTTTATCTATATACACGTTTTAAAATGTAGAATTAATGTTTGTTTACTCATTCAATAGATATTTTTTGAATGCCCTTTATGTTCTAGGTGCTTTGCTAAGGATGTAGCAGTGAATACAGCAAACAGGATTTTTATTCTCATGTAATGCATGGTCTAGTGGAAGATATGGATATTAAATAACTTAATTGGTATAATGCATATTAAGAGACTTATAGTATGGATATGCACTTAGCAGGGTGATCTGCCAGACTCAAGCCATCCTCCCGCCTCAGCCTCCCAAGTCTAGGGGAATAGGAAATGTCTCCCCGAGGGAATGACTTTTAAACTAAGATGGAAAGGAAGAGAAGTAGTCATATGGAAAGATGCTGGAAGAGAGTTCCAGGCAGAGAGAACTAACTGTATGTTCTAAAGGAGGGAAAACAGTTATTTGGGAACTGAAAAGTGCTTCAAACACATGTATCACAGATGTATGAGTGTTTGCTTTTTTGTTGTTTCCTGTTGTTGTTGTTGTTAAGACAGGGTCTCGTGTTGTCACTCAGGCTGGAGTGCAGTGGTGTGATCTTAGCTCGCTGCAGCCTTGACTTCCCAGGCTCAAGCGATCCTCCCACCTCAGCCTCCCAAGTAGCTGGGACTATGGGCATGAGCCACCATATCCAGCTAATTTTTGCATTTTTTGTAGAGATGGGGTTTTGCTGTGTTGCCAGGCTGATCTCAAACTCTTAGACTCAAGCAGTCTGCCTGCCTTGGCCTCCCAAAGTGCTGGGATTACAGGTTTGAGTAACTGCACCCAGCTGAGTGCTTGCTTTTTTTTGGTGGTGGTTATTTGCTCTTGCTCTGCTCACAACAGTGTGGGGAATGGTGAGGCCAGAGATATGTAGGGGCAGTTAACAACAACAAAAAGTAAACAGTGATACTGTGAAGTGCTGTTCTAAGTACTTTTCATATATTAGTTTATTGAACCCTTACAACAATTTCTATTCACATTTGAGAGAACTGAGGCCGTGAGTACTTTGCACAAAATTAATATAGCAGGACTAGCTTCTGAGACTGTGTTTTGGCTTCAGAGACTATATTCTTAACCACCAAACCATGCTGCAGATTGTAAGTTGCAAGTTATGAGTGTGATTAGGGACTTTTATATATGAAGGGCAGTGAGAAAACATTCAAAGATTTTAAGCAGGGAAATTACATTATCAGAATTTTTTTTTTTTTTGAGACAAGGTCTTGCTCTGTCACCCAGGCTGGAGTCAGTGGTGCAATCATAGCTCACTGTAGCCTTGACCTCCTGGGCTCAAGGAATCCTCCCACCTCAGCTTCCTGAGTAGCTGGTACTACAGGTGGGTGTGCCACAACACCTAGCTGATTTTTTATTTTATTTTTTATTTTTAGTGGAGATGAGGTCTTGCTGTGTTGCCCAGGCTGGTCTCAAAATCCTGGGCTCAAGCGATCGTCCTGCCTTGGCCTCAAGCGATCTTCCTGCCTTGGCCTCAATGTGCTGGGATTACAGGCATGAGCCACTGGGCCTTTGAGAAAAACAATCTCTAGTGGCTCACGCCTGCATTCCCAGCACTTTGGGAGGCCGAGGCTGGAAGATCGTTTGAGCCCAGGAGTTCGAGACCAGCCTGGGCAACATAGCAAGATGCTGTCTCTACAAAAATAAAAAATTGGCTGGGCATGGTTGGTGTGTGCCTGTAGTCCCAGCTACTCAGGAGGCTAAGGCTGCTTGGGCCCAGGAGGTTGGGACTGCAGTGAACTATGATCGTGCCACTGCTCTCCAGCCTGGGTGACAGAGCAAGATTTTTTCTCAAAGAACAAGAACAAAATATATATATATATATAAAATAAAACACCTTTCTGGATGTAGCTTGGGCTGGAGGAGAGCAAGGTAGATGTACAAAGAAGTTAGAGGGCTGTTGCTATATTCTGGGTGAGAATTGTTGGTTTTTTTGGACAAGTCAGTGGGAGAATTGGAGAGGAACTCTATGTAATCACAGATTATTTATGTGACATTCAGAAGTTTTGGTGTTAGGTTGAAGGTTGACAATAAGGGAGTGAGAATAGTCAGGATGAGTGCCACTGCACTCCAGCCTGGGTGACAGAGTGAGACTCCATCTCAAAAAATAAAAAATAAAAATTAAAAAATTAAAAAGATACCAAAAGATTTTAGAGAAGCAAAAGACTGACTGAACCTAAAGAATTCCAACATCTGGGAGTCTGGTAGGCCAAATCAGATCTGCAGATAAGACTCAGGAGTGGCTTCCAGAGAGGTGGCAGGAATGTGTACTATCATAGTAACCTGTAGTAGTTTGACTAGTAGTAGCTCTGACTTGAGCAATTGGTGGTACTGAAATGGGAAAGATTGGAGGAGGATTAAACTTTGTAAAGATATTGAACCAGGTTTCAGATATACTGTCTGGAGCTTAAAAGTCTTAAGTAGTATAATAAATTACACAGGGAAAGAATCTAGAGTAGGAGCCAGGTGCAGTGGCACATGCCTATGGTCCCTATTACTTGGGAAGCTGAGGTGGGAGGATCCCTTGAGCACAGGAGTTGGAGGCTGCAGTAAGCTATTATTATGCCACTGTACCCCAGGCCAGATGATAGAGCCGTCTTTATTAAAAAAAAAAAAAAAAAAAAAAGGCTGGGTACAGTGGTTCACACCTGTAATCCCAGCACTTTGGAAGGCCGAGGCGGGCAGATCACGAGGTCAGGAGTTCAATATAGTGAAACCTTGTCTCTACTGAAAATATAAAAAATTAGCCGGATGTGGTGGTGCGTTCCTGTAGTCCCGGCTACTCGGGAGGCTGAGGCAGGAGACTCGCTTGAACCCAGAAGGCAGAGGTTGCAGTGAGCCGAGATTGCGCCATTGCATTCCAGCCTGGGTGACAGAGTGAGACTCCATCTCAAAAACAAACAAACAAACAAACAAACAAAAAAACGCCAGGTGCCATAGCTCATGCCTGTAATCCCAGCACTTTGGGAGGCTGAGGTGGACAGATCACTTGAGGTCAGACGTTCAAGACCAACCTGGCCAAAATGGTGAAACCCCATCTCCAAAATGCAAAATATAAGTACTAAAGATACAAAAATTAGCCTGGCCTGGTGATGCGCACCTGTAGTCCCAGCCACTTTGGAGGCTGAGACAGGAGACTCACTTGAACCCAGGATGCAGAGGTTGCAGTGAGCCAAGATGGTGCCACAGCACTCCAGCCTGGGTGACAGAGTGAGACTCCATCTCCAAAAATAAAAATAAAAAATAAATAAAAATTAAAAAATTTAAAAAATGCCAAAATATTTTAGAGAAAGAAAAGACTGACTGAACCTAAGGAATTCCAACATCTGGAAGTCTGGTAGGCCAAATCAGATCAGCAGATAAGACTCAGGAGTGGCTTCCAGAGAGGTGGCAGGAATGTGTACTATCACAGTAACCTGTAGTAGTTTGTGTCTTGTGTTCATTTTCTTAGTACTGCCTTTTTGAAGGACAGAAGTTTATAGTTTTGGTGAAGTTCAGTTTACCAGCTTTTTTTAAAAAAAAAAAATCATGCTGTCATATCTAAGAAATTTTGCCTAACCCAAAGTCACAAAGATTTCCTTCTACATTTTCTTTTAGGAATTTTATAGTTCGTTTTCGAATTTAGATTTGTGATCCACTTGAGTTAATTTTTGTGTATGATGTGAGGTAAGGGTCTGAGTTCTTTTCTTGCAGATGGATATCCTGTAGTAGATTTGGAGTGAGAAGATTACATTCAATCCAAGTTCTTCTATTTACTAATTTTACAGTCTTAGAGTTAATCACGTTTCGAAGCCTGTTTGCCCATCTATAAAATGTGATTAGTTAAATCTAATAAGATTATTGTCAGAATGAAACAAATGAGACAATAAGTGAAACCACTTTGGCATAGTGTATGGCGCCTAGTAGGACTAAGATAGATAAATGTTAGTGGAGTTTGAAAAACACTCCCAGGATACCCAAATACTCTTCTTGTTTGTTTCTTTAAATTCGTTTCAGTGAGTGAATAATGCCCAAGCTTTTGGTTTTCAGATATAATCATTGTAATATTTAATCCCTTGAAATTACCTCTTAATCTTAAAGTCTATCAGCTTTAAACTCTAGGCAGCAAATGCACTGCAGGCATGTTTTAGGGAGTTTTGACTTCTTTGGGTTTGTTTGATAACATTTGATAAATAATTGCCTTTCTGTGTTGAATTTCTTTCTTTTTTCCCTTTTTTTTTTTTTGAGACAGAGTCTTGCTCTGTCGCCAGGCTGGAGTGCAGTGGTGTGACCTCGGCTCTCTGCAAGCCTCGCCTCCAGGGTTCACACCATTCTCCTGTCTCAGCCTCCCAAGTAGCTGGGACTACAGGCACTCGCCACCACGCCCGGCTAATTTTTTTTTGTATTTTTGGTAGAGACGAGGTTTCACCATGTTAGCCAGGATGGTCTCGATCTCCTGACCTTGTGATCTGCCCATTTCAGCCTCCCAAAGTGCTGGGATTACAGGCATGAGCCACTGCGCCTGGCCTCTTTCTTTTTTCTTTTAACTTTTTTTAGAGACTGGTTCTCACTCTGTCACCCAGGCTGGAGTGCAGTGGCATGATCATAGCTCACTGCAGCCTTGAACTTCTGGGCTTGAGCAGTCATCCTGGATTAGCCTCCCTCATTATGTAGAAGTATTAAAAGCATGGGTTCTACTTTTGACAGACATAGCGTATTCATATATGGGAGCTGTTGAGTAGTGAGAAATGACTGCATATGTTTTGAAGGTAAAGCTGACAGATTTTGCTGACAGACTGCGTGTGTAGGATTTGAGATAAAGGAAGGAGTCAAGGATGATAACAAGTTATTAGGCCAAAAATTTGTCATCTCAATTCAGTAGCAGATGATCTTTTCAAGGCCTGAGTCAGATCATGTCATTTCTTAAAACCATTTTGATGGCTTCCTGTCTCAAAGTAAAAGCTAAAGTCTTTATAAGTCTGCAAGGCCCTCTGTATAAGTCCTGCATGCCCTCTCAGTCTGCGTACTCATTCAGTTCCAGGAAGCCGGGTTGGGCAAAGGTCTCCATTCTATTTCTGAAACACAACAAAAATACTTCCACCTCAAGACCTTCGCACTTACTTTTTGGCTTGACTAGAACCTCCATTTCCTGGGTATGTGATTACTTAGCTAGTTTGATATATCCTAAGAAATATGATGGTTATCTGTGGAAATTTTAAAGAGTCTGAAGCCCAGCACAAATTTAAATGAATAATGTGCTATAAATTTTTTTCTTTTTTTTTTTTTTCTTGAGATGGAGTTTTGCTCTTGTTGCCCAGGCTGGCGTGCAATGGCACGATCTCGGCTCACTGCAATCTCTGCCTCCCAGGTTCAAGAGATTCTCCTGCCTCAGCGTCCTGAGTAGCTGGGATTACAGGCATGCGCCACCACGCCTGGCTAATTTTGTATTTTTATTAGAGACAGTGTTTTTCCATGTTGGTCAGGCTGGTCTCAAACTCCCAACCCAACCTCGGGTGATCTGCCTGCCTCAACCTCCCAAGTGCTGGGATTACAGGTGTGAGCCACCATGCCTGGCCTAATGTGCTATACATTTTTAAATAAAATCTTGTGTCGCTAATTTATACTTTTTTTTTTTTTTTTTAAGAGATGGGGTCTTGCCCTGTTGCCAAGGCTGAAATGCAGTGATATTTTCTTAGCTTACTGAGGCCTCAAGTTCCTGAGTTCAAGCAGTCCTATTGCCTTGGCCTCCCAAAGTGTTGGGATTACAGGCGTGAACCACCACACCCAGCCTATAACTGGTTTTTAATGTTAAGAAATAATGTTGTAATGTTTAGAAATAAAAAGTCTCTAGCCATGTTTAATAAAGATCACAAAGGAAAACAAAAATTCCTTGTAGATGAGCAGGCATGGTGGCTTGCCCCCTGTTAGCTGCGCGGGAGGCTGAGGTGAGAGAATCATTTGAGCTCCAGAGTTTGAGGCTGCAGTGAGCTAAGAAGATGCCACTGCATTCCAGCCTTGGCAACAGAGCAAAACCCAGTCTTAAAAAAAAAAAAAATCCTCAGATAAGACAAGTTAGATTTTACTTTTTTTTTTTTTTTTTAAATGGAGTTTTACTATTGTTGCCCAGGCTGGAGTGCAATGGCACGATCTTGGCTCACCACAACCTCTGCCTTCTGGGTTCAAGCGATTCTCCTGCCTCAGCCTCCCGAGTAGTTGGGATTACAGGCGTGTGCCACCATGTCCCGCTAATTTTTGTATTTTTAGTAGAGAAAAGAGTTTCACTGTGTTGGCTAGGCTGGTCTTGCTCCTGACCTCAGGTGATCCACCCGCCTTGGCCTGCCAAAGTGCTGAGGTTATGGGCATGAGCCACCGCACCTGGCCAGATTTTACTTGTTTTAAGCTAACAATCTACCTGCATTGTTTAATCTATAACATGGCAATTTTAAATAGGTTTACTTATCTAAAAAGAAAAAGAATTGTTCTTCATTGTTCTTCCAGGCTAAAAATCTTATAAAATTCCGTTAACTTTTTCATTTGTATGTTGTTACACTGCCTCCCTCTGTATATAGCATATACATATATTTTCAGCTCTCTCTTTGACTTTCCACTTAAATGTTTCACAGGTACCTAAAATTTAATGTACTTATTACTGAACCCTTTGATCTTCCCTTTCTGTCTCATCCTGGCATACTTCTAGAATATTGGCCCCACAAAGCAAGGGTTTTTGTCTATATTTTGTACTATTGTATCTCCAGTTCTTGATATATAACTTGGTAAATATTTGTTGAATGAGTCTCCAAATGGTACCACCATACCATTTACCATTTGGTCAAGTCTTCAGTTTTTTCCACCCTCATCCTCTCACATTATATTGACAAATATCTAACATGTCTCTTAAATCCACCCGTTTTTCTCTATTTCCATTGTTACCATCCTAATCTAGTATGCTGATATGACTGGTATTCCAGAACCAACTTTTGCTGTCTTTGGAATAATCTTCCTTCCTCAGCAAACAGATGTTTCTCAAAATGTAGGCTTGTATCTTGTTATTGTCCTTCTCAGAGCCCTTTAATACCTTCTTTGTGAATTCCAAATTTTTTTTTTTTTTCTTTTTTGAGATTGGATCTCGGCCTGTTTCCAGCGTGGAGTGCAATGGCACCACCATGGCTCACTATAGCCTTGACCTTCTGGGCTCAAGCAGCTGGGAACTCTCAGAAAATAAATAAATAAATAAAAATAATAATAAAAAAATTTAAAGGAAAGAAAGCACTTAAAGTTCATGAGACCAAGGACCATGTTTGTGTTACTCATGACGGTATCTACAGTGTGTGTCACAATTCTCAAAACATATTTTGAGGCTCTCAGAAAACATTTGTTGAATGAATGAAGGAATAGATTAAGAATGATGAATCCATAAAGGAAATGATGAAATGGTTGGAGAGGTGTTGGGAGAACCAGTAGAATGTATCATAGAAACCAAAGAGTTTCAAACGTAGCAAATATGCCAAATGTAGCAGAGAGAAATAATAAGATCGAGACTAAAGATGATCTTTTCTTTTTTTTTTTTTTTTGAGACGGAGTCTCGCTCTGTCATCCAGGCTGAATGGAGTGCAGCGGTGCGATCTGGGCTCACTGCAACCTTTGCCTGCCAGGTTCAAGTGATTCTTCTGCCTCAGCCTCCCGAGTAGCTAGGACTACAGGTGCACACCACCACGCCTGGCCAATTTTTTTTTTTTTTAAGTGGAGACGGGGTTTCACCATATTGGCCATGCTGGTCTCAAACTCCTGACCTCATGATCCACCCGCCTCGGCCTCCCAAAGTGCTGTGATTACAGGTGTGAGCCACCACGCCCAGCCTAAAGATGATCTTTGGGAGGCAGCAAAGCATAGTGGTTAAGAGGAGCGAAACAGACCTGTTTCTGCCTTTTATTGGCCATTAGCCTGTCTTTTCATGTCTAAAAAGGGAATAATAATAGTAACTACCGCATGCTGATTGTGAGCCTTAAATGAGATAATATATGTAAAACATTTGGCATAGAGCTTTGTACATGCTAAGAACTCAGTAAGTATTTTATTACTTTTACTGATGCTAAATTCACTGTGAGGACTCATTTGTAGTACTTTAAAAAATTTGGTTGATTTTATATTGTTTTGCTGAATAGTGTTCCATCAAAGCATGGCTATTCCCTTTCTACCCCTGAAAATAGATGGGGTATTTACATATAAAATGATTTCCAAACATAGTTGTCTTCCAGAGTAGTTCTGTATCTCAGACCAGACCTTCGCCACCAACACACACACACACTCTCTCTCTCTCTCTCTCCCCCCATATATATATACACACACACACATATATATGCACACATATATACACATACATACATATACATACATACATATATATATACATATATATACACATATATATGTGTGCATATATATATATATAATTTTTTTTTTTTTTTTGAGACAGAGTCTCACTCTGTTGCCCAGGCTGGAGTGCAGTGGCACAATCTCGGCTCACTGCAACCTGTGCCTCCTGGGTTCAAGTGATTCTTCTGCCTCAGCCTCCTGAGTAGCTGGGATGACAGGCACCTGCCACCACACCTGGCTAATTTTTGTATTTTTAGTAGAGATGGAGTTTCACCATGTTGGCCAGGCTGGTCTTGAACTCCTGACCTCAGGTGATCCACTCGCCTCAGCCTCCCAAAGTGCTGGGATTTATAGGCATGAGCAACCACGCCCAGCCCAGACCACTATATTAATAACAGTGTATTAGTTAATTTTTATCAGATCCACTGTTTGTTACTTGGATGTGGGATTAGAATGGCAGGTGTTGGGGTGGATAGAGGTCTTCATTTTGTAGAGAATATGTATTTGTAAATTTGTAGGTAGTTTTTAACATATTGTTAGATTATCATACTTTGTTTTTATACAATGTATATGTCCTATTAATATAATTAGTAATTTCCTTTTTAAAAAACATATGGTTAGTAATTTTCTAAAGAGTTTACTTAATGCTGTAATGATTTGTGCAAAAGTATTTAATGCTGTAGGTACAGTGTTACTTTCCTTTGAATTTGGACCAGACTGTCCCACATTGTTCCAGAGATTTGAAAACATAAATCCCAAAATTGCATGTGAGATGAATATTGAGTTTGCCTGTTTGAGTGAAGAGATTCTAGCAATCTTAGGTCTGTGTTTTTCCTTGGAAATGTATTTTAAGTTGAATATATTGTAGTAGAAACCAAAATAAGTTGTGTTACAACATGGCATCCTTGCCCCTGGATGGAAAACCTAGATTGTTTAGATATTTTTCCAAAAGCTGAAAGAATGAT
Organism: Homo sapiens; assembly: GCF_000001405.40. Lineage (NCBI taxonomy): Eukaryota > Metazoa > Chordata > Mammalia > Primates > Hominidae > Homo > Homo sapiens. The sequence continues at coordinate 155,531,950 of NC_000001.11, read as the reverse complement.
ATTCTCAATGAACATTGCTTTGAAAGTTCAAAAAACAGCATTCTGGCAGCTGCTGTAGGGACTGTTTTTCAAGCAGTTTACATTCAGCAGATAAAAAGCACTCTGTTGTGAAATATCTTCAGAATTTGGGTTTATCTTGACTAGAAACTCTTAAATTTGGTATGTGGGGTTTGCCAATCATGATTTTCCAGTTTTACTACCTAAATGGATTCTCAAAATATGCCTGTAAGCATACTGTTCGTTTTTCTCCTTGATCATGTTAGGGAAATGTAGTATTTCTCTCTTCTCATATACATTTTTAGGGGGGGAAATAAATGTTTTCAAATCTCTTTTCAGTTTATTGGTACTCTGCTATTTATGTAATAATATGTGTCACTTGGATTAAGTTTTATAATTTTTTTTCATTTTTAAAATGAGAATCATGTTTCTGTCAGACCTTTCTCTGTAATGTTTTGAAAGGGAATTAAGTGCAGATAAAAAATGAATTCTTTGCTTGAACCCGGGAGGCGGAGGTTGCAGTGAGCCGAGATCACGCCACTGCACTCCAGCCTGGGTGACAGGGAGACTCTGTTTCAAAAAAAAAAAGAATTCTTTGGAAAAATGCTGAAATTCTTCATTTATACATATAAATTTTGCAGTTATACATATTAAGACATGGAATTCTTTCATTACAAAAATTGTAATGGGAAAATTTAAAATGTATGCATTTGTGAGTAATGAATATAAAAGCAATTCTTTTTTTTTTTTTCCAAATTGTAAAATGTTGTGGGTTTTTTGTTACATCTGTTTTTTGAGATGGGGGTCTCTCTTTATTGCCCAGACTGGAGTGCAGTGGCACGATTCTAGCTCACTCCAGTGTTGAACACTTGGGCTCAAGTGATCTTCTCATCTCAGCCTCCAGAGTAACTAGGCCTACAGGTGTGTCCCACCACACCCAGCTAATTTTTTAATATTGATTGATTGATTGAGACAGAGTGTCACTCTGTTGGCCAGGCTGGAGTGCCTCTGGAGTAGCTAGGACTACAAGTGTGTCCCACCATACCCAGCTTATTGTTTGATTGCCCGGGCTAGAGTACAGTGCTGTGATCATGGCTCACTGCAGCCTCGACCTCCTAGACTCAGGTGATCCTCCCACCTCAGCCTCCTGGGTAGCTGGGACGATAGGCACGTGCCACCATGCCCAGCTAATTTTTTTGATTTTTTTTTTTCCTTCCCGAGACAGAGTCTTGGTCTGTCACCCAGGCTGGAGTGCAGTGGCACAGTCTTGGCTCACTGCAACCTCCACCTCCTGTGTTCAAACAGTTCTCCTGCCTCAACCTCCTGAGTAGCTGAGATTACAGGAGCGTGCCACCATGCCCAGCTAATTTTTGTATTTTTTTTTTTTTTTAGTAGAGACGGGGTTTCACCATGTTGGCCAGGCTGGTCTCAAACTCCTGACCTCAAGTGATCTGCCTGCCTTGGCCTCCCAAAGTGCTGGGATTACAGGCGTGAGCCACTGAGCCCGGCCTAGAAAGGGGACAATTTGAAGCTCGTAAAATATAACCCACATAAGTCAGGGAATTAATTCTACAAATATTTATTGAACACCTACTATATGCCAGCTAGTGTTCTACGTGCTGGGATATAGCAGTGAACCAAACTGATAAGTCTATTTCCTGGTAGAGTTCAAATTTCAATGGAAAGATGTACACAACAAATATATAGTACACCAGGTGGTAAGAAGAGTATGAGAATAAAATAGGATACTGAATGTGAGTAGAGGGTGGTGGGGGGATAGGTGTTTTTTTTAGGAAATGCTTCTTCTGTAAAATTACGTTTAGACAAAGATACGAAGGAAGTGAAAGAGCAAGATATGCAATTATCTGGGGAAAGGGTGTTCTGTCAAGCGGAATGGTAAGTGCAAAGGTCCCAAGGTAAAGAGTATTTTTGTTGTGTTTGAGAAACAGAAGGGAAACTTCTTTTTTTTTTATTTTTTTTATTTTTTTTTGAGACAGAGTCTTGCTCTGTTACCTAGGCTGGAGTGCAGTGGCGCAATCTCGGCTCACTGCAATCTCCACCAGAAGGGAAACTTTTGTACCTCCTTCTTGGAACTAAGTGAGGAGACTGGTAGGCGATGGAAGAGAGGTAGAGAGGACTTTAGGACAAATTAAATTGGATCTTTAGACCATTTAAAAAATTTTGGCTTCTGCTTTGAGGGAGATAGGAAGCCTACGAAAGGGTTTTGAGCAGAGGAGTGACATGATCTGAATCAGGCTTTGAAAGGATCACCCTGCAACTGAATTGAGAAGACTGGAAGAGATATGAGGGTTGAAGCAAGGAACCAGTTAGAAGCATGTTGCATTTTGCAAGCTATGCATCTGACAAAGGTCTAATGTCAGCATCTGTAAGGAACTTAAGCAAATCTATGAGAAAAAAAATGATTAAAAAGTGGGTAAAGGACATGAACAGACACTTCTCAAAAGAAGACATACATGCAGCCAACAATCATGAGGAAAAGCTCAACATCACTGATCATTCAAGAAATGCAAATCAAAACCACAGTGAGACCATCTCACATCATTCAGAATGGCTATTAAAAAGTCAAAAAAAAAAAAAAAAAGATGCTGGCAAGGTTGCAGAGAGAAAGGAGTGCTTATACACTATTGGTGGGAGTGTAAATTAGTTAAGCCATTGTGGAAGACTGTGGTCATCCCTCAAAGACCTAAAAACAGAAATAACATTTGACTCAGCAGTCCCGTTACTGGGTATATACCCAAAGGAATATAAATCATAAAGACAGATGCATGCGTATCTTCATTGCAGCACTATTCACAATAGCAAAGACATGGGATTAACCTAAATGCCCACCAATGGTAGACTGGATAAAGAAAATGTAGTACATATACATCATGAAATGCTATGGAGCCACAAAAAAAAAATGAGATCATGTACTTGGCAGGATCATGGATGGAGTGGAGGCCATTATCTTTGGCAAACTAGTGCAGGAACAGAAAATCAAATACTGTATGTTCTCACATATAAATGGGAGCTAAATGATGACAACACATGGACACATAGAGGGGAACAACACACACTGGGGCTTATTGGAGGGTGGAGGGTGGGAAGAGGGAGAGAATCAGGAAAAATAACTAATGGGTACTAGGCTTAATACCTGGGTGATGAAATAAACCCCCATGACACAAGTTTACCCACGTAACAAACCTGCACATGTACCCCTGAACTTAGAATAAAAGTTAAATATATTAAAAAATCAATAAATCAATGGACTTTGAGTTAAGCAGATCACCCTCCATAATGTTGGGGAGGAACTTCATCTACTCAACTGAAGGCATTAACAGAACAAAAGATTGACCTCTCCTCAGTAAGAGGCAAGTCTGCCAGCAGAATGAAAACATTGGGTCTTCCTGGGTCTTCAGCCTGCCACTGACCCACCCTGCAGATTTTGGGACTGGCCAGCTTCCATAATCATGTGAGCAATTCCTTTAAATAAACCTCTTTCTTTAAAAAAAAAAAAAGCTATTGCAATAATCCATTCACATATTTATCATCACTTGGATCTAATAGCTGTCAGAGTAATGACAACTGGTTAGATTCTGCATACATTTTGAAGGTAAAGCTGACAAACTTAGCTGACCAAATGGACATGAGGGGTTTGAGAGAAAAAGCAATTAAGGATGGGTAGAGATTTTTGGCCTAAATATTTCTCTTTGGAATTACCATATTTTGAAATGAAACCTGTAGGAAGAATAGATTTGGGGCAGTGGGCAAAGATGAATTGATTTTAAACATGTTAAGTGCCTATCTATTACACAATCCAGTCAGTATGTCAAGTAAGCATTTAGATATGTGAATCTGAAGTTCCAGAAAGAGGTCTCAGCTAGTCTCTATCTGAAGATAGAAATTTGTGAATCATCAATGTTAGATGAAATTTAAAGCCGTAAGACTGGATCTGGTCATTTGGGAACTGAGTGTAGATAGAAAAAGGAAGAGGTCCGGGTACCCTGCGTCACTCCAGTATTTAAAGGTCATGGAGGAAGGAAAGAACCTGCAAAGGAGACAGAGGGTAGTAGCCAGTGAGGAAGAACAATCAAGAGAGGAGTCCCAGAGCTGGGCACGGTGACTCATGCCTGTCATCCCAGCTACTCGGGAGTCTGAGGTCGGAGGATTGCTTGAGGCCAGGACTTGAAGACTAGCCTGGGCAACCTAGTGAGACCCTGTCTCTAAAACAGTGAAAAAAAATTGGACATGGTGGCACATGCCTGTATTTCTAGCTACTTGGAATAGCTACTTGGGGTCTGAGGCAGGAGAATCACTTGAGCCCAGGATTTTGAGGCTGCAGTGAGCTATGATTGTGCCACTGCACTCTGGCCAGGGTGACAGAGAGAGACCTTGACTCAAAAAAAAAAAAAAAAAAAAAAAGGTATCCCGTAAGTCAAGTGAGGTAGCGAGGGAGCTGTTTAGCTGTGCCAAATTCTGTTGATAGGTCAGGTAAGATGAGAGGACTGAGAATTGATCATTCTTCTTAGCAATGTGGAGGTTGTTGGTGACCTTGACTAGCAGTTTCTATGGAGGGGTGGCAGTGAAAGTATAATCAGTATGTTCAAGAGAAAAAGCAAGGATTGGAGGTCAGGGAGAATAGACAATATAGAGAATTCTAACAATTTTGTTGTGAAGAGGAACAGAGAAATGGGAAGATGGTGGAGGATGTGGAGTCAAGAGGAATTTTTTTTTTTCTTTTTTTTTGAGACGGAGTCTCGCTCTGTCACCTAGGCTGGAGTGCAGTGGCACCATCTTGGCTCACTGCAACCTCTGCCTCCCGGGTTCAAGCAATTCTCCTGCCTCAGCCTCCTGAGTAGCTGGGATTACAGGCATGCGCCACCACACCTGGCTAATTTCTTATATTTTTGGTAGAGATGGGGTTTCACCACGTTGGCCAAGCTGGTCTTGAGTATCTGACCTCAAGTGAGGTCTGCCCGCCTTGGCCTCCCAACTGCTGGGATTACAGGCGTGAGCCATCTTGCTCGGCTAAGAGGAATTTTCTTCCATGAGAGATATTATAGTATGTTTTTGTTTTCAGGCTTATTGGCATTATTCAGAGGAAATATGAGAAATGGATGATGTGAGAGAGAAAGGAGATAGTTGCCTAAATGAAGAGGTTGAAAGGAGAGATCGTTTATATATTGTGATAGGAAGGCAGTCAGACTATAGGAACAGACACAGGTAGGAAGGTAGGTAGATATATGGTGGGCACTTGTGGCACTTTTCTGTTTGTTACTGCTTCCTATCTGACTACTGCTGTGATCAGATAGGAAGCAAAATTAGGGACAATGAAGAAAGGGGAGATGGGATGAAATAGTTTTTTAGGAGAGTGGTAGAGGGAATAGATTAGGGAAGTGTATTGGCAGCACCAAGGGCTTACTCGGAGTTAGTGGTCAGGAATATAAAATGAGATCATTGAGTGTTATTGTTTTTCTTAGACTAGCTGTGATGGTACAGAGACAGAAGATGTATAAAATATGATTTGGAAGTATGTTAGTGCTGAAATTAGGATATTTTAGTAAATTTACAGAAAACCACCTATGTGAAATATAAACATATTAAGAAAAAACTTGTGTATAGTTTTCTCATTGTAACACAAGATAAAGTTATGTAAAACAGGAAAAAAGACATTTGCTACATGCCAATCATTGTATTAGAAGTTACAGGAACCTTAAAATTCACTCATTCATTTATTCAGCTATTTATTGGGTACTAAAATTTGTGCTATTCATTGTTTCAGCTGCTGGGGTTACAGTGGTGAGCAAGCCAGAAGAGGTTCCTATCCTCATGAAGCTTATATTTTAATTATACAGTTGGCCTTCCCTATCTGTGATTCCGCACCTGTGGATTCAACCAACTGCGGATGAAAAATATTAGAAAAAATTAAAAATAACAATACAATAATAAAAAATTATACAAAATTTTAAAGTACAGTTTAATAACTATTTATATATCATTTACATTATGTTAGGTATTATAAGTAATCCAGAGATGATTTCAAGTATACAGGAGCATGTGTATAGGCTGTATGCAAATACCATACCATTTTATATAAGTGACTTGAGCATCGTCAGATTTTGGTATCTGAGGGGGTGGGATGGGAGGTGGGAGGACTTAATCTGTTGAGGGGTATAGCTGACAAATACAGAACAAGAAAAAAGTTAATTGCCCTAATTGTGATCTTATATGGATCATAAATATTCAGGGATGGATCAGGTCAGTGCAAGCTTAAATATAGGTCTGAGAACATAGGTCTAGAATCCATTACCCAAATGTTGGTGCCGTAAGTTTTTTTCTTTTTAAAAAAATTCCCTGCAAGTGTTACACGTTTTTCTTTTTTCTTATTTTTCTTCTTCTTCTTTTTTTTTTTTTGGCTTTTAGAAATGTAGATTGGGTGAACTGGCACAGTGGTGTTTGGGAGTAGTAGCATCCTTTACTAACTTAATCAAGCCCATTAATACTTCTGCATTGTAATTTATCATTATTCATGGAAATTAGGGTAATTAAGACTAAAATGGGTCCGTGTCAAGTTTTATCACTAGGTTTTGAAAAAACTTGGATTTCAGAGTTTTTTGGACTTCAGGATTGTGAGCCCATCATGGAGAAGATAGGACTTTGTACTTTTTATTTTTTGTTTTAGAGTTTATTTTTTTAATTTACTTTTTGAGATAGGGTCTCGCTCTGTTGCCCGGGCTGGAGTCCAGTGGCATGAACATGGCTCACTGCAGCCTCGATTTCCTAGGCTCCAGCCATCTTCTTGCCTCATCCTCCCGAGTAGCTGGGACTATAGGTGTGCACCACCATGCTGGGCTAATTTTTTATTTTTTGTAGAGAGAGGGTCTTGCTGTGTTTGCTAGACTGGTCTCAAACTCTTAAGCTCAAGTGATCTTCCTGCCTTAGCCTTCCAAAGTGCCAGTAATACAGGCGTGAGCCACCGTGCCCAGGCAGGATTTGAACTTTTAAAATTATTATTTATTTTTAAAAAAACATTTGGGTTATTTTAATTACTTTTTATACACAGCATTTTATTATTTATTTTTTCTCCCTTCCCTAATTATGTATTTGTTTTTTTGAGACAGGGTCTTGTTCTGTTGCCCAAGCTAGAGTGTAGTGGTACAATCACGGCTCAGTGTAACCTCAACTTCCTGGGCTCAAACCATCTTCCCACCTCGGCCTCTTGAGTGGCTGGGATTATAGGCACATGACACCACACACCTGGCTAATTTTTTATTTTTTATTTTTGTAGAGATGAGGTCTCACTGTGTTGTCCATACTGGCTTTGAACTCCTGGGCTAAAGCGATCCTCCCACTTTAGTCTCCCAAAGTGCTGGGATTGTAGGTGCGAGCTACTGTGCACAGCTAACTTTGTACTTTTTTTTTTTTTTTTTTTGAGACGGAGTCTTGCTTTGTTGCCCAGGCTGGAGTGCAGTGGCACAATCTCGGCTCACTGCAAGCTCTGCCTCCCAGATTCACGCCATTCTCCTGCCTCAGCCTTCCGAGTAGCTAGGACTACAGGCACCCGCCACCACGCCTGGCTAATTTTTGTATTTTTTTTTAAAAGATGGGGTTTCACCGAGTTAGCTAGGATGGTCTCGATCTCCTGACCTCCTGATCCGCCCCGTCAGCCTCCCAAAGTGCTGGGATTATAGGCATGAGCCACCATGCTCAGCCTACTTTGTATGTTTAAAGGGAGAGTGTGTATGTTTATATGACACATAAGCAGAAATGAACATGATTTGTTAGGGACAGTAAAGAAAACTGAATTGACTAAATGATAGTGGGTGTGTGTTGGGAAGTAAAGATAAGTTTGAATAGTTAGAGGAGAGTGAGGTTATTAAAAGCCTTGAATGCCATTGTGAAATGTTAATACATGAAATGGTAGACAAGAATCATCAGAGTGAAATGATTGGAAGATTAGTTTTCCAGCTGTTTATATGATTGAATGGAGCAATAACAAGCTAAGGAGTTACCCAATCGGCCAAAATTTGTTGAGTACTTATAAACACTGCTGCTGCTCCTACTACTACTAAATTATTGGCACCTTTTTTTTTCTTGCTCTGTCACCTGGCCTGGAGTGCAATAGCATGATCTTGGCTCACTGCAACCTCCGCCTGCCAGGTTCAAGTGATTCTCATGCCTCAGCCTCCTGAGTAGTTGGAATTACAGGCACCTGCCACCACACTCAGCTGATTTTTGTACTTTTAGTAGAGACGGGTTTCGACATGTTGACCAGGCTAGACTCGAACTGGTGACCTCAAGTGATGCACCTGCCTTGGCCCCCGCAAGGTGCTGAGAGTACAGGCATGAGACACCATACCCGGCCAGTACCTTTTATTGAGCCCTCGCTATGTGCCAGTCATTGGGCGAGGTATTTTACTTACATTCCTTGTAGAAGTCATAAGACAACTATTTTTTCCCTTGAGACAGGGTCTTGCCCTGTTGCCCAGGTTGGAGTGCAGTGGCTTGATCACAGCTCACTGCAGCCTCGACCTTCAAGGTTCAAGTGATCTCCCACCTCAGTCTCCTGAGAGCTGGGACTACAGGTGTGTGCCATCACACCCTGCTAATTTTTGTACTTTTTTAGAGACAGGATTTTGCCATGTTGCCCAGTCTGGTCTCAAACTCCTGGGCTCAAAGAGTCCACCCACCTCAGTCCCTGAAAGTGCTGGGATTATAGGTGTGAGCCACCATGCCTGGCCAGGAATCTTACTCTCTTGTTGTAATGAAAAGTCTCAGGGCACATCGTTTAAAATATTCTACTTCATAAATGGAACTTTCTAAGGGATAAGATGTTCTCCGTTTTCCAGATACTAGTTCTAGATCTTGACTCAGACATATGTTTGACATGAAGACTAGTCTGTCAGTCTTCAAGAATACTGACTTGTTTTGTTTTGGTTTTATTAATATATTCACTAGTCTCTGGCTGGGCACGGTGGCTCACACCTGTAATCCCAGCACTTTGGGAGGCTAAGGCAGGCGGATCACCTGAGGTCAGGCGTTCAAGACCAGCCTGGCCAACATGGTGAAACCCTGTCTCTACTAAAAATACAAAAATTAGCCGGGTGAGTATGGTGGCTTGTGCCTGTAATGCCAGCTACTCGGGAAGCTGAGGCAGGAGAATCTCTTGAACCCAGGAGACGCAGGTTGCAGTGAGCTGAGATCGCGCCACTGCACTCCAGCCTGGGCGACAGAGCGAGACTCCATCTCAAAAAAAAAAAAAAAAAATTCACTAATCTCCCTAATGATTATATGGTAATCTGGTTTCCTGAGGATCTTTATATTTAAAATGGGAGTGCTTTGTGGAGATTCTGAGATTAGGTGTATCACCTATTGTAAAATAATAAATTAGCACGCTAGTTTTAAAACATTTTGTGTATTTGGGGAATTGACACATGCCTACTATTTGCTATTAGGAAAACTTGTAAAAATAAATTGCTGATTTTTAAGGTTCTTATAACAACAGTGATTATTTGTATAAATATTTGCTTAATGTTTGCCCTTCTCACTAGAGTATAAACCTTAAAATTTAGGAACTGGGTTCATTTTGTTGAATACTGTATTTTCAGAGTGTAGCATGATGCCTGGCATATGATAGATGTTTGGAAATATTTTTTGAATGGACAAGTGAATGATTCAGAGTTGAATTGTATCCTAACAACAAAGATAATATCTGCATAAGTTCCTGCATCAGAGAGTCCTAACCTCAAAAAGCCTGATAATCTCTTCTAAAAGTTTGGAATACTGAAACCAGCCTAAGAGATAATTTAAAAAGAATTTTTATAGGTACATAGCGTGTTTAAATATTTATGGGGTGAACGTGATATGTTGATGCAGGCATACAATGTGTAATAATCACATAGTCAATGGAGTATCAAAAAAAGATGATTTTTTACCTTCAATAAAACTGTAGGAAATAAAAGTGTACTTCAGCAGAAGAGTGGGGAATATATTCTTTTAAAACTGATGAGTGCGAAAATATATGAAAGTTATTTTGATTTTAGGCAATGTTTGCTTGACTGTAAGTTTCAGAAGCTTCTTGGTGATTCTTAAATTTGCATTTGCACCATACCACTATGGCTTGTTTATGATATCTGTAGAATGATAAACTTATTCTGAATTTTAAATGTATTTATAACTAAATGGATTTACATCTATTTTGAATTAACATTTCGATCTAACTGTGATTTTTTTTTGGGTAGTTGTTGACCTCCTTGTCTTCCCCTATACCCATTACTTATGTTAATCAGTAGTTGCCTCTTTTCTGATAAATTTTTGTTATGATCTGTTCTGCAGAGAAAGATGCTGGTTTCGAGTTTTGGAGATCCTTGTTTTTTATGGAACACAGTTCTGTAAAATTTTCATAAGATTCCTTGGCAATAACATACGCTTGTGATGGACCCTAGAAATACTGCTATGTTAGGATTGGGTTCTGATTCCGAAGGTTTTTCAAGAAAGAGTCCTTCTGCCATCAGTACTGGCACATTGGTCAGTAAGAGAGAAGTAGAGCTAGAAAAAAACACAAAGGAGGAAGAGGACCTTCGCAAACGGAATCGAGAAAGAAACATCGAAGCTGGGAAAGATGATGGTTTGACTGATGCACAGCAACAGTTTTCAGTGAAAGAAACAAACTTTTCAGAGGGAAATTTAAAATTGAAAATTGGCCTCCAGGCTAAGAGAACTAAAAAACCTCCAAAGAACTTGGAGAACTATGTATGTCGACCTGCCATAAAAACAACTATTAAGCACCCAAGGAAAGCACTTAAAAGTGGAAAGATGACGGATGAAAAGAATGAACACTGTCCTTCAAAACGAGTAAGTAGAATTCCTAACAATATGTGGTTATTGACAATATTTTCATTTCCCTATTAATTTTTATCCTATATATGTATTTCCGGGAGTTTGATTTTAATCTATGTTATTTCCAGATAGTTTGTTTTTGTGAGCCTTAAAATAAGCCCCAAGGCTTGTCAAAGATGTAAGTTAATAGCATAACCATGTATGTATTTGTACTTGTAAAATTATTTTAAAATTTTATTTATTTATTTTTTTGAGATTAAGTTTTGCTCTTGTTGCCCAGGCTGGAGTGCAATGGTGTGATCTCGGCTCATGGCAACCTCTGCCTTCTGGGTTCAAGCAGTTCTCCTGCCTCAGCCTCCCGAGTACCTGGGATTACAGGCACCCACCACCACACCGAGCTAATTTTGTGTTTTTAGTAGAGACGGGGTTTCACCATGTTGGCCAGGCTGGTCTCAAACTCCTGACCTCAGGTGATCCGTCCACCTTAGCCTCCCAGAGTGCTGGGATTACAGGCATGAGCCACCACGCCTGGCCTATTTATGCAGTTTTTAAAGGCAAAACTCCAAAGTGCTGGGATTACAGGTGTAAGCCACTGTGTCTGACCGAAAAAAGAGAAATCTTTATTGAGATATGATTCATATACCATACAGTTTGCCCATTTAAATTCAGTGATTTTTAGGGTATTTCATTATTAGCTTTAAAAATTTATGTGAAATCATTTCTTTCTTTCTTTTTTTTTTTTTTTTTTTTTTTTTGAGATGGAGTCTTACTCTGTCGCCCAGACTGGAGTGCAGTGGTGCGATCTCGGCTCACCGCAACCTCCGCCTCCTGGGTTCAAGCGATTCTCCTATTCTCCTGCCTCAGCCCCCTGAGTAGCTGGGATTACAGGCGCCCACCACCGCACCCAGCTAATTTTTGTATTTTTAGTAGAGATGAGGTTTCACCATGTTGGCCAGGCTGGTCTCGAACTCCTGACTTCAGGTGATCCAGCCACCTCAGCCTCCCAAAGTACTGGGATTACAGGTGTGAGCCACTGTACCCAGCCAAAATAATTTACTTCTAAACCTTTTTCATTATCCCAAATTAAAACTCCATAACCATTAAATAATGTCTTCCATTTCTTCTGTCTGCAGCGACTGGTAATATCGAATGTACTTGCCGGGCGTGGTAGCTCACGCCTGTAATCCCAGCACTTTGGCATGCTGAGGCAGGTGGATCACCTGAGGACAGGAGTTTGAGAGCAGCGTGGCCAACATGATGAAACCCCGTCTCTACTAAAAATACAAAAAATTAGCCAACCATGATGGCAGGTGCCTGTAATCCCAGCCCTTGGGAGGCTGAGGCAGGAGAATCGCTTGAATCCAGGAGGCAGAGGTTGCAGTGAGCTCAGGTTGCGCCACTGCACTCCAGCCTGGGCAATGAAAGCGAAATTCCATCTCACCCCCCAAAAAATTCTAATGTACTTTTAGCAACTATAAATTTGCCTATCCTAGCTAACTCATATAGGTGTAATCATACAATATTTGTTATTTTGTGTCTGGCTTATTTCATTTACCAGAATGTCCTCAAGGTGCAACCATGTTGTAGCATGTGCCAAAACTTCATTCCTTTTCATGGCTGAATAATCCATTGTGTGGATATACCACTTTATTTTTATTTATTTATTTATTTATTTTTTGAGTTGGAGTTTCACTCTTGTTGCCCAGGCTGGAGTGCAATGGCGCGATCTCGGCTCACTGCAACCTCCGCCTCCAGGGTTCAAGCAATTCTCCTGCCTCAGCCTCTTGAGTAGCTGGGATTACAGGCGTGTGCCACCATTCCCGGCTAATTTTTGTATTTTTTAGTAGAGATGGGGTTTCTCCATGTTGGTCAGGCTGGTCTCAAACTCCTGTCCTCAGGTGATCCGCCCACCTCTGCTTCCCAAAGTGCTGGGATGACAGGCGTGAGCCACCACACCCAGCCACCATTTTATTTTTTATCCATTCATCTCTTGATGGAATCTTGGTTCACATCCACTATTTGGCTATTGTGAGTAATGCTACAGTGAATGTTGCCATACAGTTATCTATTCAAGTTCCTGCTTTGAATTTTTGGGTATTTACTTGGGAATAGAATTGCTGGGTCATACGGTAATTATTTATTTAGCGCTTTCAGGAACTGTACACTTTTACAGTGGCTATACTGTTTCATATCCCATCAGCAATGCATGAGTTTTTGATTTCTCTGAGTCTTCATGAGGTTTTCTTAATTTTTCTTCCCTCCCTCCCTCCCTCCATTCCTTCCTTCTTTTCTTTCTTCCTTCCTCTCCCCGTCTCCCCTCTACCTCTCCTGCTCCCTGTCTCTGCCTCTCCCCCTCTCTTCCCTCCCCTTCCTTTTGTTTTCTTCCTTCCCTTCTCTCTCTTTCCTTCCTCCCACCGCCCCCCCACCGCCCCCGTTCTCAAGCTGTAGCACATTGTGGTTTTTGATTTGCATTTTCTTAACAACTAATGATGTTGAACAATTTTTCATGTGCTTATTGGCCATTTGTGTATCTTCTTTGAAGAAATGTTTGTTCAAATTATTTGACTACTTTTGAATTGTGTTTTGTTGTTGAATTGTCCAGGTTCTTTATATAATCTGTATATAGGATTTTAAAAATATTTTCTCTCATTCTGTGGATAGTCTTTTAATTTCCTTTTGTGTCCTCTGATGCAAAAAAAAGTTTTCAATTTTGATGAAAACCAGGTCCAGTTTATTTTTTCCTTTATTACCTGTATTATTAGTGTCATAGCCTAGAAATCACTGCCAAATCCAATGTTGTGAAAGTCTTCCCCCTATGTTTTCCTGAGGGTTTTATCGTTTTAGCTCTTATGTTTAGATCTGTGATCCGTTTTGTATTTAAGTTTTGTATATGGTTTAAAGTAAGGGTCCAGCTTCATTCCTTTACATGATATTCAGTTTTCTCAGCATCGTTTCTTGAAGAGAGTATCTTTTCTTCATTGAATGGTTTTGGCAACTTTGTTAAAGAAATTATTGGGCCGGGCGTGGTGGCTCACGCCTGTAATCCCAGCACTTTGGGAGGCCGAGGCGGGCGGATCACGAGGTCAGGAGATCGAGACCATCCCGGCTAAAACGGTGAAACCCTGTCTCTACTAAAAATACAAAAAATTAGCCGGGCGTAGTGGCGGGCACCTGTAGTCCCAGCTACTTGGGAGGCTGAGGCAGGAGAATGGCGTGAACCCGGGAGGCGGAGCTTGCAGTGAGCCGAGATCCCGCCACTGCACTCCAGCCTGGGCGACAGAGCGAGACTCCGTCTCAAAAAAAAAAAAAAAAAAAAAAAAAGAAATTATTGGCCATATATGTGAGAGTTTATTTTAGGACTCTTCCTTTCCATTCCATTGGTCCATATGTCTGTCTTTCTGCAAGTACCACACTGTTTTCATTACTGTAGCTTTGTAGTAAGTTGTTTGTTTGTTTGTTTGTTTGTTTGTTTTAGATGGAGTCTTACTCTGTCGCCTAGGCTGGAGTACAGTGGCATGATCTCGGCTTGAGACCGCAGCCTCTGCCTCCTGGGTTCAAGTGATTCTCCTGCCTCCTGCCTCAGCCTCCCTCCCAAGTAGCTGAGATTACAGGTGCCTGCTACCACGCCCGGCTAGTTTTTGTACTTTTAGTAGAGACAGGGTTTCACCATGTTGGCCAGGCTGGTCTCAAACTCCTGAGCTCAAATGATCTGCCTGCCTCGGCCTCCCATAATGCTGGGATTACAGGTGTGAGCCACCGTGCCCTTCCTGTTTGTTTTTAAAGAGAGAGGGTCTTGCTCCGTCATCCAGGCTACGCTACTCACTGCAGCCTCAAACTCCTGGGCTCAAGTGATCCTCCTGCCTTGGTCTCCCAAAGTGATGGGATTATAAGCATGAGCCATCATGGCTGGCCTGTAGTAAGTTGAAGTCAGAAAGTGTGAGTCCTCCAACTTTGTTATTTTTCAAAATTGTTTTGGCTATTTGGGGTTCCTTGAGATTCCATATGGATTTTAGGATGGGGTTTTCTGTTTCTTTAAACAATAATGTTGGGATTTTGATAGAAATTACATTGAATCTACAGATCACTTTAGGTAGTGTTGTCATCTTAATATGAAGTCTTGAAATCCAGGAATGTGGGATGTCTTTTGTTTATTTAAGATTTCCTTAATTTCTTTCAGCAATATTTTATAAAATTTGTGGTGTTCAAGCCTTTCAC
This sequence comes from Homo sapiens, assembly GCF_000001405.40. NCBI lineage: Eukaryota > Metazoa > Chordata > Mammalia > Primates > Hominidae > Homo > Homo sapiens. The sequence continues at coordinate 155,516,899 of NC_000001.11, read as the reverse complement.
CTCCTTAAATTTATTCCTGTGTATTTTATTTTTTGATGCTATTGCAACCAGAATTGTTTTAAATTTACTTTTCAGATTGCTCATTGTAAATATATAGAAATACAACTAGTTTTTTTAATTATTAATTTTAATTTTTTTTTAGAGACAGGGTCTTGCTGCCCATGCTGGAGGGGCAGTGGCATTGCTCATTGTAGCCCCAAACTCCTGGACTCAAGCAATCTTCCTGCCTTAGCCTCCTTTTGTTTATTTTAATAAAAAAAAATTATTTTTGTAGAGATGGGGTCTTGCTGTTTTGCCCAAGCTGGTCTTGAACTTCTGACCTCAATGATTCTCCTTCCTTGGCCTCCCAAAGTGATGGGATTACAGGTGTAAGCCACTGTGTTGGCCACAACTGATTTTGGCATGTAGGTTTTGTATCCTGCAACTTTGCTGAATTCATTTATTAGCTTGAACAATTTGTTGATGTTTTAGGGTTTTCTACATATAAAACTGTGTCGTCTGCCAACAGAGATAATTCAGTATTTTAATATATGCCTCAGGTATTTCTTACATTCCAGCAGATTTGGGAAACACTAGGTTTACTTACTGTGAAATGAGAGTAGGTTATTTTCTGTTCAGTGAGTTAGCTACTGAAAATAGTGTTCTTTTGTCTACTGAAATATTATATATAATTTTTTTCATATTTTTAAAATTATAAACTCCCAATGGCCATTACTGAATAGGTTACATACAGTGTTTTGAATGTGGTCAAGCAACCTCTTTAGTGGTCCTTACCGGTAGAAGAACTTAAACAACTAGTATACTGAAAGTAGTAGTTGCTGGTACTATAGCAGGAAGACAAAAGAAGAGGAAAACAGAACGATAGAAGGCAGTGTAAGAAACAAGAGGAAAGGATGATGATAAAGTGCCATCAGGCTACCTCAAAGGATAAAGTTTTCTGTCCATAATCCATGCTAGTATAGTATGTAGGCTAATCTCCGAGTTATATTGATATATATGTATATATAGATTGGTGCAAAAGTAATTGCAGTTTTGGGCCATGCATTTTTTTTTTTTTTTTTTTTTTTAAGGCAGAGTCTCCTTTTGTTGCCTAGGCTGGAGTGGAGTGCAGTGGCTTGATCTCGGCTCACTGCAGCCTCCGCCTCCTGGGTTAAGGCAATTCTCTTGCCTCAGCCTCCTGAGTAGCTGGGATTACAGGTGCTTGCCACCATACCTGGCTAATTTTTGTATTTTTAGTAGAGATGAGGTTTCACCATGTTGGCCAGGATGGTCTCGAATTCCTGACCTCAGGTGATTCGCCTGCCTCAGTCTTCCAAAGTGCTGGGATTATAGGAGTGAGTCCCTGTGTCCGGCCATTGACCATGAATTTTAAATCATCATAACTAGGCTCAAACACATCTTTATTAATCAAAATAGGAACCATTACAATAAAAGTTTGTGCCAAAAAGAAATCAGTTTGTTTAATCCTGTAGCATAAAAATCTGTGCTTCTGGATTCAACAAACTCTTGGGAAGGATTTTACGCATCCTGCTGGTTGTGGAAGCTGTTTCCCTGCAAAAAATTGTTGAGATGCTTGAAGAAGTGGTAGCTGGTTGACGAGAGGTCGGTTGAATATGTCAGGTGAGGCAAAACTTAGTAGTCCAATTCGTCCAACTTTTGAAGCATTGATTGTGTGACATGTAGTCAGGCGTTGTCCTGGAGAAGAATTGGGCTCTTTTTGTTGATCAGTGCTGGCGGCAGGCATTGCAGTTTTTGGTACATCTCATCAATTTGCTGAGCATACGTCTCAGGTGTAATGGTTTCGCTGGCATTTGGAAAGGTATAGTGGATCAGACTGGCAGCAGACCACCAAACGGTGACCATGACCTTTTTTGGTGCAAGTTTGGCTTTGAAAAGTGCTTTGGAGCTTCTTCTGGGTCCAACCACTGATCTGGTTGTTGCCGGTTGTGATATAAAATCCACTTTTTGTCACACATCACAGTCTGAGAAATTTTTCCTTGTTGGTGTGTAAAATGCCGAATGACTGTAGAATGGTTGAAGTTGCCGAGTTCCTCGGCAACTTCTCGTGTAGTTAAAAGAGGATCAGTTTCGATGATTGCTCTCAGTTGTTGTGAGCTTCTGACAGCCAGCCACTGTGCTTCTTATCTTCAAGGCTCTTACCTCCTTTGCAAAACTTCCTGAACCACCGCTGTACTGTACATTCATTAGCAGTTCCTGGGCCAAATGCGTTGTTGATGTTGCAAATCGTCTCCACTGCTTTATGACCCATTTTAAACCCAAATAAGAAGATCGCTTGAATTTGCTTTTAGTCTAACATTTCCATAGTCTAAAATAAATATAAATATAAATATAAAATAAACAGCAAGTAATCATTAGCAAAAAAACATAAAGTGAGAAATGCGCATTAAAATGATATATAACATAACCACATTTAAGAACGTATTCCAATATCAAGTGGCAAATTTCAACAGTGCAAAAACTGTAGTTACTTTTACACCAGTATTACCTGTTTTATTTATAGTTTATAACAATTATATAGTTTTAAAAAATAAATGTGTGTATATGTATGTATATCCGTATATATAAACTGTGGTAGGCTGCATATAACCTGAACTTTTTCCATTTTAACCATTTGTAAGTGTATAATTTTGTGGCATTAGGTAGATGCACTTTTTGTGCGACCATGCCCACCCACCAGCTCTGGATCTTTTTTTGACATTTTCCAGCTGACACTCTATTAACTCTTCATTCTCCCTCCTGCAGCCCCTAGCGAAACCACTATTCTACTTTCTGTCTTTGAATTTGACTACTGTAATTACCACATATAAGTAGAATCATACAATATTTGTCCTTAGGTAACTGCCTTATTTCCCTTAGCATAATGTCCTCAAGGTTGTCCATCTTGGAGTATGTCAGAGTTGCTTTCGTTTTTAAGGCTGAATAATATTCCAGTGTATGTATATACCAAATTTTGTTCATTCTATGGATATGTCAGATTCAGAAGCTGTTTGTGAATTTTTAGGTTAATGTGATTGTCAACTATTAATTTCTAGATTTGTTCAGCTATTACTTTTCTGGGTAGTATTTTACTAGATAAGTTAATCTAGTCCATCTATGGATGGCCACTGGTATTGCTTCCAGCTTTTAACAGTTGTGACTAATGCTGAACATGTGTGTAGAAATATCTGAGTCCCTGCTTTCACATCTTTTGGGTATGTATATATGTGGAAGTGGAATTTTTGGTCGTATTGCAATTTTTTTGGTAAGAGATTGGGTGTCGCTGTGTCACCCAGGCTGGACATTGTAATTCTTTTTTTTTTTTTTTTTTGATACAGGATCTCACTCCTGTTGCCCTGGCTGGAGTGCAGTGGCATAATCACAGCTCACTGCAGCCTTGACCTCCTGGGCTCAGATGATTCTGCCATCTCAGCCTCTTGAGTAGACCGGCTACAGGCATGCACAACCACTCCTGGCTCATTTTTTGTATTTTTAGTAGACATGGGGGTTTCACCATGTTGCCCAGGCTGATCTTGAACTCCTGGACAGGCTGGACAGTCTGTCTGTCTCAGCCTCCCAAAGTGCTAGGATTTACATGTGAGCCACTGTGCCTGGCTGGGGCATTATAATTCTATGTTTAATTTTTTGAAAGAATTACCATACTGTTTTCCACAGGGGCTGTACAATTTTACATTCCCACCAGGAACTCACAAGTATTCTGGTTCTTCCACATCCTCGGTAACAGTTATTCTGTATTTTTAAAAAATTATAGCCATCCTAATGTGTAGGAGTTACTCATTATATTTATAATTTATTATTATATATCTATAGTTTTGTTTGTTTGAGACAGCATCTTGCTATTGCCTAGGTTGGAGTGCAGTGATGTGATTAGGCTCACTGTAGCCTTGACCTTGACCTCCTGGGCTCAAGCAATCCTACCGCCTCAGCCTCCCAAGAAGCCGCGGCTACAGGTGTGTGCCACCACACTTCTAATATTTTTATATTTTGTAGAAATGTTGCTCCTTATGTTGCCCAGGCTGGTCTTGAAATCCTGGGCTCAAGTGATCCTCCCATCTCAGCCCCCCAAAGTGCTGGGATTACAAGGTGTCAGCCACCGTGCCAGTGAGCCACTGTGCCCAGCTTGATATGTGTTTTTTTGTTTTTTAAACATAAGACTAATCGCAGCACTTTGGGAGGCCGAGGCGGGTGGATCACTTGAGGTCAGGAATTTGAGACCAGCCTGAACAATATGGTGAAACCCCATCTCTACTAAAAATACAAAAATTAGCTGGGTGTGGTGGTGAGCACCTATACCCCCAGCTACTCAGGAGGCTGAAGCAAGAGAAGCTCTTGAACCCAGGAGGTGGAGGTTGCAGTGAGCCGAGATCACACTACTGCACCCCTGCCTGAGTCACAGAGTGAGACTCCATCTCAAAAAAAAAAAAAAAAAAAAAGTCTAAGATCCTTTGCCTTTCTTTTTTTTTAAAAGACAGAGTCTCACTCTGTCACCCAGGCTTGCATGCAGTGGCGTGATCTCGGCTTACTGCAACCTCTGCTGCCCAGGTTCAAGCCATTCTCCTGCCTCAGCCTCCCGAGTAGCTGGGATTACAGGTGCATGCCACCACGCCCTGTGCTGCGCCTGGCGGATCTTTTGCCTTTCTACTTTATCTTCAGTGCTCCAAAAGAAGCAGCCCTGGAACTCCTATTGAGATTGTGATAAAGGATTGTGATAAAGGATAGTATTTTCTCCTTTACTGACCATAGGGAAATAAGAGAATAAGAAACAATCTTGGCTGGGCACAGTGGCTCACACCTGTAATCCCAGCACTTTGGGAGACCCAGGCGGGTGGATCACCTGAGGTCGGGAGTTCGAGACCAGCCTGACCAACATGGAGAAACCCTGTCTCTACTAAAAATACAAAAAATTAGCCGGGCGTGGTGGTGCATGCCTGTAATCCCAGCTACTTGGGAGGCTGAGACAGGAGAATCGCTTGAACCCAGGAGGAAGAGGTTGTGGTGAGCCGAGATCCCGGCATTGCACTCCAGCCTGGGCAACAAGAGCAAAACTCCATCTCAAAAAGAAAAGAAAGAAACAATCTTGCCGGGCGTGGTGGCTCACCCCTGTAATCCCAGCAGTTTAGGAGGCCAAGGTGGGTGGATCACAAGGTCAAGAGATCGAGACTATGCTGGCCAACATGGTGAAACTCTGTCTCTACTAAAAATACAGAAATTAGCTGGGTGTGGTGGCTCACGCCTGTAGTCCCAGTGACTCAGGAGGCTGAGGCAGGAGAATCACTTCAGCCCGGGAGGCGGAGGTTGCAGTGAGCCGAGATTGCGCCACTGCACTCCACCCTGTCTCAAAAACAAACAAACAAGAAACAGTCTTGGTTTGTTCATGAAAGAATCTTGATTTGTTTGTGTCCTACTCTTAATTGTAATACCTTGTTAAGGAATAATTGACAGTGGATTGAAGTTTGGAAAGTCTCCAGAGAGGGAATAAAACCTCAGAATCTCCTGAATCTAGAAAAACATTGTTAAGTATATCAAACTGCAGTGATCCCTGTGGGAATTTTGTAGTTTCAGTGTAGTGAAGATGGCTAATGAATTAGACTCAAAAATAGAATGCCACATTTAGATTACTGTTCTAATGTTTCTTTGCATAAACTTTGGTTCCAGTGAGTTCTTAACTGTGGTGGTGTTTTGCAAACAAAGGGAAACCTGAAGACATTTTCAGTATATTCGTCTTCTTTATTTCCTTTAAGAAAAGGTTATTCTGCTTGATGATTTATGTATCACATATCATGGATGGTTAATGCATAGTATGTTATGTCATATTTCATACTTTTATTACTTGGAAATTTTTATTTTAAAATGTCAGACTCATATTTGAGGTTCAAAAGTTGAGAATTTTTAGGTTAATAACATGATTTTCAACTGTCAATTTCTAGATTTGTTCAGGTGTCATTTTTCTGGGTAATATTTTGCTATATAAAAGTTAATTATCTAATCAGTTTACTTTCAGTGAAAATTTTTGTTCTGTATATGTTTACTGTGGCTTCCATCAGCCTATTTTAGTTAAAAAACAAGACTTAATTTTAGCTGGGTAGTCTGGGTGACAGAGCGAGATCCTGTCTCCAAAAAAAAAAATGTGTTTTCAGGTTCATCTTCGCTTGGAGAATCATATCACATTAAGAATAAATTGTTGGGAATCAAAGTTGGTACAAAGAAACTTCCAGAAGAGTAACTCCAACATTGCTATCTTTGGTATCTTCCAGAAACATATTTGCACTTACAAACCAGTATGCATCCCCTACATACATGTTCTTTCCCCATTTTAAAATGTAAATAGTAGCACACTGTACCTACTGCTCTGTATCTTTTTTCTATTAAATAGTATATACTAAAGATTTTTCCATAACAAGACTATGAGAACTTCTTTAGCCCTTGGAAATGTGGCTTATATAATTTTTTTTTTTTTTTTTTTTTTTTTTGAGGCAGCCTTGCTCTGTCGTCCAGGCTTGAGTGCAGTGGTGCGATCTCGGCTCACTACAACCTCCGCCTCCCGGGTTCAAGCTTTTGTCTTGCCTCAGCCTCTTGAGTAGCTGGGATTACAGGTGTGCACCACCACGCCTGGGTAATTTTTGTATTTTTAGTAGAGACAGGGTTTCTCCAAATTGGTCAGGCTGGTCTCGAACTCCTGACCTTGTGATCCGTCCGCCTCAGCCTCTCAAAGTGCTGGGATTATAGGCACGAGCCGCTGCGCCCAGCATATAATTTTCTTTTTCCAGTTTGTTATTTGTCTTTAGACTTTGGTTATGTTATTTTGCCATGCAGAAATATTTAGCTTTTTACCTGATGTAATTTATAAATCTTTTTAAGGCTTCTGGATTTTTGACGTGTCATTAGAAAGACCTTCTTCCTTCGAAGTTTATAAAAGATTTCCTTATGTTGTTTTGCAGATCTTTGTAGTGTTTTGTTTTTTAACATATAAATCCTTGATCCATTTGGAGTTTGTTATGGTTTATGAGTTATGGTTCCAAATTTATCTCTTTCCAAATGGCTACATGGTTGTCCCAACACTTATTATTATTATTATTATCATTTGAGATGGAGTCTCGCTCTGTCGCCCAGGCTGGAGTGCAGTGGTGCAGTCTCGGCTCACTGCAACCTCTGCCTCCTGGGTTCAAGCAGTTCTTCTGCCTCAGCCTCCTGAGTAGCTGGGATTAGAGACACACACCATCATGCCCAGCTAATTTTTGTATTTTTAGTAGAGACAGGCTTTCCTCACGTTGGTCAGGCTGGTCTCGAACTCCTAACCTCAGGTGATCGGCCTGCTTTGGCCTCCCAAAGTGCTGGGGATTATAGGCGTGAGCCACCAAGCCCGGCCTCAACACTATTTTTAAGAAGTCCATCTTTACTTCTCTGATTTGAGAGGCTGCTTTGTCATACACTGAATTTCTTTATGTACTTGGTTCTAGTCTGATTTTCCTTTTAGTATCAATGATGTTTCTGTTTATTTACATTTTTTGTTTGTTTATTTTTAAGAGTCTGAGTCTTGTCTTTTTTAACCAGGCTGTGGTGCGGTGGTGTGATCATAGCTCACTGTAACCTTGAACTCCTGGGGATCATCCTGGGGATCAAGCTATCTTCCTGTCCCAGCCTGGCAAATCATTAGGATTACAGGTGTGAGCCATGGCACCCGGCCACCATGATACAGTTTTAAGTATTTTGTTTTATAGGTAGGACTAATCCATCCTCCTAACTTGTATTTTAGTGTGCTCCCTGTACTTTTGCCTATTAATTTATAAACAATGTAATTTCAGTGAAAATAATTTTTTTTTTCTAGAATGTGGCTGATTATAAAGTTTGTATATTGTTCATCTTTATCTGTGGTTGAATTTGGAGCCTAATTTGATGATGACTACTTTGAGAGGCTTTGACTTTAGTTTTCCAGGAGTTAGGGTACGTTACTGACACCTTTCCTGGGGTCTCTATTTTGCCCCTAGCGCATGACTTGATGCACTTACCCACTGTATTATTGTGCCTATTTAGGTCAGCCCTTTTTATTCTTTTCTTTTGGTCCTGTTGGAGCTTCTTCTTACTCCTATGAGGCAGCAGTGTAAGAAACGTATTTTATGCTGGTTTGAGTTATTTTGTTGTAATAGAAGACTCTTCACAGTATTTAGCGTAGCATATTGCTCTAAGTAGAAAGCCCCTGATTGTTTTATAAGAAATAATGTTCATTATTTTATTTTTACTTTTGAGACTAGAGTCTCACTGTGTCATACAGGCTGGAGTGCAGTGGTGCAATCTTGGCTCACTGCAATCTCCGCCTTCTGGGGTTCAAGTGATTCTTGTGCCTCAGCCTCCTGAGTAGCTGGGATTACAGGTGAATGCCATCATGTCTGGCTAATTTTTGTATTTTTAGTAGAGATGGGGTTTTGCCATGTTGGCTAGGCATGTCTCGAACTCCTGGCCTCAAGTTATCTGCCTGCCTTGACCTCCAAAGTGCTAGGATTACAGGCATGAGCCACCATGCTTGGACTCATTATTAATTTTATAGCAGGTTTTCCTGTTTTCTTTTTTCCTCCCAAGTGGAAAGAAAAACTTTCTTGTAATTTTTCTCTAAAAATTTATGTTTGGCTTTGATGCAGTTACATGTGGTGTCTGCCATTTCATAAGCTGTCAGAATGGTACATTCATTTTTCTACAGCAGTATTTTAGAAAGTGAAAGTAGAGATGGAAGTCACAATATTTACTTGTATTTATCACACAGTAACTTAAAAGGAGATGGAGCAATGGTACATTTCTTTCCAGCATTTAAAGAAAATTCCGTTTTTGGAGTTACATAATACGTGATTGTAGTTCATTTAGTATGCTTAGCCAAAAAAAAAAAAAAAGTCAAGTATACAAGCTTGCAATAAAAAGTTCTACTATATTAGGAAGTCAGAGTTGAGGAGGTACACAAAGGCATCTTGGCAAAAATGCACAAATGGTGGATACATAACATTTTTTAAGAGACACGGTCTTCTTCTAAAGAGGCAGTCTGTTGCCCAAGGCTGTGCAGTGGCATGATCATGGTTCACAGCAGTCTTGGCTCCCATGGGCTTAGGTGATCCTCCCATCTCAGCTTCCGGAATCACTAGGACCACAGGTGTGTGCCACCGCACTTGGCTAATTTTATTTTATTTTTTATAGAGACAGTGTCTTGTTGTGTTGCCCAGGCTGTTCTCGAACTCCTGTGCTGAATCGATCCTCCTGCCTTGTCCTCCCAACATACTGGGATTACAGGCGTGAGCCACTGCATTTGGTCATATCATTATACCATGTCTCATGATTATGATGAGCAGATTACGTATTAGTCAAATAGCATTGAAATTTGGTGCTTTGTTGACTAACATTTTTGTCATTGGATAGTTTATTTGATGTTACTTTAGTCTAGATGAGTGGATTTCATGAGCACAATGAATTACAAGTAAAATTTATAGCCATAATTATAATTTCCAGTCCAAAAATGGTTTTCTGTTTAGAAAAGAAAATTCTATGCCATCTTAATAGATTTAAGAAGCAGTTCGTTGAAGAAATAATTTTGAATTTCAGTGAAGCGTTTTTTTTTTTTTTTGAGACGGAGTTTCGCTCTTGTTGGCCAGGCTGGAGTGCCATGGCGCGATCTCGGCACACCGCAACCTCCACCTCCTGGGTTCAAGCGATTCTCCTGCCTCAGCCTCCCGAGTAGCTGGCATTGCAGGCACGCACCACCATGTCTGGCTAATTTTGTATTTTTAATAGACAGGGTTTCTCCATGTTGGTCAGGCTCATTTCGAACTCCTGACCTCAGGTGGCCTGCCCGCCTTGGCCTCCCAAAGTGCTGGGATTACAGGCGTGAGCCACTGCGCCTGGCCTAAGTGATTTTTTTGGAGAATTATTATTACTTTTTAAACAAAATTTGATAAAGTTAAATATTTTTCTTTTTTGTAGAAACAGTCTGGCTATGTTGGCCAGGCTGGTCTTGAACTCCTGGGGTCAAACGATCCTCCTACCTCAGCCTCTCAAAGTGCTAGGATTACAGGTGTGAGCCACCATACCCGGCTGAGAATTATTAAAACCCACATGAATCCAAGTATTAGACTTAAAGCCTGTCCTGGAATTTAAAATTTTATAATGCTATATAACTGGTAGATTAATGTTTCTTTTTCTTTTTTTTATTTGAGATGGAGTCTCGGTCCATTGCCCAGGCAGTTCAGTGGCATAATCTTGGCCACACTGCAGTCTCCACCTCCCAGGTTCAAGCAGTTTTCCCACCTCAGCCTCCCAGGTAGCTGGTACTACAGGCACACGCCACCATGCCTGGCTAATTTTTGTATTTTTAGTAGAGACGGGGTTTTGCTATGTTGGCCAGGCTAATCTTGAACTCCTGACCTCAGGTGATCCACCCACTTCGGCCTCCCAAAGTGCTAGGATTACAGGCGTGAGCCACCGTGCCCAGCCTAATGTTGTTTCTTAAATAAGAAAAATGGATAATAATAGTGCCTTAGTTCTTGCTCGGTAGAGATTATTTGCCTGGCAGTTTTTAAAGTGCTGCAAACAAGTTCCAATTATTTTGAAATAGAGTTGTTGGAAAAAAATTGGTATGACATTACCTAGGTTTTGGATTTTTTTCCTTTGTATTTGTTAGATAATAATAGTGTATTAACATATACACCAAGGAATACTATGCAGCCATAAAAAAGAATGAGTTCATGTCATTTGTAGGGACATAGATGAAGCTGGAAACCATCATTCTGAGCAAACTATTGCAAGGGCAGAAAACCAAACACTGCATGTTCTCACTCATAGGTGGGAATTGAACAATGAAAACACTTGGCCACAGGGTGGGAAACATCACACATCGGGGCCTGTCGTGGGGTGGGGGCAGGGGGGAGGGATAGCATTAGGAGATATACCTAATGTAAATGACGAGTTAATGGGTGCAGCACACCAACATGGCACAGGTATACATATGTAACAAACCTGCACGTTGTACACATGTACCCTAGAACTTAAAGTATAATAAAAAATAATGATAATAATAGTGTGTTAGGTTTTCTAGATAATAATAGTTCCTTTAAATTATACCCTATTTTAAGTTAGCCCAGTTTTCTATAAAATGTATATATTTTAAATTGAGATATAATTCAAATACTGTAAAATTTATCCTTTTAAAATGTACAGTTCAGTGTTTTTAGTATATTCAGTATGTTAAGTGTATACAGAGTTACGAAACCATTATTAATAATTTTAAACATTGTCATCTTAATAAACATTTTCATCTTAAATTTGTATCTTTCGTGTGCCTTTTATACTTAAAATAACTGATCAAAAGGACTAATATTTTGATTTATACTTTCACAAAGGAGGTTACAGTTTTATATCACTTAACTTTGCCCATAGTCTCTAGTGCAGAGTCACAACATTCTTTGATTTGTTTTTCCACGTGCTGTAAAAAAAAATTGTGCTATGACATGATAACTGCCATGATAGAAATACATACGGAGTGTATATGTGAATCGCAGAATCATTGGAGAAGGTGGTGAGCAAGAGAATATGCAAAGAAGGGCTCATGCTTAAAATTAGGTGTTGACAACTTTGTCAGAATTTGCTGGAAAGAGAAAGGCTTTTGGGACAAAGTAAATAATAAAGGGAAAATGCACACTTAGGATGTCTCACAGGGTTTTCTCAGTTGTGCTGTAAAACAAGAATTTGACAGTTCTTTACTGTAGGTAAATAGTAAGAAAATATAAATAATGAGGCCGGGCGCAGTGGAAAAAAACAAAAAGAATTGCATGACCATACTTATTTTTTCTTAGGATTTTTCTTTGGTTTTTTGTTTGTTTGTTTGTTTTTAAGTTTGTGGTCCTACTTTGTAGTAGGATTCCTCTTAGAGGAAAAATTAAAAGATAAAACCACTTTTTTGGACTATTTTTCTGTTTCAGAAATTTGGGTTTGCTTTGGTAAGTAGGGGCCCTGTCATTTATAGCTGTAATGGTAAATCTTTTTTTTTTTTTTTTTGAGATGGAGTTTCAGTCTTGGTTGCCCAGGCTGGAGACAATGGTGTTATCTCAGCTCACTGCAACCTCTGCCTCCTGGGTTCAAGAGATTATCCTGCCTCAGCCTCCCGAGTAGCTGGGATTACAGTTGTGTGCCACCATGCCTGGCTAATTTTTGTATTTTTAGTAGAGATGCGGTTTCACCATGTTGGTCAGGCTGGTCTTGAACTCCTGACCTCAGGTGATCCGACTGCCTTGGCCTCCCAAAGTGCTGGGATTACAGGCCTGAGCCACCGCGCCCAGCCAGTAAATACTAACAAAGTCAGATAAGTACCTGACTTTTATTTTACAAATATGTGCATAATTAATAGTGAACTACCCTGGTCTTCATGAGAGAGTGAAAGTCAAGCTATATAATATTGGGGCAGATTCGTAGAGCTTCTTTATCTTACAGAACTGCAACAGCAGGTGGCATTAGAGATCAGGTTTAAGGGTGAGTTGCAACGTATTTTTAATAGTTGCCACTATTAGGAAGGGAAGTAACACATATTGGGGATTCAGGGTACAACTGGCAAAGCTCAGCTTGACCCTTGGGTGTTGCTGATCTGTTAGAAGATTCTCCGTATGTGTATATATTTTTTTAAACTAACCACTAAAAAATATAGCAATTAAGAATTACCTTCCAAGAAGAAAGGGAAAATAATGTTTTATGTCTAATACCTACCTTTCCATATCCCAAACTAAACAGTTGAAAAATAAGAGGGTGTCATCCAGGGCCTACTTAATAACGTTTACCTTTTCTTTACAAATGAATGTCATTTTGCACCAGCAGATGCCTTATGTCAAGAGTTATGGGCTGGACATGGTGGCTCCCACCTGTAATCCTAGCACTTAGGGAGGCCAGGGTGGGTGGGTGGCTTGAGCTCAGGAGTTCAAGACCAGTCTGGCAACATGGTGAAACCCCCCTGTACAAAAAATACAAATGTTAGCCAGGCATGGTGGCTTACACCTGTTGTCCCAGCTACTCAGGATGCTGAGGCAGGAGGATCACTTGAGCACAGGAGGTCGAGGCTGCAGTAAGTTGTGTTCATGCCACTGTACTGCAGCCTAGGTGATAGAGAGATGAAGTGGAATATATGATTGGATAAGGACTTACAGGGAAGAGGGTGGTAGTTTACATATTAACTGTGGCTTCCCTGGAACTGCTTAATGTAAATACGGATCTTTCTATAATCTGGATTATGCATACTAATGCTTTAGTTTCTCTAAAATCAATGACCTAAATTGAGAGAATACTGATTATTAAAAGAAGATAATGTCAACAAAGATGTCAGAAATGTTATTAAGGTGAAATTGTAACCAGAACTCACTTTTGAAACAAAACAGGTACTGAACTAGTGTTTATTTTTTAACAGCCAAGTCCTAATTTACTATGTATATTTTACTTTTATTTTTGGAAAACATATCAAAGTATACAAGCTTGCAATAAAAAGTTCTACTATATTAGGAAGTCAGAGTTTAGGAGGTACACAAAGGCATTTTGACAAAAATGCACAGATGGTAGATACACTAGAATATTTTAGCTGTATTGAGTGAAGCTACATTGAATTACTAACATCTGAGGATATATATGAAGGCACAAAAATGATCCTAACATCTTTCTGTAGGATTTGATAGTAACTCTCACAGTAAAAACAGTGAAACAAAATGGCACCTGCTTCTCAGCCTCACTTTTTCATTTCTTAGCAAAATTACTGAGTGTGATTATTGTGTAGTTCCTTGCCTAGTCTTTGATTTTACGGGCTGGGGGCTCCAAAAGATTGCTGAGGAGATCAAAAGCAGATGCTGAAAATTATAAGCCAAGGCAGGGGAGCTTGGTAACCTTTCTTTCTAAGCTGTTTGTTGATTATAACGGTTAGGGCAATTATGAAGGTTAGGAATTATGAAATATGGAAATTCTCCTAAGCATACTTGGTAACTCTTAAAAATTCTATTTGTCTCAACCTCGATAACTAAAATTACCTAAGATAAATGAGAAAAATTAGAAAAGCAAATTTAATCACTAAATTTCTAAATAAAAAGCAAAAAGGATAAAAAAGTTTCACTGTGCAAGGAGAAAGGAAGGAGGATGAGGGAATGGAAAGACTCAGCTTAGACATCCCCCAATTCTGTGAAACGTTCCCTGAACCTTTCTAGGAGGTTACTCTATCCTCTGTGTTTCCATTGCATATATTTCTGTTTTTAACATATAGCACATTGTATAATAATTATTAATTGATTTCTCTATTTCTTTGGCTCCTTCAGTGTCAGGGTGATCTTTTAAGTTTGTGCTTTTTATGAGCAACACAGAAAATGCTTTAAAAACAGTTCAGTAAGACTGAAGAAAAGATCTGTAAGCATAAAACAAATACCATCATCATTACCAAAAATTCAGTGCTTAAAATATAGCTTGAGAATGTGAGTATTTATTTCCTTATTCCTAAGATTTTGCTTTTGAATACACTATCTGCCGGGCGCGGTGGCTCATGCCTGTAATCCCAGCACTTTGGGAGGCCAAGGCGGGCGAATCACAAGATCAAGAGATCGAGACTATCCTGGCCAACATGGTGAAACCCCATTTCTACTAAAAATACAAAAAATTAGCTGGGTGTGGTGGTGCGTGCCTATAATCTCAGCTACTCGGGAGGCTGAGGCAGAAGAGTTGCTTGAACCCGGGAGGCGGAGGTTGCAGTGAGCCAAGATCGCGCCATTGCACTCCAACCCGGATGACAGTGTGAGACTCTGTCTCAAAAAAAAAAAAAAAAAGAAAAGAAAAGAAAAGAAAACTGTCATAACTGTATTACTCAAATATTTCCTCTTCTCTCATTTGCTAAAAATATATAGTAAAACTTTCATGCCTATTTAAAACAATCTCTAGGCCGAGTGCAGTGGCTCATGCCTGTAATCCCAGCATTTTGGGAGGTTGAGGCAGGCGGATCATGAGGTCAATAGATCGAGACCATCCTGGCCAACATGGTGAAACCCCGTTTCTACTAAAAATACAAAAGTTAGCTGGGCATGGTGGCGTGTGCCTGTAGTCTCAGCTACTTGGGAGGCTGAGGCAGGAGAATCGCTTGAACCCGGGAGGTGGAGGTTGCAGTGAGCCGAGATTGCGCCACTGCGCTTCAGCCTGGTGACAGAGCGAGACTCTGTCTCAAAAAAATGAATGAATAAAACAATCTGTAGATTGCTATTTTTAAGAAATTGCGGATGCCAAGGTGGGCAGATCACCCGCGGTCAGGAGTTCAAGACCAGCCTAGTCAACATGGCAAAACCTGGTCTCTACTAAAAATATAAAAATTAGCCAGGAATGGTGACACCCACCTGTAGTCCCAGCTACTTGGAGGGATGGAGTACGATAATCACTTGAAACCGGGAGGTGGAGATTGCAGTGAGCTGAGATTGTGCTACTGCACTCCAGCCTAGGTGATAGAGTGAGACAATATGTAATAAATAATTAGGAACATCTGAAAGTAATCTTAGTTTAAGAAAACATTTTGAAGTTGGGCATGGTGGCTTAGGCTTGTAATCCCAGTTACTCAGAAGACTTGAGGCAGGAGGATTGCTTGAGGCCAGGAGTTTAAATCCATCCTTGGCAACGTAACAAGACCCCATTTCTGATTTTAAAAATAAGGAAGAAAGACAAAACATTTTTAGATGTCAAACACCTTTTGAAAGAGTTTAACACATCTTAATGACTTACCCCAAATAGGTGGTACCATATGAACCCAAGTCAAACAATTTTATTATTAATACTATGGGGTATTGTGTTTTTCCAATTGCCTTTTGTTTTGTTTTTATTTTTTAAACCAATTCTTTGTGTTTAGGCTCCTTAGCTCTTTTTTTTTAAATATAGTTTCTTTTTATTTAGAGACAGAGTCTCATTCTGTCGCCCAGGCTGGAGTGCAGTGGTGCAATATCAGCTCATTGCAACCTCTGCCTCCCAGGTTCAAGCGATTCTCATGCCTCAGTCTCCTGAGTAGCTGAGATTACAGGCATGTGCCACCATGTTCGGCTAATTTTGTATTTTTAGTAGAGACAGGGTTTCGCCATGTTGACCAGTTTGGTATCAAACTCCTGGCCTCAAGTGATCTGCACGCCTAGGCCTCCCAAAATTCTGGGATTACAGGTGTGAGACACCACGCCCAGTCTAGGCTCCTCAGCTCTTACCAGAGAATTTGGGACTTGTTAATAGGAGAAGATAGGCACATTCTGTCATCTTACTTGTGCCCTATGGGCTGCGTGCCATCTCAGAGTGCTTTTTTTTTTCCTTATGCCTATTTATGAAGAGGTCCAGAATGCATGTCTACATTATTTGACTGCTGCGTTTTCACTTCCATGTTCTTGTTGACAAATGCTATTCAAGCAAGAAGACCCGATTGTATGTAGGTATCTCTGAGTCTTGCTATGATGGATTCTGTAGTCTTACCTTCATCTTGATTGTTTACTTTAAAAGCTGCTTAAGCTAGAGGTATTTTTATGGTAGAGAAGAGAACAGTTGGCACAGAGCCCAGCTTCTCCATGGCAGCAGCAATTATGCAAATTATCCTGGATCTTTACATTTCAGTAAAACCTTTCTTCCCCCTTTACATACACAAAATAGACAGCTAAGGGGCTGTGATCTGTCCTAAAGCCTTGGAGATAAAACAGGATGTCACTCTTTTCTCAAAATGACTTCTATTACGGAAGCATGAGCTCCCTTAAATGGAAGGGCAAAGCAAATCCCTGCCATTGGGCTCTGCAGCCTCTGCTATAAATGTGCCAGGAAGATTAAAACTACCGTAATTAGTTTAATCAGGTTCATCCTCAATTCTTGCTTTCATTATGTAGTAGGAACTTCCCTAATCAGTACTGCATTTGGCTGATTGAAGAGTTCACTTTCATAGCTAGGATATCTGCTGGAGTCTGTATTGTGGTTTGTTTTAATGGTGTATATATGGTGAATGTGAATGTTTCTCATTTCATTGTTGATCTTGCTAATGGAAAAAAAAAATCATTATTGAACCAAATTGTTAGAAGGTATATCTTCTTTAGTCCCAGAGAATTAAGCCTAAATATCATTACTTTCACTCACTAATTCGTATACTGCTTTTTATGGTTGTCTGCTCATATCTTTGATTTCATTTTAATGATTGTAAATCACTCCAGAGATCCTCACATACGGCTGCTCAATAATTACACATTACTAATTAATTCTGAGCTACAGCTGTATGGAAATGAATGAAAGCTTTTTGAGAGACATCAGAATTAAAGGTCCTATATGATAAGATGACAAAACCTGGAACTTTTATGAAAATTCATTAATAGGAAGACAAGATGAAACTTAATGATGAAAGAAAAGTTTCCTCTCTGACCTCACTTTGTGAGTCAAAATCACTGAGTACATAGTTCAAAATTGTACCTCTTTCGTAACTAGTTAGATGGGGATAGGGAGAAATCCTGTGAGAAAGACTATAGATGAAGTCAGATTTGCAGTGGTTTTTCATGTTGGGAATAAAAGAGGTGTTAAAAAGACCCTGAAGACTTTGTCCTCTGCCACTGGGACAAATTGACACCTTATGTCTATTCCTTAAATTATATAGCAAGAAGAACTTCTTGGGTGGTGGAAGTTTACATCACATGATGATTTCTATATTAGTATTGCCATTATTTTATCATAATTTATTTAAGAAATTATGCTAGTAACATGTTTTGGCTTACTCTTGATCCTATGAGGGCCATATAATGAGGATAGAATTTGGGGCTTCAGTGTGGAATATAAAATTCAAGTTCAGCATCTAATGGTTTTGTAATTTAAGAAAAGCCCATTGTGGTCTGCTTTTGAAAAGAAAATATTTGGTGACTTTCTATTAAAATGCATTCTTGACCTATATGTTTAATTTTCTTTAATATTTCTTTTTGGCTTTTTTTTTTTTTTTTTACTCCTGTTCTCAGATGTTTTGGTTCTCTTTTGATTATATGCCACAAACTGAAGCGTACTTTTCTTGAAAGTGTTTTCTGGGCCAGGCGCAGTGGCTGATGCCAAGGAGTTCAAGACCAGCCTGGGCAACATAGAGAGACCCTGTCTCTACAAAACATTTTTAAAAACTAGCCGGCTGGTCAGGCACAGTGGCTTATGCCTGTAATCCCAGCACTTTGGGAGGCTGAGGCAGGCAGATTACCTGAGTTCGGGAGTTCAAGACCAGCCTGACCAACATGGAGAAACCCCATCTCGACTAAAACTACAAAATTAGCCAGGCGTGGTGGCACACACCTGTAATCCCAGCTACTTGGAAGGCTGAGGGAGGAGAATCGCTTGAACCCGGGAGGCAGAGGTTGCGGTGAGCCGAGATAATGCCATTGCACTCCAGCCTGGGCAACAAAAGCGAAACTCTGTCTCAAAATACAAAAAACAAAACAAAACAAAAAAATGAACAAACAAAAACCAAAAAAACTAGCCATGCATGGTGGTGTGTGCCTGTAGTCCCGTCTTCTCAGGAGGCTGAGGTAACATTAAGTACATTTACATTGTTTTGCAGCCCTCACCATCCGTTCTTCTCTACAGTTTTTTTTTAATCTTCTGCAACTGAAATTGTGTATCTATTGAACAGTGACTCCCCTGTTACCCCTCCTAGAAGCCCCTGGCAACCACTATTCTGTTTTCTGTCTTTATGAATTTGACTGTTCTGGTTACCTCATATGTAAGTGGAATCATGCAATATTTGTCTGCTGGTGACTGGCTTGTTTCACTTAGCATAGTATCTTTAAAGTTTATCCATGTTTTAGCATTCGTTAGAATTTTCTTTTGGCCGGGCGTGGTGGCTCACGCCTGTAACCCCAGCACTTTGGGAGGCCGAGGCGGGTGGATCTCAAGGTCAGGAGATCGAGACCATCCTGGCTAACACGGTGAAACCCTGTCTCTACTAAAAATACAAAAAAAAATTAGCCATGCCTGGTGGCAGGCGCCTGTAGTCCCAGCTACTCAGGAGGCTGAGGCAGGAGAATGGCATGAACCCGGGAGGCGGAACTTGCAGTGAGCCGAGATCGTGCCACGGCACTTCCAGCCTGAGCGACAGAGTGAGACTCCGTCTCAAAAAAAAAAAAAAAGAATTTTCTTCTTTTATGGCTGAATAATATTCCATTGTGTGTACATTTGACCCTTTAACAATGCTGAAGTTATGGGCACCAACTCCACACACAGTTGAAAATCCAAGTATAACTTTTGACTCCCCCAGAACGTAACTGCTAATAGTCTACTGTTGACCAGAAGCCTTAACGATAACATAGCCTGTTAACACATATTTAATGTTATATGTATTATGTACTATATTCTTAAAGTAAGAGAATAGAAAATGAAATATTTACACTGTTCGTTAAGTTGAAGTTGATAAGGTTGTCATCCTTATCGTCTTCATTTTGAATAGGCCAAGGAGGAAGAGTAGGGGTTGGTCTTGCTGTCTAAGGGGTAGCAGAGGTGGAAGAAAATCTCCATATGCTATGAAGCCTGCACAGTTCAAACTTTTGTTGTTCAAGAATCAGTTGTATATACCATATTTCATTTATTCATCCATTGATGAACTGTGAAGCAGCCTGCTTTTGGCTGTTGTGACTAACTAATGCTTCCATGAACATGGATTTACAAATACCTGTTCCAGTTCCTGCTTTCACTTCTTCTGGGTGTCTGCAAGTTTAAGAATCAAAATTTTAAACAAATCAAATTGGCACTAGATAAGTTACTTGTAAGGTTTGTATGGAAAAATAAGCAAGAGTAGCCACAACTTTTCTGAAAAGAACAGTAACTAGAAATCAGGCTTATTAGATAATAAAACAGAAATTAAAAGGGTTAGAATATTGTGGTTGTGGTGGACTGGCAGACGGAAAATCACTGACGCCGAATAGAAAATCTAATAATTGGCTGGGTGGGGTGGCTTACACCTGTAATCTCAGCA
The DNA here is from genome assembly GCF_000001405.40 of Homo sapiens. Classification (NCBI taxonomy): domain Eukaryota; kingdom Metazoa; phylum Chordata; class Mammalia; order Primates; family Hominidae; genus Homo; species Homo sapiens. Next base: position 155,496,909 of record NC_000001.11, on the reverse strand, counting down.
CTTTGGGAGGTTGTGACGGGAGAATTGCCCGAGCCCGGGAGTTTGAGACCAGCCTGGGCAACATAGTGAGACCCCCACCTCTCTACAAAAATTAAAAAAAAAAAATAGCCAAGCGTGATTGCACATGCTTGTGATCCCAGCTACTCAGGAGGCTGAGGTGGAAGGATTGCTTGAGCCCAGGAGGTCAAGGCTACAATGAGCCACGTTCTTGCCACTGAACTCCAGCCTATGTGACAGAGCAAGACTCCACCTCAAAAAGAAAAAGGAAGAAGAAAAGAAAAACTAGTAGTAGACTCGTGTATACGTGAGGATTTAGTACATGGGAAGTGTAGCATTTCAAATCAGAGGATGAAAGATGGAATTATTCAGTCAATTCCATTAGAACCGGTAGTTCTGTAGTAGATTTTATATTACCATACACGCATATACATGCATACATATATATTAAACTTCATGAGTGCATGTCTTTTTTCTTTTTATGGCTACATTTACTTTGAGAAGACAAAGATGTCATTTTCCACATTCAAAAGAAACTACAGTCGCGTGCTGCGTAATCATGTTTGGATCAATGACAGATCACATTTTGGTGGTCCCATAAGAGTATAATGGAGCTGAAAAATTCCTGTCACCTAATGATGTCTTGATGATCCTGACCCTGTGTAGACTTAAGCTAATGTTTGTTTGTGTTTTAGTTTTTAACAAAAAAGTTGAAAAGGTAAAAACAAATTTAAAAATTTTTAAATAAATAATTGTAAAGATACAAAGAAAAGATTTTGTACAGCTGTATGTTATATTTGCATTTTAAGCTGTTACTACAAAAGAGTCAGAAAGTAAAAAAATGTAAAAGGTAATAAAGTAAAAAAGGAAGCTAAGGTTAATTTGTTTTGTTTTATTTATTTATTTTTTTTTAATTGAGACAGTCTTGCTCTTGTTGCCCAGGCTGGAGTGCAATAGCACGATCTCGGCTCACTGCAGCCTCCGCCTCCTGGGTTCAAGTAATTCTCCTGCCTCAGCCTCCCGAGTAGCTGAGATTACAGGCTCCTGCCACCATGACCAGCTAATTTTTGTATTTTTAGTAGAAACACAGTTTTGCCATGTTGTCCAGGCTGGTCTCAAACTCCTGACCTCAAGTGATCCGCTGGCCTCAGCCTCCCAAAGTACTGGGATTACAGGCGTTGAGCTGCTGTGCCCAGCCAGATGAATTTATTATTGACGAAGGGAAATTTTTAAAAATTTAATGTAGCTTAAGTGTTCAGTGTTTATAAAGTCAACAGTAGTGTACAGTAATGTCCTAGCCCTTCACAGTCACTGAGCATTCACTGACTTTCCCAGAGTGTCGTACAGTCTTGCAAGCTCCATTCATGATAAGTACCCTATACAGGTGTACTTATATTTTCTATAAGTAGATTTTTATCTTTTATACCATATTTTTACTGTACCTTTTCTATGTTTATATACAAAAATCCTATTTTTTTTGCAGTGGCCTATAGTGTTCAGTACAGTACCACGCTGTACAGGTTAGTAGCCTAGGAGCAATAGGTTATTCTATACAGCTTAGGTGTGTGGCAGGCTATATCATCTAGATTTGTGTAATTACACACTATGATCATACAATGACAAAAATCACATTTCTTAGAGACATTTCTTAGAATTTATCCCCATTGTTAGGTAACACACACCGTACTTTGATTCTACTTCATCATCTAGCTGTCACCCCACTTCACTGTTTCCCTTGCTATTCTTTACTTACTTTTTAGATTTCTCTTTCCATTCTCTTTCAAACCCATTTCAACCAGGTTTTTGCTCCTTAATAAAGGAACTGCTGTTGCATGATTACCAGTGACTCCAATCCAACAAACAAATGTATGTTCTCATTTCTACTTGACTTGTCAGCAGCATTTGTCGCTCCTGGAAATATGTGCTTCATTTGGGTTCCAAGATACCACACATTCATTCTCTCTCTCTCTCTCTCTCTCTTTTTCCTTATTCTTTTCTGGCTTCTCAATCTTCATGATCTTTAATGTTACAATACCTTGGTGTTATCAGTCCTTAGTTTACTGTTCGGTTTACATTCACCCTCACTCGGTTATGTCCAGTCTCAAGCTTTTAAATGTCAATATGCTGTTGACTTCTAAATTTGAATCTTTCTTCTTAGGCTTCTCTACTTTGATGTTTAGTAAGTATTTCAATTTTAACATGTCTCAAACTAAACTCCTGATCATCATTTTCAGTCTTCCTCTAAGTGAGTTAATAATTTCCTCACTTCTGTCGTTACTAAAATGTTAGCTGATCATCGCAGCATAACCTAATTGCCTAATTAATTTTGCAAGCCCTCTCCTAGTATTCACTTGCTGTTTATCCCCTAACACTTGCCACCTTCTAACAAATAATAATCTTTAAAAGTTTTTTGTGTTTTTTCTTTACTGTCCTCTCTGCAATTGTCTGTCTTTTCCTTGACATATCCACAACAGTAAGTACCCATAAATATTGTTGAATGAATGGTCAAGTCATATACCTCTTCATAAAATCTTCGAATGGCTTCCTCTTTCTTGGACTGAAAAATGTCCATTTTCCTACCACCTGCAACATTACTCTTCTCTTGCTTACTCTAGTACTGCAAACATGGATTCTTTATTGTTCTTTAAACAGACAAGCTCCTGGCTCAGGGCCTTTGCTTTCTTGGTTCCTGTTTTTTCCCACATACCTACATGGATCCATCTTTGTCTTTCACCTCCTTTTCATTTCTGCACAATTGAGTTTTCAATCAGAACTTTCCGACAGCCCGTTTTAACATTGTAAATTCTTTCCATCCCTGGCCTTTTCAATTCCTCCATGCTCTGATTTTCTCCATAGTGCATTTTATCATCTGATATACCAAATATTTTACTTATTTTCTCTACTTTGCTCATGCATTACAATGACATCTCCATGGAGGAAGATGTTTTTGGATTTTTTTTTAACTGCTGTTATCCTCAGTGCTCAATAGTAGGTACTTAGTAAATACTTGCTGAAAAAATGAAAAAAAAATTTTTTTTTGAGATGGAGTCTTGCTCTATCCCCCAGGCTGGAGTGCAGTGGCACGATCTCAGCTCACTGCAACCTCTGCCTCCCTGGTTCAAGCTATTCTTCCGCCTCAGCCTGCCAAGTAGCTGGGATTACAGGCACACACTGCCACACCCAGCTAATTTTTTTTTTTGTATTTTTAGTAGAGATGGGGTTTCACCATGTTGGCTAGGCTGGTCTTGAACTCCCAACCTCAGGTGATCCTCCTGCCTCAGCCTCCCAAAGTGTTGGGATTACAGGCGTGAACCGCCATGCCCCCCCTGAAAAATGAATTATTGATGAAGCAAGAATTTAATATTATAAAATGAAATCAAGTGTTCTTGAATACTATCAGTTATAGTTAGAAAGTATTCTGTAACAGCAAGAAGAATTTATTAATAAAAGAAACAGCAGAATCTATGAAATACTTAGAAATATATTTAACAGCACATGTTTAGGATTTATATAGATATAAATACCCAGAAACACGAAAAAGCTTGACTAAATACATTTACTTTGTTATTGTAGAGCTAAAGTTAATGTTGAGATATGTTTTTCTACATTAAGATACAAAGTTAAAGCCATGTGAGGTTTTTTAAAAACTTCAATCATATCTCAAGTTTGTGAGGAAGTATACGTATGGAAAAACAGTCCGATGAAAAGGTTATTAAAGTAGTGGTGATATTTGCACAATTCTGTAACTATAGTTAAAAAAAACCCACTGAATTGTGCACTTTAAAAGGGTGAATTTGGTTGGGTGCAGTGGCACATGCTTGTAATTCCAACACTTTGGGAGGCTGAGGTAGCCAGATCACTTGAGCTCAGGAGTTCGAGACCAGCCTGGGCAACAAAGTGAGTGTCTTATCTCTAGAAAAAATTAGCCAGGCATGGTGTTGCATTCCTGTGATCCCAGCTACTTGAGAGGCTGAGGTGGGATGTTGGCTAGAGCTTGGGGGGGCAAAAGTTGTGGCAAGCTGAGATTGACACTGCACTCTAGCCTGGGCAACAGAACCGGGCCTTGTCTCAAACAAAAACAAGGTGAATTTTATGGCATGTGAGTTAAATCTCAGTAATGTTGTAAATAAAATAGAGAATTTCTATAGGAATACAAGAAAAAAAAAAAACCTACTTGTTTTCAAATATTCAAACGTTATTATGAAGTTATAATATCCATATATTAGTGGCACAATAATAATCATAAATATGAATGAAACAAAACCTTAGGAATTTAGAGTAAGATCCAAATACGAATAAGAATATGTAATAAGTATGTTATTACATTACATTAATTATAAATAATCAATGGGCATGAAATGAGTAATGTTCTTAGAACAATGAGCAATGTTCTTAGAACAATGAGCAAACCTTTTGGAATAAAGGCTGCTTCCCTACCCCCAGATTATATTTTTAGAATTTAACATGGCAAATAAAGGAAAAACGAAAAGAAACCGAAAAATAATTAATTGAAAGTGTAGTGAAGATTGTCGTCTAGAAGGACATGATTTTTCCAAGTATAAGAAAACAAGACTGGGCGTGGTGGCTCACGCCTGTAATCCCAGCACTTTGGGAGGCCGAGGCTGGCGGCTGAGGTTGGGAGTTCGAGACCAGCCTGACCAATGTGGAGAAACCCTGTCTCTACCAAAAATACAGAATTAGCCAGGCATTCTGTGCATGTGCAGTGGCACATGCCTGTAATCCCAGCGACTCGGGAGGCTGAGGCAGGAGAATCACTTCAACCTGGGAGGCAGAGGTTGCGGTGAGCCAAGATTGCACCATTGCACTCTTAGCCTGGGCAACAAGAGTGAAACTCCATCAAAAAAAAAAAAAAAAAAAAGTAAACAAAACTATATTCCACCTTAGGCTGGAATATATTTTTTCATGAATGAAAAAAAGAGAGCTGGGTACGGTGACTCACGCCTGTAATCCCAGCACATTGAGAGGCTGAGGTGAGTGGATCGCTTGAGGTCCAGAGTTCGAGACCAGCCTGGCCAACATGGTGAGACTCCATCTCTACTAAAAATATAAAAATCAGCCAGACGTGGTGGTGGGTCCCTGTAAACCAGCTAGCTACTTGGGAGGCTGAGGCACAAGAATTGCTTGAACCCAGGAGACGGAGGTTGCAGTGAGCCGAGGTTGAGCCACTGCACTCCAGCCTGGGTGATAGAGCTAAACTCAGTCTCAAAAAAATGAGAGAGAGAAAAAACCCCAAAACAAACCTATAAAGTTAAAGAGACTATTTTATTTAATGCAGTGATTAAGCACTTTAGTTATGAAATCAGACTATGTTTAAATTATTTCTTAATCATTTACTGGTTAAGTGACCTTGAGCAAGTTAGCCAATGTCTAAACCACTCTTTAATCTTTTAAATGAGGATAGTTATAGTAATTTCACTATATGGTGGTTGTAAGGAATATGTGAGGTAATTAGTACAGTTTTTCATAAGTATTTGAATACATAAAAGATTTTGGCCAGGCACAGTGGCTCATACCTGTAGTCCTAGCACTTTGGGAGGCTGAGGCAGGAGATTGCTTGAGGCCAGGCGTTCAAGACCAGCCTGGGCCTTTCACTTTTTAATAAAAATTTTTAAAACCTTTTGTTTAAGATTTTAACTTCAAGAAGAATAGTAGGTGAAAGAGAGCTGGTAAATTGGGAAAAATGTGCAACATGTGAGAAAGAAGTATTATATTAAGGGCCCATCTAAATTAGAAATGACCTCCACAATTTAGAAAAATATGGACCAGGATCTTGAACAGCTTTTCACTGCAGGAGAAATACAGATGGCCAGCAAAATCATGTGAAAAGACGTTTAGAATAATAGATAAGTCAAATATAAACAAATGCAATAGGAAGTCTTTTTTTTTTTTTTTTTTTTTTTTTTTTTTTTTTTTTTTTTTTTTTGGAATCAGGGTCTCACCCTGTCTCCCAGGTTAGAGTGCAGTGGTGTGATCATGGCTCATGGCTCACTGCAGCCTTGACCTCCTGGCTCAAGCCATTCTCCACTTCAGCCTCCCATGTACCTGAAACTACAGGCATGCACCACTGTGCCCAGCTAATTTTGGAGATTTATTTTTTGTAGAGAAGGGGGTCTCCCTGTGTTGCACAGGGTAGTCTCAAACTCTTAGGTTCAAGTAATCCTCCTGCCTCAGCTTCCCAAAGTGTTGGGATTACAGGTGTGAGCCACGAGGCCTGGCCAGAAAAAGAGAGAGAGAGAGTGTGTGTGTATGTGTGTGTGTGTGTGTGTGTGTGTGTGTGACGTAGTCTGGCTGTGTAGCCCATACTGGAGTGCCGTGGTGCGATCTTTGCTCACTGCAATCTCCGTCTCCTGGGTTCAAGCAATTCTGCCTCAGCCTACCTCAGAAGCTGGGATTACAGGTATGTGCTGCCACTTCCAGCTGGATTTTTTTTTTTTGTATTTTTAGTAGAGATGGGGTTTCACCATGTTGGCCAAGCTGGTCTGGAACTCCTGACCTCAAATTATCCACCCACCTTGGCCTTCCAAAGTGCAAGGATTACAGGCATGAGCCACCACGCCCAACCCTGGATGTCTTTATATAAGGTTGTGACATCTTACATACTGACAATTGGAAATAAAAAGTCTTTTTTGGCCGGGCATGGTGGCTCACACCTGTAATCCCAGCACTTTGGGAGGCCGAGGTGGGCAGATCACAAGGTCAGGAGATCGAGACCATCCTGGCTAACACGGTGAAACCCCATATCTACTAAAAATACAAAAAATCAGCCGGGCATGGTGGCGGGCGTAGTCCCAGCTACTTGGGAGGCTGAGGCAGGAGAGTGGTGTGAACCTGGGAGGCGGAGTTTGCAGTGAGCCGAGATGGCACCACTGCACTCCACCCTGGGCAACAGAGCGAGACTCCGTCTCAAAAAAAAAAAAAGTCTTACATGTCATTGTCTAGTGTGTAACTAATGCATATGCCCTTCAGCTTTGTACTTTCACCTTTAAAAATTTACCTGAAGGAAGTAATTGAACAAGTATGGAAAGAAAAATGCAATTGGATGTTTACCATATTGTTATTTATTTATTTATTTATTTATTTATTTATTTATTTATTTTGAGACAGTGTCTCCCCATTTATTTATTTATTTTTTTTGAGACAGTGTCTCCCTCTGTTGCCCAGGCTGGAGTGCAGTGGTGCAATGTCAGCTCACCGCAAGCTCCGCCTCCCAGGTTCACACCATTCTCCTGCCTCAGCCTCCCGAGTAGCTGGGACTACAGGCACCCGCCACCATGCCCGTCTAATTTTTTGTATTTTTCGTAAAGACGGGGTTTCACTGTGGTCTTGATCTCCTGACCTCGTGATCCACCTGCCTTGGCCTCACAAAGTGCTGGGATTACAGGTGTGAGCCACCGTGCCCAGCCCTTTTTTTTTTTTTTGAGACAGAGCCTCGGTCTGTCTCCCAGGCTGGAGTACAGTGACACAATCTCGGCTCACTGCAACCTCTGCCTCCCGAGTTCTAGTGATTGTCCTGCCTCAGCCTCCTGAGTAGCTAGGATTACAGGTGCGCACCACCACACCCAGCTAATTTTTTTGTATTTTTAGTAGAGATGGTGTTTTCACCATATTGATCAGGCTGGTCTCAAACTCCTGACCTGATGTTCTGCCCTCCTCGGCCTCCCAAAGTGCTAGGATTACAGGTGTGAGCCACCGCGCCCACATATTATTTATAGTAACAAAAAGCCAGAAACTATTTAATTACAGTCAGTAGGTGGTTGATTTTATGAATTATGAACTATTGTGAAACTGTTGAATTTAACATCTAACTCTTATTTACACATAAAGGTGTCATATCATTTAAAGCAAATGGGCTACAAAACAGCAAGCATTGTTGGCTCCATTTGTATAAAAGAATGTACACTTGTTTATTTTGATGTATATGGTAAAATATCTGAAATGTAAAGTCTTTATTCATGAAAGGTATTATTTATACTTTGGTTCTTTTTTTTAAATGAGAGTATTTTATATGTGGACTAAAGCTATTTTTCTGTTGGAAAAAATTACATGCTTAATATCATGTTTTAATACAGCATCTTTTTCAGTGCCTAATTGATAATATGCTCTCTTAAAGTGATAACTCTTATCAGTCATTTTAAAGTGTTCTTACAAGTGTAAGAGGATAATATCATCAGTACCAAATACAGTTTTCAAAATCTTTTTTTTTTTTTTTTTTTTTTTTTTTTTGTGACAGAGTCTTGCTCTGTTGCCCAGGCTGGAGTACAGTGGTGTGATCTCGGCTCACTGCATCCTCCGCCTCCTGGGTTCAAGTGATTCTCCTGCCTCAGCCTCTTGAGTAGCTGGGACCACAGGCATGCGCCACCCTGCTAATTTTTTTTTTTTTTTTTTTTTTGTATTTTTAGTATAGGCGAGTTTCACCATGTTGGCCAGGATGGTCTCACTCTCCTGACCTCGTGATCTGCCCACCTCGGCCTCCCAAAGTGCCGGGATTACAGGCATGAGCCACCGTACCCGGCTTCAAAATCTTAATGTTGTCTCATTCATTTATTTTATATAGTATCAGGATTTGGAAGAAAAGATTTTTGAAACCAACATCAAATTATCTGTGTGCCTTATTTAGTCATAGACCATTTACTGTGGGATATGAACTCTGTTTTAAACTGCTTTTAATTTCTCTCAGATATTTATTTCAGGTAAAAGTGAAAAACCAGGCCAGGCACAATGGCTCATGCCTGTAATCCCAGCACTTTGGGAGGCTGAGGCGGGTGGATCACGAGGTCAGGAGTTCAAGACCAGCCTGGCCAAGATGGTGAAACCCCGTCTTTACTAAAAATTCAAAAATTAGCTGGGCCTGCTGGCGGGCTCCTGTAATCCCAGCTACTCAGGAGGCTGAGGCAGAGAATTGCTTGGACCCGGGAGGCGGAGGTTGCAGTGAGCCGAGATGGCGCCACTGCGCTCCTGCTTGGGCAACAGGGCAAGACTCCATTTCAAAAAAAAAAAAAAAGTGAAAAACCAGGCTTGAACACATTCATTAGCCAATTAAGGAAGCTGAATATGTTTCTACTTTACTTTTAGACAGAATTTAAAAAATAACTTCCTATTTAAGTATAACATACATATAGAAAAATACCCATCATAAATGTAACAGCTCAGCGAATTTTCATGAACTCAGCCATATGGGACAACCAACATTCAGATTAAGAAATGTGTTTGCCAGGTGCGGTGGCTCACCCCTGTAATCCCAGCACTTTGGGAAGCTGAGGGAAAATCACTTGAGCCCCGGAGTTCGAGATTAGCCTGGGCAACAAAGCAAGACCTCATCTCTACAAAAAAACCAAAAAACAAAAAACAACACAAAAAAATTAGCCAGACATGGTGGCTTGTGCCTGCAGTCCCAGACTTGGGAGGCTGAGGTGGGAGGATCACTTAAGCTTAGAAGTTCAAAGTTAGAATCAGGTCACTGCACTCCAGCCTGGGCCACAGAGTGAGACCCTGTCTTAAAAAAAATAAAAAAGTAGTATGACATTGCTAGCACCCAGTAAGAACCCCTTGGGCTTCTTTCTCATTACTGTCCTTACCATGAGTAATAATTTTTTTTATTTTTAATATCATAATAAATTTTTCCTCTTTGTGGTCTTTATATAAATGAAGTCAGAATAGGTACTCTGTTTTTCTGGCTCCATTAATTCAGTGTTGTTCGTGAGGCTTTTTGTATGTTTGTTTGCTTTTGAGGTGGAGTTTCATCCTTGTTGCCCTGGCTGGACTGCAATGGCATGATCTCAGCTCACTGCAACCTCCGCCTCCTGGGTTCAAGCGATTATCCTGCCTCAGCCTTCCGAGTAGCTGGGATTACAGGCATGTGCTACCACACCCGGCTAATTTTGTATTTTCATTTCAGACGGGGTTTCTCCCTGTTGGTCAGTCTGGTCTTGAACTCCTGACTTTGAGTGATCTGCCCGCATCAGCCTCCCAAAGTGCTGGGATTACAGGCGTGAGCCACTGTGCCCAGCCAGAGCTTTTTTTTTCTTTTTTTTTTTTTAAACTGTAATACATGGTATTGCGTGTAATCATAGTTCACATTTTTAAGGATAAGTTTTAAAATTGGAAGTGTCATTTTCAGGCATAAATATGTTTAAAAATATTTAAAACAAACTGCTTAATATTTGTTTTTAAAAGTATAAAAGTAATGAATGGGAATTGTTTTTTCATTTTTAATTTTTGTGGATACATAGTGTATTTATGGGATACATGAGATGTTTTGATACAGGCATGCAGTGTGTAATAATCACATCATAGAGAATGAGGTATTCATCCCCTCAAGCATTTATCCTTTGTGTTGCACACCATCTAGTTATACTCTTTTAGTTATTTCAAAATGTACAATTAAATGATTATTGACTATAGTCACACTGTTGTGCTGTCAACAGTAGGTCTTATTTATTCATTCTTTCTATTTTTTTTTTTTTATTTTTGGTACCCATTAACCTTCCCCACCTCCCCGGGATTCTTTAATATAATGTGAAGAAAGTGTGTGGGGTTTATTTAATTTTCAAGTTAACATAAGTCTGAGTATATGAGACTGTCAAAGCCAGTTTGCCCTTGGGCAAAATTATAAGGTCCAGTCCAAAAGAAGAGATAGTTCCCTTTATTCTGAGTCAATCAAGTACCACATGTATTGTGTTCATTTAAAGGTGCCACATGTAAAGAGGGATATTTACAAACTTAAAACACTTGCATCAGAAAATGACCAGAAAGAAGTGAAACTGTTGAGTCAGGAAGTTAAATATTTTGGTTGAGTTCAAATGTCTGACAGCCATTGGGAAGAAGAGGAATTAGACTTACTCTGTGATTTTTAGAAAGTGAGACTTGGACCAGTAACTGAAAGTTGCAAAAAAATATATTTCACTTTACTCTTAGGAAGAACTTTTTTTTTTTTTTCAATAGACACATTTCATTATGGGAAATTTAATACAAAAACATAGTGACTAGTTCAAAGTGAAGATACTAGAGTTAGATACCTGTCACTAGGATCATCTTTTATATTTCTTGTCTAATATTTGGAAACAGTCATTTCTGCAGGAGCCCTGATTCATTTTAATGGGAAATGGTTTTAGAGACCACGGTCTTGAGGTGTTCATTGCTAATGGGTTGTCGATGTTTGTAGGCATTTTAATGGATAGAGAGGTAGATAGACTTCATATATTTTTAATTCTATCTTAAAAGTATAGCCTTTTACTTCTTTGATTTTATAGTTGTACGTTTTTTGCTTCTAACATTTTGGTTCCTAGTGATATTCACATGGTTACCTATTTTATCTATGTATCTGTTAGTCATCTATCTGTCTAAATTCAAAATTACTATATGTATTACCAGTAATATGCTCACTGAGGGCAATTTACCACTTTCTTTTGCTGGGCAAGATGGCTTGTGCCTGTTAGCCCAACTACTCAGAAGGCTGAGCGGGGGGAGGATGGCTTAAGCCCAGGCATTCAAGGCTGCAGTGAGCTATGACTATGCCATTGCACTCCAGCCTGGGTGACAGAGCAAGACCCCATCTCTTAAAAAAAAATAAAAATAAAAATAAAAAATAGAGAGGTAGAGGTTCTTTGGTATTTGGTTTTGGGTTTTTTTTTTTTTTTGAGACGGAATCTCGCTCTTTCGCCCAGGCTGGAGTACAGTGGTGCTATCTTGGCTCACTGCAACCTCCCCGTCCCAGGTTCAAGTGATTCTCCTGCTTCAGCCTGCTGAGTAGCTGGGACTACAGGCATGCGCCACCATGCCCAGCTAATTTTTTGTATTTTTACCAGAGATGGGGTTTCACCATGTTCGACTGCTCTCAAACTCCTGACCTCAGGTGATCCACCCGTCTTGGCCTCACAAAGTGCTGGGATTACAGGCATGAGCCACTGCACCGGGTGGTTGGTTGGTTTTTGTTTTTGTTTTTGTTTTTGTTTTTTTTTTTTTTTGAGACAGAGCATCACTCTGTCACCTAGGCTAAAGTGCAGTGGTACGATCTTGGCTCACTGCAACCTCCCCCTCCCAGGTTCAAGCAATTCTCATACCTTAGCCTCCCAAGTAGCTGGGATTACAGGCGCCCGCCACCACGTCCGGCTGATATTTGTAGTTTTAGTAGAGATGGGGTTTCACCATGTTGGCCAGGCTGGTCTCAAACTCCTGACCTCAGGTGATCTGCCCACCTCGGCCTCCAAAAGTGGTGGGATTACAGGCATGAGCCACTGCGCCTGGCTGGCTTGCTTGTTTGTTTGTTTTTTGGGTAATGTTTTGAGATTTAGGATGTAGATTCTCAATATTGTGTTTTATAGTAATTCAAAATAATTACTTTTCATATACTTATATAACTAATTTTCTATATATTGAATAGATGAATTTCTTTTTTGTTTGTTTTTGAGACAGAGTCTTGCTCTTTCGCCCAGGCTAGAGTGCAGTGGCGCAATCTCGGCTCACTGCAACCTCTGCCTCCCAGGTTCAAGCGATTCTCCTGCCTCAGCCTCCCGGTAGCTGAGATAACAGGCACGTGCCACCAGCCCCAGCTAATTTTTGTATTTTTAGTAGAGATGGGGTTTCACCATGTTGGCCAAGCTGGTCTCGAACTCCTGACCTCAGGCGATCTGCCCACCTCAGCCTCCCAAAGTGCTGGGATTACAGGCGTGAGCCACCATGCCCGGCCTATTGCTTTTAATATTTGGAGATCTGGGATGCTTTCCTTTATTATATATAACTTTGTTTCATAACTATGTAAAACACTTCCAAACTGAAAACCATAAAGTTAGATGCATAGGGGTCTAGTTTCTAACCCTGTTTACTTTCCCATAAGTCACTATTTTCGCTAATCTTTGGTTCATTCCATTTTAAAATATAATCGGTAGGCATATATATATTCATATTCTTCATCCCCATTTTCTTATACAGAAGGTATATTATATGTATAAGGCATAGCATAGCATAGCATATTATAACCATTGTTCTCAACCTTGCTTTTTTTCATTTAATAATATATCCTGGAAATCACTCCATAGCACTATATTGATATCTCTTCCTACTCCTCCTACTTTTGTTTTTGTTGACAATTTCTCAATATTCCATTGTACAGATGTACCTTACTTTATTCAGCCAGTTTTCTGTAGATAATTGTTTGGATTTTTTTAGGGTTTTTTTTTTTTATATTAAAATAGTGGTGCATTTTGGACCCTTGTGCAGACATTATATTTTTAAGAGTGTATCTTGGGTAGACCCTCAAAGTAGGATTTCTGGGTCAAAGGATGTAGTTAAATGCATATGGAATTTTTCTAGTTTATAACTAGATTGTAGCGTTTTCCATGCAGTACATTTTCATACGTGCTTGAATTTGGTTTTATGTTTTCTGTCCTGTTTCATTGGTTTGTTTGTCTTTTCATTTGTCACTTCTGTACTGTTTCAATGATTGGGGCTTTGAAAAATGATATTTGGTATGGTTATTCCCTGGCTTTTCTACATTTTAGGTTTTTCTAGCTATTCTTGCATATCTATTTTCCCCATTGAACATCACAATCAATTTTTCTAAATGCCAAAGAAATCTGTTGGTATTTTTATTGAGATTGCATTAAATTTATAAATTTGCTTAGGGAAAATTGTCGTCTTTATGTCTTCCTATCCACAAACACAGTATAACTTTACATTTGTTCAGTTCTGAGTATTTTATATTTAGGAAGAACTCTTTAGTGGTTATCCAAAAGTAAAACAGACTATTGTGTGAAGTAGTGAATTCATTTCTAGAGTATATAGTGAGGATTCATGAATTAGCATTTTACGGTAAATGACTTAAATGTTACTTCCCATTCTAAGATTTTATATAAAAACACATTCTGATGAAAATATGAATTTTTAAATTGTCTTTCCTATTCCACATTAAGAGAGAGCTCTACTGCTCACTCAAGACCATAATTGAGAATGAGTTATAAAAGAGTAGAAGTAGGTTAGGGATTGTCTTCTATAGGTTTAGAATCATTTAAGTCAATGAAGGAGGTAGGCAGTAAACTATTATTTTAGATGACGACCATAGGATACTGTAACTAAAAATAATTTTCTTTTCAAAAATGGTAACTTCATATGCTTCATTTATATTTACCCAGTCAAAAGTAAGATGAAAGTAGACTATTGATTTGCCATTTAAAAAATGTCAAAAATATCAGGGATATTTCTAAAGACCCTCTAATGTATAGTTTTATCGTGTTGAAAGTCAACAAAGATAATATACCATGATAGCCTCTCGTATAGCAGCAGATGAGCTAACATACTGTGACATAAGTATAATATTAGGTTTTTTAAAAACCACTGTTGCCTATTGTTTATCTGATATGTGATCCATTAGTTTGTTGGATTGTTAAGCTAAGCTAAAGTGGTGTAAGGTTTACTCCCTCTTTAACTTTTTTCTTGTTCAAATTTTAGGACCCTTCAAAGTTGTACAAGAAAGCAGATGATGTTGCAGCCATTGAATGCCAGTCTGAAGAAGTCATCCGTCTTCATTCACAGGGAGAAAACAATCCTTTGTCTAAGAAGCTGTCTCCAGTACACTCAGAAATGGCAGATTATATTAATGCAACGCCATCTACTCTTCTTGGTAGCCGGGATCCTGATTTAAAGGACAGAGCATTACTTAATGGAGGAACTAGTGTAACAGAAAAGTTGGCACAGCTGATTGCTACCTGTCCTCCTTCCAAGTCTTCCAAGACAAAACCGAAGAAGTTAGGAACTGGCACTACAGCAGGATTGGTTAGCAAGGATTTGATCAGGAAAGCAGGTGTTGGCTCTGTAGCTGGAATAATACATAAGGACTTAATAAAAAAGCCAACCATCAGCACAGCAGTTGGATTGGTAACTAAAGATCCTGGGAAAAAGCCAGTGTTTAATGCAGCAGTAGGATTGGTCAATAAGGACTCTGTGAAAAAACTGGGAACTGGCACTACAGCGGTATTCATTAATAAAAACTTAGGCAAAAAGCCAGGAACTATCACTACAGTAGGACTGCTAAGCAAAGATTCAGGAAAGAAGCTAGGAATTGGTATTGTTCCAGGTTTAGTGCATAAAGAGTCTGGCAAGAAGTTAGGACTTGGCACTGTGGTTGGACTGGTTAATAAAGATTTGGGAAAGAAATTGGGTTCTACTGTTGGCCTAGTGGCCAAGGACTGTGCAAAGAAGATTGTAGCAAGTTCAGCAATGGGATTGGTTAATAAGGACATTGGAAAGAAACTAATGAGTTGTCCTTTGGCAGGTCTGATCAGTAAAGATGCCATAAACCTTAAAGCCGAAGCACTGCTCCCCACTCAGGAACCGCTTAAGGCTTCTTGTAGTACAAACATCAATAATCAGGAAAGTCAGGAACTTTCTGAATCCCTGAAAGATAGTGCCACCAGCAAAACTTTTGAAAAGAATGTTGTACGGCAGAATAAAGAAAGCATATTGGAAAAGTTCTCAGTACGAAAAGAAATCATTAATTTGGAGAAAGAAATGTTTAATGAAGGAACATGCATTCAGCAAGACAGTTTCTCATCCAGTGAAAAGGGATCTTATGAAACCTCAAAGCATGAAAAGCAGCCTCCTGTATATTGCACTTCTCCGGACTTTAAAATGGGAGGTGCTTCTGATGTATCTACCGCTAAATCCCCATTCAGTGCAGTAGGAGAAAGCAATCTCCCTTCCCCATCACCTACTGTATCTGTTAATCCTTTAACCAGAAGTCCCCCTGAAACTTCTTCACAGTTGGCTCCTAATCCATTACTTTTAAGTTCTACTACAGAACTAATCGAAGAAATTTCTGAATCTGTTGGAAAGAACCAGTTTACTTCTGAAAGTACCCACTTGAACGTTGGTCATAGGTCAGTTGGTCATAGTATAAGTATTGAATGTAAAGGGATTGATAAAGAGGTAAATGATTCAAAAACTACCCATATAGATATTCCAAGAATAAGCTCTTCCCTTGGAAAAAAGCCAAGTTTGACTTCTGAATCCAGCATTCATACTATTACTCCTTCAGTTGTTAACTTCACTAGTTTATTTAGTAATAAGCCTTTTTTAAAACTGGGTGCAGTATCTGCATCAGACAAACACTGCCAAGTTGCTGAAAGCCTAAGTACTAGTTTGCAGTCCAAACCATTAAAAAAAAGAAAAGGAAGAAAACCTCGGTGGACTAAAGTGGTGGCAAGAAGCACATGCCGGTCTCCAAAAGGGCTAGAATTAGAAAGATCAGAGCTTTTTAAAAACGTTTCATGTAGCTCACTATCAAATAGTAATTCTGAGCCAGCCAAGTTTATGAAAAACATTGGACCCCCTTCATTTGTAGATCATGACTTCCTTAAACGCCGATTGCCAAAGTTGAGCAAATCCACAGCTCCATCTCTTGCTCTCTTAGCTGATAGTGAAAAACCATCTCATAAGTCTTTTGCTACTCACAAACTATCCTCCAGTATGTGTGTCTCTAGTGACCTTTTGTCTGATATTTATAAGCCCAAAAGAGGAAGGCCTAAATCTAAGGAGATGCCTCAACTGGAAGGGCCACCTAAAAGGACTTTAAAAATCCCTGCTTCTAAAGTGTTTTCTTTACAGTCTAAGGAAGAACAAGAACCCCCAATTTTACAGCCAGAAATTGAAATCCCTTCCTTCAAACAAGGTCTGTCTGTGTCTCCTTTTCCAAAAAAGAGAGGCAGGCCTAAGAGGCAAATGAGGTCACCAGTCAAGATGAAGCCACCTGTACTGTCAGTGGCTCCATTTGTTGCCACTGAAAGTCCAAGCAAGCTAGAATCTGAAAGTGACAACCATAGAAGTAGCAGTGATTTCTTTGAGAGCGAGGATCAACTTCAGGATCCAGATGACCTAGATGACAGTCATAGGCCAAGTGTCTGTAGTATGAGTGACCTTGAGATGGAACCAGATAAAAAAATTACCAAGAGAAACAATGGACAATTAATGAAAACAATTATCCGCAAAATAAATAAAATGAAGACTTTAAAGAGAAAGAAACTGTTGAATCAGATTCTTTCAAGTTCTGTAGAATCAAGTAATAAAGGGAAAGTGCAATCCAAACTCCATAATACGGTATCAAGTCTTGCTGCCACATTTGGCTCTAAATTGGGCCAACAGATAAATGTCAGCAAGAAAGGAACCATTTATATAGGAAAGAGAAGAGGTCGCAAACCAAAAACTGTCTTAAATGGTATTCTTTCTGGTAGTCCTACTAGCCTTGCTGTTCTTGAGCAAACAGCTCAACAGGCAGCTGGGTCAGCATTAGGACAGATTCTTCCCCCATTACTGCCTTCATCTGCTAGTAGTTCTGAGATTCTTCCATCACCTATTTGCTCTCAGTCTTCTGGGACTAGTGGAGGTCAGAGCCCTGTAAGTAGTGATGCAGGTTTTGTTGAACCCAGTTCAGTGCCATATTTGCATTTACACTCCAGACAGGGCAGTATGATTCAGACTCTTGCAATGAAGAAGGCCTCAAAGGGGAGGAGGCGGTTATC
This sequence comes from Homo sapiens, assembly GCF_000001405.40. NCBI lineage: Eukaryota > Metazoa > Chordata > Mammalia > Primates > Hominidae > Homo > Homo sapiens. The sequence continues at coordinate 155,479,384 of NC_000001.11, read as the reverse complement.
TCCTCCTACTTTGTTGCCAAATTCTCCTTCGCACTTGAGTGAACTCACATCTCTAAAAGAAGCTACTCCTTCCCCAATCAGTGAGTCTCATAGTGATGAGACCATTCCCAGTGATAGTGGAATTGGAACAGATAATAACAGCACATCAGACAGGGCAGAGAAATTTTGTGGGCAAAAAAAGAGGAGGCATTCTTTTGAGCATGTTTCTCTGATTCCCCCTGAAACCTCTACAGTGCTAAGCAGTCTTAAAGAAAAACATAAACACAAATGTAAGCGCAGGAATCATGATTACCTCAGCTATGACAAGATGAAAAGGCAGAAACGAAAACGGAAAAAGAAATATCCCCAGCTTCGAAATAGACAGGATCCAGACTTTATTGCAGAGCTGGAGGAACTAATAAGTCGCCTAAGTGAAATTCGGATCACTCATCGAAGTCATCATTTTATCCCCCGAGATCTTCTGCCAACTATCTTTCGAATCAACTTTAATAGTTTCTATACACATCCTTCTTTCCCCTTAGACCCTTTGCACTACATTCGAAAACCTGACTTAAAAAAGAAAAGAGGGAGACCCCCTAAGATGAGGGAGGCAATGGCTGAAATGCCTTTTATGCACAGCCTTAGTTTTCCTCTTTCTAGTACTGGATTCTATCCATCTTATGGTATGCCTTACTCTCCTTCACCCCTTACAGCTGCTCCCATAGGATTAGGTTACTATGGAAGGTATCCTCCCACTCTTTATCCACCTCCTCCATCTCCTTCTTTCACCACGCCACTTCCACCTCCTTCCTATATGCATGCTGGTCATTTACTTCTCAATCCTGCCAAATACCATAAGAAAAAGCATAAGCTACTTCGACAGGAGGCCTTTCTTACAACCAGCAGGACTCCCCTCCTTTCCATGAGTACCTACCCCAGTGTTCCTCCTGAGATGGCCTATGGTTGGATGGTTGAGCACAAACACAGGCACCGTCACAAACACAGAGAACACCGTTCTTCTGAACAACCCCAGGTTTCTATGGACACTGGCTCTTCCCGATCTGTCCTGGAATCTTTGAAGCGCTATAGATTTGGAAAGGATGCTGTTGGAGAGCGATATAAGCATAAGGAAAAGCACCGTTGTCACATGTCCTGCCCTCATCTCTCTCCTTCAAAAAGCTTAATAAACAGAGAGGAACAGTGGGTCCACCGAGAGCCTTCAGAATCTAGTCCATTGGCCTTGGGATTGCAGACACCTTTACAGATTGACTGTTCAGAAAGTTCTCCAAGCTTATCCCTTGGAGGATTCACTCCCAACTCTGAGCCAGCCAGCAGTGATGAACATACAAACCTTTTCACAAGTGCAATAGGCAGCTGCAGAGTTTCAAACCCTAACTCCAGTGGCCGGAAGAAATTAACTGACAGCCCTGGACTCTTTTCTGCACAGGACACTTCACTAAATCGGCTTCACAGAAAGGAGTCACTGCCTTCTAACGAAAGGGCAGTACAGACTTTGGCAGGTAAGAGGGTTATTTTGTTACCTGTTATTTGTTAAAGAAATAGGTTATTTTCCACAGGTGCCTGATAAATGTAGATGAACTTTTAATATATATATCTTTTTTTGTTTTTTAATAAGTGTATTTTGAAATCTCAGTATTCCTTTTCCTTAAGATTTAAGAAGTAGGGAATGTCTATATTATTTTTTTGTTTTGAGAAGAGCTATTGTCAAAAAGAAAAAAAGAAAGAAATATACATAACTTTTGGAAACCAGGAAAAATCATTCATCTTTTTTATGTAGACAGGTTATTACACAATTTTTATAAAGACAAATGGCTCATAGGTCTGTTAGTAGTATGCAGGATCTCCCACCACCCCCTGCCCCCACCACCCCAAGAGGTAAAAGGTAATGCTGGAAGGATTTTTAATGTATATTAATCCAGTAGTTATAAATGCATCTTTGTTACAGGAAGAATATGTTATTAATACTGTATGTCTCATAATAAAAATTCAAACATTGGACATTTTCAGCATTGTAAAATTTAACTGAATATTCATTCAGACAGACTTCATTTTGCAGCATACCTTTTGATGTTTTCATAAAAGCTGCTTCAATTAGATAGAAAAAAAAGAAATCTGGAAAATGCATTTGTACATCTAGAAAGAATTGTACATCTTTTTCTCTCTTAATTATACACCTTTTAAGAATTGAGAAGATAGAAAACAAAGAGTAAGCATTTGCCACTCGAATAAAAGATTAGAAGTTCTTTGTGAGAGATCTTAAGCCTAAGAGTTTGTAAAATAACTCTAGGAAGTCCATAAACCCTCTGATGTTGTAAGTAAAATTACGGGTATATATGTTTGTGCATCTTTTTTAGTGATAATCTAGAAAAATTTCATCAGATTTTCCAAGTAAATTCTCTAAACCTCAGTATATTCTCTAAACCTCCTATATAATGGGATTTGTAGGGGTATTATGAAAAGTAATCACATAGTAAGCATGCAAATATTAGTTATTATTATTATTCCCCTAAAAGATTAAAAACTTGTGCATTAGGCCAGGCGCAGTGGCTCACACCTGTAATCCCAGTGCTTTGGGAGGCCGAGGTGGGCGGATCATGAGGTCAAGAGATCGAGACCATCCTGGTTAACACGATGAAACCCCATCTCTACTTAAAATACAAAAAAAATTAGCCAGGCATGGTGGCAGGCGCTTATAGTCCCAGCTACTCGGGAGGCTGAGGCAGGAGAATGGCGTGAACTCTGGAGGTGGAGCTTGCAGTGAGCCGAGATAGCACCACTGCACTTCAGCCTGGGCAACAGAGCGAGACTCCATCTTAAAAAAAAAACAAAAAACAAAAAAAGACTTGTGTATTAGGGAAAAGATAAACCCCTCGAATACAAAGAGTTTTTGTTCCTGATTTTCATTATTCATGAACTTTTGAAAAATTAAAACTTAGTGGAGAATCTGAGTGTTCCTTAGCTTTTAACAGTGTTTATTTATTTATTCATTTTTTTATTTTGAGACGGAGTCTTGCTCTGTTGCCCAGGCTGGAGTGCAATGGTGCAATCTCGGCTCACTGCAACCTCCGCCTCCCGGGTTCAAGCGATTCTCCTGCCTCACCCTCCCGAGTAGCTGGGACTACAGGTGCATGCCACCACACCCGGCTAGTTTTTTATATTTCTAGTAGAGACAGGGTTTCACCGTGTTAGCCAGGATGGTCTCGAACTCCTGACCTCGTGATCCGCCCACCTCGGCCTCCCAAAGTGCTGGGATTACAGGCTTGAGCCACTGCACCCGGCCAGCTTTTAACAACGTAAAGAGAGAAAAAGTCTTATGCTTAGGTCCATTCAACAAATAGTTTATTTAATCAGTAATAGTTACTGAATATCAGGTATTTACCAGGCATTCTACTTTGTGGGCCCTTGTTATATAATAGAGAATGAGGCACACAGGTTCATTGAGTCATGGAGATTATAGTAGAGGAGGTAGATAATAAACAAAAAATCACATTACGTGTTGTTAAAATTGTGATAAGGACTGTAAAAGGGAGAGAGTACAGCATGAAATGGGGAGCCTAACCCAGAGAAGTCTTTCCTGAGAAGGTGATCCTAAACTGAGACCTGGCAGATGTGCAACATTTAACTGGATAAACAGACTCATTCATTATTCATTCATTTACTGGTTCATATGTTGAATTCCTGAAACATACAGGACTATTCTAGTCACTGGCATATACAATAGTAAATGCCTGATATCTGACCTCATAATTTTCAGCTTAGTGAAGGAAGACAAACCATAGAGTGATAAGCAAATAAATAATGGCTTAATTGAGAAAAATGCTATAAAGTTAATACCATGGAGTGTTATGATACAGATTAAAGGGCTGGCAGAAGGGGATCTAATTAGATAGTTACTAGTTATGGCTGAGGATAAAAAGTTGAGACTTAAAGGATGAGAAGCCACAGTGAAGTCCAGGCGCGGTGGCTCACGCCTGTAATCTCAGAACTTTGGGAGGCTGAGGTGGCCAGATCACTTGAGGTCAGGAGTTTGAGGCCAGCTGGCCAACACGGTGAAACCCCATCTCTACTAAAAATACAAAAATCAGCCGGGCATGGTGGCACGTGCCTGTAGTCCCAGCTACTTGGGAGGCTGAGGCAGGAGAATCGCTTGAACCCAGGAGGCGGAGATTGCAGTGAGCCCAGATCACGCCAGTGCAACAGAGTGAGACTGTATCTCAAAAAATAAAAATAAAAAAAAAGCCACAGTGAAGAACATGTTTTAAGATTCTCAGTTGGGAAGGAGTTTAGATATTGGATAAACTGAAAAAAGCTTCATCGTGGTGAAAGAGGAAATACAGAGAGAGTAGTGAGAAATGTGGCAAAAGAAGAGACCAAACAATGTGTTAAGAATTTTGGATTTTATATTAAGAACAAAAGACAAAGGAGTATTGATTTTAGGTTTGCATTTTTAAATGATGATTTTGCCTTCTGCATGAACACTGGATGGAGAGGATAAAAATAATTTGAAGGAAACTGGTTAATAGGCAATTGCAGTAGTCTAGATAACATGATGGTGCTTAGATTAGGTTAGTGGCAGGCTTATGTCTGAACATATGGGAGATTGGAGATAACATGCACTAAGAGAGAGAAGACTATAGGAGGAGCAGATTTAGAGGAGAACACAGTTTTTTTTTTTCTTTTGTTTTTGAGACAGGCTCTCACTCTGTTGCCCAGGCTGGAGTGCAGTGGCACGATCTTGGCTCACTGCAACCTGTTTCCTGGGCTCAAGCCATTTTCCAGCCTCAGCCTCCTGAGTAGCTGGGACTACAGGTGCAAGCCACCAATGCCAGGCTAATTTCTTTGTATTTTTGTAGAGATGGGGTTTCGCCATGCCGCCCAGGCTGATCTTGAACTCCTGGGCTCAAAGGGACCCTCCTACCTTGCCCTCCCAAAGTGCTGGGATTATAGGCCTGAGTCACCACTCTGAGCCACTTTTTAATACATACAGTTTGAAGTGTCTGAACGTTGAAGCGGAGGATTTGAGAAGGTCGTTGGGTATCTAGTTCTCAGGCTTAGTAGAGAAGCTTGACCTGGAGATAAGAGCATTTCCTCTGAGTATTTGAAAAATTGTGTTAGGCAATATCATTCACTAAAAAGGGCTTCTGGGTGAAATAAAAGTTAGGAACAGACTCTCAAAAACCTGTGCAACTTTATAAGCAGAGCATCAAGAAAAGTAATAATTTTCAAAAACAGCAGTTAAAAAGACATACTAGACCAGGCACAATGGCTCATGCCTGTAATCCCAGCACTTTGGGAGACCAAGGCAGGCAGATCACCTGAGGTCAGGAGTTCGAAACCAGCCTGGCCAACATGGCGAAACCTGTCTCTACTAAAATAAAAAAATTAGCCAGCAGTGCTGGTATGTGCCTGTAGTCTCAGCTACTCGGGAGGCTGAGGCAGGAGAATCCCTTGAACCTGGAAGGTAGAGGTTGCAGTGAGCCGAAATTGTGCCACTGCACTCCAGCCTGGATGACAGTGTGAGAGTCTGTCTCAAAAAAAATATATGTATATATATTGTTAAGACTAAATGTCTTAATAAATAAAGAGGCTGGGAATGGTGGCTAATGCCTGTAATCTCAACACTTTGAGAGGTGAGGTTGAAGTATCACTTGAGCCTAGGAGTTGAAGACCAGCCTGGGCAACATAGGAGCCTCCCATCTCTACAGAAAAATGTTTTTTAAATTAGCTGGGCATGATGGCATACGCCTGTAGTCCTGGCTACTCAGGAGGCTGTGGCAAGTTGATCACTTGAGCCCGGGAGTTCAAGGCTGCTACTGTAAGCTGTGATCGTGCCACTTCACTCCAGCCTGGGCTGGCAGAGTGATACTCTGTCTCAAAAAAAAAAAAAAAAAATAGAAATACTACAATAAATATAGGCATTAACCTTCCAGGAAAAGATGAAGGTCGCTTGTAGGGATATAAAGAAGGGTTGAAGCTGCTCAACTGTAGGCACAGAAGGATGTCATTGGTAGATAAATGTAGCAATGCCAGACATAGCTGGTTCTAGTGTATTGTACCTGTTTGTTTCTTTTGTACAAACATTGAGAGAAGCCACACAATAAAAACACTTGCAGAAAAGTCTGTTGCCAGTAGGAGCCAAGAGGAAGAATGTGGATGAATGTACATTTTGAACAGAACTACATTGCTTATGGCTTTCTTCATTTAGTTTGTGTTGGTGTACTCCTTCGTTCAGCTGCTAGTTTTGTCCTGCAAAATATTTATGTGCTTTAAAAGTCATGTATTAACCAATACAACTTCCATATTCTGGTATCATTCTTGTATTTATCAATGATACAAGAGCTATTTAACTATATAGAAACACATACAATAACAAAACATACTGTATACCTTTGTGAATTTTTATATGTATAATCATGAGAGTAATGATATTTTCCTTGGGAGAGAATAGGGAGTGAAAAACAAACAGCCTTGGGTAGCTCTGAGGAACTGCAGTATTTAAAGTAGTGCTTAAAAAACTGTCAGCTTTTGGCCCACATGTGATTCTTTGTGATGATCTCTACACTTTTTAAAAAATTGCTCATATTAAAAAATGTAGCAATTTTACATAAAAATGTGGAATTCTGCTTCTCAGAAAAATCAGAACATCTGGCAACAATTAGTCCACATTTCGTGGATAATAGGGATGGCTGGGGCTCAGTATTGGCAGGCCCTTTTTCATTGCTGCTTGTATTCTTTTGTTCGCCACAGTCCTCACTGTTTTCTGTTGTGTGTTGTATCTGGCCCTCTTCAGCTATTTAAAGAGGGAACTTTTGGATTTGAGATCCCTAATTTCAGAGTCATGAGAAGGAGATTATAAAGGATGAGTAAATTGAGGTGAAGGTGATATGAGATGACAGGTTAGGATGTTGAATGTATCATCTACATGGACATTGAAATTACCCAAGAGGACAGTTACAGAAGTTGGGGTGAAAATGGTGGATGTGAACCTGGTTTCAGGGTCCTTGGGGAATGAGAAAGATAGCAGGGAAGTTTATGCAAAAGTACCTGTGTTAAGTACGAATTTGTCTTTTTAAAAATTTCCTTCTTTATTTATTTGAGATGGAGTCTCTCTCTGTCATCCAGGCTAGAGTTCAGTGGCGTAATCTAGGCTCACTGCAAAACCCGCCTCCTGGGTTCAAGCTGTTCTCCTGCCTCAGCCTCCGAGTAGCTGGGATTGCAGAAGTGCACCACCACATTTGGCTAATTTTTGAATTTTTTGTAGAGTCGGGGTTTCACTGTATTGGCCAGGCTAGTTTCAAACTCCTGACCGCAAGAGAACCACCTGTCTCAGCCTTCCAGAGTACTGGGATTACAGGTGTGAGCCACTGCACTTGGCTTTTTTTCTTCTTTATAAAATAACATACAGAAACCACAAAGACCTCTCTGAAGTCACTGCTCTGACACTAGTTCTCTATCACCAATTGGATGTTGTACAATTTAGTTCAATTCTGAATACAAATTACCTGAAGCTAGTGAAGACCTCAAGTTAAGAGCAGAGTTCATCATGAGACTGCAGATGCCAGTCACAAATTTTGGTGTTCCTGAGACATCCATACTTCTGCCTGGCCTGCTAAAAATTTGCAACTTCGTGCAACCCCCTCAATTTTGGTAACTTGTTAAAAGGACTCACAGAACTTGTGAAAGCACTATAGTATGATTACAGTTTTGTTACAAAGGATGCAGATCAAGAACAACTAGTTGAAGAGATACATAGAGCAGTGTTTGGTGCAAGAAGGGTCCACAGACCTCCATGCCTTTCCCCTTGTGGAATCCGGGCACATTGCCCTCCCAGCACATCACTATATTCACCAACCTGGAAGCTCCAGTGAACCTCAGTGTCCAGAGTTTTTATTGGGGCTCTGTTAGGTAGGCCGGATTGATTAGATCATTGGCCATGTTTTTTAATTCAATTTTCAGTTCTCCACTCCCTTGAGGTTGGGGTGACCCAAAGTTTCAGATTTTTAATTATGTGATTTGGTCTTTCTGGTCACCGGCCCCCATCTTGAAGTTACCTCAGGCTTTCATCTCACTGTCGTAACAGAGACATTCCTGTCACTTGGGTAATTACAAGGGTTTTTGAAACTCTGTGCCAGGAACCAGGGACAAAGACCAGCTATATTCTTTACTTGATCATAAGTCTAAATTCTTTTGTTAATTGTTCTCTATCTTGGAATCTCTCCATCTTCTTCACAATTACTGTTGATAAGTACATGGAGATGTGACTTGATTTTCTAATAGAAACTTAATATACTTTTTTCAGGTAGATGTGAGAATAGGTTTAGTTGTCTTAACAAAAACCAGTCGAGGAAAAGTTTTTAGTTAAGCAGAATACTAAATAAAAATATTAATTCAGGCTCAGATATCTTTTGTTTTGATCCCTTTGAAAGTCAGAACTGGTTTTGTTTAGGAGTATTTTATGTATTTGATTTTTATTCTTAACTATTCCCTTATGATGGTAGCTGTTCTTTCAGCAAACAGTTATTTTGTGCCTATTGTGTGCCAGGAGAAGGAACATGCTGTAATTCCAGCACTTTGGGAGGCCGAGGTGGGTGGGCCACTTGAGGTTAGGAGTTCGAGATCAGCCTGGCCAACATGGTAAAACCCTGCCTCTACTAAAAATACAAAAATTAGCCAGGCATGGTGGCACATGCCTGTAGTCCCAGCTACTCGGGAGGCTGAGGCACAAGAATCACTTGAACCCAGGAGGTGGAGATTGTAGTGAGCCGAGATTGCACCATTGCACTCCGGCCTGGGCAACAGAGCGAGACTCTGTCTCAGAAAAAAAAAAAAAAAGGTAATTTCTGCTTTAAAGTTGATTTATAGTTTAGACATGTATATGAATAGTTATTGACAGTTTTTTTTTTTGTTTTTTTTTGTTTTTTGTTTTTTGAGACAGACTCACTCTGTTGGCCAGGCTGGAGTGCAGTGGCACAATCTTGGCTTACTGCAACCTCCGCCTCCCAGGCTCAAGCAATTCTCCTGCCTCAGCCTCCTGAGTAGCTGGGATTACAGGTGTGTGCCACCATGCCCAGCTAATTTTTGTGTTTTTAGTAGAGACGGAGTTTCACCATGTTGACCAGGCTGGTCTCGAACTCCTGACCTATGGTGATCCACCCGCCTCGGCTTCCCAAAGTGCTGGGATTACAGGTGTGAGCCACCGCGCACAGCCTGACGGTTCTTAATATTGAGATACTTACAAGGCATTTTGGGGAGCAGAGAAGTGAGGGACTGACTTTAAAGGTCTTGGGAAGGAGGAGGGAGTTTTGAATTTAGCAGCGAAGAATAATGTGTGACACGTGTTTCTTACACTAGATATCAGCTTTGCAAGGGCATGGGGATGTGTTACTGTGCTTAGTTAAGTGTTAATGGTTTGATATGGGACCCAAGAGATGGGACTGGAAAGATAGGCAGATCATAAAGTCCTCGTTTATATGAGACTCCCAAGAGTATAGAGTTTACTTTATAAGGTATGAGAAGTTAAGGGTTTTAAGATGGGGAATAATTTGTTGAGATTACATTGACAGCAGTGTGATAGATGGATTAGTGAAAAGAGATCAGGTAGATCAGTTTGGAAACTGCTCCCACAAAATATTATGAGGCTCTTATTATGAGGCTCTGAGCCAAGGTAGAGATGATGTGATTAAGTGAAATGAGATATGCAAAAGGATAAGGTTGGAAATAGGTAATAAATTTGGATTTCAAGCCTGTTTTGTAGGACAGATGGATCTGTAGCTCAAAGGAGAGGTAAAACCTGAAGATAATTATAGATACTTTATTATTAAGGCTATGAGAAGGAATGACAATATTTATGGTGAATTCAGTGGGTTTCTTAAGTGAGTTTATTATAGTCAAGAGTGTCAAGTGGGTGGACGTGGTGGCTCACGCCTGTAATCCCAGAACTTTGGGAGGCTGAGGCGGGCAGATCACCTGAGGTCGGGAGTTCAAGGCCAGCCTTACCAACATGACGAAACCCCATCTCTACTAAAAATACAAATAATAGCCGGACGTGGTGGCACATGCCTATAATCCCAGCTATTCAGGAGGCTGAGGCAGGAGAATTGCTTGAACCTGGGAAGTGGAGGTTGTGGTGAGCTGAGATCACGCCATTGCACTCCAGCCTGGGCAAGGAGAGAAACTCCGTCTCAAAAAAAAAAAATTAATTAATTAAAAAAAAGAGTGTCAAGTGTTATGGGAGATTGGTTAGGTAAGTACTGAAAGTGGATGATTGGCTTTGGCGGTTAGTTTGTCTTGTGTCTGAGAGCCATTTGTATAGTGGCAAATGTTAGATTTCTGGAGGCTGAGGAATGGAAGTTAGGAAATGCAGACAATTAAAATTCTTACACCTTTACATTTTGCTATTTTTTCCTCAGTGTTTTCTTTTGTAGCACTTCTGACTGGTTTATTATTTGCTTTTTCCTTACAATGACATTGTTATTCTATAGCATTCTGTTGAAGATGTAATTACATTTTCTCAATCTGTGATGTCAGGTTGCTTTTTGAAGTATAAAGGTTTAAGAAATACATAATTACATATGATTTTTAAGTGATCTTCTCGGTCTTCAGTTGATTTTTTCCATATATAAATTTAAGGTAGATTCATTTTACATTTGGTATCATGTTAAAATGCTCCCAAAACTACCTACTGTATAATAGGTATTGCAATATTGTTGATCACCTTCAGGATATTATTATCCTGAAATGTCTCCCAGTGGTCCAAGCTGGGACAGTTTGAGCAACAAAATAAATATGAGAGGATTGGATTATAACCTAAAAAATAAAGTCAATATCTATAAATCCATGTTGATTTAAATAAATGATTGACTAAATAAATACTTGGCAGAAAAGAAGCAAATCTTCCTTACAGAAAAATTCCAAATAATATATGTAGAACACACTTTCAGGAGGTGGAACTTAATTTACCTCTTCTTGAATATGGACTGGACTGCTGACTTTTAAAGAACAGAGTATGAAGAGGGAAAAGCAGTAACTTTACAGTGAAGAGGCCTGGCAGACAGCACCTTAACCAAGTTCAAGGTTAACTTCACCAATGATAAGGCATGGTGATATCATGTACTCTCTGATAGAATGTGTTAAATCTAAGCAGAAAAAAAAAATAATAATAATAATAAAGGGCATTCTACAAATACTTGACCAGTACTAAAAAGTATCAAGGACCTGAAAAAACAAGGAAAGTCTGAGAAGCTTTTACAGAACAGAGAAGACTAAGGAGACATGACAACTAAATACAATGTGATATCCCAGATTGACAGTGAAAAAAGGACATGAGTGGAAAAAAATTGGCTAAATCTAAACAAAGTCTGGAATTTTGTTAATAGTATTATTCCAATATTAATTTCTTGGTTGTGACAAATGTACTGTAGTTATGTAAGATGTTAACATTGGGGGATGTTGGGTAAAGGACATACGAGTATTCTCTGTACTATCTTTGTAACTTTTATGTAAATCTGAATTTATTCCAGAATAATGAGTTTTTTTAATACAGCAGAATACAAATTGTTAAGTAAAACATATCTCAAACTGATAATTGATGAAATAAGAAATAAAGGTTATTTACTATTTGTATTGAGTGGATTCCTCATAAGTGTTGGTTGGGGGTAAAACAGGCATATTTGATAAATCATGTTGATATAAATTTCAGGAAAAATAAATGAAACCAGATTAGGGACACTGGAATGTGTAGCTTGGACCAAGGCATTTAACCCTTCTCTCCTTGTTTCAAAAATGGGGAATCAAACTGACTTATCACTTTGAGCATTTTTAAAGTAAACAAGTATATTCACTGTAAAATTAAATCTTATGAAGACTTAAAAGGAATAACAGCTATAATCACTTTTATAAATTATGTGCATATGGTAGTTAGCTTATTTTTCTAACATATACTGTTCTGTACTGTACAGACTAACAGCTATAAAATCAGCTTGATGCAAGTGAAATTACAGTAAAATTACACACTTAAGTAAGGCCAGGTTTCCTGGTTTCTCCCAATCCTGATAGTGATTCTATTTAATTTATGTATGTATGTTAGGTAGACATGAAATAGGTCTCATGGGCAAGAGTTTCTGACTTGGATGAGCAAGAGTTTCTGACCTGGAATGTCAGTTATTTCATCCCTGTTTTTCAGCATATGTGACTCATGGCTGGCTACACATGACAGAACTTACAAACCTGGATTCTAAAATTGGCAGAGCAGTAGAATGGAGTATTTTCATTTAGCATTTATAGCTTACAAGTCATAGAACAAGCAGACAATGGAACATTATTATAAATGATTTACTACATGTAAATTATATACATTATTTGGTGCATTCAGTGATGATGAATATTTTGTCCTCCAAGAATAAGTGAGGCTTAAACCTTTTTTTTTTGGAAAAAGTATATTCACTGTACAAGCATATAGATTGAAGCAAAGAATACTGAGTTTTCTCTTTAACTGAAGAGTATAAGCTTTGATCAGAATATACTGATCTCAAACAATTTCTCTAGTGCTGTTTATAAGACACACCTATGCAACAGTTAGAAGGAATAAGTTCAGATGTTCAGTAGCAGGGTGGGGTGACTATAGGTGACAGCACAATATTGTGTTTTTCAAAAATAGCTAGAAGAGAGGACTTGAAATGTTCCTGACACAGAAATCATAACTACGCAAGGTGATGGATACCCAAAATACTCTGACCTGATTCTTATACATTCTATACATGTAACAAAATATCACATGTACCCAATAAATATGTACAACTATTATGTATCAATTTTAAAAAGATTTAAAACATGATAGAAAAAAGATATGCCTATAAAGGAAGTGTGAACCTACAGAGATGAAAGAAAATTGTTTGTGGTGTGGTTAGTGCAGTTAGGGGAATTTCCAGAAGAATTCCATTTCAGTGAATGATGTCATTTGGGCATTATGAAAAATAGCCTAGTTAGAGAAAAAAACAGAGTTTTTGTTTTGTTTTGTTTTGTTTTGTTTTTTTGAGACGGGGTCTCACTCTGTCGCCCAGGCTGGAGTACAGTGGTGCTATCTTGGCTTACTGCAAGCTCTGCCTCCCGGGTTCATGCCATTCTCCTGCCTCAGCCTCCCAAGTAGCTGGGACTACAGGTGCCCGCCACCACGCCTGGCTAATTTTTTGTATTTTTAGTAGAGACGGGGTTTCACCGTGTTAGCCAAGATGGTCTCAATCTCCTGACCTCGTGATCTGCCTGCCTCGGCCTTCCAAAGTGCTGGGATTACAGACATGAGCCACAGCGCCCGGCCAAAACAGACTTTATAGCTTAAAAATCGCCAGAACAGGCTCTGAGTCATACTCTCTTGTAGTGCATTTAGTTGGTGCATCAGATAAAATGTATTGCTTTCTGTATTTCCCACAATTGAAAACAGCTGTTTTTATTGTGGACCCAGCTTTTACCTTAGCATTCAGCTCATTCACAAGAAGGTTCCAAGGTGGCTATCAACTGTGAACCATACCAAAGGATTCAGAACTTGAATCTGGGAACAAAAAAAATCTTGACCAGAAGTTCTCAAATAGTTTGATATTTTATGTTCATATTCCTTTACTATGGTAGCCATTTTTATTACAACCAATTTTGGTTCAGTCGTTGTTTAACACACATTCCCAAATAGCTTTGACTTATAAATAATGAAAGAAGAGAAATCTTTTTTAAAACTAAACTTTTGTAACAATTTAATTTTGGTGGGAAGGAACAATTTCAGTGTTAGAAACTTTTAAAGTAAATTATTTTAAAATCGATAATATCTTAGAACTGACTACTGCATAGCATTCTTCCAAATTAGCATACTTAATTTATTTTTCTGTAATTCACCCAAAGATATTTCTAGCATTGCAAACATCAAACATTCCACTCATATAAATGATTTCTTAGTTACTTGTGTCTTTAGTGTTGATCTCCAGAGTGTGACTAAAATTCATACTATATTAAGTTATAAAAGCTTTAATAGTGAACTTAGGCTAAAGAAACATATGTTTTGTCCAACCAACTATTGATTTAATTCACTGTTTTTTTTTTTTTTTTTTTTTTTGCTAATTTGTATTTGGCACCAGGGAAATTCCTTGTTTTTCTAGGCTAGGATGCTCAGGGCTTCAATGAGTAGTTAGTTGAATCTTTATTCTCATGATTTCTTTGGGATGCCTCCACCACTGCAGACACTATTATCAGTGAGAATTTTATCTATTCTGCTATCTTTGCCTGTTTTACTGTCTTCACACCCAGGCATCTGTAAAAGTAGCATTACTTTTATATCTTTGGTTTGTTTTAGTTCCTCCAGTGGAAATGTCAATCAAGATTTTTTGTGGCAAATCAATTTGAAAACAGGTTCTTGGTTTCTGCTCATTTTCTGTTTATTATAAAGATTTTCATAATCTTATTTCTTTATGATCCAGTTATGTTCTTTTTTTACTTTTTCAACTTTGACAGTTTGTATCCCTGATTTCATCTTACAGTTTTGCTGTAAAAGCACTACCTTTCCCCTCTTGTTTAAATTGGCAAAAATGTTTCTGTAAATCCTGTCTTTATCTTCAAAAGTTCATCAAATACTGGCCAAATAAAATCCAGAGAGTCTATAATTAAAATCACTTCCAAGGTTCCTTCACATTTGCAAGTTTGGTTTTAATTCTTAATTTTCTCTGTATTATTCCAATTTATGGTATTCTCTTTTTCTGTCTTCCTCTTTACTAGTAGTCTGCCTTGTTTACATGAGGGCCTTTATTTCCAACGGAAGAAAAACTATTTCCCTTAATAATCTACTTATATTTATTCTGAAATCCAATTTTATTTAGGTACTTTTTTTTTTTGCAGCTTGCCTATAATTTCTACTTCCTGCATTTATGTGTGTAGAATTTCCAAACATATTCTGAAGTTGTCATCATCTGAGTGATGAGACACAGCGGTGGTCTACGTAGTAATATTGTGAACTAAGGAATTCCTATTTGTAGTCTTTATTCACTTCTGAAATACTTATTCTGCTTTATAGTATTTTGAAATGAAAAATGATGGGAACTCTTTGATATCTACAATTGTGTTCTTTGTGTGTATGCTTTGAGGAAGTGTCAGATTTTCTTGAACTAGAATTCATATAAACCTCTTGTCCTTTGTGGAATGGGGAGCCTCCACACATCCTTCCAGGCAGATCTAAAATGGCTACTCTTGAGACATGAGCAAACATTTGTCACATGATGGAGACAGCAAGGAAAAGGGCTAAGTAGGGGAAGCAGAAAACTACTTTCTCCCTTGGGAAAAAACTGAGCAGAAAGCCAGACGTCTTCTGGTTCTGACTCATCTCTTGGGCATACTCTGCAAAAGCTATGGCGAAGAGTCAGTGAATTAGAAGATTCACTCAGAGTAACTTTTTCCTACCCTGCAAGTACCTACCAGCCCTGGAGGTGCCTATATGAGTAGTACTTCTTAATTGGATTCACTCTATGTTTAAGGTAAATGCTTGATGTTAATAGGTTAGTTCTAGCTCCCTACTGGGTATAACTCACTGCTCTTCTTTCTATCATTATTATTATTATTATTAAGGCAAGGGTCTCACTGTCGCCCAGGATGGAGTGCAGTGGTGCGATCACAGCTTGCTGAAGCCTCTACCTCCTGGGCTCAAGCGATCTTCCCACTTCAGCCTCCCAAGTAACTGGGACTACAGGGTATGCACCACTATGCCCAGCTAATTTTTATTTTTTTTTGTAGAGACTGAGTTTCGCCATATTGTCCAGGCTAGTCTTGAACGCCTGAACTCAAGCAACCTGGCTACCTCGGCCTAGCAAAGTGCTGGGATTACAGGCATGAGCCCCCACACCTGCCTATGTAAAAATTCCATAATAAACCTAAGGACTCAATTAATATATAGTAGTCACTAATATTTATAAAACATTTTGAATTTTATAAAATTGTTTTTGGATTACATTATCTCGTTTTGGGACTCACAACAATGCTGTAACTTAGCTTTATTAAACCAAAGCCCAGGCACATTTACTTCTATAGATTCTCTCTAGTTTAATTTGTAGCAGAGCCAGGAGTCAAACCCAAGGATGCTTTACTCCATAGTCCATGTACTGAACACGATATCGCACTCGACTCTGCTCTGCATTATGTTTTAGGTTTGGACACATACATATATATTGGTCTCTGTTGAATTGGACATACTAGTTCTCTGGGCATTATCTGGTTCTTTCTGGAAGCCCAACTGCAAATTGGCGTTTATAAAACAGTGTATTTCTGGCAATGTTACAGATGTTTGCAGATTTCATATGATTCCTACTGTTAGGCTAATTTTAACATACTTTGAACATCTTTTAACTGGTTGCTATTTCTTTTACATAAGTGATAGCATCACTTTCCAGTCTTAAACTTGGTTGCTTTATATCGTTAATGTTTTTTCAGTTATCCTCATCTTCTTACTGCCTCTGTGAGCACTGCTTTTAAGTGAAATAAGATGCTAGAGCTGATGATTACCAAGCGATAGAGATCTGTATCTCAAGGATACAACTTGATTCTTTTTAAATATGGAATATTGTTAAGAATAGCTCTGCTCTGTATGAACAGGGAATTCAAACTTTTAAAAATGAAAAATGAGAACCTTCCTGAATGAAATTTTACTCAAATCTCCTATTAAATCCTAAGAATAGGCTGCTGGCTTCCATTACTTTCAGGAAATGAAAAATGGCTTAGAAGCTAAGTGAGCTAAGTAAGCCATCTCTCTCTCAATTGTTTCAGTTTCTCAGGAATTGCTGCCAATAATGCTGCCAATAATGATCTCCATGGATCTGACCCCCATTCCATCTCCCACTGCCTCTGAAGCTCCAGATGTCACCAAAAGAAGGAGCTTTGAAGAAAGTGCCTGTACCCTCTTTTTACCCTGAGGTGGGTGAGGCCAGGCAGGGTGATTCTCAGGATATCCTGATTATCAAAGGTACAGTTGAAGCCTTCATCAAGACTTTCTTGAAGATGACCAAGAAATTCAGGAAACACTACCAAATAGCCTAAGAACTGAAGATGGAGCTCAAGAATGGATGGCACAAGTGCCACCTAAAATGTAGTGCATGATGATATACACGATGATTAGTAAGCTCCTTGAGGGCAGAGACCATTACACCATTTGTAGTCTTCCCCCTACCTTCACAATATCTAGCATAGTACCAAACATATAAACTATACTCACTTAATAAATGTTAGTTTATTACTGAGAGAAAAGACTATATAAAAAGTGCTCTTAGGGCTGGGCGCAGTGGCTCATGCCTATAATCCCAGCACTTTGGGAGGCTGAGGCGGGCGGATCACTTGAGGTAAGGAGTTTGACACCAGCCTGGCCAACATGATGGAACCCCGTCTCTACTAAAAATACAAAAAATTAGCTGGGCATGGTGGCCCATGCCTGTAATCCCAGCTACT
The DNA here is from genome assembly GCF_000001405.40 of Homo sapiens. Taxonomy (NCBI): domain Eukaryota; kingdom Metazoa; phylum Chordata; class Mammalia; order Primates; family Hominidae; genus Homo; species Homo sapiens. The sequence goes on along the minus strand of NC_000001.11, from coordinate 155,461,924 downwards.
CAGGAGGCTGAGGCAAGAGAAACACTTGAACCCGGGAGGCAGAGGTTTCAGTGAGCCAAGATTGCACCACTGCTCTCCAGCCTGGGAGACAGAGTCCGTCTCCCAAAAAAAAAAAAAAAAAACCCTCAAACCCCTCTTTTCTTAGTACTTAATCCATGATCAGGAATGGTGATACAGTTGACTATTATCTCAGGCTTCTTGGCCACTATTGTCTTCTGTCTTGACTATGTGTTGGGTAGGAAATATGTATCTGTCTGTATATTAAGTTTTCAGTATTAATACTTAAAGTTATGTCTTCTCTGATGCCTGGGCTTTTTATTTCTTAGATGTTTCATTGCGACATTCAGTTATTTAATGGAAATATCTCATCTGAACCACACTCGAGGAGGATTTATTATACTGTCAGATATAAAAATCCATCTTGTATCTGTTGTTAAGATTCAACAATAAACAATCTTGCTGCTTGAATAGGTCTACATCAGTCATCATTGTGTTTCAGAAGTAGGATGTACTATCACATCAATTTTCTAAAAAAAAATTTAACGTGTTACTCTTGAATGACAGCATATAGTCTTACATCTCACCTGAGCAGTGCTTCCCATAGCCTGCTAAAAGACTATTTACAGCAATGTGATTTAAGATACTACTTAATTGAAACAAGGCTCATGGTCTATTTCTCTTAGAGAAAAGGAAACAGCAACTTAGCTCCATTCAGTTCTTCTGACCCTAAGTTTTCTTAGAGAATTAATCACATCTTCTTTTAGGAGTGAACTTTCATTTAGAGGCAGATCTTGAAAATCTTCAACTTTTTGATTTATTGTACCTTTTGCGGCTCCAGTTACATGTAAGTTTTTTTATTTGTAATTTTTTCCCATCAATAAGCATTTCAGATTACTAGTTTTTTGACAAACATGAGGTAGACATTCATTACCAACTCTTAATAGCTGGCATTTTAGATTATAAAGAATCCAATATAAGAATCAAGTATATTTTATTCAGGAAAATAATCTTACATCAACAACATACTTTTCTTTTGAGCGGGAGATGTAATATGCTCTATAGATTTGCGGTTTTGCTAAAAGCATGAAAGTTTTTGAAAGGAAATTGAGTTTCTTTGTCTTCATAAGCTTTTATGTATATAGCCAAGGATCCTTAAGTGTACAGCTTTAAAAGAAACTTACTGTATTTCATGGATAAATTAATTACCAGTTTTTCTAGAATTTGCAAAAGGAAGAAAAACATAGAATCTGAAAATAATTTCTGTGAATTGGATAGGATGTGTGGGTTTAAGGTTTGAGGCTTTACTTTCTTTTTTTTGAGATGGAGTCTTGCTCTGTTGCCCAGGCTGCAGTGCAATGGCGCAATCTCGGCTCACTGCAACCTCTGCCTCCCAGGTTCAAGCGATTCTCCTGCCTCAGCCTCTCGAGTAGCTGGGATTACAGGCATGTGCCACCATGCCTGGCTAATTTTTGTATTCTTAGTAGAGGCAGGGTTTCACCATGTTGGCCAGGCTGGTCTCAAACTCTTGACCTTGTGATCCACCCGCCTCGGCCTCCCAAAGTACTGGGATTACAGGCGTGAGCCACTGCGCTGGGCCCTCACATCAACTTTTTAATAAATTACATTGTAAATTTTGTCAGTTTATATGATGAATTTTAATCAATAATCCAGAACAGATTTGGTTAAAATATTGTTAGTAATTTGTATCAATATTTTAAATAATGTTTTAGGCTAGTAACACATGAAAACTAAATCATATCTTGTTTATTCTTCCATTAAAATTAGTTTTTCCTCTGGTAATGTAACAGGAGAACTTATGTATATAAGATCTGTGAAATTCTGACAACAACATATAGTGTGATTTGTCCTCTGCTTATTTTCCTCCTAATATCAGGTTACAAGTCATGTTATTACAGGGGATGACAGTGGCAGCAACTAAACTGTAACAAGTTCTAACAAAAGATGGTTTCACATTATTTTTAAAGTTGAATTTTCCTATGATTTCTATCTTTTTCTCTTTCTCCAGGCTCCCAGCCAACCTCTGATAAACCCTCCCAGCGGCCATCAGAGAGCACAAATTGTAGCCCTACCCGGAAAAGGTCTTCATCTGAGAGTACTTCTTCAACAGGCTAGTGCTATTTGTTTTACCAGATTTTCAAGATAGTTTCCCATTTGTTATTTGTGAATAAGGAGTTACAATATTGTAGAAAAAATAATGGGGACTGTATCATATATGGTATTTTATTTTTCCATTCAAAGGAGTTGAAACAATAGACTTGGTATTTGAGAATCAGTAATGTACATTGAAACAATATAGTAGTCTTCCCCTTTACAAAGCTGAATTAAAGTAAAAGTGTGTGTTGGGAATAATAGGGGAATGTGGATTGTAGCTGTTTAATAAAGATTTAGATACATATAAAATTGCTTAAGGCCAGGCGCTGTGGCTTACGCCTATAATCCCAGCACTTTGGGAGGCTGAGGTGGGTGGATCACCTGAGATCAGGAGTTCGAGACCACCCTGTTCAACATGGTGAAACCCCATCTGTACTAAAAATACAAAAACTAGCCAGGCATGGTGGCGTGCACCTGTAATCCCAGCTACTTGGGAGGCTGAGGCAGGAGAATCTCTTGAACCTGGGAGGCGGAGGTTGCAGTGAGCGGAGATCACTCCACTGCTTTCCAGCCTGGGTGACAGAGTGAGACTCTGTCTGAAAAAAAAAAAAATTGTTTAGTAAACTAGTAATTTCCAAAGTAGCATTCAGAAATCTCTAGGGATATGCAAAATAATTAAGAGTTCATGAGGAGAACCTCTATTAATAGTTATTTTTAAACTTCTTAATTGCTAATGTTTATATATTTACAACCTGTTAATACATACAACATATTTGTATAATTTATACAGAAATTTAGGGTATGCTTCCAATTTTCTTTTTATGGATAGTTTGTGTGTTTACCAAAAAAAAAAAAAAAAAGAGAGAGGATGATTTATACCTGTTTTCTGCCTTTTCCTGATGGTTGAAGAGTAAGAAATAATTTTTTTAATGTATTAATTTTACTGAGAGAGATGGAGAGTGATAGATTAATTCCAGATAGTGAGGAATATATTAAAGAGAATTTAGAGTGTTCAGGAAAATAAATAAAAAAGCCAGTGTGGTCAGACTAAAGACGGTTGGTTGGTTGGTTGGTTGGTTGGTTGGTTGGTTGGTTTTGAGATGAGTCCCACTCTGTTGCCCAGGCTGGAGTACAGTGGTGCAATCTCGGCTCACTGCAACCACTGACTCCTGGGTTCAAGTGATTCTCTTGCCTCAGCCTCCTGAGTAGCTGGAATTACAGGTGCCCACCATGATACCCGGCTAATATTTTTGTATTTTTAGTAGAGACTAAAATTCGCCATGTTGGCCAGGCTGGTCTCGAACTCCTGACCTCAGATGATCTGCCGGCCTCAGCCTCCAAAAGTGCTGGGATTACAGGCATGAGCCACCGCACCCAGCCAAAGATGGTTTTTTAATATGAGGCTGGAAACGTAGTAGAGAATTAGTGATGTAGAGCCTTAAACACAGTTGGAAGTTGTGGAAACGTAAACAAGGAAGTGACATTATCTCCTGCCTTTCTATCTCTAGGTCTTTGAAGAAGTAGAAGGCCTTTCAAATTGTATCAATATGGTATTTGTTGAATTTAGTTGATGATTATCTTTAGAAGCTCTTTGTTAGTCCAGTTGTCTGCTTGGCAGCAAGTGATAGTTGTATCTCTCTTGGTGCTTTGTTTTTATACTACCATGGAGAGACTTTTGTACTCTAACAAGAAGTGACTTAATTTCTCTGATGTTTACCTAGACCAGGGTAAGGAAACTCAGCCTATGGGCCAAATGCAGTCCAAGGCCTGTTTTTGTGTAGCCCTCAAGCTAAGAATTATTTTTAGGTTTTTAAAGGCTTGGGGAGAAAAGATGAAGTATAATATGAGGTAAGCATTATATATGTCCTCAAAAGCCTAAAATATTTACTCTCTGGCCTTTTACAGAAAAAGTTCACCAACCCCTGAACAAATGAATGAGATTTTGATAAGGGACATATCAATGTTGAAAATCACCAAAATATTTTACTTTTGTAAACAAAAGAAAGAATATCTAAATTCATAATGTTTCTTTTGCAATGAGACTATTCTGTTCATTGAATTAGATTTCTGTTGAGGGTTGCTGTGAGTAGTGAGCACTGGGAATACAAATACGAGTAAGATTGAGTTACTGCCCTCAATAATTCAGACATATTCACTGAAAAGCAATGTATTAAATTCTGTAACAGAGCAGTGTACAAAATGCTATGACACAGAGAAATTCAAGCACTAACCACTTGAAATGACTGAAGAAGATATCACTGAATAAGTCACGCACACTACTGTATATTGAATTTACTTAAGTAGGCAAGTGGGACAACATAAAGGGTAATAATGTAGCACAGTAACAACAGCACTTTCGAAGAAAGGCACAAAACCATGAAATAGCATAGTGTTTTTGAAGAATAACCCATTGTTGGATATGACTAATGTACATAAGTGGTGGTGATGGTGGTTGGAAAAGGAGGTTGTAAAAGCAATAATGGGGACTATATCATATATGGTATGTTTTTTTCATTCAGAGGAGTTGGAACTTCATTGTACATGCAATTGGGAGCTACTGAACAATTTCTAACAAGGAAGATAAATTATTTGATATGCTCTATCAGTAAGAATAGGATAGGTCTTGGAGTGTTAAAAAATGATCCCCAAATCTCAGAGGCTTAAAACAACAAAGGCTTATTTTTTGTTCATGCTGTGTGACCATCAAGAGTCCACTCCATGTTGCCTTCCCTCTAGGACCCCGGCTAACAGAGAACCTGTACCTTGAATGTTGCTTGTCTTCTGGCGGAGGGGAAAGGGCCATAGTAAAGCACTAAGTGGCTATTAAAATTTCTGCATTAAATGTTACTTCTCAGTTTCAGTGCCAAAGCAAGTCATGTGGTTAAGTCTTGTGTCAATGGGACTAGAAAGTATAATCCTTTTGGCGGTGGGGGGTGGATAGCAAATATTTGTAAGTAATATTATAGTCTATCATATGTGTATGTTAAAAAATGCTATAACATTACAATATGAAGAATGGAGTGTGACAAATGCATGCAGACAGAGTAGATAAGGGCTTCAGATTTGGATATATTAAATTTGGACTGTCTTTGGCCTATTTAGGTAGAGATATTGAATAGACCGTTAGAAGCAGTGGTTTATACTTTTAGAGACATCTGTGGTAGAGATCTACCAGTATATATATGAACTTGAATTTGGCAGTGAAAGAGATCATCCAGGGAGAATGTGTTAAGTGAGGTGATGGGGACGGAGACCTAAGAAACTCGAGCATTTTGGAGGGAAGTGGAAGAAAAGATGTTTAGTGAAGGACACTTAAATAAGAAACATCAAACTGTATATGTCACAGAAGCCTAAACAAGACTTCAGAATGGAATAGATTAGTCAACATTAGATGTCACAAAGAGATCAAGAAGAGTTCGATCAGAAAGTGTCAAATGATTGAGAAAATAAGAAAAAATAGTCTGAGAATGTGAAAGTTTGGAGCTTGAAAGAGGGAAAGGAGACTTAAAATTCAGGTGGCATTGAAATAAATTAGAGCTCTTTATTTCCAGCAATGTGGTAGATTAGGTGTGCAGAGCAAGCAAACACCTTGTTATCTAAAACCTGAAAATACATGGACAACATTTCTTACAGTATGACTGAACTTTGAAGTAACTAAATAGGAAACCAGAAACTTCAGAAAGTTCAATTCAACAGAGATAAAGAGCATTAGAGCTGCTTGACATCTGCTTGATCCCTGGTGGCTGGGAGTCTGGTAATTGGAACACATCCAGCTGGAAGAGACAAAAGACAGAGCCTAGGACTCTAGTAGAACAAAAAACCACATATGCATAAAGTTGGAACCCCCAAAAGGTGACACTTAACAATGTACGGGAAAATAGAAATAAACCTATCATAGAAAAGGACAGTTTCTTGTTTTAGTTTTGGCTTTGGAAGGAGGAAGAAAAAGGAGTTCCTGACCACAAGCTCTTACTAATTCTCTGCCTCTCCTACAGATTTATATTGTTTGTCAGACCCAGAAAAAAGTTAAAATAAAATTTGTCATAGGTTTGTAATGTTCCCAGTTGCATTGCAGAGCCAAATGCAAATACTCTAGAGAATTGCCATTAAATATAAACCTGAGCTTTCAAAATCACTGTATTCACAATTTTGGTTGACCTAGCTTTCTCATATATTGTAGCAACACAGGGAATGACAGCCTTTATTTTGCAATTTAAAGGCAAAGAAATAAACCAGAATCATGTCCTAACCTTCTAGGTATAGTCAAAGGAATACCATACCTCTAGAAACCATCTGTTTAGTAAACTGAGGTATGTAAACAACTGTAGAAACAAAAAGCAATTTGTATTTTGGATAAGATGCCTCAAGGCCCATCCTTGAACTAAATTCCTGTTTTTGAGATAAATCCAAAGGGATAATATACTAACAGTATATGATTTTACTGAAATCTGTAGTCTTTATTATGCATATCAGGAACCCATAGTAACAAAATTATTATTGATGAGTACAATCTAAGCCTTTTCTGGAGGTTTTTAATATCTTATTAGGTCTTTAGGATGTAATATGAGGATAACTATTTTCATTTCTGAAATGAGTATTTGCAAATACTCTGTTAAAGTTTACATCTCTCTTAGAGGTCTTTTTTTAAATATTTGTAGCTTTTAAGATATTTATGTCTCTTTGCTCATTTCTCAGGTATTTGACATAACTGAAGATTTTTATAATTAGGACACAAATCCATGGTAATTTTCACATTCTAGAGAACATAAATCCCTTCAATAGTGTTTCACAGAATCATTTCGTCTTTTTATAGCTGGTTTACAAATATTGTTACATTGATGAGAGAGGTAGTTCTTTTATAATTTTATTACTGAGCAACTATTATATTCAGGCTACCAAATTCAACTACTATTTTAAGCCAAAAGACTATAAGAGACATTCCATAATACCAAGGAACTTATGTTAAGATCAATTTATCTTGAGAGCAACAATAAAATATGCTAGTGATTTTACATAAATTTATTTATTTATTTATTTATTATTTTTGACAGAGTCTCGCTCTTGTCACCCAGGCTGGAGTGCAGTGTCACGATCTCAGCTCACTGCAACCTCCACCTCCCAGGTTCATGCGATTCTCCTGCCTCAGCCTCTCTTGTAGCTGGGATTATAGGCATGTGCCACCACGCCTGGCTAATTTTTGTATTTTTACTAGAGATGGGGTTTCACCATGTTGGCCAGGCTGGTCTCGAACTCCTGACCTCAAGTAATCAGCCCACCTCGGCCTCCGAAAGTGCTGGGATTACAGGCCTGAGCCACCACTCCTGACCTGTATAGTATTATTCTACACATAACCGAATGCTGAAATGATGGAAAGTTAATCAGAAAATGCTTCCATAATCTTTGTATTGAGGTTTAAAAGACATCATACATATGCCATGACTGAAGAGGTAAGTGGGAGAAGAGGAGAAGGCATTTTGATGTAATGGGAAAACTATGTACTTTTGACTTAGATCTAGTTGATTCACATTTAGCAATATCATGTAACCTTGTGGAAGTTACATAAACCATTCAACCCATGGCTTTCTTATCTGTAACATGAGGCTACTACTTCTATTTATCTTGCAGACTAGTGGGAATTAGAGTAAGTGGATAAGAAATTCTTATCACTGAATTAGTTTTTGAGTAAATGGTAACTTCTCTTATTTTTTGAGATGGAGTCTTGCTCCGTCGCTCAGGCTGGAGTGCAGTGGTGCGATCTCGGCTCACTGCAAGCTCCGCCTCCCAGGTTCATGCCATTCTCCTGCCTCAGCTTCCCGAGTAGCTGGGACTACGGGCGCCTGCCACCACGCCCCGCTAATTTCTTTTTGTATTTTTAGTAGAGACGGGGTTTCACCGTGTTAGCCAGGATGGTCTGGATCTCCTGACCTCGTGATCTGCCCGCCTCAGCCTCCCAAAGTGCTGGGATTACAGGCGTGAGCCACTGTGCCCGGCCTTTTTGTTTTTTCTTTTTTTTTGACACGCAGTCTCCCTCTGTTGCCCAGGCTAGAGTGCAATGGTGCAATCTCGGCTTACTGAAGCCTCTGCCTCCCGGGTTCAAGTGATTCTGCTACCTCAGCCTCCCGAGTAGCTGGGACTGCAGATGTGCACCACCACACCAGCTAATTTTTATATTTTTAGTAGAGATGGGGTTTCACTATGTTGGCCAGGCTGGTTTTGAACTCCTGACCTCAGGTGATCCACCTGCCTTGGCTTCCCAAAGTGCTGAGATTAGAGGCGTGAGCCACTGCACCCAGCCATAAATGGTAACTTCTGTTGTTACTGTTGCTACCGTTGGCCCTCCTGCCATTATTATGACGGTATGGAATGAGAATTAGGTCATATACAAGGGAGACGGAGTATAGTGGTAAAGCATAAAAAAAGATTGCAAAGGCGTTTAGCCACATTTTTTTCTTTTTTATGGGATGGAGTCTTGCTCTGTCACCCAGACTGGAGTGCAGTTGCATGATCATGGCTCACTGCAGCCTTTGCCTCCCGGGTTCAAGTGATTCTCCTGACTCAACCTCCACAGTAGCTGGGACTATAGGTGTGTGCTACCACGCCTGGCTAAGTTTTGTATTTTTAGTAGGGACAGGGTTTTGCCATGTTAGCCAGGCTGATCTTGAACTCCTAACCACAGATGATCTGCCTGCCTCGGCCCCCCAAAGTGCTGGGATTTCAGGCCTGAGCCACTGTGCCTGGCCTGTTTAGCCACATGTGATGAGTAGTCTTAAATCTTTGCTGGCTACTAGGCCCTCCTTGCATAGAGTGAAACTCCAAAAAAATGGCCTAAGAAAAACTAGGGAGTTGTATATGAAAAATTCCTAAGGTTTACATGTGGCATGAGACATTTGAACTCTGACTACCAACTGTAGAGTCCTTGGGGACAATTATGAAGGCCCCCATAAAGATTACATCTTGGTCAGACGTGGTGGCTCACACCTGTTATCCCAGCACATTGGGAGACCAAGGCGGGTAGATCACTTGAGGCCAGGAGTTCGAGGGCAGCCTGGCCAACATGGCAAAACCCCATTTCTACTAAAAACACATATAAATTAGCCAGACATGGTCACGCACACCTGTAGTCCCAGCTACTTGGGAGGCTGAGGCAGGAGAATTGCTTGAACCCAGGAGGCAGAGGTTGTAAACCCAAGATTACACCACTGCACTCCAGCCTGGGCAACAGAGCAAGACCCTGTCTCAAAAAGGAAAAAAAAAAAAAAAAGGTTACACCTTAGCAGGGCTAAAGTATCTCTGGAATGAAGATTACACTAGACCCTAGTAATGATTTAAAACAGGATTCAAGGAATCAAACTGTCAAACTGTTCTACAAATAACTGATTTTTAAAACAAAGTTCAACATTTAAAAACATTTTAATTGTGAAAAAACAAAAATTTTTTTTAATTGTGGCAAAATACAGACAATATAAAATTTACCGGCAGGACGCAGTCGGTCACGCCTGTAATCCCAGCACTTTGGGCGGCCGAGGTGGGCAGATCACCTGAGGTCCGGAGTTGGAGACCAGCCTGGCCAACATGGCAAAACCCCGTCTCTACTAAAAATACAAAAACTAGCCAGGTATGATGGCGGGCGCCTGTAATCCCAGCTACTCGGGAGGCTGAGGCACGAGAATCGCTTGAACCCAGGAGGTGGAGGTTGCAGTGAGCCAAGATCATGCCACTGCATTCTAGCCTGGGTGACAGAGTGAGACTGTCTCAAAAAAAAAAAAAAAATTACCATCTTAACCATTTCTAAAGCCGTGTGCAATGGCTCACGTCTGTAATCCCAGCACTTTGGGAGGCTGAGGCAGGCGGATCACCTGAGGTCAGGAGTTCAAGACTAGTCTGGCCAACATGGTGAGACCCCATCTCTACTAAAAATATAAAAATTAGCCGGCCATGGTGACACATGCCTGTAGTCCCAGCTACTCAGGAGGCTGAGGCAAGAGAATCGTATGAACTTGGAGGCGGAGGCTGCCGTGAGCTGAGATCACACCAGTGCACTCCAGCCTAGGAGATGGAGCTAGACTCCCCATTTCTTTTCTTTTCTTTTTTTTTTTCAGAGTCTCGCTCCTGTCGCCCAGGCTGGATTCCAAGTACAAGCGATTCTCCTGCCTCAGCCTCCAAGTAACTGGGATTACAGGTGTCCACCACCACGCCAGCCAATTTTTGTATTTTTAGTAGAGATGGGGTTTTGCCATGCTGGCCAGGCTGGTCTTGAACTCCTGACCTCAGGTGATCCGCTGGCCTTGGCCTCCCAAAGTGCTGTGATTACGGGCGTGAGCCACCGCGCCTGCCTAGACTCCCCATTTCTAAGTGTACAGTTAATTCACTAGTGTTAAGTACATTTACATTATTGTGCAACCAATCTCCGTAACTTTTTTCATCTTGCAAAACTGAAACTCTGTATCCATTAAATAAGAACTTCATATTCCCCTGTCCCTTCAGTCCCTGGCAATCACCCACTAAAGTGGAACCATACGGTGTTTGTTTTTTTGTGACTGGCTTACTTAACTTAGAGCATAAGTTCCTCAGGGTTTATTTTTTATTTATTTTTATTTCTTTTTTTTTTTTTTTTTGAGGTGGAGTTTTGCTCTTGGTGCCCAGGCTGCAGTGCAATGGAGAGATCTCAGCTCACTGCAACCTCTACCTCCTGGGTTCATGTGATTCTCCCGCCTTAGCCTCCCGAGTAGCTGGGATTACAGGCATGTGCCACCATGCCAAGCTAATTTTGTATTTTTAGTAGAGATAGGGTTTCTTCATGCTGGTCAGGCTGGTCTCAGACTCCTGACCTCAGGTGATTCGACCGCCTTAGCCTCCCAAAGTGCTGGGATTACAGGTGTGAGCCACTGCACCCAGACAGGGTTTATCCATTTTTTAGCATGTGTCAGAATTGCCTTCCCTTTTAAGGCTGAATAATATTCCTTTGTATGTTTTACCACATTTTGTTTATTGTTATTTGTTTATAAATGGTTACTTGGGTTGCTACCAACCTTGGCCATTTGTGAATAATACTGCTATGAGCAATGGTGAACAGATACCTCTTCCAGACCCTGCTTTCAGTTCTTTCTGGTATATACCCAGAAGTGGAATTCCTCGATTATATGGTAATTCCATTTTTAATTTTTTGATGGATTGTCCTACTGTTTTCCACAATGGTGTGCCATTTTACATTCCCATCAACAGTGTACAAATGTTCCAGTTTTTTCAACTTCAACATTTTTTAAAGGAAGACAACAAAATCCAAACACTTAATAGTTATCCAAAATGAAGTACAGAGTGGAATAAAAGATTGACCAAAAAAATGAATGAAACTTTAGTGACCTGTGGTACAATATCAAGAGGGCTAATATACATGGGATAGAGTCTCATAAAGAACAAATTGGGAATAGCAGTTGAAGAAATAATGTTTAATATTTCTTTCACACTTTCATTAAAACTATATCCCACAGATCGATGAAACTCTACGAATCCCACGTAGGATAAACACACTGACAGCATACATAGACATATTAAAGGACATTATTACCAAATTTCTGGAAAACGATTGTAAAGAGAAAATCTTAAAATTAACCAGCAGAAAGAAAATTAAAAACACATACATACAAACACATACAGAGGAACACAGTAACAACTATCAGCAGACATATTGTCAGAAATTTTACAAGCCAAAACACAATGGAATGATGTCTTTAAATGTGGAAAGGAAAAATAACATCTGTCAACTTAAAATTTTTTAACCAGCAAAAATATCTTTCAAAAATGGAGGCAAGATAAACATTATCAGAAAAAGAAAAGTTTAAAGAATTTGTTGCCAGTAGACCTACAGTAGCAGAAACACTAAAGGACGTTCTTCAGATAGAAAGAAAACATAGTAGGTAGAAACATGGATCTACCAAAGGAGTAAAGAGTGCCAGAAATTGTCAACCAATGGGAAAATATAAAACACATTTTTCTCGGCTGGGCGCAGTGGCTCACGCCTGTAATCCCAGCACTTTGGGAAGCTGAGACGGGCAGATCATGAGGTCAGGAGATCGAGATCATCCTGGCTAACATGGTGAAACCCCATCTCTACCAAAAATACAAAAAAGTAGCCAGGCATGGTGGCGGGCGCCTGTAGTCCCAGCTACTCAGGAGGCTGAGGTAGGAGAATGGCGTGAACCTGGGAGGCAGAGCTGGCAGTGAGCCGAGATCGTGCCACTGCACTGCAGCCTGGGTGATAGAGCGAGACTCTGTCTCAAAAAAAAAAAAAAACAACCACATTTTTCTCATATTCTTTTGAAGTGCGTGTGGAATTATACCAAGATACCATCCTATTCTGGGTAATCAAATGTCTTGATACGTTTTAAAAGATTAAACTCATGCAGAATATATTTTCAGACCACAACAGAATTAAATTAGAATTCAGTAACACAAGTTATGAAATTCTCTAAATATGTGGAAATTAAATAACACACTTCTAAATAATTCATAAGTAAAAGATGAATCCCCAAAAATGAAATCAGAAAATACTTTGAAATGAATAAAAATGAAAGACACATAGGGCCGGGCGTGGTGGCTCACGCCTGTAATCCCAGCACTTTGGGAGGCCAAGGCGAGTGGATCATGAGGTCAAGAGATCGAGACCATCCTGGCCAACATGGTGAAACCCTATCTCTGCTAAAAATACAAAAAAATTAGCTGGGCGTGGTGGCACATGCCTGTAGTCCCGGCTGCTTGGGAGGCTGAGGCAGGAGAATCACTTGACCTCGGGAGGTGGAGGTTGCAGTGAGACGAGATCGTGCTACTGCACTCCAGCCTGGCAACAAAGCGAGACTCCGTTTAAAAAAAAAAACACACACACACATAGAAATTTGTGGGATAATCTAAGAATATTTATAGCTGAGATTATTAAACACCAAAGATCTATCTAAGTCAGTTCTCACCTTTAGGAAGCTGAAAAAAGAAGAGCAAGTAAAACCTGCATTAGAAAGAAGATAGTGGGCTGGGCGCAGTTGCTCACGCCTGTAATCCCAGCACTTTGGGAGGCCGAGGCGGGCAGATGACCAGGTCAGGAGTTTGAGACCAGCCTGACCAACATGGTGAAACCCAGTCTCTACTAAAAAAATACAAAAATTAGCTGGGCGTGGTCACGCGCACCTGTAATCCCAGCTACTTAGGAGTCTGAGGCAGGAGAATTGCTTGAACTGGGAGGCAGAGGTTGCAGTGAGCTGAGATCGCACCATTGCACTCCAGCCTGGGTGACGGAGCAAGTCTCCGTCTCAAAAAAGAAGAAAGTGAAAGTTGGGTGGTGTGGCACCCCTGTGCCTGAAGTCTTAGCTACCTGCGTGACTGAGGCAGGGAAAAGACTACTTAAGCCAAGGAGGTTGAGGCTAGTCTGAGCACCTTGGCAAGACCCATCTCAATACAACAACAACAACAACAACAACAAAACGAAAAGAAAAATAAAAATTAACCCAGAATAGCCAAAGCTATTTCTAAGCTGAAAGGGAGAAATAACTTTACCTGACTTCAGTTATGCTACAGAGCTATGATAACCAAAACAGCATGGTACTAGCATAAAAATAGACACATAGACCAGTGGAACAGGAGAGAGAACCCAGAAACAAATCCACACACCTACAGTGAACTTATTTTTGACAAAGGTCCCAAGAGCATAAAGTCTCTTCAATAAATAGTGCTGGGAATACTGGATATTCATATGCAAAAGAAAAACTTGACCCCTGTCTCTCAGCACATACAAAAACTGAAATCAAAATGGATGAAAGGCTTAAATCTAAGATCTCAAAAGTATGAAACTACTATAAGAGAACATTGGGAAAACTCTCCCGGATATTGATCTGAACAAAAATTTATGAGCAATACCCCACAGGCACAGGCAGCCAAACAAATATGGATAAATGTGATCAAATCAAGTAAAAAAGCTTCTGCACAGCAAAGTATACAATCAATAAAGTGAAGAGACAACCCACAGAATGGGAGAAAATATTTGCAAACTACACATCTGACAAAGTGTTCATAACCAGAATATGTAAATTCAAACCACTCTATAGGTAAAAGTCTAATAATCTGTTTAAAAAATGGACAAAAGACTGAAGAGATATTTCTCAAAAGAAGATGCTACAAATGGCAACAGGCATAGGTATTCAACATCATTGATTATCAGAGGAATGCAAATCAAAACTACAATGAGATATCATCTCACCCCAGGTAAAATGGTTTATACCCAAAAGACAGGCAGTAACAAGGCTGAGTGTGGTGGTTCACTCCTGTAATCCTGTCACTTTGGGAGCCTGAGGCATGCGGATTGCCTGAGCTCAGGAGTTCGAGACCAGCCTTGAGCAACACATGAAACCCCGTCTCTACCAAAAATATAAAAATTAGCCAGTCTCATAACCCAGTCTCAAATCAATTAATAAATTAATATTTTTTAAGAAAAACAATACATGAGAAAAATCACCTAATTGTCTAAGTAGATTAAGGGAACATATTTGACAAAATTTGACATCCATTCATGGTTTTTAAAAAAAAGCTCTTAGAAAATAAGACTAGAATAGTATTTGCTCAACCCATTACAGGGTGTTTGCAGAAAAACCTACAGCTAACCTAACACTTAATGTTGAAAGACTGAAAGCTTCCTCCCTAAGATTGGGGAAAAGGTATAGATGTCCACTACTTCTATTCAGCATTATAGGGAAGTCTTAATGTCTTATTCAGAAATAATACAATTTGCAGAAAATTCCCAAGGAATTTGTTAAAAAGTTGCTGGAACTTAATAAATGAGTTTAACAGTACAATTTCTGTGTGTTTAAGCTCAACATATAGAAATAATTGTATTTCTACATACAGTGAACAATTAGAAACTGAAATGTAGCGCCGGGCGCGGTGGCTCACGCCTGTAATCCCAGCACTTTGAGAGGCCGAAGCGGGCGGATCACGAGGTCAGGATCACGATGAAACCCCGTCTCTACTAAAAATACAAAAAAAATTAGCCGGGCGCGGTGGCGGGCGCCTGAAGTCCCAGCTGCTGGGGAGGCTGAGGCAGGAGAATGGTGTGAACCCAGGAGGCGGAGCTTGCAGTGAGCCGAGATCGCGCCACTGCAGTCCAGCCTAGGCGACAGAGCGAGACTCCGTCTCAAAAAAAAAAAAAGAAAAAAAAAAAAAAGAAACTGAAATGTAGCCAGGCATGGTGGCTCACACCTGTAATACCAGCACTTTGGGAGACAGAAGTGTGTGGATCGCTTGAGCCCAGAAGTTCCAGACCAGTCTAGGCAACATGGTGAAACCCCATCTCTGCAAAAATTACAAAAATTAGCCGGGCGTGGTGCCGCACACCTGTAGTCTCAGCTACTCGGGAGGCTGAGACATGAGAATTGCTTGAACCCGGGAGGTGGAGGTTGCAGTGAACCAAGATCATGCCACTGCACTCCAGCTTGGATGAGAGCAAGACCTTGTCTCAAAAAAAAAAAAAAAAAATTTAATTAATTAATTGAAATATAAATAATACTATTTACAGTTGTATTAAAAGCCATTAAAGTCTTAACGATAAATTTAGAAAAACATGTACGGGATCTGTATAATAAAAAGTACAGTGGCCGGGTGCGGTGGCTCACGCCTGTAATCCCAGCAGTTTGGGAGGCCGAGGCAGATGGATCATTTGAGGTCAGGAGTTCGAGACCAGCCTGGCCAACATGGTGAAACCCCGTCTCTACTAAAAATACCAAAAAAAAAAAAAAAAAAAGTACAGTGTAGGCCCAGTGGTTCATGCCTGTAGTCCTAGCAACATGGGGGAATGAGGCAGGAAGATCATTTGGGGCCAGGAGATTCAGACCAGTGTGGGTAACAGTGAGACCTTGTCCCTTAGGGAAAAAATAAAAAATAAAAAATGTACACACACACAAACACACACACACACAATCTATGTACTCACTAAAATTAAAATTAAATCACAAAAAATTAAAAAAATACAAAGTCTTTTTGAGAAAAATTGAAGAATAAGTGGGAGAGATATGTCAGAGGCATTTTTGAAAGACTCATTATTGTTGAGATGTCACCTTTCTCCAGATCACTCTGTAGAGTCAGTGGACTCAATACAGTTGCAACAGGATTTTAATATAAACTGGCAGACTGATTCTAAAATTTACATAGAGGCCAGCCGTGGTGGCTCACACATAATCGCAGCACTTTCGGAGGCCACTGCAGGAAGATCACTTGAGCCCAGAAGTTAAAGACCAGCCTGGGCGACAGACACTTCGTGGCTTATTTTTTTTTAATTATTAAAAATGAAATTTAGACCAGGTGTAGTGGCTCACCCCTGTAATCTCAGCACTTTGGAATGCTGAGGTGGGCAGATCACCTGAGGTCAGGAGTTCGAGACCAGCCTGGCCAACATGGCAAAACCCCATCTCTACTAAAAATACAAAACATTAGCTGGGCATGGTGGTGGGTGCATGTAATCCCAGCTACTCGGGAGGCTGAGGCAGGAGAATTGCTTGAACCTGGGAGGTGGAGGTTGCAGTGAGCAGTGATCACGCTATTGCACTCCAGCCTGGGCAACAAGAGTGAAACTCCGCTAACTTTCAATTGATTTTTGACAAATGTGACTATTTCAATGGGACAAGGATAGTCTTTTCAACAAATGGTGCTGTAACTACTGGATATCCTTATGGAATAAAAAGATCACTGACCCTGTTTCATACCACATGAAAAATTTAAATCAAAAAAGATCATATACCCCTATGAAATTTCGGAAATAATAAAACTTTTAGAAGAATAGGAAAAAATCTTTAAGACCTTGGGGGATGGTCAAAGATTTCTTAAATAGTATAAAAAGCAAGGACCATTTAAAAAAATTTGACTTGGCCGGGCGCGGTGGCTCACGCCTGTAATCCCAGCACTTTGGGAGGCCGAGGCGGGCGGATCACGAGGTCAAGAGATCGAGACCATCCCGGCTAAAACGGTGAAACCCCGTCTCTACTAAAAATACAAAAAAATTAGCCGGGCGTAGTGGCAGGCACCTGTAATCTCAGCTCCTCAGGAGGCTGAGGCACAGGAATCCCGTGAACCCCGGGAGGTGGAGGTTGCAGTGAGCCAAGATTGCACCACTGTACTCCGGCCTGGGTGATAAAGCGAGACTTCATCTCAGAAAACAAACAAACAGAAAACATTATTTAAGAAAATGAAAATGTAAGCCAAAAAATAAAAGAACCCAATAAAAATAATCGGCAAAAGATCTGAATAGAATTTTCTCAAAAGAATGCATATGAATTGCCAATAAGCTCATGAAAATATGCTCAACATCAGGGAAATGCAAATTAAATTTATAAATGAGAACACACCCATTAGAATGATTAAAATGTAAAAGACTGCATAATACCAAGTCTTGGTGAGGATGTATAGGATCTTTAACTCAGTCATTGATGATGGGACTATAAAATAGAACAATCACTTTGTAAAAATTTCTTAAACATACAATTAGTTGATTTAGTAATTCTAGGCAGGTTGCAGTGGCTCACACCTGTAATCCCAGGACTTTGGGAGGCCAAGGCAGGTGGATCATTTGAGGTCAGGAATTCGAGACCAGCCTGGCCAACATGGTGAAATTCTATCTCTACTAAAAACAAAAATTAGCCAGGCATGGTGGCAGGTGCCTGTAGTCCCAGCTACTCGGGAGGCTGAGGCAGGAGAATCACTTGAACCCGGGAGGCAGAGGTTGCAGTGAGCCAAGATCACGCCACTGCCCTCCAGCCTGAGTGACAGAGCGAGACTCCGTCGCAAAAAAAAAAAAAAAAAAAAAAGATTTAGTAATTCCAGTCTTAGGTATTCACCCAAGAGAAATGAAAATATGTTTAAACAAAATGTCATGTGCACACATGTTCATAGGATATTTTTTCTTTATGACTAAAAACTGGAAACAACGCAGATTTCCAGGTGAATATGTAAAGAAATTGTGGTATATTCATATAATTCAGTTGTAAAAAGAAATATGTGAATAGTAAAAAGGAACAGTAAAAAGAAATGTGGCAATGTGAATGATTCTCAGATTTATGCTGTGTGAATGAAGCCGTACAATAAAATACATATTCTTTCTTTTCATGTATATGAACTTCTAGAAAAGCAAACTTAATATATAACAGGAAGCAGATCAGTTGTTTCTTCTCTGAGGCTGTGGATGACAGGCAATTTATTTTCTTGGAAAGGACACACAGTAACTTTTTAGGGTGACAGAAATGTTCTATATATTGGTTATGATGATGGCTACATGGTAAATTTTTCAAAACTCAAAAATGTATATATAAAAAACATGCATTGAATTTTATGTGGTACTTTACCACAGTGAAGTTAATTTTGAAAATAAGTTACATCTAAAATATAGTGTGCAGCATCATGTCCTAGACTACCAAGAAACATAAATTGGCAGGCCAGAATTTGTGAAGATAGGAACAATTCAAAAATGAAGTGTGAGGTATTAATAGCTCTAGGTGAATGGCCCAGGAAGGAGGCTTCAAAAGTGTGTACCCATTTTAGGATTCTCTTTTAAACTGATATTCATGGATTAAATGCATTGGTAGCTCTGAGTAGTTGATGAAGGGATAGAGGAGATAAAAATAATTCCAAGATTTTGATCCCAGGATTCATTCTTCAACTACGTGTTAATGAATTATGTCCTGGTCATTGGAGATAAAAAGTGATTTTGGTGAATATAGTCACCGCGTTAATGGACCAAACATTGTTTGAGAATTACATACATTAAACCACTAATTTGAAGTGTGATTAGTGTTAGGAAAGGAGAAAGTATTAGGATAATTCTTAATAGGGGACCTAAATTAAGAATGAAGAGGGTGCTTCCTGGTCAGGTAAATAACCTTTCAGGAAATTATGTCCTCACTGTAAACTAAAGAATGAATAGTCATTAAGCAGATGAATTTGTGGAGAAAGATTGTTCCAGGTAGAGAGAAAGGCAGACTCAAAGGCCTTGAATCAAGAAAAAACATGATGAGTTTAAGGAACTGAAGTTTATTATTACTAGAATTAGGGTCTAAGATAATATGAGATTGATGCTAGAAGAAAAGGTAATAATAATTTTGAAGTTGTTTTATGTGGTAAGAGCCTTTTTAAGAGTTGTAAGCAGAAGCTGAAACCTGATAAAATTTGTGAGGTTTTTTTTTTTTGATTTTTTTTTTTTTTTTTTTTGAGATGGAGTCTTGCTCTTGTCGCCCAGGCTGGAGGGCAGTGGCGTGATCTCGGCTCACTGCAACCTCTGCCTCCCAGGTTCAAGCAATTCTCCTGCCTCAGCCTCACAAGTAGCTGGGATTAAAGGCGCCTGCGACCACACCCGGCTAATTTTTGTATTTTTAGTAGAGACGGGGCTTCACCATGTTGGCCAGGCTGGTTTCAAACTCCTGACCTGATCCGCCCACCTCAGCCTCCCAAAGTGCTGGGATTACAGGCGTAAGCCACCTTGCCGGGCCTTTGTGTTTTTTTTTTAAAGATCACTCAGGCTGCTGTCTAAAGAATGAGTTGGAGGATGGTGAAAGTAGAAGCAGGAAGAACAATGTTTCAGTTGTCCATTGCTGCATAACAAAGCACCTTGAACTTACTGTCATGAAACAGTAATAATCAGTTATCATCTCACAGTTTCTCAGGATTCCCTTCCTTTGGTTGTAACTACATGGTGGTGAGGTAAAGTCATCTCAAAATATTCCTTGTTTGGTCAGGCAGGCGGCTCATACCTATAATCCCAACACTTTGGGAAGCTGAGGTGGTCAGATCATTTGAGCTCAGGAGTTTGAGACCAGCCTAGGCAACATGGCAAAACTCCATCTCTACAAAAAATACAAAAAAGTAGCTGGGCATGTTGGTGCATGCCTGTAGTCCCAGCTACTCAGGAGGCTGAGGTGGGAGGGTCGCTTGAGCCTGGGAGGTGGCGGTTGCGGTGAGCTGAGATTGTGCCACTGCACTCCAACCTGGTTAACATAGTGAGACCCTGTCTCCAAAAAAAAAAAAAAAAAGGCCAGGCGCAGTGGCTCACACCTGTAATTCCAGCACTTTGGGAGGCCGAGGCGGGCAGATCATGAGGTCAGGAGATCAAGACCATCCTGGCTAACATGGTGAAACCCCGTCTCTACTAAAAAATACAAAAATAAATTAGCCAGGTGTGATGCTGGGCGTCTGTAGTCCCAGCTGCTCAGGAGGCTGAGGCAGGAGAATGCTGTGAACCCAGGAGGTGGAGCTTGCAGTGAGCCAAGTTCATGCCACTGCACTCCAGCCTGGGTGACAGAGCAAGACTCCGTCTCAAAAAAAAAAAAAAAAAAAAAAAAAAGGATTCTTTATTCAAATATCTGGTGGTTGATACTGGTTGTTGGCTGTGACCTCAGCAGGATCTGTTGGCCAGTATGCCAACTCATTGCTTGGGCTTCCTTGCAGCTTGGAAGCTTGAATCCAAGGGCTTGTGGCGGGGCCGGGGTGGGAGTGGGGGGTGGAGATAGAGAGAGAGACAGACCTTTTCTAACCTAACATTGGAAATCATCACATTCTTCTATTGAATTTCTTTGCTAAGGCAAGTCTTCAGTGGCAGCAGAGAGGGACTAGACTACAACTTGATAGGGAAACTTCAAGAGATTAATGTACGTATTTTAATAGCCCCACAAGGAATTACACTATTGCTTCAGGGCAGGGAGATAACATTATCTTAGTCTTGATGGCTGTAGTAGAAGAAAGGAAAGTGGACAGGTTCAAGAGTTTAAACTAACAGAAGACAGAATTTTATGATTTGTGGGGAGGGTGAAGGAGCCAGAATAAATGATGTGGCCTGAGCTTAGATAACCAACGTCCTGCCACACGATGGATGGTCAGTATACATAATGTTAGCTTTATGGTATCATTCACTGATGTAGGGAATCTGGATGGAGGAGCTAGTTTGAAGGGAGCGAAAATGAAATGAGATGTGAATATGAGTTTGAGAAATCTGTGAAACATGCAAAAGTAGACAATTAGAAGAAAGGTCTATTCAGAAAATAGAAATTCAGTAGTCATCAGAATATAGATGATAGTTAAAAGAATTGCTAAAGAGAGAATAGAGAGTCAGACAGGAAAAAAGCTCAGGCTAGAAAGTTTTTAAAAACTATAGCATTTAAAGGTTGGAGAAAAGGAAGGGGTCATTTTTCGTTTTGGTAATTTTCAGATAAAACTGAAGATTGGTATGAATATTTAGAAGTCACTTACATACTGATGATAATTGAGACTATGAGAATAAACATGTTCCCAGTGGGAAAGTAAGTATAAAAGGTAAATAACAAGTACTCTGTATTGAGGACCTCCGCAGTTAAATTTAATGGAGTTGCAAGTAATTGAAAGTTAATCAAAGGATATTATAGAAATAGTGTAGGCAGGATTTTAAAGAATTATGAAATCAAATATAGCTGAGAGTTTGAAATTTTTTCCTTTTTTTAAATTTTATTATTTTTCTAGAGACAGGGTCTTGCTCTGTCATCCAGGCTGGAATGCAGTGGCGTGATCATAGCTCACTGCAGCCTCAAACTCCATGGCTCAAACAATCCACCCGCCTCAGCCTCCTGAGTAGATAGGACTACGGGTACAGGAAACCACACTGGGCTAATTTTTATTTTTTGTTGAGACAGGGTCTCAGTACGTTGCCCAGGCTAGTCTCGAACTCCTGGCATCAAGTGATCCTTCCACCTCGGCCTCCCAAAATGCTGAGAGTACCAGTGTGAGCCACCGTTCCTGGCCTGAAAATGTTTAAATATCAAATTGAGACAAGGGTCTATAGGCCAGAGTTGATGATAAAATAAAAAAAAAAGTCTTAAAAATTTAGACAAGGCTATTGGATATTATTTGAAGAAAGTTATTGGTAATTTGAGAAAAATTCCACAGTCTGATGATATTGGAATCTAGAATGCCTGAGGCTAATAAAGGAATATCTAGTATAGTTATCACATTTAAAAGTCATATAGATAAGAAATCCATTAATTAACTTTGGAGAAGTATGACCCATGAATAATAGTAGTAAACTAGGCAGCATGGGAAGTGACTTATTTTGAACTGATTTTTAAATTATTAGTATTTTTTGAGACAGGGTCTCGCTCTGTCGTCCTGATTAGAGTGCAGTGACTCACTGCAGCCTCGACCTCCCAGGCTCAAGCAGTCTTCCCAACTTAGCCTCATAAATAGCTGTGACCATAGGTTTCAGCCAGCATGCCTGGCTAATTTTTTTATATTGTTTGTAGAGACATCTTCTTGCTATGTTCCTTAGGTTGATCTCGAATTCCTTAGCTCAGGCATTCCTCCTGCCTTGGCCTCCCAGAATACTGGGATTACAGACATGAGCCACTGTGCCCACTCTTTATCCAACATTTAAGTCCCTTAGCTTAACTGGACCTTAATTTATTTTTTATTTATTTTTTATTTTTGACCTTCATTTTTGAAGAATTAAATTTTTTTCTTTCTAATCCTTACCTCAAAGTGAGAGTTGTTCTTTTTAAATTTACATATTATTAGAGAAATATAGGCCAACTTTGGTTTTATCTTGTTGTAATAACCTTTTTCAGGAAAGTAAACCATCAATTTACCTATGATGTGTAATCTTGCTATGGAAAATAGAGTAGTACTCCCTTTTATCTGTGTAAAAACTTATTTAAATAACTAGCCGTGTCCAATTTTGTCTATGTGTGATTTATTGTCTCTTTCAGTAAACGGAGTTCCCTCTCGAAGTCCAAGATTAGTTGCTTCTGGGGATGACTCTGTGGATAGTCTGCTGCAGCGGATGGTACAAAATGAGGACCAAGAGCCCATGGAGAAAAGTATTGATGCTGTGATTGCAACTGCCTCTGCACCACCTTCTTCCAGTCCAGGCCGTAGCCACAGCAAGGACCGAACCCTGGGAAAACCAGACAGCCTTTTAGTGCCTGCAGTCACAAGTGACTCTTGCAATAATAGCATCTCACTCCTATCTGAAAAGTTGACAAGCAGCTGTTCCCCCCATCATATCAAGAGAAGTGTAGTGGAAGCTATGCAACGCCAAGCTCGGAAAATGTGCAATTACGACAAAATCTTGGCCACAAAGAAAAACCTAGACCATGTCAATAAAATCTTAAAAGCCAAAAAACTTCAAAGGCAGGCCAGGACAGGGAATAACTTTGTGAAACGTAGGCCAGGTCGACCTCGGAAATGTCCCCTTCAGGCTGTCGTATCAATGCAAGCATTCCAGGCTGCTCAGTTTGTCAACCCAGAATTGAACAGAGACGAGGAAGGAGCAGCACTGCACCTCAGTCCTGACACAGTTACAGATGTAATTGAGGCTGTTGTTCAGAGTGTAAATCTGAACCCAGAACATAAAAAGGGGTTGAAGAGAAAAGGTTGGCTATTGGAAGAACAGACCAGAAAAAAGCAGAAGCCATTACCAGAGGAAGAAGAGCAAGAGAATAATAAAAGGTAATTCCTCATTTAACATATTATCTGAGTAGAGGAAACTAGCTTTGAAAAACTGTAATGTAACTCTATAGCTGAATTATTTCATCTTATAACCTTTCATTTTTTACTATATGAGACCATTTCTTTTCAAAAACTGTTCTTATGTATTGCTTTTACAAGTTATAATTAAGAATCAGAGAGGCTAGGTGCAGTGGCTCACACCTGTAATCCCAGCACTTTGGGAGGCCGAGGTGGATGGATCACTTGAGGTGAGGAGTTCAAGACCAGCCTGGCCAACATGGTAAACCCTTTCTCTACTAAAAATATAAAAATTAGCTAGATGTGGCAGCGCATTCCTGTAATCCCAGCTACTCAGGAGGCTGAGGAGGGAGAATTGCTTGAATCCAGGAGGCTGCAGTGAGCCAAGATTGCACCGCTGCACTCCAACCTGGGCGACAGAGCGAGACCCTGTCTCAAAAACAAACACAAAAGAAGCAAAGGGCAAGTAACCATCCACTCTGAACCCACTCACTTTACAGACAAAGGAAATCAAGGCCCAGAAAGATTATGTATTTTATCCAATATAGAGATGTATGAGCTCTGTGATCATTTTATGTGCATACCACATTTTGCTTATCCATTCATCCATTGATGGATACCTGGGGTGTTTCCATGCCGTAACGCCGCTATGACAGCGGGTATACAAATACCTCTTTCAGACCCTGCTTTAACCTTGGGCATATTCTCAGAAGTGGAATTGCTGGATCATGTGACATTTCTATTTTTAATTTTTTGAGGAACTGCCATACTGTTTTCCAGAAGGGCTGTACCATTTTGCATGCACAAAGATTTCAGTTACAATGCACAAGGATTTCAGTTTACATCCTCACCAACACTTGCTATTTTCAATTTTTTTTTTATAGCAGCCATCCAAATGAGTATGAGATGGGTATCTCATTGTAGTTTTAATTTGCTGTTCCCTAATGATTAGTGACAAACATATTTTCATACGCTTATTGGCCATTTATGTATCTTTAGAGAAGTGTCTACTCAATCGCTTTTTCAATTTTTTGATTGGGCTATTTGGTTTGTTGTTGAGTTTTAGCAGTTCTCAATATATTCTGGATATTATTCTCTTAACCGGCATATAAGCAAATCTTTTCTCCTATTCTGTGGATTGCATTTTTACTTTGTTTATGCTGTCTTTTGACGTACAAAATTTTCTGATATCTATGAAGTCCAATTGTCTGTTTTATCTATAAAGCTATGGTAATCAAAACCGTATGGTAGTAGCATAAAGAGAGACATATAGACCAGCGAAGTAGAATAGAGAGCCCAGAAATAAAACCTTGCATGCATGGTCAGATGATTTTTGACAAAGGTGCCAAAACCATTCAGCAGGGTAAAAGACAGTCTTTTTGACAAATCATGCTGGGAAAACTGGGTATCTGCATGCAAAAGAATGAAGTTGTAGTCTTACTTTAAACCATATACAAAATCTAACTCAAAATGGATCAAAGATGTAAATGTAAAATCTAAAACCAGAAACTCTTGGCCAGGCGTGGTGGCTCACGCCTGTAATTCTAGCAGTTTGGGAGGCCAAGGTGGGCGGATCACGAGGTCAGGAGTTCAAGACCAGCCTAACCAACATAGTGAAACCCCGTCTCTACTAAAAATAGAAAAATTAGCCAGGCGTGGTGGTGTGTGCCTGTAATCCCAGCTACTTGGGAGGCTGAGGCAGGAGAATTGCTTGAACCCAGGAGGCGGAGGTTGTGATGAGCCGAGATTGCGCCACTGCACTCCAGCCTGGGTGACAAAGCGAGACTCCTTCTCAAAAAAAAAAAAAAAAAAAAAAAGTCCACGCATGGTGGCTCACGCCTGTAATCCCAGCACTTTGGGAGGCTGAGGCAGCTGGATCACCTGAGGGTCAGGAGTTCGAGACCGGCCTGATCAACATGGAGAAACCCCGTCTCTACTAAAAATACAAAATTAGCTGGGCATGGTGGCACATGCCTGTAATCCCGGCTACTCAGGAGGCTGAGGCAGGAGAATCCCTTGAACACGGGAGGTGGAGAGGTTGCAGTGAGCCGAGATTGCACCATCACACTCCAGCCTGGGCAACAAGAGCGAAACTTTGTCTCAAAATAAATAAATAAATAAATAAAAATAAAACTGTAAACTCTTAGGAGAAAATATAGGGCAAAAGCTTCACAGCATTGAATTTGGCCGTGATTTCTTAGATGTAATAACAAAGCCACAGGCAATAAACCATTCTTATTTTTATTTATTTATTTTTTGAGATGGAGTTTCACTCTGTCACCCAGCCTGGAGTGCAATGGCACGATCTCCACTCACTGCACCCTCCACCTCGTGGTTTCAAGTGATTCTCCTGCTTCAGCCTCTTGAGCAGCTGTGATTACAGGTGCGCACCACCATGCCTGGCTAATTTTTGTATTTTTAGTAGAGACGAGGTTTCACCATGTTGGCCATGCTAGCCTCGAACTCCTGACCTCAGGTGATCCACCCGTCTCAGCCTCCCAAAGTGCTGGGATTACAGGCGTGAGCCACCACGCCTGGCCCATATTTAATATTTTTTAATGAACCAATTTAATGTTCATCATTTATAAATGGCTTTTCTTAATGTGGCATGTTCACTCTTACTCATATTCTCTATCATCTCTCCTGGTGAATCCTGTATAGAGAGGGTTTTTTTTTTTTTCCATCCACCTATATAAAAATAATTGCTTTTTTCTAGAGAATATATTTTTTAATTTCAGGAGCAATACACGCTGGTAATAAATAATTTAATTAAACTAGTAGTTTACTGATTTAAAAGTAAAAGTCTCTTTTCACATGCTCTCACTTGCTCTTATCCCATTCTTCTCTCCATGGATAACGCTATTAACAGTACATTGTGTATTCTTTAATGCTGAGAGCTTGTCATCAGAACATACAGAATTACCTTATACTGTGGTAGGAATATATCATAATTTATGTAATTACACTGTTGTGATTGACTAGATCTTGCTTTTTTATATTTAGCTCTTTATGTCACTTATGTAATACTGAATATTAGCTATGAGTTAGAGGTTTAATTTTCTTTCAGTACTATTGATTAGTTTAGCCATTCCCAACTTATTTGGAATGATACATTTATCATACACTAAGTTTTTGTTGTTGCTGTTGTTGTTATTGTTTTTGAGACCGAGTCACCCAGGCTGGAATGCAGTGGCGCAATCTTGGCTCACTGCAACCTCTGTCTCCTGGGTTCAAGTGATTCTCATGCCTCAGCCACCCAAGTAGCTGGGATTACAAGCATGCGCCACCATGCCCAGCTAATTTTTGTATTTTTAGTAGAGACGGGGTTTCCCCATGTTGGCCAGGCTGGTCTTGAACTCCTGACCTCAAGTGATCCGCCTGCCTTGGCCTCCCAAAGTACTGTGATTACAGGCATGACTCACCACACCCAGCACTAAATTCTTTTTTTCTTTTTTTTTGAGACGGAGTCTCGCTCTGTCGCCCAGGCTGGTATACAGTGGCACAATCTCGGCTCACTGCAACCTCTGCCTCCCAGGTTCAAGTGATTCTCCTCCTGAGTAGCTGGGATTACAGGCGCACACCACCACACCACCATGCCTGGCTAATTTTTTTGTATTTTTAGTAGAGACGGGTTTTTACCATATTGGTCAGGCTGGTCTCAAACTCCTGACCTGATGATCCTCCCGCCTCGGCCTCCCGAAGTGCTGGGATTACAGGTGTGAGCTACGGCGCCCCACCATCCTAAATTCTTATATACTGTTAGATCTTAGGGTCTTTTCAATTTTTTTTTTTTTTTTTTTTTTTTACTGTGTCCCAGGCTTAAGAAAAAAGTGATACATGATGTGGGATTAAAATCAAGAACATCATTGAACTTCACCTTCCCTCCAACCAGTTGCCCCAAACTCCCCTGCCCCCACCCTTTGTGTTCCCAATTCCTTCCTTAGTGAATGAAGAACTTAATTCCAAAAGCCCTGGCACAAACTCCAGGTTCTCTTTCCCTAGCTCCTCCCCTCCCCCTGTCCCCCATTCCTAGAAGGGCAGGCACCTCAGTTTGAATGCATGGGAGAGCCCAGGGTGGTGACGGAGACGGGGGAAAGGCTTCCCCCTCAGGGAAAGGGACCGAGGAGTACAGTGCAGTGAAGTGAGGGCTCCCATAGCCTGGGGTACCAAAATGGGGCCCTGGGGCCAGAGGAAAGGATACTGGTACCCCTGAGAAAGGAGACCCAGCAGCCTCAAAATCCTCTCGTTATGCATAGTCGCTGCTTGATTGCTTGCCTTTCTGGCACCGGTTACAGAACCACACTCGGACCACATCCTTCTCGAGCCCAAGCTGCTGGGCGATGTGGCTGATCTGCTGCAGTGTGGGTTTCGGGCACTGCAGGAACAAATTCTCCAGGTTGCCTCTCACTCGGTTCTCGATACTGGTTCGCTTTCTCTTTCGAGCCTGCAAGAGGGTTTCTGCTTTGCATGTCTCCTGAAGATTTTCATTGTTGTCAGCTTCCTCCACCCACTTCTGCAGCAAGGGCCGCAGCTTACACATGTTCTTGAAGCTAAGCTGCAGACCCTCAAAGCGGCAGATGGTCGTTTGGCTGAACACCTTCCCAAATAGAACCCCCAGGGTGAGCCCCACATCGGCCTGTGTATATCCCAGGGTGATCCTCTTCTGCTTCAGGAGCTTGGCAAATTGTTCGAGTTCTTTCTGCAGAGCTTTGATGTTCTGGGACTCCTGCGGGTTTTGCTCCAGCTTCTCCTTCTCCAGTTTCACGGCACCAGGGGGGACGGTGCAGGGCTCCAGGGAGGTGCCATCGGAGTTGCTCTCCACCCTGACTCCTGCTTCGCCCTCAGGCTGAGAGGTCTCCAAGCCGCCTTGGGGCACTAGCCGCACTCCAACCTGAGGCCCACAGTACGCCATCCCCCCACAGAACTCATACAGCGGGGGGCATGGGGGAATCCCCCACACCTCAGAGCCTGACCCAACTCCCGGCCCGATTCCTGGCCCTCCAGGAGGGCCTTGGAAGCTTAGCCAGGTCCGAGGATCAACCCAGCCCGGCTCCGGCCCCCCTGGCCCATCACCTCCACCGCCTGGAGGGGGCAAGAAGGCAGGCATCCGAAGCCAGGTGTCCCGCCATGGGGAAGGAAGGCGCCCCAAGCTGGGGGCCTGGTGAAATGTCAAATATTTTTATATTCCTTTCTATCAGTCTATTTTGGTATCTCTGTCATAGCAGTTTAATTATTGAAGCTTTAAAACACTGACAAGGAGGATGATTTCTGCCTTTACTGTAGTTTGAGACATCTTGACCATTTATGTTAGGAAGGGTCATCTTTAAAATGTGCTTCAAGAAAAGGCTTTCATCAGCCTGGGTAACATGGTGAAACCCCGTCTTTACCAAAAAATACAATAAATTAGCTGGGCGTGGTGGTGTTGCACGCCTGTGGTCCCAGCTACTTGGGAGGCTGAGGTGGGGGGATCGCTTGAGCCAGGGAAGCAGAGGTTGCAGTGAGCCTAGATTGTACCACTGCACTCCAACCTGGATGACAGAGTAAGACTTCGTCTCAACAACGACAAAAAAGGCTTTTGAATAGGTTAGCCTTTCTATTCCAGCAAATTCTAGTATCATGGTCAGCAAAATTAAACACATACTTTTTCACAAGATTGTATTCTGAGATTTGAAGAGATTATAAAGAGAAAGATAAAATTTCTGCCCTCAAGAGATTGTGTAGGGAAGGACATGACACACTGAGTTCCCAGAGATAGCAACAGTTTTTCAACTTGTTCTAATTGGAGCTTACACTAGTACTTGTTATATAATATGTATTCATTTATTTTTTCAATTAGTATTTGTTGGAAGATTATTATGTTTCATGTACTTAGAATTGATAGAGTGGTGAATAAATCTAGAAACTTTTCCTACCTTCATGGATTTTAACCATCCAAGTGCTATTATGAAGAGTTACTTAGAGTTATAAGAGTACTGTATATAATAGAAATAACTAACTTAGTTTCCCAGAAAAAGTAAGGACTATGCTAAAAATGTGAAGAATAGGCTTCATCTGTTATTTAAAGGAGTGAGGAGAGAGCATACACAAAAGTCTGAAAAAGCATGATAGTTTCAGGCAAGCGAAAGAAAGCTTTTGTGGTCAAAACATGGAGTAGAGTAGCATGGGATACAGATAGAGGTTGTAGGGATCAGATTGTGCCAAGAACCTTGTATGATATATTAAAGATTTTGGTCACTATTTGTTGATTAATATAAAACCAGAATGCACAGGAAGAATTTAATGGTTATGAGGTGGGCTTCTAGACTCGGAAAACCTAGGTTCAAATCCTGGTTTTAAAAAGAAAAAGGTATATTTTTAAAACACTTATAAATTTTTGCTGTAAAAAATAAAATCAGGCCAGGTGTGGTGGCTCACACCTGTAATCCCAGCAGTTTGTCAGGCTGAGGCAGGAGGATCACTTGAGGCCAGGAGTTCAAGACAGCCTGAGCAGTGTGGCTGGTTGTAGCTACCGTTTCTACAAAGAACTGTTTGTTTGTTTGTTTATTTTAGACAGGGTCTTGCTGCGTCCCCCAGGCTGGACTACAGTGGCACAATCTCAGTTCACTGCAACCTCCACCTCCCGGGCTCAAGCGTCTCCACCCCCATCCCTCCCCCACAGTGGCTGGGACTGCAGGCGGGGGCCACCAGGCCTGGCTAATTTTTGTGTTTTTTGTAGAGATGGGGTCTCACTATGTTACCCAGGCTGGTTTTGAACTCCTGCACTCAAGCGATCCTCTCAACTTGACCTCCCAAAGTGCTAAGATTACAGGTGTGAGCACCGCACCTGGTCCATCTCTACAAAACATTTAAAAATTAAATGAGCGTGGTGGCTCGTGTCTGTGGTTCTAGCTACTTGGGAGGCTGAGGTGGGAGGATCACTTGCACTCAGGAGGTTGAGGCTGCAATGAGCTGTGTTCCTTCACTGCACTCCAGCCTTGGTGACAGAGTGTGACCTTGCCTCTAAAAATACATATATATTATAGCAAGACTTTGTCTCTAAAAATATGTATCTTATAATGTATATTATATGTAAATATTATATATATATATATTTTTGTTGTTGTTGAGACGGCATCTTGCTCTGTTGCCCAGGCTGGAGTACAATGGCTTGGCTCACTGCAACCTCCACCTCTTGGGTTCTAGCGATTTTCCTGCCTCAGCCTCTGGAGTAGCTGGGATTACAGGTCCTGCCACCATGCCCGGCTAATTTTTGCATTTTTAGTAGAGACAGGGTTTCACCATATAGGCCAGGGTGGTCTCGAACTCCTGACCTCAAGTCTGCCCACCTTGGCCTCCCAAAGTGCTGGGATTACAGGCGTGAGCTACCACACCTGACCGAAAAAAATTGTTAAGAGCTTGCTGGCCACACCAATAGTCTCAGCTACTCTGGAGGCTGAGGCTGGAGGATTGGTTGAACCCAGGAGTTTGAGACCAGCTTGGGCAATGGCAAAACCCTATTTCTAAAAACAATTTTATGAAAATAAGAAATTAAAAGAACAAGTGAATGAGCCTGAAAATGATATTGGAAGAATGTAAAACATACACCTTAAGTTAATAAAATAAGGCAAATGTATAACAGTAAGAGTCACTTTTAAGACCAAAGTTCTTTGAAAACTAATAAAATAGACAAACTTCTGGTAAAGCCGATCAATAGGAATGAGAAAGGGAATAAATAGGGATTTAAAAGGAAATAAAGTGTATATAAGAGATTAAAAATTTACTACTGTGAGAACTTTAAGCCCATCAAATGGGAAAACTGTTGAAATGGACATGTTCCTAGAAAAATACAATTTTAACAAAACATACTCAAAAGAAATTACCTGAGCACTCCTATTGCCTAAATTGAATCTATTATTTAAAGTCTTGCCCCAAGAACAGCATCAGACCCAATTTTAACTTCTACCACACTTTCAAGAAAAATATTATTCCCATCTCATTAAAGAGAATATGGGCTGCAAACAGAAGAGGATACATCTAAAGAGAATACATAAACAGGCCAGATGAGGTGGCTCACACCTGTAGTCCCAGCATTTTGGGAGGCAGAGGCAGGAGTATTGCTGGAGCCCAGGGGTTGAAGACCACCCTGGGCAACATAGGGAAACTCCATCTCTACAAAAAACTTAAAAATCAGCCAAGTGTGGTGGCGCATGCCTGTAATCCCAGCTACTCGGGAGGCTGAGGCAGGAGAATTGCTTGAACCTGGCAGGCGGAGGTTGCAGTGAGCTGAGATCGCATCAGTGCGCTCCAGCCTGGGCGACAGAGTGAGACTCTGTCTCAAAAAAAAAAAAACTTAAAAATCAGCTGGACGTGCTGATGTGTGCCTGTAGTCCCAGCTACTAGGGAGGCTGAGGTGTTAAGGGATTGCTTGAGCTTGTCCAGGAGGTCGAGGCTACAGTGAGCCATAATCGTGCCACCACATTCCATCCTGGGTGACAAAGCGAGAACCTGTCTTAAAAAACAAATAAGAGACAAACAAGAGAATACATAACATAAGCTAAGTAAATTTTCTGTAGAGGTCGTACCCATATAAATATTCAGGAGGTGACCATACTTTCCCTGTTTGTAAACCCCTTTTCTTGCCAGAAGCTATAACCAATCTTCTGACTTTTAAGGTAACCACATATTTACCTTTTAAAATACTATTTATGTGTGCAGCTCTAAACAATACAGCTTATTCTTCCTGAATTTCATGTAAATCTAATTATACAGGTTGGGTGCCATATCATGCCTGTAATTTCAGCAATTTTGGAAGCCGAGGCGTGTGGATCGCTTGAACCCAGGAGTTTGAGAGTAGCCTAGGCAACATCGTCTCTACTAAGAATACAAAAAGTTAGCCAGTTGTGGTAGCACACGCCTGTAGTCCTAGCTACTCAGGAAGCCAAGTGGGAGAATCACTTGAGCCCAGGAGGTAGAGATTGCAGTGAGCCAAGATCACATCACTGCAATCCACCCAGGGTGACAGAGTGAGACCCTGTCTCAAAAAAGCAAAAACAAACAAACAAAATTAATTACAGAGGACATATACTATTGTGTCTCACCTTTTTTTGCTCAACATAGTCATGTTAAATTATGTATGTTAATGCATGTTGCTGTAGTTTTAATGTGTTGTTTCATTGTTTGTGTGTAATACAGTTCTTCGATTTTACTCTTGGATTATTTTCAACTTGAGGTTATTGCCCAAAAAAACTGCTTTTAATATTCCTCTAATGTCCACTGGTGGATATGGACACTAATTTCTCTAAAGCATTGTATATATATATATGCCGAGACCAGCTCGGTCGGGGAGACCCTAACCCAGTGGCGCTAGAGGAATTAAAGACACACACACAGAAATATAGAGGTGTGAAGTGGGAAATCGGGTCTCACAGCCTTCAGAGCTGAGAGCCCCGAACAGAGATTTACCCGCGTATTTATTAACAGCAAGCCAGTCATTAGCATTGTTTCTATAGATATTAGATTAACTAAAAGTATCCCTTATGGGAAACGGGATTAACTAAAAGTATCTCTTATGGGAAACAAAGGGATGGGCCGAAATAAAGGGATGGGTTTGGCCAGTTACCTGCAGCAGGAGCATGTCCTTAAGGCACAGATCGCTCATGCTATTGTTTGTGGTTTAAGAACGCCTTTAAGCGGTTTTCCAGCCTGGGTGGGCCAGGTGTTTCTTGCCCTTATTCTGGTAAACCCACAGCCTTCCAGCGTGGGTGTCATGGCCATCATGAACATGTCACAGTGCTGAAGAGATTTTGTTTATGGCCAGTT
Source organism: Homo sapiens (assembly GCF_000001405.40). Lineage (NCBI taxonomy): Eukaryota > Metazoa > Chordata > Mammalia > Primates > Hominidae > Homo > Homo sapiens. The sequence continues at coordinate 155,428,510 of NC_000001.11, read as the reverse complement.
TTGGGGCCAGTTTATGGCCAGATTTTGGGGGGCCTGTTCCCAACATATATATATATATTTTTTTTTTTGAGACGGAATTTCATTGTTGTCGCCTAAGCTAGAGTGCAGTGGCACAATCTCGGCTTACTGCAACCTCCATCTCCTGGGTTCAAGCAATTCTCCTGCCCTCAGTCTCCCGAGTAGCTGGGATTAGAGGCGCCCACCACCACACCCGGCTAATTTTTTTGTACTTTTAGTAGAGACGGGGTTTCACCATGTTGGTCAGGCTGGTCTTGAACTCCTGACCTCAGGTGATCCACCTGCCTTGGCCTCCCAAAGTGCTGGGATTACAGGCGTGAGCCACTGCACCCAGACTTAAGGCATTATACTAATTTGTTCTCACATTGCTATAAATACCTGAGACTGGGTAATTTATAAAGAAAAGAGGTTTAATTCGTTCATGGTCCTGCAGGCTGTATAGTAAGCATGATGCTGGCATCTCCTAGGCTTCTGGGGAGGCTTCAGGAAACTTACAGTCATGGGGAGTATACTGGTTACAGGGCTAGAGCAGGAGCAAGAAGGAGAAGGACGAAGTGCCATACACTTTTTAAAGCACCAGATCTCAACAGAACTCACTCACTATGGCAACGACAGCATCGGGGGATGGTGCTAAACTGCTTAAGAGAAAACCACCCCCATGGTCCAGTCACCTCCCACCAGGTCTCACCACCAATATTGGTGATTACATTCCAGCGTGAGATGTGGGCAGGGCGCACATCCAAACTGTATCAGGGGCCGGGTGCAGTGGCTTGTGCCTGTAATCCCAGCAATTTGGGAGGCCGAGGTGGGTGGATCACCTGAGGTCAGGAGTTTAAGACCAGCCTGGCCAACATAGTGAACACCCATCTCTACTAAAAATAGAAAAATTAGCCGGGCGCAGTCGCTCTTGCCTGTAATCCCAGCATTTTGGGAGGCCGAGGTGGGCGGATCACCTGAGGTCAGGAATTTGAGACCAGCCTGGCCAACACGGCGAAACCCTGTCTCTACTAAAAAGTACAAAAATTAGCCAGGTGGTGGGCGCCTATAGTCCCAGCTACTCAGGAGCCTGAGGCAGGACAATCGCTTGGACCCGGGAGGCGGAGGTTGCAGTGAGCCGGGATCTGGCCACTGCACTCCAGCCTGGGCAACAAGAGCGGGACTCCATCTCAAAAAAAAAAAGAAAAATTAAAATTAGCCAGGTGTGGTGCTGCATGCCTGTAATCCCAGCTACTCATGAGGCTGAGGCAGCAGAATTGCTAGAACCTTGGAGGTGAAGGTTGCAGTGAGCTGAGATCAGACCACTTCACTCCAGCCTGGGTGACAGAGCGAGACTCTGTCTCAAAAAAAAAAAAAAAAAAAATTATATCAGAGTATATACCTGGAAAGGTAATTACTGAATAAAATAAAGGATTTGTCCCAAGACTTAATTTCAAGCTATGGAGTATTAAGGTGGTGTGGAATTGAATAGATAAAAGAAACAGACCTACACATATATGGAAGCTTGCTGGGTAACAGAGGCATATAAAGAACTGTTCAACAAATTGTGCCCAGTAAGTTGAAATCCCTGGGGATCAGAAGGAAATTGGATTCTGTCTTATCCTCTATACAAAAAATCAACTCCCAGTTGATTAAATACAGTTGACCCTTGAACAACACAGATTTGAGATTTGCGATACTTAAACTCACAGATGAACTGTGTAGCCTAGAAAAAAATTTTTTAGTTTTTAATTTTTATTTTTTGTGGATACATAGTAGGTGTAGCCTAGAAATAGTCAAAAAAATTAAAAAGTATGTCATGAACGGATAAAATATTTGTAGATGTTAATCCATTTTATTGTTTGCAGAAAGACATAAGATATACACAAATCTATTATAAAAAGTTAAAATTTCACTGGGAGTCTGATGTGGGCAGATCACCTGAGGTCAGAAGTTCGAGACTATCCTGGCCAACATGGTGAAACCCTATCTCTATTAAAAATATAAAAATTAATGGGCCAGGCGCGGTGTCTCACGCCTGTAATCCCAGCACTTTGGGAGGCCGAGGCGGTCGGATCACGAGGTCAGGAGATCGAGACCATCCTGGCTAACACGGTGAAACCCCGTCTCTACTAAAAAATACAAAAAGCTGGGTGCGGTGGCTCATGCCTGTAATCCTAGCACTTTGGGAGGCCAAGGCAGGTGGATTGCTTGAGCTCAGGAGTTCGAGACCAGCCTGGGCAACATGGTGAAACCCCATCTCTACTAAAATACAAAAAAAAAAATTAGCCGGGCATGATGGCACACTCCTGTAATCCCAGCTACTAGGGAGGCTGAGGCAGGAGAATCACTTGAACCTGGGAGGCAGAGGTTGCAGTGAGCCAAGATCGTGCCATTGCACTCCAGCCTGGGTGACAGAGTGAGACCCTGTCTTAAAAAATAAATAAATAAATAAATAAAATTAGCCGGGCATGGTGGCAGGCGCCTGTAGTCCCAGCTACTTGGGAGGCTGAGGCAGGAGAATGGCGTGAACCCAGGAGGCAGAGCTTGCAGTGAGCCGAGATCGCGCCACTGCACTGCAGCCTGGGTGACAGAGCGAGACTCCGTCTCAAAAAAAAAAAACACCACAAAAAAAATTAGGCCAGGCATGGGGGCTCCCACCTGTAATCCTGGTACTTTGGGAGGCTGAGGTGGGTGGATCACCTGAGGTCAGGAGTTCGAGCCAGCCTGGCCAACGTGGTGAAACCTCTTCTCTACTAAAAATAAAAAAATTAGCCCTGCTTGGCCGGGTGTGGTGGCTCACGCCTGTAATCCCAGCACTTTGGGAGGCCAAGGCAGGCAGATCATGAGGTCAGGAGTTCAAGACCAGCCTGACCAACATGGTGAAACCTGGTCTCTACTAAAAATACAAAAAATTAAGCATGGTGGCACATGCCTGTAATCCCAGCTACTTAGGAGTCTGAGGCAGGAGAATCGCTTGAACCCAGGAGGCAGAGATTGCAGTGAGCCAAGATCGCACCATTGCACTCCAGCCTGGGCAACAGAGCGAGACTCCACCTCAAAAAAAAAAAAAATAGCCCTGCATGATGGTGAGTGCCTGTAATCCCAGCTACCTGGAGGCTGAGGCAGGAAAATCACTTGAACCCAGGAGGCAGAAGCTGCAGTGATCCGAGATCGCGCCACTGCACTCCAGCCTGGGCGACAGAGGAAGACTCTGTCTCAAAAAAAAAAAAAAAAAACTAGGCCGGGCGTGGTGGCCCATGCCTGTAATCCCAGCACTTTTGGGAGACCAAGGTGGGTGGATCACTTGAGGTCAGGAGTTCGAGTTCGAGACCAGCCTGACCAACATGGTGACCCTGTCTCTACTAAAAATACAAAAATTAGCCGGGCATGGTTGTGCATGCCTTTAATCACAGCTACTGAGGAGGCTGAGGCAGGAGAATAACTTGAACCTGGGAGGCGGAGATTGCAGTGAGCTGATGTTGCTCCAATGCACTCCAGCCTGGCCACAGAGTAAGGCTCTGTCTCAAAAAAAAAACACAAAAACTAGCCAGGTGAGGTGGTGGGTGTCTATACTCCCAGCTACTTGTGAGGCTGAGGCAGAATCATTTGAACCCTGGGTAGCGAAGGTTGCAGTGAGCCAACATCATGCCATTGCACTCCAGCCTGGGCAAAAAAGCAAGACTCTGTCTCAAATAAAAAGTTAAAATTTATCAAAATTTACAAACACAAACTATACATGACGCCATTCTCAGTTATGAGAAATGTAAACAAAGACATACAGCATTAATCATAAAATTAACTGTAATAGGCCGAGCATGGTAGTTTATGCTTGTAATTCCAGGACTTTGGGAGGCCAAGGCAGGCGGATCACCTGAGGTTGGGAGTTGGAGACCAACCTGACCAACATGGAGAAACCCCGTCTCTACTAAAAATACAAAATTAGCCCGGCGTAGTGGCGCATGCCCGTAATCCCAGGTACTCGGGAGGCTGAGGCAGGAGAATCGCTTGAATCCAGGAGGCGGAGGTTGCAGTGAGCCGAGATCGCACCATCTCACTCCAGCGTGGACAACAAGAGCGAAACTCTGTCTCAAAAAAAAAAAAACTGTAATACATACTGTACTACTGTAATAATTTCATAGCCACCTCTTGTTGTTATTGCAATGAAGAAAGTGTTGCCAGAATCCACTTCAAAGCCATATGACACTAATCATCTCCAAGTGAGCAGTTTACTGGAATCTCTCCAGTAAATTACGTATCACAGTACAAAGTGATCTCTTGAAGTTCTTTATTTCTCATCGTTTTTACTACGATTCCATAAACCTTGAATGACCCTATGAGACCTATATGAAGTGCCATTAGTGATGTTAGAAGGGCTTCCAAGAACAAGAGAAAAGTCATGGCATTACAAGAAAACAAAAAGTTGAACTGCTTGATATGTACCATAGATTGGGGTCTGCAGCTGTGGTTGCCCACCATTTCAAGATAAATGGGCCGGGCACGGTGGCTCGCACCTATAATCCCAGCACTTTGGGAGGCCGAGGCAGGCGGATCATGGGGTCAGGAGTTCGAGACCAGCCTGGCCGACATGGTGAAACCCTGTCTCTACTAAAAATACAAAAAATTAGGAGTGGTGGCGGGCGCCTGTAATCCTAGCTACTCCGGAGGCTGAGGCAGGTTAATTGCTTGAACCTGGGAGGTGGAGGTTGCAGTGCGCCGAATCACGCCATTGCATTGCAGCCTGAGCGAGAGACTGAGACTCCGTCTCAAAAGAAGAAAGATAAATGAATCTAGCATAAGGACTTGAAAAAAGAAAAGGAATTTTGCAAAGCCATCACCGTAGCTGTGCCAGCAAGTGCGAAAACTTAGTACTTTTTCCAAGGTATCTTTTTATCTCATATTGAAAATGCAGGGGTTTTTTTGTTTTTGTTTTGTTTTGTTTTGTTTTTGAGACAGAGTCTTGCTCTGTCGCCAGGCTGGAGTGCGGTGGCACGATCTTGGCTCACTGCAACCTCTGCCTCCCGGGTTCCAGCAATTCCCCGACGTCAGCCTCCCGAGTAGCTGGGACTACCACCGCACCCGGCTAATTTTTTGCATTTTAGTAGAGACGGGGTTTCACCATGTTGGCCAGGATGGTCACAATCTCCTGAACTCGTGATCTGCCTGCCTCGGCCTCCCAACGTGCTGGGATTACAGGTGTGAGCCACCATGCCTGGCCGAAAATGCAGTTTTTATGTGGATGCAGGATTGCCTTAAAAAAGCATACATGTCCAGGCGTGGTGGCTCACGCCTGTAATCCCAACACTTTGGGAGGCCGAGGTGGGTAGATCACCTGAGGTCAGGAGATTGTGATCAGCCTGGCCAGCATGACGAAACACTGTCTCTACTAAAAATGCAAAAATTAGCTGGGCATGGTGGTAGGTACCTGTAATCCCAGCTACTCGGAAGGCTAAGGCAGGGAGAGTTGCTTGAGCCTGGGAGGCAGAGCTTACAGAGAGCCGAGATCGCACCACTGCACTCCAGCCTGGGCAACAAAGCGAGACTCCGTCTGAAAAAAAAAAAAAAGAAAGGCCAGCTCAATGGCTCACGCCTGTAATCCCAGCACTTTGGGAGGCCGAGGCAGGCGATCATTTGAAGTCAGTAGTTCAAGACCAGCCTGGTCAACATGGTGAAACCTGTCTCTATTAAAAACACAAAAAAATAGCCAGGCGTGGTAGCGGGTGCCTGTAGTCTCAGCTCTTCAGGAAGCTGAGGCAGGAGAAATCGCTTGAACCCAGGAGGTGGAGGCTGCAGTGAGCCGAGATCACGCCACTGCACTCCAGCCTCAGCGGCAGAGTAAAACTCAGTCTCAAAAAAAAAAAAACAGAAAGAAAAAGAAAAAATCAAGGTAAAAGGAGAAGCTTCTGCCAACCAAGAGGCAGTAGACAAGTTCCCAGATGCTATTAAGAAAATCATTAGCAGCCGGACGCAGTGGCTCATGCCTGTAATCCCAGGCATGCCTCCCACTTTGGGAGGCAGAGGCATGTAAATCATCTGAGGTCAGGAGTTCAAGAGCAGCCTGGCAAACATGGTGAAACCCCGCTTCTACTAAAAATACAAAAATTAGCAGACCCTGGTGGCCCGGAGGTTGCAGTGAGGCGAGATCATGCCATTGCACTCCAGCCTGGGCTACAAGAGCAAGATGCCATCTCAAAAAAAAAAAAAAAAAAAAAATTAGCTGGGCGTGGTGGTGTGACCCTGTAATCCCAGCTACTCGGGAGGCTGAGGCAGGAGAATCGCTTGAACCCAGGAGGTAGGGTTGCAGCGAGCCGAGATCGTGCCACTGCACTCCAGCCTGGTTGACGGAATGAGACTCTGACTCAAAAAAGAATAAAAGTGAAGTAAGCCAGACACAAGTGGACATATATTTTATGATTCCACTAGTATGAGGAACCTGGAATAGACAAATTCATACAGGCGGAAAGTAGAATATTGGTTATTAGGGGTTGGAGGGAGGATGGAATAGAGTTTTTCTTTAATAGGATCAGTTATTCTGTCTGGGAGGATGAAAAAGATGTGGAGATGGATGGATACTGGTGATGGTTGTACAACAATGTGAATGTACTTTGATGTCACTGAACTGTCCAGACCACTTAAAATGGTTTAAAAGGTAGATATTATGGTATATGCATTTTACCACAATTTTTCAAAAAAAAAATTAGTCATATGTGTATCTATTTCTACACTCTATTACGTTGTTCTACATTTATTTTGTGTAGCTAGTATCACATTGTCCTGATTACAATACATTTACAGTAAGTCTTGAAATTAGATAAATCCTCCAATTTTTTTTTAGTTTTTTTTTTTGAGATGGAGTCTTGCTCTGTCGCCCAAGATGGAGTGCAGTGGCGTGATCTCGGCTCACTGCAACCTCTGCCTCCCGGGTTCATGCCATTCTCCTGCCTCAGCCTCCCGAGTAGCTGGGACTACAGGCACCCACCACCATGCCCGGCTATTTTTTCTATTTTTAGAAGAGACGGGGTTTCACCGTGTTAGCCAGGATGGTCTCAATCTTCTGATCTCGTGATCCACCTGCCTCGGCCTCCCAAAGTGCTGGAATTACAGGCGTGAGCCACCATGCCTGGCCTTAGGTTTTGTCTTTCCATAGCAATTTGTGAATTATCTTGGCATTTTCTCAAAAAAAAAAAAAAAAAAAAAAACTGTTGGTACTTGAGATTGTGTTAGATCTATAGATCAGTTTGGGGGAAAGTTGCAATCACCAACTTTTTTTTTTTTTTTTTTTTTTTAAGACACAGAATCTTCCTCTGTTGCCCAGGCTGGAGTGCAATGGCTTACTGTCAGCCTTGACCTCCTAGGTTTAAGCAGTCTTCCCACTTTAGCCTCTTCAGTAGCTGGGACTACAAGTGTAAGCCATCACACCTGGCTAGTTTTTTAAAATTTTTTGCAAAGATGGGGTCTGACTATGTTGCCTCGGTTGGTCTCCAACCTCTGGGCTCAAGTGATCCTCCTGCCTCAGCCTCCCAAAGTGCTGGGATTACAGGTGAAAGCTGCCAAGCCTGGACAGAAATTGCCATCTTAATGACATTCAGTGTTTAATTCCATGGACATCCATGGACATGGTATGTTACTGCATTTATTTTAGGTTATCTTTGATTTTTTTTTTTTTTTTAATGGAGCCTTGCTCTGTCACCTAGGCTAAAGTGCAGTAGTGCGATCTTGGCTCACTGCAACCTCCACCTCCCGGGCTCAAGTGATTCTCCTGCCTCAGCCTCCCGAGTAGCTGAGGTTACAGGTGCCTGGCACCATGCCTGGCTAATTTTTATATTTTAGTAGAGATGGAGTTTCACCATGTTGGCCAGGCTGGTCTCAAACTCCTGACCTCAAGTGATCCACCTACTTCGGCCTCCCAAAGTGCTGGGATTACAGGCATGAGCCACCACACCTGGCCTTTTTTTTTTTAAATTCATTGTTTTGTTTATACTCTTATGTACTGCATGTATTTGTTAGATTTATATTTTGGTTTTCTTTTAAATTTGTACTTTATTATATTTATACATTTATAAAGAAATTATATTTCTGTATTATTTTGTTTGATTTATATCTAAGCATTTAATGCTTTTCTTGTTTTTTTGTTTTTGTTTTTTTTTTTTTTTGAGATGGAGTCTCATTCTGTTGCCCAGGCTGGAGTGTTTTTTTTTGAGATGGAGTCTCATTCTGTTGCCCAGCCAAGATGGAACCATTTTGGCTCAATTCAACCTCCACCTCCTGGGTTCAAGCGATTCTCCTGCCTCAGCTTCCTGAGAAGCTGGGACTACAGGTGTGTGCCACCACACCCAGCTAATTTTTGTATTTTGTATTTTAAGTAGAGACGGGGTTTCACCATGTTCACCAGGCTGGTCTCAAACTCCTGACCTTAGGTGGTCCGCCCGCCTCATCCTCCCACAGTGTTGGGATTATAGGAGTGAGTCACCCTGCCTGGCTACTATTCTACTGTTTAAGTAGCATTGTTTAATTTTGATTTCAGTTTTCTCATTGATAGAACATACAAATACAGTTGAATTTGACCTTGGATTCTGCAACATTGTTGTGTATTTCACTAATTGTAGTACTTTCTCTTTTGTAGAGTCTTTGGGTGTTTTTATATAGACAATCACACAATGTGTGAGTAGAGATAGTTTGTAATTCTTCCTTTTCAATATTGTTTTCTTTTTCTGGCCTTTTTGCACTGGCTAGGACCTCTGTTATGATACTGAACATATATGATGAAAGCATATGTTTGCCTTGTCCTTAATAATAGGGAAACTTTATGCAATTTAACCTGTACATATGAGGCAAATCAAATATCTGGGAAACTTCCTGCCTGGTCATTGCCAGTACATTTGCTTATGTTTATTTTATAGACAATTTCCAGAGTTTTTAGTTGTACTTAGTAAAATGAGAGGTAGATGTGCATCTGTTCGATTTTTGTGTGGAACAAGAATCACCTGTATTATTTTTTAAGTAAAATGCTTTGTTTAAAAATATGGAACACTTCACAAGTTTGCATATCATTCTTGCACCAGGGCCATGCTCATCTCTGTATTGTTCCAATTTTAGTATATGTGCTGCTGAATCAAGCACATCTTTTTTTTTTTTTAATGTTTTTGTTTTATTTTGATTTCTATTTTGATAAGCTTCCCCTTTGCCTCTCCTTTTAACACTGTTTGATGTCATTACATTGTCTTCTGGTTTGCACTGTTTTGGATATGAGATCTAAACTTTTTTATTATTATTATTTTTTTAAGAAATGGGTCTTGCTATGTTGCCCAGGCTGGTCTTGAACTCCTGGGCTCAAGCAATCCTCCTGCGTCAGCCACACAAAGTGCTGGGATTACAGGCATGAGCCACTGTGCTCGGCCCCTTTTTATAACGTGTGTTTTCTCTTTAGCTGCTGCTTTTTTGTTTAATTAATTAATTTATTTATTTATTTGCCCTCCCAGGCTGGAGTGCAGTGGTGCGATCTCAGCTCACTGCAAGCTCTCGGGTTCACACCATTCTCCTGCCTCAGCCTCCCGAGTAGCTGGGACTACAGGCACCCACCACCACGCCTGGCTAATTTCTTTTTTATTTTTAGTAGAGTCGGGGTTTCGCCGTGTTAGCCAGGATGGTCACAATCTCCTGACCTCGTGATCCACCCACCTCGGCCTCCCAAAGTGCTGGGATTACAGGCGTGAGCCACTGCGCCCAGCCTCTTTAGCTTCTTTTGTTTTCTTCATCAGTAGTTTTTAACAAGTTTATTACGATATACTGGACCTTGTTTTATTTATCCTGCCTATGGTTTGCTTACTTTCTTCTAACTCTGAGGTTATGCTTTTTATCATTTTGGGAAACTTTTTAGCCATAATTCTCAATTTTTTTCATTGTGAATTTTTTATTTTGTGAATGTTACATCATTGTATATCTGGTTTTTGTTGTTTTCCTTTACAAGTGTCCAATTGTTTTAGTAGTAAGTTTTCTCCTTTCCCGGGATTCTAAGATTCTGTTAGTATTATATTCTTTACATAATTTATTCTTTTCTTTAATCTCTATCAGTTTGTGTTGTTTCTATTGCTGTCTTCAAGTTCACTGATCTCCAGTGCCTTATTTGCTGTTAAGTACTCTCCAGTTTTTCATTTCAGATTTCGTATTTATCAATTCTCAATATTCCTTTTGTTGTTGTTGTTAAGTCTTCTCTTCCTCTCCTCATTATCTTTGTATTTTCTTCTAAATTCCTGATTTATGCTTGTAGAGTAGTATTTTAAAGTTATTTTCTTTTCTATCTTTGTGATTTCTATTTCTGTTGCTGTTTCTACTGAATGATTTTTTCCCCTGGGTCACATTTTCCTGCATTTTGGCATATGTAGGAATTTATTATTGGATGCAAGACATTGTGATGTCGCATTATTGTATGTCTGGTTTTTGTTGGTTTCCTTTACAAATATTCAATTTTATTTTGGTAGGCAGTTAAGTTACTTATGGATCAGTTTGGATTCTCATATTGTTTTTAAACTTAGCTAAGGCTAGTCTTTTTTTTTTTTTTGAGACGGAGTTTTGCTCTTGTCACCCAGGCTGGAGTGCAATGGCGCTATCTGGGCTCACCACAACCTCCGCCTCCCAGGTTCAAGCGATTCCCCTGCATCAGCCTCCCGAGTAGCTGGGACTACGGGCTTGCACCACCACACCCGCCTAATTTTGTATTTTTAGTAGAGACGGGGTTTCTCCATGTTGGTCAGGCTGGTCTTGAACTCCCGACCTCAGGTGATCCGCCTGTCTCAGCCTCCCAAAGTGCTGGGATTACAGGCGTGAGCCACTGCGCCCCACCAGTGAAGGCTAGTCTTCCTTTCAGGATAATTAAGCCCTCTAACAGTGGATAACATTACCCTCTGGGCTTGCTGTTTAATGTCCCCTATTGTTGAACAATGTCTTTCTACTTTGCCTAATGGAATGAGTATCTGCCATCATGTGTGAGTTGTGTGAATTGCTCAGGTTACAGTTTTCTGGTAGTTCCTTGTTCAGCCATATGGAATTTCACCCTTCACATGCACAACGTAGTGTTTAGCAGTATACTAAAAGAGACACCCATAGTTAGATTTCTAGAGTTATAATTCTCCATAGGTTTTTCCATTCTGATACTCATTTCCACAAATTCCAGCTATCTCAGTCCCTCTGTACTCTGATATATCCCTTTTCAGCTCATCAGTTTGGCCATTCTCTGCTTGGTTTCTACTTCTGCACCACAGTCATTCTTAGAAAGGCAAGGTGGAGGCTGGGCGTGATGGCTCACGCCTGTAATCCCAACCCTTTGGGAAGCTGAGGTGGGCAGATCACCTGAGATCAGGAGTTCAAGACCATCCTGGACAGCATGGTGAAACCCTGTCTGTACTAAAAATACAAAAAAAATAAGCTGGGTGTGGTGGCACATGCCTGGAATCCCAGCTACTCAGGAGGCTGAGGTAGGAGAATCTCTTGAACCCAGGAGGCGGAGGTTGCAGTGAGCCGAGATCACACCACTGCACTCCAGCCTGGGAGACAGAGCAAGTCTCCGTCTCAAAAAAGAAAAAAAAAAAAGAAAAGGAAAGAAAAGAAAAAGAAAGGAAGGAAGGAGGGAAGGTGGGTGGGAGGGAAGGAAGGAAAGGAAGAAAAGGAAGGAAAGGAAAGGCAAGGTGGGGCTGGGCACAGTGGCTCATGCCTGTAATCCCAGCACTTTGGGTGGGCGGATTACCTGATGTTAGGAGTTTGAGACCAGCCTGGCCAACATGGTGAAACTAAAAACCGTCTCTACTAAAAATACAAAAATTATCCAGATGTGGTTACAGGCGCCTGTAATCCCAGCTATTCAGGAGGCTGAGGCAGGAGAATCGCTTCAACCCAGGAAGCAGAAGTTGCAGTGAGATGAGATCATGCCACTGCACTCCAGCCTGGGCAACAGAGCGAGACTCCATCTCAATAAACAAAAAAAGATAAAAGAAAGGCAAGGTGGTTGTGTGACTCACCGCATTTTTTTCAGATTTCTCAGGGATAACAGTGCTGCATTAACTGTTGTCCAGTATCTGATAATAATTGTCTTTTAAAATTTTCTCATGCCGGGCACGGTGGCTCATGCCTATAATCCCAGCACTTGGGAGGCCAAGGCAGGTGGATTACTTGAGGTCAAGAGTTGAAGACCAGCCTAGCCAACATGGCAAAACCCGTCTCTACTAAAAATACAAAACTGGTGGCGTGCCCCTGTAATATCAGCTACTCGGGAGGCTGAGGCAGGAGAATTGCTTGAACCCAGAAAGCGGAGGTTGCCTTGAGCCAAGATTGTGCCCCTGCACTCCAGCCTGGGTGACAGAGAAAGATTCCGACTCAAAAAATAAAATAAAATAAAATTTTCTCTAAGTATCTAGTAGACTACCATATTTCTATTACTTCTTGTCAGGAGAAGTCTGGTACCAGTTATTTAAACATGGCCAGATAAGGAAGTCCCCATATCTCTTTTTTTAATTGCTATGGTTTTTTTTTTTTAAGTAGACAATTATTTGTAGGAAAACTTTTTTTTCATAATAAAATTATCTTTAAACTTCTCTTTCTAGCTTTAATGAAGCACCAGTTGAGATTCCCAGTCCTTCTGAAACCCCAGCTAAACCTTCTGAACCTGAAAGTACCTTGCAGCCTGTGCTTTCTCTCATCCCAAGGGAAAAGAAGCCCCCACGTCCCCCAAAGAAGAAGTATCAGAAAGCAGGGCTGTATTCTGACGTTTACAAAACTACAGAGTAAGTAGTAGTACCTATTAGCTAACATCCCTTTTTCTTCCACATTTGGAAAAATACTTTGACTATCAAAAAACAATATAGATTCTTTTGTGTTTCATAAGCGTGATGATTGTGTTTTTGCACTCATGTATGAGGTACGCCTCCCTCAAACTTTGTGTCAAGGTCAATACATTACCCTTTCTGATGTGGGGGGAAATCAGTACAAAAGTAATATGCACAAATACCAGTGTTCACTGTACTACTGTACTGTCTTATGTTGTATGAGACTAATTGTCTTTCTGATGGTTATCTTCTCTCTGCCTTTCTAGATTGAGATTCTAATGATGCTTTTCTTTTCTTTTTTTGTTTTTTTTTTTTTTTTTGAGACGGAGTCTCGCCCTGTCACCCAGGCTGGAGTGCAGTGGTGCGATCTTGGCTCACTGCAAACTCTGCCTCCGGGGTTCACGCCATTCTCCTACCTCAGCCTCCCGAGTAGCTGGGAGTACAGGGCCCGCCACCACGCCCAGCTAATTTTGTGTATTTTTAGTAGAGACGGGGTTTCACCATGTTAGCCAGGATGGTCTAGATCTCCTGACCTCGTGATCCACCTGCCTCGGCCTCCCAAAGTGCTGGGATTACAGGCGTGAACCACCGTGCCTGGCCCTAATGATGCTTTTCTTATTAACTTAAGCAATAAATGGCTCTGTGTAACTAAAATGATATTGGTGACTTCATTTTTTATATTGGTGACTTCATTTTTCACTGATTGGACGCTGTGTTCCATGAGCTTTGTCAGATGAATAAAATATTTGCCTTGCTTTTAAGAACTTTGTATTATCTTGGCAGAGTACAATTTAATAAGCACTCTAATTGAGAATTTTTAAAGCATCAAAGGGATAGCAAATTATCATCAATTAAGAAATATTTTCTGGTTGAGTTAGGATTTAGAGGTGTGGTAGTAGTTTACCAGATGGAGAAGGATATTCCAGTCAGAACAGCATGTAAAAAGGATACAAAGATTTTTCATATATCAAAACAACTTGAAAGTTTAGGGCTTCTGAAATGTAGTGGCCCTGTGGTAAATAAGCATTATATGATGAGGAACATATAACCATGGACTTTGAGATATTTAGTTAACTTTAAGATATTTGGTTTTGGATGGGAGTGGTGGCTCACACCTATAATCCCAACACTTTGGGAGGCCAGGGCGGGTGGATCACCTGAGGTTGGGAGTTTGAGACCAGCCTGACCAACATGGAGAAACCCCGTTTCTACTAAAAATACAAAATTAGCCGAGTGTGGTGGCACATGCCTGTAATCCCAGCTACTTGGGAGGCTGAGGCAGGAGAATCGCTTGAACCTGGGAGGCGGAGGTTGCAGTGAGCCGAGATCGAGCCATTGACTCCAGCCTGGGCAGCAAGAGCGAAACTCCATCTCAAAAAAAAAAGAAATTTTTTTAATGCTATTTTGCTATAGGAAATAAAAAATGAGTTTGGGGGATGGATGTGAAAGGTATAGGTTTGTTTAAGATAACTCCAGCAGCAGGGTGGAAAATAAATGGAATGAATTACTAGTGGCAAAAACTCTCACCTCACAGTTTCTGTCAAAAAGTCATGAATATCTGAATTTAGACAAAGAGAAGAATAAGATTGAAAGAGGAAACCTTAGATTTTAGAGGTACATCTCGTTTGGTGGTGTTAAAGTAATTGACATGTAAACCATACCACTTTATTTTGCATTTAAAAGATTTTTATTGATTTGTCACTGAGGTAGATATCACAAAATTTTTATACTCTGAACGTGCTTCTTAGGTCATGAAAACATTTTACTAATGAAGCTTAAGTTTAGCTAATTATAATAATAAATCATCTCAAATAACCAAGACTTTAAAAAGATAGGCACTTAACTATTTTTTTTAATTTAAGAGAAGTTGTGAAGTATGTAGTTCAAAGTTCATAATGGTACCTTCACAATGTCTTCAGGGACCTAGGCTCCTTTTTCTCCCTTCTATCTCAGCACTAATTATGCATTCCTAAGATTCCCTCATGTTCCAAGATAGTTACTAGAGTCCAGCCATTTGATGTTTGTTACAGACAGAAAAGAGGAGGAAAAGCATGCTCCTTCTTTGTTTTTTGTTTTCTGGTTTGTTTGTTTGTTGCGATGGAGTTTCACTCTTGTTGCCCAGGCTGGAGTGCAATGGCACGATCTCGGCTCACTGCAACCTCTGCCTTCTGGGTTCAAGCGATTCTCCTGCCTCAGCCTCCCAAGTAGCTGGGATTACAGGCACCCACCACCGTGCCCAGCTAATTGTTTGTAATTTTAGTAGAGATGGGCTTTCACCATGTTGGCCAGACTGGTCTTGAATTCCTGACCTCAGGTGATCCGCCCTCCTCTGCCTCCCAGAGTGCTAGGATTACAGGCGTGAGCCACCATGCCTGGCCCATGCTCCTTCTTTGTAAGAAAATTTCAAACCCGCATTTATATAAATTGGCTAGAATTTAAATTGCATAGCCACACTTTAGCCATAAGACAGGTTGCGGAAATAATGGTCATTACTCTAGGTGTTAATAGCTGTTAAGGAAAAAAAAAATCAACATTCTGTCAGTAGAAATGAGAAAGTAGAAATACACTTTGGGACACATCTAATTCAGTCATAATTTTGGAACAGAGTCTGCTAAATAGAGCAGAAATATAATTATCAACTTTTCTGCTAAATAAAATTCAAGTTTTATTTCTTGCTTAGGGAGAACCTCTCAGACTGTGTTTTTCCTCTGCTGTCACATCACAATAATCATCAACAAAGAAGTCTGTAAGAGCAAACTGCTGGTTTAAAAAAAACCATTTTTTTCAATAAAATTAAAAAAAAAAAAAACACACAGAAGACTTCTGTAACCAAAGGTATGAGGGTTTTCCCATACACCAAGCAATAGGCAGCAGCTGGGTGTCCTCAATTCAATTCTGTCACTGTTTTCCTGGATATAGGGTCAGATCCTATAGGTTGGGTGCTCAGTTCCCAAGACCGCCACCCTCCCTTTAGACCAGTCACAACTCTGGCTCTCTAGAACTTCTGACCAACCAGCTTCAAGTTGGGGTTTCCACAATCCCCCCTTTGGGTTTGATTAATTTGCTAGAATGGCTCACAAAACTCAAGGAAACATGTACTTCCATTTACTGGTTTGTTATAAAGGATATTACAGACGCTATAGATGAAGACATATACTGGGGAAGGAGCATAGAGCTTTCATTCCCTCCTTGGGCGCACTACCCTCCAGGAACCTCCACATGTTCAGCTATCCAGAAACTCTCTGAACCTTTCTTTTTGAGTTTTGTTTTTTGTGGTTTTGTTTGTTTTTTTGAGATGGGGTTTCGCTCTTGTCAACCAGGCTGGAGTGCAATGGTATGATCTTGGCTCACTGCAGGCTCTGCCTCCTAGGTTCAAGTGATTCTCCTGCCTCAGCCTCCAGAGTAGCTGGGATTACAGGCACCTGTCACCACACCCAGCTAAATTTTTTTTTTTTTTTTTGAGACGGAGTCGTGCTCTGTTGCCCAAGCTGGGGTGCAGTGGCAAGATCTTGGCTCACTGCAACCTCCACCTCCTGGGTTCAAGCAGTTCTCCTACCTCAGCCTCCTGAGTAGCTGGGACTACAGGCACACACCGCCATGCCCAGCCAATTTTTTGTATTTTAGTAGAGACGGGGTTTCACCATGTTGCCCAGTCTGGTTGCGAAATCCTGAGCTCAGGCAGTCCGCCCACCTCAGCCTCCCAAAGTGCTGGGATTACAGGAGTGAGCCACAGCGCCCGGCCTCTTTTTGAGTTTTTATGGAAGCTTCATAGGCGTCAATGACAGCCATGTAGAAATGTGATTGAACAAAATGTAGAGGATGTAAACCCAGCATGTCCTGTCTAGACTTCTTGGCCTCTCTGTGTCACATTCCTTTCTCTAGGGTATGGGGCAGGACCCTCTCTGGAGTGAGGGTTTTCTTGGCCCAGAATCAGATTAGAGTCCTGCCTTAGGTAGGTGAAAGGAAGACAGGAGAAGGTCAAAGAGAGATTCTATCTCCTGAGGCCCACTCCTGAGACTTAAAGTGCCCCAACATTATAACAGGGACTATGGGAGTTAAGAGCCAGGAACCATGGATGAAAACATATATATATATATATATATATATATATATATTTATTTATTTATTTATATTCATATTTATATTTATATATATCATAAGACCACACTTCTGTTTTTTACTTTTGTGCTTTTTCTTGATTAAAGATTTAAAAATGGAAGATTCTGATCTTTTGATGTAATTTGATTTCACATCAAATTATACAACCGTATCAGTGATTTGTAAGTGTCTCTGGTCATACAAAAGATTTGACCTGAAAATGGACTGAAATATCACTTTATGTATGTTAGAACTAGCTCTTCCTCTCCCAAAAATAAGTAGGAAGAAAATGGTTTATTCTTTAAGCATTTTTAAGAACATTGATCAGTTTAGTACATGTATGCATTCTTGAAAGATGTGAAGCCAGGATATTATTGTGGGCTGGCTATTTTGTTGTTAGCAGTTTCATTAATAAACTTATGTTTAGAGCAGTTTCAGTTTCACAGCAAAATTGAGTGGAAAGTACAGAGTTTTCATATACACCCTGTTCTTCATACACACAACCTGCCCACTGTTACACCACACCATTGTGATACATGTGTTATGATCCATGTACCTACATTGATATACCATTATTACCCAAAGTCCGTAGTTACTTTAGGGTTCACTCTTGGTGAAATACATTCTATGGGTTTTGACAAATGTATACTGACATGTATCTACTATTGTAATATCATACAATAGAATAAAAATAAAGGGGCCAGGTGCGATTGCTCACGCCTGTAATCCCAGCACTTTAGGCCGCTGGAGCTGGAGGATTGCTTGAGCCCAGGAGTTCAAGACCAACCTGGGCAACATAGCAAGACCTTGTCTCTACTAAAAATTTAAGAATTCAGGCCAGACGCAGTGGCTCAGGCCTGTAATCCTGTATATCATTCTTGGTGATATACATTCTATGGGTTTCGACAAATGTATACTGACATGTATCTACTGTTGTAATATCATACAACAGAATAAAAATAAAGGCCAGGTGCGATTGCTCACGCCTGTAATCCCAGCACTTTAGGCGGCTGGAGCTGGAGGATTGCTTGAGGCCACTTTGGAAGGCAAGGCAGGCAGACTACTTGAGGTCAGGAGTTCAAGACCAGTCAGGCCAACATGACACAACCCTGTCTCTGCTAAAAATACAAAAATTAGCTGGGCGCAGTGGCAGGCACCTGTAATCCCAGCTCCTTGGGAGGCTGAGGCAGAAGAATCCTTTGACCTCCGGAGGCAGAGGTTGCAGTGAGCCGAGATCGCACCATTGCACTCCAGCCTGGGTGACAGAGCAAAACTCTGTCTCAGAAATAAATAAGTAAATAAAATAAAAATCCAGCAGGTGTGGTGGCGCACAGCTGTAGTCCCAGCTGCTTGTGAGACTGAAGTGAGCAGATCACTTGAGTCCAGGGGTCCGAGGCTGCAGTGAGTTGTGTTCATGACATTACATTCCAGCCTAAGTGACAAAGCGTTTTTTTTGAAACCCTGTCTCAGAAAAAGAAAGAGAAAATAATACGAACTTTTTTTTTTTTGAGATGGAGTTCAAGCAATTCTCCTGCCTCAGCCTCCCGAGTAGCTGAGATTACAGGTGCCCACCACCACGCCTGGCTAATTTTTGTATTTTTAGCAGAGACGGGGTTTCACATATTGGCCAGGCTGGTCTCAAACTCCTGACCTCAAGTGATCTGCCCGCCCCAGCTTCCCAAAGTGCTGGGATTACAGGTCTGAGCCACCACGCCTGGCCAAGATCGACCATTTTTTAAGAACTCAGGCTTTTGTTGTCTTTTAGAATGCCCTTCATTTTGGATTTCTTTGATCCTATCTTCATGATTAAATTTAGGTTTAAAAAAATCTTGGCAGAGGCCTGGGAAAGATGGCTTATGCCTGTAATCTCAACATTTTGGGAGGCTGAGGCTGGAGGATCACTTGAGGCCTGGAGTTCAAGACCAGCCTGGGCAACATAGTGAGATCCAGTCTCTACAAAAATAAAAATAAATAAAACTTAATAAAATTTAAAAATCATGGCAGGAATATTGCATATGTGATACTTTATACTTCTTTTTGCATCCCACTTATTGTCCCAGCATTGATGGTGCCATTTTTGATTACTTAGTGAAGGTGGTATCCACCAAGTCTTTTCATTGCAAAGATACTACATTTTTTCCCATTGTAATTGGTACATAAACCATGGGTTGATATTTAAGGCTATGGCTTGTTCTCTATCAGTCTTTTTTAATCTAACATTTAATCATCCATTAATGTTTTTTCCCTAAGTTTAATAATTACATTGATGGTTGAAAAATGACAATTTTTGCTGGGTGTGGTTGCTCATCCCTGTAATCCGAGAACTGTAGGAGGCAGATCACCTGAGGTCAGGAGTTCAAGAACACCCTGGCCAACATGGTGAAACCCCATCTCTACCAAAAATGCAAAAATTAGCCAGGCCTGGTGACATGCAACCTGTAGTCCCAGCTATTTGGGAGGCTGAGGCAGGAGAATCGCTTGAACCCAGGAAGCAGAGGTTGTAGTGAGCTGAGATTGCGCCACTGAACTCCAGCCTGGGCGACAGAGCAAGACTCCGTCTCAAAAAAAAAGAAAGAAAAGAAAATTTTCTAATTCCATTATTTCTTGATTTTTAGCTGACATTTTCTGGTGAAGATGAGCTTCTCTTTTTTTTTCTCCGTAAACTCTCTGTTTGTTTTGTTTTGTTTTGTTTTTTTGAATACCTTATAGACTCATGAATTTTTTTTGTTTGGGTGGTTTTGTTTGTTTTTCTCCAGAGACAGGGTCTCCCTATGTTGCCCAGGCTTGACTCTAACTCCTGGGCTCAAGAAGTCCTTCTGCCTCAGCCTCCCAAAGTGCTAGGAGGCATAAGCTATCATGCTTGGCATAAAATTGACTATATTATAATCTATTAGCATTTTATAGGAAACTGCTCAAAATTCCCTGATTTTACCACAGGAGCCCCTTTAAACTGGCCCCTGTTTCCTTTATACATGTCTTCAGATTACTTATCTTTGAGCACTTCCCTGCTTTCTGCTGTTCGGAGTAGTGAGGATTTAGTTTTTTGTTTTGGTTTACTTTTCTGCTGTTGTTTATCAGACTTGTTCTTTCTTTGGCCTGTATCTGGAATCAACTATTTCCCTCAAGGAGCTTTGGTTTCTTTTAGTGAGGATTATTATTTAGAAGTCAAAATCTGAATTTTTCATGTGCTTTTTCTACTAGGGTATTTGTTACTGCTATGATGCCATGCTTCTAGCCCCTTTCAGTACCATGGAATGAAAAAAATGTGCGTACACACAAGTGTATAAATTTTATATTGCTGTTGAAGAAATTATCACAAATTTAGCAGCTTAAATATCATCCATTTATTATCTCACAGATTCCAGTTTAGTCTTGGCTTAGTTGGATCCTCTGTTCTGAGTTTCATAAGCCAGAATCAAGGTACCATCCGAGGCTGGGGCTGTATTCCAGACTCACATGGATGTAGGTAAAACTCATTTCTTTGCAGTTGTGTAACTCATGGTTGGTGGCTTGCTTCTTCAAGTCTTCAACAAAGACAGTCTGCTTCTTTAAGACTCTGGACTGAGAGCAATCCTAAGCCTTTATTGAGATATTAAGTGTACAGTAATCAGTTTTAAAACATTGTTATTATTCCAGAAAGAAACCCACATCACTAGGCAATCACTCCCTAATTTCCCCACCATTAGGCAACTGTCCATTTAGATATTTAATGTGTGGAATATATGTAATATAAATACAATTTTTTTTTTTTAACCAGTCCTGGATATTTAGTATCATACAATATGTGTTTTTTTGTGACTGAGTTTTTTCACTTAGCATATTGTTTTCAGGTTTCATGCATGTTGTAGTATATATAATTCCTGTCTTTTTTGCCAAATAATATTCCATTGTGCATATGTATACCACATTTTATTTATCCATTCATCAGTTAATGAACATTTGGGTTGTTTCTGCTTTTGGCTATCACAAGTAATGCTGCTATGAACATTTGTGTACATCCACGTTTTTATTTTTTATAGCTGTATGATATTAGATTATATAGATACTTCATAGTCTATCTAACCAGTCTAGTAAGGAAGGGTTGTTCTAATATTTGCTCCTATAGATAATGCCCAGTGAATAAATTTATCCACACATTGTTTGATATTTTGGAGGTATATCTTAAGGGTAAGTTCCTAGAAATTGAATTACTGGGTTAAATAGTAATTGTATATATAATATTGTAAATATTGCTAAATTCTGCTTCCATGGGAATTGTATCCTTTTGTAGTCCTAGAAATTTATGAGTCTGTCTTACTTTTCCACAGCCCGTCCTATGTTGTCAAACGATTATATGTTTATTAATCTAATAGGTGAGGAATTTCAATTTACTTTTTTTTTTGAGACGGAGTCTCGCTCTGTCTCCCAGGCTGGAGTGCAGTGGCGCAATCTTGGCTCACTGCAACCTCTGCCTCCCGGGTTCAAGCAATTCTCCTGCCCGAACCTCCCGAGTAGCTGGGACCACAGGTGTGCACCACCACGCCTGGCTAATTTTTGTATTCTTAGTAGAGATGGGGTTTCACCATGTTGGCCAGGCTGGTTCAATTCCCCTTTTTTTTGTAAGTAATACTGTCAAGCATCTTTTTATATCTTTGAAGGCCATTTAATTATCTTTTTCTTTTAACTGTCTTTTCATGTGTGTTTCCCCATTTTCTATCAGGGGAAATTCTATCCTCGATTTTTAAGAGTTCTTTATCTATTAGATTTGCCTTTGTCCGTGATATAAATTGTAGATATATTTTGTCAATTTGTTATTTGACTTTTGTGCTTATTGACCGTGACTATTGTTATGCCAGTAATAATATATTGTTACTGTTCAAACACTGTGTTGATTACTATAGCTTTTTTATTTATTTATTTTTTAGAAACAGGGTCTCACTCTAAGGCCCAGCCTGGAGTATAGTGGCACAAACAGCTCACTTCAGCCTCTTTCTCCCAGGCTCAAACCATCCTCCTTCCTCAGCCTCCCGAGTAGCTGGACTATAGGCATTCACCACCACACCCAGCTATTTTTTAAATTTTTTGTAAAGACAAGGCCTCATTATGTTGCCCAGGCTGTCTCGAACTCTTGGCCTCAAGCAATCCTCCCCTCTTGGCTTCCCAAAGTGCTAGGATTATAGGCGTGAGCCACTGCTCCTGGCCAAATACCGGAGTTTTGTAAGAAAGCCTGAAATCAGAAAGTGTGATTCCTTCAACTTTGTTCTTTTTCAAGATTGTTTTGGCTATTCCTGGATTCCTTGCCATTTCTCTGTGATTTTTTAGGATCAGCTTATCTATTTCTGCAAAAAATGCAACTGGAATCTTCACAGACTCTAGATCAATTTGGGAAGTTTTGTCATCTTTTTTTTTTTTTTTTTTTTTGAGACAGAGTCTCACTCTGTCGCCCAGGCTGGAGTGCAGTGGCACCATCTTAGCTCACTGCAACCTTCGCCCCCTGGGTTTAAGCAATTCTCTTCTGTCAGCCTCCCTAGTAGTTTGGATTACAGGCATGTGCTACCATGCCCATCTACTTTTTGTATTTTTAGTAGATCCAGGGTTTTGCCATGTTGGCCAGGCTGGTCTCGAACTCCGGACCTCAAGTGATCCATCCGCCTCGGCCTCCCAAACCGCTGGGATTACAGACGTGAGCTACAGCACCTGGCCAAGTTTTGCTGTCTTAACAGTATTTGGTCATCACCATATCTGTGAATATGGGATGTCTTTCCATTTATTTTGACTTTTTTTTTTTTTTTTTTGACACAGAGAATCGCTCTCTCACCCAGACTGGAGTGCAGTGGCCTGATCTTGGCTCACTGCAACCTCCACCTCCCAGGTTCAGGTGATTCTCCTGCCTCAGCCTCCCAAACAGATGGGGCTACAGGCCCACACCACCATGCCCGGCTAATTTTTTGTAGTTTTGTAGAGACAGGGTTTCATCATGTTGGTCAAGCTGATCTTGAACTCCTGACCTCAGGTGATTCACTCACCTAGGCCTCCCAAATTGCTAAGATTACAGGGATGAGTGACCATGCCCGACCTATTTTGATCTTTAACCAAAACTTTTAACAGTGTTTGTTGTTGTTGTTTTGTTTGTTTGTTTTAATGAGACTGAGTCTCACTCTGTCGCCTAGGCTTGAGGGCAGCGGCTTCATCTCGGCTCACTGCAACTTCCCCCTCTTGGGTTCAAGTGATTCTCGTGCCTCAGCCTCCTGATTAGCTAGGAATATGGGTGCATGCCAACACACCTGGCTAATTTTTATATTTTTGTAGAGACAGGGTTTCACCATGTTGGCCAGGCTGGTCTCGAACTCCTGACCTCAAGTGATCTGCCCCCCCCTCAGCCCCCTAAAGTGCTGGGATTACAGGCACGAGTCACTGCCCCTGGCCTCAAAACTTTTAACAGTGTTTTATAGTTTTTAGTGTACAGGTGCTATTCTTCTTTTGTTAATCTTGTTCCCAAGAATTTTTTTTTAATTTACTGCTATTGTAATTGTTGTAATTGGAATTGGATTTTTTATTTTTATTTTTTTATTTTTATTCTATTATTATTATTTTTTTTTAGATGGAGTCTCACTCTGTCACCAGGCTGGCGTGCAGTGGTGCGGTCTCAGCTTACTGCAACCTCTGTTTCCCAGGTTCAAGCGATTCTCCTGCCTCAGCCTCCCGAGTAGCTGGGACCACAGGCACGCACCACCACACTCAGCTGATTTTTGTGTTTTTAGTAGAGAAAGAGTTTCACCGTGTTGGCCAGGACGGTCTCGATCTCTTGACCTCGTGATCCGCCTGCCTCAGCCTCCCAAAGTGCTGGGATGACAGGCATGCCACCACGCCCAGCCCTCCAATTGGATATTTTAAATTAAATTTTTGGATTGTTTATTGCTATGTATAGAAATACAATTGATTTTTTTTTCCCACCAGTTTACCCTGACAGATGTGTTTCATGTATTGAGTTTGTCTCCTGTAACCTAGGTGTTAGTCCTAAGAGTCTTTTAGTGGATTCCGTCATGTGTGTCTTGACTTTGCTTAAGATCATTCACATCGTCACCACATCTAGCTAATTTTTTTATTTTTTGTAGAGACAATGAGGTCTTGCCATGTTGCCTGAGCTGGTCTTGAGCTCCTGGCCTCAAGTGATCCTCCTGCCTTGTCCTTCCAAAGTGTTGGGATTACAGGGGTTAGCCACTATATCTGGCCTTTATTTTTAAATTGCTTCTGGATTTTTTTCTTTTTTAAAGACAGAGTCTACCTCTCATCCAGACTAGAGTACAGTGGCATAATACCAGCTCACTACAGTCTCCACCTCCTAGACTCAAGCGTTCATCTTACCTCAGCCTCCTCCAGTAGCTGGGACTACAGGTACATGCCACCACACTGGACTAATTTTTTTATTTTTTCAGAGACAGGGTCTCTCTATGTTGCCCAGGCTGGTCTTGAACTCTTGAGTCAAGTCCCTCTTTGGCCTCCCAAAGTGCTAGGATTGTAGGTGTGAGCCACCGTGCCCAGGTTGCTTCCTTTTTTTTTTTTTTTTTGAGACGGAGTTTCGTTCTTGTTGCCCAGGCTGGAGTGCAATGGTGCGTTCTTGGCTCACTGCAACCTCTGCCTTCCAGGTTCAAGCGATTCTCCTGCCTCAGCCTCCCGAGTAGCTGGGATTACAGGCATGGCATCACCATACCTGGCTATTTTTTTTTTTTTTTAATGGTAGGAACGGCCTTTATTGGCTGCAGCAGGAAGTGAAAGAGGGGATACAGCTTCTGCAGAATAGATCGCCGCCCTCCAAAAAAAGCTTCTGTATTTCAAGTCATTAGAAAAGCTCTCCCACACACAAATTTTAAGCAAGTAAGAAATTTACTTTTGTTTTCTTCTGGTAATTGCTTGGATTCAATTTTTGCATCTAGTTCCCTAATATATTTGGAATTTTTTCAGGTATATTAGTCTGGGCTAATACTGAAGAAGTAAAAAGAAAGTTAATACTTCTTGCATACCTATTATGTGCCAGTTACTGTGCTAATGAGTTTATATATGTTATCTTATAAATTTATTCAAGAACCTTGTGAGAGAACAGGTATTATTAATATTATTGAAGAAGCTAAGGCTTAGAGAATTAGAGAAACTTAAGTAATTTGTCTAGAGTTTTACAGTTAGTCAATAGCATAGTTAACATTTGAGTTCTGGCAATAATTGGCTGCAGAGTTGTTTGTACTTTTCCCTACTTTACTTAGCTTCTACAGTACTGACATATCTTTTGTGGGTTTTTTTGGTTTTTTTTGAAACAGGAGTTTCACTCCATTGCCTAGGCTGGTCTGAAACTCCTGGGATCCTTCCACAATGATCCTTCAGCTGCAACCTCCAAAAGGCTGGGATTAGAGGCATTTGCACCACCACCAGCTCTTTTTTTTTTTTGAGATGGAGTTTCGCTCTTGTCACCCAGACTGGAGTGCAATGGCACGATCTTGGCTCACTGTAACCTCTGCCTCCCAGGTTCAAGCGATTCTCCTGTCTCAGCCTCCCAAGTAGCTGGGATTACAGGCGTGCGCTACCACACCTGGCTAATTTGTGTATTTTTTTTTTTTTAGTAGAGACGGGTTTCACCATGTTGGCCAGGCTGGTCTTGAACTCCTGACCTTAGGTGATCCACCCACCTCAGCTTCCCAAAGTGCTGGGATTACAGGCAACCATACCCGGCCTTCAATGTCTTTTTATGCTGAAAAAAAAAAAAAAAAAAAGTATAACTTGGCTGGGTGTGGTGGCTCATACTTGTAATCCCAGTACTTCGGGAGGCCAAGGTAGGAGGATTGCTTGAGGCCAGGAGTTTGAGACCAGCCTAGACATCATGGTGAGGACCCCATCTCTACAAAAAGTTTTTAAATAATTATCCAGGCATAGTGGCACACAGACCTGTAGTCCTAGTTACTCAGTAGACTGGGATGGTGGGATTGCTTGAGCCTTAGGAGTTCAAGGCTGCATTGAATTATGATTGCACCACTGTACAACCTGGGTGGCAGAACAAGGCCCTGTCTTTAAAAACAAAACAAAGCAGTAAAACATGGATAACTTGTCTGGACCATTTGATTAATTCCTTTTTTTTATTTAAAAGATTAGCTCTAGAATAACATGTCCATTTTTTACATTCTGTACTTTTTAGCATAAAGTTTATATAGTAATCTGAAATATAATTTTACCTTTTTATCTAAAAGTGCCGTATTCCTTGAGGATTTTAAGTTGTGCAGTAAAATGGTCTGGATTGGAGCAAGGTTAGGGAAAGGTGACATTATGAAAAAATGATGCCTCCCCCTTCTTCAAATTCATATCCCCAGGGCAAAAGTTGCCATATTGTTTATGAAAGAACATTAAGGGAGTCTGTTTTCCTGTTGTCTGTAGATGATGTTCAGAAGTATTTTAACCCTGATATGATGTTTGTTTGTTTGTTTGTTTGTTTGTTTGAGACGGAGTCTGGCAGTGGCACAATCACCATGCCCAGCTAGTATGATTTTTTTTTTTTAGACAGTCTTGCTCTGTCACCCAGGCTGGTGTGCAGTGGTGCAACCTTGGCTCACTGCAACCTCCACCTCCTGGGTTCAAGCAGTTTTCCTGCTTCAGCCTCTCAAGTAGCTGAGATAACAGGCGCCTGCCACCACGCCCAGCTAATTTTTTGTATCTTTAGTAGAGGCGGGGTTTCACCATGTTGGCCAGGCTGGTCTCAAACTCCTGACCTCAGGTGATCCACCTGCCTTGGCCTCCCAAAGTGCTGGGATTACAGGCATGAGCCACTGTTCCCGGAAGCCAGTATGCTCTTTTTTTTTCTTAGAGTCTCACTCTGTCACCCAGGCTGGTGTGCAATAGCACGATCTTGGCTTTCTGTAACCTCCACCTCCGGGGTTCAGGCAATTCTCCTACCTCAGCCTCCCAAGTAGGTGAGATTACAGGTGCCCACCACCACTCCCGGCTAATTTTTTGTATTTTTAGTAGAGACAAGATATCACCATGTTCGCCAGGTTGGTCTCCACCTCTTGACCTGACCTCTGGTGATCCACCCACCTTGGCCTTCCAGTGTGCTGGGATTACAGGCGTGAGCCACCGTGCCCTACCAATCTTTTTTTTTTTTTTTTTTGAGATGGAGTCTTGCTGTGTCACCCAGGCTGGAGTCCAGTGGCATGACTTTGGCTCGCTGCAATCTCCGCCTCCCAGGTTCAGGCAATTCTCCTGCCTCAGCCTCTTGAGTAGCTGGGATTACAGGTGCCCACGACCATGCCTGGCTAATTTTTTGTATTTTTAGTAGAGAAGGGATTTCACCATGTTGGCCAGGCTGGTTTTGAACTCCTGACCTCAAGTGATCCGCCTGCCTTGGCCTCCCAAAGTGCTAGGATTACAGGTGTGAGCCACCATGCCCGGCCACCGGCGATCTTTTTTAACACTTTTTTTTTTTGAGACAGAGAGTCTCACTCTGTCACCCTGGCTGGCGTGCAGTGGCACGATCTCAGCTCACTGCAACCTCCACCTCCCTGGTTCAAATGATTCTCGTGCCTCAGCCTCATGAGCAGCTAGGATTAGAGGCGTACACCACTACGCCCTACTAATTTTTGTATTTTTAGTAAAGATGGGGTTTCACCTTCTTGGCCAAGGCTGGTCTCAAACTCCTTGCCTCAAGTGATCTGCCTGACTCAGCCTCCCAAAGTGCTGGGATTACAGGCGTGAGCCACCACATCACTGGCATGATCTTAATTTATCTTTTGTCTGGGTCTGGACCGTCTCTCCCTGTAAATAGGTGATTATGCTGAAGTATGTAAATTTATGTTTATCTAAATTTAGTAAAATTAGCAAAATAAATCTGTTCCAGAAAGTAGACTGTACTTTGGTGGATAGATTGTTTTGAGAGAAATGTTAACATCTTTAGGAAGGTAATTTATGAAAACAGTATTTTCAGAAAAGTTTAACTGCCAGTGGAATATAGAATAGAATTGTCATTTGTGGTTATAGAATTTATCAGATCCTAGCTTCGTCAGTTACTAGTTATATGAATTTGGGCAAGTTATTGATTTGGGCAACCCTTGATCCTCAGTGTCCTCAGCTTTAAAATGGCAATGATAAATAGTACCTGTTACTCAGTTATCAATGTCAGAATGCTTTCCATACATGAAGTAGGCATTCAAAATATTATTTAATGTCTTACTCCACAATCACTATATTGTGACCTTGGACAAATTACTCCTCTAAGACTCTTCCTCTTTAGAAGTAATATGTCCTCTTTTTTTTTTTTTTGAGACAGTCTCGCTCTATCACCCAGGCTGGATTGCAGTGATGCGATCTCGGCTCACTACAACCTCTGCCTCCTAGATTCAAGCGATTCTCCTTCTCAGCCTCCCAGGTAGCTGGGACTACATGCCTGGCTAATTTTTTATAATTTTAGTAGAGACGGGGTTTCACCGTGTTAGCCAGGATGGTCTCAATCTCCTGACCTCGTGATTTGCCCGCCTCAGCCTCCCAAACTGTTGGGATTACAGGCGTGAGCCACCACGCCCAGCATATGTCCTCATTGGGGTCGTTATTCCCTACCCAGATTCCTTTGAAATCTTGTTACTTCCTGCAGAACTGTTGCATAATATTTAAGTCCCACCCTTATCTTGTGTAACCTATTTTTCTAGTTATTTGTCCAGTCATAGTCCTCAAATACTTGTTCCTTTAGCCACATCTGATCATTTTCCTTACTTCCTCCATCCTACACTTTTCTCCTGGGGTTTATCCTAGATGTCTGCTCTGTGTAGTATGAACTACCTTCCCTACTTCACCTTTCCTTGTCAAAATCCCATTTATCTTTTCAAATAAGTTTTCTTAATTCTTTCCTAATTACAATTACTTTTCTTTCTCCTTTTGTAGAACTTAGTATCTCCTCCTAGTAAGTAGTGTTATGAGTTTTATCACATTCTGTTTTTTTTGGGGGGTGGGGGTTGGGGTGGGACAGCCTCACTTTATCACCCAGACTGGAGTGCGGTGGTGCCATCTCAGCTCACTGCAACCTCTGTCTCCTGTGTTCAAGCAGTTCTCATGCCTCAGCCTCCCAAGTAGCTGAAATTACAGGTGCCACCACGCCTAGCTAATTTTTGTATTTTTAGTAGAGATAAGGTTTAGCCATGTTAGCCAGTCTGGTCTTGAACTCCCGACCTCAGGTAATCTGCCCGCCCCTACTTCCCAAAGTGCTTGGATTACATGCTTGGATTACATATGTGAGCCACTGCTCCCGGCCTCAAAGTTTTATCACATTCTGATAGATAATCTAGATATCTACATACATACTTGTTGTCCCACCAAATTGTAAACTTCTTATGGCCAGGGCCACCCTTTGTTCAACTTGGATGCCTTGTAGAACCCAGCAGCATTTTCTACATATAATTACTAAAATATCTATGACTTAAAATCTCCTTAAAGAGATTTAAATGCATCTGCCCTCTCATGTGGTAACAAATATGAGGAAATTATTTTGGTTCATCAATTTCATATCTACCCAAGATAGACATTTCAAAATGGATTAAGTGCCAAATTTTATCCTGAAAAGTTTGTAGGCTGGGCACAATGGCTCACACCGGTAATCCTAGCACTTTGGGAGGCCAGGGCAGGCAAGTCGCTTGAGCCCAGGAGTTGAAGACCAGCCTGGGCAACATGGTGAAACACCGTGTCTACAAAAATAAATAAATAAATAAAATGTCCCATCCCTTCGTGGTAGCATGCACCTGTAGTTCCAGCTACTCGGAGGGCAAGGAGGCTGAGGCGAGAGGTTCACTTGAGTCTGGGAGGTTGAGGCTGCAGCTGCAGTGAGCTGAGATCTCGCCACTGCACTCTACCCTGGGAGACAGAATGAGACCCTGTCTCAAAAAAGCAAAAAAATAAAAATTCCTATCACCTAGTGATGTCATAGCTTTCCTAGCATTTTGGCTTTTTTGTACATTTTTTTGTACAATGTACAGTAATTTCCTAGGCTTTCACATTCATTCACCACACACTCACTGACTCACCCAGAGCAACTTCCAGTCCTGCAAGGTCCATTCATGGTAAGTACTCTATACTATAAAGTGTACCACTTTTTATCTTTTACAACCGTATTTTTACTCTATCTTTCTTATGTTTAGAAATGTTTAGATACACAAATACTTACCATTGTGTTACAACTGCCTGCAATATTCAGTACAGTTACATGCTAAACAGGTTTGTAGCCTAGGACCTATAAGCTATACCATCTAGGTTTGTGTAAGTATATTCTATGATGTTCACACAGCATTTGTCAGAATGTATCACTATCAAATGACAAATGACTTTATATTTCTATCCAAAACAGTTTCTGTGAGCAACATTTATTACATCTATTAAGTTATGTTTGTGTTCTCCTTTGCTGTTTATAAAGTGCTTTTACATATATCTGCGTTTGAGTGAGCTGTGCTGTGTTTAAGTACATCTATGTTATAGTCCTAGATGTATATTAATAGACTCAGATCATAACAGTCTTTATAAATATATTGTTTTTACTGGAACATTGTTTTAAATCCAAGACAGTTTTTCTTTCCCTGTCAGTATGATTTTGATCCTATTTTTCCTCTGGTTATTTGGTACTAAATAATTTTATACTTGTTTAAATATTAATCATAATAAATTATGAGAGTAAATAAATTAAAAATCATTTAATATTTTCCTAAAGCACATGATGTTTATTACCTGTTTTATGAATTATTAAGATAACCTGGCCAGGTGCCGTGGCTCACGCCTGTAATCCCAAGACTTTGGGAGCTGAGGCAAGTGGATCACCTGAGGTCAGGAGTTCAAGACCAGCCTGGCCAATGTGATAAAACCCTGTCTCTACTAAAAATACAAAAAATAGCCAGGCATAGTGTAATCCCAGTAGTTGGCATCTGTAATCCCAGCTACTCGGGAGGCTGAGGCACAAGAATTACTTGAACCTGGGAGGCAGAGTTGCAGTGAACCAAGATCATGCCACTGCACTCCAGCCTGGGCAACAGAGTGAGACTCTGTCTCAAGAAAAAAATAAATAAATGAAGGTTGTCTTCATAATGATGGCAATCTTTCTTTCTTTTTTTTTTTTTTTCTGAGACAGAGTTTCGCTCTTGTTGTCTAGGCTGTAGTACAATGGCACAATCTCGGCTCACTGCAACCTCCGTCTCCCGGAGTCAAGCGATTCTCCAGCTGCAGCCTCTTGAGTAGCTGGGATTACCAGCGCGCTCCACCACACCCAGATAATTTTTGTATTTTTAGTAGAGACAGGGTTTTATCACATTGGCCAGGCTGGTCTTGAACTCCTGACCTCAGGTGATCCACCCGCCTT
This sequence comes from Homo sapiens, assembly GCF_000001405.40. Classification (NCBI taxonomy): domain Eukaryota; kingdom Metazoa; phylum Chordata; class Mammalia; order Primates; family Hominidae; genus Homo; species Homo sapiens. Next base: position 155,397,262 of record NC_000001.11, on the reverse strand, counting down.
GGCCTCCCACAGTGCTAGGATTGCAGGCATGAGCCACCCTGTCCGGTCAGCAATCTTTCTTACACTGATTCAGGATATAATCCATGATCATGCATTGCCTTTTGTTACCATGCTTTTTTTTTTTTTTTTTCTTTTTTTGACAGAGTCTGGCTCTGTCACTCAGGCTGGAGTGCAGTGTGCTATCTGGGCTTACTGCAGCCTCTGCCCCACCCCGGGCTCAAGTGATCCTTTCACTTTAGCCTCTCGAGTAGCTGGGGCCAAAGGCATGCACTACCACACCCAGCTTTTTTTTTTTTTTTTTGAGATGGTGTCTAGCTGTGTCTCCCAGGCTGGAGTACAGTGGCACGATCTCGGCTCACTGCAACCTCTGCCTCCTGGGTTCAAGCAATTCTCCTGCCTCAGCCTCCCAAGTAGCTGGGATTACAGGCACCTACCACTATGCTCAGCTAATTTTTGTATTTTTAGTAGAGATGGGGTTTCACTGTGTTGGCCAGGCCTGTCTCGAACTCCTGACTTCATAACCCACCCGCCTCGGCCTTCCAAAGTGCTGGGATTACAAGCGTGAGCCACTGCGCCCGGCCAAAAGTCAGTATGTTATAATTTCGTTAAAGGAAATAAATATATCAGCTTTGTCTTATTCACTGGAACTTTAGGCCAGGCACAGTTGCTCACGCCTGTAATCCCAGCACTTTGGCTGAGGCGGATGCATCACCTGAGGTCAGGAGTTCAAGACCAGCCTGACCAACATGGTGAAACCCCATCTCTACTAAAAATACAAAAATTAGCCAGGCGTGGTGCCGCATGCCTGTAATCCCAGCTACTTGGGAAGCTAAGGCAGGAGAACCGCTTAAACCTGGGAGGTGGAGGTTGCAGTGAGCCAAGATCACACCATTGCACTCCGGCCTGGGTGACAAGAGCGAAACTCCATCTGAAAAAAACAAAAAAAAGAATTAATTGGAACTTTAAGCTAAAATATAGTCATAATATCTTAAATGAGACTCTTCTAAGGCCCTTTTTTCTCATTTTCCTTTTTTGTTTTCCTTCTTTTTTTCCCCCTTTTATATATTTATGAAATCTCTTGAGATCGCATTTTAAACTTTAGGAAACAAACCAATAATGTGAGTAGAAGACACAAGCCCAGAGAGACATGGTGGAATAAAAGCAAGAGAATAATATAGAATAATATAGTGAGTAGATGTTGAGCAAGAAACTGAGGTTTTGAAGCTTAAATCTCCTTCCCAACTACTAAAATCAAGGCAAGTCACTCAGTCTTATAGAGCATCTTTCCTCTTACCTACTTCACAGTATTGATATAAAGTAACCAAATATAAGGCAGTCATTATAATCCGATCTAAAATTTGTGTTCCTTCTCCAAAACTGTTGGAGAAAATAAAAGAGCATCTTTCTTTTCTTTCTTTTTTTTTAAAAGTAGAGACAGGGTCTCACTTGTTACCCAGGCCAGTCTCAAATTCCTGGGCTCAGGCAGTCCTTCCACCTCAGCTTCCAAAAGTATTGGGATTACAGGCGTGAACCCCCACGCCCAGCCAGGAGCCTCTTTCTTAAGGACAGTTTCAGAAGTAAAGATTTTTTTTTTTAATTTATCAATGTACTTGGTACCCTCTCCTCATAGGATGATCTGTTATCTGTATTTGACCACAGGAGGAAATTTCTTTGCCTCTTGACTGTTTCCCATTCTTTTTTTATCACAGCCCAAAGAGTCGATTGATCCAATTAAAGAAAGAGAAGCTGGAGTATACTCCAGGAGAGCATGAATATGGATTATTTCCAGCGCCCATTCATGTTGGTAAGTACCGAGTCCACACAATGTATTGCTGAGAAGAAACAGTATTTCCTGGGTTTGAGGGAAATGTCTTTTTAATCTTGTTATTATTTCTATTTCTCCAGTGGGATCAAGCTCTTTCTTTACCATTTTACTTAAACTTACTCTGAAGAATTTTATACACTGTTTGATAGTCAGGGGGTCACAGTGGCATAAATCTTGTTCATTGGAGCCTTAATAAATAACACTGGGCCAGGCATGGTGGCTCATGCCTATAATCCTAGCACTTTGGGAGGCTGAAGCAGGTGGATTGCTTGAGCCCAGGAGTTGATGGCCTGGGCAACTTGGTGACACCCTGTCTCTACAAAAAATATGAAAATTAGCTGGACGTGGTGGCACAGGTCTGTAGTCCCAGCCACTCTGGAGGCTGAGGTGAGAGGATCACCCAAGCCTAGGATTTTGAGGCTATGGTGTAGTCATGATCCTTCCACTGCACTCTAGCCTGAGTTGACAGAGAGAAATCCTGTCTCTAAAAAAAATTAAATAAATAACACTATGTCTGTACCTTTTGTTTCCATAGGTATGTCACCTAGGAAAAACCAAGTAGTAGCCATTCAGTGTCAAATATTTTCCACGTTCAAAAATAGATGATTTATACACACATATGATCAGAGTAAGAAGCCCCACTGCTTTTACTGAGTATTTATCTGCTTGAAAGTGGAGTGATATTTATTCTACTGTTCATTCTTGGCAAAAATGTCAAGACTTTGTTTAGCATTTGGATAGTAGTACCTTCCAGGACCCTATTATTGAGCTTATCAGATAAGTAAAAAGTACCAAGAAGTCATTCTAAGTTCCTCCCATTTTTTTCTGTCCCTTATCCAGTTCATCTCAAGTTCTGTTGTGTTTCTATCCCTGAAATATATCCTACTCCTCTCCAAATCTCATTGCTATCTCTCAAGTCTGTGACAGTAGTATCTTTTCTTCAGGCTGCTGCAATAGCCATCTAACAGATCTATTTCCAGTTGTGTTTCCATGTGGCCCAGCCTCCATTCAGTAAAAACAGAAATTATTTTTTAACTTAACCCAGATCATACTTAAAAGCTTTGCATGGCTTACCATCAGATTAAAATGCAAACTTCTTGACTTGAATGATCTGGTTCCTGATTACCCCATCTCTCTCCTTTTATTCATTCCCATCTCAACCTTATTCACTATATTGTGTCATACTGGCCTTCTTTCAGTTTTTAGAACATAGCAAGCTTTTTCCCACTGGAGGGTCATTATACTTGTTATTCCCATTGCCTGAAAAGCTCTTTTTCAGTCTTCCCATGGTTGGTTTCTGCTCATCTTTTAAGGATGATCTTAATGTTAGTATCAGCTTCAATACGATTTATTTTCTTTAAAATAATTTTCCTGATAGTCTCATCAAAAGAGGCTTCGTCTCTCTTTGTTCTAGATAACATCACTCTCTATATCTATAATTACAATATTTATTTGGCTCCTCCATTAGATTATAATCTCCGGCAGTACAGGATCATTGTCTTTCTTACTCTCCCTGGATTTCCCAGCACCTGGTACATAATAGAAGTTTATCAAATATTTGCCGTACAAATGAAAGAAAAGGAGAAGGCTGGGTGCGGTGGCTCACACCTGTAACCCCAGCAGTTTGGGAGACCTAGGCAGGTGGATCACGAGGTCACGAGATTGAGACTATCCTGACTAACAGTGAAACCCTGTCTCTACTAAAAATATAAAAAATTAGCTGGGCATGGTGGCAGGCACCTGTAGTCCCAGCTACTTGGGAGGCTGAGGCAGGAGAATGGCGTGAACCCAGGAGGCGGAGTGTGCAGTGAGCCGAGATTGCACCACTGCACTCCAGCCTGGACGACAGAGTGAGACTCAGTCTCAAAAAAAAAAAAAAGAAAAGAAATAAGGATAAAATATTGAATGTAAATGTCAGGTTTTCTTCATATATTCAGTTTGTTTAAACAAAATTGCTTTAAAGGGGTTCATTAAACACATAGTATGAAACCAGGAACACCTTAATTGTATACTTGATGTTGATCCTATGTCTTGTAGTGTTTTCTTCAACTATGATTCTCTTAACTCTCTTGACTGTGGAGCTCTTGTTTATATTCTGATTAACTAATCTCCTTTTCTCCCTGAGAGAGTTCAGTACCAGCAGAGTTTTTTAATCAGCAGACATAAACAAGTTCTTCAGTAAAGATTAGTTTGCTTGAATTATTCTGTATTGGGTGGCTGGAGACAGATTTAACTACAACATGAAGTTACAAGGTTTAATTCTCAGCTACATAAACTTTACGTGTGCTTACTTAATGAAGGTAAGAGTAAGTTCCTTATTCTCTAGGATTAGTGCCAAAGCTCTTTTGAAAGAGTCTTTTGTATTTACTAGTGAGATCATAGCAGCGGAAGCAGGCTCTCAGCAAATTTAAAATCTGCTAATGATAAATAGGCTTTGAAAATAAGAACAAGGCTGGACGCGGTGGCTCACACTTGTAATCCCAGCACTTTGGGAGGCTGAGGTGGGCGGATCCCTTGAATCCAGGAGTTCAAGATCACCCCATTGCACTCCGGCATGGGTGACAAGAGTGAGACTCCATCTCAAAAAAAAAAAAAGACGAGGAATTCTACTTTTGGTATTGAAAGAGTAGATTACATCAGGCTAACCCTCCCGGGAATAACAATTATCCACCTGTAATCCCAGCACTTTGGGAGGCCGAGGCAGGTGGATCACCTGAGGTCAGGAGTTCAAGACCAGCCTGGCCAACATGGTGAAACCCCATCTGCACTAAAAATACAAAAATTAGCTGGACATAATGGTGTGTGCCTGTAGTCCCAGCTCCTCAAGAGGCTGAGGCACGAGAATCACTTGAACCTGGGAGGCAGAGGTTGCAGAGAGCCGAGATCATGCTACTATACTCCAGCCTGGGCAACAGAGCAAGACTCTCAAAAAAATAAATAAATAAATAAGAAAAAAATGCATCAACTGGACAAATTTAAAACATAGTAATCCTAAGTCACTGGAGAGCAACCAAAAGCAGGCACAAACTGAAGAAAAATCAATAATTAGAAGAGGAGAAGCACACTGGTTGCATTTCCCGCTTGTATAGCTCTTTTTATCTGTGGCCAGGTCCCAGTTAGCAGTACAAGTAAGCACTTAGAAACCTTGAATCTTACTGATTATTTAAGGGCCATGTTTCAGGACAGCTACAGCAGCAGGAAAGTGAGGGATAAAATGCTAATAGGGGAAACTGCAAATTTTGCATATAAACTCAAGCCACTTATCTAGGTAACTGACCCCCTAAACTATGTATATGCAGCCAGAATCCAGTATAGTTAGTTGAGACTAAAGATACTAAGTAGGGATTTCAGCTGCTGCCTACCCCACGGAAGAGAGTGTTACAGATTTTGGTTAACCCACAGTAACTGGTTGCTCTAATGCAAAGAAAAACTTATTTTCTTTTATTTCTTTCTTATTTTTTTATTTTTATTTCTATTTTTTTGAGATGGAATCTCATTGTGTTGTTGAGGCTCAAGTGCAGTAGTGCAATCTTGGCTCACTGCAGCCTCTACCTCCTAGGCTCAAGTGATTCTCCCACTTCAGCCTCCCAAGTAGCTGGGACCACAGGCATGCACTACCACACTTGGCTAATTTTTTGTACTTTTGATAAAGATAGGGTTTCACCATGTTGCTCAGGCTAGTCTCAAACTCTTGAGTTCAAGCAGTTTGCCCACCTCAGCCTCCCAAAGTGCTGGGATTACAGGCATGAGCCACTGTGCCCGGCCGAAACCAGTTATTTTCATAGGATAATAACACAATTGAGAATCTCTGTAACGTATTACTTATAATGTCCATAATTCAATCCAAAATTACTGGACGTTAATAAACATGAAAATATAATTCATATTAAGAGAGAAGGCAGTCAACACTGACAATTTCCAAGGTCATCCAGATGCTGAAAATAGCAGACAAGGATTTTAAAGTCATTGTTATAACTGTGTTCAAGGATGTAAAGGAAAATATGCTTATAATGAACAAGCAGATAAATCTTAAAAATGGAAACATAAAAATTTTAAAATGAACAATAGCAAATGAAAGTCCCAGAACTAAAACATATATGTCTGATTTTAAAACACAAAATGTAGGTTTAATAACAGATTGAAGATGGCAGAAGTGTCAGTTGAACTTGAAAGTATATGAATATAAATTGTCAGCCAGGTGTGATGGTTCACACCTGTAATGCCAGCACTTTGGGAGGCTGAGGCAGGTGGATCACCTGAGGTCAGGAGTTCGAGACCAGCCTGGCCAACATGGCAAAACCCCATCTCTGCCAAAAATACAAAAATTAGCCAGGTGTGGTGGCATGCACTTGTATTCCCAGCTACTCAGGAGGCTGAGGCAGGACAATCGCTTGAACCCAGGAGGCAGAGGTTACAGTGAGCAGAGATTGCGCCACTGTACTCCAGCCTGGGCAACAGAGCAAGACTCCGTCTCAAAAAAAAAAAACACAGGCAGGTGTGGTGGCTCACGCCTATAATCCCAGCACTTTGGGAAGCCAAGGCGGGCAGATCATGAGGTCAGGAGATCGAAACCATCCTGGCTAACACGGTGAAACCACGTCTCTACTAAAAATACAAAAAAATAATTAGCCAGGCGTGGTGGCGGGCGCACGTAGTCCCAGCTACTCAGGAGGCTGAGGCAGGAGAATGGTGTGAACCCGGGAGGTGGAGCTTGCAGTGAGCCGAGATCACGCCACTGCACTCCAGCCTGGGTGACAGAGCGAGACTCCGTCTCAAAAAAAAGAAAGAAAAAAGGGGGGGGGGGGAGAATGATATTAACTACAGATATCTTTAATAAGATAAGGAAATTCCTTTTTAGTTCTGAGAGCTTTCTGCAGAAGTCTTTAGAATTAATTTTGTTCTATAGTTGTTTTTTCTTTTAAAGTCTTTGTCAAGTTTTGTATTAGGCATACACTAGCTTCATTAAATGAGTTGGAAAATTATTTTCCTCCTCTGTTTTCTGGAAGACTGGTATTACTTCTTTCTCAAACATATACCAGACTTCACTAGGGAAGCCATTTAGAACTGAAATTTTTTATGTGAATAATATGGTAAGGTACTCAATTTATTTAAAAGATCTAGACTATTCAGATGTTCATCTTGACTCAGTTTTGATACGTTGTATTTCTAAAGGAATTTGTCCATTTTATCTAAATTATTAAAGATACTGGCATAACATTATTTATAACATTCCCTTATTAGTCTCTTAATGAGTCTAGGACCTATAGTGAGATCAACTTTTTTTATTTTGGATACTGGTAAGCCACCACACCTGGCCTAATATCATTCTTAATGGTGAAATGTTGAATGTTTCCTCCTAAGATTGGGAAGAAGATAGAGTTGTCCACTCTGACTCAGCATTACATGGATGTTCTAGGCAGTGTATTAAGTCAAGAAGATGAGTAAGAGTCATCATAATGATCAGGAAGGAAGAAATGAAACTGTTTCTGTTTATAGATGACATGATTGTTTATATAAAAAAAAAATCCAAAGAGATCCACACCAAAAAAAAAAAAAAAAAGCTACTGGTAGTAGTAGCAGCAAGGTTACTGGAAAATCATCAGTATTAAAAAATCAATTGTATTCTTATAAAACTTAATATACTCTGAACATTTGATGTGGCAGTCATGCTCCTTGGTATTTTCTCAAATAATTTGAAAACATATCTATTGAAAAGAAAAACCTGCATATAGATGTGTGTTTTGTTTTTGTTTTTGTTTTCTTTTGAGATGGAGTCTCGCTCTGTTGCCCAGGCTGGAGTGCAGTGGCGTGATCTTGGCTCTCTGCATTCTCCTCCTCCTGGGTTCAAGCAATTCTTGCACCTCAGCCTCCTGAGTATCTGGGACTGCAGGCATGCGCCACCATGCCCAGCTAATTTTTGTATTTTTAGTAGAGACGGGGTTTCACCATGTTGCCCAGGCTGGTCTCAGACTCCTAACCTTAAGTGATCCACCCACCTCGTCCTTCCAAAGTGCTGGGATTACAGGCATGAGCCACCGCGCCTAGCCTCTTTTTTAAAGTCTTAAATAAACATATATTCAGATAATATAAATATATATCTCCAAGTAAAGGGTTTATTTGGGAATAATATACAATAATTAGGCTTGGCGTGGTGGCTCACACCTGTAATCCCAACACTTTGGGAGGCCGAGGCAGGCAGATCACCTGAGGTCAGAAGTTCGAGACCAGCCTGGCCAACATGGTCTCTACTAAAAATAGAAAAAAATTAGCCAGGAGTGATAGTGGATGCCTGTAATCCCAGTTACTCAGGAGGCTGAGACAGGAGGATCACTTGAACTCAGGAGGTGGAGGTTGCAATGAGCCAGGATCACACCATTGCACTCCAGCCTGCGTGACAGAGCAAGACTCTGTCTCAAAAAAAAAGAATTAGTCCAGGCATGGTGGCTCATGCCTGTAATCCCAGCACTTTGGGAGGCCGAGGAGAGAAGATCGCTTGAGGCCAGGAGTTTGAGACCAACTTAGGCAATGTAGTGAGAACCTCTCTCTATAAAGCAATAACAACATTTGCTGGGTGCGGTGGTACATGCCTACTCAGGAGGCTGAGGCAGGAGGATCACTTGAGCCCAGGAGATCGAGGCTGCAGTGAGTTATGATTGCACCAGCGCACTCCAGCCTGGGTGATGGATCAAGTCCCTGTTTTCTATGAAAAAAAAAAAAAAAAAGAATCGCAATTCAGGACACATAGACCAGGGTAGTCCCTAAGTGTGTCTGAAAAACAAAGAGAAAGGCTGGGGTTGTATTGAGCAAAAGAGGAAGGTTGGAAGAAGGTCAGCCAGGCCCAGTGGCTCAAGCCTATAATCCCAGCACTTTGGGAGGCTGAGGCTGAGGCTGTTGGATTGCTTGAGCTCAGGAATTCGAGACCAGCCTGGACAACATAATGAAAACCCATGTATACAAAAATTTAAAAAGAAAAGAAAAATTTAGCCAGGTATGGTGACATGCACCTGTGGTCCAGCTACTTAGGAGCCTGAGGCAGGAGGATCACCTGAGCCTGGGAGCTTGAGGCTGCAATGAGCTGAGATTGCACCAGTGCACTCCAGCCTGAAAGACAGAGTGAGATCCTGTCTCAAAAACAAAGAAAGAAAAGAAAAAGGTCACTGGTACAGTTGTCATTGGTGAGTGGCAGCAGTTACTATATAAGACATAGTCTTAATTATAGTTAGAGTGAATTTTCTGTTGAAATGCAAAATCAGTTCCTGGATCAGGGACCTTAGTGCCCTCCCCCATGGCCTCCTGACTCCATTTTAGTTGGATATGGTATGAATGATTCCGTTTTGTCTAATCAACTTTCACACCTCTCTCAAACTTACACCAGCAAACACCCACTGGGGAGTGTTTGCTTAAGCAAAAGTTCCTTAAGCTGATAAACAACTTTAGCAAAGTCTCAGGATACAAAATCAATGTACAAAAATCACTAGCATTCCTATACACCAATAACAGTTAAGCCAAGAGCCAAATCATGATTGAACTCTCATTCACAATTGCCACAAAAAGAATAAAATACCTAGGAATACAGCTAACTAGGGAAGCGAAGGATCTCTATAAGGAGAACTACAAACCACTGCTCAAAGAAATCAGCGAAGACACAAATGGAAAAATATTCCATGCTTATGGATTGGAAGAATAAATACCGTTAAAATGGCCATATTGCCCAAAGCAATTTATAGATTCAATGCTATTCCCATTAAACTACCATTGAAATTCTTCATAGAGCTAGAAAAAAACTATTTTAACATTCATATGGAACCAAAAAAGAACCTAAATAGCCAAGGCAATCCTACACACAAAAAAAGAACAAAGCTGAAGGCATCATGCTACCTGACTTCAAACTATACTACAGGGCTACAGTAATCAAAACAGCATGGTACTGATACAAGAGCAGACACATAGACCAGTGAAACAGAATAGAGAACCCAGAAATAAGACTGCACACCTACAACTGCGTGATCTTTAACAAACCTGACAAAAACAAGCAATTGGGTAAGGATTCCCTATTCAGTAAATGGTGCTGGGATAACTGGTTAGCCATATGCAGAAGGTTGAAACTGGACCCCTTCCTTACAGCATATACAAAAACAAAATATGGATTAAAAACTTCAATGTAGGCCAGGCGTGGTGGCTCACGCCTGTAATCCCAGCACTTTGGGAGGCTGAGGCACGTGGATCACTTGAGGCCAGCAGTTCGAGACCAGCCTGATCAACATGGCAAAATCCCATCTCTAACAAAAATGCAAAAATTAGCTGGGTGTGGTGGCACATGCCTATAATCCCAGCTACTTGAGAGGCTGAGGCATGAGAATCACTTGAACCCTGGAGGTGGAGGTTGCATTGAGCTGAGATCGCTGCACTCCAGCCTGGGCAACACAGCAAAACTCTGTCTCAAAAAAAAAAAAAGACTTAATTGTAAAACCCAAAACTATAAAAACCCTGAAAGACAATCTAGGCAGTACCATTCAGGACATAGGCACAGGCAAAGACTTCATGACGATGCCAAAAGCAATTGTAACAAAAGCAAAAATGGACAAATAGTATGAACTTCTGCGCAGCAAAATAAACTATGAACAGAGTAAACAACCTATAAAATGGGAGAAAAATTTTGCAAACTGCTTCTGACAAAGATCTAATATCCAGCATCTATAAGGAACTTAAATATACAAGAAAAAAAACCATTGAGAAGTGGGCAAGGCCTGGTGTGGTGGCTCACGCCTGTCATCCCAGCACTTTGGGAAACCAAGGCAGGCAGATCACTTGAGATCAGGAGTTTGAGACCAGCCTGGCCAACATGGTGAAACCCCGTCTCTACTAAAAAAAAAAAATAGAAAAAATTAGCTGGGCATGGTGGCACGTGCCTGTAATCCCAGCTATTCAGGAGGCTGAGACAGAATTGCTTGAACTCCGGGTGGCAGAGGTTGCAATGAGCTGAGAACATGCCACTCCACTCCAGCCTAGGCAAAAAAGTAAGACTCCGTCTCAAAACAACAATAATAATAAAATTTTTTTAAAGACTCTTGGCCAGGCGCAGTGGCTCACATCTGTAAACCCAGCACTTTGGGAGACCAAGGCAGGCAGATCACCTGAGGTCAGGAGTTTGAGACCATTGGCCAACATGGTGAAACCCTGTCTCTACTTAAAATACAAAAAAATTAGTTGGGCACGGTGGTGGGCTCCTGTAATCCCAGCTACTTGGGAGGCTGAGGCGGGAGAATCGCTTGAACTCAGGAGGCACAGGTTGCAGTGAGCTGAGATTACACCACTGCACTCCAGCCTGGGTGACAAGAGTGAGACTCCATCTCCAAAAAAAAAAAAAATGGGCAAGGGACATGAACAGACACTTCTCAAAAGACATATACGTGGCCAACAATCATATGTCTCTCCCTCCACTGCCATGGTGTCAGAGGAGGTCTAGCCGAGTCAGACTTTTACCAACACCTAGCAGTAACATAACTACCCCACCACAATGTCAGTGGAGACCCCTTGGGAAATTGGAATTCTAACCATTCCCTAGCAGTAATGGGGAGCTTCCCCATCCCCCAACACTCAGGTTTCAGTGGAGGCCTAGTAGGCAACTTGGTCTTTTACTTACAGCTGGCAGTAATGAGGCAGCTTTATCCCTTTTCTGCTGGAGCAGTTTCAGAAAAAGCCAGCTAAAATACAAATTTCATAAAATCTAGAACCTTATACTACTACAAAAGTGTTTAACTTTGAATTTAAAATCATATGTTATTTGCCAAGCATGGTGGCTCATGCCTTGAAATCCCAGCACTTTGGGAAGACAATTTATGTCCACACCAAGACATTAGAATTATCTGGCAGATTTTTAAAGCAGTCTTGATAAAAATGCCTTAGTGAGCAATTGTGAACATGCTTGAAACAAATCAAGAAATAGAAGAAGATAATTTTTCATATTTTATTTTATTTATTATTTTAATTTTTTGAGACAGGTTCTTGCTCTGTTGCCCAGTCTGGAGTGCAGTGGCACAATCTCTGCCCACCGTAGCCTCTACCTCCCAGGTTCAAGTGATTTCTCCTGCCTCAGCCTCCCGAGTAGCTGGAGTTACAGGCATGTGCCACCATACCTGGCTAATTTTTGTATTTTTAGTAAAGACGGGGTTTTACCACGTTGGCCAGACTGGTCTGGAACTCCTGACCTCAAGTGATCTGCCCGCCTCACCTCCCAAAGTGCTGGGTTTACAGGCGTGAGCCACTGCACCTGGCCAATAATTTTTTTAAATTAGAATTTTTATAACTGACTCAGTAATTGAAATAAAAAGTTCAGAGCTTTTATGAGAGAAATTGAACCAGAAAAAAAAATACATTCAGAGATAGACTTAACAGCAGAATGAATGGGACAGAGGAAATAATCTATGCACTAGAAGATAGAATAATACATATTACTCAGCGTATACAACAACATAGAAAATAGAATTAAAAACAGAAAGACTGAGGAGCTTGTGAGAATATGACAAAAAAAGCAAATTTGTGTTATCGGAGTCATGGAAGGAGGGAAAAAAAAGGGCATAGATGAAAAGCACCTTAGTAAATAACAACTGGAAACTTACCAAATTTGGCAGGAGACAGAAATCTCTGTATTCAAGAAGATTAGCAGACTCCGAACAGGATAAACTCAAACAAATATATGCCGAGACACATAATCACATTTCAGTACACTAACAAAACAATTTTAGGCTGGGCGAGATAGGTTGCTCCTGTAATACCAAATACCTTGGGAGGCTGATTGCTTGAGCTCAGAAGTTTGAGACCACCCTGAGCAACATGGTGAAACCCTGTCTCTACAAAAAATACAAAAAAAATTAGCCAGGCATGGTTGGCAAATGCTTGTCATCCCAACTACTCAGGAGAACGAATCTCAGAAAAAATAAAAAAAACAAAAAAAAACCACACCAATTTTAAAGCAATGACAGAGAAATTACCCTTACCTATAAGGATAAAACAATTCAAATGACAGTAGATTTCTCATCTGAATCTATGGAGGCCAAATGGAAGTGATACAGCATTTTTCACATCCTAAAAGCAAAGAATTGTCAACTCCGAATCTTCTAACCAATGAAAATATCTGTCAGGAATTAAGAAGAAATGAAGGCATTCTTAGATTAAGGAAAACTAAGAGAGTTTGTTGCCAGCAGATGTACCCTATGAGTAAAGCAAGTTCTGTGAACAGAAAGGAAACAATTTTAAAAAAAAGACACTTTGGAACATTAGGAAGGAAGAATACAGTAAGCAAAAACATGGATATATACAATAGGCTTTCCTTCTCTTGAGTTTTTTCTAAGTTACGTTTAATCATTGAAGCAAAAAGTTTTAACACTGCTGTATTGTTTTAGCAACTTTATTAAGATACAATTCACAGACCATCCAATTTACTCTTTTAAAATAGACTATAGTTTTTGATATATTACATTTTTTTTAACTTCCAGTAAAATATACATAACACAATTTGCATTTTGATCATTTTTAAGTGGACAATTCAGTGTCATTAGGTACATTCGCATTGTTGTATGACCATGACTGCTATCCATCCCCGGAACTTTTTCATTATCCCCTACTGTAACTCTGTACCCATTAAACTGTAACTCTCCATTCTCTGTTCCCCTCAGCCTCTGGTAATCACTGTCTATTTCTTTGAAAGTGGGGTTGTATAATACCTGTTCTTTTGTATCTGCCTTAATTCACTTAGCATAATGTCTTTAAGGTTCATCCATGTTGTAGTACCATCATGTGTTGCTTAACGATGAGGATACATTCTGAGAAATGCATTGTTAGGCAATCTTATAATTATGCAAACAGAATATACTAACCAGGCTGTATGGTATAGCCTCTTGCTCCTAAGCTACAAACCTGTATATCATGTTAGTATACTGAATACAGTAGTCAGTTGTGACACAGTGGTAAGTATTTACATATCTAAATGTAGAAAAGGTACAGTAAAAATACAATATAAAGGATAAAAAATGGCAGCCCACTATGGGACACTTACCTGAATGGAGCTTACAGGATTGTAAGTTCCTCTCTGTGGGTCAGTGATTGAGTGGAGAGTGAATGTGAAGGCCTAGGACATCACTGTTAAACTACTGTAGATTTTATAAACACTGCACACTTAGGCTACACTAAATTTTTATTTTTTGTTCCTCAATAGTTAAGTTAATCTTAGCTTTCTGTAGCTTTTTTACTTTATAAACTTAATTTTTTAACACTTTGACTCATAATAACTTAGCTTTAAACATGAACACATTGTACAGCTGTACAAGAAAATATTTTCTTTATGTCCTTATTTTATAAGCTTTATTTTTAACATTTTTTCTTCTTTTTAAACTTTTTTAGTTAAAAGCGAAAAGAGGGCCAGGCATGGCGGCTTACGCCTGTAATCCCAACACTTTGGGAGGCCAGGGCAGGCAGATCGCTTGAGCCCAGGAGTTTGAGACCAGCCTGGGCAACATGGCAAGACCCTGTCTACAAAAAATAAAAAATCAGCCAGGCATGGTGGCACATGCCTGTAGTGCCAGCAACTTGGCAGGTAGAAGTGAGAGGATCGCTTTAGTCTGGGAGGTTGAGGCAGCAGTGAGCCATGATCCTGCTATTGTACTCCAGGCTGGGTGACAGAGCGAGACACTGTCTTGAAAAAAAAAAAAGAGCTAAGACACAAACCCACATTAGCCTAGGCCCACTCAGGGGCAAGATCATCAATATCACTGTTTTCTCGCTGTATGTCTTGTTCTACTGAAAGGTCTTCAGGGGCAGTAACACTCATGGAGCTGTCATCTGATATGGTAATAATGTCTTCTGGAATATCTCCTGAAGGATCTGCCTAAGACTGTTTTTTGGTTTGGTTTGGGTTTTTGTTTGTTCGTTTGTTTGTTTGTTTGAGACAGAGTCTTGCTCTGTCGCCCAGGCTGGAGTGCAGTGGCACAATCTCAGCTCACTGCAAGCTCCATCTCCTGGGTTCACACCATTCTCCTGCCTCAGCCTCCCGAGTAGCTGGGACTACAGATGCCCGCCACCACGCCCAGCTAATTTTTTGTATTTTTAGTAGAGACAGGGTTTCACCATGTTAGCCAGGATGGTCTTGATCTCCTGACCTCATGATCTGCCCACCTCGGCCTCCCAAACTGCTGGGATTACAGGCGTGAGCCACCACGCCCAGCCTGGTTTGGTTTTTTGAGACAGAGTCTGTGTCGTTGCCTGCTGGAGTGTAATGGCACGATCTGGGCTCACTGCAACCTCCACCTCCCAGTTCAAACAATTCTCCTGCCTCAGCCTCCTGAGTAGCTGGGACTACAGGTGTGCGCCACCACACCCAGCTAATTTTTGTATTTTTAGCAGAGACAGGCTTTCACCATGTTGGCCAGGCTGTTCTCGAACTCCTGACCTCAAGTGATCCACCCACCTCGGCCTCCCAAAGTGCTGGGATTACAGGTGTGGGCCAGCACTCCTGGCAAGGCTGTTTTTTTGTTTTGTTTTGTTTTCCTTTTTTTTTGAGACCGTGTCTCACTCTGTTGCCTAGGCTGGAGTGCAGTACGTGATCTTGACACACTGCAACCTCCACCTCTACCTCTGCCTCCCAGGTTCAAGCGATTCTCCTATTTCAGCCTCCCAAGTAGCTGGGATTACAGGCGTGTGCCACCACACCCAGCTAATTTTTGTATTTTTAGTAGAGTTGGGGTTTCACCATGTTGGCCAGGCTGGTCTTGAACTCCTGACCTCAAGTGATCTGCCTGCCTCAGCCTCCCAAAGTGTTGTTGGGATTACAGGCATGAACCATTGCGCCCAGCCAAGGTTGGTTTTTTTGTTTGTTTGATTTTTGTTTTTTTTTGAGACGGAGTCTCGCACTATTGTCCAGGCTGGAGTGCAGTGGTGCAATCTTGGCTCACTGCAACCTCTGCCTCCCAGGTTCAAGCAATTCTCCTGCCTCAGCCTCCTGAGTAGCTGGGATTACAGGCGCCCACCACCACACCCGGCTAATTTTTTGTATTTTTAATACAGGGTTTCACTATGTTGGCCAGCCTTGTCTCTAATGCCTGACCTCGTGATCTACCTGCCTCGGCCTCCCAAAGTGCTGGGATTACAGGCATGAGCCACTGCACCCAGCCAAGGATGTCTTTTAATAAGCAGGAGTATACTCTAAAATAATGATGAAAAGTATAGTATATTAATTATAAAACCAGCAACAAAGACATTTTATCAAGTATTATGTATTATACCTAATTATGTCTGCTATGCTTGTATTCAACTGGTAGCGCTATAGGTTTATTTGCACCAGCATCACCACAAACACATGATTAACACTTTGCACTGCAAAGTTATGACAGCTAGGAGGAATTTTTCAGCTCCCTTATTACCTTCTGGGTCCACCATCATATATGCAGTCCATTGTTGACTAAAACATTGGCACATGACTATATGTATAAGAATTTCATTCTTTTGGCCAGGTGCGGTGGCTCATGCCTGTAATCCCAGCACTTTGGGAGGCTGAAGCAGGTGGACCACCTTAGGTCAGGAGTTCAAGACCAGCCTGACCAACATGGAGAAACCCTGTCTCTACTAAAAAAAAAAAAAAAATACAAATTAGCTGGGTGTGGTAGCACATGCCTGTAATCCCAGCTACTCAAGAAGCTGAGGCAGGAGAATCGCTTAAACCCAGGAGGCGGAGGTTACAGTGAGCCGAGATCGCACCATTGCACTCTAGCCTGGGCAGCAAGAGCGAAACCTCATCTCAAAAAAAAAAAGAATTTCATTCTTTTTAAGGCTGAATAATTTTATATAAGACAAAAACAAAAAAATCAAACAAAAATACTATTTCAATAGGTAGGAAAAAATGTTAAAAGATCATAAATTTGCCTGGAAAACTTCTCGAGTTATTTAAACACAAGAATTTCTCCTTTTTGTAATCAACCTTAGGTTATGTGTAATAATGAAGAGCAGGTGCCAGATGCTGTACCCTTAATAATTTTTAATAATAATAAAATATTTAATAAGCTTCATAATGACCTGTGTGTTTTTGGTTGTAGTTTTGCTGTATTTGTTGTTTTATGTAGACTATTATACTTAAAATATATCTTCGGCATATATCGTGTGGAGTATAGTGGGAAAGAAGAGCTAAAATTAAAAATTGGTGATGGAAAAATCCTTAAAGAATTAAATCTTTATTTTTTTAGTCAGTACATGTTAGTTCTTGTAGCTGTTTGACACCTTTGTATAAGCAAATATTAGAAAAGGTATTGAAATTAATAGTGTTTTTTGTTTCAGGAAAGTATCTAAGACAAAAGAGAATTGACTTCCAGCTTCCTTATGATATCCTTTGGCAGTGGAAACACAATCAGGTACAGAGAGCCTGTTTTACCAGGTTTCATTCTTAAGTGGTAAAGGGGGAGGGGTGGAAATGCAAGTGTTTTTCTCTCCCCTTGTTATGTTTTCATCTTAGGAGGTTTTCAGAAGTGTCCCTGTGAAGGTTAGGACTAAGAAAAATGAATTTGCATCCATCTTTAATGTGACCTATTTGCCTTTACTCTTACTGCAAAATAGCAGTAAGTTCCTGCTTTCCTAGGCAACCTTCTGTTGTTATTCTGGACTTTTATTTTGGTAGCAAAGATTTTGTTCTGTAAGAATTCTATTTGATGCAGGTCTCAGGAGAATTTAGATGTACTGCCAGCAGCACTAAGAAATTTCAGACTTTATTTTTGTTGGCTCCTTCTTATCAGTTTGAAATTTATTTTTCACATGCAAAAGAGATTCTTCTATCAAAGGAAGCAGGGAAATGTTTAACACTCTTGCACTTTTAAAAAATCTTTAAATATATTGGTAACTAAAAACAGGAAGATGCCGTGTTTTTTCTCTTGCTTCCCAAATTGAAAAGTTTCCCGTAGTGATTTTTGTATTAGCTTATAGCCCCCAGGTCTCATATTGAGAACAACCATTGGGAAATAGAAATAGTCATGCAATTGAGGTGAATAGATTTCTTGAGTTCTGCCAAAATGCCACCAAAGGTTTATTTTGGAAAGCCAAAATTGACATTCCCCTCTGCGTTGTCTTCTCCAATGGCCTCTCTTGAATTCTGAGAGTATTAATATGTTAGGTATTTGTCTCAGAGTTTTTAACAATGAAGGAGAGAATGCTTTGAACATACTGACTAGAAAATAATGGTGGGATTATTCCAATATATTAATAAACAGTCTAGCTTTGTGCAAGTTGCTGTTTGTTTTGTACAGTCCCTTATGGCAAAATGCTGGAAGACTGCCTCTCTTCTAATGCATTCTTTTTTTTTTTCTTTCTAATATCTTCTTGATTATAATGTGAGAGCTCCATTTTGCCTGCCTGCCCTCTCTCCTTTATTCACTAAATTAATTGCCTTAATTAAAATTTGAAATGTTTTCCTATAATTCTCAACCTGAAAAGCCAGGGTACTCATCTTTTTAATTTCATGTACCCACCCAGACATCTAAGTAAGTCCTATGCATGTTGTTTTCCTTTCTTTTGATAGAAGCAAATAGAATCTTAATTTGTCCAAATGAATAGCTTTGGTCTCCAGTGTGATTTTCATTTAAGTCTATCCAACAACATGCTGAAGAAACATGTAATTCCACTTGTATAAACTATTTAGTGCTTCTTCTGTTGAATCTTATTCTCTCACCTTTTATTTCAGAGTAAAAAGAGATCACACCAAGAGTTTCCCTCAAATGTATCCAACCCAAAATGTCTTGTAAATATTTCCAGATGAGCAGAGCACATAGAAAATTTCCTGTATTTTTAGTGATTGATGCTGCCGTCTGGCATTTGAAGTTAAATGCTATATCAAGATTTTTCTTCTTTTCTTCTAGCTATACAAAAAGCCAGATGTCCCACTATATAAGAAAATTCGTTCAAGTGAGTAACTTAGGAGCTATTTTTTCTGCCTCTATACGTTAATGTTCTTCTGAGCCTAGCACTTGAAAAATTATCCTGTATGTTCACAAACTATTCTTTGCTTTCTTTTCAAGATGTCTACGTTGATGTCAAACCCCTTTCTGGTTACGAAGCTACCACCTGTAACTGTAAGAAGCCAGATGATGACACCAGGAAGGGCTGTGTTGATGACTGCCTCAATAGGTACTGTCATGCTTTGATTTCTCTAAAGCATAGGCTTTAAGGTATACATACAACACTTCCTTTGGAGGGTACAGTTAAATAGGCTCTTTGATTTTTTTCAAGAAGTTGCACAAAGATATATAAACCATAATGGGTGGGCGGAATACAGAAACAGAAAATGAATGAGATTTAGAGTCTTGTGTGTGCCTTCGTTGGTTTAAATCCTTTTACTTTTTTTTTGTTTGTTTTTTTTGTTTTGTTTTGTTTTGTTTTTTTTTTGAGACGGAGTCTCCCTCTGTCGCCCAGGCTGGAGTGCAGTGGCGCGATCTCGGCTCACTGCAAGCTCCGCCTCCCGGGTTCACACCATTCTCCTGCCTCAGCCTCCCTGGTAGCCAGCACTGCAGGCACCCACCACCACACCCAGCTAATTTTTTTTGTATTTTTAGTAGAGATGGGATTTCACCGTATTAGCCAGGATGATCTCAATCTGACCTCGTGATCCACCAGCCTCGGCCTCCCAAAGTGCTGGGATTACAGGCGTGAGCCACCGCGCCCAGCCAATCCTTTTACTATTTATGAGACCTGAGAAAAGTTATTTAATGCATCTAATAAAAGTAATACCTTACCTTCTCTATGGAGGGTTTGTGGAGATTATATGAGACTGTTGATAAACAATGTTTGTGAAGTTTTGGCTTTCTTGTTTTGGGGTTTTTGTTTTGTTTTGTTTTGTTTTTTTTAGAGATAGGGTCTCACTGTGTTGCCCAGGCTGGATTCAAACTCCTGGGCTCAAGTAGTCCTCCTACCTCAACCTCCTGAGTAGCTGGAACTATAGGTATGTGATACTGTGCCCAGCTCATAAAACATTAAGCACAGTCCTAGGTACCTTCCTAGCTCTCAATATATGGTTGCCACAATGAGGAAGCAGAATAGGACAGTGGCAGTGAGAGTGAAGAGGAAGGGCATAATATATTTTAGAAGAAAAGTATGTTGATAAACCATCGGCATATAGGGGATATGCTCTTCATATGGGGATATATTCTCTCTCTGAAAATAAAGTGTGGAATCTAACTGAATTGGAGATAAGAATTATGAATTTGGCTGGCATGGTGGCTCATGCCTATAATCCAAGCACTTTGGGAGGCTGAGGCAGGCAGGTCACCTGAGGTCGGGAGTTCAAGACCAGCCTGACCAACATGGAGAAACCCCATCTCTACTAAAAATACAGAATTAGCCGGGCATGGTGGCTCATGCCTATAATCCCAGCTACGTGGGAGGCTGAGGCAGGAAAATTGCTTGAACCTGGGAGGCAGAGGTTGCAGTGAGCCAAGGTCCTGCCATTGCACTCCAGC
The DNA here is from genome assembly GCF_000001405.40 of Homo sapiens. Lineage (NCBI taxonomy): Eukaryota > Metazoa > Chordata > Mammalia > Primates > Hominidae > Homo > Homo sapiens. The sequence continues at coordinate 155,376,952 of NC_000001.11, read as the reverse complement.
CTGGGCAACAAGAGGGAAACTCCATCTCCCCCCCAAAAAAAAAGAATTATGAGTTATGACTTTGATTTGAGTCTGTAATTTTTTTTTTTTCTTTTTCTGAGATGGAGTCTAGCTCTGTTACCCAGGCTGGAGTGCAGTGGCGCGATCTTGGCTCACTGCAACCTCTGCCTCCCGGGTTCAAGAGATTCTCCTGCCTCAGCCTCCCAAGTAGCTGGGATTACAGGTGCCCCCCACCATGCCTGGCTAATTTTTGTATTTTTTTAATTTATTTTTTTGAGACAGAGTCGCGCTCTGTCGCCAGGCTGGAGTGCGGTGGCACGATCTCAGCTCACTGCAACCTCCACTTCCCAGGTTCAAGTGATTCTCCTACCTCAGCCTCCCGAGTAGCTGGGACTACAGGCATGAGCCACCACACCTGGCCAAGAGAGTATATAATTTTAAACGGCACTGAAATTTCAAAATAGAAATGTCTAATAGACAAAGGAGTGGATATAGAATTTGTTGTTTTAGTAACAATGCACATGTGCAGCAAAATAAAAAAGAATCAGTGAATTTTACATCAGTATTTCCTGTTCTGGATAGTTCTCATGGCCAAAAGTAGCTTCTTTGATCTCTAGTCAGCTGTCCATGTGGTCTGAAGGGAATCAATGTTTTAGTTCTTCCTGCTTCAGCATGCCAGTTGGGAAATTCTACCTTACCTGCATCACTGTAAATTCACACCTTATCATTTTATGTACATACAGGTTCACATAGTGTTTTGCATACTGATTTTCTTTACTCACAAATATTTTAAATGCACACTTTTATTAAACAGTGTGGTCCACAAGCTCAGTATTTTTATTTATTTATGACACAGGATATCACTCTGTTGCCCAGGCTGGAGTGCAGTGTCGCCATCACAGCTCACTACAACTTCTACCTTCCGGACTCAAGCAATCCTCCCATGTTAGCCTCCTGAGTAGCTGAGACTAAAGACGCGTGTCACCACGCCTGGCTAATTTATTTATTTTATTTATTTTTAAAGTAGAGACGGGATCTCGATACTTAGCCGAGGCCGGTCCTGAACCCTTAAATCTCACTATATGAAGGACAACCTAGATCTACGTTTAGTAGCTGGCTGGGGTGCGACTGTCTCATTTTTCTTTTTTTTTTTTGAGACGAAGTTTCATTCTCGTTGCCCAGGCTGGAGTGCAATGGCACAATCTCAGCTCACTGCAGCCTCCACCTCCCGGGTTCAAGCGATTCTCCTGCCTCATCCTTCATCCTTGCGAGTAGCTGGGATTTACAGGCACCTGCCACTGCACCCGGCTAATAATTTTTGTATTTTTAGTAGAGACAGGGTTTTGCCATGTTGACCACGCTGGTCTCGAACTCCTGACCTCAGGTGATCCTCTTGCCTCAGCCTCCCAAAGTGCTGGGATTACAGGTGTGAGCCACTGCATCCAGCCCAACTCTCGTTTTTCAAGGGCATTATCTGGCTAAAGATAATGACAAATTGTACTAAATCAAAGACCTCACATTGTAGTTTACAGCATCTAATTTCAGATTTTGGTAAATTTAGTTTGGTTTCCAGACACAACAAATAGAAACATGTTTTGGTTTTATATAATTTAAGGACTTATTCTGGTTGTCAAAACAAATGGGGAATATATTTCAATGCCTTGAACTCTAGAAACTACAAATTTTCAGTAACCTCTGAATGATTGTTCCCTGGAAGAAATCTTTTAAAATTTAAATCTCTCTTATCTGAGCACTCTTTTATTTATACTTCAGGGTTTTTTTAAATCCGGATGCAGTTTATAGTATGTGTTATTAGGTATTATGAAAATACTTGGTGCCAGCCAAGCACAGTGGCTCACGTCTGTAATCCCAACACTTTGGGAGGCTGAGGTAGGCAGATCACTTGAGGTCAGGAGTTTGAGACCAGCCTGGGCAACATGGCAAAACCCCACCTCTACAAAAAATACAAAAGTTAGCAGGCATAGTGGTGCATGCCTGCAGTCCCAGCTACTTGGGAGGCTGAGGTGGGAGGATCGCTTGAGCCTGGAGGTTGAGGCTACAGTAAGCTGTGATCACGCCACTGTACTCCAGGCTGGGTGACAGAGTGAGACCCTGTGTCAAAAAAAGAAAAGAAGAAAATATAGGTGTGGAATATTATGAACTAGAGGTTACATTTGAAGCCATGATTATAGATCAGCTCTCTAGAAAAAGGAATATGGTAGAGGAAAAAAGGATTTCTACCAGAAAAGACAGGAATTGGTATTGGCAAGGTGGGAAATCCAGTATCATAAAAAATGAGGAAAGCCAAAAAAGGAAGGCATTTCAAGAGGGGTATTCAATAATATTCATGTACCAAAGAAGTCAGCAAACGGAAGAGTAAAGGTGGTTGAATTTGATGTTAAGGCACTGTCTTCTTTACAGCTGAAGCTGATTATCTTAAATTGAAGAATAATCCAGTCGATACTTTCTCTGCTCCTATTTACATGATTTGACACTGTGTGCCGTGTGCCCTTTAGAATCGTGGTGGTATTTTTGTTTAGAGTAAGTCAGATTACTCTGAAAGTACTTTAAGGTATAAACTGTTATATATTTTCTTTACAAAACTTTTCACTTTTTTTTTTCCTTTTTTTGAGACAGTCTCGCTCTGTCACCCAGGCTGGAGTGCAGTGGCACCATCTCGGCTCACTGCAGCCTCTGCCTCCCAGGTTCAAGCGATTCTCCTACCTCCGCCTCCCAAGTAGCTGGGATTACAGTTGCCACCACGCCTGGCTAATTTTTGTATTTTTAATAGAGACGAGGTTTCGCCGTGTTGGCCAGGCTGATCTCGAACTCCTGACCTCACGTGATCCTCCCGCCTCTGCCCCCCAAAGTGCTGGGATTACAGGCATGAGCCACCGTGCCCGGCCTTTAAAATTATTATTATAAATATAACATGATATTTTGACGATTATTTTCTTGATCATTCCTTGTTTTAGTCATGCTTAAGGCCAGGCATGTTGGCTTACGCCTGTAATCCAGCATTTTGGAAGGCCAGGGTGGGCGGATCACTTGAGTCCAGGAGTTTGTGACCAGCCTGGGCAACATGGAAAAACCCCATCTTTACTAAAAATACAAAACATCAACTGGGCATGGTGGCGTGTGCCTATAGTCCCAGCTATTCTGGAGGCTGAGGTGAGAAAATCACCTGAGCCCAGGAGGTCGAGGCTGCAGTGAGCCAAGATCATGCCACTGCACTCCAGCCTGGGCAACCAGAATGAGACCCTGTATCCAAAAAACAAACCAAAAAATAATGCTTAACAGCCTAGATGAGATTTCAAACCATACACCAAAACTAAACAGCTCCCATTAAAACAGCCAGGTGCATTGGCTCACAAAATGCTGTAATCCCTAGCATTTTGGGAGGCCGATGAGGGAGGATCCCATGACCCCCAGGAATTTGAGACCAGCCTAAGCAACATAGCAGCAAGACCTCACCTCTACAAATAATTTTTTTTTTAAGTAGTCAGATGCGGTGGTGCGCGCCTGTGTTCCCAGCTACCCAGGAAGCTGAGGTGGGAGAATTGCTTGAGCCCAGGTGGTCAGAGCTGCAGCGAGCCATTATTGTGCCACTGTACTTCAACCTGGGTGACAGAGCGAGACCCTGTCTCCAAAAAAAAAGTAAAGAAAGCAGTGACAAGATGTGTGTGACTTCTTTTGTCTTCTATGTTCAGTTTTTTTTTGTTTTTTTTTTGTTTTTTTTTTAGACAGAGCCTCACTCTTTTGCCCAGGCTGGAGTACAGTGGTGCAATCTCAGCTCACGGCAACGTCCGCCGGACAAGTTCAAGCAATTCTCCTGTCTCAGCCTCCCGAGTAGCTGGGACTATAGGCACATACCACCACGCCCAGCTAATTTTTGTATTTTTAGTAGAGATGGGGTTTCGCCACCTTGGTCAGGCTGGTCTTGAACTCCTGACCTCACATGATCCTCCTGCCTCTGCCCCCTAAAGTGCTGGGATTACAGGCATGAGCCACTGCACCCATCTAGAATTTTTAACTTGTTAATTCCCTAACTACTATGGGTTCAGCTAGTCATATAGCCTGGAAATGTCATTTCAATTAATGTAATATAAAATTCCTGTAATACAACAGCAGCAAATATACCTAATGTCACTGAACTGTACTCTTAAAAATGGTTAAGGCTGGGTGTGGTAGTTCATGCCTGTAATCCCACCTACTCAGGAGGCCGAGGCAGGATGGATCCCTTGAGCCAAGGAGTTCGAGGCTACAGTAGGCTGTGATCAGGCCACTGCACCCCAGTCTGGGTGACAGAGGGAGACTTCCCCCTCTTTAATTAAAAAAAAAAAAGGCCAGGCACAATGGCTCACGCCTGTAATCCCAGAACTTTGAGAGGCTGAGGTGGGCGGATCACTTGAGGCCAGGAGTTCGAGACCAGCCTGGCCAACATGGCAAAACCTCGTCTCTACTACAAATACGAAAATTAGCTGGGCGTAGTGGTGCATGTCTGTAATCCCAGCTACTTGGGAAGCTGAGGCAGGAGAATCCCTTGAATCCAGGAGGCAGAGGTTGTAGTGAGCTGAAATTTAGCCACTGCACTCCAGCCTGGGTGACAGAGCGAGACTTTGCCTCAAAAAAATAAAAATAAATTAAAAAAAAAAAAAACTGGCTGGGCACAGTGGCTCATGCCAGTAATCCCAGCATTTTGGGAGGCTGAGGTGGGTGGATCATTTGGGGTCAGGAGTTCGAAACCAGCCTGGCCAACATGGTGAAACCCCATCTCTACTAAAAATACAAAAATTACCCGGGTGTTGTGGTATGCGCCTGTAATCCCAGATAAGGCAGTAGAATTGCTTGAACCCAGAGGACAGAGGTTGCAGTGAGCTGAGATCATGCCACTGCACTCCAGCCTGGGCAATGGAGTGAGACTCCGTCTCAAAAAAATAAATAAGAGTAAATTAGCGGCCGGGTGCAGTGGTTCACAAGCTTGTAATCCTAGCACTTTGGGAGGCCGAGGCAGGCGGATCACCTGAGGTTGGGAGTTTGAGACCAGCCTGGCCAACATGGTAAAACCCTGTCTCTACTGAAAATACAAAAAATAGCCGGGTGTGGTGACACACATCTGTAATCCCAGCTACTCGGGAGGCTGAGGCAGGAGAATCTCTTGAACCTGGGAAGCGGAGTTTGCAGTGAGCCGAGATTGTGCCAATATACTCCAGCCTGGGCAACAGAGCCAGATTCCATCTCAAAAAAAAAAAAAAAAAGTAAATTAGGTATTCTACCACAATTTTTTTTTAAATCAGTAAATGGGCATGAGTGCTTCAAAATAAGAGTACAGTGAAATCATCATCAAATTACTGATTCTTCTTTGGATCACAGTTATTTATTTATTTATTTTATTTATTTATTTTGAGACGGAGTCTCACTCTGTCGCCCAGGCTGGAGCGCAGTGGTGCGATCTCTGCTTACTGCGACCTCCACCTCACAGGTTCAAGGGACTCTCCTGCCTCAGCCTCCCAAGTAGCTGGGATTACAGGTGCACACCACCACACCCAGCTAATTTTTGTATTTTTAGTAGAGACAGGGTTTCACCATGTTGGCCAGGCTAGTCTTGAACTCCTGACCTCAGGTAATCCACCCACCTCAGCCTCCCAAAGTGCTGGGATTACAGGCATGAGCCACCTTGCCCAGCCTTATTCTTGGAATAGATAAATATGATAATGTTTACCCAGGATGCTGAGTGGACAGTTAGCTTAATCATTTACAAGAAGCATTCAGGATTTGCAGCCCGACTTGGAAATTCTGAATATTATTAATTTTTGACATTTATTATTTTAATCTTAGTGATTCGGGTACTTTTATTAAATAAAAATTGATTTCATGTATTCATTTTTAAATGTTTGTAAAATTTAAAAATGGATGCATCAAGGTATGTATCATGTAAGTTGATGTACAGTTATTCCTTTTTTTTCTAGAATGATCTTTGCTGAGTGTTCCCCCAACACTTGCCCATGTGGCGAGCAATGCTGTAACCAGAGGATACAGAGGCATGAATGGGTGCAATGTCTAGAACGATTTCGAGCTGAGGAAAAAGGTTGGGGAATCAGAACCAAAGAGCCCCTAAAAGCTGGGCAGTTCATCATTGAATACCTAGGGGAGGTCGTCAGTGAACAGGAGTTCAGGTACGGTGGTAAATGATGATACTCTAATAAAATGCCAAGGTATAAGATTAGAATGGAGAATGGAAGATGTGAAATTTACTTTCAGCTACTCTTTAATTGTCTTTCAATCATTTATCTTCTCTTTAGGAACAGGATGATTGAGCAGTATCATAATCACAGTGACCACTACTGCCTGAACCTGGATAGTGGGATGGTGATTGACAGTTACCGCATGGGAAATGAGGCCCGATTCATCAACCATAGCTGTGACCCAAATTGTGAAATGCAGAAATGGTAAGGAAGCAAAAGAAGGTGAAGACAAGAATCCAGCAGAATAAGCATTGAGTGCAGCAAGGGATTGATCTTTCCAGTGTCAGTCAGCTTACACAAAGCAGCTCAGGCTGTTCCCCATTACCCCAGATCCCACGGGCAGAGTAAGCTGCTTCGTTTTCACCCTAACTTCTCACTCCCAGACAGATATTTTTGTTTTTATTTGTGTTCTGTTTTTTTGTTTTGCTTTTTTGGTTTTTTTGTTTGGCATGCAAGTAGTTTCAGGATCTATGTCCTAGAAAAATATAATAATGATGATGATGATAGCCAGGGTGGTGGTACACACCTGTAGTCCCAGCTATTTGAGAGGTTGAGGTGAGAGGATCACTTGAGCCCAGGAGTTTCAGGCCAGTCTGGGCAACATAGCAAGAAAAAATCAAAAACAAAAAATAATGATAATAGGCCGGGTGTGTTGGCTCATGCCTGTAATCCCAGCACTTTGGGAGGCCAAGGTGGGCGGATCACGAGGTCAAGAGTTTGAGACCAGCCTGACCAACATGGTGAAACCCATCTCTACTAAACATACAAAAATTAGCCACTCATGGTAGCGTGCACCTATAATCCCAGCTACTTGGGAGGCTGAGGCAGGAGAATTACTTGAACCCGGGAGGCCGAGGTTGCAGTGAGCTGAGATCACACCAGTGTACTCCAATCTGGGTGACAGAGCAAGACTCCATCTCAAAAAAATAATAATAATACCTAATATTTATTGAGTTCTTACTATGTGCTAGGCACTGTGTTACATGGATCATCTCATATCAGTTCATTCAGCCACTCTACTGCATGCTTATTAAATACCTGGTGCATTTCTCACAAAGAGAAATAAAAAAAGTGAATCTGGAGGTCCCTTCCCCTCAAATAGATTAGCATCTAATTGAGAAGGAAAAAAGTCACACCTAAAAAATAATTTTAAAAAGATAATATGAGGATAGTATGAACAACTTTGGGGTTTTTTGTTAAGTTTTTAAAAATTAAAGTGTAATTCATATACAGAGAAATACATAGACTTTTTTTTTTTTTTGAGACGGAGTCTCGCTCTGTTGCCCAGGCTGGAGTGCAGTGGCGCGATCTCAGCTCACTGCAAGCTCTGCCTCCTGGGTTCATGCCACTCTCCTGCCTCAGCCTGCCCAGTAGCTGGGACTACAGGCACCTGCCACCACGCCCGGCTAATTTCTTTTTTGTATTTTTAGTAGAGACGGGGTTTCACTGTGTTAGCCAGGATGGTCTCGATCTCCTGACCTTGTGATCCGCCCGCCTCGGCCTCCCAAAGTGCTGGGATTACAGGCGTGAGCCACCGCGCCCGTCTAGAAATACATAGATCTTAAGTGTACATTTCCATTAATTTTTTCAAATGTATACACCCATATAACCAACACCCCTATGAAAATATGACATACTTTGTCATTTCAGAAAGTTACCTTTTAAGTCAATCTCCCAATCCCCCAAAGCAAGCACTGATCTGATTTCCATTGCCACAGATGAGTTTTACCTATTCCAGAACTTCATGTGAATGTATTCTTTTGTGTCTGGCGTCTTTTTTGTTAAAAACATGTTTTTGCAGTTCATCCATGTTGAATGCATTAGTGGTTTGTTACTTTTTAATGTGGAGTAATACTTCTTTGTGTGAATTTACCAGTTTGTTTATCAATTACTGTGAACAACTTTATATTTGAAAAGTTAGATGAAATGAACAAATCCTTTGAAAAACATTCCAGCCGGGCACAGTGGCTCACGCCTATAATCCCAGCACTTTGGGAGGCCGAGGTGGGTGGATCACAAGGTCAGGAGTTCAAGACCAGCCTGGCCAAGACGGTGAAACCCCATCTCTACCAAAAATACAAAAATTAGCCGGGCGTGGTGGTAGGCGCTTGTAATCCCAGCTGCTCAGGAGGCTGTGGCAGAGAATTGCTTGAACCCGCGAGGCGGAGGTTGCAGTGAGCCAAGATGGTGCCACTACACCCCAGCCTGGGCAACAGAGTGAGACTCAGTCTCAAAAAAAAAAAAGAAGAAAGAAAAAGAAAAACATACCTTTCCAAAACTGACATAAGACAAAATAGAAAATCTGCACATGTACCCCCAAAATTGAAAATGTAACTAAAATATCTAACAAAAGAACCTGGAGAACCAGATGTCTTCACTGATAATTCTTCCACATACTTAAAGAACAAATAGGCTGGGTGCAGTGGCTCACACCTGCAATCCCAGCACTTTGGGAGGTAGAGGTGGGAGGATTGCTTGAGCCCAGGAGTTCAAGACCAGCCTAGGCAAGATGGTGAGACCTGTCTCAACAAAAATTTAAAGATAAAATTTAAATATTAGCTGGGTGTGATGGTGCTACTTGGGAGACTGAGGTGGTAGGATCGCCTGAGCCCAGAAGTTCGAGGCTGTAGTTTCCTGTGATCATGCAACTGCACTCCAGCCTGGGTGACAGAGACCCTGTGTCTATTTAAAAAAATGAAGACGAAGAAGAAGAAATAATGGCAGTACCACTTATAAACTCTTTGCTTCTATAAAACTAGCATTACCTTCTTCTAAAATCTAACCAGGAAAAAATATAGGCCAGTGTGTTCCATGAACATAGACACAAAAATCCTAAATAAAATATCAACAAATAAAATTTAACAATAAATAAAAAGCTTAATACATCATGACTATGTGGGGTTTATTCCAGGAATAAAAGATTGTTTGGTTTAACATTCAAAAATCAGTGTAAACCAATGTAATTTTATCACAATAATGGACTAAAGACAAAAAATCATATATTGTCTCAATAGAAGCAGAAAAAGCATTAAACAGTATTCAACACTCATTGATAATTAAAACTCAGCAAACTAGGAATAAAAAGGAACTAACAAATCTGCCAAAGGAAATCCATTTTTAAAAAATCTTTAGCTACCATTATACATAAATAAGGATATCCACTGTCATATCTACATTTGAAGAGTCTAACCAATACAATAAGAAAAGGAAAAAAGTATAAAGATTAGAAATGAAAAAAAATTTAACTACCATTATTCGCAGATGACATTATTATACACATGGGAAATTTCTACAGACATAAGTGAATTTAGCAAGATTAATGGAAAGATGGTCAGTATATAAAAATTAATGTATTGAGTACATTTTAATATATTAGCAACAACCAAGTAGAAAGTGAAATTTAAAAACCATTACAAGGCCAGGTGCAGTGGCTTACGCCTATAATCCCAGCACTTTGGGAGGCCAAGGCGAGCGGATCATGAGGTCAGGAGTTTGAGACCAGTCTGACCAACATGGTGAAACCCTGTCTCTACTAAAAATATAAAAATTAGCCGGGCATGGTGGCATGCACCTGTAGTCCCAGCTACTTGGGAGGCTGAGGCAAGAGAATCACTTGAACCTGGGAGGCGGAGGTTGTAGTGAACTGAGATTGCACCAATGCACTCCAGCCTGTGTGACAGAGCAAGACTCCATCTCAAAAAAAAAAAAAAAAAAAAAACCAAACCCATTACAGGCTAGTTGCAATGGCTCACGCCTGTAATCTCAGCACTTTCAGAGGCCAAGATGCACAGATTGCCTGAGGTCAGGAGTTCGAGACCACCCTAGCCAACATGATGACTGAAACCCTGTCTCTACTTAAAATACAAAAATTAGCTGGTTGTGGTGGCACACGCCTATAGTCCCAGCTATTGGAGGCTGGGGCAGGAGAATTGCTTCAACTCCGGAGGCAGAGTTTGCAGTGAGCCGAGATCGTGCCACTGCACTCCAGCCTGTGTGACACACCAAGACTCCGTGTCAAAATAAATAAATAAATAAAAACCAATACAATTTACAATAGCTTCATAAAAGACTAGTCCCTAAGAATAAATCTTATGAAAGTTTGTAGGACCTCTATACTAGAAGCTGTCAGAAGTTGGGAAAAAATAAAGATGACCTAAATTAATGGAAAAATACACAATGTTCAAGGGTTGAGTGTTGGCAGTTTTTTTTAAGTGAAAGGAAGTTTATTAAGAAAGTAAAGGAATAAAAGAAAAGAAAGGCTATTCCATAAACAGAGCAGCCCCGAGGGCTGCTGGTTGCCCATCTTTATGGTTCTTTATAGATTATATGCTAAACACGGGTTGGATTATGCATGAGTTTTCTGGGAAAGTGGTGGACAATTCGCAGACCTAAGGGTTCCTCCACTTTTTAGACCATATAGAGTAACTTTCTGACGTTGCCATAGTGTTTGTTAACTGTCATGGCACTGATGGGAGTGTAGTAGTGAGGACGCCCAGATGTCACTCTCGTTGCCATCTTAGTTTTGATGGGTTTTGGCTAGCGTCTTTACTGCAGCCTGTTTTGTCAGCAAGGTCTTTATGACCTGTATTTTGTGCCAACCTCCTGTCTTATCCTGTAACTAAGAATGCCTAACCTATTGGGAATGCAACCCAGCAGATCTCAGCCTAATTTTACCCAACCTCTATACAAGATGGAGTCGCTCTGGTTTAAACGCTTCTGACATTTTCCCCCTCCCTTTTATAAGAGAACCCTTAATCCTTAGGGGTAAACAGGGATGAAGATCCATCTTTAGTAATTTCTTCAGGTTGAATAGCGGTGATGATATTCCTGCCTATTAGGGTCTCTTGTATCCAAGGTAGAGAAGAGATCAGTCAGAAAGTGTCAGTATGGTAAGGGCCATTCATAGTTCTGACAAAAGGTGATATCACGGGTCAGGAACCCTATACAGGGACTTTGTGGAAAAGGTATGAGGCCAGTTTTCCCAAGGGGCTTTTATTGGCTCTCTAAGCCAAGTTTGGTTCCTTAATAGAAAGCACTCCATTCCAATCAAAGCCTTGGTAAAATAACCAGTTTCTCCAATTGTATCATCTGGTTTCCAGATTTTGGAGAAATGAGGTAGAGGGAAACAAACATCCTTTAAATTTTGTTCACAGGAGTTTTACTCAATTGTTAAGAACTGTCAATATGCCAGGCATGGTGGCTCATGCCTGTAATCCCAGCACTTTGGGAGGCTGAGGCAGGTTGATCACCTGAGGTCAGGAGTTCGAGACTAGCCTGGCCAAAATGGTGAAACCCCATCTCTACTAAAAATACAAAAAAAAAAAAAAAAAAAAAATCAGCCGGGCATAGTGGCATACACCTGTAGTCCCAGCTACTCAGGAGGCTGAGGCAGGAGAATCGCTTGAACCCAGGAGGTGGAGGTTGCAGTGAGCTGAGATTGTGCCACTGCACTCCAGCCTGAGCGACAAGAGCAAAACTCCATCTCAAAAAAAAACAAAGCTGTCAGTAACTCAAAAGTTTCAGCCAATCAGTGTTGCAGTCTATTTCCTTTGGGTTGTGGGTCTCTTAAGTATCATCCCTTCGTGATCGCCAGAAAGATGCCAGAAAGGGGTTCTGATCCAGACTCCAAGGGAGGGTTCTTGGATCTCGCACAAGAAAGAACACAAGAAAGAATTCAAGGTGAGTCCATAGAATAAAGTGAAAGCAAGTTTATTAAGAAAGTAAAGGAATAAAAGAATGGCTACTCCATAGGCGCAGAGCAGCCTTTTTTTTTTTTTTTTTTTTTAAGACAGAGCTGGAGTACAGTGGTATGATCTTGGCTCACTGCAGCCTCCTCCTCCCAGGTTCAAGCCGTTCACCTGCCTCAGCCTCCTGAGTAGCTGAGACTACAGGCACACACCACCATGCCTGGTTAATTTTTTTGTATTTTTTGTAGAGACAGGGTTGTGCCATGTTGTCCAGGCTGGTCTTGAACTCCTGGGCTCAATAAGTCAGCCCGCTTCAGCCTTCCAAAGTGTTGGGATTGCAAGTGTGAGCCACCATGCCGGGCCTGACAAGCCAGTTTTTAAAATAGGTAAAAGAATGGGTACTTTAAAAAAGAATATCAAAGTGGTCAATAAATATACAACAGCGCTTAATATGTTAGATACAGTTATTAGGGGAAATATTAAACTAAATTGGAAAACCACTACATACCCTCCAAAATGTAAAAAATTAAAGACTGACAGTATTGGCAAAGGTAGAGCAGCATAAATGCTCTTAGATTTGCTGGTAGAAGTGTAAATTGGTATAACCACTTTCAAAAAATGGCACAACCTACCAAAGCTAAACATAACCGGTAAACCAGCAACTCTAATCCTAAGTATGTCCCCAGCGGAAATTAGTGTTTGTGCTAGACTTGTGCAAGAATGTCAACTAGAAGATATCTTTTTCTCCCCTTCTTTTGGAGACAAGGTCTCACTCTGTCACCAGGGTTGAAGTACAGTGGGACGATCTTGACTCACTGCAACCTCAGCTTCCCAAGTAGCTGGGACCACAGGTGCATGCCACCCTGCCCGGCTAATTTTTGTATTTTTTGATAGGGATGGAGTTTTGCCATGTTGCCCAGGCTGGTCTCAAACTCTTGGGCTCAAGCGATCCTCATTGCTCAGTCTCCCAAAGTGCTGGGATTACAGGTATGAGCCACAACACCCGGCCAGAAGATACCTTTTTTTGGTTTTTTGTTTTTGTTTTTTTGAGACAGAGTCTTGCTCTGTCGCCCAGGCTGGAATGCAGTGGCACCATTTTGGCTCACCACAACTTCCGCCTCCTGGGTTCAAGCGATTCTCGTGCCTCAGCCTCCTGAGTAGCTGTAACTAAAGGCATGCGTCCCTACACCCGGCTAATTTTTATATTTTTAGTAGAGACAGTGTTTCGCCATGTTGTCCAGGCTGGTCTCGAACTCCTGGCCTCAAGTGATCTGCCCACCTAGGCCTCCCAAAGTGCTGGGATTACAGGCATGAAGGTAGGTGACAGATCAAGACTCTGTCTCAAAAAAAAAGAAAAGTTACAGTATATATCAGCAAACTTGTTGGCTTTGCACCTATAAAACTATTCACAAAGATGGGAGCAGTGGCCTGTGGAGCAGTTTGCCAACTCCTGGTATACATTTAAAATGCTTTCTGCAGCCAGGCTCCGTGGGTCATGCCTGTAATCGCAGCACTTTGGGAGGCCGAGGCAAGCAGATCATCTGAGCTCAGGAGTTTGAGACCAGCCTGGGCAACATGGCTAAACCCTGTCTTTACTAAAAATACAAAAATTAGCTAGTCGTGGTGGCGAGGTGGGAGGATCACTTCAGCCCAGGAGGCAGAGGTTGCAGGGAGCTGAGATTGCGCCACTGTACTCCAGCCTATACAAGAGTGAGATACTGTTTAAAAATAAAAAATTAGCCAGGCGCGGTGGCTCACGCCTATAATCCCAGCATTTTGGGAGGCCAAGGCAGGCGGATCACGAGAGGTCAGGAGTTCGAGACCAGCCTGACCAACGTGGAGAAATCCCGTCTGTACTAAAAATACAAAATTAGCCAGGCGTGGTGGCATGTGCCTGTAATCCCAGCTACTTGGGAGGCTGAGGCAGGAGAATCGCTTGAACACAGGAGGCGGAGGTTGCAGTGAGCCAAGTTCCCGCCATTACACTCCAGCCTGGGCAACAAGAGCAAAACTCCATTTCAAAAAATAAATAAATAAATAAAAATTTTTAAATGCTTTCTGAATTCAGGATGGAAAAATACTAAAAATTAAAAATTTTAGGCAAGGTTACATGTAATAGGGCAGTATCTAAGCTAACCCTTAATGTGTTCCACATTGGTAAGGAGACAAGAAGAAAAAGGCTGAGTCAAACAGCCTGGGTTTTAATCCCCTGGGTTTGAATGCCACTTAATTGCTATATAACTAAACAAACTCTGAGGCGTATATACTTCATATATAAAATAGATATCATAATGCCTATCTTACAGGATTGGGGTTTTTTCTATAGGATTGTTTTGAGAATTGATGATATAACTTGTTATCAGTATGGCATGGTAGTTAAGATTTTGAAGCCACAATGTCAATTTGAAACTTGATTCCCTAAGTTATCAGCTGTGTAACTTTGGGCAAGTGGCTCCCTGTGTGCCTCAGTTGCCTTATTTGTAGTATGAGGGTTATAATAACTAATAATATTACATATTTTTATATAATTGTTAGGAGGATGAAATAATATAAAATGTTATAAAAAGCATTCAGTAAATGTTAGCTATAATGATAATGACTATATTCTTTTTTTTTTTTTAATATATTAAGATAAGGTCTCACTATGTTGCCCAGGCGAGTCACAAACTCCTGAACACCTAAAACAAAGTCAAGCACGGTGGCTCATGCCTGTAATCTCAGCACTTTGGGAGGCCAAGGCGGGCGGATCACGAGCTCAGGAGATTGAGACCGTACTGGCCAACATGATGAAACCCTGTCTCTACTAAAAATATGAAAAAGTAGCTGGGCGTGGTGGCACGTGCCTATATTCCAGCTACTCAGGAAGCTGAGGTAGGAGAATCTCTTGAACCCGGGAGTTGGAGGTTGCAGTGAGCCGAGATTCTGCCACTGCACTCCAGCCTGGGGACAGAGCAAGACTATGTCTCAAAAACAATAAACAAAAAAACACCTAAAATCCTAAATGATCATTACCTTACATATAATAGAACAAGAGAGGCACTCATGTGATAGAGATTGGTAGAACTGGAAGATTTGTATAGGTAAGCCATAAAAAGTAATTTTAACTCATTTAATAAGTGAACTAAGCCTTTTTTTTTTTTTTTTTTTTGAGACGGAGTCTCGCTCTGTTGCCTAGGCTGGAATGCAGTGGCATGATCTCAGCTCACTGCAACCTCTGCCTCAGGGGTTCAAGTCATTCTCCTGCCTCAGCCTCCCAAGTAGCTGGGATTGCAGACATGCGCCACCACACCTGTCTAGTTTTTGTTTGTTTGTTTTTTGAGATGGAGTCTCGTCCTGTTGCCCAGGCTAGGCTAGAGTGCAGTGGCAGGATCTTGGCTCACCGCAACCTCCGCCTCCCGGGTTCAAGCGATTCTCCTGCCTCAGCCTCCCGAGTAGCTGGGAGTATAGGCACATGCCACCATGCCTGGCTAATTTTTTTTTTTTTTTTTTTTTTTTTTTTTTTGTGAGATGGAGTCTCACTCTGTCACCCAGGCTGGAGTGCAGTGGTGCAATCTTGACTCACTGCAACCTCCGCCTCCCAGGTTCAAGCTATTCTCCTGCCTCAACCTCCTAAGTAGCTGGGATTACAGGTGCACACCACCATGCCCGGCTAATTTTTGTGTTTTTAGTAGAGATGGGGTTTCACCATATTGGTCAGGCTGGTCTCGAACTCCTGACTTCGTGATCTGCCTGCCTCAGCCTCCCAAAGTGCTGATATTACAGGTGTGAGCCACCATACCCGGCCTTAATTTTTGTATTTTTAGTAGAGACGGGGTTTCACTATGTTGGCCTGGCTGGTCTTGAACTCCTGACCTCATGATCTGCCCTCCTCGGCCTCCCAAAATGCTGGGATTACAGGTGTGAGCCACTGCATGTGGCCTCGCCTGGCTAATTTTTATATTTTTAGTAGAGACGGTTTTGCCCTGTTGGCCACGCTGGTCTCAAACTCCCGACCTCAGGTGATCCACCTGCCTCGGACTCCCAAAGTGCTGGGATTACAGGCGTGAGCTACGGCGCCTGGTCTGGTCTTGAACTCTTGGCCTCAGGTGATCCTCCCACCTCAACCTCCCAAAGTGCGGGGAATACAGGCAAGCCATATTTTAGGACTTTGAATACCAAGCAGGAAAAGTTGAAGCCTAATTGACAACATAGAACATGTTTTCAAGAAAAATTATTTAGGATTCTTACTCTGGCAGTATTATACAGGCTGCCAAGGATAGAAAAGAGATTAAAAGTGGAGGCCAGGCGTGGTGGCTCATACCTATAATTCTAGCACTTGGGAGGCCGAGGCGGGCAGATCACCTGAGGTCAGGAGTTCAAGACCAGCCTGGCCAACATGGTGAAACCCCATCTCTACTAAAAATACAAAAATTAGCCAGGCGTGGTGGCTTACACCTGTAGTCCCAGCTACTCAGGAGGCTGAGGCAGGAGAATCGCTTGAATCCGGGAAGCGGAGGTTGCGGTGAGCCAAGATCGCACCACTGCACTCCAGCCTAGGCAACAGAGGGAGACTCCGTCTCAAAAAAAAAAAAAAATTTCCAGCCTTTATAACTCTGTTTTCTCTCTTTACAGGTCTGTTAATGGAGTATACCGGATTGGACTCTATGCTCTTAAAGACATGCCAGCTGGGACTGAACTCACTTATGATTATAACTTTCATTCCTTCAATGTGGAAAAACAGGTAAGAATAATAAATCCTAGAGGGAGATTGAACTTTATCCCTTACAATGCTGTAATAACATGAGCTTTCTGTAAACATGATTGACTTGGAGCCATTAAGAAGTATGTGGGAGGCTGGACACAGTGGTTCACACCTTTAATCCCAGCACTTTGTGAGGCTGATGTGGGCAGATCACTTGAGCTCAGAATTTCAAGACCAGCCTGGCCAACATGACAAAACCCTGTCTATCAAAAATACAAAGATTAGCTGGATGTGGTGGCGCGCACCTGTAATCCCAGTTTATTGGAGGCTAAGGCAGGAGAATTGCTTCAACCTTGGAGGCGGAGGTTGCGTTACGTTGAGCCGAGATTGCACCACTGTGCTCCAGCCTGGGCGACAAAGCAAGACTGACTCTGTCTCAAAAAAAAAAAAAGTATATGGGAGGTCAGGCGCAATGGCTTATTCCTGTAATCCCAGCACTTTGTGAGGCTGAGGCAAGCGGATTACTTGTAGTCTGGGAGTTCAAGACCCGCCTGGGTAACATGGTGCAACCCTGTCTCTACCAAAAAAATGCAAAAACTAGCCAAGTGTGGTCGCATGTGCCTGTGGTCCCAGCTACTTGGGAGGCTGAGGTGGGAAGATTGCTTGAGCCCGGGAGGTGGAGGTTGCAGTGAGCCAGGACCACGCCAATGCACTGCAGCCTGTGGAACAGAGCAAGACCCTGTCTCAAACACAAAAAAAGAAAAAGTCTGGGCATGGTGGCTCGCGCCTGTAATCCCGGCACTTTGGGAGGCCAAGGCAGGCAGATCACAAGGTCGGGAGTTCGAGATTAGCCTGACCAATATAGTGAAACCCTCTCTCTACTAAAAATACAAAAATCAGCTGGGCATGGTGTTACATGCTTGTAGTCCCAGCTACTCAGGAGGCTGAGGCAGGAGAATCGCTTGAACCCAGGAGGTGGAGGTTGCAGAGATCGCGCCAATGCACTCCATCCTGGGCGACAGAGCGAGACTTCAGCTCAAAAAAAGAAAAAAGGGAGAAAAGAAGTACATGGGAGCCTGGGCACAGTAGTGCATACCTACCTACAGTCCCACATACTCAAGAGGCTGAGACAGGAGTATCACTTGAGCCCAGGAGTTCAAGGCCAACCTGGGCCACAGAACGGGACCCCTTCTCTAAAATGTTTAAAGTTTTTTGTTATTAAGACAGGATCTCGTTCTGTGGCCCACACTAGAATGCAGTGATGTGATCATGGCTCACTGCAGCCTTAATCTCCTGGGCTTAAGCAATCTTCCCACCATAACCTTCTGAGTAGCTGGGACCGCAGGCGTGTACCACTGTGCGTCGCTAATTTTTTTTTAAATTTTTTGTAGAGATGGGGTCTCCCTCTTTTGTCAGGGCTGGTCACAGACTCCTGGACTTAAGCGATCCTCCCACCTCAGCCTCCCACAGTGCTGGGACTACAGACCTGAGCCACCATGCCCAGCCAAATTTTTTAATTAAGTGCTTGCTTTGACAGCATATATACTAAAATTGGAATGATACAGAGAAGATTAGCATGGCCCCTGTGCAAGGATGACAAACAGATTACTGAAGCATTTCATGTTTTTTTTTTTTTTTATTAATTTTTTTTTGAGGTGGAGTCTCACTCTGTCTCCCAGGCTAGAGTGCAGTGGCGTGATCTCGGCTTGCTGCAAGCTCCGCCTCCCAGGTTCACGCCATTCTCCTGCCTCAGCCTACCGAGTAGCTGGGACTACAGGTGCCTGTCACCACACCCAGCTAATTTTTTGTATTTTTTTTAGTAGAGACTGGGTTTTACCATGTTAGCCAGGATGGTCTCGATCTGCTGACCTTGTGATCCGCCCGCCTTGGCCTCCCAAAGTGCTGGATTACAGGCATGAGCCACCATGCCTGGCCTTTTTAAAATTTTTTTTTAAAGAAGTATATAGGAGAGGACAGTTTTTTACTCTGTACTCCACCTTTCTGAGATACATAGTGCCCAATTACTTTGAAGAAAGAGATTGCCCTGTGATTTTTGGTCTCCACTCAGTTAACTTTTCTGGGGAAGAAGTTTTCCTAAAATTTAATCCATCATTTCTATTCCAGTGGAAACCCATTTCTATTTATACTCTCAATCAGTTGTTTTCCCCTATATGCAAATTTCTTGATTTATACTTAATGTGTGTCCAAATGCTCAGGAATCCTCTTTAAGCTAGTAAATGAGACTGCAAGCTAAAAAAAAATTATTCTCAGCTGGTCACAGTGGCTCACACCTGTAATCCCAGCACTTTGGGAGGCCAAGGTGGGAGAGTTGCTCGAGCCCTGGAGTTCGAGACCAGCCTGGTCAACATGGCGAAACCCTGTCTCTACACAAAATACAAAAATTAGCCTGGCATAGTGGCACGCACCTGTAATGTCAGCTACTGGGGAGGCTGAGATAGGAGGATCAGTTGAGCCCAGGAGGTTGAGACTGCAGTGAGCCATGATCATACTATTGTACTTCAGCCTGAGTGACAGGAAAGACCCTGCCTTAAAAAAATAAAAATAAAAAAATTATTCTCTCCCTTCAAAGCAACTTTGTAAGTGTGGCTTTGAGAAATGTCGAGGAATCATCGGAGGCAAGAGTCAGCGTGTGAATGGACTCACCAGCAGCAAAAACAGCCAGCCCATGGCCACACACAAAAAATCTGGACGGTCAAAAGAGAAGAGAAAGTCTAAGCACAAGCTGAAGAAAAGGGTGAATAATTATCTAATGACTTTCCCCAAAAGCTGTTCATGAGATGCTTTGAGGCAATTGCTGGAATAAGGGAATTACCAGAGGGTGGCATCTTAAGAGTGGTTTTAATATTCTTGGAGATTATTTCTGACTGATATTTTTTTAAATCTCTAATCTGATCCATCTCTTTTTCAGAGAGGCCATCTCTCTGAGGAACCCAGTGAAAATATCAACACCCCAACTAGATTGACCCCCCAATTACAGATGAAGCCAATGTCCAATCGTGAAAGGTAAAAAGGAAATATCCTTATCCATGTTCTTTGTAAGTTACATGATTGCTTATCTGTGTAAAAAATTATGAAACTTCTATATTGTTGATCCACTTTCTTTTGTCTTAAGCCAAAGGGTTCAGGGGATCTATGAACCTGGATGGAAGAAATACAATCTTTTTTTTTTTTTTTTTTTTTTTTTTAAGTCTTACCCTTTTGTGTGTGTGTGTGTGTGTGTGTGTGTGTGTGTGTGTGTGTAGAGCTGGGATCTTACTCTGTCACCCAGGCTGGAATACAGAGGCCTGGCTCAACTCCTGGGCTTAAGTGATCCCCCTGCATCATCCTCCCAAGTAGCTGGGGCTGCAGGCACATGCCACCACACCTGGCTAATTTTTTTTTTTTAAATTTTTTGTAGAGACAAGGTCTCACTATGTTGCCCAGGTTGGTCCTAAACTCCTGGGCTCAAGCTATCCTCCTGCCCCGATCTCCCAAGGCATTGGGATTACAGATACGAGCCAGCACACCAAACCATCTTATGTTCCCTAATTTCTAAATGAAATAACATTTCCACATATCCCTGTAGACCCATCTACTCAGGAGGCTGAGGCAGGAAAATTACTTGAGCCCAGGAATTCAAGACCATCTTCGGCAACATGGAAAGACCTTGGTTTTTTGTTGTTTTTTTTTTTTTTTTGAGACGGAGTCTCGCTGTGTCGCCCAGGCTGGAGTGCAGTAGTGCAGTGGTGCAATCTCGGCTCACTGCAAGCTCCGCCTCCTGGGTTCACACCATTCTCCTGCCTCAGCCTCCCGAGTAGCTGGGACTACAGGCACGTGCCACCACGCCTGGCTAATTTTTTATACTTTTTAGTAGAGACAGGGTTTCACCATGTTAGCCAGGATGGTCTCGATCTCCTGACCTTGTGATCCACCTGCCTCAGCCTCCCCAAGTGCTGGGATTACAGGCGTGAGCCTCCACACCTGGCCAATAATTTAAATTTTTTGAAGTAATTTAAAAATAATTGTTCAGAGAATGGTTCCATAGGCTTCATCAGACTGTCAAAGGAGTCCGCAGTAGAGAAAAAATTAAGAATACCTGCTTTGGCAGGGCGCAGTGGCTCACACCTGTAATCCTACCACTTTGGGAGGCCAAGGCAGGCGGATCACCTGAGGTCGGGAGTTTGAGGCCAGCCTGGCCAACATGGAGAAACCCTGTCTCTACTAAAAATACAAAATTAGCCAGGCATGGTGGTGCATGCCTGTCATCTCAGCTACTCAGGAGGCTGAGGCAGGAGAATTGCTTGAACCCAGGAGGTGGAGGTTGCAGTGAACCAAGATCACGCCATTGCACTCTAGCCTGGGCAGCAAGAGCAAAACTCCGTCTCAAAAAACAAAAAAAAACAAAAAGCAAAAAAAAAAAAAAACAGAATACCTGCTTTGTTGACATATTAACAGAGCAATAGAAAGGATCTTTAGTGGTAATTTCTGCTGTTCCCTGTATTCAGATAAGAATTGTCTCTTTCAGAAGCAAACAAGTGAGTATGTCCTATTTGTTGAAAGTTTATCTTTATTTATAACCATTGTGTAATTTTAGCCCCTTTCATTCTATTTCCCTTTGAGTTGTAGAAATTTTAAATTTCGGAAAAACCAGTCCAGTGGTTCTCTACTTTGGCTGCCTATTAGCATGGGGAACTTTGAAAAACTCCCAAGGCCCAGGCCACACCCTAGACCACTTAAATGAGAATTTGCAGAGGTAGAACCCAGGTATCAGTAGTTTTTAAAGTCTCCCAGGGGATTCCAATGTGCAGGAACTAGAAAATTAGTCTAATCTTCATTTAAGTGAGAAGTGAGACCCATACCTTGAGATTTATCCAAGATCACATCTATTTACATATGTCCTGTTGTGGAAATTGAATAATGGAATCATCAAAATTGTATAGGATCAGTCAAGATACACATAATTCATTTAAGTTTAGGGAACCAGGGCCAGGCACGGTGGCTCACGCCACCACTGTAATCCCAGCACTTTGGGAGGCCAAGGCGGGTGGATCACCTGATGTCAGGAGTTCAAGACCAGCCTGGCCAACATGGGGAAACCCCGTCTCTACTAAAAATACAAAAATTAGCTGGGCGTGGTGGCAGGCACCTATAACCCCAGCTATTCAGGAGGCTGAGAGAATCGCTTGAACCCGGGAAGCAGAGGTTGCAGTGAGCTGAGATCATGCCACTGTACTCCAGCCTAGGCAACAGAGGGAGACGTCGACTCAAAAAAAAAGTAGTAAGTTTAGGGAACCATATGGCAGCACTGCACCTAACATAGTTTGCCCAGTGCGTATCCATCTTACGTGTCTTTGCCTTCATTTGCCAGTCCAGTTCTCCTTGTTATAGCTGATCCTGAGACCCTACTTCATCTTGACAACTATATTTAGAATTTGTACAAATAAATCTCTGCCTTCTGGTCAGGCTGTTTCACTTGCCAGCATTTTTGCAGCCTTTAATTGTTGTTTGCCAGATGTATGTAAATATTATGTGTTTTATGTAATGTAAAAAAATTGAAGATACAAAATTGAGTAATGCTTTGCCCATATAATTCTCTTTACAACAGCTCAATTCACGTATATCGTCTAACAATGGCTTCCATAGAGTAGACATGTAATACATGCTTATTTAATTAATGAATAAAGGAAGATTTTTTTTCCTTCCTTGCAGGAACTTTGTGTTAAAGCATCATGTATTCTTGGTCCGAAACTGGGAGAAGATTCGTCAAAAACAGGAGGAAGTAAAGCACACCAGTGATAATATTCACTCAGCATCATTATATACCCGTTGGAATGGGATCTGCCGAGATGATGGGAATATCAAGTCTGGTAAGGCATTTGAAACATTTCTTTTTTTTGAGACAGAGTTTCACTCTTGTTGCCCAGACTGGAGTGCAATGGCATGATCTAGGCTCACTGCAACCTCTGCCTCCTGGGTTCAAGCAATTATCCTGCCTCAGCCTCCTGAGTAGCTGGGATTACAGGCGCCCGCCACCATGCCCGGCTAATTTTTGTATTTTTAGTAGAGAGGGGGTTTTGCCATGTTGGCCAGGCTGGTCTCGAACTCCTGACCTCCTGCCTTGGAATCAAGGTGATTCGCCTGCCTTGGCCTCCCAAAGTGTTGGGATTACAGGCGTAAGCCACCACACTCAGCCGAATTTCTATTAATTTATTTTAGTTGCTTTCCAGCAGATAATCTATTTAACAACTCCTTTTAGTATTGACCAAAAAAGTTATGATCCAAATATGTACACATCAGTCAGTAATAACCTATCCATCCCAGTTCTTCAGCTTTCCTCTCTTTAGGGAATAGAAAGAAACCTCCTACAGCCTTTCAAACATGACCTGTAGTCTGAAATAGTCATTAGGTATCAGATAGATAGTGGGCCCTCTTTGTTACTTCCTACCTTGAAAATAACTTGCAGACAGAGTAAATAGTGATACCAAATCCACTGGGGAAATTGGGGTGGGGGACGGGTAATTATCAGTGGGTGGACAGGTCATTATCAGTTTGAAGACCTTTTTATCTCACATTCAGATTCAGCTGGGGACGGGTCATTTCTCACATTCAGATTCAGTGGGGGACGGGTCATTATCAGTTTGAAGACCTTTTTTTCTCACATTCAGATTAGCACTGTACTCACAAACCATCAGATTTCCTTTCTGTAACCTTCAATAACAGCACTCCTGAGTTCAGATATTATCCAGAAGAGACTGAAAGCAGAGGAACTAGCATGTCCAAGCATCCTTTCTAACTGAAAACAGAGTGTTCAAAAGATCATGCTCTTTTTTTTAATCCTTTCCTTCTTCCCCTCAAAAGGTAGAAGCAATTCTATGTGATGTGTGAGGGATATGCTGAATGCTAACTAGATAGATTTAAAAATTTGCCCATAATCTTACATCCTGTCAATGATTTGATTGGCATAAATTCTTTGAAGTTATATCCTAACTAGTTTACTTCTTCTAATAATAACAGATATCATTTACAGAGTGCTTACATGTCAGGCACTGAGCAAAACACATTAAAAGCATTATCTCATTTAACCTGCATTATTTCCTTATGAGGGAAGTACTACCATTGTTCTCATTTTATGTTTGAGAAGCTGACCCATGGGTTAAATAACTTGCCCAAGATCACACAACTAATAAGCAGTGACACCAGAATTCAGATGCTGATAGATTCATTTTGAAGCCCAGACTTACAACTGCTATACTGTATTGCATTTGAGCACTAAGCTAAGGTCCCTCTTGCAGCATTTTGTCTCCAGTAAATTCCAGTGTTTCCTGATTTTTCATTACAGAAGATAGAAAGAACTCTGTGCCCACTAATCTACCTAATCACTTCAGGGGAAAATAGAGCAAATGGCAGGAATCCATTGGGAAAGAGAAAGACATGTAGAGCTCCTTGTTTCCTGTAACTTAATTTTCACTTTATTTTTCCAGATGTCTTCATGACCCAGTTCTCTGCCCTGCAGACAGCTCGATCTGTTCGAACAAGACGGTTGGCAGCTGCAGAGGAAAATATTGAAGTGGCTCGGGCAGCCCGCCTAGCCCAGATCTTCAAAGAAATTTGTGATGGTATCATCTCTTATAAAGGTGACTATAACCACCTTCAAATTCGTTCTTTTTTTCTTTTTCTTTTTCTTTTTTTTTTAAATAAATAGAGATAGGGTCTTGCTATATTGCCCAGGCTAGTCTCAGACTCCTGGGCTCAAGTGATCCTTCTGTCTAGGCCTCCCAAAGTGCTGGGATTACAGGTATGAGCTACTGCTCGTGGGCATTTCTTTTCTTTTTCATTTCTTTTTCTGTCTCCTGATTATCTTTGATATTATAGTGGCTTTTTGCAGTTTTCTTAACCTAAGGATATAAAGAGAAAAATGGGGACCAAACTGCCCTAAGATGTAAGATGTAAAGTTTTGAATTTTGAGGCACCTATTCCATTTACATTCCCAAAATAAATCACACTCTCTGCATTCTGTCTTTTTTTTTTTTTTTTTTTTTTTTGAGATGGAGGTCTCGCTATGTTGCCCAGGCTGGTCTTGAACTCCTGGCCTCAAGCGATCCTTCTGCCTCGACCTCCCAAAGTTCTGGGATTATAAGCATGAGCCACCATGTCTGTCTTGCATTCTCAAGTAGGCTCATCTCACCGAACATGAAACTGCAGTAAGTATGTCTACCATGTCACTGCATTCTGAGCATGAAACACGGGCTCTTTTACTCTGCTAGTGAAATTGCCAGAAATTAAGTATGGTAGCAAATGAGAAGTGGCCCCTCACCGTAAATTCCATTTTCATAATACAGAGTAACTGTTACAGGAAAAATCAATTACAGAAAATATTCACAGTACAGTACTAAATTATTCAATATCTGGAATTTAATTGGATCCATACCCAACAGAGTAATAGTAATTAATTTATTTATTTATTTATTTTATTTTACTTTTTTTTTTTTGAGACAAAGTCTCACTCTGTCACGCAGGCTGGAGTGCAGTGGCATGATCTCGGCTCACTGCAACCTCCACCTCCTGGGTTCCAGCGATTCTCCTGCCTCAGCCTTCTTGAGTAGCTGGGACTACAGGCGCACACCACCACACCTGCCTAAGTTTTGTATTTTTTAGTAGAGACAGTGTTTCACCATATTGGCCAGGCTGGTCTTGAACTCCTGACCTCGTGATCCACCTGCCTCGGCCTCCCAAAGTGATGGGATTACAGGCGTGAGCCAGCATGCCCGGCCTTTATTTTTATTGTTTTAGACAGGGTCTCAGTCTGTCGCCCAGGTTGGAGTTCAGTGGTGCAATCTTGGCTCACCACATCCTCCGCCTCAAGGGTTCAGATGATTCTCCCACCTCAGCCTCCTGAGTAGCTGGGACTCCAGGTGTGCGCCACTATGCCCAGCTAAATTTTGTATTTTTTGGTAGTGAGACGGGGTTTCAACATGTTAGCCAAGCCGTTTTCGAACTCCTGACCTCAAGTTCTCTGCCCACCTCAGCCTCCCAAAGTGCTGGGATTACAGGCGTGAGCCACTGTGCCCCGCCAAACTAATTTTTTTTTTTTTTTTGAGACAGAGTCTCATTCTGTTGCCCAGGCTGGAGTGCAGTGGCACAATCTTGGCTCACTGCAACCTCTGCCTCCCAGGTTCAAGCAATTCTCCTGCCTCAGCCTCCCAAGTAGCTGGGATTGCAGGCGTGTGCCACCACGGCCAGCTAATTTTGTGTGTGTGTGTGTTTTTAGTAGAGACAGGGTTTCACCATGTTGGCCAGGATGGTCTCAATCTCTTGACCTCGTGATCTGCCCACCTCAGCCTCCCAAAGTGCTGGGATTATAGGCGTGTGCCATCGCGCCCGGTCTTTTTTTTTTTCTTTTTCTTTTTCTTTTTTTTTTTAGGACGGAGTCCTGTTCTGTCGCCCAGGCTGGAGTGCAGTGGCACAATCTCTGTTCACTGCAACCTCCGCCTCCCGGCTTCAAGCAACTCTCCTGCCTCAGCCTGCCGAGTAGCTGGGACTACAGGTGCATGCCACCACGCCCGGCTAATTTTTTTATTTATAGCAGAGATGGAGTTTCCCCATGTTAGCCAGGATGGTCTTGATCTCCTGACCTCATGATCTGCCCGCCTTGACCTCTCAAAGTGCTGGGATTACAGGTGTGAGCCACCGCACCCATTCCCAGCCAAACAAATTACTATTAATTAAGGGCAGTTAATGAGAACTAGAAAGCACTTTTTGGATAAGATATTCTTTTTGCTATTATAAGATTTGTTGAGTAGTAATTTGCCCTAAGCAGATTACCCTCAATAAGTTCCCATCTCTCATTCTTCACAGGAAGTTCTTCTCATTACCCAACTAACATTGTGCTACCTTTCAAGCAGATGCAACTATATCTTTCATATCCTAGACAATCTTAGAATTGTCATTTGATCCCTGCCTTTATCTACATATCTGAAAAAGTGGCTTTTTCACAGGCCTTAAAAAGACTTGGATTTTTGGCCAGGCGCAGTGGCTCATGCCTGTAATCCCAGCACTTTGGGAGGCCGAGGCAGGTGAATCACCTGAGGGTCAGGAGTTCGAGACTATCCTGGCCAACATGGTGAAACCCTGTCTCTATTAAAAATACAAAAATTGGCCGGACACGGTGGCTCACGCCTGTAATCCCAGCACTTTGGGAGGCTGAGGCGGGCAGATCACGAGGTCAGATCGAGACCAGCCTGGCTAACATGGTGAAACCTCGTCTCTACTAAAAATACAAAAAATTAGCCGGGCATGGTGGCGGGTACCTGTAGTCCCAGCTACTCGGGAGGCTGAGGCAGGAGAATGGCATGAACCCGGGAGGTGGAGCTTGCAGTGAGCAAAGATCACGCCACTGCACTCCAGCCTGGGCAACAGAGCGAAACTCTTGTCTCAAAAAAAAAAAAAAAAAAAAAAGTAGCTTGGCGTGGTGGTACACGCCTGTAGTCCCAGCTGCTCGGGAGGCTGAGGCAGGAGAATCGCTTGAACTCAGGAGGTGGAGGTTGCAGTGAGCTGAGATCATGCCATTGCACACCAGCCTGGGCGACAAGAGTGAGACTCTGTCTCAAAAAAAAAAAAAAAAAAAAAAAAAGACTTGGATTTTTCTCTCACTTTTAATTTGAGGGATTCTATTCTTCCAGTTAGGAGATGCTTGCCTCCCTTGTATGGTGGAATCTTTCTACTAAACCTCACATTCTTTTGCAGATTCTTCCCGGCAAGCACTGGCAGCTCCACTTTTGAACCTTCCCCCAAAGAAAAAGTAGGTTCACATTTGTGGGAATCATCTGAGTTTTTAAAAAGTGCTAAGTGTGCCAGATTGACACCCTGGCTTTGTGTTCCAGGAATGCTGATTATTATGAGAAGATCTCTGATCCCCTAGATCTTATCACCATAGAGAAGCAGATCCTCACTGGTTACTATAAGACAGTGGAAGCTTTTGATGCTGACATGCTCAAAGTCTTTCGGAATGCTGAGGTATTTTTCACTGACTTCAAACAGATTTCACAAGTTTGTTCTGAAAAGAATTAGTCTAGAAGTTTAAGATTTTTACCCTCCTCTATCAGCCATATTTCTGGTTGGAAAAGCCAGTCATTTTTGAGTATCCTTGGGGTATGTGTTACAGTATACTAAATATTATAGAAGGCTATCTATGAAGACATTGATAGGACTAGAATGGAAGGTTAAATCATTCCCCCCCAAAAAAATAATTTTTGTAAAAAACTAATTTAGTATTAAACCTTTATGACTGCGTTATATAGATATTTTAATACATTTAACTAATATCTGTAGTTTCTTTCCTCAAGAAAATAAGTACATGTGAAATATACAGAAATATGCATAGGTAAATGTTTATATGTGTGTGTGTGTGTGTGTGTGTGTGTGTGTGTGTATATATATATATTTTTTTTTTTTTTTTAAATGAGACAGAATCTTGCTCTGTCACCCAGGCTGGAGCGCAATAGCGTGATCTCAGCTCACTGCAACCTCCACCTCCCGGGTTCAAGCGATTCTCCTGCCTCAGCCTCCTGAGTAGCTGGGATTATAGGCGCCTGCCACCATGCCTGGCTAATTTTGTATTTTTAGTAGAGACAGGGTTTCACCATGTTGGCCAGGCTGGTCTTGAACTCCTGACCTCAGGTGATCTGCCTGCCTTGGCCTCCCAGAGTGTTGGGATTACAGGCGTGAGCCACGGCTCCTGGCCAGTAATATATCTTGAGGATGGAATTGAGGAGTATCACAGTGATAGATTATGGAATAGCTGAAGCTCATTGGAGAGAAAGTGGCCTTGAACTGATTTAAAGGACAGGATGGACTATTGTATGGTGCATAGAAGAGAGGAAATTATTCAGTAATTTTGACATGCCTTGGAGAGGTGTTTGGAAGACAAAAGATCCTACTAGATAAAGGAATAATAGAAGTTGAAAGACAAAATGAGAAAGAAAAATAGACAAGCGGGAGAAGAGTTAGAGCAATCTTAAATTGTAACATTCTTCCTACTGAAACCCAGCTTCCACATAGATTCAACACCTGTAGATCTGTCACAGATATCCACAAGACAAAGGTGTATGTTGAACTTCTACAGTACATTATGCTTGTGATATCAATTCATATTTCATGATCTCTGTGTATTTGATCTGGGGACAAGAAGGCCCGTGACAGGAATTGAATGACAGATCAGTTGAGCAAATGGAAAAATAACATGCAGATTCTAACTTGAATTCATTTTAGTTCAGTTTAAGTTGTTACCAACTATCTGGCCATATATTTGATACTATTGAAAATCTGTTAACCAAAATGGGAGGGTAAAGAAAGTCATGCTACCTTGCTACCTCTTTAGGTAAATTGTTAAGCCACATTGAGAGAACCAAACATGATTTCTTTATTTGCTTTCTTCAGAAGTACTATGGGCGTAAATCCCCAGTTGGGAGAGATGTTTGTCGTCTACGAAAGGCCTATTACAATGCCCGGCATGAGGCATCAGCCCAGATTGATGAGATTGTGGGAGAGACAGCAAGTGAGGCAGACAGCAGTGAGACCTCAGTCTCTGAAAAGGAGAATGGGCATGAGAAGGACGACGATGTTATTCGCTGTATCTGTGGCCTCTACAAGGATGAAGGTCTCATGATCCAGTGTGACAAGTGCATGGTGAGGGTCAGGAAATGAAGCAGAAGCTTGGTCCTGATGAACACGGTGACCATATTCAAAGAAGAAGCCCATGCCTCTTTTGGATTGGCTTGAAAGACTGTTTATGAACTGTAACTTAGCCTTGGTTTCTGTTAGGTTTCTGTGTTTACTATATTGCCTTTCTCCTTTTATCTTTCTTTCACTTTATCCTTCCCTTCTTTTTCTTTCCTTCTCTCCTCTCTTCTTGTTTTTTTGTTTTGTTTTGTTTATAAGATAGGATCTTGCTCTGTCATCCACACTGGAGTGTGGTGGCACGATCTCAGCTCTCTGCAACCTCTGCCTCCCAGGCTCAAGCAATCCTCCCACCTCAGCCTCTCGAGTAGCTGGGATTATAGGCATGTGCCACGTGCCACCATGCCCGGCTAATTTTTTGTACTTTTTGTAGAGATGGGGTGTCACCATGTTGCCCAGGCTGGTCTTGAACTCCTGAGCTCAAGTGATCTGCCCACCTCGGCCTCCCAGA
Organism: Homo sapiens; assembly: GCF_000001405.40. Lineage (NCBI taxonomy): Eukaryota > Metazoa > Chordata > Mammalia > Primates > Hominidae > Homo > Homo sapiens. The sequence continues at coordinate 155,347,153 of NC_000001.11, read as the reverse complement.
GCGTTGGGATTACAGGCATGAGCCACCACGCCTGGCTCTTTCCTTCTTTCTGCCCACTTTCCACTGTACACTTCTCACATAATCTGGATCAAGGAAAATGACAGTATTTCATATAGTGCTTTGCCTTTTGAATCATTAGTGATAATACACTCTATTAATTGAATCCTCTGATAGAGTGAAATATGTTAATACATGTAGGGCTCCTGATGAAGAAGTCAAAGCCTGGATTTGAGCCTTAGTGTCCCCACTAATATATGTGAATGCATAACTTTATGTGTAAAGTGGCTGTAAGTAACGCACAGGATTGTTGGGAGGCTAAAGTTAGACAGGAGTAAATAAAACATTTTGTAGCTGTATTCTGAAAGCAGAATAGCTGTAGCATTTACTTAAATTACTTAGTAATAGTTCAGTAGTCTATTTGTTTTCCTATTCTCTGTCCATCTCCCCATTTTATTTGCCCAGATCTATAGATTATGAGTCAATCGGTATACTTTTGCTTAGAACAGTCATTATTTTGTTTTCCTCCTATTTTACCATTTATCTCTAATTTATCATTCACCCAGTTATCCCTTAGTTCCTCTTTTACTTTACCCTGACCTATTGCTAATTTTTTATTCTGGGCTCCCAGGACACTCTCAATAAGTCATAGCCTCCATGTTCCCCAAACTGTATGTTTTTCTACAGGTATGGCAGCACTGTGATTGTATGGGAGTGAACTCAGATGTGGAGCACTACCTTTGTGAGCAGTGTGACCCAAGGCCTGTGGACAGGGTAAGCTGAACCTCTGATAAAACTCTGATCTATAAGTAGGAGAGGTAGCACATGGTATCTCACCTGTCCTGCTCCTGCTTTGCAGAATTTCCTTTAATAGGTTGTTCAGCCTCTCTGGGCCTTGGTTTCTTAAACTTTACATTAAGGGTCATAATTCTGTTCTTCCCTATTTCAGGAGTATGACCAAAGGGAAAATAAAATACTTAGAAATCTGTGGAAGGAATGGCACTATATAAAACTAAGGTTTTTGGCCGGGCACGGTCGCTCATGCCTGTAATCCTAGCACACTGGGAGGCTAAGGCGGATGGATTGCCTGAGCTCAGGAGTTCGAGACCAGCCTGGGCAACACGGTGAAACCCCATCTCTACTAAAATACAAAAAAAATTAGCCGGGCATGGAGGCGTGCACCTGAAGTCTCAGGTACTTGGGTGGCTGAGGCAAGAGAACTGCTAGAACCCGGGAGGCAGATGTTGCAGTAAGCCAAGATCATGCCAGTGCACTCCAGCCTGGGCGACAGAGCAAGACCCCATCTCTTAGAAAAAAAAAAAAAAAAAGGCCGGGTGCAGTGGATCATGAGGTCAGGAGTTTGAGACCAGCCTGGCCAAGATGGTGAAACCCTGTCTCTACTAAAAATTCAAAACTTAGCCAGGCACAGTGGCAGGTGCCTGTAATCCCAGCTACTCAGGAGTCTGAGGCAGGCAAATCACTTGAACCCAGGAGGCAGAGGTTGCAGTGAGCCAAGATCGCATCACTGCATTCTAGCCTGGGCAACAGAGCAAGACACTGTCTCAAAAAAAAAAAAAAAAAAAAAGCTGGGCATGGTGGCTCACACCTATAATCCCAGCACTTTGGGAGGCCGAGGCGGGCAGATCACAAGGTCAAGAGATAAAGACCATCCTCGGCCGGGCGCAGTGGCTCACGGCTGCAATCCCAGCATTTTGAGAGGCTAAGGCGGGTGGATCATGGGGTTAGGAGTTCAAGACCAGCCTGGCCAATATGGTGAAACCCCATCTCTACTAAAAACTGCAAAAAAAATTAGCCGGGTGCAGTGGCAGGCGCCTGTAATCCCATCTACTTGGGAGTCTGAGGCAGGGGAATCACTTGAACCTGGGCGGCAGAGGTTGCAATGAGCCAAGATCACGCCACTGCACTCTAGCCCGGGTGACGGAGTGAGACTCAGTCTCCAAAAAAAAAAAAAAAAAAAAAAAGACCATCCTGGCTAACATGGTGAAACCCCGTCTCTACTAAAAATACAAAAATTAGCTGGGCGTGGTGTTGCGTGCCTGTAGTCCCAGCTACTCGGGAGGCTAAGGCAGGAGAATTCACTTGAATCTGGAGGCGGAAGTTGCAGTGGGTCGAGATCGCACCACTGCACCCCAGCCTGCCAACAGAGCGAGACTCCATTTCAAAAAAAAACAAAACTGAGGTTTTTATAAACACTATCAGATGTCCATGAAAGGAATAGCTTACAAAATCCAGAACTTGGTACCCTTAACGTCATTTATGTTAGACAGTGGTTTAAGTGAAAAGAGCACTGGACTCAGAATCAGCAAAGGTTAGTGTTAGGCTCACTTCATAGGAGAGAGGGTAAGTGGCTTGCCTAAGTCATTAAGTGGGTTCTGTGCTTGGCTCTGCTATCTTTATATGTGTGATTTTGGGCAAGTCATTTTTAAAAAAAGAAGAGATTTAGGCAGTATTTCTTAACAATGTTGCTGTTGTCATGTTTAGGTGAATAGTTCTTGTTGTGAGGGATGCATTTCAGAATGTTTGGCTTCCTTGGACCCTGGGCATTAAATACCAGTAGCATACCCCAATCATTGTAATAATTAGTCTCCCTTCACACATTTTCATATGGCCCCTAGATTACGTAGAGCAACTACACAATTAGTGCTTCATAAAACATAGATTGAGATACTTAGCCTATCAGTTTTGTCCTCTACCTTCACTTTTCCAGGTTTAACAGCTCTAGTTGCTTTCATCTTTTTTGTATATCTGTGGTATATTGAAATGACTAAACAGTAAGTTTTGATTGAGAATTCTAGGTTGAGAAATAAGTAGGCTGAATGTAGTAATTCCAGCCCTTATACATTGGCTTTCTGCTCCTATCAGGAGGTTCCCATGATCCCTCGGCCCCACTATGCCCAACCTGGCTGTGTCTACTTCATCTGTTTGCTCCGAGATGACTTGCTGCTTCGTCAGGGTATGTATACAGGAGCTAATCCTACTTGTCAGAGGTGACCTTTCTGAATAGTAGGAAGTCTCTGCTGTCTCCATCATAGTCATTGTCTCCATACGGCCTCGAATAGCAATAGAATATAAGTTTTTATATCTGTAGTCCTTGTGCTTACATGCATCACCTCTCCACCAAATAATACTAATTTGAAATGATAGACATGTTACAAAGCTAATTTTAAGACTGGGAAAAACATATAGGAAGCTCAAGAAATGGAATGCCTCCCTTATATTATTGTCATAGTCTAGAATTGATTATCATCACTTAACACTGCTGCTTTTAGCTCTCTGTATTTATACTGTTTCAGATTATGAGTTCTATGTAGACCCTGAGTCAGATAAACAGATGCCTAACAGAATTCATACAAGAATTGTTTTATGTTTCTTCTGTGTTCTGGGTCTTCCTAGGTGACTGTGTGTATCTGATGAGGGATAGTCGGCGCACCCCTGATGGCCACCCGGTCCGTCAGTCCTATCGACTGTTATCTCACATTAACCGAGATAAACTTGACATCTTTCGCATTGAGAAGCTTTGGAAGAATGAAAAGTACGTGCTGAGGTCCTGTCCTTTTCTTCCAGCCGTGCTGTACCAGTGGAGCTGAATGTTCACTAGGATCTTGCTAATCAGCTAAACCTCTCCCTTCTCACTTTTCCATTGTTTTAGAGAGGAACGGTTTGCCTTTGGTCACCATTATTTCCGTCCCCACGAAACACACCACTCTCCATCCCGTCGGTTCTATCATAATGAACTATTTCGGGTGCCACTCTATGAGATCATTCCCTTGGAGGCTGTAGTGGGGACCTGCTGTGTGTTGGACCTTTATACGTATTGTAAAGGTAAGTGATCTGGGCTAGTTAAAAAATGACCTCGGCCAAGTGCAGTGGCTCACGCTGATAATCCCAGCGGTGTGGGAGGCCGAGGCAGGCAGATTGCTTAAGCCCAGGAGTGTGAGACCAGCCTGGCCAACGTGGCAAAACTCTGCCTCTGTAGCTGGGCATGGCAGTGTAGGCCTGTAGTCCCAACTACTGGGAGGATTGCTGAGCCTGGGAGGCAGAGGTTGCAGTGAGCCAAGATCGCACCACTGCACTCCAACCTGTGCAACAGAATGAAACCCTGCCTCAAAAAAAAAAAAAAGACTTCAATGACCTCATGTCTCCTGTTCATTGCCCACCCCATTCTTGTTGCCTGTATATGATTGCCTGTATATGATGAAAGATTCTCCAAGGCTAGCTATGAAACTTCAGAGAGCTCTACTATATTTTTTCCTTTCTTTTACCTAGGGCTTAGTACTCAATAAAAGTTTATTCTTTTTTATTAAATTTAGTTAATTTTGTTAATACTGTGTACTAATTTCAAATTCCAGCTCTACCACATTTTATCTATGTTCCTTTGTGGAATTTACTTAATCTAAGTATCAGTTTCCCATTGAAAATAAGGACTATCTATTTTAAAGAGTTCTTAAAAGATTATATAAAATAATCTACAAAAGCACTCAGCCTAGTTTATGGCTTAGAGTAAAAGCTCAATATATGTTATTTGTCACTATTAGCAGAGTTCAGTTGCCTAGACTGTTCTCTCAGAATCATAGCAAAATAGTCTAAAAGACTACGTATTCCATTCCAAAACTGACAGACTGCTTGCAGTTCTGTGTGATACTGATGAGTCCTCCTTGTCTCAGTTAAAAAGTGTTCATGTACAAATGTGCTTCCCTCAAATTTATGCCTCTGTTCTTTTCTTGTAACTCCTCGTAACCTGCTCAGTTTTTCCCTCAAAATACTCCCTCACACATCCCTGCAGCACTCAGTTTACATTTCTGGTTTATTTCCATCCATTCTGCTGTATATTTACTTTATCCTTTGTTGACACTAGTGTCTGAGAACTCTTTGTCCAGCAACTACCAAATGCTTAGTTGTCCTGCCTCTCTACATAGCTACCATGTAGGGTTTTAAGGGTCTAGCTGCTCTCCCATTGGTGTGTATGGGGTCTTTGGGCAGCTCAGGGGGAGAAATGGCTAAATAGGATTCCTTAACACTGGTTGGACCCATAGGGAGACCCAAAGGAGTAAAGGAGCAAGATGTGTACATCTGTGATTATCGGCTTGACAAGTCAGCACACCTGTTTTACAAGATCCACCGGAACCGCTATCCTGTCTGCACCAAACCCTATGCTTTTGATCACTTCCCCAAGAAGCTCACTCCCAAAAAAGATTTCTCGGTGAGTCTCCTTCCTTTCTTAACACTACATGTTAGGACAATCTGGTTCATGCATGAAATTCACTGAGCGAAAATCTTCACGTAGTTCTCTGCTTCTTCATCCAAATTCCATCCCAAACTATGGATATCTCTGTCTCTATTTGGGACATTTGAACAGCATAAGTACATTTCCTCACATAGACTGTATCTCAGAAAATTGTTGATATAGTGTTATACCTTTCCTCTTTTCTCTTTCGTCTGTTTAACCTTTGCTGGCGAGCCCCATTCTGTAGATTTTTGTTTTGTTTTGTCTTTCACACCCATAATTTTAAGAAGCAAGAACCCTGAAAAACTCCTTTTTTTCCTCTCTCTCATTGAGAACACACCCGTAAAAGAAGAACCTTCACAGAAAATAATTCAGTGCTTTTTCTTTTTATGCCTGCATTAAAAATGGAAGACACGATCATTATATAAAATTTGTGAGCCAGGCGCGGTGGCTCACGCCTGTAATCCCAGCACTTTGGGAGGCCAAGGTGGGCGGATCATGAGGTCAGGAGATCAAGACCATCCTGGCTAACACGGTGAAACCCCCTCTCTACTAAAAATACAACAAATTAGCCAGGTGTGGTGGCAGGTGCCTGTGGTCCCAGCTACTCGGGAGGCTGAGGCAGGAGAATAGCGTGAACCCAGGAGGCAGAGCTTGCAGTGAGCCAAGATCACGCCACTGCACTCCAGCCTGGGTGACAGAGCGAGACTCCGTCTCAAAAAAAAAAAAAAATTGTGAACATTGAAACCCCGTCTCTACTAAAAATACAAAAATTAGCCAGGTGTGGTGGCGCGCACCTGTAATCCTAGCTACTCAGGAGACTGAGGCAGGAGAATCGCTTGAACCTGGGAGGCAGAGATTGCAGTGAGCCAAGATCGCGCCATTGCACTCCAGCTTGGGTGACAGAGCGAGACTCCATCTCAAAACAAAACAACAACAACAACAAAACAAAATTTGTGGTGGTGGTGTTTATTGTATAAACATCATGGTGGCTCACGTGTGTAATCTCAGCACCTTGGGAGGCTGAGACAGGAGGATCACTTGAGCCCAGGAGTTTGAGGTTACAGTAAGCTGATTGTGCCACTGCACTCCAGCCTGAGTGACAGAGACCCTGTCTCAAAAAAAAAAAAAAAATTAAGTATAGAAGCATAAGAGGAAAAAAGTTATATATATACTCCACTATCCAGAAAATAACCATTATTAACATTTTCATTGTCAGGCTTTTTCCTGGTATTTTTTCTTTCAAATTGTTGAGAACCGTGTGCCAATTATACGTTTTGTCATTCATCATTCCATAAAGATTTTGATCATCCATTCATCTGTTTGCTCTAATAAAACCCTGGCTGAGCTCCTCATCTTTGAGTCTTCTTTTAGTGGGCCTGTCAAAAGTCATAGCTGTCACCCTGGAATCCTTAGCAATAATCTAACCAGGGCCAGGCGCGGTGGCTCACACCTGTAATCCCAGAACTTTGGGAGGCTGAGGCGGGTGGATCACAAAGTCAGGAGATTGAGACCAGCCTGGTCGACATGGTGAAACCCCATCTCTACTAAAAATACAAAAATTAGCCGGGCATGGTGGCATGCACCTGTAATCCCAGTTACTCAGGAGGCTGAGGCAGAAGAATCGCTTGAACCCAGAGGCAGAGATTGCAGTGAGCCAAGATCGCACCACTGTACTCCAGCCTGGCAACAGGACAAGACTCTCAAAAAATAAAAAGAAAGAAAAATAAGCTAACCAGAAAACAAAGCAATATGTTCCTATTTTCCCTATTTTTTTTTTTTAATTTTCCAGACCGTCTTTTGTATTCTCTGCCCACCACCAGGTCTTTCCTCGCATCTAGACTTATTTGGTTTTGCTTGCTCAATCAATAGCTTACTGACTAGCTTTGAAACCCCAGCCTTAACTACAGTCATGTGCAACATGTTTCAGTCAACATTGGACTGCATATACAACGGTGATCCCGTAAGATTATAATGGAGCTGAAGAATTCCTTCCTATCATCTAGTGATGTCATAGCTGTCGTAACATACTGCAATGTAATACCTTTTCTATGTTTAGATACACAATACTTACCATGGTATTACAACTGCCTACAGTATTCAGTACAGTATTGTGCTGTATATATAGGCTTGTAGCCTAGGAGCAATAGGCTATACTAAATAGCCTAGGTGTATAGTAGGCTATACTATCTAGGTTTGCGTAAGGATGCTTTATGATGTTTACATAACAATCAAATCACGTGATGACATATTTCTCAGAACATATCCCCGTATGACCCCAAGCGACATATGACTGTATTTAAAAGGTGAAATGGGATAGAGAAAATTGTGCACTTATCCCTCCCATTGTCATCCTGGGAGCACAAAATGCTGATAATCATTGTGGCCTGCATATTCATAGAAGTACTAAATTTCTCATCTTAAAACAAAGTCACCCAACTTGTCTACTGCCCTACTGTGTTCCTTATCCTGACTGGCCCCAGAGAAGAGCTAGCTCTCCCAGCTTCTACAATATGCTTACCTCTTCCTTTTCTTCTCTGCAGCCTCATTACGTCCCAGACAACTACAAGAGGAATGGAGGACGGTAAGTCCCATGGGGGGATATGAGGATCCTAAGGGATTGACTAAGAGCTTGAATGGATCAAGAAAACAAACAACTACCCACTCAGCTCCACTTCTAGGACTGGGTATTCTCTGCAGAGTAGCCCAGTGTAGTGCCAGCACTATGGAAGAACTAAATTTCAGTAGATGTGGTCCCATTATGGAGCCTTAATTGGAGCAACAGAGAGATGTGCAGGGAGTAGAGACAGAGATTTGGAACAGAACTCCAGACTCAGAAAAGTTTCTTTTAGATGTCTGTAAGCTTTCCCCATTACCTCAAGGTATATCAGCTCTTGGTACCTCTATCAAGGAACAGATGTAGCCAGTACAGTTTTCACTGAGCTATGAACTATGGGTTCATAGTTTTTATTTTTGCTTATTTTGTACGTGAGGATTATTCCTGAAGAAAGATGACAGAAGGCTTTTTCTTCAGTCTCCTCATCTGTTGAATGGGGGCATAACAACTGCTTTACCTACACCAATAGCTTACCATAAGGGAGAAAATATTAGACTATTGATATGAAAAAGGGAAGCACGAAAATTTAAAACTCCATTTAAATATTTATTATTGTAGTTGGATTATTGGCATCACAAGGTTGTGCCGTGCTTCTCTAGTCATGAAGCAGTCATTTAGAACCAGCTAAGCAATTTTATTAGCCCTTGTATATTTTATGGATTCCTATACCATTTGTGAATATTCCTAAGAGAAATAATAAAAGTTGAATTTTACAAATAAATTTCTGGTAAAGGTAGTGTTTTATTCAAATAATATAAAGTGAAAACGAGAGTCAAGTTTCTTACCTCAAGCTAAGGCTCTAACTGCTGGACTCCAGGATCTCAAGCCATCTTGAGGCCTCCTACCCTTCATCCCCTTTTCCTCCTCAAGTGTCTTACACTAAATTCAGATATCCTTCTGGCAGATCATCCTGGAAGTCTGAGCGCTCAAAGCCACCCCTAAAAGACTTGGGCCAGGAGGATGATGCTCTACCCTTGATTGAAGAGGTTCTAGCCAGTCAAGAGCAAGCAGCCAATGAGATACCCAGCCTGGAGGAGCCAGAACGGGAAGGGGCCACTGCTAACGTCAGTGAGGGTGAAAAAAAAACAGAGGAAAGTAGTCAAGAACCCCAGTCAACCTGTACCCCTGAGGAACGACGGCATAACCAACGGGAACGACTCAACCAGATCTTGCTCAATCTCCTTGAAAAAATCCCTGGAAAAAATGGTAAGAAGAATCAGGTTCATATCTAGGGTTTAAGATAAATGCGAAATGAGAGGGAATGGAAAAAAATTGTAATTACTGGTTCAGCATCCAAAGTATTCTAAGAAAATGGTATAGTTCTTTTATAGGCTTGCTTTTAGTTGTATCTTGGTAGTGAAACTGGAAGGTGAGATGATCTCCTCTAAAGAACCACCTTTTTCACGTAGGGTTGGAGGATGGGCTAAATTGCTTATAGGTCAGAAAAGGAATCATTGAGTTCGTGTGCTCTCCTTAGAGCTCAAATCTGGAATAAGGAGTAGGAGATTGGTATTTTGATGAGCCTCCTTGGTTCTGTTTTCAGCCATTGATGTGACCTACTTGCTGGAGGAAGGATCAGGCAGGAAACTGCGAAGGCGTACTTTGTTTATCCCAGAAAACAGCTTTCGAAAGTGACCCTCAAAGAATGAGAACCTCAAGCATCTGGGATCCAGTGGAGCTAATCAGTCCTGCCTCCTGCTCTCTGGGTATAGACAGGGGTGGGAAGGGTCCATCTGGGCAAGGGGAATGGGGCCATGTTGTTGACATTAGGTACTTAATAAGCCTTGGAGCTAGTGGAGAGGGAGAGGAAAGGGTTCTGTCCAAGACAGTTCAGGTTAATTAATTTTCTTCTCCATTGCTTCACCTTAAGGGTTAATAATGTAGAGAGGAGGGAGGACCACATTGATGACCAGAACCTACTGGTACTTTATAGCATTTGCCCCACCCCACAGCTTAGGTTTTTCTGTCATCCTCAGATCCCACAGGCATTGCGAAGAAGCTGCTTCCTATACCCAGGTATAACTCAAAATCCAAAGGGATAGGGCCAGGATCCCTATTCCTACCCCATCTATTCTCTGTTGGCTCCAAGAGCTACCCCAGAGACCTTAAACAGAAACAGTAGCTGAGGCTTCTTCCTAGATACCTGACTAGGGAAGTTTGTCTCTCCTTTCTTGCCCAACCAGGTCAAAGTAAAATGTGAGTTGACAGCTCAAAGCACTTGTAACTGCTGCCCCCTCCCTACCTCTACTCCCCAAAATGGAATCATGGGATAGGGAAGGCCCCCATGGGGTCAGAAGGGCACGGTAGTTCTTGCAATTATTTTTGTTTTACCCTTCATAACCTGTCAAACATATTTTTTTCTAATGAGAAAGCCAGGCCCCCGCCAGCACACATGCTGTTTTTAATGCGCTGTAGTTCTTGTGTGTCTGCTGTGCTGTGCAAATGGAGATTCAGTTCAAAATAAAATCATTTAAAAACCTACATAAAAAGAACTCTAAACCCACCCCTGCAACAAAAGTCACTACATAAACTGTTCAGCAGTATTCACCTATCAGAGTATTTGTTGTGAGTATAGATTATCAATTGAAAACACTACTCTTGTTTTCTTAATTGTACAGTTTTCAATGTCCCTTTCTTAAAGAGACAGTATATTTCTCTTCACCCCTAGCCCATCTTCCCTCACCCTCCTGAATGACATCAGGAGGTATATCCAGGGTGTCTCCTTCCTTCCTACTCTCTTGACCAGAAGTTAACAGACTATACTGTCTCTTTAAAAATAAAATTTAAAAAGCTTTGTTGTCTTTTCAGACATACATATGCATATATGTTTTAGATGTTCTTATAAGAGAAAAGATGGTTTTTAAATGTGCCAAGTTGTGTGTGTGTGTGTATATATATGTGTGTATGTGTGTGTATATATATATGTGTGTGTGTATATATATACACACACACACACACACCTGCTGTGTGATTGGTAAGCAATACAATAGTAAACATGTCCCCATTACTTTTTTCTAATATTGGACCAATGCTGTCCTAATTGTACATTTCCCCTTATGGTGACGATGCTCTGACTCGTTTAGGTAGACACATTGACCACCTTCCATTCCATTAAATATTTTTTCCTTTTTCCCCTTTCTGTGTCATTCTTGAGGAAAAAACAAAAGAGAGAGGGGATGCCAATGATCCCCTTGAGCAGAGAAAAAGCAAAATAAATATTTTATTAAAGAAAAAAGAGAATTAAGAAAATAGTTTGGAGTATTTTCTTACTGTAGAGAAGCACTGTACATTACTAAGAGACCTGGGTATAAGATACTCACATGTGGAGCTGGAAAAATCGCATGTCCAAGCCCGTTTGAGTGGTTTCTTTTGTTTTTCATTGCAGGGAGTGGGTGGGAGGGAGGTGGGACTAGGGGCACTTTGGGGGTCTCCTTTTAGTCAAAAGCGAGAAAATGACAAGAAAGAGATTAAAATTCAATGTTTCCTTTATAGTGTTAAACACTAAAATTTTAAAAAAGATGAAAAAGAAAAAAAAACTTTGTAAAATGCGAGAACAGAAGCAAAAGACACTACGCTCTGTCATTTTATCTTTCTTTTGTTGAAAGACTAAAAAAAAACTGAAATGTTTTTTAGACAATCAAATGTTAGGTAAGTGCAAAAACTTGTTTTTTCTTACTGGTGTAGAAATTAATGCCTTTTTTTATTTTTCAGTTATTTTATAATAACGAAATAAAAAGAACCCCCCAGCTGCCAGGCGGGTTTTGGTGTTTGAAATGCGGGGCAAAGCACTACATCACTGCAAATAGATACAGAGTTAGTCTGCATGTCTGTAGGCTGTGTGATTGCGGAAAATATAAATGCTGCTAATATATTTCCTTTTTACAAAAGCATATCTAAATAGATGATTGTTTTGATGTTAATCTTTGTAAATTATGTATTACCAATTTTAACATTGGATGTAATTGCATACAAAGCTTGCATCTCAATCCTTGAAAGTCTAGTATTAAATGGAAAAAACTTTTCCTAACTGTGGACTGATGAGCTTGCTATTTTTTCCTCCTTCTTATCCCCCATTTATCTTCCAAGACAACCTCATCCTGTTTCCAAGGGGATCTTTCTGAAACAACATCATAAACATGCTAGGCTGCACATGAGCACACTCACTGCCGTTGACTACTGGATAAAGTCATTTCTTCAGTACTAGGATCTTTCTAGTCTGGACTCAGCCTAATCAATCAGCACAGTAATAACACACACCAAATGTCCAGTTGCTTTTTTGTTTTTTGTGTTTGAGACAGAGTCTCCCTGTTACCCAAACTGGAGTGCAATGGCACAATCTCGGCTCACTGCAACCTCCACATCCCAGACTCAAATGATCCTTCTGCCTCAGCCTCCCAAATAGCTGGAACTACAGGCATGCACCACCATGCCTGGCCAATTCTTGCACTTTTTGTGCAGACGGAGTTTCACCGTGTTGCCTAACGTAGTCCAGCTGTTTTGTTGGGTTTTTTTTAATTTTTTTGTTTTTGAGACAAGGCATCACTGTGTTGCCCAGGCCAGAGTGCAGTGGCACATTATAGCTCACTGCAACCTCAACCTCCTGGGCTCAAGCAATCCTCCCAACTCAGCCTCCTGAGTTGCTAGGACTACAGGGGCGCACCACCACGCCTGGCTAATGTTTTTATTTTTTGTAGAGACAGGGATCTCCCTGTGTTGCCCAGGCTAGTCTCAAACTCCTGGGCTCAAGTGATCCACTCAACTCAGCCTCCCAAAGTTCTGGGACTACAGGCATGAGCCACCACGCCTGGCCCAGCTGTTTCTTTTCTTTTCTTTTTTTTTTTTTTCTTTTTTTTTTTTGAGATGGAGTCTCGCTCTCACCCAGGCAGGCGTGCAGTGGTGCAACCTCGTCTCACTGCAACCTCCGCCTCCCGGGTTCAAGGGATTCTCCTGCCTCAGCCTCCCAAGTAGCTGGGATTATAGGCGCCTGCCACCATGCCTGGCTAATTTTTTTTGTATTTTAGTAGATACAGGGGTTTCACCATGTTGGCCAGGCTGGTCTCAAACTCCTGACCACAAATGATCCGCCCACCTCCACCTCCCAGAGTGCTTCGATTACAGGCCTGAGCCACCGCACCCAGCCCCAGCTATTTCTTAAACATGCCATGCGGGCGGATCACCTAAAGTCAGGAGTTCGAGACCAGCTTGGCCAACATGGTGAAACCCTGTCTCTACTAAAAATACAAAAAATTAGCCGGGCGTGATGGTGGATGCCTGTAATCCCAGCTACTCCGGAGGCTGAGGCAGGAGAATCGCTTCAACCCGAGAGGCAGAGGTTGCAGTGAGCCGAGATTGCGCCACTGCACTCCAAACTGGGCAACAAGAGTGAAACTCTGTCTCAAAAAAACAAACAAAAAACCATGCCATGCTATTCTACATCTCCATCCTTTGCACACACATGCATCATCATCTCATTAATTCTCAGTAACAACCACTGAGGCCGGCAATATATAACTTTAGGCCACGTTTTTTTAGGCCACTATGTGTTAGACCATTTCTATCATAAACAGTTTCCATATATTTGTTTATTAATCCTCACAAAAGCCCTTTGTGGTAGGTACCAAATCCCAATTTTATAAATGAGGAAATTGAAGCAAAAGACAATTTAAGTAACTTGCCCAAGATCACATAGTTAATCTTCATAATAGTCCTCTGAAGTTATTCCCATTTTGTAAGAGTGAAAACTGAAGCTCAGGAAGGTTAAGTAACTTGCCAAAGGTCACCCAGTAACTAGTGTTGGAGCCAGAACTCCAAAGTCTGTGTACTCCTCCACAAATAGAAAAGTGTCATAAATAGACAAAAGTGACCCTACTAATTAAGGAAGATAAACCCATTCCTGCAGATAACTGAAAGGCCTACCAAAACTTTGTCCCAGACATGAGTTAAACATTTAGGCTGGGAAGCCGGGCACGGTGGCTCACGCCTGTAATCCCAGCACTTTGGGAGGCTGAGGCAGGTGGGTCACCTGAGGTCAAGAGTTCAAGACCAGCCTGGCCAACATGGAGAAACCCTGTCTTTACTGAAAAATACAAAAATTAGCCGGGCGTGGTGGCACATGCCCGAGGCCGAGGCAGGAGAATCGCTTGAACCTGGGAGGCGGAGGTTGCGGTGAGCCAAGATCCTGCCATTGCACTCCAGCCTGGGCAACAAAAGCGAAACTCCGTAAAAAACAACAACAAAAAAAAAACCAGGCTGGGAGTTCAGCTAGAATACAATTGCTCAGAAGTAGCAAGACAGCTTACTCCAACAGTTCAATCTCTATTCCTATAAGGACTTGAGGTTCAAGACTAGATCAGAGTGCCCTACTGTTACATAATGGTTTCTTCATGATTGCAAAAACAATATGTTACTGTTACATTTTTTTGAGATTATCTTTAATTTTTTTTTTTTTTTTTTTGAGACGGAGTTTTGCTTTTTATTGCCCAGGCTGGAGTGCAATAGCGCAATCTCGGCTCACGGCAACCTCTGCCTCCCAGGTTCAAGCAATTCTCCTGCCTCAGCCCCTCAAATAGCTAGGATTACAGGCATGTGCCACCACGCCCGGCTAATTTTGTATTTTTCGTAGAGATGGGGTTTCTCCATGTTGGTCAGGCTCGTCTCAAACTCCCGACCTCAGGTGATCCATCCACCTTGGCCTCCCAAAGTGCTGGGATTACAGGCATGAGGCACTGCAGCCAGCCGCGTTTTTTCTAATTTTTAAACTTTGGTATCTACTGCAATTGTTCTATTCTAGATCATATATATATATATATATATATATATATATATATATATATACACATACACTTTTTTTTTTTTTTTTTTTGAGAGAGGCCCTTTGTCTCACAGGCTGGAGTGGAGTGGAGTGCTACAGTGCAATCAAAACTTACTGCAGTCTTGAACTCCTAGGCTCAAGTGATCCTCCCACCTCAGCTTCCCAAAGTAGCTGGGACTACAGGTGCATGCCACCACTCCCAGCTTTTTTTTTTTTTTAATAGACTGTCTTGCTGTACTGCCCAGGCTGGTCCCAAACTCCTGACCGCAAGCAATCCTCCCACATCAGCCTCCCAAAGTGCTGGGATTACAGACATGAGCCACCATACCTGGCCTCTCTTTTACTTGGAACTTTTTGTTGTTGTCAAGTGCCTGGGTTACTTGGAATTATATCATCACAGAGTGATAGATACTAAGTAGAAAAAATGTTGATACTTCTTTTTTCTTTTTTTTTTTTTTTGAGACAGATTTTCACCCTGTCGCCCGGGCTGGAGTGCAGTGGCGCGATCTCAGCTCACTGCAAGCTCTGCCTCCTGGGTTCACGCCTTTCTCCTGCCTCAGCCTCCCGAGTAGCTGGAACTACAGGTGCCTGCCACCATGCCCCGCTAATTTTTTTGTATTTTTAGTAGAGACGGGGTTTCACTGTGTTAGCCAGGATGGTCTCTGTCTCCTGACCTCATGATCCACCCCCCTTGGCCTCCCAAAGTGCTGGGATTACAGGTGTGAGCCACCGGGCCTGGCCAGTAGAAAAAATGGTGACATTTCTTACAACTCTTTGTTGTTTTGAAACAGGTTCTCCCTTTGTCACACAGGCTGGAATGCAGTGGCACAATCTCAGCTCACTGCAGCTTCGACCTCCTGGGCTCAAAGGATCCTCCTGCCTCAGCCCTCCAACTAGCTGGGACCACAGGCATGCGTCACCACACCTGGCTAATTTTTTGTATTGTTTGTAGAGACGGGGTTTTGCCATGTTGCCAAGGCTGGTTTCGAACTCCTGAGCTCAAGTGATCTGCTTGCCTCAGCCTCCCAAAATGCTGGGATTACATGTCTGAGCCACTGTGCCCGGTGCAAATCTTTAATCCTTCCCTTCACCTCAGATATGAAGTACAATTTCAAGGGCTAAGTCTTCTCTCCTCCCCCATATTTATGCAGGCTCCTATCCTATTAGTCTAACTAAACAGAGAAAGTCATAGACTAGAGAAGCACTTGTGAGATTCAGGAAGCAATGAGGGACTACTTCTCTATTCTTCAGGGAGCATTAAGCACTAAACCTGGGCTAGGAAGAAACATCTGCCTTATGCCTCCCATAGGAGGTCCTTTTTCCCCTCCCCCATAGCCTATGTCCAGAAACCCACAGTGAAAGACACACATTCAACTCCCATACTTTATTGGGACAAAGGAGGAAGGATGCAAACCATCACCACAGGCCCACCCACCAAGGGTGTCCAGGCTTCAGCACCTAGTACAGCATGAGTGAGTACATTATCAATACAGGCAACTTGGGAGGGATGGAGTGGGGAAGATTCCACACAGGAAGGAGACTAGAGGTCCTTCTAGGCTTGGGGGCTGAGGCATGTATTGTACTGGCACAGTCCACTTATGGATGAAGAAGGAGGTCTAGATTTCCATTTTGCAGATAGATAGGAAGGAAGACATTCCCTTATATAGACGGGAAAAAGGAAAGGGATTACCTGGAGGGCAATTCCTTTTTTATATATTTGGAAGAAGAGCAGATTTCACCTTACAGGTGGGTATAGGAGGGAAGAAGGAAAGTTTATTTTAAATATTAGCAGAAACAGACGTGGGAAGAAACGTCATTTTGCAGAGGGAAAATGCTTCTGGGATGGTGTTCACTGGCCATTCCATTCCCAGGTGACAGGAAGGAGACACATACGCAGGAAAGGGTCCCAGGGCTACAGAACAAGGGAGGTATACCCCACAGGCACCAGACCCTCCATGCCATCCCGCCCACAGCGGAGCCAGTCCTCATCCACTGTGGTGATGACACGCAGCACTTCCCCACGCCGGAAGCTCAACTGGTCAGGTCTTGCAGCAGTGTGATCACAGAGAGCCCGCACTGCCCTGAGGGGAGCCAGAGGAAGATACTGGGATGAGGTGAGGTGGGGCTGCCCAGCCGTCCCCAGGCGTCACCTCTAGAGTGCCCTTGTTGGTTTGGCTCAGTGGACATTGACTGGGCTCTGGAAGGACTTGAGAACCATTCATCAACTTGGTGATTCTATCTGGGGCCCCAGCCTTCTCCTGAGTGGCAAACCCACTCCAGCTGCTTATTTGACACTATTTGCACTTCTCAATGGTGCTTCAAATTCAACACAGGCAAATGAAATGACTCACCCTCAAAACCAGTTCCTCCTCGTGTCGCCTATAGTGGTAAACAGCACCACTTTCTCCCCACACTTGCCCCTGGTAAAAACCTGGGCATCTCACTCCATACATCCAATCCATCACCAAAACCTGTTTGGTGTTTGGATCTCCTACTACTCCATCTACTTTTTTTTTTTTTTTTTTTTTTTCTTGAGACAGAGTCAGTCTCTGTTGTCCAGGCTGGAGTGCAGTGGTGTGATCTCAACAGCCTCCACCTCCCAGGTTCAAGCAATTCTCCTGCCTCAGCCTCCCGAGTAGCTGGGACTACAAGTGCCCACCACCACCACGCCTGGCTAATTTTTGTATTTTTAGTAGAGACGGGGTTTCACCATGTTGACCAGGCTGGTCTTGAATTCCTGACTTCAGGTGATCCACCACGCCCGGCCGCCAAATGCTTTTATAAAATGTTTAGGCCAGGCGTGGTGGCTCACGCCTGTAATCCCAGCACTTTGGGAGGCTGAGGTGGGTGGATCACAAGGTCAAGAGATCGAGACCATCCTGGCCAACATGGTGAAACCCCATCTCTATTAAAAATATAAAAAATTAGCTGGGCATGGTGGCAGGCGCCTGTAGTCCCAGCTACTCAGGAGGCTGAGGCAGGAGAATCACTTGAACCCAGGAGGCGGAGGTTGCAGTGAGCCGAGATCATGCCATTGCACTCCAGCCTGGGCGACAGAGCAAGACACTGTCTCAAAAAAAAAAAAAAAAAAGTTTAGTAGCCAGGTGTAGTGGCTCCCACCTGTAATCCCAGCACTTTGGGAGGCCAAGGTAGGCAGATTCCTTGAGGCCAGGAGTTCAAGACCAGCCTGGCCAACATGGCAAAACCCCATCTCCACTAAAATTACAAAAATTAGCCAGGCATGGTGGCAGGTGCCTGTAATCCCAGCTACTCTGGAGGCTGAGGCAGGAGAATCACTTGAGCCCAGGAGGCGTGGTTGCAGTGAGCCGAAATCATGCCACTACACTCCAGCCTGGGCGAGAGTGAGACTCTGTCTCAAAAAAAAAATTATGTTTAGTCTCTATAACCATAAAAAAGGTATTGCATCATATCCTTTTTATAGAAAGAATCCTGGCCGGGTGCAGTAGCTATGCCTGTAATCCCAATACTTTGGGAGGCTGAGGTGGGTGGATCACCTGAGGTCAGGAGTTCTAGACCAGCCTGGGCAACACGGTGAAACCCCGTTTCTACTAAAAATACAAAAATTGGCTGGGCACAGTGGCTCACGCCTATAATTCCAGCACTTTGGGAGGCCAAGGCGGGCGGATCACGAGGTCAGGAGATCAAGACCATCCCGGCGAACATGGTGAAACCCCGGTCTCTACTAAAAATACAAAAATTAGCTGGGCGTGGCGGCATGTGCCTGTAATCCCAGCTACTCAGAAGGCTTAGCAGGAGAATTGCTTGAACCTGGGAGGCGGAGATTGCAGTGAGCCGAGATCATGCCACTGTACTTCAGCTTGGCGACAGAGCTAGACTCCATCTCAAAAAAAAAAAAATTCCAAAACTTAAACGGGCATGGTGGTGGGCACCTGTAGTCCCAGCTACTCAGTAGGCTGAGACAGGAGAACCCAGGAAGGGGAGGTTGCAGTGAGCCGAGATTGTGCCCCTGCACTCCAGCCTGAGCGACAGAGCAAGACTCTTGTCTCTTAAAAAAAAAAAAAAATCCAAGGCTCAAATGAGTGACACATCGATAATAAATAGAAAAGCTGCAATGCACACTAAGCACGGTCTTATTTTAAAGCCCAGGGTTTTTTACACTACCTCCCATCCATGCTGTGATAGCATACATGGTTACACACTAGTGCATTCTCCCCAATCCTCCTTACCTATGGGTTTGCACCATCCTGGGTGCTGAGGCCTCAAGCTCCTGAGGAGAAGGCATCTCGGGAGGTGCCCCCCGCTTCACAAGAGCCAACACACTCACTGTCGGGGGCAGCCAGCTAGATGGTCTCCTAAAAGAAGGGACATAGGGTCACAGCTCAACCCACTTCCAGAAAACCCAAGAACCCTGGGGTTTGGAGGGAGGGAGAGGCTAAGGGGCCTAATTGTGGTTCAAAAGAGGTCAGGGGTTAGTCACTGCTGAGGGCAGAGTGTTCATTATTGGACACAGGCACTTTTAGGCTGATGAGGGAGATGACAACAAAAGTCCACAACACCACAAATCACAAGGAACCTATGGACCCAGCAGGGTCTAGACAGGCTCAGAATGAAATGGCCACTAGAGAGTATCTCAAGCCATTAAAGAGCCACCAGTTGTTGAAGCCTGGAGCAGGGGTTGGCATTTTGTTTGTTTGTTTGGAGAGGAGACAGGGTCTCGCTCTGTCGCCCAGGCTGGAATGCAGCAGTGTGATTACAGCTCACTGCAGCCTTGACCTCCTAGGCTCAAGCAGTCCTCCCACCTCAGCCTCCTAGAGTAGCTGGGACTACCACCACGTGTGTGCCACCATGCCCAGCTAATTTTTGTATTTTTCTGTAGAGACAGGGTTTCACCATGTTGCCCAGGCTGTTTTTCATTTTTCTAAACGACCAGATAGTAAATACAGTTGACCCTTAAACAAAGCAGGTTTGAAATGCACAAGTTCACCTATATGCAGGTTTTTTTCAACCGAACAAAAAATACTGTATTCTCAGGATGTAATACCACATATACTGAGGGCTGTCTTTTCCTATACATCAACTGTAGGATTTGAGTATGTCAGATTTTAGTGTATGTGAGGGTCCTAGAACCAATCCCCCACATGTACCTGGGGATAACTATATTTTAGGACCTAGGGCCAAGAGAGAAAATTGAGATCATTATGTAGGCACTTAACATAACCATTAAAATGTAACCATTTTTAGCTCATGGCTGTAGAAAAACAGACCGCCAATC
Source organism: Homo sapiens (assembly GCF_000001405.40). NCBI lineage: Eukaryota > Metazoa > Chordata > Mammalia > Primates > Hominidae > Homo > Homo sapiens. The sequence goes on along the minus strand of NC_000001.11, from coordinate 155,327,229 downwards.
TCTGCCCTAAAGGATCATCACTAGAGAGTTTCAAATGAAGCCGCTAGGAGATCTGAGAGAGTCAGAAGGTCATAGAAAGGACAAGGTACCCCATTACCTGGACTTTAGGGCTCCATTCTCATTTTCTGCGGGGCCCCCAGGCACTCCAAATAGTCTTCCCAACCAGAGGCCCCTGCCTGGTGCCATCTCATCTGTGGGCAGGGGTCTCTCCTGTGCACCTTCTTCAGCTGCAGTCCCATGACGCCCCGGTGCCCATCGGGAAAGAGGAAAGCCCTCAGTGCCCCCAGAGGCATAGACCCGGGAGGCCTGGGTCAACTGCTCCCACCAGCTCCCTGGTGTGGGAAGGTTTGGAGAGTCAGAGGGGTCTGAAGCAGCTTCCTTGGAAGTCCCCCGAAGGCTCTGGGCCAGCCGGCCCCCAAAGTGCAGCATGGCTTGCATAGTCTGCTGCAGAGCTGGAGGTGGGCCTGGAGGGGCAGGGGCCTGAGGTGGGCCCAGGGGCAGGTGGTGGTGGTGCTCAAAGAGCAGGTCCAGGTGGAAAGTGAGCACCGACAATGGCTGCAGCAGGAGCAGCAGCTCTGTGGACAGGGAGGGACAACCACCGCGGGCCAGGGAGAAAAATCCTGTTGGCAGGTACAGGAGGGAGAGCAGGCCTGGAAAAGAGCAGGCCAACATCAGCTCCTGCCCTGGACCTAGTCCCAGAAGACCCCCCAGAGCAGCCCACCAGTCAGCACACATCTTCCCAGGCCTCACTCTGCTGGGCACTGGGGCAGAGAGGAGGAAGGATGTGGTGGGCTATAGGACTGACATCCCCGCCTGCATGGAACCTAGCCCAAATAGGAAGACACACACAGCAAGTGGTGACAAGTAACAGAGACAGTGCAAAGGCTACAGAGGAGGAGGACAGGAGAGCCATAGAAGCACATACAAAATGAGGCGTGGGGGTTGGCCTAGTCCGAGGGTAGAGGTAGGGCCTCACTGGGGAAGGACTCAAAGGATGAATGATAGTTCAGAGGAAGCAGGAGGGGCAGAAGGTAGAGGAACAGCATAAGCAGGGCCCTGGAGCAGGAAGGGCCAGGCGGGAAGACTGTTGGCAAGACCCTCCAAGGCAGGGGAAGAGGGCAGAGGCCAGACAGCCAAGGCTTTGGGTCTTTCATCCTATGGGCGATGGGCCTCCTTAGAAAGTTTTAATTAGAAGAGTAATAAGATCGGAGATCTGGATTAATGGCATTCTGGCAGCAGTGGGAACCAGCAGGAGAGAACTCTTTCCTTCCCATCCTCCCAGCCCATCAGCCCCATCCTCTACCATCTGAACCTCTGACCTGCATCTTCCTGGAGACTGGAAAACCACAGCTCCAACTGCTTGGTGCTAGGGGAGAAAAGAGGGAATGGAAGTTCAGGGAGGTGGAGGACTCCAGTCCTCTCTGGGTGGAGGATGGGAGATGAGATTGGAAGAGGGGGGGCCTTCTCTGGGGATGTGAGGCACTACTACTGTGTCCCACCCATGACGCTCCTGCAGTCCCAGGTCGTGGGAAGGGCACTGGAAAGAAGGCAACTCACTTGAGGAGGCCCAGGATAAAGGCATGGAAGCGGCTACGGCTGCTGCTCAGCGGGGCTAGACGGCTGACCTGGCTATACAGGGTTCCAAGGGAGCGGGTGCTGGAGCCTGAGAACGTGGGGTGCAGTCAGCCAAGCCCGGCCCTGCCCTGCGCACTGCCGGGTCCCACGCCCTCCTGGCTCACCTGGCTTCACCGACGCCTCCACCACGCTCCAGGGGCTGCTCCTGCGCTGCCCGGTGATGAGGTCCTTCCGGAAAGGCTTCAGCCCGTCCGCCACCAGGGCGTGGAGGGCCGGGCAGAGGGTGGTCAGCACCAGGTGCCCCACATCCGGGCTCAGCCGGCTATCACCCAACTGGGCCTGGAGGTGGCGCGATGCCGATGGCTCCAGAGATCCCTCCAGACACCTCCCAGCCACCTCCCGCCAACCATTCCCGCACCCCCCGCGGAGCTCCATTACTCTCCTCATCCCAACAGCCTCCCCCCAGCCACCTTCACCTTCTGCACCAAGTTCCGGGCGGCCCCGAAATGCGAGATGATTTTATCAACGGAGACGCTGACGGCTATCAGAAGACCTGGGAGGAGTGGGAAAGGGAAGACGCTAGGAGGCCGCGCCCCTACCCAGGCTTGCCCGAGGGGCGTGGAGAGACTGCCTTCGGACAGCCTGAGAGCAGGGCCGGGGGCGAAGGGCAGTTTATTCGGAAGCGCGGGGTCGGGAGTCAGGGTGCCCTACCTTTCTTCTGCTCCTGCAGCTGACCAGTCCCACTCTGGGCTTCTGCCATCCACAGCCGCTGGGCTCCGGGGACACCGGCGAAGGACCACGAACTACGGACTGGCGTAAGGGAAGAAGGGCGCGGTAACACTTACCAAGTGTTATTCCGAGGACTCCGGGCTCCCGCACAAGTTGTCTCCGGCGGGTCTGCAGTGCTGTGTCCCCGAAGGGTCTTGGGGAGAGGAGGCGCAGGACCGCCTGAAGCACGGGGTAGCTCGACCCGAGCCCCGGAGTGAAATCTCGCACACTTCCCAGCACTCGCTGTCCCCCAGCCCCATCCCGGTTCCCTGTGCCCTCCCTCAGGGCACAGCCCCCACCTCCAGGATCCCGGAACTCCGGGAGCGGGATGGCCGCGCTCACCTCCCGCCTGCCCTGCTAGGGCCTGTAGGGCGGGAGAGGACGGGGCGCGGGGAGGGAGGTGTAGCCCAGCGCACCGCCCCGGGGCCCAGTCCTGCCTGCGGAGCCCCGGGGAGCACGTGGGCGGCATGGACCAATGGAAAGACAGACAGGGGAAAGGGAGGAGACGGAGGGAGGCGAGACCCGAGGATTGGGAGGCTGGAAGGCGCCGGAAAGGGGAAACCCGGGTCCCGCAGCAGCCTCTTGGCGGAGGGTGCCCTCTTCATCCCGCGTGGGACTGGACTCGCGGAGAGGGCGTGGCCAGAACCTCTAGTGCCAATGAGCTCCCGGGAGCTTCACCCTCCACCCCTCCCTAGCAAGGTCGGGGGGCAGGCCCGAGCTGCACAGGCCAAGGAATTCCACAGAGGGTGTGACCCAAAGCCCCTAACAACAGACTCGCTGGGACCCCCTAGACTTGGCATGGAGGCTGGGTAAGCCCGCGTCCACTATGCCCAGGTGGGTCTGGAGGGAGAGGGGGCCGGCCCACGGAGCAGGAAAGGCAACAACTTCCCCCTCCAGCACTAGGAACGGGGCCAGACTCCCCAAGGCCGACAAACTTGCTTGGAGTCGGCTTAAACTGAAGGGCGGGACTAAGCTGGGCAACCCCGGAAAAAAAGCGAAAACGGGGCCGGGCGAGAGTGGGCGGGGCGGCCCGCCTGAGGCGTGGCCCGCGGGGCTAGCCCGGGTCCGTCTTACGTAGCCTGGGCGGAGGCGATGGGCTCCTGGTCCAGCGAGGGGCCTTCGGCGGACGAGGTTGCGGTGGCAGCGGGGGGGCGGGTACCTGGCGGGGTGGGGGAGCCGCGGCGGGGAAGGTGCTACTTCTGGGAAAGAGCGGGGACAGCAGCAGTGCCAGCTCGGGGCTGGCCAGGCAGGGCAAGGCTCCCCGAGTCGGAGGCGAATAGGCTCCCACCGGGGACAGGCGGACGGGCAGCAGCTGCTCCTCTGGGGGGCTCGGCGCCCCCAGCAGCCGCAGCCCGGCGCCGGGCCACCCGGCCAGAGGAGCCAGGAGCAGAGACCCAGCTGCGCCTGCGCCCCCACCCTCCAACAGGGGGCGCCCGTCGGCCGAGAACCGGAAAACCAGGGGCCGAGGGAGCAGGAGGGGACCGGCTGCAGGCGGGATTGGCGGGGCCAGGCGCAGAGGGAAGGAGGGCAGCGGGATGGGCAGCCAGGCAAGAAGGGGCGGGAAGAAGAGGGAGCAAACAGTTAGTCCCATAACCCAATGACCCACCCAGTTTCCCTTTCCCGGAGCGCTCCCTGGTAGAAGGGGCGGGGAGGATGGGTGACACAGAATGGAGGGAAGACAGGGGGCCGGGTTGGAAGCCTAGGAGGCGTGAGCGGCCGAAGCCCAGCCCTCCTCCCGCTTCTTGCGACCTCTTACCCTCCAGGCCGGCCTGCGCGCCCGGCTCCTTCGCGGCTGGGGCCTCCTCGCCAGCCGCTGGGCTGACAGCCCGGCCCTCCTCGGACTGCCCCTCCGCTATGGGCTGCAGTCCAGGTCGGTTCTTCTTCCTTCGGGGAGGGACAGGCGGGGGTGGGGGCCGGGGCGGGACCAAAGCCCAGCCAACTGGGGGGTCTCGAGGCGGGACTGGCGGGGCTGGGGCCCGGCTTCGGGACCGGAGTTCCTTGAAGGTGGTGACTTCCCGAGGAGGTGCCGAGGAGCCGCCCGGCGACCCCGAGGGGGGGAGCTCGGTGTCGGGCGAGAAGACTATGAGCCAGTCACTGCGATCTTTCTTCGCCTGCGGGACAAGGGGCAGCCCTGGGCCCCGCTTGCGCTTCTGGGCCAGCTCGTGGAAGGACGTGATTGTCCGGTGGGGCACCGGCTCCTCGCTGACGTCACTTCTCCATCCTCCATCAATTTTCCCTGCATCTGTTTTCGAGCCAGAATCAGTTATTCTTGTGTTGGTTTTCCAACCAGAGTCGAATTTTTCAGGTTCACTTTTCCAGCTAGAGTTAACATTCCCGTTGTTTTTCCAACCAGTGTTATTGTTTTCAGTGGTTTTCCATTCAGCTTTAGTTTTCTCTGTGTCAATTTTCCAAATTGGGTTAATCTTCCAACTGGGCTCCGTTTTCCCAGCGTCGATTTTCCCATCATCCGCCTCTAAGAGCTCAGAGGTAGGGAGATCCTGCTCCGCCCTCTCGTCCTCTTCCTCCAAGCCTGGGGAAGGGACGTCCTGGCAGGTGGTCAGGGCGTTGCAGTTCGAGTCCAGGCCAGGATCGGGTGAAGAAGAAGCTCCGGAGCAGGAATCAGGAGAGCAGCAGAAGCTGTCCGGTGAGCAGGTGCCAGGGCCTGCTGAAGCCAGTGGGGAGCCCTGCTCCAGGGGGATGATACTGGGCTGAGGGTGGGCATCCTCATCACCAGGGAGGTCCCGCAAGTAGACTGAGACAGGGGACTCATCGGGGCTAAGATCTGAGCAGGAGCTGAGTGAGGAGGAGCAGCCTGGGTCTGAGGGAGAGGCAGCCCCCTCTTCCTCCTGTGACGGGTCCTGCCGGTTTTCTAGGCCCGGACCGTGCTCCTGGCAGCACCGGCAGGGCACAGCTGGGCTGTTGGAATTGGCGTCCACCAGGGTGCCACTGCAGGGGCCCCTGCTCTCCTTGCCCCCAGTGTCTCCTGGAGGAGGGGGTGTGCTCAAAGGCCCCTCCTGTAGCTCAGGACGGCGGGACAAGTGCAGGCCCAGGGAGACGTGCTGGAGGTGGATGTGGTTGAGGTTGCAGAGTAAAGCTCTCTGAGGGGACAGCATGATGCTAGCGGCGATGGGATGGCTTCTAGAGAACCAGAAGGGTAGGGTCTCTCACATCCACCTACCTGGCAACCACAGGTGCAGACCTAGAAGACAGAGGTGGTGAAGCCCGGCCAGTGAGGACAAGAGCTGCGGGGAAGGACACCGAGGTGACTTGACGGCAGCAGCAGGCCTGAAGGCTCTGGCTGCTTTGGAAGATATTTCAATGAGATGCAAATCGCAATCGACTGACCATTAGTTTCCACTGCAGTGTTTGCAGATGGAGTCGAATGTAACCCCCCGGGAATGGAGCCGGGAGGGTCAGAGAACGCGGCTGCGCTCTGGATCTCCGAAGGGGGGCGGGGGCCTGGAAGAGGTCCGGGCCCAGAATGGACCTCCAGGTCCCTGCTGCCGCAATCTGGCCCTGCCCTCCAGCCTACCCCTTACTCCCAGAGGAAGGGACCCAGGGAGACCCACCCAGATGCCCTGAAAGGAGGTGGAGGATGGGGGTGGGGCAATACGCAGAGTTTGTCTGGTGAATGCAGGAAAGGGGTGGGGGCTGGAGAGGAAAAGGATGGAGCAGCCGTCAGCTTGTCAACTCCGCATCTGCTGGCTGCCTCGGCCGGGCTCCAGCCTGCGCCCTCGCCCCTCGGAACAGCGGTATGTCCATTCTCTCCGCATTCGTCTCCATCGTTCAGCCACCACCGCACCCTTTCTCTATTCATTTCTCCTGCTCCCTTGTCCTGCCCCGCCCCTCGTGCCCAGGTCCATCGGTCTACACCCATGGGCCGAGCCCTCCTCACCAGGGTCCTCCTGGAACCGCTCCGGCCTTGGGCTTGTCCGCGGCTCCCACGGTCCCCGCCCGGCGGGGCACAGAGCGGGAGGGGAGGGGCACTAGCACAACCTACCCTGCGCTGCGCAGCTGCACCCCTTCGCGCATGGGCGTGGCGTAGCTCAGACCCGCCCCCAGCGTTTAGCGTCTTTTGTCACCCACCTAGAGGGTTTGATATATCCTAAGCTTTTGGCCCCTGGGTCCTGGTTCCGTGCAGCGAGTCCTCCCAGCACCCCACCCTGCACATTCTGGAAAGAGCCAGACTCTGGCTGGGCCGAGCAAGAACAGAACCACAAGAAGGTTACACGATTATTTATTGAGAGCCTCCTCTCCCCGCCCTTGCAATCTCTAGGTCACTTTCTCCGCTTGTAGATTTTGCGCGCAAGCCCCAGAAAGACGGCTGGGGGCAGGGGTGCTGCGTACTGTTCAATGAGAGCCATAATGTGGCTGTAACTGTCTTCCTCATATTGCAAGAACACTGCTGGCAGATCCAGCTCCTCATATAGCGCCTTCACCCGGGCCACTTTCTCAGCCTCCTTCTGCCCGTAATTTTCCTGGAAGAGGTTGAAAGACAGGAAAACGGGCTTGGCCTTCCCCAGAGCCTCCAGGACCCCTCCACTCCCCTCATTCACATATTCCAGAACATCTCCAAAGCCACCCACTCCTTTCCTCCCTCCAATTTTCAAGTGTCTCTACGTAGCTAAAATCCCAAGCTTCCCTTCCCTATCCCAAATATTGCCTCATACCAGGCATCCTCTACTCCAGGGTTTCTCCACCTTGGCACTATTGAAATTTGGGACCAGATAATCCTGTCTGGGGGAGCTGTTCTGTGTACTACATGTTTGGCAACATCTTTGGCTCCTGCCAACTAGATGTCTGTACCACATGCACACACACAGAGTTGTAATGACAATGGCAAAAAATGTCTGCTGACATTGCCAAATGTCCCCTCGGGAGGAAAACTGCCTCTAGTTGAGAACCACTGCTCTATCCCTTTCCACCAACTCAGGGACCCACCACCCTCTCTCAGGCACCTTCAGGATCTGGTACTGTTCTGGAGTGGCCCGTTGCAGACACTGAACCACCAGCCAGCTGCATTTGTTGTCCTGGATGTCAGTGCCAATTTTGCCGGTCACACTGGGGTCCCCAAAGAGGTCAAGGTAATCATCCTGGGCAGGGAGGGGGAGGGCAGCAAAAGAGGAAGGATGAGGTTCCTGGGCAGAGGAGGAGTGAAGCTGGTGCCTGTTCTCTGCTACTGCCTCCTGCCTTCTTACCTGAATCTGAAAGAACTCCCCCATCTCCAGCAGGATCTTCTTGGCATTGGCGTGCTCCTTCTCGCCATCAATTCCTGCCTGCAGGGAAAGGGGGGTTAATAAGCCAAACCCCAGGGGTGCCGGCATCTTCCTGGCTGCTTCCTCCCATGGGGTCTTGCCCTACTGCAGCCCCAAATCTTTCCTCTCTCTTCAGACATCTTGGCTTCCCTGACCTAGACAGTCCTGACTGATGGTCCAACCTCAATCCCACTTATTTTTGGCTAGGCCTTCCTGGGAGTCATAAAAGAGATGAATCCATTCTAGAGGTGCACAGCCTGTCTCTTCCCTCACAAATGTCAGTCCCCAAGTCATTCTGATCCACCTTCCTAATATTTTTGCCACCTCCAACTTCTTTCAAGATGAAAAGGAAATGTAGAGAAGCAAGGTCAGGGTAGACACTTAATCCCACTGACTGTCTTTAATCCACTCTTCTCCCTCTCAACCTGGATGATCTCCACACTCCTATCCATACTCAGATACAGGATATATTGTTCCCCTATTATGTGCTAAGCACTTTCATATCCCTTGCCTTGCTTAATCTTTACAGTCCTGTGAAGTAGGAATTTTATCCCCAGCTGAGGAAAGAGACTGAGCGAGACCGACTTGCTCAAGGTCACACAGTTTTTCACCAGGGGTAGCAGTGTTCACGTTTTCTGCTCTATGCCTTGCTGTCCAAAAGCCCCCATCAGCAGAGCAGAGAGGGGTGAGGAGGCTCACTCACCATGTACATGGCTGCAGCTATAGGAAGGTAGAAGGAGTAGAAAGCTGTCTTGTACTTGACAATAGATTTGTACCTGAGTAAGGGGAGAAGAGAAACTCCTCAGGAGGGCAATGCACATCCTGAGCCCTCCCTCGCTGTCCAGACATGGTTCGCGCTGTCCCTCACCTCCCCTCACCTCTTTTCAGTGAATCTGACAAGATCCACATTGCCCTGGGGGGCTGTGAGGAGGTCCAGGGTCTGCCCAATCTCAGTCTGATAGGAACTCTAAGCAAGACAAAGACGGTCCATGAGCCAGGCTTTCTCCAGATATGCGAAACCCTGGTATCCCAAGCCCAACATCCCATACCAGCTGACAACTGGGCAGAATCAGAAAGGCAACAGAAGGGGAGAAAGCCCCAAAACTTAAGGCCCATATTCATACACACAGTCCTTTATCACCCTTTCTTCCAATTACACAGGACAGAGAAGCCCTTTCTTGCCACTACCACAACCCCACTTCCCAACACCCTTCCTCGCTTTCTTTCCCTTCCAGGCACGCTGCAATCCTGTACCCTGAAACCAGCTAGATGAGCATGTCCTATAGAGGCCAAGGCTACCATGGGCACCCTCTGGGCATCGGGCCCTGTCTGCAATACACCTGCAGGAAGAGCTCGATCAGGTTCAGGTAATAGGGCTGCTCCCGGCAATAGAGCTTCAGCAGGCGGTAGATACATGCTTCCAGGAGGTTAGCATCATTGATGGCATCCAAACCCACGCCCGGCTGTCATGACAGACAGAAAAACAAGCAATCAATCTCTAGTCTCGGTTCATACTAAGAGCCATCACCCCAACACCTCAACCAGGCCATATATAACCACCTCCCTGTGGCCTGTCCCCATACCCACTGCTATTTTCCTGCCCACATTACCTTCTGATACCAGCAGATCTGTCCCCGGCGGGTAAGGGATGAATCCATGATGTCATCTGCCACCAGGAAGAAAGCTTGCAGCTAGAAAGAGTGGAATAAGACCTGCAGGGCTCCTCATTACTGTTCCTTCTATCAGCAACAGAGCTGCTACTTTATATCTGTATATAGTTTTGCTTTTTTTTGGTAGGGGACAGAGTCTCACTATTATCCAGTGCAGTGGTGCAGTCACAGCTCACTGTAGCCTCTAACTCCCAGGCTCAAGTGATCCTCCCACTTCAGCTTCCTGAGTTCCTGAGACCATAGGCACATACCCCATGCCTGGCTATTTTTTTTTTTTAATTTATTTTTTGTAGAGACAGGGTCCCACTATGTTGCTCAGGCTGGTTTTGAACCCCTGGGTTCAAATGATCCTCCTGCCTCAGCCTCCCAAATTACTGGGATTACAGGCATGAGGCATCACAGCCGGCCAGAGCTGCTGCCTTTGACAGTCCCTATGAGCTGGGAAAGTCAGGATGGGGAGACAGAAGACTTCTGTGCTATGGAGACTTGGAAAGTGACATAACATGTTTGGCTCAGACTCCCCGCCTATAAAATGGAACTAAAACACTCTTGTTTTAGGTTAAGAAACTAGAACAGATCTTTGACATCTCTAATGAGCCCTAGATTATTCCTGGTGTCAGGGAGATTAGGAAACACCTTCATATACCGTACTCTATTCTTGCCAAAAACCTCAATGAATGCTTAAAGTAAGATCTATTCATGAAACTGACTTCACATTACTTCCTAAATAAAAGAAGGCTATTCCCACATTGCCCCCAGCACTGTGTTTGAACACCCTGGTGACTAGGAACACAGCCTTACCTAAAGCAGCTCCTTAGCAGTGCAGGTCTAATAAGGTGGAACTGAAATCTGACTTTGACCTATGAGTCTCAGACATCTTTAAACATCTTTAAACATTAACTAAGGGCTTACTCTTCTGAGTGCCCATCTGAAGGTACCTGAACGTGTCGGGTTTCCCACTAGACCATGATCTCCTTGGAAGCAGGGACAGTAACTTCCCCCTCTTAGCATTTGCAGAGCCTAGCACAGCATTAGGCCTGGAGTGAGAGTTTCCTAAACACTTGTCTGACAAAGAAATTAATAAAACACTCTAACATTCCCTGTGATACTTCTTGCAGTCAGTCAAACTATGTTTTGGTTCCTTAAATAGCTTTTCTTTTTTTTTTTTTTTGAGATAGAGTCTCACTCTATCACCCAAGCTGGAGTGCAGTGGCGCCATGTGGGTTCACTGTAACCTCCGCCTCCCAAATTCAAGCGATTCTCCTGCCTCAGCCTCCCAAGTAGCTGGGACTACAGGCACCTGCCACCACCAACTGCTAGGCCAGCTAATTTTTGTATTTTCATTCAGTAGAGACTGGGTTTTGCCATGTTGGCCAGGCTGGTCTTGAACTCCTGACCTCAAGTGATCCGCCTGCCTCGGCCTCCCAAAGTGCTGGGATTACAGGCGTGAGCCATCGTGTCTGACCATTAAATAGCTTTTCAAGACATGGTTTGGGTTGCTTTTTTAAAGAGACAAGGGTCTTGTCATGTTGCCCAAGTTGGACTTGAACTCCTGGGCTCAAGTGATCCTCCTGTCTCAACTCTTGAGAATCTAGGGATATAGGCACACACCAGCGCACCCAGCTCAAGACATGGTTTTTATTTTCATAACTTATTTCCTTTTTTTGTTTTTCCACTTCTAGATACATACCCAGGTTTTTGTTTTTGAGATGGAGTTTCACTCTCATTGTCCAGGCTGGAGTGCAATGGCGCAATCTCGGCTCACTGCAACCTCCGCCTCCCGGGTTCACGCGATTCTCCTGCCTCAGCCTCCCAAGTAGCTGGGATTACAGGCACGTGCCATCACACCCGGCTAATTTTTGTGTTTTTAGTAGAGACAAGGTTTCACCATGTTGGTCAGGCTGGTCTCGAACTCCTGACCTCACGTGATCCATCCACCTTGGCCTCCCAAAGTGCTGGGATTTTAAGTGTGAGCCAATGCACCCGGCCCTATACCCAGGTTTTAATTTTTATTATTATTTTCTTTTGAGACAGGATCTCACTCTGTCACCCAGGCTTGAGCAGAAGACATGGTTTGTGTGTTTTTTTTTTTTTGAGATGGAGTTTCGCTCTTGTTGCCCAGGCTGGAGTGCAATAGCGCGATCTTGGCTCACTGCAACCTCCGCCTCCCGGGTTCAAGCGATTTTCCTGCCTCAGCCTCCTGAGTAGCTGGGATTATAGGCATGTGCCTCCACGCCTGGCTAATTTTTTTTTTGTTTTTTGTTTTTTGTTTTTTTTTGAGACAGAGTCTCGCTCTTGTTGCCCAGGCTGGAGTGCAGTGGCACAATCTCAGCTCACTGCAAGCTCCGCCTCCCAGGTTCACGCCATTCTCCTACCTCAGCCTCCCAAATAGCTGGGACTACAGGCGCCTGCCACCATGCCCGGCTAATATTTTTTTTGTATTCTTAGTAGAGACGGGGTTTCACCATGTTAGCCAGGATGGTCTCGATCTCCTGACTTCATGATCCGCCCGCCTCAGCCTCCCAAAGTGCTGGGATTACAGGCATGAGCCACTGCGCCCAGCCTAATTTTGTATTTTCAGTAGAGATGGGGTTTCCCCATGTTGGTCAGGCTGGTCTCGAACTCCTGACCTCAGGTGATCCACCTGCCTCAGCCTCCCAAAGTGCTGGGATTACAGGCATGAGCCACTACACTTGGCCTAGAAGACATGGTTTTTAAGACTTTATCCCATCCTAATCCTGTGTGCTGTAGTGGATCCACATTGCAAAGGAAGCATGCAACACCGCCTGCCAGAGCCCAGCATGGGCCGTGGGGAAAGGACCGTTGCAATCACTGCTGTTATAGGCAGGGTCCTCAGGGAAGGAGGCATCCATCTGCATCTTTACCTCTGACCTAAACTCAGAAGAGTAGTGTGGAGGTCCTGGGCTTTCCACATCAAAGGCACATGTTTAATTGACTCTGTGTTTATTTGGAGTAGCATGGTTTCCCTGAAGCCACCCATTCACTGCCTCTCCCAAGGGTGACTGCAAGGACAATCTTGTTTCAGCCACCACCACTCAACCATGATGGTCTCCAAGATAATTAATTCCATGGCCTCCCCAAATTTCCTCTGCCTCCTAGCACTGATTCTTAACCCCACCAGCACTTTCTATTTATTAGGGAAATTAAAAAAAAAAAAAAAACCCAGGCCAGGCACAGTGGCTCACACCTGTTATCCCAGTACTCTGGGAGGCCGAGGCAGGCAGATCACTTGAGCCCGGGAGTTCAAGACCAGCCTGGGCAACATAGTGACACTCCATCTCTACCAAAAAACTATTTAAAAAGCCGGGCGTGGTGGTAGGCACCTGTAGTCTCAGCTACTTGGGAGGCTGAGGTGGAAGGATCGCTTGAGCCCAGGAGGTCGAGGCTACAGTACACCATGATTGCACCACTACACTCAAGCCTGGGCAACAGAATGAGGCTTTGTCTCTAAAAAAAAATTTAGACCAGGCGTGGTGGCTCACGCCTGTAATCCCAACACTTTAGGAGGCCGAGATGGGCAGATCACTCGATGCCACAAGTTCAAGACCAGCCTCAGCAACATGGTGAAACCTAGTCTCTAAAAAAAAAAAGCCAAGTAGAGGCTCGCTCCTGTAGTCTCAGCTACTTGGGAGGCTGAGGCGGTGGAAGGGTGGCTTCCGCTCCAGAGGCAGAGATTGCAGTGAGCCAAGATCATGCCACTGCACTCCAGCCTGGGTAACAGAGTAAGACCCTGTATCAAAAAAAAAAAAAAATTAAAAATTTTTAAAAACTTACAGGTGAAACTAGGGTGCTGCTAGGGTTAAGAACTGATTCTAGGCCAGGTGCAGTGGCTCACACCTGTAACGCCTGTAATCCCAGCGCTTTAGGAGGGCGAGGCAGATGGATCACAAGGTCAGGAGTTCCAGACCAGCCTGACCAATATGGTGAAACCCCGTCTCTACTAAAAATACAAAAATTAGCCAGGGATGGTGGCATGTGCCTATAATCCCAGCTACTTAGGAGACTGAGGCAGGAGAATTGCTTGAACCTGGGAGGCAGAGGTTGCAGTGAGCCAAGATGGTGCCACTGCACTCCAGCCTGGGCAACAGAGAGAGACTCCATCTCAAAAAAAAAATGAACTGATTCTACCAGTTAACCACTGGCCCCTCAAGGTCTTGCTTCCCTTGGCCCCCATAGCTTTACTCCTCTGCTCTGCCCTCATCCTCCTTCCCTTCCTTCCTTGCCTGTCATCTCCATATTTTGAACCCCTCAGCCCCTCAGCATCCCTGTCATCCAGGGCCCTCTCCCTGGATGCCATGGGCCTATTACCTCCTTGGAAGCAAATCTCTATTCTCCAGACCCATCTCCCCGACAAGTTCCAGACTGGAATTTCCACCGCCCACAGGACAGGCAGATCCACCTGCTCCACCCATACCAAGAACGTACCCGGGCTGACTGTGCTCAGCACGTCTTCCCTTGAGCCAGCTGCTCCTCTCAGGCCAGGCACTCAGCATCATCGTCACTCACCAAGTTCTGAATGCTCTTCCCTTTTGGGCTCACTGCCACCCTCCTCGGGCATGGCACCCCTCCCAGAACCCAGTCCCCCTGCCACTAATGAAAGCTTTAGGCCATGCCAGCAAACTAGACACCTTCAAGACCAAGACGAACTGGTATAGAAGACAAGGGGATGTGGGGATTGGAGCAAACTAGAGAAAGCACACAGGAGAACACATGCCGTCTTGCAGAAGTTGCATCCACTCAGCTTCAGCCAATTGTTGCTATGCGGGAACATGGACCCAAATCTTACAATTTCCCAAGCCATGCTAGAAATCTAGGTTTTAGTGTGAAATCTCTTTGTTAAATTTAGGAGACTTAATTGTAAAACATTTTCAAAATACTGTCAGTGAGCTGCCAGTTTTCAATTTCTGCTTCTGAATAGCCTTTGGAAGACCTCTGTCACCTTTTTTTTTTTTTTTTTTTTTGAGATGGAGTTTCGCTGTTGTTGCCCAGGCTGGAGTGCAATGGTGCAATCTCAGCTCATCGCAACCTCTGCCTCCCAGGTTCAAGCGATTCTCCTGCCTCAGCCTCCCGAGTAGCTGGGATTACAGGCATGTGCCACCACATCCAGCTAACTTTGTATTTTGAGTAGAGATGGGGTTTCTCCATGTTGGTCAGGCTGGTCTCGAACTCCAGAACTCAGATGATCCTCCCCCTTGGCCTCCCAAAGTGCTGGGATTGCAGGTGTCAGCCACCATGCCCGGCCTCCTCTGTCACTTTTATAGCCATCCTCTGCTCAGAGGAAAGAGCTGACACCTCTCTGCCCAGTCTCGAGGCCCCAGTCCACACTGTCTACAACTATCTACAGCCATCTTCATACCTAATGCCAAAAGAGGCTCCCCACATTAGTTAACCCTTGGAGTGATTCACTCTAAATTTGGCCGTAGCACACTAGAGACAAAGAAACACAAACACAACCCAGAAATAAGTTTCAGGCCCATCCCTCCCCTTCCCACCCAAGTCACCACCATTGCAGGAAACTTCTTCTCCCTTGCCCTACCCCTCTCACCAGTTCCACACACCAGCCCACAGTCCAGGCCCGCTGGAGACTATCAGCATCCTGTTTCCTTGGCTCCACCAGCTCCCGGAATGCTACTACCACCGTCAAACCCCGGTTATACTTGCCTCCAATGGCATTGTACTCCAGGACCTGGAGGGCAAGGAAAGAGGTACAGGGTATCAGGGTCCATACAGCAGCTACTGTGAGTTTTCTCCTTGCTCTCTCCCATTTCCAACCACCACCTAACTTTATCCTCCCCAACCCCAACTCCTCTTCAAGGAGCCTCTGGAATTGCTACTGTCTTTACTCCTTCCCCAAATTTCTGGAGCAAAGCTAGAAGAGGTCCCAGTACCCAGGCACATTCTTTCTGCATGGTCTACCCTAGTAAATTTATTTTTTGTTTTTATTTATTTATTTATTTATTTATTTTTTTGAGATGAATTCTCTCTCTGTTACCCAGGCTGGAGTGCAGTGGCACGATCTTGGCTCACTGCAACCTCTGTCTCCGGGTTCATGAAATTCTCCTGGCTCAGCCTCTCGAGTAGCTGGGATTACAGGTGCCCACCACCATGCCCATCTAATTTTTGTATTTTTAGTAGAGACAGAGTTTCACCATGTTGGCTAGGCTGGTTTCGAACTACTGACCTCAAGTCATCCACCCGCCTTGGCCTCCCAATAAATTTAAAACCTCCATAGTGCAGATTAAATGCTGCTCCCAAACCCAGAACAGGGCTTGAACCCACGGAAAACTCAGTACATGCTATAGGGATGACTGGCTTGTTCAGGTCCCTCCCCAGTTTCCTTCCCCATCCCCACCTCTCCTAGACTTCCCCTTCACAACCCATCCCTACTTTTCCAGCCACCTCTGCCTACCAGGGTTCAACCCTCCTGCAAATGAAAAGCCTCCTTCATTATATTAAAACAAAGCCTCTCCAAAGTCAGCCAGAAGACAGCTTACAGGGGACCCACGCTGTGGGATCCATCTCCCACTCCTCCAGTAGTGTCTCCTCTTGCATCTCACTTTGCCTTCTGCTGCCTGGCTATCAATCAGACCTAACTAACAGGGAAGACTTCATCTCGCTATGTCACTCAGGCTGGAGTGCAGTGGCACAATCACGGCTCACTGCAACCTCCGCCTCCCAGGTTCAAGTGATTCTCCTGCCTCAGCCTCCTGAGTAGCTGGGACTACATGTGGGCGCCACCACGCCCAGCTAATTTTTGTATTTTTAGTAGAGACGGGGGTTTCACCATGTTGACCAGGCTGGTCTCGAACTCCTGACCTCATGATCCCCCCCACCTCAGCCTCCCAAAGTCCTGGGATTACAGGCGTGAGCCACCATGCCGGGCCAAGACTCTTTTAATCCCCATTCCAGTATAGGCAAAGCCCCCCTTTCCCTTCATTCCCCTGAGATATATGAGATAGACAGCATTTATAAAAAGAATTTTAATAGATACTCCAGAATCAACAGGAAAAAAATTGGCAAGTATCACAGCAATAGTTCATGTTCTAGAATAGGGGTTTCTAATGATACAATAACTTCACTCAGGCCCCAGGGAGATAGGACAATATCAGACTGCCTTCTTCCCCGGTCTCTGCCAACCTAACAGCTTCTGATTTCAGGACACAAAATCTAAGACTTGCCAGGTTCAAGGCCTCCACCCCCAAAGCAAAGCAGTTTGGATGACCCACCTTCCATCAGAGCCAAAAGTCCGGTTGATGGACTGAGTAAGTATACTTGCCCAGGCCCCAACCTCTCCAGAGCAGACTCGAGTCCCTCAGGTAAAAGCTTTCTCGGCCAGGCGCGGTGGCTCACACCTGTAATCCCAGCACTTTGGGAGGCCGAGGTGGGTGGATCACCTGAGGTCAGGAGTTCGAGACCAGCCTGGTCAACACAGTGAAACCCCGTCTCTATTAAAAATACAAAAGTTTGCTGGATGTGGTGGCACGCACCTGTAATCCCAGCTACTCAGAAGGCTGAGGCAGGAGAATCACTTGAACCCAGGAGGTGGAGGTTGCAGCAAGCCGAGATCACACCATCGCACTCCAGCCCAGGTGACAGAGCAAGGCTCTGTCTCAAAAAAAAAAA
This sequence comes from Homo sapiens, assembly GCF_000001405.40. Taxonomy (NCBI): domain Eukaryota; kingdom Metazoa; phylum Chordata; class Mammalia; order Primates; family Hominidae; genus Homo; species Homo sapiens. Next base: position 155,310,317 of record NC_000001.11, on the reverse strand, counting down.
AAAAGCTTTCTCTCACATCTGTCAAAAGTCCCCCATAAGCCACAGGTGAATGCCACACAGGTACAGAGCAACTGAACCAAAGCCTTACTCCCCCAAGTCATGAATCCCTCACCTCCTTGAGCCGGGCAATAGCATCTCCTATCTCTGGGTGCCCCATCTCATCCTCAGTCAGCACCCTAACGATCTGGGAGAAGTGCTGAACGAAATCCTGCTTTTCTTGGGCATAAACATCTGAATTCTGGTCTCCGTTCATTCTGAGGGAGGAGCAAAGGGCTCTAAGTAGAAGAAAAACAAGTCAGAAACCTGATCAGCTGCTCCCCTCCCCAAGGCCCCTCACCCCAACCACACTCACCGAGGTTCCTCTGTCCACGCTTGGCACCAGCAGCGGGCACTGTGCCAGGCCAGGACTGGGTACCCGTGCACCAGGGAGGGCCGCCGTAGGGAACCCAGCCACCTCTCCCGGGGTGCCCAGTAGGGGGCTGGCAGCAGGAAGACCCCCACAGATCTCAACCAGCGGGACAGGGGCATCCTGGGAGTGGCATAGGGAGGGGGCACTAAGCACTCCCTGCAGGGGCAAGCACCAAAGGCAGAGGCATGGTGGCAGCTCCCCAGATAACTCCCACCCCAGCCTTAGCCCAGAGTGCCCCTCCCTCTTGTGGAATGTGCTTGGGGACAATTACAGGAAGGATACGCAGGGAACAAAAAAGTATGGCTGGGTGACTGAGACCCAACTAATCACCACTTACAATAAACAGGCTAGAACTCAGTGCCTTCAAGATGGCGTGCACAAGGCTGGGTAAGGAGGCGGTACAGAGTAAAGTACCCCAGGATTAGGGGCTGAAAGGACCCTTAAGTCATCCTATTTTACACAAGCCAAACTGAGGCTCTAGGAGGTAGGAAGATAGTAGAGGCAGAGCCAAATCTAGAACCCAGGTCTCCCCTGGGCAGTGGAGAGGGGTGCCCAGGGTCTGAGTTACGCCCCAAGGAGGAAAGAAGCATTGGAGCGAGAACCCATGGGTGCTGCATCCATATGGTCCGGGGTGCTTGAACCGCGCGTCCCAAGCCCCACAGGAATCGCTAGGACTGAGCAGATAGGCTCGGAGCAACTCTGGACGGGAGAGAAGGGCTCGCAGCAAAGGAGTAAACCGGGGTCCGGGCATATTGGGGATTCCAGGAAAGCACAAGGGCAGAGTTGGGAAGTCTCCACACCCCTAGAAGGCCAGCCAGTCTAGCCCACCGACCTTCAAAACGGACACAACAGGCTGGCCTTCCGATGCCTCACAGTATCGTTACAGAAGTAAGGCCCGGTCTCGGCCCCCTTCCTCCAAGGCCCAGCACACATCCTCTCTCACCTGTTCCCAGATACGGATTCCTGCTCGGTCCCGCTTGTTGGCGGGTACTCCTAAAAGCAGAATCCGCTCCGCGATCGGCTCTGTGGGTCGAGTAGTTCCCGCTCTCCCCACACTAAGGGCGGAAATATATAATTAGACTACAACTCCCAATGTGCCCGCGGGAGGGACAGATAACGCGATCCTGCGTGTCCTGGCTGGGCGAAGATGAGCCGCGCTGATTGGCTGCTGGCCGTCGTGTGAGCATGGCGCACTGTGGCACTGTGACGGACGACCAATGGAAGGGCTGAAGTCTAGAGGTCGCGGCTGGAGGCGTCAGTGCCGGAAGCGAGCCAGGCTGGGAACGTCCCCGCTGTGGCTTTGGCTGCCTGTCTTACTCAAGTTTTCATTATCTTCCTGGGCAGCTGATTGGCACGTTAGTAAAACGCAGCAGGACTAGCTTTCTCACTTATTAGTTCTCTAACTTTAGGCAAATCATTTAACGTCTCTGATCCTCAGTGAACTTGCTTGAAACTAGCTTTCCTCATCTGTTGAATGAGGGTGGTAATACCATGAGGTAATGTGTGCAAAGTGCTTTAAGGGCTTAAGAAAGATGAGTCTTGGGCCGGGCACGGTGGCTCACGCCTGTAATCCCAGCACTTTGGGAGGCCGAGGCGGGTGGATCATGAGGTCAGGAGTTCGAGACCAGCCTGACCAATGTGGTGAAACCCCGTCTCTACTAAAAATACAAAAAAAAAAAATTAGTCGGGCGTGGTGGCGCGCGCCTGTAATCCCAGCCACTCAGGAGGGCTGAGGCGGGAGAATCGCTTGAACTCGTAAGGCAGAGGTTGCAGTGAGCTGAGATCCAGCGAACCACTGCACTCTAGCTGGGGAGACAGAGCAAGACTCCGTCTCAAAAAAAAAAAAAAAAAAAGATGAGTCTCACACTTGTAATTCCAGCACTTTGGGCGGATCACCTGCGGTCAGGAATCTGAGACCAGCCTGGTCAACATGGCAAAACCCCTTCTCTACTAAAAATACAAAAATTACCCAGGTGTGCTGGTCCGCGCCTTAATTCCAGCTACGTGGGAGGCTGCAACCTCGCTTCCCGGGTTCAAGTGATTCTCCTGGATTACAGGTGCCTGCCAGCATGCCCAGCTAATTTTTGTGTTTTTAGTAGAGAGGGGGTTTCTCCAGATTGGCCAGCCTGGTCTCGAACTCCTGACCTCAAGTGATCCAGCCACCTCGACCTCTGAAAGTGCTGGGATTACAAGTACGAGCCACTTGGCCCAGGCAGTTATTTATTGATTATAAGCTAAACAAGGGTTGGATTATTCATGCCTCTGCTTTGTAGACCATATACAGTTAACTCCCTGATGTCGACACAGCATGTGGTAGGAGTATAGCGTTGAAGACCACCAGAGGTCACTCTTGTTGCCATCTTGGTTTTGGTAGGTTTTGGCCAGTTTCTTTACTGCAATCTGTTTTATCAGCAAGGTCTTTATGACCTGTATCTTGAGCCAATCTCCTATCTCATCCTGTGACTTAGAATGCCTAAACCAACTGGAAATGCAGTCCAGTAGGTCTCAGCCTTATTCTACCCAGTCCCTATTCAAGATGGAGTTGCTCTGGTTCACGCACCTCTGACAATTATGCTAAGTGAAATAAGCCAGACTCAAAAGGACAGATACTGTATGATTCCGTGTATATAAGGTACTGTCACCGGTGGAGGGTGTCCAGGTTCTTGGCATCTTGAACAAAGAATTGGACAAAACACGGCTGGGTGCAGTGGCTCACGCCTGTAATCCCAGAGCTTTGGGAGGCCAAGGTGGGCGGATCACGAGGTCAGGAGTTCAAGACCAGCCTGGCCAACATAGTGAAACCCCATCTCTACTAAAAAATCCAAAATTAGCCCAGCATGGTGGCGCACACCTGTAGTGCCAGCTACTCGAGAAGCTGAGGCAGGAGAATCGCTTGAACCCGGGAGGCAGAGGTTGTGGTGAACCGAGATCGCTCCGGGAGGAATGAAACAGGAGGAATGAACAACTCCAGATGCGCGGCCTTAACAGCTGTAACACTCACCGCGAAGGTCTGCAGCTTCACTCATGAGCCAGCAAGACCACGAACCCACCAGAAGGAAAAAACTCCGAACACATCTGAACATCAGAAGGAACAAACTCCGGACACACCACCTTTAAGAACTGTAACACTCACTGCGAGGGTCCGCGGCTTCATTCTTGAAGTCAGTGAGACCAAGAACCCACCAATTCCGGATACATAAATCTGCATGTGTGAGTGTGGATATTGTGTGAGTGTTAGAGTGGAGTACGTATTTGTGTGTGTGTGTGGAATGGTGGGGAGCTTTGTGTATGTTTACGTGTGTGTATGTGTCTGACCAGGGGGCACCTCGTCTGTTAAGCTGCCCTGACCTCCTTCTGCCCTCACTCACAATGCTCTGTCTCTCCTGGTGTCCCTCTGTGTGCTGAGCACAGTTCTGTCAGTGCCCCCCGACTTCCTTTATTAAACCTGACTGGCCTCGCTCCTGTCTCCATCCCCACACTGAGCAGAGACCTGGGCCCAGTGGCCTCACCTCCTCCAGTCTGGCATGCGTCGGGGCACGGCCCATATGGGGGTTCAGTCCATGCCTGTGGAATGAAAAGCCACCTGCGTTTGTGTCTGTGCATGTGTGAGTGTGGCTGTTGGAGCATGTGTGTTTGTGGCAGGAGGGAGGGCTCTCAACTGACAAAGCTGAGTGTTGTGTTTGGATGCTGGGCTTCTGTTTCTCACCCACAGGCCTCTTGCTCAGGGATGATCCTGTGACAAAGTGCAGACCATGCTTCATGTGGTCACTTGTGGACCAGGGTCAGCCAGACTGCTGAGGAAACTGGCCTGATTTCAGGTCAAAGTGTCTGTCCCTTAGCTGGACAGGACACGGGCTGCTTTGGAGAACTGCCCCCCACCTCCTGCTAATCCCTTGGGACTGGGATATCTGGGATTCCTATCCTCCCAACTGGTTCTGGAGTCAGTTCAATATTGCCAGACCACAGCTGGGCGTGGTGGCTCATGCCTGTAATTCCAGTACTTTGGGAAGTGAAGGCGGGTAGATCACTTGAGCCCAGGAGTTCTGCACCAGCCTGGACAACGTGGTGAAACTCCATCTCTACAGAAAATACCAAAAAAAAAAAAAAAAAAATTAGCTGGGCATTGTGGTGCGTGCCTGTAGTCCCGACTCCTTGGGACGTTGAGGTGGGAGGATCACCTGAGCCCAGGAGATTGAGACTGCAGTGAGCAGAGATCATGATACTGCATTCCAGCCTGGGCTACAGAGGAAGGCCCTGTATCAAAAACAAAGTAATGCCAGACCATCCTTAAAGTCCCATGTCTCTGCCAACACCACAAGCACAAGGCCTGAATCCCCAGTCCCTGAAGTCTGCCACATTCTCTGTGGGTACAAATTTTGTCTCTCTTTATTTGTTGTGTCTTCTATATACAGAAAGATGAGGCCCCATGCTCATTTCCCTCCGGAAGTCCTCTCTACTATCTCTCTCTTTCTTTTCCAACTCCAGAGTCAGAGACTTCTCCCTTTCCCACCCACTGAAACAGTCCCAAGGGGCAGGCATGGAGCTTAGTGGTTACAGCTCGGGCTCTGGAGCTCCACTATCTGGGCCTGAATCCCAGCTCCACTCCTGACAAGACTTTTTGCATCAGACAAGTGTATTCGGTAGGGTTTCTTCAGGAAATAAAGAATTCTCTTAAATGGGATAATTTGAAGGTGTTTCATAACAGGATTATACAAAGGAATGGGCAGGGTGTTGGTAAACCACAACGGATAGTGCATTACCCCAGATCTAATAACAGTGGGCTTTGTTACCCCTGTAAGGTCCAAGGGATAGGGAGAGAATGGTCCCTAGAATGGCAACTGGGGAGGTAAATGCTCAACCTCACCCTCTCCATCTCATCTCCTATGGGTGCCACTCTCCAAACCCTACAGACGCCACTGTGCAAAGCCGTCAGCCTCCTGGCCCCACAGCAGAGTGGAAAAGGAACACACCTTGCTACGGCCCAGTTCCCTCATCTGTAAAACAGCCTGTTGATCCTACCTTCTTTCTAGGTTGTCACAATGATAAAAGGAGATGGTGTCCATGAGGCATGAATGCTGTTCCAGCACACAGGAAGTGTGCTCGATGAACAGCTCCAACTGTCTGACTATGGATTTTAATGATTAACTGGCTTCTCAAATTTAGCCTGTCAAAACAGAAAGCTTGAATTTCCCCCTACTTCAAACCTATTTCTTCCGTAGTCTCAGTTAGTGGCGCTACCATCTACCCAACTGCTCAAGCCAGACTCCTCGACACTAGAAGCCGCCCTCTCCACGGCTGTTTTGCCGTTCCACTCTGCTGGCTCTTCTCCAAAATGCATCTCCAAGCCGTCCCCCTCTCTTCGTCTTCACTGCCAACATGCTAGTCCATCACCTACCACCTAGATTCTTCCTAAGCCCGCAGTAGTTCTGCCTGTACCTACCATCTGTTCTTTTTTTTTTTTTTTTTTTTTTTTTGAGACGCAGTTTTGCTCTTGTTGCCCAGGCTGGTGTGCAATGGCATGATCTCGGCTCACTGCAACCTCTGCCTCCCGGATTCAAGTGATTCTCCTGCCTCAGCCTCCCAAGTAGCTGGGATTACAGGCACGCACCACCACACCTGGCTAATTTTTTGTGTTTTTAGTAGAGACGAGGTTTTACCGTGTTAGCCAGGCTGGTCTCAAACTCCTGACCTCAGGTGATCCGCCTGCCTTGGCCTCCCAAAGTGCTGGGATTACAGACGTGAGCCACCGCTCCCGGCTACCATCTATTCTTTACCCAGCAGCGGGAGGGACCTAAACCATCAGTTGGATCATGTCCATCCCCTGGGTAAACCCACCACATTACAAGATCCTGCTCAGGTCCCCTATCTTCACTATGGGCCACGACCCTGCACTCCAGGCACTCAGCCTCATTGCAGCTCTTTGTCTCCTTGGCACCAAGCTTTTTCTTCCTCAGAGCCTTGGCATATATTATTTCTGCCCCCGCCCCGCCGCCATGGAAAACCCCTTTCTCCATTTGCCCCCACCGGTTCCTTCTCATCCTTCAAATTTCAGCTTCAAAATAATCACTTCAAAGAGGCCTTCCTCAACCATCTCATCTTGTCTAAAATATATCCTCTAGGTCAGGCATGGTGGCGTGCACCTGTAATCCCAGCTACTCAGGAAGCTGAGGCATGAGAATTGCTTGAACCCAGGAGGCAGAGGTGGCAGTGAGCTGAGATCGTGCCACTGCACTCCAGCCTAGGTGACAAGAGTGAAACTCCGCTTCCAAAAAAATAAATAAATAAAATAAAATACACCCTCTCTCTTCTCCCACTGGCTTCTGTGTTCCAGCACCCTGATCCACTACTTAGTAGCACTTGCAAGGTTTGTAGTTACATATTTATTTCTCTGATACTTGTTGATAGTCTGTCTCCCCACTATACTGTAAATCTCACAGAGGGCAAAGGCCCTGTCTGTTTTGCTCACTACTGTGTCCTTAGGGCCTGATACAGCGTAGGTGCTCGATAAAGATTGGACAGTGGGGAATGGGCAAATGGTAACTAATGAATGCTATGATGATGATGATGCTATCAAAGCCCTTCCAGAGAATCCCACCAGTTAGTATCAGCTGAACCCACAGCTAGTGTCACACCAAAAGTGGCATCAGGGCAGCACTCACAAAGGATGCCCCAAACCATCCCAAGATGGGGCTGGTTGGGATTCCAGTGAATGAAGCACTAAATGCCAGGGCAATCAGGCCAAAGCATACATTAGGGGAACTTACCTACAGAACAGCTACTGCACATCCTTGCTGTGGACAATGGGACAAAGGGTGTTCTACCCAGGTATGTTCTCAAGGAGGGGTTCGGGGTATGGTGTTTATAGGAGTGTTTAAGAAATTTGAAGCCAGTACTATGGCTCACACTTGTAATCCTGGCATTTTGGGAGACCAAGGCAGGAGGACCACTTGAGCATAGGTGTTCAAGACCAACCTGGGCAACAGAGTGACACCAGTCTCTACAAAAATAAAAAGTCAGCACCTGTGGAAAGAAAGGAAAAAAATATTTTTAATAAATAAAAATTTAAAAAGTAGCCAGGCATGGTGGTGCACACCTGTAGTACTGGCTACTTGGGAGGCTGAGGTGGGAGGATCGTTGGAGCCCAGGAAGTCAAGGCTACAGTGAGCCATGATCACACGAGTGCACTCCAGCCAGGGTGACAGAGTGAGACCCTTTAAAAAAAAAAGAAAGAAAACAAGGCTGGGCATGATGGCTCACACCTGTAATCCCACCAGTTTGAGAGGCCGAGGCTGGTGGATACTTGAGGCCAGGAGTTGGAGACCAGCCTGGACAACATGGTGAAACCCCATCTTTACTAAAAATACAAAAATTAGGCCAGGCACAGTGGCTCACACCTGTAATCCCAGCACTTTGGGAAGCTGTGGCGGGCAGATCACCTGAGGTCAGGAGTTCGAGACCAGCCTGACCAACATGGTGAAACCCCGTCTCTACTAAAAATACAAAAATTAGCCAGGCGTGGTGGTGCATGCCTGTAATCCCAGCTACTCAGGAGGCTGAGACAGGATAATCGCTTGAACCCAGGAGGCAGAAGTTGCAGTGAGCCAAGATCACGCCACTGCACTCCAACCTGGGCAACAGAGTCAGACTCAGTCTCAAAAAAAAAAAAAAAAAGAAAAGAAAAGAAAAAAGAAAAACAAAATTAGCTGGGTGTGGTGGTGCACGTCTGTAATCCCAGCTACTCGGTAGGCTGAGGCAGGAGGATCGCAGAGGTTGCAATGAACTGAGATTGCGCCACTGCACTCCAGCCTGGGCGACAGAGTGAGACTCTGTGAAAAAAAAAAGAAAAAAAAGAAAAAAGAAAAAGAAAAAAGGAAGGAAGGGAGGGAGGAAAGAAAATTTCCCTGGGGGTAGGAGTCTATAAGTTTAGCAAAATAGTCGATCTTTCAGTGTTTCCAGCAACAACCTAATCAAGTTTATCAGTGTCTGAGAATGTTCAAGGTACCATCTTGGGTTCAAACATGTAGGCGAAAACATGCAGCTGGCCAGGTTACAGAGTGGTGAAGGCACTCTGCATTTCTTGGTTGAGACAGAGAAAAAAAGTGGTCAGAACTGGGTAACCCTCCCCCCACCATATTATCACAGTGATCCCTTTTGTCTTTCTTCAGGCTCCAGCCCCACCCTACAGCCCCTGCTCCCTGGATTCACTAGAGCTAACTTCAGTAAAGTACAAAGAAAATGGGGCCATATGACTGGCCAAAAAAAAAATATCTATTCACGTGGATGACCAGATAGTATGAATGGATTGAAAATTTATCAGGAAAAAAGGATGAGAGGAAATGCCAGGAGATGAGGGCAGAGAGCAGGCCGTTCTGGGGGAGGGATTCTGTGGGGACAGGGTGGCCTACTGGGTGTGCCCCTTTTCTCTTCTCTGTCTCCCTTAGATAAGACCAGCAGTTTTGTCATCCTCTCCCTCTCATTCCATGGTCCCGCAGCCCCAGGCCCACACTGAAAGCATGTCGATCCAGGAGAACATATCATCCCTGCAGCTTCGGTCATGGGTCTCTAAGTCCCAAAGAGACTTAGCAAAGTCCATCCTGATTGGGGCTCCAGGAGGTAAGAAGGGGAGACAGAAGCCATGGAACATAGGAGGAAAATGAGGGTGAAAACTAGGAGCCAGGGTGGAGGGCATAAATGATCCACATCAGCCACTGGCTAGGTGGGTTTTGGAGAGGAACGTACGTTCTTCAGAGCCTCCCGTGTGTTAAATTATGGACCCTGGCCTGGGTCTTTTCCAGGCCCTATAGGCAGGCCAGAGCCACAGCATGTAAGCCACGGGGCACTCCCGTGGTTCCTGGACTCTGGCCCCTGGCATACAGGGCTTCCAATGGAACAGGAGACAGTGGTGACACTTTAACCAGTCTGCAGAACTGATCCCCAGCCCAGCTGGGCCTCATGCCTCTGACAACCCAACAGTGTGGAGCAGACCCACAGAGAGGGAGACCCAGAGAGGTGTGCAGTGGCATGGAAGGTGCGGCTGGAATCGGGGGCTCCTCTGAACTGGGATGGGTCAAGCTACAGGGACCTCTGTGTCTGTAGCAGCTTTGAGAAGCCTGGGGAGACTCAGAGGATGGGGTGGGGAAGCCAGCCAGTAGCCAGGGGTTGGAAGGGAGAAAACAGAGACCTTTGGAGCAGGAACTGGGTGATTCTGGGTCTGCATAGGGTGAGGCTGCTGGGGACTAGACATCAAGGGGTGGTGGGGTTGAGGGTCATCAGTAGCTGCAGGTCGGGGGGTCCTGGGTTGTGCGGGGTCAGTATAACTGAGTGGTCAAGAACTTGGGCTAGAGTTAGTCAGACCTAGATTTGAATCCTAGCTGATCCATACTTAGAAGCTGTATAATATTGGACCATTTATTTCCTGTTTCTCAGCCTCTGTTTCTTTATCCATAAAATTGGATAATTATAGAACATTTAACAGTACCTGCTTTATAGGATCCTTGTGACATAATAAAATAATATATGCATGATGCCCAGCTCATAAGAAGGGAAGGAACAGAGGGTATGCTGAGAGACGAAGGCATGGGGAGGAAGGGCAGGTGACATGCAGTCCCTGAGCCCCCTTCTACCACAGGGCCAGCGGGGTATCTGCGGCGGGCCAGTGTGGCCCAACTGACCCAGGAGCTGGGCACTGCCTTCTTCCAGCAGCAGCAGCTGCCAGCTGCTATGGCAGACACCTTCCTGGAACACCTCTGCCTACTGGACATTGACTCCGAGCCCGTGGCTGCTCGCAGTACCAGCATCATTGCCACCATCGGTAAGCACTCCCATCCCCCTGCAGCCACACAGGGCCTATTGGTATTTCTTGAGGTGCTTCTTCATCTTTTGTCTCCTTTGAGACTTCTCCATGTTTGACACAGTCATTCATTTAACAAAAATTTGTTGAGCATATAGTAGACAAGATTTTGGGCCCTGGGAGTAGATCAGTGAAAAAAACAGACAAAAATCCCTACCCTTGGGGAGCTGACAGTCTAGCTGAGTATGACAATAAATAGTAAGCACAATAAATTATTTAAAATAAGTAAATTATTTATTCCGTTAGAAAGTGAGGCCGGGCATGGTGGCTCATGCCTGTAATCGCAGCATGTTGGGAGGCCCAGGTGGGCAGATCACTTGAGGTCAGGAGTTCGAGACTAGCCTGACCAACATGGAGAAACCCCGTCTCTACTAAAAATACAAAATTAGCCGGGCATGGTGGTGCGTGCCTGCAATCCCAGCTACTCAGGAGGCTGAGGCAGGAGAATCGCTTGAACCCAGGAGGCGGAGACTGTGGTGAGCCGAGATCACACCATTGCATTCCAGCCTGGGCAACAGGAGAAAAACTCCATCTCACAAAAAAAAAAAAAAAAAAAAAAAAAAAAAAGTGGGCTGGGCTCAGTGGCTCATGCCTGTAATCCCAGCACTTTAGGAGGCCAAGGTTGGCAGATCGCTTGAGCCCAGGAGTTTGAGACCAGTCTGGGTAAATGGCAAAACCCATCTCTACAAAAAATACAAAACTTAGTTGAGTGTGGTGGTGCATGCCTGTAGTCCCAGCTACTCAGGAGGCTGAGGTGGGAGGATCACTTAAGCCCAGGAGGTCACGGCTGCAGTGAGTCATGATCGAGCCACTGTACTCCAGCCTAGGTGACAGACGAGACCCTAGAGAGAAAGAGAGAAAGAAAGAAAGAAGGAAAGAAAGAAAGAAAGAGAGAGAGAAAGAAGGAAGGAAGGAAGGAGGGAGGGAGGGAGGGAAGGAAGGAAGGAAAGAAAGCAAGCAGGCAAGAAAGAAAGAAAGAAAAGAAAGAAGGAAGGAAGGAAGGAAGGAAAGAAAGAAAGAAAGAGAAAGAAAGAAAGAAAGAAAGAAAGAAAGAAAGAAAGAAAGAAAGAAAGAAAGAAAGAAAGAAAGAAAGAAAGAAAGAAAGGAGTGAAAGTTGGCCGGGCATGGTGGCTCTTGCCTATAATCCCAGCACTTTGGGAGGCTGAGGCAGGTGGATCACCTGAGGTCAGGGGTCCGAGACCAGCCTGGCTAATGTGGTGAAACTCTGTTTCTACTAAAAATACAAAAAATTAGCCAGGCATGGTGGCATGTGCCTATAATCCCAGCTACTCGGGAGGCTGAGGCAGGGGAATCGCTTGAACCCGGGAGACAGAGATTGCAGTGAGCCAAGATCACGCCATTGCACTCCAGTTTGGGCAACAAGAGCGAAACTCTGTTTGTTTGTTTGTTTGTTTTTAAAAAAAGAAAAAAAAGCTGGGCGCGGTGGCTCACGCCTGTAATCCCAGCACTTTGGGAGGCCGAGGCGGGCGGATCACCTGAGGTCAGGAGTTCGAGACCAGCCTCAACATGGAGAAACCCCGTCTCTACTAAAAATACAAAAAATTATCCGGGCATGGTGGTGCATGCCTGTAATCCCAGCTACTCAGGAGGCTAAGGCAGGAGAATTGCTTGAACCTGGGAGGCGGAGGTTGCGGTGAGCCAAGATCGTGCCATTGCACCCCAGCCTGGGCAACAAGAGCGAAACTCCGTCTCAAAAAAAAAAAAGGCCAGGCGTGGTGTTTCATGCCTGTAATCCCAGCACTTTGGGAGGCCGAGGCAGACTGATCACGAGGTCAAGAGATCGATACCATCCTGGCCAACATGGTGAAACCCCGTCTCTAATAAAAATACAAAAATTAGCTGGGCGTGGTGGCACATGCCTGTAGTCCCAGCTACTCGGAAGGCTGAGGCAGGAGAATCACTTGAACTGGAAGGCAGGGAGCAGAGATCGCACCTCTGTCCTCCAGCCTGGTGACAGAGCGAGATTCCATCTAAAAAAAAAAGAAAAGAAAAGAAAGAAAAAGTGAAAGTTTTAAGTGCTATGGGGAAAGAAATCAAGTGTGATAAGGGCATCAGGAGTACGAGGGTGAAGACAGGTTGCAGCCCTAAATAGGGAGGTCAGTTATTATTGAGTAAATGAGACCAAAGGGAAGACTTGAAGGAGATGAGAGAATTAGCCATGCAGAGACCTGGGGGAAGAGAATTCCAGGAAGAAGGATCAGTCAGTGTCAAGGCCTAAGTCAAGAAGGTTAGAAGAGCTAGAAACCATCAAGGGGGAAGAGCGGCAGACATGAAGAGACTGTGTACGGACAGGAAGATCAGGTGCAGCTTTGTAGGCCATTTTTAGAATTTGAGTTGCGTTTTCCTCCGAGTGAAATGAGAAACTGCTGCAGGGTTTTGAGCAGGGGAATGACAAGCTCTTATTTATGTTTTAATAGAGCCTCCCCTCCCCTGCTGCTGCACTGAAAATAGATGGGGGGTGGGGGGAAGGGTGCCCCTGCAGTATTTCTGGCTCAGACCAGTTGGCGGCAGTGAGGTGGTGAGAAGTGGTCAGATTCTGAATGTATTTTGCAGGTAGAGCTGACAGGATTTGCTAATTGATCGGATATGGGGTATGGAGTGTGGGCGAGAAAGAAAGGAGTCAAAGGTGACAGGTGACTCTGAGGTTTTTGCCATAAGGAACTGGAACGATGCATTAGCCACTGAGCAGGAAAGACTGTGGTGGAAGGGGTTGGGGGGAGAGCAGAAGTTTGCTTGGGACATGTTGAGTCTGAGATGCTTATTAGCCATCCAAATGTGATAGAGGGGGCAGTCAGGTACACAACTCTGGGTTTGGGAGAAAGGTCTGGATTGGAGAGACATTTGGGAGTTGGCTACATATAGATGGTATCTCAAGCCATGAGACTAGTTGAGACCACCAAAGGAGTGTAGGTGAAATGACGGAGAAGAGAACAGGGTATCTAACGTTAAGGGGAGGAACAAGGAAAGGAGACTGGGAAAGAGCAGCTAGTGAGGTAGGAGTCAACCAAGAGAGGGTGCAGCCCTGGAGGTCAGGTGAAGACAGTGTGTCAAAGAAGGATGTATGTTCAGGCTGCTGATGGGCCAATAGAGGAGGACTGAGCATTGAGCATTACATGGAGCAAAAACACAGAGGTTCTTGGTGACCTTGACAAGAACAGATGCAGTGGAGAGATGGAGGCCAACGCCTGAGTGGGGTGGGTTCAAGGGAGAATGGGGGAGGGGAACTAGAGGTAGCAAGTACAGATAACTCTTGCGATGAGTTTTGCTGCAAGTGAGAGCAAATACTGGGACTGAGGGGAAACCAGGAGATTAAGAGAATTTTTTTTTAATGATGAAAGAAATAACAGTAGGTTTACCTGCGGATGGGGATGATCCAGTAAAAAAGGAAAACATGGCTGGGCACGGTGACTCACACCTGTAATCCCAGCATTTTGGGAGGGCGAGGTGGATGGATCACCTGAGGTCAAGAGTTCAAGACCAACCTGGCCAGCATGGTGAAACCCCTTCTCTACTAAAAATACAAAAAAATTAGCCAGGCGTGGTGGTGCACACCTGTAATCCCAGCTACTCAGGAGGCTGAAGCAGGATAATCACTTGAACTGGGGAGGCAGAGGTTGCAGTGAGCTGAGATGGTGCCACTGCACTCCAGCCTGGGCGACAAGAGTGAAACTCCCCCCGTCTCAAAAAAAAAGAAAGAAAAAGAAAAGGAAAACATGGGTGTCACAGAGGACCACAGAATGGCTTAATTTATGTCCTTGAGCAGGTGAGAAGGAGGAGACCTAGTGCACAAGTGGAAAGACAGATAGGGACCGAAGAATGAGCCAACCTGCTCTCGGCTAGCAGCTGCCCCATAGCAGTGCAGGCATGGGATAGAACTCAGCTCTCCTCAGTCCATGAGGCCTCCTAGCTCTAAAAGCCCGCACCCAAACGCCCTCACCTGGCTCCCAGCCCCTGCCCTACACCCCATACCCTGGGGTAGCCGGGCAAGCAGCACTTACATACCCATGCCCATACAGTGCCCATACATGCCCATACAGTGACCTCAGGCCTGGCGGAGGGCACTCCCCTCCGATTTCCACACTGCTGCCTCCCCAAGGGGATGGATGTTGGCTTGAGAGGGAAGGGGAGTCTGTGATCTGTGGGCAGGGGTTGCATCAGGGAATAAAGATCAGGTAACAGGACGCCTGTGGCGTGAGGCGTTCTGAGAATGGTAATGGGTTGGGTTTGGTTGCCTCTCATGTTCTGGGGGAACGTTGTCTGAACGTGAATCTCTGGTTCTAGGGCCAGCATCTCGCTCCGTGGAGCGCCTCAAGGAGATGATCAAGGCCGGGATGAACATTGCGCGACTCAACTTCTCCCACGGCTCCCACGAGGTGCGGGACGGGCCGCCGGGCAGTGGGTGGGGCAGGAGGATGCCTCGAGGTCCTGGCCACCTTCCCCTGAAACCCTCGCTCCGCTCCCTCCCCCAGTACCATGCTGAGTCCATCGCCAACGTCCGGGAGGCGGTGGAGAGCTTTGCAGGTTCCCCACTCAGCTACCGGCCCGTGGCCATCGCCCTGGACACCAAGGGACCGGAGATCCGCACTGGGATCCTGCAGGGGGTGAGCAGTGGGGCTGGGACTCGCTGGGCCAGGGCCGGAAAGGCGGCGCCTGTAGGGTTGGGCCCAGGCGTGGGCAGGGGCGGGTCCCGGACTCCGGGGCTCAGAACTCACATCTCCTCTGGCTCCCTCCTTAGGGTCCAGAGTCGGAAGTGGAGCTGGTGAAGGGCTCCCAGGTGCTGGTGACTGTGGACCCCGCGTTCCGGACGCGGGGGAACGCGAACACCGTGTGGGTGGACTACCCCAATATTGTCCGGGTCGTGCCGGTGGGGGGCCGCATCTACATTGACGACGGGCTCATCTCCCTAGTGGTCCAGAAAATCGGTGCGGACGCGCCTCCCGCCCTGACCACATCCGTGCGCTGGGCACATTCCCTTCTCCTTGGCTCCCCCATCAGCCCTCAGACCGATCACACCTTCCCCTGGCCACGCGTTTTTGCCAGCCCGTCCCAGGAGTCCCCAGCGTGTAGACTCTGCGCTCACCCTGGGTTTGGGCTGGACTATGGGTGGGTCGTTTCTTCCACGGACGTCCATCTGTGCCTCTTCCGGGCGAAGCCCAGAACAAGGGCGGAGAGATGAGGAGGACATGGTTCCTGACCTCTTGCGGGTCCAAGCCCCAGTGTCCTCTCTGCTGCAACTGTGCCCCGTCCTCACCCCTGACCGCAGCTGGCTCTTTCCATGTCCGCAGGCCCAGAGGGACTGGTGACCCAAGTGGAGAACGGCGGCGTCCTGGGCAGCCGGAAGGGCGTGAACTTGCCAGGGGCCCAGGTGGACTTGCCCGGGCTGTCCGAGCAGGACGTCCGAGACCTGCGCTTCGGGGTGGAGCATGGGGTGGACATCGTCTTTGCCTCCTTTGTGCGGAAAGCCAGCGACGTGGCTGCCGTCAGGGCTGCTCTGGGTCCGGAAGGACA
This sequence comes from Homo sapiens, assembly GCF_000001405.40. Lineage (NCBI taxonomy): Eukaryota > Metazoa > Chordata > Mammalia > Primates > Hominidae > Homo > Homo sapiens. The sequence continues at coordinate 155,294,529 of NC_000001.11, read as the reverse complement.
CGGCATCAAGATCATCAGCAAAATTGAGAACCACGAAGGCGTGAAGAGGTGAGGCTTGGGCTCTGTTCCCCTTCGGCCCTGTCGCTATTCCCCATCACCTTTCTTCTCCTGCCTGCCTCTGCCTTGATTCTCCCAACCTCTCAGGTTTGATGAAATCCTGGAGGTGAGCGACGGCATCATGGTGGCACGGGGGGACCTAGGCATCGAGATCCCAGCAGAGAAGGTTTTCCTGGCTCAGAAGATGATGATTGGGCGCTGCAACTTGGCGGGCAAGCCTGTTGTCTGTGCCACACAGGTCTGGAGTGAGGCCTTGAGGTTCGGCACTCTGTGGGTTTTAGGGACACCTGTGGGTGAATACCCACACTGTAGGGGTTTATTTTGTTTTGTTTTGTTTTTTGAGACGGAGTCTCACTCTGTCATCCAGGCTGGAGTGCAGTGGCGCAATCTCCGCTCACTGCAACCTCCGCCTCTTGGGTTCAAACAATTCTCCTGCCTCAGCCTCCCAAGTAGTGGGGATTACAGGTGACCGCCGCCATGCCAGGCTACTTTTTGTATTTTCAGTAGAGACGGGGTTTCACCATGTTGGCCAGACTGGTCTCGAACTCCTGACCTCAGGTGATCTACTCGCCTCGGCCTCCCAAAGTGCTGGGATTACAGGTGTGAGCCACTGCACCCAGCCCACACTGTAGGTTTATAGCACATTTGGATGAAAAGTGTTTGATCCTCAAACGACAAAGTTAAATATACTTTGACCCCTATTTTCAGGGGTTGTGACCAAACGACAAAGTTAAATATACTTTGACTCCTATTTTCAGGGGTTGTGACTGTGACCCTGGATTTTGGGACACTCTGAGAGTGTGGGTGTCAGAGAAGTAGCTTGGGCAGGGTCCCCAGTCACAGTGTGAGTCCTACAACTTTGACATCCACGCTGTCCCCCAGATGCTGGAGAGCATGATTACCAAGCCCCGGCCAACGAGGGCAGAGACAAGCGATGTCGCCAATGCTGTGCTGGATGGGGCTGACTGCATCATGCTGTCAGGGGAGACTGCCAAGGGCAACTTCCCTGTGGAAGCGGTGAAGATGCAGCATGCGGTAGGAGCTCAGAATGAAAAGCAAATGGGCCAGGGAACCAAATCCCTTCCATACCCCAGTGCCCCTTCCCAGACTAACATTCTGGCACCTGCAGATTGCCCGGGAGGCAGAGGCCGCAGTGTACCACCGGCAGCTGTTTGAGGAGCTACGTCGGGCAGCGCCACTAAGCCGTGATCCCACTGAGGTCACCGCCATTGGTGCTGTGGAGGCTGCCTTCAAGTGCTGTGCTGCTGCCATCATTGTGCTGACCACAACTGGCCGGTGAGGGGGATATTGGGAATGTCCAGATGGAGCTTTGGGTCAGGGGTGGGCTGGGACGGGCCCCAGGCTTGGGTTTAGTCTGGTCACCAGGGGTGAAGAGTGTCCACCTGAGACAAGAGGAGAGGCAGCAATGACAGCTGGAGGCCAGGAGAGACAGAATGCCAGTGAGCTTCTGGGGGCTGGAAGGGGACAGCGGCATCACTGGGCACATTGGCTTCAAGGCCATTTGGGCTTCTGGGGCTCAGAGGCAAGTCCATTCGGCCCACAGAGCCTACCAATACTGAGGTATTACAGAAGGGTCCAGTAGGTCTGAGTTTAAGTCTTTACTCAGAAATGTAGCTCTATTAGCCTGCTGTCTTTCCTCATGAACAGGACAAGGTAATGATTTGTTCTTCATGGGGTTGGCAGGATTAACAGGAGATATTAAGTACTAGATAGTACTTAATATCTATATAGTAAATTAAGCACATAATGGACTTTCTCAAAAGGGTTTTATACTCTTGGGTTTTTGTTTGTTTGTTTTGTTTTGTTTTTCTTTTGAGAACGGCAGCTCGCTCTGTTGCTCAGGCTGGAGTAAAATGGTGCAATCTCAGCTCACCACAACCTTCACCTCCCAAGTTCAAGTGATTCTCCTGCCTCAGCCTTCCGAGTAGCTGGGATTACAGGCGCATGCCACAACGCCCTGCATATTTTTTGTATTTTTAGTAGAGACAGGGTTTCATCATGTTAGCCAGGCTGGTCTCAAACTCCTGACCTCAGGTGATCCACCCTCCTTGGCCTCCCAAAGTGCTGGGATTATAGGCATGAGCCACTGTGCCTGGCCAGCTTTTATATTTCTTAAAGAGATTTCTCCTTATTATCTCATTTGATATATCTGTATTATCTCATATCTTTCTTGTGTGGTAGGGAGGGCAGGCATTCTTTCTTTTTTTTTTCTTAATGCAGAGATGGGGTCTCACTATGTTGCCTAGGCTGGTCTCCAGCTCCTGGGCTCAAACAATTCTCCCATCTCGGCCTCCCAAAGTGCTGGGATTACAGGCATGAGCCACCGCTCCCGGCCTGGGAGGCAGGCATTCTTACACTCATTTTACAGGTGAGAACACCAAGGCCCAGAGAAGTATGATGACTTACCCAGGGTCACACAGCTTGTTAGTGACACCTGGAACTGGAACAAAGATTCTCCTTTCCTCGTTCACCACTTTCTTGCTGTTCTGGGCTGACCTTCTCTGCCTCCTCCAGCTCAGCCCAGCTTCTGTCTCGGTACCGACCTCGGGCAGCAGTCATTGCTGTCACCCGCTCTGCCCAGGCTGCCCGCCAGGTCCACTTATGCCGAGGAGTCTTCCCCTTGCTTTACCGTGAACCTCCAGAAGCCATCTGGGCAGATGATGTAGATCGCCGGGTGCAATTTGGCATTGAAAGTGGTGAGCTACCTAGACCTTCCCTGCCACTCCTACCATTTGTATCAGGAGCCCCCCAACCCAGCTTCCCATACCCACTCAAAGGGCCTTGCCTCTCTCCTGTGGTCCCAGGTTTTCCCTGTGAGAGTCACTAAGACTGAGATATCAGTCTGGCATATCACAAATACCTCTTCCATCAGCATAGCCACACAGGCAGACGGCCGTGCTACTTAGCAACACACTCTGCCCTAGCCCACAGATACTCCTGCACCTTTTTTTTTTTTTGAGAGAGAGTCTTGCTCTGTCGCCAGGCTGGAGTGCAGGGGTACGATCTCGGCTCACTGCAATCTCTGCCTCCTGGGTTCAAGTGATTCTCCCACCTCAGCCTCCTGAGTAGCTGGGACTACAGGCATGCGCCACCACGCCTGGATAATTTTTGTATTTTTAGTAGAGACAGGGTTTCACCATGTTGGCCAGGATGGTCTCAATGTCTTGACCACGTGATCCGCCCGCCTCGGACTCCCAGAGTGCTGGGATTACAGGCGTCAGCCACCGTGCTGGCATCTCTTACACCTTTAATATACTGCAGTGGTCACATTCCCTGCATGCCACCCGTGGGACATACTTCACTGCCTCATTCCCTACAGGATGGCCTTGATGTGGTGAAAGGTGGTGGCTGGTTCTCGTTACAGGGCTGGCCTGGTCCCTCAATGACTAATTTTCTTTCTTTTCTTCTTTTATTATTATTATTATTATTATTATTATTATTATTATTATTATTATTATTATTTTGAGATGGAGTCTTGCTCTGTCCCCAGGCTGGAGTGCAGTGGTGTGATCTCGGCTCACTGCAACCTCTACCTCCTGAGTTCAAGCGATTCTCCTGCCTCAGCCTCCCTAGTAGCTGGGATTACAGGCATGCGCCACCACACCCAGCTAATTTTTGTATTTTCAGTAGAGACAAGGTTTCACCATGTTGGCCAGGCTGGTCTCAAACTCCTGACCTCAGGTGATCCTCCTGCCTTGGCTTCCCAAAGTGATGGGATTACAGGTGTGAGCCACCACACCTGTCCAATGATTTGTTTTCTTTCCCTCCCCCAGGAAAGCTCCGTGGCTTCCTCCGTGTTGGAGACCTGGTGATTGTGGTGACAGGCTGGCGACCTGGCTCCGGCTACACCAACATCATGCGGGTGCTAAGCATATCCTGAGACGCCCCTCCCTCCTCTGGCCCAGCCTACCCTTGTACCCCATCCCTTCCTCCCCAGTCTACGTTCTCCAGCCCACACCCCTCCAAAGCCCCACCTTTAAGTCCTCTCTTCTCTATTCCTGACCCTCCCTACCTGAGGCCTATCTGAGACTATAACTGTCATCTAGCCCCTTCGAGGTTGCCCCTTCCCCATCTCCATTTCACACAGGTCCTGAAAGTCTGTGTCCAATTATGCACTGGCCACCCAACAGCACCAATTGTACATTCCCTGCATCCAATCTGCTCAGCAGGCCCTAAGATGCCTTGAGTCTTTAATCCCAGTTTGGCTGGTTAATTCCATAACCCCAGGCATCCCATCCCTTGGGGTGGGGGAGAGGGGAGACAGGGCAATCTTGTCCACAGTCTCCCATTCTCATATGTAGCCCTCATGATAATCTGGGCATCTCGTGCCAGGGCAGGCTACCCCTTCATGGTGACTAACAGTTACATGAAAGTCCACGCTTTTGGGAAAACTGGGTGGGATGGATGCTGGGGAGAAGTGAGGGCTGGGCAGCTGATTTTGTCACTGTCTTCACAACCTCCGTGCTGGGCTTGTAGACCACTGTCCTGGCTGCTCTCATGCCTGCCTGATACCCTGCTTGGTCAAATCCCCGGCTGCTTCCTTCTGCACCCAGAAATTCCTTCCCACTCATGTTGTTCCCACACACAAACCAAGAGCCAAAAATGAGTGTGTCTATTTTATATTTAAACCCAGCTGTTTGGAAGCAATTATAAAACTTCTCCCACACACCAAGAACCCCAGAACTCCCCACCCAGAAGGAAAGGAGACTTAGGGTCCTGGTCCCACAGTCTTTAATGCTGTAGAGTAGGAGAGGGGACAGGCAGAGTGAGGGTGGTAAAGGACTACTCTTGTCCCTGAGAAGGCAGAGGTGCTGGCTGGCCTGCCCTTCCCCAGGCTTGGATACCTTGGGCCTTTCCCTTATTCCTGCACCAACAGCAAACTCAGAAGGAAAAAACAAAACAAAACTCTAAAGGTAAACGCGGTCCTTCTCCCTCTCTCATGTGGCTCCTCCTGCCCCTACCTGGGAGAAGGTTCAAGTATTGCGCTGATGGGTTTGGGCAAGGACCACAGAGGCTGGCATGGAGAGGCCCTGCCTCCTCCTACTCCTCCTGTCTCCTTACCTGAAAAGGAGGGGAGGGATGGATAAAGGAATGGGTAAACAAAATTAATTGGTAACACATAAAGTTAGTAAATGAATAAATACAATTAAATAAATGAATAAATAAACAAGCGAAGAAAAAAATATCACACAAGGATTCAGCCATTTGCCCCTCCACCGGGGGGGATCTAGGCTGGCATATTAATAAGGAGGTGCCAACTACCCCTTAACTTTTAGGGGGTCACGACTGGGGCAGAGGGTACAGGGAAGAGGAAGCTCGCAGTTTACAAAAAGATGGTCTACCACAGGACAGAGACTGCAGGGAACTTAGAAGTATGTTCCCACTCAGAGGGTAGACACAGAGTGTCCACAGGTGGCAGTGAGCGGGTAAAAGTGGATACCCACACTCAGGACCCAAGACATCTGCTGACAGCAATGGGGGCACAGGTGACTGGCAGTGCCTGGCTATGCTACAGGAACAGGAAGATAACCAGACCGGGCAGAACCTGCAGGATCATTGGCAGGGAAACAGAGACATCTAGTTACTTGGCAGTGATGGCAGTGGCAAGTACTTGTGCTTAGTAAAGGTGGGGTCATGGGCCTGGGCCTGCACCTGGCAGGACCATAGCCAAGGGAATATCCTTGTCAGAGGGTTTTGAGTCACTTCTACTTGGCAGTGGAGACATACAGCGCCTGGCATATTACCTTGAACATGGTAGCTGCTCAGTACACATGATGAACGGGTGAATGGATTATGATGGGACAAGCTACAGGATTCTTGAGCTGAGGACACAGAGACCGTCTTCATGGCAGTATGCGGAATGTCCGCACAGGGTCGACATTTCCATGGGGCAATGTTTCAGGTCCCCATGGCCTTCCCCAAGAGGCATCTGCCCTTGGGTACATACTACTGCACCCCAAGAACTAAGGCTGGATGTACTCAAAGGTTTTACATGTTGGCAGAAAGCTGGAGACCCCGGGGTGTGGCTGGCTCAGGCACTGGTGGCCTGGGGGGCTGGGCTGTCCTTGGAGGTTTGGCCAGGAGCCCTGAGGGAGGCAGCCGCTCACTTCCTGATCCCTTACGCCCAGGAGAGCCATCGCCTGTTGCCCGCTGAGGCAGAGAGGGTTGGGAGGCTGAGAGTGGGCGGCCCCGAGGTCCTAGCCGCCGTCCACCTCCTCCTGGAGGGGGACCCAGCAGGGAGACCTGGGAGCGCCCTGCCCGGGATAGGCTGGCGTGCAGGGTTCGGGCAGGTGGGGCGGGCAGGCGGGAGGTGGATGCCCATGGGCCAGCTCGGACGGGCACCAGCGGGGAAGCTGGAGAGCCTGCTGAGCGCCAAGCAGAGCGAGCAAGGAGGGTGGCTGGAGAGTCAGGGGAGAGGGGCAGAGGGCCCCGCTGATGAGTCAGGGCAATGGCCACATTGGAGGTCACAGCAGCTGCCTGAAGGGGCGCATGTACCAGTGGCTCCCACAGTACTGGCTTTCCACTAAGCTGAGCTCCTGTGCTCGGGGCCCGACCCCGAACACCCCGAGCCATGTCTCTGTCATGTTGCACCAAGTGCTGCTCCATGATGCCACCACTGCTGCCTGGACTTGGCTCGGAGCGCTTCCGCTGCAGTATGGAATTCTTCTTGCCTAGAAGTTGTACCGGGAGGGAGAAGTTAAGGATAGGGAAGGAATCCAAGATGGATGTTGGATATCAAAGAGTATGAGAGTATCAGGATGGGGTGGGGTTGAGGGTAGGGGATGGGAGTCAGTAGTATGGCAATGGGGCTATGGGGGTTGAGATGGGGGTTGGAGGAAGAGGGTATGTATCAGAGACAGCGAGGGTCAGGGGACTGGTACTCAGGGGAAGGAGGACTCAGGACATGGGGGCTTGGGATGCTATCTCTCCTGGGAAGGACATGCTGAGGGATAGGGACAGTGGGCCACAGTGTTGAAAGTCCTGTTAGGGAGCATTTGTTGGGACTGAATGGATTGGGATATGACCCTGGAGCCCTAAAGCCTGGGCTCCTTGCTTTGGAGGTGGGGTGAGAGCACAGTCTGGACCCAGAGCAGATGGGGTGGACAGGTCTCACCGATGCGGAGCAGCCGATCCATGGCCACAGTCTCAAAGGCCCGGCGCATCATGGGGAACTCCTCAAGCACAGCATTGAAATGGTCCACGCTGAGTGAGTAAAGGCGGCAGTAGGTGTCAGCCCGAACACTGGCTGTGCGCCGGCCCCTAGTTAGCAGGCAGATCTCTGCAGAAATTGGGAGGAAGCTTCAGAACCCCGTCCTTGTCCCCAGAACTCCTCTTGCTGAGCCTGCAGCAGTGGACCCAACTTTCTAAGGCTCCTCCCTAGACTTGGGAGAAACCATTGATTACCTATTACCTCCGTGCCCCAGGAACCCTAAACACCCCAAGCATTGTCTTTCTCCAGACCCCCACAATTACTGGGTTACTGCTCCCTGTCCTTCCTACTCTCTCCATATGAAGGCTGATGACCAGGCAGGTCTTGCTGGCCCTAAATTCCCAGTGATTCCACTCCACTTTAACTCCCACCCCTCCCCGACTGCTCAATCCCAAGAGGTAGACCTGGGCAACTCAGTGTACCCACCCCTCCCACCCCCTTGAATAAACACTGAGGGCAGCCCTGAAGGAGAAAAGCAGTATCAAAGAGCAAAGTGCAACATGATGGGAGTAGTGGGTGGTTTGGGGACTGAGAGATTATATAAGCCTCAGGTCACTTTGGGCAGTGGAAGGCTGAACTGCCCCTACTGCCACAGGCTGGGTCCCTGAAACACGCCACCAGGCAGCTCCAAAAAGCTTATGCTCCAGGACAGCTCTGCTTCACTCCTGCCTTTCCCTCATCTCATAGGATCCTTGGATTTCACTGTCTAAGGGTTCTAAAAGGCCCTCTGGCCCAGTAGTTTGCAACCTGGCTGTGCATTAGAATCTCCTGAGAAGCTTTAAAAACTACAGAGCTCAGGCCTGGCACGGTGATTCACGCCTGTAATCCCAGCACTTTGGGAGGCTGAGGCGGGCGGATCACGAGGTCAGGAGATCGAGACCATCCTGGCTAACACAGTGAAACCCCGTCTCTACTAAAAATACAAAAAATTAGCCAGGCGTGGTGGCGGGTGCCTGTGGTCCCAGCTACTCGGGAGTGTGAGGCAGGAGAATGGCGTGAACCCAGGAGGCAGAGCTTTCAGTGAGCCGAGATTGCGCCACTGCACTCCAGCCTGGGCAACAGAGCGAGACTCCACCTCAAAAAACAAACAAACAAACAAACAAACAAAAACTATAGAGCTCCAGACCCCAGCCCAGAGATTCTCACTGAGTAGGCCTGGGGAGGGGCTGGAGCTCTGTGATTCTGCAGCGTACTGAGGCAGGGACCCAGAGCCTGGGAGCAGTTGCCCTCTCCACTGTCTGCTCGTGACCCTGCCACCCTCCCTGAGGCCTGCTGACCCCCAAAGTAGGATCCATCGGTGAGGCGTGTGTCCCGGGCGCCGCGGGCCAGCACACTGAGCAGCCCATGCTGGATGAAGTACATCTTCCTCCCCACGGAGCCCTCACGCACCACGAGATCCCCCGGCTGGAAGACCTCAAAGCGCAGCTTGGTGAGAACTGCAGTGACGAAGCTGGGGTCGGCATGGGCAAACAGCGGCATGTGGGCCACCAGGCCCCGACAGGTGAAGTTAATGATCTCCTGGACAGGGGAGGGGCCTGTCAGGCAGGCTGTGCCCCTGACCTGAGATGATCCCACCGAGCTCATCCGCTTCCAGAAACCCCACCCCTGGGGTCATGTTCTGCCAAAGGATGGGGAGGCATCAGTGGGCCTGGGACCATCCCTAAGCTCCTGCCTTCAGATCTTTCCCATGAGCCCTTGCAGGACCATCCCCCAAAAACAGAGATCCCTATAGTCCCTCCTCATGTATCCTTCACCCTCAAAGGGCCTTCAAGAAAGACCCTAGCCCCTGAAAGCCCAAATACCTGGCCTCCCACGGGGCCCTCTGCAGGCCTCATTCCCTATAGGAGCACCTGCTGACCAATAGCCCCTACCACCAGACAGCACTCCAGGTCCCTGAAGAGCCCCCCTTCCAGGCCCAACCCAGCCCCACCTCGCGAAGCGGCTCGCTCAGCTCGCCCAGGATGCTTTCCTCATCGAACATCTTGCCCTGGTAGCGGTGCTCATAGTACTCGTGGATGCGCTGCCGCGTGTCTGCTGGCAGCTTGTGGAAGGACATGTACTGCTCCACCTGCTTGTACTGGAGGGCCAGCCCATTGCCAGGGGCAAGAGGACAGAGGGAGAGATTTGGGGCCGGCACAGTGGGGTGTGTGTGCGGAAGGTCAGAGACACAGGTCAAACTCAAAGGGGTGAAACGTGGAACCAGACATGGATACACAGGGCCACAGAGGAATACGGATAATGATGGATACCGGGAAGACACAGAGCACAGTCATAGGAAAACCCAGGCGTGGACAGCAGAGGGGCCAAGCACAGGCATAGGTTCAAACAAGGAAAAGGTACATGCAGGGGCAGGGAACAAATGGACACAGGGCAGGAAAGGAAACAGAGACGCAACAGGGGCACACATCAGAATGGGCCTCAAGTCAGGCTACCCAGTCTCCAACACCCCTCCATGCCACACCTCCCTCTCCTGTCCCTGCTGACCTTCTCCTGGTACTGACGCCGGGAAGAGTCCAGGGACTGGATGAGTGCCGTGGCATGGCCGATGAACATGGCGTAGCATGTGGCACCTACGATCATGCTGAGCATGGTGAGCCAGACGTCGGGCATGCCTACAGGTGCCTGCTGCCCATAGCCAATGCACAGCATGTGGCTCATGGCCTTGAACAGGGCATGGGAATACTGGCGGCCCCACGAGTGGTTCTGAGGGGCAGAGTATATTGCAGAGCTGGGCATGGGCCCCTCGGAGCCTCATTCTCTGCCTGCCCCTTTTCCTTCTTTGGTCTTTCTGTCTGCCCCTTCTACTGCAGGCCTTCCTCCTGGCAGGCACTTAAGTTTGGTTCTGGGGGGCCCTGAGGCAAAAGGGTCCTCTATTGCAACTTGGGGGCCTCAGCTTCCGGGTAGGTACCCTTCCTTTGCCTGCTCCCTCCAACACACGAGCACTTCTTCTGGGTCTCCTTCCCCTTTCCTCCCTCCTCCCCACCTCCTCGCTCCTATTTTCTGTTGTGATCATCTCCCACCTCCTGCTCCCTGTGGCCATCCCTGCTACTCAGGCAGAAGAGCCCTAAGAAGGCCCAGGAAAGGCAGAGCTGTGGGGACTTCTCACCACCATGTGGTTGATGGAGACCCAGCAGTCGGGAGGGAAGTCCTGCAGCATGGGCACCAGGAACTGCAGACAGCCATCCCAGTGACATAGCAGCAGCATCATCCCAATGAGGTTGAAGATGCGAACCACAGCACTGGCCAGGTCATAGGTCATGTGAAAGATCTGAGGAGTCCGAGGAGGAGCTGCTGTGGACAGGAACCCCTCCCTGCTTGTCCTCCTCCATTCCCAGCCTGGCAAATTCTCTTCTGAACTACTCCCTAGCCCCAGCCCCCATGAATTAAAAAATACAACTATTATTCATTTGTGTGGAGTTTTGTGGCACACATGTATAGCTAATGCAAAGCAGTTTCTTATTTCTCTCATCTTATAGATAGGAAAGCTGAGGTCAGTCATGTGCCCAGAACCACATAGTAAGTGTCACAGCAGAGAATCAAACAAATCTATTGCACAAGCTGCCCAGGTGTAGCCTAGAAAAGAGAGAGGGCATTTCACAGTGTAATGTCTCCAGGGCATATGTGTAAGAATTAATCCAGCAGCCCTCTCCTTTCCAGTCATAATAATATATAATGGGTGGGGGGAGGGGGGAGGGATAGCATTGGGAGATATACCTAATGCTAGGTGACGAGTTAGTGGGTGCAGCGCACCAGCATAGCACATGTATACATATGTAACTAACCTGCACAATGTGCACATGTACCCTAAAACTTAAAGTATAATAAAAATAATAATAATAATAATATATAATAGTGGCTTCACTGAGAACTTAGTATGTGCTAGACACCTTTCTAAGTGATTTGCATGTATTAATTCCTTTAATCCTAACAGTCTTATCACAGGTAAGTGTATTTAACACTCTCATTTTATAGAACAGAAAACCAAGTCTCCTATAGTAAACAATAAAACTGGGATCTGACCAAAGACAATGAGACTGCAGAGCCCACAGTCTGAACCACTAAACTCTGCTGCTCTGAAGCTGAAGCTCCAGCTTCTTCCACACCTCATCCTCCGCCCAGCATCCAGCTAACTCTAAAGTGTGTCCGGCAGCTGTGCTCCACCCTCCTGTGCCACCATCTTCACCCCAGGCCCCATCCCCCGAACCCTCATTCTGTTCCTGCTTCTCCCCCACCAGTTTTGGAGAGAGCTCACGCACGGAAGCCCCACCCATCTTCCCCACACTATAAGGTCACCAGGAGCCCCACCCATAGCATCTTCCTAGAGAAGTCCACCAGCCGCCCCGCCCCCTTCTCCCCCAACATCCCCCACCCACTGCCCCGCCCGCCATCTCCCCACCCCACCTCCTCCCACTGGTGTATGTAGCGGATGAGGCGGGAGAGGCGGAGCAGCCTCAGCAGGCTTAGGATCTTGGTGAAGCGAACGATGCGTAGGGCCCGTGCCGTTTTGTAGACCTCAGCGTCCAACCGTGGCTCCAGCTCCACCACTAGGAAGATGTAATCCACAGGGATAGAAGAGATGAGGTCAACCAGGAACCAGGTGCGCAGGTAGCGCGTGCGGATGGCCCGCGGTGCCAGCAGGATCTCAGCACCCTCCTCCACCACGATGCCCGTTCGGAAGTTGAGCACCAGATCCAGTAGGAAGAAAGTATCAGACAATACGTTGAAGACGATCCAAGGCGGGGAGTTCTCCTCCTTGAAGAAGGTGATGCCCACAGGCAGGACGATGAGGTTCCCCACCATCAGCAGCAGCATGATCAGGTCCCAGTAAAACCTAAGGTGGGAGTGAGATGAGGAGTAAGACCATGAGGATATTTCACCAGCCACTAGACTGACAGAAGATAGGCTGACATGGCCAAGAATGGGCAAAGATACACAATAACAGAATGACTGTTTACAGCTGTTGGGAGTATAAGTTGGGACCACCATTTGGGAAAATAGTTCAGCATTATCTAGTGAAGTTAAACATTTGCATTCCCTGCAACTCAGCAATCCCATTCCTACGTATAGACACATCCAAGGAAAATATGCGCTCCAGGAGATACACATAGGAATGTTTATAGCAGCATTAAATTTGAGAACAACACACATGTCCTTGTGTAGAAAAATGTAGACAGATAAGTAGATAAATACACTATTTATGGGCTGGCATACCATACAGCTGTGAAATTACCCAACTACAGCTACATTCAGCCCTATGGATGAATTTCACAAATGCAATGCTGAGCAAAAGAAGCAAGAAACAGCCTGGGCAACATAGTGAGACCTCATCTCAACAACAAATAAAAAAAATTAGCCAGGCCAGGTGGTGCACACCTAAAGTCCCAGCTACTCAGGAGGCTGAGGTGTACTCCAGCCTGACTGACAGAGCGAGACCCTGTCTCAAAAGAAAAGCTATGGCTCACGCCTGTAATCCCAGCGCTTTGGGAGGCCAAAGTGGGATCACTTGAGTCCAGGAGTTCAAGACCAGCCTGGGCAACATAGTAAGATCCTATCTCTACAAAAGTTAAAAATTAGGCCAGGCCTGGTGACTCATGCCTGTAATCCCAGCACTTTGGGAGGCTGAGACTGGCGGATCACCTGAGGTCAGGAGTTTGAGACCAATCTGGCCAACATGGCAAAACCTCGTCTCTACAAAAAATACAAAAATTAGCTGGGCATGGTGGCGAGAGCCTGTAACCCCAGCTACTCAGGAGGCTGAGGCAGGAGAATGGCATGAACCCGGAAGGCAGAGGTTGCAGTGAGCCGAGATCGCACCACTGCTCTCCAACCTGGGTGACAACAGTGAGACTCTGCCTCAAAGAAAAAAAGAAGAAGGCCAGGTGTGGTGGCTCACGCCTGTAATCCCAGCACTTTGGGAGGCCAAGATGGGCAGATCACAAGGTCAAGAGCTCGAGACCATCCTGGCCAACATGGTGAAACCCCGTCTGTACGAAAAATATAAAAATTAGCTGGGCATGGTGGTGCACACCTGTAGTCCCAGCTACTCGGGAGGCTGAGGCAGGAGAATCACTTGAACCCGGGAGGCGGAGGCTGCAGTGAACAGAGATCACGCCACTGTACTCCAGCCTGGGTGACAGAGCGAGACTCCATCTCAAAAAAAAAAAAAAAAAAATTAAAAATTAGCCAGGCGCTGGGTGCGGTGGCTCATATCTGTAATCCCAGCACTTTGAGAGGCCAAGGTGGGCGGATCGCCTGAGGCTGGGAGTTCGAGACCAGCCTGACCAACATGGAGAAACCTCATCTCTACTAAAAATACAAAATTAGCTGGGAGTGGTGGCACATGCCTGTGATCCCAGCTACTCAGGAGGCTGAGGCAGGAGAATCGCTTGAACCTGGGAGGTGGAGGTTGCCATGAGCCGAGATTGCGCCATTGCACTCCAGCCTGGGCAACAAGAGTGAAACTCTGTCTCAAAAAAAAAAAAAAAAAAAAAAAAAAAAAAAAATAGCTGGGCGTGGTGGCTCACGCCTGTAATCCCAGCACTTTGGGAGGCCAAGGTGGGCAGATCACAAGGTCAGGAGATTGAGACCATCCTGGCTAACACGGTGAAACCCCATCTCTACTAAAAAAATACAAAAAATTAGCTGGGCATGGTGGCGGGCGCCCGTAGTCCCAGCTACTCAGGAGGCTGAGGAAGGAGAATGGCGTGAACCCGGGAGGCGGAGCTTGCAGTGAGCCGAGATTGTGCCACTGCACTCCAGCCTGGGCGACAGAGCGAGACTCCGTCTCAAAAAAAAAAAAAAAAAATTAGCCAGGTGTGGTGGCGCGCACCTGTAATCCCAATCCCAGATATTCAGGAGGCCAAGGCAGGAGAATTGCTTGAACCTGGGAGTGAAGGTTGCCGTGAGCTGAAACCGCTCCACTGCCCTCTAGCCTGGGCGAGAGTGAGACTCTGTCTCAAAATAAATAAATAAATAAAATAAATAAATAAATAAAAATTTGCCGGTGTGGTGGCTCACACCTGTAATCCCAGCACTTTGGGAGGCTGAGGTGGGTGGATCACGAGGTCAAGTGTTCGAGACCAGCCTGGACAAAATGGTGAAACCCCACGTCTACTAAAAATACAAAAATTAGCCAGGCGTGGTGGCATGCGCTTGTAATCTCAGCTACTCAGGAGGCTGATGCAGAAGAATCGCTTGAACCCGGGAGGCGGAGGTTGCAGTGAGCCAAAATTGTGCCATTGCACTCCAGCCTGGGCGACACAGTGAGACTCCTTCTCAAAATAAATAAACAAATATAAAAATAAATAAATAAATAAATAAAATTACTCTTCCATCTACATACATATCCCTACTATATATCATTTACCTCACCATTGCTAAATATTTTTAAGGTTAAAAAAAAAAGCTAAAGTATCCTGTGCTAATCTCACAGCATTGCTGAAAACATTTACATGGAGACAATAGATGTGACAGTGTGGTACAGGCACTAGTTGGTATTATGACTCACTCACTCTTTATCCCCAGATTTCTGAAAAGGCTGCTGCTTCCCCCATCTCCAGTTATCTGCCCATTCTAGTCTAGGACCTCATGCCCTCCCCAGCCTTCTCCACCCCATTCCTCTTCTCCAACACAGTTGGACCCACGGATCCTGTTCCTCTGCTGAGGTTTGCTCATCCATGTCTCAGGGTGGGGTGGTCTATCCTGCCTTCCTCTGAATTGAGCTTTCCAGGGATGCCCTTCCCCCTCCACAGAACCTCAAACAGGGCTGCACACACAGAGAAGCTCCACAGGAGATCATGAAGCAGCAAGGCTTGAGTTCTGCATACCTTTCCTCCTCTGGCCTCCCTGTGTCCACTGGGACTCTGGCTGAGCACAGGCAGAGGCATGGGCAGGGGTGAGTGACATTGCTGTGGCAGACACCGTGGAAAGAAGAGGTCAAGAGGGAACTGTGTGAAGCCCTCATTCAGAGAATGGCACAGGAAAATCTCAGGGACTCAGTTACCTATGGTGGTTTTAATTCTAGGACACACCTAATCCCAGTGTCAACTCAGGAGCTAGCCCCTTCTGACTCGGACTGCAAAATCAATTTTCAGCCCTGAAAGAAACTTCCTCAAGTCCGGGCCTCTGGGAAGCCCCTTAGACTGTATGTTTTCAATAAACAAAAACCCTCGGCCATTCTTCTTTTCTCTCCTCGGCTGCTGAGGAGGAATCCTGTATTGTGAGACACTAAGAGAGGGGAGGGAAAGAGGGTTCGCCTAGCCATGAAAGCATCTTCACAGCCTGACTCACAGGTGGGTCACAAGCCTGGCGGGTGATGTAGTATAGAGAATGGAGAAGCACAATCAGAGGGATACCAGGCTTCTGGGGATCCGTCTGCGAGTGAACTGAGGGAAGAGAGTGAGATCCACAGGAGACTAGAAAAGGCGCACTGGCTGGGTGGGAACGAGGCAGCAAAGACAGGAGTGAAAGGAACAATGGGAGGAAGAGAGACATAGAGGGAGTGTGTATATATGTGGATTCAAGATAATGTCTGGGTCTACAACTGTATTTCGAGGCTCCAGATTCACACCTCTTCCTCTCTGCTTCTTTAGTTCCCCAGGTTAGGTGCTTTGCACACATCCCTGCCTCATCCAAGAGCTGTCCTTCATTTCCCCCAAGGACAGGGCTGCTGTCTTCCCCTAGCGACCTTGATGTAGAGGTACACCCTGACGGAGACTGTGAAATGGCCCCACCCCCACCCTCTGTTCCTTCTCTGGGAGTCACCTGGGTGGTGGTCCTGCCCCTGCTTTGCCGCCTCAGTCACTCTGAGTCTCGGCCCCGCCCCGCCGCCCCCGCCTTCAGCACTAGGGACAGCGACCAGAGCTGAGGTCTGGACCCCCCGCCCCCTTCAGCGTCCCTATTTTTCCTGGTAGTCTGTCATGCTGAACTAGGCAGGTGCTAAGGAGCGGGTGTGGGGATGGGAGATGGCGGAGCTCGGCTTCTCCCTCAGACTGGCCCCGATACTTAGAATATAATTTCCTAGATCTCCAGCAAGCAGGACTGGAGGAGGCAGGGGTCCCAAACTCTGGTAGTTCCTTTGGTCCGGATGGGGTCCCGGGTTCCTGAAAGAGGAAATCCAGGTCTCTGGAGATCCCCTGATGTCTGCTTGCCCCTTCTGGTGCCCCCAGCCTGTCCAGGCACGGAGGACCTCCGGCAGGGGATACCCGCCCAGGAATTCCCAGGCTAGACTGGTGCAAGTGACTCTCCCGCCCCACCAAGGGACCCCGGGCTGGAAATGAAGTGACCGTGGAGGGTGGGGCGGGCCGGGTCCCGGTGTCGCTGCCCGCGAGGGTGGGATTGATGTACCCTGCCCTCCCCGCCAAGCCCCCAATACCGGAAGTCGCTGTAGGGGTGGATGATCCAGGCCCCCGCTGACTTCACCCGCTCCTGCTCGATTTCCACTGCTTTGTGGCTGCCGAACACCCGAAGGGAGAACTTGTTGACCGTAGGCTGGAGCAGCGTCCCAAGGTGCCTCCTCTTAGGCTCAGGCCCAGATTTGGGGATCGGACCTGAGGCCGCGGTCGCAGGCGGGGGAGCAACGGGAGGCACCGCCTCCAGTCCAGGGGTCGCCCCTTCGCTGGCCCCCGCCGCCGGCCGCTGCTCTGCCTCCATGGCGCCCACCCCGCTTACACGCTCGGCCTCCTAGAGCCCTCTGTGGCCATCAGGTACCCGCAACCCCTCCAGAGCAGGAGTCGGCGCAGCCCCGCGGGCTCTAGCGGAGGCGTCGTAGGCTCGGAATCGCCGGCGCGCGGGGCGGAGGGGGTGTGTGCTAGACTGGCGGGCGGCGGGCGGGCTGCGCGGCGCCCCCTGGCGAGGGCCGCGCCAAGACCGGGCGGGGCTGGGACGCCGGGATCCTGGAGGAACTCCGAGAGGGGCGTGGCTTAGCAAAGAAGGCGGGGAGCGCAGCCTGAGCCAGGGAGAGGGCGTGGCCTAGCGTTGGCCTTTCATCCACTGAGAACCAGGGAGGAGGAGCCCCCTGCAGTGGCGGGAAAATCGGACGCGGGTTTGTAGCTTGAAGGACTTGGGAGGGAGAGGGATTGGGGACCAATGGAAGAAGTGGAAATGGCTTTTGGGATTCTTCTCCACTCTCGCCCAGGGACTTCTGTCCTGCTCCCGTCTTCTCTCAACACTGTCCTAGGCATATTCTTGTCTTTTGGTCTCCTCCGAACTGCTTCCCCTAGTATTTAATTTCCTAATTCATTCTGTCAGCCTTCACCAAGTGCAACTCTGCCTGTCATTGAGTGGATGCTGAGGAAACAAAAATGAATACAAAAGTCCTAGTCTTAGCATCTCCATGTAGTAATGGAAAACAACACAAAACAAAACAAAAACAAAGGCCTAGCCATAAAGCCACTGCTCATCTGTGCCCAACGACAGACAGGTAAATTGCAGTGCTATGCGAAGTGCTACAAATTCCTAAATATCTCAAATTCTCCCCTTCATCTCCAATTCTTATTACCACTGCCTCATTTCAAGCCCTCAGCATTTTTTCACTTAAATTACTTCGGAAACCTCTAAAAGAGTCTTCAACCTCTTCCAGGCCAATTCTTCTTCCATTCCCTGCCAGTTACCTTCCTAAAATCCAACTATGGCTGTGTCACTTGCTTGAAGCCCATCAAGCTTTCCCATCTTCTACAGGGGTACATTTAAGCTGCTTAGCATGGTGTACCAGGCCCAAAAAATTTGGACCTAGTTTCAACAGTCTCTCTTCTGACAGTCCCTCTCTTGAAAGCCACAGCCCCAATCATGCTGAAAGACTTTGTGCTGCCTTGTCTCTATGCTTTTGCAAATATTTTCTCTGCCTGGTATTCTCCTCCAATTCACTTTCGAACAGTTGGTTCAGATCTTGCTTTCTCTAGGAAACCTAGGAACACATTTCCAACTCTCCTTTCCTCAGGTAGGGTCTATTCTAGAGCTTTTTTACAGCAGCCAGGGCACCACTGTTTTGAGCAACTCATGTCACAGGGCTACCATTATTATTATTATTTTAGAGATGAGGTCACACTATGTTGCCCAGGCTGGTTTTGAACTCAGAGCTCAAGTGATCTTCCTGCCTTGGCTTCCCAAAGTGCTAGGATTACAGGCATGAGCATGGTCTCATTATTTATTTACAGATTTTCTCTCCTGTTAGATTGTGAAACTCTGAGAAACAGGAACCTTGCACCTGGCATAATTCTGGACACATAGTGGACATTCAGTAAATGCTTGTTGAATGAATTAATAATCTAGGAAAATGTTCCAGGAGGTGGAAGTGAAATCTTTACTTCTCTCTCCCCGACTCCTTCATTGATTGCTCTCCATGTTCTATTCCAGGGAACTTCTCTAAACTATGTCTGGTTATCTGATCTAACCTCCATCTGACCATCCTTCATCCAGCTCCTCTCTAATATTTCCTGACTTTATTTATTTACTCATTCTAGAGTCAGGGTCTTGCTCTGTTGCTCAAGCTGGAGTGCAGTGGTGTGATCATGACCCACTGCAGCCTCAAAGCAATCTTCCCACCTCAGTTTCCTGAGTAGCTGGGACTACAGGTGTGAGCCACCTTGCTCAGCTCCCTGACTTTAATATCGTTATTCTCAGATTATATTATTTCTCTTTCAATTGACCTTTCTGACCACTTCTCAATTCCTTCTGTAAAGTCTCTAACTCTTTCTCTTTCTCATTTTCTTTTTTTCTTTTCTTTTCTTTTTTTTTTTTTTTTTTTTTTGAGATAGAGTCTCACTCTGTCGCCCAAGCTGGAGTGCAGTGGCACGATCACGGGTCACTACAGCCTCAACCTCCCCAGGCTCAGGTGATCCTCCCACCTCAGCCTCCCGAGTAGCTGGGACTACAGGTGGGAGACACCATGAATGGCTAATTTTTATTTTTTATTTTATTTTATTTTAGACACAGTCTCACTCTGTCGCCCAGGCTGGAGTGCAATGGCACCATCTCGGCTCACTGCAACCTCCACCTTCTGGATTCAAGCGATTCTCGTGCCTCAGCCTTCCAAATAGCTGGGATTACAGGCACCTGCCATCACACCCGGCTAATTTTTGTATTTTTAGTAGAGACAGGGTTTCACCAGGTTGGCCAGGCTGGTCTCGAACTCCTGTGCTCAAGTGATCCACCTTCCTGGGCCTCCAAAACTGTTGGGATTACAGGCATGAGCCACCGCGCTTGGCCTAATTTTTGTATTTTTTTTTTTTTTTTTTTTTTTTTTTTTGAGACGGAGTCTCGCTGTCGCCCAGGCTGGAGTGCAGTGGCGCAATCTCGGCTCACTGCAGGCTCCGCCCCCTGGGGTTCACGCCATTCTCCTGCCTCAGCCTCCCGAGTAGCTGGGACTACAGGCGCCCGCCACCTCGCCCGGCTAATTTTTTGTATTTTTAGTAGAGACGGGGTTTCACCGTGTTAGCCAGGATGGTCTCGATCTCCTGACCTCGTGATCCGCCCGCCTTGGCCTCCCAAAGTGCTGGGATTACAGGCGTGAGCCACCGCGCCCGGCCTTGTATTTTTTTAAGAGTCTGGGTTTTGCCCTGTTGCCCAGGCTGTCTCAAACTCCTATGCTTAAGTGATCCACCCACGTTGGCCTCCCAAAGTGTTGGTATTACAGGCGTGAGCCACCTCGCCCAGCCTTCCTGTTCTTTTTTAAGATTTAGTAAACTGGCCAAGCGCCGTGGCTGATGCTTGTAATCCCAGCACTTTGGGAGGCCGATGGGGGAGGATTGCTTGAGCTCAGGGGTTCAAGACTAGCCTGGGTAACAAAGTGAGGCACTATCTCTACAAGAAAAAAAAAAATAGCTGGGCGTGGTGATGCGCGCTTTTTTTTTTTTTTTTTTTTTTTTTTGAGACAGAGTCTCGCTCTGTCACCCAGGCTGCAGTGCAATGGCCCGATCTCGGCTCACTGCAACCTCCGCCTCCCGGGTTCAAGCGATTCTCCTACCTCAGCCTCCTGAGTAGCTGGGATTACAGGCGCCCGCCACCATGCCCGGCTAATTTTTGTATTTTTAGTAGAGACGGGATTTCACCATGTTGATCAGGCTAATCTCGAACTCCTGACCTCGTGATCCGCCCGCCTCGGCTTCCCAAAGTGTTGGGATTATAGGCGAGAGCCACCGCGCCCGGCCCTAGTAAACTTGTATTTCTCACACATTATGTAAGCCACCTTAGGATACAGTTCTCAAGTAAGTCCCCCTTTTCGGCACCCGATTCTCCAACCCTCCATTGCTCAAACCTTTCCTCCATGGCTGTGTCCCCACCCCGAGTCGTGCATAACTTTTGTTGATGACAAAAGGTGGCAGACTTTTGTCCTGGGGATAGGTAGGTGAAGTGTTTTAAGAAATGGTTATTTTCAGGCTATGCAGAAGAATGAGACTTCACCATCAAGCCTCACTACAGTCAGGCTTGCAGAGCAGCGACACTGTATTGACAATGACAATCCTTTCTTTTAAACTCCAAACCTAACTAAGCCACACGTCTCCATGCAAAGGGTAAAAGATTGAAGACGGAGTGGGAAAGGACAGGAGGCGGGGCATAGCGGGCCTGGAAGGCTTCCAGCTTGTCCCTGTGGACCCTCCTCGCCCCTATGAACTTCCGCCCCCAGTACCTCCGAGGCTCTGACAGGCGGATGCCTGCCAACTACGTGAGCACGTGGTGGCGCGCGCGGTCCTGGGGGCGGAGCCCAGGGGGTAGCTGGGAAGCGACGCAGGACGTCGGTCCGTGCGTACGTGCTCGCTCACGGCGGCGGCGGCGGAGCGGAGAGGCCAGAGCCGGAGACCGAGCTGGGATCGGGCCCCGGGCGGGGGCGGTGCGAGCGGCGCCAAGCAGATCTTAGGGGCGGGGACGGAGCCGGGGCGGGCGGGACTGAAGCGGAGCCCGGGAACGGGGCGGGAGGTCCCAGGGTCCCGGGTTGGGGGGGTGGAGCAGCATTTCGTCGCCGCGGGGGTGCCGGGACTCCGGCCGCAGTGTCGCCGCCATCACGGACTTCCTGTGGGACAAGCGCACGGGCCTCGCCGCCAGAACGGTGAGCGCGCGGGTTGGCTGGCCGCGCGAAAAGATGGCGACCGCGGGGCGGGCGGGGTTAGGCTTGGGTTGGGGGCAAGGGACGGGGGCGAGATTTGGAGAGGAGGAGAGTTGAGACCTACGAAGCGACGGAGTAGGGAGATGAGGGGGAAGGAGGTCGGCCTGCGTTAGATGTACCAAGAAGACCTGTAGGAAGCTTGGGCGGAACCAGACTAGAAGGGATGATAGAGTAAGGATGGGAGTGGTTCCAGAGATGTGAAGGAGTGGAATATCAAAGTTGGACTCGGGTCCAATCAAAGCTGGAGGGGAGGAATACATCACCGTGTCACTTGGAACATGCAGGAAGAATTTGCCTGTAGGAGTTCTGGATTTTCTGAGTAAGAAAGGAAAAAGCAAAAGATTTCAAACTTGAGAAAGGTAGGCTAGTGATGTTTTGAGGGGACAGTGCTGTGAGGCCGTTTGATGGTAGTATGTGGTGAGATGGCATTTATGTGGCTATGCTGATTAGGATAACTATGCTGGGAAAATCTTGTGCTTGCAGCTTGGTATGCTACCGGCCCCAGTTACACCAAGAATGCATCAAATACCACCCTCCTCAATTTGGGGAGGTTGGGAAGAAGTGATACAGAATGGTGGTCAGACATCGGAATCATTAAACCTTTTGCATACGCGATTCTCATACACCCCCACCAAGACTTATGTCCCTGGGCCTGTTTCATTTTATTGTGCCTTCCTATTCTCATCTTCCTGGATTGTGACAGTGATTTTTCTCTTTTTTCCTTGAAGGAAAAAAAGGATTTGTGAACCATCCCATTCCAATTCCATTAACTGGAAGGTGGCCAGCTGTCAGCTAAGTAGGGCTGATATTAATTAAAAACCACTTACTGGCCAGGCGCGGTGGCTCACATCTGTAATCCCAGCACTTTGGGAGGCCAAGGCGGGCGGATCACCTGAGGTTGGGAGTTCGAGACCAGCCTGACCAACATGGAGAAACCCTGTCTCTACTAAAAATACAAAATTAGCTGGGCGTGGCGGCGCATGCCTGTAATCCCAGCTACTCGGGAGGCTGAGGCAGGAGAATCGCTTGAACCCTGCAGGCGGAGGTTATGGTGAGCCGAGATTGCGCCATTGCACTCCAGCCTGGGCAACAAGAGCAAAACTCCGTTTCAAAAAAAAAAAAAAAAACACAAGAAACAGTTGTTATCTACGTCTTAAGCACAAGAGTGGAGGGGCCAGATGGGATGCTGACTGTATTTTGTGGCCTACTACATTAAAACCTCTCAAGGGAGAGTTGGCCAAAGATGTGAGAGATGATTAAGTTAATTCAAGGGGCCCGACCCAGATCCCTGGAGCTGATAGTATTTGGCGTTTACCTGGTATATGTAGAAACCTGGGAGACTGGATTCCTACCCTCAGGACACTGATAGTCTACTTGAGGAGATGAGATGTACTCTTAATGAGTGTACAACATTTATCATAACTGTAAACCAAAGCTTTACTCTATTGACTTGTGAGGAACTCAGCATCACACAGATCTATATCTTAGATCCTGAACGGGGATACACTGTGGCAGTCTCCATCGGTCGTCATACACTTTGCTCTGTAGTGAACTGTGTCCTAGACCTGAAGGTCTTCATGGAGCTGTGTTTGAAGAAAATAAGGATAGAACACTTGAACTGGCTGGGTGCGGTGGCTCACGCCTGTAATCCCAGCACTTTGGGAGGCCGAGGCAGGAGGATCACGAGGTCAGGAGTTTGAGACCATCCTGGCCAACATGGTGAAACCCCGTCTCTACTAAAAATATAAAAATTAGCCAGGAGTGGTGGTGCGTGCCTGTAATCCCAGCTACACAGGAGGCTGAGGCAGGAGAGTTGCTTGAACCTGGGAAGTGGAGGTTGCAGTGAGCCGAGATTGTGCCACTGCACTCCAGCCTGGCCACACAGCGAGACTCTGTCTCAAGAATAAAATAAGAACACTTGAACTGAGGGGTGGGTAATGAGGGATGGGTTTGGGGGCTTTCTAGAGTTTCAGCCAGAGTTAGTAGGTGGCTGTACTCCAATAAGGAGGAATTGTAAGTACAGAGGAAGACTGAGGAAGTTGTGCCTGGTAAAAAGAGGCAGAAATAAGAGGGGAAAGCAGCTTAGCATCTTTGGAGCAGCCAGTCCTTGGAGGAGATTTCTGAAAACTCGAAACTTTCCTATTTCCGCTTTCCCTTGCCTTCCAGATGCCGCATCCTCGAAGGTACCACTCCTCAGAGCGAGGCAGCCGGGGGAGTTACCGTGAACACTATCGGAGCCGAAAGCATAAGCGACGAAGAAGTCGCTCCTGGTCAAGTAGTAGTGACCGGACACGACGGCGTCGGCGAGAGGACAGCTACCATGTCCGTTCTCGAAGGTGAGGCCTCAGGAAGAGATACTCAAACACAGGGTCACTCGCTCATTCCTTTGTTCAACAAATACTTATTGGTTATATGCTAAAACCATTGCCTTAAGTAGCTGGCTGAAGGTAATGTCGGGATAGATAACCAAAGAAGCCATTTGGGCTGCAGTGTTAAGTGTTAGAATACATAATGAGGAACTGAGGACGTACCCAGTGCGTTTGGTTGGAGTGGGGCAGGATGTTAATTCAGATAAAACATTGCAGAGAAAGCAACATCTGTATATGTCTGGAGGACAAGTAGAGTCAGGTGGGGGAAGTGTCTTTGGGCAGAGGGAAAGCATGTGCAAAGGACTGGGAGCTACAGGTAACTAATAAGCTAACAGATAAGACAAAGTTAGATCTTTGTGTTTTTAATTTTTTAAAAATTTTAAAATATCATTTATTTATTTTTGAGACAGAGTTTCACTCTGTTGCCCAGGCTGGAGTGCAGTGGCAAGATCTCAGCTCACTGCAAACTCTATGGCCCCAGGTTCAAGCGATTCTTGTGCCTCAGCCTCCCAAGTACCTGGGACTACAGGCATGCGCCATCATGCCTGGCTAATTTTTTTTTTTTTTTTTTGTATTTTTAGTAGAGACAGGATTTCACCATGTTGGCCTCAAACTCCTGACCTCAAGTGCTCCACCTGCCTTGGCCTCCCAAAGTGCTGGGATTACAGGCGTGAGCCACTGTGCCCGGCCCAGTTTTAATATTTTAGTGGTATGTTCAGTGGAAAGAATGGGTTAAGGATGGTTTAGAGCAAGGGGGGATTTCATTCAGGAAAGCTTGAGAAAAAAATGGCTCTTTGTTTCTTTGTATCACTGCAGCGGGAAAAAGGCCCCAATAGGGAGTGGTTCTGCAGATGCCTTTTCAGAGGTTTTGGTGACATGGCAGATGTGCTTGTTACCTCACTTCTCTGGTCCCTTGGTCCTCTCAGTGACTCAACAAGTGTCTGAGAACAGTTTTCTAGCATTACTCTTTGTCCTCACTAAGGCAGGACCTTGTCACAGGGTATGGTAGGGAATGTGATCTGAACAGATACACCTCATTGGTATTTGTTATCCAACAGCAGTTATGATGATCGTTCGTCCGACCGGAGGGTGTATGACCGGCGATACTGTGGCAGCTACAGACGCAACGATTATAGCCGGGATCGGGGAGATGCCTACTATGACACAGACTATCGGCATTCCTATGAATATCAGCGGGAGAACAGCAGTTACCGCAGCCAGCGCAGCAGCCGGAGGAAGCACAGACGGCGGAGGAGGCGCAGCCGGACATTTAGCCGCTCATCTTCGGTGAGTGCCAGCCCAGGCCCTTCCTCTCCCCACTCTTCTGCAGGCCCTCTAGGACTCTGGTAAGTGAGCAGTATCCTTGTTCTCAGCTGAACATTGGGGCATGAACACTGAGGTGGGCACTGAGTTTGCCTACTTTCTTGGAAGCTCTCCGACTCTTGAAGGGCCCTGGATCTGCTTTGGAGATGGATGGGCACGGAGCATTTGTGACCCCCAGTGCTCTCCCTGGCATGTTGGGCTTATTGTGTTGGGAGCAGCTTCTCCGCCCCAGCGGCCTCCACTCTTTAATGGGGACCTTGCTTGTGAACTGCCTTTTTCCCCCAAGCCCTGGGCTCTGTAGCCCCCTTGGCAGGCGGGCTTGGGTGGGGGCAAGGGGAGATCTGTGTCTGCCCGGAAGGGCATTGTGTAGAGCATGGGGTTGTGGGTGACATTGGCAACAACACCACTTCTCTGCTCTGCCCATGCCTCTCCCTGTTCCTGTTTTGGGTTTGGGGACTTGGGATTATGCGCCGCTCTCTCTTCTCACACCGATCCACCTTACTGCATCTGACGTGTTCCCTTCCACTGTCCCCCATCATCGTCTGTCCCCCCTGGCTGGGCGCCTGTGACCGGTGACCCCTCTACCACCCACCCCGCCTCCCTCCGGCCCCCGCTCCGACACCTGGCTTGCTCCGACCCCCCCTGCCCCCCGACAGCAGCACAGCAGCCGGAGAGCCAAGAGTGTAGAGGACGACGCTGAGGGCCACCTCATCTACCACGTCGGGGACTGGCTACAAGAGCGATGTACAAGCCAAATCGTAACAATCCTATAGCCTGTAATGGTCCCATAGCCATCCTAACGTCCCAAGCCAACCTGAGTCACAGCCTCTTGCCTTTTCTCAGTGGTGTTGTTTATCTGGGTGGTTTGAGTTGCTGTTGAGAATTGACCTCTGTTGTCCACTCCCAGCTCTCACGGCCCCTGGGTTAAAGGTGGTGGGAATCACGCAGGGGTTTTCTTCCCCTGTGACCATCTGTATCTGTTCCCCTTCCTTCATCTCCACCCCAGGTTGCTGTCCCCTTTTTTCTTCCAACTCAGCTCATTCCCCACCTTCTCTCCCTCCCTCTCCCCGACCCTGCTCTCTTTCATTTCAGATGAAATCGTTAGCACCTTAGGAGAGGGGACCTTCGGCCGAGTTGTACAATGTGTTGACCATCGCAGGTAACTGTCAGTCCCTCCCTACTATGTGGGGCTAAAGAGATGGTTGGGGTTATATGGGGCTTTTTTGCTAATTAACCTGAGGTAGAATTTCTTAGTCCCCCTACAGCCCTGTTCATTTTGAGACATTCTTGAGAACCCAGCAAAAGCCTCTCCTGCCAACTTACAGGGGTGGGGCTCGAGTTGCCCTGAAGATCATTAAGAATGTGGAGAAGTACAAGGAAGCAGCTCGACTTGAGATCAACGTGCTAGAGAAAATCAATGAGAAAGACCCTGACAACAAGAAGTAAGCAAGCAAGGAAGTATGTAGGGAGGCTGAGAGCCCCAACCCCTACACGGGAGAGACTTCTAGACCTGGTTTAGGCAGACAGGGGAGTCCTAGACCTTCTCATCCATTCATCTTTTGTTCATCATCTTAGAGTAGTAGAACATCAGGGTAGGAAAGGGGGGGGGCCCATGACATTCCTTAATCCACTCCCCTTGTTTTCAGGGAAGTTAGATTGCTCTGTCGTTTGACCCCAGCCTAGAATGGCTTCTGTAGAGATATACCCTGGACATAGCCCTAGGACTGAGCATCAACCTCATCGAACAATGAATTAAGCTTTTATAAGTAGAACTATGCTGATAAGGCCACAGACATTTATGCAGTAATATTTTGTTCACATACATTCACAGTCCAAAAATAGAATAAGGACTTTAAGCCAAGATATGAGGCCAGTAGGTATAAATAGGAGCCCAGTGGTAGCTAGTGGTGAATGAATATCAGGAGTTGGGCTGGGGTTGGGATTTAGGATGGACAGTTTGATGATTCAGGATCTATACTGTTTGGAGCTTGGCACTCCACAGCTCTTCAGCAAATAGTTTTTGAACTATTTAAAATGACGCAGGAAGATATTTTGAAACTTGGGCTGGGCATGGTGGCTCACGCCTGTAATCCCAGCACTTTGGAGGCCGAGGCGGGTGGATCACAATGTCAGGAGTTCGAGACCAGCCTGGCCAATATGGTGAAACCCCGTCTGTACTAAAAATAAAAAAATTAGCCGGGCATGGTGGTGGACAACTGTAGTCCCAGCTACTTGGAAGGCTGAGGCAGGAGAATCGCTTGAACAGGAGGCAGAGGTTGCAGTGAGCCAAGATCGCGCCACTGCACTCCAGCCTGGGTGACAGAGTGAGACGCCATCTCAAAAACAAAAAAGAAAAAAACCTGGCAGATAGTACCATTCTTCTTGGGTCTGGTAGAGGCTACTCCTTAGCTGAACTGAATTTTGGTGTTAGTACTAGCTGGCATGGTTTTACACAAGTATGTGGAATCAACAGCTATGAAGTACCTCCTTGTTGGATGGCTGATGGGCAGATGGGAGCTCATCAGACAACCCCCCTTCCCCCATCTCTCTTCTCAGCCTCTGTGTCCAGATGTTTGACTGGTTTGACTACCATGGCCACATGTGTATCTCCTTTGAGCTTCTGGGCCTTAGCACCTTCGATTTCCTCAAAGACAACAACTACCTGCCCTACCCCATCCACCAAGTGCGCCACATGGCCTTCCAGCTGTGCCAGGCTGTCAAGTGTGAGTGGGGTGGGCCGAAGTGGACTCTGGGGCAGTCCCTCCCTTCATTGGATCTCTCTGTCGGTTGTGCACTGGTGAAGCCCCTAAACAGTCAGCTGTCTGTTATCTGCAGTTCTTTGATTTACTGTCATCTTGAAACGTCTTCTGACTTAACTCCTTGACTGATGTCTTTATCGTCACTGATTGCTCTTACTCTACACCTAGCCTAGCAGCAGCTAGAAGAGAAAGCCTTTGGAATCAAAGCACTTAATTACCCTCCCCTTTTCCTTTCTCCCTTTCTTGGGAAAGCATCAGTCAGACAGCAAACATAAAGAGACAAAAATACACTCCTTAGGGTAAAGGCTTACATTTGTCTGGGATGAGATGTTCATTCACAGCAAAGGAGATGGGAACACAGAGTATGTAGTTCAGCTAAGGGGCAAGGTGGGGAATTCAAAGAAATATATCATTCCTCTGGAGTCATCAAAATAATACAGTTTCACAGAATTGAGTTAACATAATGCCAGCTAGACACATGTCAAAGTGTGTACACACTACAACTCAAAGCAAACTTTTTTTTTTTTACATCAGTTGAGCTACATATGTATCTTACATTAGAAAGAGCAGAGCTTCTTAGACCAGGCATTCCATTTAGACGTAGAGCAGAAAGCA
Organism: Homo sapiens; assembly: GCF_000001405.40. Classification (NCBI taxonomy): domain Eukaryota; kingdom Metazoa; phylum Chordata; class Mammalia; order Primates; family Hominidae; genus Homo; species Homo sapiens. Next base: position 155,266,077 of record NC_000001.11, on the reverse strand, counting down.
GCCCTAGTGATTCTGGACCTGTCTCCTCACTGGCTTTGCCCTAGGTAACCAGGCCTGGGGTCAGCTGATACCAGTTAGCTCTGGCCACCTGCACCAAGCCTGACCTGGCCTTCTCCCCTACAGTCCTCCATGATAACAAGCTGACACATACAGACCTCAAGCCTGAAAATATTCTGTTTGTGAATTCAGACTATGAGCTCACCTACAACCTAGAGAAGGTAAGATGGATAGGGTCTGCCCTTGGTTACTGGGGGCAGGCAGCTGCACCACTTTGCCTTCTGCCGAGCCCTTTGTTTTCTCCCTTTTATTTCGTCCTCCCACATTTTCTCCCTGTCTGGCTCCAACTGGGTAAAACTAAATAGGTTGAAAGGGAGAAATCTCTTAAGAAGACTTAAATTGGGAGATAACTTGTACAGGGGACTTCAGATAACTTTCCAGTAGAGTGAAAGTTTTTAAGGTTCTTGGTTTGGACTTTATTTATTTATTTATTTATTTATTTATTTATTTATTTGAGACAGAGTCTCACTCTGTTGCCCAGACTGATGTGCAGTGGCATAATCTCGGCTCACTGCAACCTCTACCTCCCAGGTTTAAGTGATTCTCCTGCCTCAGCCTCTGGAGTAGCTGGGATTACAGGCACCCGCCACCACGCCTGGCTAGTTTTTGTGTTTTTAGTAGAGATGGGGTTTTGCCATGTTGGCCAGGCTGGTCTCGAACCCCTAACCTCAGGTGATCTGCCTGTCTCGGGCTCCCAGAATGCTGGGATTACGGGTGTGAGCCACAGTGCCTGGCCCGGACTTCTTTTTTGAGATGTGTATTTCTGTGAGGTAGGAAAGCTCGGCTCCTTTGACTAACTGGAGATAATGGAGATCTCAGACCTAAAGAAGCTCTCCCTCCTTTGACCCCTTTGCTACATGTTACATATTTTTAGAGAAACTCCTTTGCTACATGTTACATTTTTTCAGAAAAACCCATTTGCTACATGTTACATTTTTTCAGAAAAACCCATTTGCTACATGTTACATGTTTTCAGAATAACTATATATCTGGCACTTGAGTGTAGTCTTCAGATGCTTACAGATGTGCACGCTGTTCTATAATCATTTCTTAATCCTTTTGCTCCCCTACTTCTAAAAGTATTATGCTGGATGTGGTGGAAGCTGTAAAACAGGAATTTCCCAGGGCTTGTAAGGCCAGGCAGGAGATCACAGTACCTTTTTTAAGGCTCAGAAGCAATGTAGAGAATACTGGTGGAATCTCAGTCTGGGTGCAGAGGTTCATCCTCTTTCTCCTCTGCTCCTAGAAGCGAGATGAGCGCAGTGTGAAGAGCACAGCTGTGCGGGTGGTAGACTTTGGCAGTGCCACCTTTGACCATGAGCACCATAGCACCATTGTCTCCACTCGCCATTACCGAGCACCAGAAGTCATCCTTGGTAAGGGAGGGCAAGGCTGTCCAAGTGTGTGAGATGATGTGAGGGTGGGGCCACCTAAGCCTCATAACACCTTTTCCCTCCCATTCTCACCCAGAGTTGGGCTGGTCACAGCCTTGTGATGTGTGGAGTATAGGCTGCATCATCTTTGAATACTATGTGGGATTCACCCTCTTCCAGGTAAGTGATGGGATGTCTTACTTGACTGCCTGGCATTCTTCTACCTGGTTCCTTTGTTTTCTGCTGAGGACCTGCCTACTCAGTTCTCCACATTGCCTGCCTTCCTGGCAGCTGATCCTTAGCATGCCCTTTTCAGTCCCATGCTCAGTTCTGTTTTTGTTTCCCAGACCCATGACAACAGAGAGCATCTAGCCATGATGGAAAGGATCTTGGGTCCTATCCCTTCCCGGATGATCCGAAAGACAAGGTGAACCTTGAGGGGGCACTAGTTAACTCTTTTCCTTTTCTCTCCACAGAATTGGTCTATTTCACATCATTTTCTTTTTTCTTTGATACCTCCTCTCCCCCCAGTTACTTTCAGATGGGGAAATAAGGGAATTGTAACAAGGGTGACCTTCTGATTCCTCAACCTCCCCTTCCCCTCTAGAAAGCAGAAATATTTTTACCGGGGTCGCCTGGATTGGGATGAGAACACATCAGCTGGGCGCTATGTTCGTGAGAACTGCAAACCGCTGCGGGTGAGCTGGGCTCGGGATAAATAGTGCCCACCGTCCAGAAGTCACTTCCTTCTTAGGGTGGTTTGCCCCCTGGAATGCTCTTCACAAGCAGAGGGTTAGGAAAGGAGGGGAGGAAAGCTGAAAGAAGACATCTTTGGTCAACAGAGGAAACATAAGAGGGAGTGGTTTTGTGGAGGGAAGGAGGTTAGACAGCCTAACCTTGAGACAACCAGAGATCAAAGCAATGTCCTGGATTCTTTAGGTCAGACAGAAAAGAATAAACTACCTTTGAAGAGCTTACATTTTAATGAGGAACTAAAGAAGATTCATGAAGTTGACAAGGATATACAAGTAGAAAGAACTTTCAAAGATTATGGAGTAATTGTGCTAGTGGGAAGGTAGGTTGAGCTATAATATCAGAAACGTTGGTCCTGGTGTGGTCGTGGTTAGGTAGCCTTCAAATTGGTTGCAAGCAGAGCCTTGGTTCTCCAAGAATGAAAGGTAGGGTCTTGAAGAAGGCAGGGTTTGTAAGGCATCCTGCCTCACCTTTTTCCTGCCCTCCTCCACCAGCGGTATCTGACCTCAGAGGCAGAGGAACACCACCAGCTCTTCGATCTGATTGAAAGCATGCTAGAGTATGAACCAGCTAAGCGGCTGACCTTGGGTGAAGCCCTTCAGCATCCTTTCTTCGCCCGCCTTCGGGCTGAGCCGCCCAACAAGTTGTGGGACTCCAGTCGGGATATCAGTCGGTGACGATCAGGCCCTGGGCCCCCCTGCATCTTTTATAGCAGTGGGTGTCCAGTCCAGGACACTGGTGCTTTTTTATACAAGAGAACGAGCCAGAGTTCACTCCTTCCTCCTGGCTCTCTATATACCTGTGAATATGTGAAATAGTGTAAATATGAAAGAACTTGTACCTATCACTTCAACCCCTGCCTTGTACATAATACTATTCCATCCACACAGTTTCCACCCTCACCTGCCCCCTCATACGGAGTTGGATGGGGGCCGAGTGAGGTAACCAGGTGGCATCTACCCCATGTTTTATAAGGAATTTTGTACAGTCTTTGTGAAATAAAATAACGTGCTTCATTTGACCCCCATCCCTGGAGTTGGAGGTTTGGGAATGCTGGGGTGGAGGGATGAAACTATTGGCAAACTTTCTGAGTTTGGGTATGAAGGGAGTCCTCCTTACCCTCCAAAATGAAGCACAGCCAGGCTACCAGTTTATTTCCCCTGTCCACCTTATCATATGGGAGGGTAGTGATGGGTGGGGCAGCATTTCTTTCAGATTAAAACAGAGAAGTGTTATGAGGTGGCACTTCTCGGATGTGGAATTATGAGAGTTGGGAAAGATCTGACTCCTAGAGTCATTAGGCCGCGGCCCAGTATAGAGCCAGAAACTCAGGTTGAAAACGTGCTCAACCTGGCTCCTAGGGGGGATTGCCACGACCGGTCAGAAGGCTCCCGTCGTCCATCTCGGGAGACTAGGAAGGCCGGATTCCTACGCGAGGCCTGCTGGGAAGTGTAGTTCGTTAGTGGAAGGAAGTCACATGGAAGAGGGGCGGTAGTTGGTTGTGGGCACTGGGTTAGAGGTATCACGTGGGGGCACTTTCGTCTTAGCTTTTGGACAAGACGCAGGCGCAACCCACGGCTGCTGCGGGGATCCTTGTGGCCCTTCCGGTCGGTGGAACCAATCCGTGCACAGAGAAGCGGGGCGAACTGAGGCGAGTGAAGTGGACTCTGAGGGCTACCGCTACCGCCACTGCTGCGGCAGGGGCGTGGAGGGCAGAGGGCCGCGGAGGCCGCAGTTGCAAACATGGCTCAGAGCAGAGACGGCGGAAACCCGTTCGCCGAGCCCAGCGAGCTTGACAACCCCTTTCAGGTGACTTGCGCCAGTCGGCCTCTTTTGGGCGGTCAGGTTGATTCTTCCCGGTTCTGTAGGGTCGGGCTAACTTGTATCCCCATTTGTGACATTTGATCCTGGGAAGAGCCGCCACGTGGGGTGACAGTGACTCCAGACCAGTGAGCACTCTGGGGGGCGGGCCCTGCCCCTTAATGGGCTGGTGCTGGCAGTGTTGGATGATGGATTTGAGGTAAATGTTGTCCCAGTCCTGGGACAACGGCGTGGCCCCGAAGGTGCAGTACTTGGAGCCACAGGCAGTTTGGGAATGGTCCCTGGGAATTCCCCTAGGTGGCACTGGGTGCCAGCTGAGACCCGGGTCTCTGCCCTCAGGACCCAGCTGTGATCCAGCACCGACCCAGCCGGCAGTATGCCACGCTTGACGTCTACAACCCTTTTGAGACCCGGGAGGTGAGCTACTGGAGAGCATAGGAGTTCAAGGAAGGGAAGGGTTTGCCAGTGAGACAAGTTAGCTTGGGTACAGGGGACTTTTCTGCATGCACAGGAAGGAAGAGGCACTGTGATCTTAGTTCCCTGAGAGAGGCTAGTCAGCCATGGGATGCCTCATCCTTCTAGGGCCACCAGGGCCACCAACCCAAATGGTTTGAGCTCTAAAAGTCAGTCCTGGGAAGATCTGGAGGCTGGCAAGGCCTTAACCAATGTTCTGTATGGGAAGGCTTTCTTGAAGAAAATAAAGGTTGGGGCTGGTTGGAGTTTAGGTTAGGTGTGCAGTTTGAAAGCAAGGAATGAGGAGGACTACACCTGTTTGTCCCACTGGATTAGAAGATGGTGAGTTGTAAGAATTTAAGGGGTTTTCATGGTACTTAAAACTTAAAAAAAAAAGCCAAGCATGGTGTGCATGCCTGTAATCCCACTTGGGAGGCTGAGGTGGGAGGATTGCTTGAGCCCAGGAATTTGATGGAGACCATCCTGGGCAACAGCGAGACCCCCATCTCTTGAAACGTTTTAAAAATTGGCTAGGTGTAGTGGCACATGCCTGTAGTCCTTGCTACTTGGGAGGCTGGGATGGAAAGACTGCTTGGGCCCAGGAGTTTGAGGCTTCGATGAGTGATGATTGCACCACTGCACTCCAGCCTGGGTGGCAGAGAGACAACCCCACACTCCATCCCCAGAAGAAAAGAAAAAAAAAAAACACAGTTAAGTGGGGAGATATGGTAAATGAGTGATTTGAGTCCTCACTAAGGAATTGGATATGAGGGATGATAAGGCTGCTACAGGTCATCATAGAGTTCTCTGACAGAAATTCAACAGAAGAACTAGCTTCCTAACAAATGGGGGAAAGGCTGCTTCCTTACATCATGAGTTCTGGGTCTAAAGGTATTCAAGCAGACTCTAGATTCCTGTGTTATGAGGGACTAGATGATCACTAAGGTCTTTTCCTCAACAGCCACCACCAGCCTATGAGCCTCCAGCCCCTGCCCCATTGCCTCCACCCTCAGCTCCCTCCTTGCAGCCCTCGAGAAAGCTCAGCCCCACAGAACCTAAGAACTATGGCTCATACAGCACTCAGGTACAGGAGGTGTGCAGGTGAGGGCTGGGGAGAAGGGCCAGTCCTGGGGCCCAGGGCTCACATCTCCGTCTGCTCACACTGGGCAGGCCTCAGCTGCAGCAGCCACAGCTGAGCTGCTGAAGAAACAGGAGGAGCTCAACCGGAAGGCAGAGGAGTTGGACCGAAGGGAGCGAGAGCTGCAGCATGCTGCCCTGGGGGGCACAGCTAGTAAGTAATAGAGTGGGGAAGAGCATCTGAGAGTTTGGGAGGAGCAAAAACAGGTCTTAAGGGCCTGGGCTCGGCTGGGTGCGGTGGCTCACACCTATAATCCCAGCACTTTGGGAGGCTGAGGTGGGCGGATCACGAGGTCAAGAGATCGAGACCATCCTAGCCAACATGGTGAAACCCTGTATCTACTAAAAATACACACACACAAAAATTAGCTGGGCATGGTGGCGCGCACCTGTAGTCCCAGCTACTCGGGAGGCTGAGGCAGGAGAATCGCTTGAACCCGGGAGGTGGAGGTTGCAGTGAGCCGAGATAGCGCCACTGCACTCCAGCCTGGTGACAGAGTGAGACTCCATCTCAAAAAAAAAAAAAAACACAAACCTGGGCTCTGGAGTCAGACTGCTGAGTTTGAATTTTAGAGATACTGCTTACTAACCATGAGCTTTTAGGGAAGTTACTTAATCTTGAATGCCTCAGTTTCCCTATTTATAAAATGAAAACCACGTTTGCATCCGTTTGACAGGGTTGTTGTGAAGGTTAAACAAAATATATGTGAAGTACTTGGTACAGTGCTTAGATGTTTTAAATAATAATAAACAGTATTAATTTTTCCACTCTCACTTGTCTCCTTGGACCCCAAATTGGAGATAAAAGAGAGGATCCAGGGCTGGGTATGGTGCCTCACGCCTGTAATTCCAACACTTTGGGAGGCCGAGGCAGGCAGGTTGCTTGAGCTCAGGAGTTAGAGACCAACCTGGACAACATAGTGAGATCCTGCCTCCAAAACATTAATGAAAAAAATTAGCAGGGCATGATGGTACCTGTCTGTAGTCCTAGCTCCTCAAGAAGCTGAGGTGGACGGCCAGGCGCCGGGGCTCATGCCTGTAATCCCAGCACTCTGGGAGGCCAAGGCGGGTGGATCACCTGAGGTCAGGAGTTCAGGACCAGCCAACATGGTGAAACCCTGTCTCTACTAAAAATACAAAAATTAGCTGGGCGTGGTGGCATGTGCCCATAATCCCAGCTACTCAGGAGACTGAGGCAGGAGAATTACTTGAACCCGGGAGGCGGAGATTGCACTGAGCCAAGATCACACCACTGCACTCCAACCTGGGCAACAAGAGCGAAACTCTATCTCAGGAGAAAAAAAAAAAAAAAAAAAAGCTGAGGTGGGAGGGTTGCTTGAGCCCAGGAGGTTGAGGCTACAGTGAACCATGATCATACCACTACCTTCCAGCCTGAACAACAGAGACCCTATCTCAAAAAAAAAAAAAAAAAAAAAAGAGAGGATCCAGGGATGGAGAGAAGGGGGAGTGATTCCTTTGTTGGTCTCTGTTTTACTTCTGGGGTCCACCTGTTTTTTTGTGCCTTACAGCTCGACAGAACAATTGGCCCCCTCTACCTTCTTTTTGTCCAGTTCAGCCCTGCTTTTTCCAGGACATCTCCATGGAGATCCCCCAAGAATTTCAGAAGACTGTATCCACCATGTACTACCTCTGGATGTGTGAGTAGTGAGAAGCCTTTTGGAGGAAGTTACAGGTAGATCTCTTAACTGCCCTGGGGTCCGCTCACCAAGAACCAAACACTTCACCTCTATTTAGAACTCACCAGCCTGCTAGCAAATGTTCTTGCCCTCTCCCCACTTTTTATTGTCCATATGCAGGAATATATTTTGAATTCTTTAGATGTCTTTGGGCTGGGTGCAGTGGTATACGCCTGTAATCCCAGCACTTTGGGAAGCTGAGGTGGGTGGATAACCTGAGGTCAGAAGTTTGAGACTAGCCTGATCAACATGGAGAAACCCCATCTCTACTAAAAATACAAAATTACCTGGGCGTGGTGGCACATGCCTGTAATCCTAGCTACTCAGGAGGCTGAAGCAGGAGAATCACTTGAACCCGGGAAGTGGAGGTTGCAATGAGCCAAGATCATGCCATTGCACTCCAGCCTGGGCAACAAGAGCAAAACTCCATCTCAAAAAAAAAAAAAAAAAAAAAAAAAAAAAAAAAAAGGCCGGGCACGGTGGCTCACACCTGTAATCCCAGCACTTTGGGAGGCCCAGGTGGGCAGAACATGAGGTTAGGAGATCAAGACCATCCTGGCTAACACGGTGAAACCCCGTCTCTACTACAAATACAAAAAATTAGCCGGGCGTGGTGGCGGGTGCCTGTAGTCCCAGCTACTTAGGAGGCTGAGGTAGGAGAATGGGCGTGAACCCAGGAGGCAGAGCTTGCAGTGAGCCGAGATCCTGCCACTGCACTCCAGCCTGGGCGACAGAGCGAGATTCCATCTCAAAAAAAAAAAAAGAAAAAAAAAAATTAGCTGGGCGTGGTGGCGGGCGCCTGTAGTCCCAGCTACTCTGGAGGCTGAGGCAGGAGAATGGCGTGAACCGGGGAGGCGGAGCTTGCAGTAAGCTGAGATTGCGCCACTGCACTCCAGCCTGCGCGACAGAGCCAGACTCCGTCTCAAAAAAAAAAATGTCTTTGCAAGGGGATCACACATTATTGACATTTGCTTTCTCCATCTCCCCTGTTGAGGATTCCATGAAGGCAGCAGCTGCCTTCATTTCCTTACTCTGCCATGTTTGGTGAATATTATAGGATGAGCATAGATGGGAAGGAGCCTTCATTGCAGTCCAGAAGGGCTCCTCATCCTGTCCCTCTGCCCCTTAGGCAGCACGCTGGCTCTTCTCCTGAACTTCCTCGCCTGCCTGGCCAGCTTCTGTGTGGAAACCAACAATGGCGCAGGCTTTGGGCTTTCTATCCTCTGGGTCCTCCTTTTCACTCCCTGCTCCTTTGTCTGCTGGTACCGCCCCATGTATAAGGCTTTCCGGTAAGTGTGTTAGTGGTGGGAGAGTGATGGAGACCTGGGATGGGCCCCACGTCTGCCCATCCTTCAGCTCTAATTCTTCTCCCACCCTCCCCATTTTTTTCCTCTTTGTAGGAGTGACAGTTCATTCAATTTCTTCGTTTTCTTCTTCATTTTCTTCGTCCAGGATGTGCTCTTTGTCCTCCAGGCCATTGGTATCCCAGGTTGGGGATTCAGGTTTGTGAGGCTGTTATCCACCCTCACCTTTCCCTCTAGATCCAGCCAGCACTGGGTGCTGGGATAGGAGTTGTTCAGAAAAAGGAAATGTGGTTTTAATCCTTGGGAGGTACTAGTTTAATGAGATACAAGACATACTTCCAGGATAGAGCGCAGACAGCACTCTTGACACATATAGATTGAAGGGAAGAATGCTGCATTTGGCCAATCTAAGGTGGCTTCCTGGAGGAGGCATAGAACCATGGTTGAAAGGAGGAAGAAGAATCCCCAGATGAGTGCCTGGAAGAGCTTGGAGAGCTCAGGGCTAATGGTTCAGAAACTGGAATTAAACTATGAAGAGATTAGATACAGTTTGGGATTGTGGTGCTTGGAATGCTGCTCGATTGACAGGGAGCCACTGCTGATGGGAAGGGTAGGAACAGGGGATGCTGGTGACATAACCAGTGGAGAAGCTGAGGAGCCCCTCTTCACTGGTACATCCTTCCCTTTACAGTGGCTGGATCTCTGCTCTGGTGGTGCCGAAGGGCAACACAGCAGTATCCGTGCTCATGCTGCTGGTCGCCCTGCTCTTCACTGGCATTGCTGTGCTAGGAATTGTCATGCTGAAACGGGTGAGGGCTGTGTCGAAGGTGGGGCCGGGATGGTGAGATCATGGGTCCCCAGGGGCGTGGGTGGAACATTCAGGAGCAACTGGCACAGGTCAGGCTGCTGGGTTGTTCTCAGCTAATGGACCTCTGGGGTGTGTGTTTCTGTGTGTGAGTGTGTGTGCTGGGCAGCAGGCTGCTGAGTGGTAGTGATGCTGTTAGGCTGGGGTGGGGAACCAGTGGCTGGAATGGGCGGTAATGTCTTTGTCCTCTACTTGCAGATCCACTCCTTATACCGCCGCACAGGTGCCAGCTTTCAGAAGGCCCAGCAAGAATTTGCTGCTGGTGTCTTCTCCAACCCTGCGGTGCGAACCGCAGCTGCCAATGCAGCCGCTGGGGCTGCTGAAAATGCCTTCCGGGCCCCGTGACCCCTGACTGGGATGCCCTGGCCCTGCTACTTGAGGGAGCTGACTTAGCTCCCGTCCCTAAGGTCTCTGGGACTTGGAGAGACATCACTAACTGATGGCTCCTCCGTAGTGCTCCCAATCCTATGGCCATGACTGCTGAACCTGACAGGCGTGTGGGGAGTTCACTGTGACCTAGTCCCCCCATCAGGCCACACTGCTGCCACCTCTCACACGCCCCAACCCAGCTTCCCTCTGCTGTGCCACGGCTGTTGCTTCGGTTATTTAAATAAAAAGAAAGTGGAACTGGAACTGACATCCCCGTTTCCTGAATCTTCATTGGGAATTAGGCCTTATGAAAGAGAAAGGAGAGTGTGGAGTGAGGTGGGAAGGTCGGACCCGGCTTTAGTGTAAACTGGGAGATATGAGGGGCGGGGCGGTGGAGCCCGAGTGGCTGGCGCAGGAAGGAGGTGGGAAGTCCACGGAAACGCGAAACCCGGAGACGCCAGGGAGCCCTGCTCCCCACCCCTCTCCATTAATGACGGGGAAGAGCCACCGCCTCTGCCGGGAACGCCAAGGAATACGCGGGCCTGGAGCCTGAAAAGCTGGATGGGGCTCAAGTGGAGGCCCAAAGGATCACTAGCAGCCTAGCCAGGGTCCAGAGCGAGGCAGGGACTGGAGGAGCGCTTATCCGACTGCCTCGCCCTGCCGCGGGATCCCCCAACCCCGACAGGGTCTCAGTCCCGAACTACAACTCCCGGGGTGCACCGCGCCGGCCCTCGCCGCCATGCCCCTCCTTCCCGCACCATCCCCATTCCCATCCCCCTTCTCTAGTCCCCGACCTGCGGCAGCCGGAGCTCGGGGAGCGGAGCGTGGTGGGGAGGGGAGCGGGACAGGCGACACAGGAGACAGCGGCGCCGCGGCCTCTCCCCACCAGGCGGCCCCGGATCCTACTGGACGCCCTGAGGGCACACCGACCGCGCCTCTAGAGTCACCCCACGCCGACCCCTCCCCTCTTCTCTAGACTTATTTCCATCCTTCCCGCTTTTACCCTCCCCACCCCTCCCTGGGCTCCAGGCCGCCGCCCCCTCCTCACTCCTGGACCGGCCCTTCTCGGTGCCCCTCTTCCCTAGGGAGATGCGATGAGCCGGTGCCCCCGCGTCCTCATCGTCGCCCCGGGCACGGTGCCCGTCCAGTGCCCGTGGTGGGGAGGGAGCACTCCGCGGTCCCTCCGTGACGCCCCTCGCTTGGCCCCCCCCACAGCTGGCGTCCCTCGGCCATGCCCCAGGGGACCCAGCCAGGGGGTGGGCTCTAGAGCGAGTGGGGTGGAGAGGAGAAAGGACGGGGCCTTGGGCGCCTCTGAGATGCTCCCAAGTGCCAGGGAGGGCCGAGCGAGGCGCAGGCAACCGGGCAGCAGGCATGATGCCCTCGCCTAGTGACTCCAGCCGCTCGCTGACCAGCCGGCCCAGCACCAGGGGCCTTACCCACCTCCGCCTCCACCGACCCTGGCTGCAGGCCCTGCTTACGCTGGGGCTGGTCCAAGTGCTCCTGGGCATCCTGGTGGTCACCTTCAGCATGGTGGCCTCTTCCGTCACCACCACCGAGAGCATCAAGAGGTCCTGCCCGTCTTGGGCTGGGTTCTCGGTGAGTTGGGTGCACAGTTGTTGGGTGGGGGAGGCTCCTCGGGCCCCACCCTCCACACCAGCTGCAAGTCCACATGCTTGCCTCTCCTCCCTCTCCTGGTCCTCTGCCTCCTTACAGGGCTGGGTGCATCCTGTGGTGAGGGGCTCACTCAGGAGCCTCCCCTGCCAGGCTGAGCCTGTGCCCACTCTGTCCCCAGCTGGCGTTCTCCGGGGTGGTTGGCATTGTGTCCTGGAAGCGGCCATTCACTCTAGTGGTAGGTGCCAGGGTCCAGTGCCCACTGGGAGGCAGGTGCCCAGCACGCAAGGGGAAGCCCATTTATGTCCTCAAGAAGGGAACTGGCTCCCCAGTTGGTGCCAGCCGGGTGGGCACGAAGTGTCTGTGAAGGAGGGGGACTCTGTCCGTGGCAGAGGAGTACTCATGAGGGTCCCAGCCCTGAGTCTGCACCCTGTTTTCCCCAGATCTCCTTCTTCTCCTTGCTTTCGGTGCTCTGTGTCATGCTTAGCATGGCTGGCTCTGTTCTCTCCTGTAAGAATGCTCAACTGGCCCGAGACTTCCAACAGTGCTCTCTGGTGAGATTTGAGGAGGGAGAGCTGGAAAGAACTGGCTGGGGGAGGTGTGCAGGACACCTCAGTTTGTCCTGACTCAGGCTGCCTCACCCTCCCTGCTCCACTCAGGAAGGAAAGGTCTGTGTGTGCTGTCCCTCTGTTCCCCTCCTCCGGCCCTGTCCAGAGTCGGGGCAGGAACTGAAAGTTGCCCCTAACTCCACCTGTGATGAAGCCCGAGGGGCCCTCAAGGTGAGCTTGCACCCTGCAAACATCCTCCTGGTTCTCACTCTTGCCTCCCCTGCTGGGGTACTCACAGGCCCATAATGTGTGGAACTTAGCCGTCTCCTGACTCCTCTCCTCCTTTCCCTTCCCCAGAACCTGCTCTTCAGCGTCTGTGGGCTCACCATTTGTGCCGCTATAATCTGTACACTCTCTGCTATTGTCTGCTGCATCCAAATCTTCTCCCTGGACCTCGTGCATACGGTGAGAAGGGAGCAGGGGCCAGGGCACGCAGGTATGGTGGGGGCAGGGGTGTGTGTGCTGAGACTTGCCTGAGGGAACAATGGCTACAGATCTGGCTTTTGAGCACCAGGGGCTATGGGTTATCTATTATCCTCATCTATTGGAGGAATGGATGTTTAGTGGGGAGGATGAGAAGGGGAGATGGCAGGGAGTGAGTTAAGTATGTGATGCTGGTCTGGGACCAGGAGAGGGTGCTTTAGAGAATGGGACTGGATGGTGGGGTAGAGTCAAGAAGGTCCTATGCTGGGCACGGTGGCTCATTCCTGTAATCCCAGCACTTTGAGAGGCCCAGGCAGGCGGATCACCTGAGGCCAGGAGTTCAAGACCCACCTGGCCAACATGGCGAAACCCTGTCTCTATTAAAAATACAAAAATCGGGCCGGGCGCAGTGGCTCGTGCCTATAATCCCAGCACTTTGGGAGGCTGAGGAGGGCAGATCACCTGAGATCAGGAGATCGAGACTATCCTGGCTAACATGGTGAAACCCCATCTCTACTAAACATACAAAAAATTAGCCAGGCGTGGTGGCGGGCGCCTGTGGTCCCAGCTACTCGGGAGGCTGAGGCAGGAGAATGGCATGAACCTGGGAGGCAGAGCTTGCAGTGAGCTGAGATAGTGCCACTGCACTCCAGCCTGGGCGACAGAGCAAGACTCCATCTCAAAAAACAAACAAACGAAATACAAAAATTAGCCAAGTGTGGTGGCGGGTGCCTGTAATCCCAGCTACTTGGGAGTCTGAGGCAGGAAAATTGCTTGAACCGGGGAGACAGAGGCTGCAGTGAGCTGAGATGGTGCCACTGCATTCCAGCCTGGGCGACAAGAGCAAGACTCCGTCTCAAAAAAAAAAAAAAAAAAAAAAAAAATATATATATATATATATATATATATATATATACACACAAAATTACAAAAATTAGGCTGGGCTCCGTGGCTCATGCCTGTAATCCCAGCACTTTGGGAGGCCAAGGCAGGAGGATCACCAGATATCAGGAGTTTGACACCAGCCTGGCCAACATGGCGAAACCCTATCTCTACTAAAAATACAAAAATTATCCGGGTGTGGTGGCGGGTGCCTGTAATCCCAGCTACTCGGAAGACTGAGGCTGGAGAATCGCTTGAACCTGGGAGGCAGAGGTTGCAGTGAGCTGAGATGTAGCCATTGTACTCCAGCCTGGGCGACAAGAGTGAAACTTCGTCTCGAAATAATAATAATAATAATAATTAGCTGGGCATGGTTGCACACCCTTATAATTCCAGCTACTCAGGAGGATGAGGCATGGGAATTGCTTGATCTTGGGAGGTGGGGGTTGCAGTGAGCTGAGATCGCGCCACTGCACTCCAGCAACAGAGTCAGACTCTGTCTCAAAAAAAAAAAGAAGGTCCTAGATGGAGGTGAGGCTAAAGGGTGGACATTCCTGTGAAGACACAGAATGTGTGGAGCTTCTGGATGGAGGTGGGGCCATAAAGAGGAATTTGTGGGTGGGCAGGGCCAGAGCTAGAGGTACAGGGTGAGCGTGGGGTTAAGGAGAGCTGATTTTGGGTGAGGGAGGGGCCAGAACAAGAGCTTCTCTCAGGGGATAGGGCCAGAAAAAATAATGTAGATGAGAGAGGAGTTTGGGGGCCCAGGAGGAGCTGTATTCCCAGAATCCAGACTTGCTGACCTGCTCGCTTCCCCAGCAGCTGGCCCCTGAGCGGTCAGTCTCAGGCCCACTGGGACCTCTGGGCTGCACGTCCCCGCCCCCAGCCCCTCTCCTACACACCATGCTGGACCTGGAGGAATTTGTCCCGCCTGTGCCCCCACCGCCCTACTATCCCCCAGAGTATACCTGCAGCTCAGAAACAGATGCACAGAGGTAAGGCCTGGTGGGGTCTTGCTGGGGGAGCTAAGGAAGGGGACTGGGGCTGGGCCTGGATTGCTGGAGAGAGGGATCTTTGTGGAGGGGGAATTATTTCTCCTACATTGACCCTCTTCCTCATCTGCCAGCATCACGTACAATGGCTCCATGGACAGCCCAGTGCCCTTGTACCCTACCGATTGCCCCCCTTCTTATGAGGCAGTCATGGGACTACGAGGAGACAGCCAGGTGAGAGCACAGCACGGCTTGGGGCGGGCTGGGGAGCCGGGTTGTAGCCTGGAAAGCTGAACAGGCTGTAGCCTCTGGATAAAGATAGTAACAGTGGTCAAGGTCTTTACAGCACCAGCATGCCCACTGTTGCCTTTGATCTTCCCTAGAGCCTGGTGAGGTGAGTGGGTTGGAAGCTATCATTTCTGCCATACAGACGTGGAAGCTGAGGCTGCACAATTAAGTGACTTGTACAAAGGGACAAGGCTGGTCTGGAATCTAAGTCTCCAGAGCTCTGTCTAGCACATGGGGGTGTTCAGTGTGTAGGGCTGAACCCTTGACCCTGTGTCTTCTGCAGGCCACTCTCTTTGACCCTCAGCTTCACGATGGCTCGTGCATCTGTGAACGAGTGGCCTCCATTGTAGACGGTGAGCAGGGCGTAATGAGGGGTGGACAAGGGCGGGGCTGCCAGGGATAGCTGGGGTGGGTAGAGACAATAGAAGGGGAAAACAAGGCGGAGTTGGTGGTTTGGGGACATAGGAGGGCTGTGGCAACTTGGAACCCTGGACTTATTTTTCTCCTCTGAGATAAAGCTGGAGGCACAGTGGCCCCTAGAGGCTGGGCTTGGGAGAAGAGGAACTGCCTGGGCAGGGCTAGGCCAGGCCAGGCTGGTGCTACACAGCGCCCCCTGCCGCCCACAGTGTCCATGGACAGCGGGTCTCTGGTGCTGTCAGCCATTGGTGACCTCCCTGGGGGCTCTAGCCCGTCGGAGGACTCGTGCCTGCTGGAGCTGCAGGGCTCCGTGCGCTCCGTGGACTACGTTCTCTTTCGCTCCATCCAGCGCAGCCGTGCCGGCTACTGCCTCAGCCTGGACTGTGGCCTGCGGGGCCCCTTCGAGGAAAGCCCCCTGCCACGGCGCCCCCCACGGGCTGCCCGCTCCTATTCCTGCTCTGCCCCTGAAGCTCCACCCCCACTGGGTGCCCCCACAGCTGCCCGCAGCTGCCACCGGTTGGAGGGCTGGCCGCCCTGGGTGGGACCCTGCTTCCCCGAGCTGAGGCGGCGGGTCCCCCGGGGAGGGGGCCGCCCAGCCGCAGCCCCGCCCACCCGAGCCCCGACTCGTCGCTTCAGCGATAGCTCAGGTTCCCTCACCCCACCGGGGCACCGGCCTCCTCATCCGGCATCCCCACCACCGCTGCTGCTGCCACGGTCCCACAGCGACCCAGGCATCACGACCTCCAGTGACACTGGTGAGCCCCCTCCCCGACTGCCCAGGCTCAGGAGAGGGTAGGCACTGGGAGTTAGGTGGCCAGTGATGCCCACCAGGATTGGGGCACAGTTGAGGTCCCTGAGGAGGAAGAAAGGGTGAGTTCACTCCTCTGGTAGACACTTCTCAGGTACTCACCTCCTAGGGACAGAACATCCATAGCTTAGCAGCTAAAAAAGGAGAATTTTTTTTTTTTTTTGAGACGGAGTCTCTGGCTCTGTCGCCCAGGCTGGAGTGCAGTGGCATGATCTTGGCTCACTGCAACCCGTTTCCCGGGTTCAAGTGACTCTCTCCTGCTTCAGCCTGCCGAGTAGCTGGGACTACAGGTGTGCGCCACCATGACCGGCTAATATTTTTTTTTTTTTTTTTTTTTGAGACGGTGTCTCGCTCTGTCACCCAGGCTGGAGTGCAGCCGCGCGATCTGGGCTCACTGCAAGCTCCGCCTCCCGGGTTCACGCCATTCTCCTTCCTCAGCCTCCCGAGTAGTGAGTAGCTGGGACTACAGATGCCTGCCACCACGCCCGGCTATTTTTTTGTATTTTTAGTAGAGATGGGGTTTCACCGTGTTATCCAGGATGGTCTCAATCTCCTGACCTCGTGATCTGCCCGCCTCGGCCTCCCAAAGTGCTGGGATTACAGGCATGAGTCACCGTGCCCGGGCAATTTTTGTATTTTTTAGTAGAGACAGGGTTTCACCCTTTTGGCCAGGCTGGTCTTGAACTCCTGACCTCAAGTGATCCACCCGCCTCGGCCTCCCAAAAGGATTTATTTTTTGAAACCAGTTCCACAGCTCTCAGCTTGGTCCACTTATCTGTCCTCCCCAAGCTTCAGCTGTCACTTGTTAAACATGTATAATAATAGTACTTCAGGCCGGGCACGGTGGCTTGCACCTGTAATCCCAGCACTGTGGGAAGCTGAGGTGGGTGGATCACCTGAGGTCGGGAGTTCGAGACCAGCCTGGCTAACATGGTGAAACCCTATCTCTACTAAAAATACAAAAATTAGCCAGGTGTGGTGGAGCGCGCCTGTAATTCCAGCTACTAACAGAGAGGCTAAGGCAGGAGAATCGCTTGAACCTGGAAAGCAGGGGTTGCCGTGAGCCAAGATCATGCCACTGCACTCCAGCCTGGGTGACAGAGACACACTCCATCTCAAAAACACAAACAAACAAACAAAAAACATGTATAATAACAGTACTTCAGCCATAGGCATTGTACTCGAAGATGCTGAGAAAGGAGACAGTGGCCGGGCAAGGCTGTTCACACCTATAATCCCAGCACTTTGGGAGGCCAAGGCAGGTGGATCACCTGAGGTCAGGAGTTCAAGACCAGCCTAGCCAACATGGTGAAACCCCCATCTCTACTAAAAATTGAAAAATTAGCTGGGCCTGGTGGTGGACGCCTGTAATCCCAGCTACTAGGGAGGCTGAGGCAGGAGAATCGCTTGAACCTGGGAGGCGGAGGTTGCAGTGAGCTGAGATCGTACCACTGCACTCCGGCCTGGGCAACACAGTGAGACTCCATCTCAAAAAAATAAGAAAGGAGATAGTACTGGGGAACGCTCAGCACTGTGCGCCAGGTGCTGAACAACACCACTGCAGTCCTTGTTGTGGTGGATTGTACCATCTAGTTGCTGGCTAATATGGACAGAGATGCTGGCCCTTTGATTGGGGATGGAGCGTGGGAGCTGTGAAAGCTCCTCTGGGCTTGAGTTCCCACAGGAGGGTGGGCGTGTCCACAGAACACTTCCACTCACTCCCTGTCTCCCTTTCTCTCTTCTCCCCAGCTGACTTCAGGGACCTTTATACCAAAGTGCTTGAGGAAGAAGCTGCTTCTGTTTCCTCTGCAGATACAGGTCAGGCATGTGGTTTGCGCCCCAGGGATGGGGATTGGGCATGGCTGCCCAGCCCCCTCTCCACCCTACAATACCATTCTCTTATCTCTGTCTCTCTGCAGGGCTCTGCTCTGAAGCCTGCCTCTTCCGCCTAGCCCGCTGCCCTTCCCCCAAGTTGCTACGTGCCCGGTCAGCCGAGAAACGGCGCCCTGTGCCCACCTTCCAAAAAGTTCCCCTGCCCTCGGGCCCTGCACCTGCCCACTCCCTGGGGGACCTAAAGGGCAGCTGGCCAGGTCGGGGCCTGGTCACTCGTTTCCTCCAGATATCCAGGAAAGCCCCAGACCCCAGTGGGACTGGAGCTCATGGACATAAGCAGGTAGGAATTCGGGGAGCCAGGAAAGATGTTTGGGAAAGCGTGGAGCTTCAGATTGAGCCTTATTGATGATGCCCTTTCTTGTGTCCCTGTCCAGGTGCCCCGGAGCCTGTGGGGCCGGCCTGGCCGAGAGAGCCTCCACCTTCGCAGCTGCGGAGATCTGAGCTCTAGCTCTTCCCTGCGGCGTCTCCTGTCTGGCCGCAGGCTGGAGCGTGGTACCCGCCCCCACAGCCTCAGCCTCAACGGGGGCAGCCGGGAGACTGGGCTCTGACCTAGGCTTCTTGTCACACTGAACACATCCAGCCACAGGCACCAGCTGGTTGGGACCAGCAGCCCCCAGCATCCTCTTGCACTGGCTGGCACAAAAAGAAACCTGCTGTATACCCCCCAAAGTGTCCCTTTCCCTCCTACCTCTGGGGTCTCTTGCTGCTTGCCTCTGCTGCTCTGGACTGGGAGAGCTTCTGTCCTGTGCTGCATGGGTATTTAGACTGTGGGGGAGATGCCCCTTCTTATAGCACTGGAGGAGGAAAACAAATTCTTGTCCCCCTCAGAATGAGAGTGGCTCTTTCTGATTTGCAAGGGCACTATGGTCAGGGCAAAGGCATGGCCCAGGTGTTTAAGTACAGGGTGACGTGTGCCTATGCAATGGGGTGGTAAGGCAGGCACGAAGAGTCCAAAAAATCTAGGTGGCCTCTCAGCTCTGCCACCTCTAGCTGCATGACCTTGGGCAAGCTATGTAACCCCAATTGCCTGCTCCATTAAAGACTGTGAAGGTAGAATGTTTGTAAAGCTCTTAACAGTATGTAAGCCTTCAATAAATTTCAGTTTTCCCCTTGTTTTCTTGATCATTCTCTGTCACCAGTGAAATTTGTTCTAGTGTCTCTCATATTTAAGAAAACTCTTTCAGGACTGGGTATGGTGGCTCACACCTATAATCCTAGCACTTTGGGAGGCCGAAGCAAGAGGATCGCCTGAGCCTAGGAATTCAAGACCAGCCTGGGCAACATAGTGAGACCCTGTCTCTACAAAAAACAAAAAATTAGCCAGGCATGGTGGGACACGCCTGTAGTCCCAACTACTCAGGTGGCTAAGGTGAGAGGATCACTTGAGCTTGGGAAGTCCAGGCTGCAGTAAGCTGTGATTGAGCCACTGCACTACAGCCTGGGCAACAGAGCAAGACCATGTCTCAAAAAAAAAAAAAAAAGAAAAAAGAAACTTTCAAGACACTCTTTCCAACCACTAATTGTAACTCTGCTCCTCCTTTTCACAGCAATAGGTTTTCTTTTTCTTCCCTCCACTGTTAAACATCCATTCTCTCCTCACCCACCCCCATCAGACTCCTTCCCCTATCTTTCCACAGCCACTGCTCTGACCAAACTTTCCAGTGACCACAGTGGTGTCAGACCCAGTGACCATTTCTCTGCCTGCATCTCACTTGACCTCGAGGCAGCAATTAATACCCATAATCAGCATCTTCTTGAATTTGTCCCTTTGAAAAGGGAAATATTGGCTCTTCTACTTTGTCCTGCTGAACTGCTTAACATTGGAGGGCCCCAGGGCCCTCACCTAAGCCCTCTTTCCTACCTCCACTCTTTCTATAGGTGGCCCTACTACTAAAGTCCATGGCTTTAAATACCATCTTTCTATGTGTTAATCCATAACTCCAGCCTTGACCTCCCATGAGCGCCATCCAACTCAGCATGTCTGCTTGGATGTCTAATGGGCATTTCAGATTCAACATGGCCACAACTGAACTCTTGATTCCCACCCCAGCACCGGTTATTTTTCCACTGTTCCCATCTCAATGGCACCTCCATTACCCATTTGCACATTCCAAAAGCTCAGGAACCATGGTGACTTCTTTTCCCATATCCAACACAACCAATCCTATCCTGAATTCATCCACATCCCACCACCTCCCCAGCTACCTAGCTCCAGCCATCCTCTCTCCACAACCTCTGAATCAGTCTTTCACTTTTCCCAGCAATCCATTCTCCACTCAGCAAAATGATGATAAAGCACGTCACATCAAGGCTCTGCCTCAATTTAATGGCTTCCCATTGTATTTAGAATCATCTCCAAACTCCCAGAGACTATGGTCAGCTACAATCTGGCCCACCTTCTGTTCCAGCCAAATTTCCTCACAGCACAAGGACGTTTGCACCTGCTGTTTTCCAAGCATGAAACCCTTGGCCCCTATATCTGGTGCTATCACCTAATATCAGGTTTTAGCTCCATTCTCACCATTTCAGTGAGCACCCAATCCCCATCGCAGTCATTCTATCACATAGCCATGTTTTTTTTTGTTTGTTTGTTTCATTTTGTCTTTTTTTGAGACAGGGTCTTGCTTTGTTACCCAGGCTGGAGTGCAGTGGTGTGATTTGGGCTCACTGCAACCTTCCACCTCCTGGGTTCAAGCAATTCTCCTGCCTCAGCCTCCCGAGTAGCTGGGATTACAGGCGCCCGTCCCCATGCCCGCCCAGCTAAATTTTGTATTTTTAGAAGAGATAGGGTTTCACCATGTTGGCCAGGCGGGTCTCAAACTCCTGACCTCAAGTAATCCGCCTGCCTCGGTCTCCCAAAGTGCTGGGATTACAGGTGTGACTCACCGCGCCTGGCCACATACCCATGGTTTCAGCATGTATCACTATCTAAAATTATTATTTTTGTTTATATATCTGTGTCGTCCCATAGAATGTTAAGGTCCCAAGATCAGAAACTTGCTCATTGCAGTGGGTCTAACACTCAGTAGGTCCTCAACAAACATTCGTTAAGATACTAAAGTGGCAGGGTGGGGCCCTGTAAACAGCTTCAGGACCCTGTGCTTGTAGGGGCAACGTGGTGCCCTCCAAGGAAGACAGGGAGGTGGGAGGAGCACTGCCCAGAGATGGCGTCAGGCTGCAAGACTTCTTGAATAATTCAGCATCATAACAACCCAGCCTCAGGAAGGGATAGGGCACGGCCAGGACGAAACATTAGGAGGCGATGGACAATGGGATTCCCACGGGGCAGCTTCTGCGCACTGGACGTTCCCTAACCTGAGGCTCTCTAAAGAGGAAGGTTAGGAATCCTCTGAGCTTCGGTGGGCTGGACTCACTGTGGGAATTCAATCGCCCCCATCCACCAACAGTGTGCTGGCGGGAAAACGCCGACACGCATGCGTAGTTCTCGCGCCGGCTCCTCTCTCTCTCTCTCTCTCTCTCGCTCGCTCTCTCGCTCTCTCGCTCTCTCTCGCTCGCTCTCTCGCTCTCGCTCTCTCTCTCTCTCCGGCTCGCCAGCGACACTTGTTCGTTCAACTTGACCAATGAGACTTGAGGAAGGGCTCTGAGTCCCGCCTCTGCATGAGTGACCGTCTCTTTTCCAATCCAGGTCCCGCCCCGACTCCCCAGGGCTGCTTTTCTCGCGGCTGCGGGTGGTCGGGCTGCATCCTGCCTTCAGAGTCTTACTGCGCGGGGCCCCAGTCTCCAGTCCCGCCCAGGCGCCTTTGCAGGCTGCGGTGGGATTTCGTTTTGCCTCCGGTTGGGGCTGCTGTTTCTCTTCGCCGACGGTAGGCGTAATGAATATTTCGACCTTTGGATCTTAGCTGTCCCCTCCCTGCGTTCGCACTTAACCTTTTTCACCATTATTATTATTATTGTTATTATTATTATTTTTTGAGGGAGTCTCGCCCTGTCGCCCAGGCTGGAGTGTAATGGCGCCTTCTTGGCTCACTGCAACCTCCGCCTCCCGGGTTCAGGCGATTCTCCGACCTCAGCCTCCCAAGTACGTGGGATTACAGGCACCCGCCACCACGCACGGCTAATTTTTTGTATCTTTTAGTAGAGACGGGGTTTCACCATGTTGGTCAGGCTGGTCTCCAATTCCTGACCTCGTGATCCGCCCGCCTCGGCCTGCCAAACAGCTGTGATTATAGGCGTGAGCCACCGCGCCCGGCCAACCATCATTATTATTTTTAACGGTAAGGATGGTCAGATTTTACTAATGAAGAAGAGATTATAAAATCTTCAAGTCTTTATATCCACTTGCTTTTTGAGGGGTGGAGTGGGAAGAAGGTTATGTAATTCATACGTTCTTCAGACATGTGACAAACATTCACGGAGCCCGGCGACGAGCGTCGGGGTTGGGATTCGCACTGGAGCTGCAGATGGGTGCCAGGATGGACTGGTCCCTACCCTCCGCTTGAACCTAGGAGGCGGAGGTTGCAGTGAACCGAGATCGTGCCACTGCACTCCAGCCTGGGTGACAGAGATACTCCGTCTCAAAAAAAAAAACAAAACAAAAAACAAGCGGACTGGGCGCAGTGCCTCACCCTGTAATCCCAGCACTTTGCAAAGCCAAGGCGGGAGGATCCTTTGAGTTTAGGAGTTTGAGACCAACCTGCGCAACACAGTAAGACCCCGTCTCTACAAAAAATACAGAAATTAGCCAGGTGTGGTGGTGTGCGCCTATAGTCCCAGCTATTCTGGAGGCTGAGGTGGGAGGATTGCTTATTCTGGAGGCAGAGGTTGCACTGAGCCGAAATCAAGCTACTACACTCCATCCAGGGCAACATACGGAGACCCTGTCTCAAACAAACAAACAAAAAATTGCTCAGTACCTGGCCAAAAAAGAAGAGGCTCACTATGCAGAGGGGAAGTGGAAGGAGATGTTTGGACTTCTAAACTCAATAGAGCAGGAGAGGCAAATGTAGAATGTGCTCAGGAAATATCTGTGAGATGAATGAACTTGAGGGAAGTAAGGTACTAGATATTACCTGCCCTACCCAGAACAAATCCTGTGCAATGTTTCCTTGAAAAGTGAGAAGTCTGGAAGGGGTGGCTACTGACATAGTGAAGCAACTAGTTCAATTCTACAACTTGACAGCTACCCCTGTGCCAGGCTATCTACGAGGATACTTAGAATGCATAAGACATTCCTTCAAGGAACTCCAGGAACAGAGGCCTGACATGTTGCAATGTTTAGTGTCAAGCAGTGTACTAGAGACACATTATCACACTCAAACCTCACAACAATTCTGTGAGGTAGGAGTTATCACTCCCCTTTTATAGATGAAACAGAGGCTTAGAGTGATTGATTTATTGAAAGTCAAACAGCCAGTAAATGGTGTAGCCAGGATTCCAAACTTGCTGTCTCACTGAGACTGTACTTAATTACTGGAGGGACCGGGTGTGGTGGCTCATTGCTATAATCCCAACACCTTGGGAGGCTGAGGCTGGTGGATCACCTGAGGTCAGGGGTTCGAGACCAGCCTGGCCAACATGGTGAAACCCCATCTCTACTAAAAATACAAAAATTAGCTGGGCATGGTGGTGGGCTCCTGTAATCCCAGCTACTCAGGAGGCTGAGGCAGGGCAATTGCTTGAGCCGAGATCACACTGCACTCCAGCCTGGGCAACAGGGCAAGACTCTGTCTCAAAACCAAAAAAAAAAAAATTACTGGAGGAACCTAGAAGAAGAAATGATCAATTTTGCTTGGAGTGTATCTAGAAAGACTTCACTGAGATCATTTAAAGAACAAAAAGGATGGCTGGGGTCCAGCGCAGTGGCTCATGCCTGTAATCCCAGCACTTTCGGATACCAAGGCAGCAGATCACCTGAGGTCCAGAGTTTCAGACCAGCCTGGCCAACATAGTGAAACCCCATCTCTACTAAAAATAAAAAAATTAGCTGAGCATGTTGGAGGGCACCTGTAATCCCAGCTACTTGGGAGGCTGAGGCAGGAGAATCACTCGAACCCAGGAGGTGGAGGTTGCAGTGAGCCAAGATCACGCCACTGCACTCCAGCCTGGGCAACAGAGTGAGACTCTGTCTCAAAAAACAACAACAACAAAAAATACAAACAAGAGACAAGTAGTTCCCAGGTGCCTACCAAGTGGTCAGGCACTGCACTTACCTCACTGACTGCAGTAACCACCCTTTGAGGTTGTGGCATTGCCTCCATTTTCCAGGCAAGGAAATGGGCTGAGAGCTGGGATTAGTCAGGTCATGACTGTGTGTGCCACTCCCGCTAAATCTCATTTGATGTGGTTCATGAGGCCACACCATGGACAGCTTCCTCCTTGTGTCCACTGAGGATATGGCTTTGTACAACACTTTGGTTTTTGAACGACTTTACAAACCTCCCTGTCTTGTGAGGAAGGAAGAACAGTTATTACCATCTGCATCTGATGATGAAACAAGGGACGCTGCAGAGGAGCCGCACTGACCACTCCCTCCCTCCAGTCCTGTCATCCCACTGCCAGTGTCCCACCCTCTTGTGCCCTGCACTTCACTGGCTAATAACCCCCCTCACTTTTTCCTCTGTGAAGCCATCCTGGATAATTCCCCACCCACGAATGGTCCCTCCTCATCTCAGAGAGCTCTCCATGCACACCTGTTACCGTTTCTGTCTTTATCTGTAAATATCTGTGTGTCTGACTTCCATGCCTCACACACCTCTATAGGGCAAAGACTGTCTTAAACATCTTGGTAGTGTCAGTATTTTGCACAGTGAAGTTTTTTTTTTTAAATTATATCAGCTTTATTTGTACCTTTTTGACATTTCTATCAAAAAAGAAGTGTGCCTGCTGTGGTTCCCATCCTCTGGGATTTAGGAGCCTCTACCCCATTCTCCATGCAAATCTGTGTTCTAGGCTCTTCCTAAAGTTGTCACCCATACATGCCCTCCAGAGTTTTATAGGGCATATAATCTGTAACAGATGAGAGGAAGCCAATTGCCCTTTAGAAATATGGCTGTGATTGCCTCACTTCCTGTGTCATGTGACGCTCCTAGTCATCACATGACCCATCCACATCGGGAAGCCGGAATTACTTGCAGGGCTAACCTAGTGCCTATAGCTAAGGCAGGTACCTGCATCCTTGTTTTTGTTTAGTGGATCCTCTATCCTTCAGAGACTCTGGAACCCCTGTGGTCTTCTCTTCATCTAATGACCCTGAGGGGATGGAGTTTTCAAGTCCTTCCAGAGAGGTAAGAGAGAGAGCTCCCAATCAGCATTGTCACAGTGCTTCTGGAATCCTGGCACTGGAATTTAATGAATGACAGACTCTCTTTGAATCCAGGGCCATCATGGCTCTTTGAGCAAGGCACAGATGGAGGGAGGGGTCGAAGTTGAAATGGGTGGGAAGAGTGGTGGGGAGCATCCTGATTTGGGGTGGGCAGAGAGTTGTCATCAGAAGGGTTGCAGGGAGAGCTGCACCCAGGTTTCTGTGGGCCTTGTCCTAATGAATGTGGGAGACCGGGCCATGGGCACCCAAAGGCAGCTAAGCCCTGCCCAGGAGAGTAGTTGAGGGGTGGAGAGGGGCTTGCTTTTCAGTCATTCCTCATTCTGTCCTCAGGAATGTCCCAAGCCTTTGAGTAGGGTAAGCATCATGGCTGGCAGCCTCACAGGATTGCTTCTACTTCAGGCAGTGTCGTGGGCATCAGGTGAGTGAGTCAAGGCAGTGGGGAGGTAGCACAGAGCCTCCCTTCTGCCTCATAGTCCTTTGGTAGCCTTCCAGTAAGCTGGTGGTAGACTTTTAGTAGGTGCTCAATAAATCCTTTTGAGTGACTGAGACCAACTTTGGGGTGAGGATTTTGTTTTTTTTCTTTTGAAACAGAGTCTTACTCTGTTGCCTGGGCTGGAGTGCAGTGGTGCAATTTTGGCTCATTCCAACCTCTGCCTCCCAGATTCAAGCGATTCTCTTGCTTCAGCTTCCCAGGTAGCTGGGATTACAGGCGGCCACCACTACGCCCAGCTAATTTTTGTATTTTTAGTAGAGACGGGGTTTCACCATGCTGGCAAGGCAGGTCTCAAACTCCTCACCTCAGGTGATCCGCCCACCTCGGCCTCCTAAAGTGCTAGGATTACAGGTGTGAGCCCCTGCGCCCGGCCAAGGGGTGAGGAATTTTGAAACCGTGTTCAGTCTCTCCTAGCAGATGTGTCCATTCTCCATGTCTTCATCAGACCTCACTCTGCTTGTACTCCCTCCCTCCCAGGTGCCCGCCCCTGCATCCCTAAAAGCTTCGGCTACAGCTCGGTGGTGTGTGTCTGCAATGCCACATACTGTGACTCCTTTGACCCCCCGACCTTTCCTGCCCTTGGTACCTTCAGCCGCTATGAGAGTACACGCAGTGGGCGACGGATGGAGCTGAGTATGGGGCCCATCCAGGCTAATCACACGGGCACAGGTAACCATTACACCCCTCACCCCCTGGGCCAGGCTGGGTCCTCCTAGAGGTAAATGGTGTCAGTGATCACCATGGAGTTTCCCGCTGGGTACTGATACCCTTATTCCCTGTGGATGTCCTCAGGCCTGCTACTGACCCTGCAGCCAGAACAGAAGTTCCAGAAAGTGAAGGGATTTGGAGGGGCCATGACAGATGCTGCTGCTCTCAACATCCTTGCCCTGTCACCCCCTGCCCAAAATTTGCTACTTAAATCGTACTTCTCTGAAGAAGGTGAGGAGGAAGGGGACAAGATGACATAGAGCCATTGAAACTTTTCGTTTTTCTTTTCTTTTTTTAAAATTTTTTTGAGGCAGAATCTCACTCTGCCCATTCTGTCGGCGAGACAGGAGTGCAGTGGTGTGATCTCCCCTCACAGCAACCTCTGCCTCCCAGGCTATAGTGATTCTCCTGCCTCAGCCTCCTGAGTAGCTGGAATTATAGGCGTGCGCCACTACCACCTGGCTAATTTTTGTATTTTTAGTAGAGACAGGGTTTCATCATGTTGACCAGGCTAGTCTTAAACTCCTGACCTCAAATGATATACCTGCCTTGGCCTCCCGAAGTGCTGGAATTACAAGTGTGAGCCACCGAGCCCAGCAGACACTTTTCTTTTTTCTTTTTTTTTTTTTGAGACAGAGTCTCGCACTGTCACCCAGGCTGGAGTGCAGTGGCACAATCTCAGCTCACTGCAACCTCCACCTCCCGGGTTCAGGTGATTCTCCTGTCTCAGCCTCTCGAGTACCTGGGATTACAGGTGCCTGCCACCACGCCCGGCTAATTTTTTGTATTTTTAGTAGAGACAGGGTTTCACTATGTTGGCCAGGATGATTGCGAACTCCTGACCTCGTGATCTGCCCACATCGGCCTCCCAAAGTGCTGGGATTACATGCGTGAGCCACTGACACTTTTCTTTGCCCTTTCTTTGGACCCTGACTTCTGCCCATCCCTGACATTTGGTTCCTGTTTTAATGCCCTGTGAAATAAGATTTCACCGCCTATCATCTGCTAACTGCTACGGACTCAGGCTCAGAAAGGCCTGCGCTTCACCCAGGTGCCAGCCTCCACAGGTTCCAACCCAGGAGCCCAAGTTCCCTTTGGCCCTGACTCAGACACTATTAGGACTGGCAAGTGATAAGCAGAGTCCCATACTCTCCTATTGACTCGGACTACCATATCTTGATCATCCTTTTCTGTAGGAATCGGATATAACATCATCCGGGTACCCATGGCCAGCTGTGACTTCTCCATCCGCACCTACACCTATGCAGACACCCCTGATGATTTCCAGTTGCACAACTTCAGCCTCCCAGAGGAAGATACCAAGCTCAAGGTAGGCATTCTAGCTTTTTCAGGCCCTGAGGGCCCTGATGTCTGGGGGTTGAGAAACTGTAGGGTAGGTCTGCTTGTACAGACATTTTGTCCCCTGCTGTTTTGTCCTGGGGGTGGGAGGGTGGAGGCTAATGGCTGAACCGGATGCACTGGTTGGGCTAGTATGTGTTCCAACTCTGGGTGCTTCTCTCTTCACTACCTTTGTCTCTAGATACCCCTGATTCACCGAGCCCTGCAGTTGGCCCAGCGTCCCGTTTCACTCCTTGCCAGCCCCTGGACATCACCCACTTGGCTCAAGACCAATGGAGCGGTGAATGGGAAGGGGTCACTCAAGGGACAGCCCGGAGACATCTACCACCAGACCTGGGCCAGATACTTTGTGAAGTAAGGGATCAGCAAGGATGTGGGATCAGGACTGGCCTCCCATTTAGCCATGCTGATCTGTGTCCCAACCCTCAACCTAGTTCCACTTCCAGATCTGCCTGTCCTCAGCTCACCTTTCTACCTTCTGGGCCTTTCAGCCTTGGGCCTGTCAATCTTGCCCACTCCATCAGGCTTCCTGTTCTCTCGGTCTGGCCCACTTTCTTTTTATTTTTCTTCTTTTTTTTTTTTTTGAGAAGGAGTCTCTCTCTCTGTCACCCAGGCTGGAGTGCTGTGGCGCCATCTTCACTCACTGTAACCTCTGCCTCCTGAGTTCAAGCAATTCTCCTGCCTCAGCCTTCCAAGTAGCTGGGATTATAGGCGCCTGCCACCAGGCCCAGCTGATTTTTCTATTTTTAGTAGAGACGGGGTTTCGCCAGGCTGTTCTCGAACTCCTGAACTCAAGTGATCCACCTGCCTCGGCTTCCCAAAGTGCTGGGATTACAGGTGTGAGCCACCACACCCAGCTGGTCTGGTCCACTTTCTTGGCCGGATCATTCATGACCTTTCTCTTGCCAGGTTCCTGGATGCCTATGCTGAGCACAAGTTACAGTTCTGGGCAGTGACAGCTGAAAATGAGCCTTCTGCTGGGCTGTTGAGTGGATACCCCTTCCAGTGCCTGGGCTTCACCCCTGAACATCAGCGAGACTTCATTGCCCGTGACCTAGGTCCTACCCTCGCCAACAGTACTCACCACAATGTCCGCCTACTCATGCTGGATGACCAACGCTTGCTGCTGCCCCACTGGGCAAAGGTGGTAAGGCCTGGACCTCCATGGTGCTCCAGTGACCTTCAAATCCAGCATCCAAATGACTGGCTCCCAAACTTAGAGCGATTTCTCTACCCAACTATGGATTCCTAGAGCACCATTCCCCTGGACCTCCAGGGTGCCATGGATCCCACAGTTGTCGCTTGAAACCTTTCTAGGGGCTGGGCGAGGTGGCTCACTCATGCAAACCCAGCACTTTGGGAAGCCGAGGCGGGTGATCACCTGAGGTCAGGAGTTTAAGACCACCCTGGCCAACGTGTTGAAACCCTGTGTCTACTAAAATACAAAAAAAAAAAATTATCTGGGCATGATGGTGGGTGTCTGTAATCCCAGCTACTCAGGAGGCTGAGAAGGGAGAATCAGTTGAACCCGGGAGATGGTGGTTGCGGTGAGCCGAGATCGCGCCACTGCACTCCAGCCTGGGAGGCTGAGCGAGACTCCATCTCGAAACAAAACAAAACAAAACTATCTAGGCTGGGGGTGGTGGTTCATGTATGTATGTGTATATACATATATATGTGTTTATATGTATATATATATACACACACACACATACATACACACACATACACACACAAATTAGCTGGGTGTGGCACCCGTGTAGTCCCAGCTACTCAGGAGGCTAATGTGGGAGGATCAGTTGACCCTAGGAAGTCAAGGCTGCAGTGAGTCGTGATTGCGCCACTGTACTCCAGCCCGAGTGACAGAGTGACATCCTGTCTCAAAAACAAAAAAAAATCTCCCCAAACCTCTCTAGTTGCATTCTTCCCGTCACCCAACTCCAGGATTCCTACAACAGGAACTAGAAGTTCCAGAAGCCTGTGTGCAAGGTCCAGGATCAGTTGCTCTTCCTTTGCAGGTACTGACAGACCCAGAAGCAGCTAAATATGTTCATGGCATTGCTGTACATTGGTACCTGGACTTTCTGGCTCCAGCCAAAGCCACCCTAGGGGAGACACACCGCCTGTTCCCCAACACCATGCTCTTTGCCTCAGAGGCCTGTGTGGGCTCCAAGTTCTGGGAGCAGAGTGTGCGGCTAGGCTCCTGGGATCGAGGGATGCAGTACAGCCACAGCATCATCACGGTAAGCCACCCCAGTCTCCCTTCCTGCAAAGCAGACCTCAGACCTCTTACTAGTTTCACCAAAGACTGACAGAAGCCCTTCCTGTCCAGCTTTCCCCAGCTAGCCTGCCCTTTTGAGCAACTCTGGGGAACCATGATTCCCTATCTTCCCTTTCCTTCACAGGTCTGCACACCTCATTGCCCCTTTTGCAACTACTGAGGCACTTGCAGCTGCCTCAGACTTCTCAGCTCCCCTTGAGATGCCTGGATCTTCACACCCCCAACTCCTTAGCTACTAAGGAATGTGCCCCTCACAGGGCTGACCTACCCACAGCTGCCTCTCCCACATGTGACCCTTACCTACACTCTCTGGGGACCCCCAGTGTTGCGCCTTTGTCTCTTTGCCTTTGTCCTTACCCTAGAACCTCCTGTACCATGTGGTCGGCTGGACCGACTGGAACCTTGCCCTGAACCCCGAAGGAGGACCCAATTGGGTGCGTAACTTTGTCGACAGTCCCATCATTGTAGACATCACCAAGGACACGTTTTACAAACAGCCCATGTTCTACCACCTTGGCCACTTCAGGTGAGTGGAGGGCGGGCACCCCCATTCCATACCAGGCCTATCATCTCCTACATCGGATGGCTTACATCACTCTACACCACGAGGGAGCAGGAAGGTGTTCAGGGTGGAACCTCGGAAGAGGCACACCCATCCCCTTTTGCACCATGGAGGCAGGAAGTGACTAGGTAGCAACAGAAAACCCCAATGCCTGAGGCTGGACTGCGATGCAGAAAAGCAGGGTCAGTGCCCAGCAGCATGGCTCCAGGCCTAGAGAGCCAGGGCAGAGCCTCTGCAGGAGTTATGGGGTGGGTCCGTGGGTGGGTGACTTCTTAGATGAGGGTTTCATGGGAGGTACCCCGAGGGACTCTGACCATCTGTTCCCACATTCAGCAAGTTCATTCCTGAGGGCTCCCAGAGAGTGGGGCTGGTTGCCAGTCAGAAGAACGACCTGGACGCAGTGGCACTGATGCATCCCGATGGCTCTGCTGTTGTGGTCGTGCTAAACCGGTGAGGGCAATGGTGAGGTCTGGGAAGTGGGCTGAAGACAGCGTTGGGGGCCTTGGCAGGATCACACTCTCAGCTTCTCCTCCCTGCTCCCTAGCTCCTCTAAGGATGTGCCTCTTACCATCAAGGATCCTGCTGTGGGCTTCCTGGAGACAATCTCACCTGGCTACTCCATTCACACCTACCTGTGGCGTCGCCAGTGATGGAGCAGATACTCAAGGAGGCACTGGGCTCAGCCTGGGCATTAAAGGGACAGAGTCAGCTCACACGCTGTCTGTGACTAAAGAGGGCACAGCAGGGCCAGTGTGAGCTTACAGCGACGTAAGCCCAGGGGCAATGGTTTGGGTGACTCACTTTCCCCTCTAGGTGGTGCCAGGGGCTGGAGGCCCCTAGAAAAAGATCAGTAAGCCCCAGTGTCCCCCCAGCCCCCATGCTTATGTGAACATGCGCTGTGTGCTGCTTGCTTTGGAAACTGGGCCTGGGTCCAGGCCTAGGGTGAGCTCACTGTCCGTACAAACACAAGATCAGGGCTGAGGGTAAGGAAAAGAAGAGACTAGGAAAGCTGGGCCCAAAACTGGAGACTGTTTGTCTTTCCTGGAGATGCAGAACTGGGCCCGTGGAGCAGCAGTGTCAGCATCAGGGCGGAAGCCTTAAAGCAGCAGCGGGTGTGCCCAGGCACCCAGATGATTCCTATGGCACCAGCCAGGAAAAATGGCAGCTCTTAAAGGAGAAAATGTTTGAGCCCAGTCAGTGTGAGTGGCTTTATTCTGGGTGGCAGCACCCCGTGTCCGGCTGTACCAACAACGAGGAGGCACGGGGGCCTCTGGAATGCATGAGAGTAGAAAAACCAGTCTTGGGAGCGTGAGGACAAATCATTCCTCTTCATCCTCCTCAGCCATGCCCAGGGTCCGGGTGCCTGGGGCCCGAGCAGGCGTTGCCCGCTGGATGGAGACAATGCCGCTGAGCAAGGCGTAGCCCACCATGGCTGCCAGTCCTGCCAGCACAGATAGGATCTGGTTCCGGCGCCGGTATGGCTCCTCCTCAGTCTCTGGGCCTGCTGGTGTCTGGCGTTGCGGTGGTACCTCAGCTGAGGGTCAAGGAAGGAAGGTGTGTTAGGAGAACTAGTTCTTGGATCCCTGCCCACTCTCCCCAGGGCTGCCCCTCCCATCTGCCCCTTACCTCCATCCCAGGGGAAGTAGAGACTGAGAATGTGGGTACAATAGGCACAGAGGTTGTGCAGCCCACGCAGGTGGACCTGCAGCTTCCCACTGGGCAGCTTTGCCTGCAGCAGCAGGGCCAAGTAGCTGAAGACGAAGGCGTCCAAGGAGGCAGGGCTGGAGCAGAGAGAGAAGGGTGGGATGGAGGAGAACCACTGGGGTAG
Source organism: Homo sapiens (assembly GCF_000001405.40). Lineage (NCBI taxonomy): Eukaryota > Metazoa > Chordata > Mammalia > Primates > Hominidae > Homo > Homo sapiens. Next base: position 155,233,816 of record NC_000001.11, on the reverse strand, counting down.
AAGGGGTAAAGATGGAGCTGGAGGAAGAGTCAGCCTTGGGAGGTGGGCTCTGGGCAGCAGGCGGCCACCAGGGAAGGACAGGACACACAGTTCTAGACCTGGTATGGGGAGAGATCCCCAGGTGGCGCCAGCCTGGCCCTGAATAGGGCTCTATCCCAGGGCTGCATAAAGGGCACACTCAGTGCCCCACAGCTCTTCAGGCCCTTCCTGTGCCTGGCTGCCCTCCCACCCTACCCTTTTGTACCTCTGAGAAGGCTCTGGCCCCACGCACAGCCCCACTGTCACCAGGGCCAGTATCTGTCTCAGGGACCTCCTATCCAGAGCCTGAGCCAGCCCCAGCCCCAGCCCCAGCTCCAGCTGCTCCATCTGAACCTGTATCTTCTTCCAAGCCACCCATTACCCTCTTGGAGTCAGACTCACGCATCTCCAAAGAAGAACTTTTGAGAGCCCAGGCGCTGAGAGAGCAGGGTCAGACACTCCCGAGCCTCTCGGTACAGCTGTAGGGGCGACACAGGTAGGCTTGCAGCTGCGGGAACAGTGCCACCTCCGCACCTAAGCACTCCCATTCCTGGCCAGCATCCTTGGGGCTCATCTCATACAATAGCCCCCGGTCTCAGAGCTACCTCCTTCTCCAGCTCTTCCTCGTCCTCAGGCCTGTGCTCCCCAGTCAGCAGCTGTAGCCGTTCCATGTACTGCCGCTGCATGCGGCCAGGCAGGAAGAAGTTGAGGGGAAAGGGCATAGCCTCTGCATACCACTTCCGGGTCACTTCTACGTAGTTCTTGGTGTCTATCCAAAAAGTATGTACCTGGATTGGGTGGGCAGGAAGAAACAGGCAGGTCTGAGCCAGTGCACCTGTCTGATTCAAGGTGGGCTTCTGACCTCCATGCTCTCCTGAGTCTCTGTGTGGGTCTGTGTGTTCCCGTCCCCTCCCCGGCTGGCCATGGATGCTGGGAGGTCTGGGCACACTCACCAGCACCGGGATCAACTTCTCCTCCAGGAGAGACATGAAGGCCAGGGTGTCTGCCCCTTGCTGAGCTGACAGATCATAATCAGCATTGTACTTCTGTGGAGGAAATATCCATGGCGTGGACGCTGGGGAGCTGCAAGGGCACTTCACCAGGGAGGAAGGAGTCCTGTCTGGTACCCCCCTCACTGGCCTCTGAGTGCAGTGGAGGTACAGCAAGGAACTTTTCCTGCCAAGGCCCCCTTGCCTGGGCCCAGCCAGTAGCCTGTTGCTGTTGGCAAAAAGCCTGGGCCTTGGAGCCCGCTGGCCGTCAAGGTCCTGGGCCCATTGAGAAGAAGGAAGAAAGGTTGGGCCGCAAACTAGGAGCAGCTCCCAGAATTTCCATGGAAAGCTGGAACAATGCCTGCTGACAGCAACTTTCTAACAGTAACTTTCCCGACCCAGACACCACAAAGCTAGCACAACGGAGCTCAGATGCAGGCTAGGACTCGGTCCATGCCTCAGGAACCAGGGAAAGCCATCCTCACACTCCCTGGATCCAGGGAACCCACGCCCAGGGCCCCCCAGCTTGTTCCCTCAGTGCCCAGCTCTTGGCTATTTCTTTCACTTCATTCCATCGCCCAGACACCATTACCACATACACATTCCATCCATACCCCCAGGTCTCAGCCTGCCCTACCTTCCCAGGCTCCAGTCCCTGTTCCTCAGCATCCCCCACCACATCCTGAGTAAGCTTTGTCCCCAGATAACCTCTTCAGCATGATCCTTAAATCTCCCTAAGCCTCAGTTTCTCCCCTGTGGAATGGGGGTAAGAATCTCTTTCTCTGAATGCCCCTGTGTTAGGAAATAATTTAGAATACTTCGGAAACAAAAAGCTCTGTTCACACCTAAGCAATCAGGGCAGTGGCCCTGGCCTTGCCAGGAACTTAGGCTTTTATCTGGATCCTCTTTCCAGGCCTCTCAATTAATTCCCCAGGTCCTTAACCTTTGGGAAATTAGAAATTAGGAAGAGTGTCCCACTTCTGACACTGTGTTCCCTCTTGGAACCTGACCGTCAATGCTAGAAGAACCCTTGGAAAACATGCTGGCCCAGCCCTCTAGTTTTACAAATAAGGGAGTGCACAGCCCTGAGAGGTTACATGGCCTGCCCAAGATCACGCAGTCAATGGCAGAGTAAAGAGCATAGCCTAGGCCTCCCCACTCCTCTAGTAATGCTCTTTCATCTTCTCCAACCTGGCTCTAAGCCTTGTCCATCCTGAGCCCCATATCTAGCCCAACCTAGTCCCTGAAAACAAGAAGTGGCCCTTAGAAATCTCTCTCCAGTCCCACTATCAGAGGCCAACTGCTGTCTTCCAGTCTCCTTCAGCCTGTGCTCCTCTCCCTCCCTGACTGACAGGCAGAAGGTACCGTGCCTCTGGATATCCCCACAGTGCCCTGAGCTGCATCTCTTGCCGACTGCTTTAATACATCACAGTGACATTGTGTGTGTCTCTGCCACCAGACTATTGCTCCTTGATGCTCTGGGTCACCTGCATCTAGCATGGCATATATCTAGTGCTCAATAAATGTGTATTGTACGGAATTGACTGAACTTCTCTCACTGGCAGCCCCCTCTATCCAAATCACCCACCTCTTTTTGAAGGTGGGTGATGATCTTGTGTGGTACTGAGGTGACCTCTCCATGACTGGTCCAAAGGGCAGGCAGGGTTCCTGATACTGAGAGAAAAGTATACCAACCAGGACCTTAGCTGCCTATCCATACGTAGTTGCAACACATTCCTGCCTATCTCCTGCTTCTCCTCTTGTACACACCCTTCCTCACCCCCAAGGGATACTGGGTACCTGAAGGGCTCTGCCAGGGGTTGCTGATCTTGTGCTATATGGTGCACAAGAAACTTTTAAGAAAAAAGAAACTTTCAAGACACACTTTCCAACCACGAATTCTATCTCTGCTCCTTTTCATAGCAATAGGTTTTCTTTTTCTTCCCTCCACACTTAAACATCCATTCTCTTATCACCCACCCCCATCAGACTCCTTCCCCTGTGTTTCTTCAGCCACTGCTCTGACCAAAATTTGAGTGACCAAAAGTGGTGTCAGACCCAGTGACCATTTCTCTGCCTGCATTTCACTTGACCTTGAAGCAGCAATTAATCTCCATAATCAGCATCTTCTTGAATTTTTCCCTTTGAGGACATTGCTCTTCTACTTTGTGCTCTGGTTATCCTTTACAAACTTTTACACCTCTCCTGAACTGGTTAACAGTAGAGGGCCCCAAGGGTCTCACGTAAGCCTTCTTTGTTTTTGTTTTTTTTCTTTTCTTTTATTTTTTATATATTTTTTTGAGACGGAGTCTTGCTCTGTTGCCCGGGCTGGAGTGCAGTTGCACGATCTCGGCTCACTGCAAGCTCTGCCTCCCAGGTTCATGCTATTCTCCTGCCTCAGCCTCCCGAGTAGCTGGGACTACAGGTGCCTGCCACCATGCCTGGCTAATTTTCTGTATTTTTAACAGAGACAGGGTATCACCATGTTAGCCAGGATGGTCTCGATCTCCTGACCTCGTGATCTGCCCACCTCAGCCTCCCAAAATGCTGGGATTACAGGCGTGAGCCACTGCTCCCAGCCGTCATTTTTATTTTATTTTATTTATTTTTTTGAGATGGAGTCTTGCTCTTTTGCCAGGCTGGAGTGCATGGTGCGATCTCGGCTCATTGCAACCCCCGCCTCCCAGGTTCAAGCGATTCTCCTGCCTCAGCCTCCTGAGTGGCTGGGACTACAGGTGCCTGTCACCATGCCTGGCTAATTTTCTGTATTTTTAGTTGAGACAGGTTTTCACCTTGTTAGCCAGGATGGTCTCGATCTGCTGACCTCGTGATCTGCCTGCGTCGGCCTCCCAAAGTGCTGGGATTACAGGCATGAGCCACTGCACCCGGCCATCAATTTTTTTTTTTTTTAAATGGAGTCTTGCTCTGTCACCCAGGTTGGAGTGTAACAGTGCAATCTTGGCTCATTGCAACCTCCGCCTCTTGGGTTCAAGCGATTCTCCTGCCTCAGCCTCCTGAGTAGCTGGGACTACAGGTGCATGCCACCACACCCGGCTAGTTTTTGTATTTTTAGTAGAGACGGGGTTTCACCATGTTGTCCAGGATGGTCTCAAACTCCTGACCTCAAATGATGTGCCTGCCTTGACCTTCCAAAGTGCTGGGATTAGAGGCGTGAACCACATTGCCCACCGTAAGCCCTCTTTTCTACTTCCACTCTTTCTGTAGGTGGCCCTACTACTAACGTCCATGGCTTTAAGTACCATCTTTCTATGTGTTAATGCATAAGTCCAGCCTTGACCTCTCTTGAGCGCCATCCAACTCAGCATATCTGGTTGGATGTCTAATGAGTATTTCAAATTCAACATGGCCACAACTGAACTAACTGAACTCTTTTTTTTTTTTAGGCAGAGTTTTGCTCTTGTTGCCCAGGCTGGAGTGCAATGGCGAGATCTTGGCTCACTGCAACCTCTGCCTCCAGGGTTCAAGCGATTCTCCTGCCTCAGCCTCCCGAGTAGATGGGATTATAGGCCCCGCTACCCGGCTAATGTTTTTGTATTTTTAGTAGAGACAGGGTGTTGCCATATTGACCAGGCTGGTCTGCAAATCCTGACCTCAGGTGATCCCCCTGCCTCGGCCTCCCAAAGTGCTGGAATTACAGGCGTGAGTCACTGCGCCCGGCCACACAACTGAGCTCTTCATTCCCACCCCAGCACCGGTTATTTTTCCACTGTTCCCATCTCAATGGCACCTCCATTACCCATTTGCACATTCCAAAAGCCCAGGAACCATGGTGACTTCTTTTCCCATATCCAACACAACCAATCCTATCTTGAATTCATCCACGTCCCACCACCTCCCCAGCTACCTAGTTCCAGCCACCCTCTCTCCACAACCTCTGAATCAATCTTTCACTTTTCCCAGCAATCCATTCTCCACTCAGCAAAATGATGATAAAGCACGTCACATCAAGGCTCTGCCTCAATTTAATGGCTTCCCATTGTATTTAGAATCATCTCCAAGCTCTCAGAGACTATGGTCAGCTACAATCTGGCCCACCTTCTGTTCCAGCCAAATTTCCTCACAGCACAAGGACGTTTGCACCTGCTATTTTCCAAGCACGAAACCCTCGGGCAGATATATCTGGTGCTGTCACCTAATTTCAGGTTTTAACTCCACTCTCACCATTTCAGTGAGGACCTAATCCCCATCGCAGTCATTCTATCACATAGCTTTATTTTATTTTATTTTATTTTTTTTTGAGATACAGTCTGGCTCTCTCACCCAGGCTGGAGTGCAGTGGTGTGATCTGGGCTCACTGCAAACTTCCATCTCCTGCGTTCAAGCGATTCTCCTGCCTCAGCTTCCCGAGTAGCTGGGATTACAGGTGTCTGCCATCACGCCTGACTAAGTTTTGTATTTTCAGTAGAGACGGGGTTTTGCCATGTTAGCCAGGCTGGTCTCGAACTCCTTGACCTCAAGTGATCCACCTGCCTCAGCCTCCCACAATGTTGGATTTACAGGCGTGAGCCACTGCTCCCGGCCACATAGCCATGTTTTAAGCATGTATCACTATCTAAAATTATTTTTTGTTTATACGTTTGTGTCGTCCTGTAGAATGTAAGGTCACAAGATCAGGGACTTGCTCATTGCACTGGGTCTAACACACAGTGCTTCCTCAACAAACACTCGTTAAGATACTAACGTGGCAGAGTGGGGCCTTGTAAACAGTTTCAGGACCCTGTGCTTGTAAGAGCAACGTGGTGCCCTCCCAAGGAAGACAGGGAGGATGCAGGAGCACTGCCCAGAGATGGCGTCAGGCTGCAAGACATCTTGAATAATTCACCATCGTAACAACCCAGCCTCAGGAAGAGATGGGGCAAGGCCAGAACGAAACATTAGGTAAGAGGCGGTGGACAATGGGATTCCCACAGGGCAGCTTTTGGGCACTGGACGTTCCCTAACCTGAGGCTCTCTGAAGAGGAAGGTTAGGAATCCTCTCAGCTTCGGTGGGCTGGACTCACTGTGGGAATTCAATCGCCCCCCCCCACCCACTAAGGGTGTGCTGGCGGGAAAGCGCTGAGACGCATGCGTAGTTCTCGCGTCTGGCACCCGCTCCCTTTCCAATACGCTTGCGCCCCGTCTGTGCTACGGATGGTCAGGGAGAGTTGTCCGTCTTCAAATGGACCAATGAGACTTGTGGAGGGGCTCTGAGTCCCGCCTCTGGATGAGTGACCGTCTCTTTTCCAAGTGAGGCCCCGCCCCGCCTCCCCAGGGCTGCTTTTCTCGCGGCACGGGTGGTGGGGCTGCTTCTTGACTTCCGCGCCTAGTGCGCAGGGCCCCATTCTCCAGTCCCGCCCACGCGCCTTTGGAGGCTGCGGTGGGATTTCCTTTTGCCTTCGGTTGGGGCTGCTGTTTCTCTTCGCCGACGGTAGGCATTATAAATATTTCGCCCTTTGAATTTTAGCTCTCCCCTCCCGGCGTTCGCACTTAGCCTTTTTCATCATTATCATTATTTTTAATGGTAAGGATGGTCAAATTTTACTAATGAAGCGATTATAAAATCTTCAAGTCTTTGTATCCACTTGCTTTTTGAGGGCTGGAGTGGGAAGAAAGGTATATAATTCATTCATTCTTCGGACATGTGACAAACGTTCACGGAGCGCGGCAACGAGCGCCGGTGTCGCGATGCGCACTGGGGCTGCACATGGGAGCCAGGATGGACTGGACTGGTCCCTGCCCTGCCCGCTGACGATTGGCAGGCCACTGCCTTTGATGAGCTGGGCGCTATAACTGCCATTAAGCCATTTGTACAATTAATCACAACAGTGATAAGAGCGACAAAGGAGCTATTCGGGTGGCTGAGGCGGGAGGATCTTTTGAGCCTAGGAGTTCGAGACCAGCCTGGGGAATAGAGCGAGATCCTGTCTCAAAAAAAGGGGGAGAAAAAGTGACAAAGAAGTTGTGAGGGCTATGAGTTTGCGTTAGAGGAGGTGTGTGAGGTGGGGAGGCGGCAGGGGGCGCGGTTGTTCTTAGAGAAAGTGACATCCGGGCTAATTTTGAAAGAATAAGTGTTAACTAGGCTAAGCGGTGGGAAAGAGTAGTGTGTGCTGAAGGAAGGGAAGAGGAACCTGGCAAGTTCATGGCAGGCTGTAATTGGATGCTGGTCTCCCTCCACACTTGACTCCTACAGTCTGATTTCTACACAGCACCCAAAGTGATCTCTTAAAAATACACATGTGATCTTGTCACTTCCCAGCACCAAACTCTACAGTGAATTTCCATCTTAGAACAAAATTCAGACTCCTTACCATGGCCACCAAGACCCTACACAATCTGGCCTCCCAATTTCCTTTTCCAAGGTCACCTTTTACCACTATCCATCTCACTCACACTGCTCCAGCACTCTCTATGCTTTTATTTTTCTTTCTTCCTCTTTCTTTCTTTCTTTCTTTCTTTTTCTTTTTCTTTCTTTCTTTCCTTCCTTCTCTCTCTCTCTCTTTCTTTTCTTTTCTCTTTCTTTTTTTTTTTTTTGAGATGCAGTCTTGCTCTGTCACCCAGGTGGTGTGATCTTGGCTCACTGCAACCCAGAGCAGTGGGGGTGATCTTGGCTCACTGCAGCCTCCGCCTTCCAGGTTCAAGCAATTCTGCCTCAGCCTCCTGAGTAGCAGGGATTAGCGCCATCAGTCCCAGCTAATTTTTGTATTTTTAGTAGAGATTTCATCATGTTGTCCAGGCTGGTCTCGAACTCCTGACTTCAAGTGATCTGCCCATCTCAGCCTCCTAAAGTGCTGAGATTACAGGCAGGAGCCACCACACCTGGCTCAGTATTTGTTTTATTTTTGTTGTGTTTATTTATTTAGAGACAAGGTCTTGCTCTGTTGCTCAGGCTGGAGTGCTGTGGCAGGAACACAGCTCACTGCAGCCTCCACTACCTCAATTCAGGCGATCCTCCCACCTCAGCTGAGACTACAGGTGTGCATCACCATGCCTGGTTAATTTTTTCGTTTTACCATGTTGGCCAGGTTTGTCTCGAACTCTTGGGCTCTGCTGTCCTCCTACCTTAGCCTCCCAAAGTGCTAGGATTGTAGGCGTGAGCCACTGTGCCCAGCTGGTGTTCAGTATTTGAATCCATATTTCCTGTAGCCGCAACCAAAGTTCCACTGTTAGGTCTCACTTTGACTTTAATAATTGTGTTCAGGCTGGGCACACTGGCTCAAGCCTGTAATCTCAGCAGTTTGGGAGGCCGAGGTGGGTGGATCACATGAGGTCAGGTGTTTGAGACCAGCCTGTCCAACATGGCGAAACCCTGTCTCTACTAAAAATACAAAACATTCTCCGATCGTAGTGGCGGGCGCCTGTAATCCCAGCTACTTGGGAGGCTGAAGGAGGAGAATTGCTTGAACCTGGGAGGCAGAGGTTGCAGTGAGCGGAGATCACGTCATTGCACTCCAGCCTGGGCTACAGAGCGAGACTCTGTCTCAATAAGTAAATAAATAAATAAATAAATAAATAAATAAATAAATAAATAATTGTGTTCGGAGTCAGCATCATTCTTCCTGAAGTTCACCACTCCTTTGCCAAGAACACTTCCTGAAACACTGACAAGCAGGACCTTGAATAATGGGGTATGGTTGGTAACAACTCACTCATTCAACAAACATTGAGCACCTATTTTGTGCTTGCCTCTAAATGAAGAGCTGGTTGTATTATTTATTTTTTTAGGTGACAGGGCTTTCCCTATGTTGCCCAGGTTCGTCTCAAACTCCTGGGCTCAAAAGATCCTCATCTTCTCAAGTGGTTGAATATACACGCTCCAGCGACCATGCCTGGCTGAATGAAGAGCTTTGAGATTTTGAAGAAACAGGAACCATGAAATTTGCTTTGCAACTGTTTGCAACCTTTAAGGAAGACTGAAAAGGCATTCCTGAAGCATGTGAGAAGCAGTCTGTGTGACCTGATGACTCAGAACTGCTTGGAATTTAGATTAGGACAGATATGAGCTTAGGCTTCACTCTGCCACATATTTAACTTCTCTAAGTCTTAGTTTTCTTTTCTTTTTTTTTTTTTTTGAGATGGAGTCTCGCTCTGTCACCCAGGCTGGAGTGCAGTGGCACGATCTTGGCTCACTGCAAGCTCCGCCTCCCGGGTTCACGCCATCCTCCTGCCTCAGCCACCCGAGTAGCGGGGACTACAGTCGCACACCGCCACGCCTGGCTAAATTTTTGTATTTTTAGTAGAGACGGGGTTTCACCGTGTTAGCCAGGATGGTCTCGATCTCCTAACCTTGTGATCCGCCCGCTTCGGCCTCCCAAAGTGTTGGGATTACAGGTGTGAGCCATCGCGTCTGGCCTCTAAGTCTTAATTTTCTTATCTGTAATGTAGAGTTGTCAGGCTAGTGCATGTAATAAGCACTCATGAAAGACTGACTATTATCTTGCGAAAAATTGGAAGAGATCATATGAGGTACAAGGACCTTCCATCTGCACTGGGCTGTACATTGAATGTTGTGGTTACTGTTGAAGCATTGGTAAATCACATGAATCCAATGGTAAAACCACACCCTAAGGTCAGACTCAGTGGCTCACGCCTGTAATTCCAGCACTTTGGGAAACCAAGGCAAGAGGATTGCTTGAGCTCAGGAGTTCGATACCAGTCTAGGCAACCTGTTTCTATAAAAAGTTAAAAAATTAGCTTGGTGTGGTGGTGTGCACTTCTGGTCCCAGCTACTCAGGAGGCTAAGGTGGGAGGATCCCTTGAGCCCAGGTGGTCGAGGCTGCAGTGAGCCAGGATCACACCATTGCATTCCAGCCTGGATGACAGTGTGAGGCCCTGTCTTAAAAAAGACAAAAACAAACCAAAAAAACCCACACCCTAGTGGGTAAGGGGCAGCAGAGGTCCCACCCAAGAGTGAAATCATTTTTGGTGTCAGTAATCAGGGAGAGTAATATACCCTCAGGCCAGAAACTAGAGGTGAGTGATGGCTCACGCCTATAATCCCAGCACCTTGGGAGGCTGAGGCAGGTGGATTGCTTGACCTCAGGAATTCGAGACCAGCCTGGGCAACATAGGAAGACCCCATCTCTAAAAATAAATTTCAAAAATTAGTTGGGCATGGTGGCATGTACCTGTAGTCCCAGCTACTATGGAGGCTGAGGTGGGAGGATCCAATTGAGCCTGAGAGGTCAAAGCTGCAGTGAATTGTGATTGTGCCAAGACCCTGTCTCTAAAATAAAATAAAATTACAATTAAAAACTAGAGCTGAAAGGACAGGTTCTAGGTTAACTGGTAGTAGTTGTTCATTCATCTGTATAAAAAGTACTTTTTTGAGCACCTACTCTGTGCTGTGCATGGAATGAACAAATGTCTTTATTTGACTTGAACACAGACCATAGAAGTAACTAACAGTGGAACTGGGAGTGGCACTCTCCATGGGACCTAAAGACCTAGGAGCCTGTGATATGATACCTGTCAGTGTGAAAGGGCTGGAGTTTGCTATCTGAGCCAGACCTACACTCCAAGACAGGTCTTGCTGGGATGGGATCAAAATTGCTGCTGGGTCAGCCGAACTATTTTTGTACTTCTGCTTTTCACTTATATTTATGTCTTCCCTAGGTATATAGCTGTCTTTTTTTGTTTGCTTGTTTTTCTGAGTCAGAGTCTTGCTCTGTCACTCAGGCTGGAGTGCAGTGGCGCGTCTCGGCTCACTGCAACATCCACCTCGGGTTCAAACGATTCTCCTGCCTCAGATTCCCGAGTAGCTAGGATTACAGGTGCCCACCACCATGCCCGGCTAATTTTTTGTATTTTTAATAGAGATGGGGTTTAGTAGAGACAGGGTTTCACTGTGTTATCCAGGATGGTCTCCATCTCCTGACCTCGTGATCTGCCCGCCTCAGCTTCCCAAAGTGCTGGGATTACAGGCATGAGCCACTGCGCCCGGCCACTGGAGACCCCTTTTCTACCAAAAAAAATAAAAATAAATAAATAAATATATATATATATTTGTAAAGACGGAGTCTCTCTATGTTGCCCAGGCTGGTCTTGAACTCCTGGCCTCAAGGGATCCTCTTGTCTCAGCTTCTTAAAATGATGGGGTTACAGGCATGAGCCACCGTACCAGGCCTTAGCAAACTCTTTTTCAAGTGCTATACAAAGGGGACAGAGGAACGTGATTGTGGCCACCTAGTATGCCCCTATTGGCCACTGCAGTGAGGCCTAGGTGTTTGAAGAGAGGCACCTAGGGTAGTGGCTCTCAGGCACACCCTAGGGGCATTTTGGAAATTTGTGGGGCATCTTTAATAGAGACAATGATTAGGAGGCACTTTGAGAATTTAGTGGATGGAGCCCAGGAAAGGTAGACATTCTGCAACATGTAGTACATTCATACACAAGGAAGAATTCACTCATTTCACCTGACTTACAAATATAAAATCAAATATAAATCAGTAGGACTTTATTATAAAATATTGCAGAAAAGTTTCACAAGAATTTTTTGTAGAAAAAGCCCAATCAGGGCCGGGCATGGTGGCTCATGCCTGTAATCTCAGGACTTTGGGAGGCCGAGGCGGGTGAATCACCTGAGGTCAGGAGTTTGGGACAAGCCTGGCCAACATGGTAAAACCCCGTCTTGACTAAAAATACAAAAATCAGCCAGGCATGGTGGTGTGCGTCTGTAATCCCAGGTACTCGGGAGGCTGAGGCAGGAGAATCGCTTGAACCCAGGAGGCGGGGTTTGCAGTGAGCCAAGATCAAGCCACTGTGCTCCAGCCTGGGTGAAAGAGCAAGACTCCGTCGAAAGAAAGAAAGGAAGGGAGGAAGGGAGGAAGGGAGGGAGGGAGGGAGGGAGGGAAAGAAAGAAAAAAGAGAAGAGAGGGGAGGGGAGGGAAGAGGAGAAAAGAAGGAAGGAAGGCAGGAAGGAAGGAATCCAGTCGAGATCGTTAAATTTGTTGTAATTTTGTCTTTGGCACAATAAACATTAGTCCTTATTAAAACTAACTTTACTTAGAAAATAAAATAGAAAATCCTCAAGGACAAATCACATTGTACAGGAAATATGAAATGTGAAATAATATCCACCTTGGAAATTTTTTTTTTTTGAAACAGAGTGTTACTCTGTCTCCCAGGCTGGAGTGCAGTGGCACAATCTTGGGTCTCTGCAACCTCTGACTCCTGGGTTCAAGTGATTCTCGTACCTCAGCTTCCCAAGTAGCTGGGATTACAGGCGTGCACCACCACACCCAGCTAATTTTTGTATTTTCATTTCAGATGGGATTTTGCCATGTTGGCCATGAACACCTGTCCTCAAGCTATCCACTGCCTCAGCCTCCCAAAGTGCTGGGATTATAGGCATGAGCTACCGTGCCCAGCCACCCTGGAAAAATTTTACAAAATGAAGTATAAAAAGAAGAAAAGAGGGGCGGGCATGGTGCCTTGTGCGTGTAATCCTAGAACTCTGCAAAGCCGAGGCAGGAGATCCTTTGGGTTTAGGAGTTTGAGACCAACCTGCACAACATAGCAAGACCCTATTTCTACAAAAAATACAGACACTAGGCTGGGCGTGGTGGCTCACGCCTGTAATCCCAGCACTTTGGGAAGCTGAGGCCAGCAGATCACGAGGTCAGGAGATGGAGACCATCCTGGCTAACATAGTGAAACCCTGTCTCTACTAAAAATACAAAAAATTAGCCGGGTGTGGTGGCAGGCGCCTGTAGTCCCAGCTACTCAGGAGGCTGAGGCAGGAGAATGGCGTGAATCCGGGAGGCGGAGCTTGCAGTGAGCCGAGATCGTGCCACTGCACTCCAGCCTGGGAGACAGAGCAAGACTCCGTCTCAAAAAAAAAAAAATTTTGCTCAGTACCTGGCCAAAAAAGAAGCAGCTCACTCCCTGTACACAGAGGGTAAGAGAAAGGAGATGGTTGAACTTCTAAACTCGCTAAAGCAGGAGAGGCAAATGTGGAATGTGCTCAGGAAATATCTGTGAGATGAATGAATTTGAGGGAAGTAAGGTACTAGATAATTACCTGCCCTACCCAGAACAAATCCTGTGCAACGTTTCCTTGAAGAGCAGGAAGTCAGGCCGGGTGCTGTGGCTCACGCCTGTAATCCCAGCCCTTTGGGAGGCCAAAGTGTGCGAATCACCTGAGGTCAGGAGATTGAGACCAGTCTGGCTAACATGGTGAAACCCCATCTCTACTAAAATACAAAAATTAGCCGGGCGTGGTGGTGCGTGCCTGTAGTCCCAACTACTTGGGAGGCTGAGGCAGGAGAATTGCTTGAACCTGGGAGGCAGAGGTTGCGGTGAGCTGAGATCGGCCACTGCACTCCAGACTGGGTGACAGAGTGAGACAACATCTCAAAAAAACAAAAAAAAAAGAGAAAAGCAGGAAGTCTGGAAGGGGTGGCTACTGACATAGTGAAGCAACTAGTTCAATTCTACAACTTGACAACTACCCCTGTGCCAGGCTGTCTACAAGGATATTTAGAATGTGTAAGACATTCCTTCAAGGAACTCCAGGAACAGAGGCCTGACATGTTGCAATGTTTAGTGTCAAGCAGTGTACTAGAGACACATTATCACACTCAAACCTCACAACAGTTCTATGAGGTAGGAGTTATCACTCCCCTTTTATAGATGAAATAGAGGCTTAGAGTGATTGATTTACTGAAGGTCAAACAGCCAGTAAATGGTGTAGCAAGGATTCCAACCTTGCCGTCTCACTAAAACTGTACAAAAAAAGATACAAACAACAGACAAATAGTTCCCAGGCGCCTCCCAAGTTGCCAGGCACTGCATTTACCTCACTGACCCCTTTGAGGTTGTGGCATTGCCTCCATTTTCTAGGTGAGGAAATAGGCTGAGAGCTGGGGTTAGTCTGGTCATGACTGTGTGTGCCACTCCCACCAAATCTCATTTGATGTGGTTCATGAGGCAAATGGCATGGACAACTTCCTTCACATGTCCACTAAGCATATGGCCTTTTACAACACTTTCTGGTTTCTGAACTACTTTAAAACCTCACTGTCCTGTGAGGAAGGAAGAACAGTTATTACAATCTGCATCTGGAAGCCAATTGCCCTTTAGAGATATGGCTGCAATTGCCTCACTGCCTGTGTCATGTGACTCTCCGAGGCCCTTAATGAGTAAATGAGGGGTGCTGCAGGGGAGCCAAGCTGACCACTCCCCTCCCTCCAGTCCTGCCACCCCACTGCCAGTGTCCCACCCTCCTTGCGCCCTACACTTCACTGGCTAATAACCCCCCTCACTTTTTCCTGTGTTGAAGGCATCCTGGATAATTCCCCACCCACGAATGGTCCCTCCTCATCTCAGAGAGCTCTCCATGCACACCTGTTACTGTTTCTGTTTTTACCTGTAAATATCTGTGTCTGACTTCCATGCTTCATGCACCTCTATAGGGCAAAGACTGTGTCTTAAACATCACGGTAGCCTCAGCATGTTGTGCAATGAAGGTTTTTTTGTTTTTGTTCTTTGTTTTTTTTTTGGTATTAGCTTTATTTGTATCATTTTGAAATTTTTATCAAAAAAGCAGCGTGCCTGCTGTGGTTCCCATCCTCTGGGATTTAGGAATCTTTACCCGATTCTCCATCCAAGTCTGTCTTTCGTATTCTAGGCTCTTCCTAAAGTTGTCATTCACATATACCCTCCAGAATTTTATAGGGTGTATAATCTGTAACAACTCGGAGGAAGCCAATTGCCCTTTAGAAATATGGCTGCAATTGCCTCACTTCCTGTGTCATGTGACTCTCCTAGTCATCACATGACCCATCCACATTGGGAAGCCAGAATTACTTGCAGGAGTAACCTAGTGCCTATAGCTATGGCAGGTACCTGCATCCTTGTTTTTGTTTAGTGGATCCTCTATCCTTCAGAGACTCTGGAACCCCTGTGCTCTTCTCCTCATCTAGTGACCCTGAGGTGATGGAGTTTTCAAGTCCTTCCAGAGAGGTAAGAGAGAGAGCTCCCAATCAGCATTGTCACAGTGCTTCTGGAATCCTGGCACTGGAATTTAATGAATGACAGACTCTCTTTGAATCCAGGGCCATCATGGCTCTTTGAGCAAGGCACAGATGGAGGGAGGGGTCGAAGTTGAAATGGGTGGGAAGAGTGGTGGGGAGCATCCTGATTTGGGGTGGGCAGAGAGTTGTCATCAGAAGGGTTGCAGGGAGAGCTGCACCCAGGTGTCTGTGGGCCTTGTCCTAATGAATGTGGGAGACCAGGCCATGGGCACCCAAAGGCAGCTAAGCCCTGCCCGGGAGAGTAGTTGAGGGGTGGAGAGGGACTTGCTTTTCAGTCATTCCTCATTCTGTCCTCAGGAATGTCCCAAGCCTTCGGGTAGGGTAAGCATCATGGCTGGCAGCCTCACAGGATTGCTTCTACTTCAGGCAGTGTCGTGGGCATCAGATGAGTGAGTCAAGGCAGTGGGGAGGTAGCACAGAGCCTCCCTTCTGCCTCATAGTCCTTTGGTAGCCTTCCAGTAAGCTGGTGGTAGACTTTTAGTAGGTGCTCAATAAATCCTTTTGAGTGACTGAGACCAACTTTGGGGTGAGGATTTTTGAAACCGTCTTCAGTCTCTCCAAACAGCTGTGTCCGTTCTCCACATCCTTGTCAGACCTCACCTCTGCTTGTGCTCCCTCCCTCCCAGGTGGTGCCCCTGCATCCCTAAAAGCTTCAGTACAGCTCGGTGGTCTGTGTCTGCAATGCCACATACTGTGACTCTTGACCCCCCGACCTTTCCTGCCCTAGGTGCCTTCAGCCGCTACAAGAGCAGAAGCAGTGGGCATTGGATGGAGCTGAGTACAGGACCATACAGGCTAATTGCACCGGCACAGGTAACCATTACACCCTTCACCCCCCGGGCCAGGCTGGGTCCTCCTAGAGGTAAACGGTGTCAGTGATCACCATGGAGTTTCTCCCCTGGGCACTGATAACCCTGTGGATGTCCTCAGGCCTGCTACTGATCCTGCAGCCAGAAGTTCCAGAAAGTGAAGGGATTTGGAGGGGCCGTGACAGATGCAGGTGCCCTCAACATCCTTGCCCTGTCACCCCCTGCCCAGAATTTGCTACTTAAATGGTACTTCTCTGAAGAAGATGAGGAGGAAGGGGACAGGATGACATAGAGCCACTGACACTTTTCTTTGCCAATTCTTTGGACCCTGACTTCTGCCCATCCCTGACATTTGGTTCCTGTCTTAATGCCAGTGAAATAAGATTTCGCCGCCTATCATCTGCTAACTGCTACGGACTCAGGCTCAGAAAGGCCTGCGCTTCACCCAGGTGCCAGCCTCCACAGGTTCCAACCCAGGAGCCCAAGTTCCTTTTGGCCCTGACTCAGACACTATTAGGACTGGCAAGTGATAAGCAGAGTCCCATACTCTCCTATTGACTCGGACTACCATATCTTGATCATCCTTTTCTGTAGGAATCGGATATAACATCATCTGGGTACCCATGGCCAGCTGTGACTTCTCCATCCGCACCTACACCTATGCAGACACCCCTGATGATTTCCAGTTGCACAACTTCAGCCTCCCAGAGGAAGATACCAAGCTCAAGGTAGGCATTCTAGCTTTTTCAGGCCCTGAGGGCCCTGATGTCTGGGGGTTGAGAAACTGTAGGGTAGGTCTGCTTGTACAGACATTTTGTCCCCTGCTGTTTTGTCCTGGGGGTGGGAGGGTGGGGGCTAATGGCTGAACCGGATGCACTGGTTGGGCTAGTATGTGTTCCAACTCTGGGTGCTTCTCTCTTCACTACCTTTGTCTCTAGATACCCCTGATTCACCGAGCCCTGCAGTTGGCCCAGCGTCCCGTTTCACTCCTTGCCAGCCCCTGGACATCACCCACTCGGCTCAAGACCAGGGGAGCGGGGAATGGGAAGGGGCCACTCAAGGGACAGCCCAGAGACATCTACCACCAGACCTGGGCCAGATACATTGTGAAGTAAGGGATCAGCAAGGATGTGGGATCAGGACTGGCCTCCCCTTTGGCCATGCTGATCTGTGTCCCAACCCTCAACCTGGTTCCACTTCCAGATCTGCCTGTCCTCAGCTCACCTTTCTACCTTCTGGGCCTTTCAAACTTGGATCTGTCAGTCTTGCCCACTCCATCAGGCTTCCTGTTCTCTCGGTCTGGCCCACTTTCTTGGCTGGATCATTCATGACCTTTCTCTTGCCAGGTTCCTGGATGCCTATGCTGAGCACAAGTTACAGTTCTGGGCAGTGACAGCTGAAAATGAGCCTTCTGCTGGGCTGTTGAGTGGATACCCCTTCCAGTGCCTGGGCTTCACCCCTGAACATCAGCGAGACTTCATTGCCCGTGACCTAGGTCCTACCCTTGCCAACGGTACTCACCACAATGTCCGCCTACTCATGCTGGATGACCAACGCTTGCTGCTGCCCCACTGGGCAAAGGTGGTAAGGCCTGGACCTCCATGGTGCTCCAGTGACCTTCAAATCCAGCATCCAAATGATTGGCTCCCAAACTTAGAGGGATTTTTCTACCCAACTATGGATCCTAGAGCACCATTCCCCGGGACCTCCAGGGTGCCATGGATCCCACAGTTGGGACTTGAAACCTCTCTAGGCTGGGGGTGGTAGCTCATGGCTATAATTCCAGCACTTTGGGAACCCAAGGTGGGTGGATCACTTGAACCTAAGGAGTTCAAGATGAGCCTGGGAAACATGGTGAAACCCTAACTCTACAAAAAAAAAAATAGAAAAGTTAGCCGGGTGTGGTGGTGGCACGCCTATAGTCCCAAGTATTCTGGAGGCTAAGGCGGGAGGTTTAGTTGAGCCTAGAATTTCAGGCTGCAGTGAGCTATGATTGTGCCACTGTACTCCAGCCTGTGTGACAGAGGGAGACCCTGTCTCAAAAACAAAAACAAAAAATCCCTCCCAAAACCTCTGTAGTTGCATTCTTCCCACCACCTAATTCAGGATTCCTACAAGAGGAACTAGAAGTTCCAGAAGCCTGTGGGCAGGGTCCAGGGTGACTTGTTCTTCCTTTGCAGGTACTGACAGACCCAGAAGCAGCTAAGTATGTTCATGGTATTGCTGTACATTGGTACCTGGACTTTCTGGCTCCAGCCAAAGCCACCCTAAGGGAGACACACCACCTGTTCCCCAACACCATGCTCTTTGCCTCAGAGGCCTGTGTGGGTTCCAAGTTCTGGGAGCAGAGTGTGCGGCTAGGCTCCTGGGATCGAGGGATGCAGTACAGCCACAGCATCATCACAGTAAGCCACCCCAGTCTCCCTTCCTGCAAAGGAGACCTCAGACCCATTAGTAGTCTCACCAAAGACTGATAGAAGCCCTTCCTGTCCAGCTTTCCCCAGGTAGCCTGCCCTTTTGGGCAACTCTGGGGAACCATGATTCCCTGTCTTGCCTTTCCTTCACAGGTCTGCACACCTCATTGCCCCTTTTGCAACTACTGAGGCACTTGCAGCTGCCTCAGACTTCTCAGCTCCCCTTGAGATGCCTGGATCTTCACACCCCCAACTCCTTAGCTACTAAGGAATGTGCCCCTCACAGGGCTGACCTACCCACAGCTGCCTCTCCCACACGTGACCCTTACCTACACTCTCTGGGGACCCCCAGTGTTGCGCCTTTGTCTCCTTGCCTTTGTCCTTACCCTAGAACCTCCTGTACCATGTGGTCGGCTGGACCGACTGGAACCCATCATTGTAGACATCACCAAGCACACGTTTTACAAACAGCCCATGTTCTACCACCTTGGCCACTTCAGGTGAGTGGAGGGCGGGCACCCCCATTCCATACCAGGCCTATCATCTCCTACATCGGATGGCTTACATCACTCTACACCACGAGGGAGCAGGAAGGTGTTCAGGGTGGAACCTCGGAAGAGGCACACCCATCCCCTTTTGCGCCATGGAGGCAGGAAGTGACTAGGTAGCAACAGAAAACCCCAATGCCTGAGGCTGGACTGCGATGCAGAAAAGCAGGGTCAGTGCCCAGCAGCATGGCTCCAGGCCTAGAGAGCCAGGGCAGAGCCTTTGCAGGAGTTATGGGGTGGGTCCGTGGGTGGGCGACTTCTTAGATGAGGGTTTCATGGGAGGTACCCCGAGGGACTCTGACCATCTGTTCCCACATTCAGCAAGTTCATTCCTGAGGGCTCCCAGAGAGTGGGGCTGGTTGCCAGTCAGAAGAACGACCCGGACGCAGTGGCACTGATGCATCCCGATGGCTCTGCTGTTGTGGTCGTGCTAAACCGGTGAGGGCAATGGTGAGGTCTGGGAAGTGGGCTGAAGACAGCGTTGGGGGCCTTGGCAGGATCACACTCTCAGCTTCTCCTCCCTGCTCCCTAGCTCCTCTAAGGATGTGCCTCTTACCATCAAGGATCCTGCTGTGGGCTTCCTGGAGACAATCTCACCTGGCTACTCCATTCACACCTACCTGTGGCGTCGCCAGTGATGGAGCAGATACTCAAGGAGGCACTGGGCTCAGCCTGGGCATTAAAGGGACAGAGTCAGCTCACACGCTGTCTGTGACTAAAGAGGGCACAGCAGGGCCAGTGTGAGCTTACAGCGACGTAAGCCCAGGGGCAATGGTTTGGGTGACTCACTTTCCCCTCTAGGTGGTGCCAGGGGCTGGAGGCCCCTAGAAAAAGATCAGTAAGCCCCAGTGTCCCCCCAGCCCCCATGCTTATGTGAACATGCGCTGTGTGCTGCTTGCTTTGGAAACTGGGCCTGGGTCCAGGCCTAGGGTGAGCTCACTGTCCGTACAAACACAAGATCAGGGCTGAGGGTAAGGAAAAGAAGAGACTAGGAAAGCTGGGCCCAAAACTGGAGACTGTTTGTCTTTCCTGGAGATGCAGAACTGGGCCCGTGGAGCAGCAGTGTCAGCATCAGGGCGGAAGCCTTAAAGCAGCAGCGGGTGTGCCCAGGCACCCAGATGATTCCTATGGCACCAGCCAGGAAAAATGGCAGCTCTTAAAGGAGAAAATGTTTGAGCCCAGTCAGTGTGAGTGGCTTTATTCTGGGTGGCAGCACCCCGTGTCCGGCTGTACCAACAACGAGGAGGCACGGGGGCCTCTGGAATGCATGAGAGTAGAAAAACCAGTCTTGGGAGCGTGAGGACAAATCATTCCTCTTCATCCTCCTCAGCCATGCCCAGGGTCCGGGTGCCTGGGGCCCGAGCAGGCGTTGCCCGCTGGATGGAGACAATGCCGCTGAGCAAGGCGTAGCCCACCATGGCTGCCAGTCCTGCCAGCACAGATAGGATCTGGTTCCGGCGCCGGTATGGCTCCTCCTCAGTCTCTGGGCCTGCTGGTGTCTGGCGTTGCGGTGGTACCTCAGCTGAGGGTCAAGGAAGGAAGGTGTGTTAGGAGAACTAGTTCTTGGATCCCTGCCCACTCTCCCCAGGGCTGCCCCTCCCATCTGCCCCTTACCTCCATCCCAGGGGAAGTAGAGACTGAGAATGTGGGTACAATAGGCACAGAGGTTGTGCAGCCCACGCAGGTGGACCTGCAGCTTCCCACTGGGCAGCTTTGCCTGCAGCAGCAGGGCCAAGTAGCTGAAGACGAAGGCGTCCAAGGAGGCAGGGCTGGAGCAGAGAGAGAAGGGTGGGATGGAGGAGAACCACTGGGGTAGAAGGGGTAAAGATGGAGCTGGAGGAAGAGTCAGCCTTGGGAGGTGGGCTCTGGGCAGCAGGCGGCCACCAGGGAAGGACAGGACACACAGTTCTAGACCTGGTATGGGGAGAGATCCCCAGGTGGCGCCAGC
The DNA here is from genome assembly GCF_000001405.40 of Homo sapiens. Lineage (NCBI taxonomy): Eukaryota > Metazoa > Chordata > Mammalia > Primates > Hominidae > Homo > Homo sapiens. The sequence goes on along the minus strand of NC_000001.11, from coordinate 155,213,057 downwards.
CTGGCCCTGAATAGGGCTCTATCCCAGGGCTGCATAAAGGGCACATTCAGTGCCCCACAGCTCTTCAGGCCCCTCCTGTGCCTGGCTGCCCTCCCACCCTACCCTTTTGTACCTCTGAGAAGGCTCTGGCCCCCACACAGTCACACTGTCACTAGGGCCAGTTTCTATCCCAGGGACCTCCTATCCAGAGCCTGAGCCAGCCCCAGCCCCAGCCCCAGCTCCAGCTGCTCCATCTGAACCTGTATCTTCTTCCAAGCCACCCATTACCCTCTTGGAGTCAGACTCACGCATCTCCAAAGAAGAACTTTTGAGAGCCCAGGCGCTGAGAGAGCAGGGTCAGACACTCCCGAGCCTCTCGGTACAGCTGTAGGGGCGACACAGGTAGGCTTGCAGCTGTGGGAACAGTGCCACCTCCCCACCTAAGCACTCCCATTCCTGGCCAGCATCCTTGGGGCTCATCTCATACAATAGCCCCCGGTCTCAGAGCTACCTCCTTCTCCAGCTCTTCCTCGTCCTCAGGCCTGTGCTCCCCAGTCAGCAGCTGTAGCCGTTCCATGTACTGCCGCTGCATGCGGCCAGGCAGGAAGAAGTTGAGGGGAAAGGGCATAGCCTCTGCATACCACTTCCGGGTCACTTCCACGTAGTTCTTGGTGTCTATCCAAAAAGTATGTACCTGGATTGGGTGGGCAGGAAGAAACAGGTAGGTCTGAGCCAGTGCACCTGTCTGATTCAAGGTGGGCTTCTGACCCCCATGCTTTCCTGAGCCTGTGTGTGGGTCTGTGTGTTCCCGAACCCTCCCCGGCTGGCCATGGATGCTGGGAGGTCTGGGCACACTCACCAGCACCGGGAGCAACTTCTCCTCCAGGAGAGACATGAAGGCCAGGGTGTCTGCCCCTTGCCGAGCTGACAGATCATAATCAGCATTGTACTTCTGTGGAGGAAATATCCATGGCGTGGACACTAGGGAGCTGCAAGGGCACTTCACCAGGGAGGAAGGAGTCCTGTCTGGTACCCCCCTCACTGGCCTCTGAGTGCAGTGGAGGTACAGCAAGGAACTTTTCCTGCCAAGGCCCCCTTGCCTGGGCCCAGCCAGTAGCCTGTTGCTGTTGGCGAAAAGCCTGGGCCTTGGAGCCTCCTGGCCGTGAAGGTCCAGCGCCCAATGCAGGGAAGGAAGGAAGGCTCCGCCGCAAACTAGGAGCAGCTCCCAGAATTTCCATGGAAAGCTGGAACAACGCCCGCTGACGGCAACTTTCTAACAGTAACTTCCCCGACCCAGACACCACAAAGCTAGCACAACGGAGCTCAGATGCAGGCTAGGACTCGGTCCATGCCTCAGGAACCAGAGAAAGCCATCCTCACACTCCCTGGATCCAGGGAACCCACGCCCAGGGCCCCCCAGCTTGTTCCCTCAGTGCCCAGCTCTTGGCTATTTCTTTCACTTCATTCCATCGCTCAGACACCATTACCACATACACATTCCACCCATACCCCCAGGTCTCAGCCTGCCCTACCTTCCCAGGCTCCAGTCCCTGTTCCTCAGCATCCCCCTCCACATCCTGAGTAAGCTTTGTCCCCAGATAACCTCTTCAGCATGATCCTTAAATCTCCCTAAGCCTCAGTTTCTCCCCTGTGGAATGGGGGTAAGAATCTCTTTCTCTGAATGCCCCTGTGTTAGGAAATAATTTAGAATACTTTGGAAACTGGAAAAGCTCTGTTCACACCTAAGCAATCAGGGCAGTGGCCTCGGCTCTGCCAGGAACTTTGGCTTTTATCTGGATCCTCTCTTTCCAGGCCTCTCAATTAATTCCCCAGGTCCTCAACCTTTGGGAAGTTAGAAATGAGGAAGAGTGTCCTACTTCTGACACTGTTCCCTCTTGGAACCTGACCGTCAATGCTAGAAGAACCCTTGGAAAACATGCTGGCCCAGCCCTCTAGTTTTACAAATAAGGGAGTGCACAGCCCTGAGAGGTTACATGGCCTGCCCGAGATCACATAGTCAATGGCAGAGTAAAGAGCATAGCCTAGGCCTCCCCACTCCTCTAGTAATGCTCTTTCATCTTCTCCAACCTGGCTCTAAGCCTTGTCCATCCTGAGCCCCATATCTAGCCCAACCTAGTCCCTGAAAACAGGAAGTGGCCCTTAGAAATCTCTCTCCAGTCCCACCATCAGAGGCCAACTGCTGTCTTCCACTCTCCTTCAGCCTGTGCTCCTCTCCCTCCCTGCCTCACAGTGCCCTAAGTTTCATCTCTTGCCGACTGCTTTAATACATCACAGTGACATTGTGTGTGTCTCTGCCACAAGACTGTTGCTCCTTGATGCTCTGGGTCACCTGCATCTAGCATGGCATATATCTGGTGCTCAATAAATGTGTATTGTATAGAATTGACTGAACTTCTCTCACTGGCAGCCCCCTCTATCCAAGTCACCTACCTCTTTTCGAAGGTGGGTGATGATCTTGTGTGGAACTGAGATGACCTCTCCATGACTGGTCCGAAGGGCAGGCAGAGTTCCTGATATTGAGAGGGAAGTATACCAACCAGACCCTTAGCTGCCTAGTCATACATAGTTGCAACACATTCCTGCCTATTTCTTGCTTCTCCCCTTGTACACACCCTTCCTTACCCCCAAGGGATACTGGGTACCTGAAGGGCTCTGCCAGGGGTTGCTGATCTTGTGTACCTTCAGTGGAGCACCAGTAAATCTGGCATAGGTCTGCAGGGAAGGAAGCAGAAGTCAGAGAGGCAGAGCCATGTCCCCCACAGTGGTATCAAGAAGAGAAATAACATTTATTGAATACCTTATGTGCCATTCCCTATACTTAGTATCTTAGTCTCGAAAAAAAAGGGGGAGTCACTACCATTTCTATTTTACAAATGGACAACACAGGGCTCAGAGAGATTCCGGACATGTCTGTGATTACAGGACAGCCAGGAAAATCCTTTCCTCTATCTCCTCTCTTGCCATCTACCTGGTGAACATCTATCCTCAGAAGCTTTTCCTAACCAGTATCCCTCTTCTTGGAAGCACTGATAATGCCCTTCTCTTTGGCAGTATCTGTGGTCTGTTCCTACTTTAACTTATATGTGAATATTTTATTATATTTATTTGCTTACCTATCTGCCTTTCTGTAAACTCGAAGGGAGGAACCAAATTTTATTCATCTTTGCCTGGCAATGTTTAATATTTGGAAGAAATCTAATAGATCCTCTTTAAAGCAAGGAGTCAATGAATAAATGAAGCAAAGGAAGTCTGATTGCTAAGCTCTTTATACAAAGCCTGGCTGTGAGTCGTTTGGTCTAACAAACAATAGCCTCAGTAAATGCTGTTAAGTGAGGAGGAAGAGGAGAAGGGGGCTGAGGAGAAGGCAGGAATTCCAAGCTAGAGTAGGTCCCTGAGACAGTCCAGCCTAGTAAACCTCCGAATGGAGAAAAAAAATGCCCAAAGAGAAAGGATCTCCGCAAGGTCACACAGCCAGTGAATGGATGAGCAAGGACTAGAACCCATCACCTGAACTCCCAACCAGGCGTCTTTTCATTGCTGCATTAAGCCTAGAAAACTACAGCATAGGGCACTGAGGCCATATCGGCCACGTACGCTCTTTGACTGCCTCAGTTTCCCCCACTGCGCCCGTGCTGAGTAGCCCTGGCAAGGTTTGGATGCTTGGCTAGTTCGGCCCCCTCCCCAGTCATCAGGGCACAGCAGAGGGCGCCGGCGCCACCCCTCACCAGCACGGCCAGGCTGTCCAGGTCCACTGACGGCAGCCCCCAGCCCCCTGACCAGCAGAACAGCTCCATGGGCGCCGCCATCTTGCCCACCCTCTGTCCCGGAAACACTTCCTTGTGTGCTTCTGCCCTCCCCTGCCTGGGCCCGCCCCCCGCCACCGCCCCTCCGATCGTTGCGGTCAGGGGGCCTGGGGAGATCCCCGGGGAGGCGAGGCTTCTTCTGGCCCGACTGGCAGCTGAACTGCGGGGGACTGGGCCGCGGGCCTCGGGGGAGGGCGGCCGCCGGCCCATCCAGAGGTGGCCCACGTAGCGGGACAGCGCTGTCGGCCCGGCGCGCCTCGGAGAGTCACGGCGCCTCGTCCAAGTGGAGCCCCGAACCCCTGAAGGCGCGGCAGGCTCTGGAGAGCGGGGTCTTGTGCGCCTGGGCCAGGTCTGGGGGCTCTTGCCAAACTGCACGTGGCCTGTACTGCTCCAGGGCCCCTTGGGGCTCGTCCCCGAGCGGGGACTGCGGGGGGGTCCCCCGAGCAGCATGTTTTCCACAGCGCGTTATGTTTGGAGCGGGCCCTGCGCCGCCTGTCGCCATGGAAACAAAACAGGGGCGGTGGCGGCGGCCGGAGCGGAGGCCGGGCTGGGGCTTGGGTGGGGGAGGGGAAGAGAGGCTCGCAGGCTGTCGCTTAGGTGACGGGAACTCAGGCGCCCCTCTGCTTCATCCGGGTCACGGCCCGTCCGCTAGTACCCACAGTGTTCCACAGTCTGGTCCTTGGCTCCTCGCCTGTACCCCTGGTCTTCTGCGCCTGTCCCTGGTGTCCCTTTCCTCTTTTTTGGTTTCTTCACTCTGACCTCACTGACCACTGCTTTAGATTCTCCCTTCAGTTCCCGTCAGACGCTTCCAGACTCCCAAGCTTTCCTACGAATGAGGGAAAATGGAGAAACAGGCACTTGTCAGGGGACCCCCCACCCTAATAAAGAGCACTTGCTCCGCCAGAACAGCAAAATTCATGCCATGTGGGCATCCCTGGGCACTATAGCAAGCTAGTTGCGGCCACTCCCTTGGCATCCTTTCCTGCCAGCTGTGGAATAATGCCCACTGTCTAGCACTGCCCCTGCCAGGGGTTCTTGCCTTCCACAATCGTGGCTTCCAGAAAACAGTGGCATTCGGTAGCGCTGTGTGCCGAGACCCCCAACAATGATGACTGCGGAGAGGGAGGCACCTGGGGGAGGATCATTAGGGAGAGGTAGAAAGCAGGGAGGCCTCCAGGATTCTTTCCCAGTGCCCCTGGTTCCCAGAGCTGATGATGCCTCCAGGGTGATTGGCAGCTCTTTGTTTCAGCCCCCCCTCACCCGCCTGCTGGCCCCCCCTCCAATTCTGTCCCTCCGCCCCCCGGCTCCTGCTCTCTCCGCCTAGCCTTTTCCCCTCCCAGCTGCCTGCCTGCCAGGGGTAGTGAGCCGGCTGAGAGGCATGGAGACGCAGGAACTTCGGGGGGCCCTGGCTCTTCTCCTCCTTTGCTTTTTCACATCTGCCAGTCAGGATCTGCAGGGTAAGCCTGTCTCCATCCTCTTAGACCGCTCTCTGCTTCTTCCCCATTTGCCCTCAGCCCAAGTAGCAGAGAACATGTGGGCAAGGGGAGAGGGGAAGAGTCCAGAAATTGAGCCAGAGGAAAACTTAAGACTGCCTAGAGTTGGTGAAATTATGGCCTGGTGGAGAGGAGTGGGCACCGGAGAGTAGTGGGGGAGCTGGAACAGGACAGGGTCAGGCATGAGGCCAGGGCAGAGGACTCAGGAACTGGATGCTCAGGCTGCCTGGCTGGGGTGGTTCCTGAGCATCTGTAGGCACCCTAGGGTCTGGGAGAGCAGCCTGAAGGTGGGCGTACTGTAGGTCCCTGGGCTTCGTCCCCCTGGGCTCCTGGCTGCCCAAGGACAGGGCGGGGGTGGGGACCAAGAAGCCTGGGCTCTCCCGGAGGTCTGGTGGTGGGATGGGCCGATGGATGTGGGAGAGGTAGCTGGAGCAGATGACACAGGCATAGATTCTTTACTGGCTGGAGGGAAAACCACAGATTGGCCAGGACACAGGAGGCAGAGGAGCTGGGTCCTACATTCCCGTGGGAGATAGCCCAGATGGTGGGAGGGTTAGAGTCCTCAGTGGGCAGCTGTTCTTATCCAGAGCGAGTGTGCTGCGCCCCTAGGATGGGAGGAGGGGAACTAGGGTGTGGAACGAGCCAAACCCAGGAGTGGAAAGAGAAGCTGCCTTCCATTTCTACGTTGTGGACACCAGGTGCCACTCCTGTGGGGGATCAGCACAGCATCTCCTTTGCGCCACCTGGTGGGGGCATCTCAAATTTGTGGGGTGCTGTTTCTGTGTTTCCAAGTGAGTCTCAAACCTGCAGGTTCCTGGAAGGTAGTAATAGGCAATAATGGGGAAAGGAAGGCACAGTGCCTCTGTCCTCTGAGAGCAACAAGGGTTGAGGTTTTTTTTTGTTTTCGTTTTGTCTTTTTGAGATGGAGTTTCACTCTTGTTGCCCAGGCTGGAGTGCAATGGCGCGATCTCGGCTCACTGCAACCTCCACCTCTCAGGTTCAAGCGAGTCTCCTGCCTCAGCCTCCTGAGTAGCTGGGATTACAGGTGCCCGCCACCACGCCCGGCTAGGTGGTTTTTTTTTCTTTTTTGTTGTTGTTTTTGTATTTTTAGTAGACACGGGGTTTCACCGTGTTGGCCAGGCTGGTCTCGAACTCCTGACCTTAGGCGATCCACCTGCCTCAACCTCCCAAGGTGTTGGGATTACAGGTGCGAGCCACCATGCCCAGCCAAGGGTTGAATTTTGAGGTGACTAACGCTGCCTGGTGGTGGGGGTAGGGGGTGATGTGGGCTCGGGGGAGGGCATACCTTAGCATTTGATCCCATTCTCTAACCTTGATAACCCCTGCCTGACCAGTAATTGACCTGCTGACTGTGGGCGAGTCTCGGCAGATGGTAGCTGTGGCAGAGAAGATCCGGACAGCCTTGCTCACTGCTGGGGACATCTACCTCTTATCCACCTTCCGCCTGCCCCCCAAGCAGGGTGGTGTCCTCTTTGGCCTCTATTCTCGCCAAGACAACACTCGATGGCTGGAGGCCTCTGTTGTAGGCAAGATCAACAAAGGTGACTGGTGGGCATCTCCTTTCTTGCAATGGTGACCTCCTTAAGCACTCTCCCTCATCCCTACTTCCCAAGTGCTTCCTCATTCTCCTTGGCCTCCACTAGGGACCAAGGTCCCATCAGGCTGTGCCCAGACATCAGGGGCACCTGGTATGGGGTGCTTATAAGGTGCTTTAGGAGCCCATGTACCAAACAATAGGGTGAGGCTTGAGTCCTGATATTTATAGGGATGGGAGGTTGTACTTGGGGATGCCTGGAAGGAGGGTGAGGCATGTCTCTGTGCCTCAGCGGTGATACAGAAAGGTCTTTCAGATCCCTGGAACAGGTCAGTGGCCACAAAACCAGCTGTCACCCTAGGAGAGGATACAGTCATCTGATACCAATGAAGACTAAGAAAGTATTTGTCTCTAAACCAATTATTTTTTTAAATGGAGTCTTGCTTTGTCACCTAGGCTGGAGTGCAGTGGTACAATCTCAGCTCACTGCAACCTCTGCCTCCTGGGTTCAAGCAATTCTCCTATCTCAGCCTCCTGAGTAGCTGGGACTACAGGTGCCCACCACCATGCCTGGCTAACTTTTGTATTTTTAGTAGAAACAGGGTTTCGCCATGTTGACCAGGCTGTTCTCGAACTTCTGACCTCAAGTGATCTGCCCACCTTGGCCTTCTAAAGTGCTGGGATTACAGGTGTGAGCCACCGTGCCTGGCCTCTAAAGCAATTTCAAAAACATTTATTGTGTACCTATTAAATACAAGGTGTTGAGAGCCACATAGTAGAATTAGGGATAGGGGCCCTAGAGATGTGGTATCTAGCAGAGTTGATCCAAGGCTCAGCTGGGAGGCAGGGGGTGGGGGATAGCGCCCATACTGATCTCCCCTCCTGGGCAGTACTGGTGCGATACCAGCGGGAGGATGGCAAAGTCCACGCCGTGAACCTACAGCAAGCGGGCCTGGCTGATGGGCGCACACACACAGTTCTCCTGCGACTCCGAGGTCCCTCCAGACCCAGCCCTGCCCTACATCTCTACGTGGACTGCAAACTGGGTGACCAACATGCAGGCCTTCCAGCACTGGCCCCCATTCCTCCAGCGGAGGTCGATGGGCTGGAGATTAGGACTGGACAGAAGGCGTATTTGAGGATGCAGGTGAGCCGGGAGGAGCCTCTGAGTTCTGTGGAAATAGAGTTTGCACCAGCTGGGGAAGGGGTTGGTAGACCTTCCCACCTTACTCTGCTGCTATCCCCCCAGGGCTTTGTGGAATCTATGAAAATTATTCTGGGTGGGTCCATGGCCCGGGTAGGAGCCCTGAGTGAGTGTCCATTCCAAGGGGACGAGTCCATCCACAGTGCAGGTAACACAGAGACTTGTTTGCTGACATTGGACCACGGATCCTGTGGCCTTTGGTGACTCCTGTCTTCTTGATCTCCCTCTCCCTTAAAACCCATTCCTTTGGCTCACCTGTTCCTAGGGTTTCTAACCCTGTTATTCCAAATCTTTCACCTGACTCCACAATCTCCAATACACCCATCCGAGAAAAAAAGTGATCTAAGAGAAGAATTGGTTAATTGCTTGGCCTTGGCTGACCAAGAGATACTGGTCTCGAGTATTTTTTTTTTTTTTGGTGATGGAGTCTTGTCCTGTTGCCCAGGCCGGAGTGCAGTGGTGCAATCTGGGTCACTGCAGTCTCCACTGAGTTCAAGTGATTCTCCTGCCTCAGCCTCCCAAGCAGCTGGGATTACAGGCGCCCTCCACCATGCCTAGCTAATTTTTGCATTTTTAGTAGAGATGGGATTTCACCACGTTGGCCAGGCTGGTCTCAAACACCTAATCTCAAGTGATGCACCCACCTCGGCCTCTCAAAGTGCTGGGATTACAGGCGTAAGCCACCGCGCCCGGCCTGGTCTCGAGTCTTTTATAGTTCTCACTGGCAGCTGTCACCAGCAATTTCTCTGAGTGTTGCCCATCTGCCTGGTCTCTCTGACAGGGATGTTCAGAAGCTCTCACCTAAATAAAAGACCCACCTTTCCCAGATATTTGAGGGAGAGCTCTTGAAGAAGGGAATGGGATGGCGGGTGTGGTGGCTCACACCTGTAATCCCAGCACTTTGGGAGGCTGAGGTGGGCTGATCCCTCAAGGTCCGGAGTTCAAGACCAGCCTGGCCAACACTGTGAAACCTCCTCTCTACTAAAAAATACAAAAAATTAGCTGGGCATGGTGGTGGGCACCTGTAGTCCCAGCTACTTGGGAGGCGGAGGCAGGAGAGTTGCTTGAACCCAGGAGGTGGAGGTTGTGGTGAGCAGAGATCACGCCACTGCATTCCAGCCTGGGAAACAGAGCAAGACTCCGACTCAAAAAAAAAAAAAATGGGGATATACTGGGGCCCTGGCCCTGCTTTGGGTCCATCCCTTCTGCCACTACCATGCCTAGGAACCAGGAGGATTTGGGTTCTAACTTCCTGTGAAGCAACTCCCTTAGAGGGCCTTTTGCCCCATAGAAGGAGCTGGCACTGCTTGTCTGCCAGCTCTGCCCTCCCAGCATCCAGCACCCCATCTTTATTCTGGGGCTCCAGCCCTGTCCCTGTCCTCACCTTCCTTCCTCCTTCTCACCAACCAGGCCTCTCTTCACTTCACCTCACCCCTCTGACTATGTTTTCTTCTCCTCTCCAGTGACCAATGCACTGCACTCCATTCTAGGTGAGTAGGCCACACTGAAGCGGAAGCGGGGAGCGGGGAGGAGGCCCCAGGCTCTGGCAGCTGCCTGAAACTAAGTCCTCTTCAGTCAGGAATGTAGTAGGTTTAAAGGCAGGGGTGGGCAGCCGTGGCAGGTACTGGCTTATTGCCCATGGAGGGCCCAGGACTGGTGCTCCAGTACTGAACCCCTCACACCCTGGGTCCCGACAGGGGAGCAGACCAAGGCGCTGGTCACCCAACTCACCCTCTTCAACCAGATCCTGGTGGAGCTGCGGGATGATATACGAGACCAGGTTTGGGTGGGCTGGCGAAGGGTGGCACTGATTCTGGGGTAGGGTGGCAGATGTCAAGTGCTGACTCCTCCCCATCCTTCTCCAGGTGAAGGAAATGTCCCTGATCCGAAACACCATTATGGAGTGTCAGGTGTGCGGTGAGTGGGAGAGCAGGGGAGGCTCCACATGACCGTGCCACGTTCCCCACCCAATGGCTTTGGCTTTCCCTTCTGGTGGCTTAAATAGTGACCACCGGGTAGCTCTGACTGTGTCCACCCCTCAGGCTTCCATGAGCAGCGTTCCCACTGCAGCCCCAATCCCTGCTTCCGAGGTGTGGACTGCATGGAAGTGTACGAGTACCCAGGCTACCGCTGTGGGCCCTGCCCCCCTGGCCTGCAGGGCAACGGCACCCACTGCAGTGACATCAATGAGGTGAGGGAGGTCAGAGCCCAGAAGGGTACAGAAAACTGGGGTGAGGATGTCAGGAGGCACCCAAGAGGGTGGGATAAATGCTGGTCCGGAGGAGAGGAATCTGGAGTTTAGGAGAGGTCAGAGGCAAGAGAAATGCAAGATGGGAGAGACAGAAGGCCTGGGGCAAAGACTGAAGGCCATACAGGGAAGGAGCTGGGGAAACTGCAGGGGAGGCTTGAGATGGTGACCAGTGGCATGGGGAGGGAGAGAGGGAACCCCGAGGGAAGTGGGGTGGGGACCAGGAGCACAAGGCAGTTGTGTGGGGAGAGCTGCACAAAGGGGAGACCTGGAGCAATGGTTCCTGGATCACAGGCAGGGACCTGAGTTTCCCAGAGGGCGGCCTGACCTCTGCCTTCTCATCTGGTCCCCAGTGTGCTCACGCTGACCCCTGTTTCCCGGGCTCCAGCTGCATCAACACCATGCCCGGCTTCCACTGTGAGGCCTGTCCTCGAGGGTACAAGGGCACACAGGTGTCTGGTGTGGGCATTGACTATGCCCGGGCCAGCAAACAGGTCAGACTGGGTAGTGTGTGTGGACAAGGGATCTTGGCCTTGTAGAGGCCAGGGGCTTCTGGGTTGGACATGGGACCCTTGTGATGAATGGGACATGGATGGCTTTGCATCGGCTTTGGGTCTGGGCTTAATGTTGATGTTCACAGATAAGGCCATACCAGTGTCCTCTGCTGTATCTGAGGAGACCCACCATAGGTCTGGTTCCACCCAAAGTCTGCCCCTTCAGGTCTGCAATGACATCGATGAATGCAACGATGGCAACAATGGTGGCTGTGACCCAAACTCCATCTGCACCAACACTGTGGTGAGCTGAATATCCTGAGTGTATTCTGGGGTGGTGGGAATGGTAAAACCCCAACCCCCGCCCCTTCTTACCTTCAAATTTCCTGCTGCCTTTCCTCCTCCCCAGGGCACTACACAGATTAGGTGTTCACATGGACTTGGTTTGGAATACTGGTTTGCCTCTTGCTAGCTCTTTAGCAGGTTATTTAACTTTTCTGAGCCTCAGCTTCCTCATCTGAAAACTGAGGCTGTTATCCACCCTGAAAGGTTGTCATGATAACCTAAAGGAGATACTGATATGCCTGGCATAACTGAGTGCCCAGCCCACACTCCGCAGGTGGAGCAGTGCTGGTCCTGGGTGCCTGGTGGGCTCACCCTCCTTCCTAAGATGCTGCCTCTCCACTCTTAGGGCTCTTTCAAGTGTGGTCCCTGCCGCCTGGGTTTCCTGGGCAACCAGAGCCAGGGCTGCCTCCCAGCCCGGACCTGCCACAGCCCAGCCCACAGCCCCTGCCACATCCATGCTCACTGTCTCTTTGAACGCAATGGTGCAGTGTCCTGCCAGGTGAGCTAGGCTTCAGGCGTGGAAGGAAAAGGGAGGGTCTGGGGAAAGGAGTAGGGCTATGTTTAGGGCCTGGGTTGGGGGTCTTCATAGGAGAGAGGTGGGCCTGGGCCCAGGAACTGTTTGGTGGGGAGAATAGGACCTGAAGCAGGGAAAATATAGGGAGGAGGGGAGCCAGACCAAACTGCTAGCTCCTACCCTTTGTGTTGCCCTAGTGTAACGTGGGCTGGGCTGGGAATGGGAACGTGTGTGGGACTGACACAGACATCGATGGCTACCCAGACCAAGCACTGCCCTGCATGGACAACAACAAACACTGCAAACAGGTGCAGGGAGCAGGCGGGCAAGGGGGCGTAGTGGGGAGCCCAAGCTGGGTCAGGCCAGAACTCATCCATCCTCTTCCCCTGAACTTTAGGACAACTGCCTTTTGACACCCAACTCTGGGCAGGAAGATGCTGATAATGATGGTGTGGGGGACCAGTGTGATGATGATGCTGATGGGGATGGGATCAAGAATGTTGAGGTGACTCCCAGACTGCCCTGCCCCTTGAAGCTCCTCTCCCCTCCTCCTGTCCTCTCTGTGCCTCACTTACCTCATCTGGCAGCTCTCTAGTAAGGGCCAAATACTCCAAATCAGGGAGGCAAAAACCTCGTGCCCAGGACAAGGAGGCTGGGTGGGTGGGACTGTACTGAGCAGTTTGTCCATCACAAGGGTGTGATCTTAGAAAAGGATACAGAGACAAGGTAGGTGCAAGATGACAAGTGATTTAGGGGAGACCTGACCCTTCCCCTCCCACCCCTCTGCCCAGGACAACTGCCGGCTGTTCCCCAACAAAGACCAGCAGAACTCAGATACAGATTCATTTGGTGATGCCTGTGACAATTGCCCCAACGTTCCCAACAATGACCAGAAGGACACAGATGGCAATGGGGAAGGAGATGCCTGTGACAACGACGTGGATGGGGATGGTGCAGGCCTGGGGCTGAAGGGGTGGCTGGGGGACCTGTGAGAATTTGGATCAGGTGGGGATGAAGCAGGGAAGCTAGGAAGTCTCTGTGAAATAGGGAGGCAGGCTTGTGGACGTTGGCCTGGGTGAGGAGAGATTACCTGCAGCAGATGTCAATAGGAATGTGAGGTAGGGCGTAGTGTTAGGCAGAGTGTGGACTAGAGGGTGAGACAAGAAACAGGCAGATTTCCTGGCCAGTTGTCCTCTGGGTGGGGAGACAAAGTTCGGGACTTTCACCAACCTAGAAGAGAGAATATGGCATGTTCTAGTAACAACCTTGTGCTACCCATGTCTTCTAGGCATCCCCAATGGATTGGACAATTGCCCTAAAGTCCCCAACCCACTACAGACAGACAGGGATGAGGACGGGGTGGGAGATGCTTGCGACAGCTGCCCTGAAATGAGCAATCCTACCCAGGTACAGGGAGATGGTAAGGACAGGGGAGGGATGAGGGTACTGATGGATGAAGCCCCAGCCCTTTGGATGGAAAGTGGTCAGATCACCCTCTTCAGAGTTATCAAGAGGAGATGGTGAGAACAGGTCCCTCTCTCTCAGACAGATGCAGACAGCGACCTGGTGGGGGATGTCTGTGATACTAATGAAGACAGGTAAGGTCTTGGTCAAGAGACGCAAGGTCTTTCTTTTTTTTGTCTTTCTGAGACGGAGTCTTGCTCTGTCACCTAGGCTGGAGTACAGTGGCACGATCTTGGCTCACTGCAACCTCCGTCTCCCAGGGTCAAGTGATTCTCATGCCTCAACCTCCCTGAGTGGCTAGGATTACAGGCATGTGCTACCAAGCCCAGCTAATTCTTGTATTTTCAGTAGAGACAGGGTTTCACCATGTTGGCCAGGCTGGTCTCGAACTCCTTACCTCAGGTGATCCGCCAGCCTCTGCCTCCCAAAGTGCTGTGATTACAGGTGTGAGCCACTGTGCCAGCGAAATGCAAGGTCTTATAGGGGATATTTTACTTTCCTCTAGTATATCCTTTTTTTTTTTTTTTTGAGACGGAGTCTTGCTCTGTCGCCCAGGCTGGAGTACAGTGGCATGATCTCGGCTCACTGCAAGCTCCACCTCCCGAGTTCACGCCATTCTTCTGCCTCAGCCTCCCAAGTAGCTGGGACTACAGGCGCCTGCCACCACGCCCGGCTAATTTTTTGTGTTTTTAGTAGAGACGGGGTTTCACTGTGTTAACCAGGATGGTCTCGATCTCCTGATCTCGTGATTTGCCTGCCTCAGCCTCCCAAAGTGCTGGGATTACAGGCGTGAGCCACCGTGCCCGGCCTCCTTTTTTTTTTTGAGATGGAGTCTTGCTCTGTCACTCAAGCTGGAGTGCAGTGATATCGGCTCACTGCGACCTCCACCTCCAGGGTTCAAGCGATTTTCCTGCCTCAGCCTCCCGAGTAGCTGGGATTACAGGCGCGTGCTACCAAGCTCAGCTAATTTTTGTGTTTTTAGTAGAGACAGGGTTTCATCGTGTTGGCCAGGCTGGTCTCGAACTCCTGACCTCAGGTGATCTGCCCGCCTTGGCCTCCCAAAGTACTGGGAATACAGGCATGAGCCACTGTGCCCAGGCCATAGTATATTCTAAATTCCTTCTATGATTTAGCCTTAATTCTCTATTGCTATTCAGCAGGAATTTATTCTTACAGTCATCCCTCCATTCCTACTGCCAGACCTTCACCTCACCTGGCTGACTGCCAGGGGTCTGATTGTATGGAGAGCAGGCTCCAGAGACTCCCAGGCAGAAGCGAAGGGAAGGACAAGGAGTACCTTTAAATCCTTTATTTGGTACCTGTTCTTCTGATTAGCGATGGGGATGGGCATCAGGACACCAAGGACAACTGCCCACAGCTGCCAAATAGCTCCCAGCTGGACTCTGATAACGATGGACTTGGAGATGAGTGTGATGGGGATGATGACAATGATGGCATCCCAGATTATGTGCCTCCTGGTCCCGATAACTGCCGCCTGGTACCCAATCCCAATCAGAAGGACTCAGATGGTAAGCCTGCGGACCCAGAGCACGTTAGACTGGTGTTGCCTTTGCCCAGGTGGAGGCAGCAAGCCCTGTTGGGAAGTGAGGAAGGGCAAGGTGGGGAAAGATGTCAGGAATGCAGGCCCAACAGATGGTATTGTTGCCTAATGGCAGTGGCCAGGGCCTTCCTGAGCACCCAGCCTCACTCTGCCCAGGCAATGGCGTTGGTGATGTGTGTGAGGATGACTTTGACAATGATGCTGTGGTCGACCCCCTGGATGTGTGTCCTGAAAGTGCAGAGGTAACGCTTACGGATTTTCGGGCCTATCAGACCGTCGTCCTGGATCCTGAGGGTGATGCTCAGATTGACCCAAACTGGGTTGTGCTCAACCAGGTAACTCGGGGCAGTGGGCTGGGCAGGTGCTATCAGACAGGGCTACTGGGACGGGGGGCCTGGGAGGGATAGCACACCTGCATCACAGCTTTTTCTTTACTATACAACCCCAGGGCATGGAAATCGTTCAGACCATGAACAGTGACCCTGGCTTGGCAGTTGGTATGTAAGGGATATGCAGTTCAATCACTTCCAAATGGAGGAATCCTATAGGGGCAGAGGGTAGGGGAGGAAACAGACAGGGAGAATGGGCAAAGTGGCGAGAGAGAAGGCAGTGGCACAAGCTGGCCACATACATAGCAGGCATCCCTTCCCAACTTTACCCCATGATGGGCCGCCAGTAGCTTTGCTGCCCCTGACCTTTATCCCACCCCCACCCCAGGATACACGGCCTTCAATGGTGTGGACTTTGAAGGCACCTTCCATGTGAACACAGTGACTGATGATGACTACGCAGGCTTTCTCTTCAGTTATCAAGACAGTGGCCGCTTCTACGTAGTCATGTGGAAGCAGACCGAGCAGACCTACTGGCAGGCTACACCCTTCCGGGCGGTTGCCCAGCCCGGGCTGCAGCTCAAGGTCCCCAGCTGCTCAGATTCCGCAACCCAGGGCCCTTTCCCAAAGCTCTCCTCTGCAGCCCCAGGGCCTCCCCCACTGCTTGACTGGGAACCCTCTTACCCAGACATCTGGCTTGGAGGCCGGCTCTCTGGGGCCCCAGGGCATTTTCATGACCGCCTTGAATCCCTTTCCCACCTGCACTTACCGACCTGTTGTCTCCCCTCACTCCAGTTCTGCAGTTGACCCACTGTCTTTGCCAATGTCTCCTAGGCAGTGACATCAGTGTCTGGCCCAGGTGAGCACCTCCGAAATGCCCTGTGGCATACTGGCCACACCCCTGATCAGGTACGACTGCTGTGGACAGACCCACGAAATGTGGGCTGGCGGGACAAGACCTCCTATCGCTGGCAGCTTCTGCACCGGCCTCAAGTTGGCTACATTCGGTAAGGAGAGGGGCTGAGCCCACCTGTGGGACTCAGGCCGGGCCTGTCCTTCCTCTTTAGCTGGGATTCACCAGTGACCTCTCCATGGGTGGGAACTGCAGCCACTTCTCTCCATCACCCTTCTCACCACGGACACAAGCACCTATGAGTGATGTTGGTGAAGTCACTCCTCCATGACCCATTTTCCCGTCTGTAAAATGAGGGCATTGGGTTAGATGCCCTTTACAGTTCTCCAGAAGCCTCCAAACCCAGGCCAATCTGTGAAGGGGCACATCACATCTGGTCCCTTAGTTGGTATGACCTGGAACCTGTCTTATCAACGTGGATAGGGATCATCTGACCTGGAAGGCATCATCATTTACAGAAGAGAAAATCAAGGCCCTGACTTCACAGGCCTCGGTTCAACACTTTGTCCACAACTTTGCATTTCTCTCCAACAAGTAGCCCTAGTTGGTGGAGATGAACAGGAAGGGAGGGGAAATGGGTCTGCTTAGAGGCTGGACTTTCCATGGCCAAGAGCCCAGAGTCCAGGAACCTGGGTTGGTTCCCCTTTAAGGTGCCTGGGGCTGTGGGGTGCCAGGACAGGGGATAAAAGGGGGTGGACTAGAGCCTGGGAAGCGGGTGACTTCACCCCCCAGCCCATTGTGCTTATTGTCATGGCAACCCAATCCTCGCTTGGAATGCGGCTGGTGCTTTGAGATGCAAAAGGAGCTGGACAAAGAGCTAGGGGCCCCAGGCCTGAGAAAAGCACCCCCCTTCCCTCTCCTTCCTGCCTCCCTTTCCCTCCCTCCCTTCTCTCTCAGGCCTGGTGAGCTCAAGGGGGGCTGGGGAAAAGCAAGGCCCCAGGCATGGTGGCACAGTGCCCACTGGCACCCTAGCACCAATGGATACTCCTATCCTGGAATCCTGGACAGGGTGAAGCTCTATGAGGGACCCCAGCTTGTGGCGGATTCTGGGGTGATCATTGACACATCCATGCGAGGGGGGCGTCTTGGTGTATTCTGCTTCTCCCAAGAAAACATAATTTGGTCCAATCTCCAGTATCGATGCAATGGTGAGGTGGCTGATTGAGATCAACCTAATCCTTCATGCCTTGTGGGAGAGCCACATCCTCTGACCTTACTTATTTCCCCTTCTTCAGACACAGTGCCTGAGGACTTTGAGCCATTCCGGAGGCAGCTGCTCCAGGGAAGGGTGTGAGGAGGAGGCCACCAGATTCAGAATTCAGAATTTTAGACCCTTTGGCCTTGGGGTCCATCCTGGAGACCCTGAGGTCTAAGCTACAGCCCCTCAGCCAACCACAGACCCTTCTCTGGCTCCCAAAAGGAGTTCAGTCCCAGAGGGGTGGTCACCCCACCCTTCAGGGGATGAGAAGTTTTCAAGGGGTATTACTCAGGCACTAACCCCAGGAAAGATGACAGCACATTGCCATAAAGTTTTGGTTGTTTTCTAAGCCAGTGCAACTGCTTATTTTAGGGATTTTCCGGGATAGGGTGGGGAAGTGGAAGGAATCGGCGAGTAGAAGAGAAAGCCTGGGAGGGTGGAAGTTAGGGATCTAGGGGAAGTTTGGCTGATTTGGGGATGCGGGTGGGGGAGGTGCTGGATGGAGTTAAGTGAAGGATAGGGTGCCTGAGGGAGGATGCCCGAAGTCCTCCCAGACCCACTTACTCACGGTGGCAGCGGCGACACTCCAGTCTATCAAAGATCCGCCGGGATGGAGAGCCAGGAGGGCGGGGGCTGCCCCGCTAGGGGTAGCGGGGAGGCCGGGGGGCCGGGGGGGCCGGAGGCCGGGACGAGTGCAATATTGGCGGGGGAAAAAACAACACTGCACCGCGTCCCGTCCCTCCCGCCCGCCCGGGGCCCGGGATCCCGCTCCCCACCGCCTGAAGCCGGCCCGACCCGGGAACCCGGGGCGCGCTGGGGAGTTGGGTTCACCTTGGAGGCCAGAGAGACTTGGCGCCCGGAAGGCAAAGGGAATGGCAAGGGGGAGGGGGGAGGGAGAACGGGAGTTTGCGGAGTCCCAGAAGGCCGCTTTCCGACGCCCGGGCGTTGCGCGCGCTTGCTCTTTAAGTACTCAGACTGCGCGGCGCGGAGCCGTCGCCATGGTGACGCGTGTCCCAGCAACCGAACTGAATGGCTGTTGCTTGGCAATGCCGGGAGTTGAGGTTTGGGGCCGCCCACCTAGCTACTCGTGTTTTCTCCGGCCTGCGAGTTGGGGGGCTCCCCGCCTCCCCGGCCCGCGCTCCCGGGCGCGCTGACGTCAGATGTCCCCACCCCGCCCAGCGCCTGCCCCAGGGTCTCGCCGCACACAAAGCTGCGCCTCGGGCGCCGCGCGGCGCGCGGGCGAGAGCTGTGGTCTCTCGCCTGCTGATCTGATGCGCTCCAATCCCGTGCCTCGCCGAAGTGTTTTTAAAGTGTTCTTTCCAACCTGTGTCTTTGGGGCTGAGAACTGTTTTCTGAATACAGGCGGAACTGCTTCCGTCGGCCTAGAGCGCAGCCTGCGACTGCGGGACCCAAGTTCCACGTGCTGCCGCGGCCTGGGATAGCTTCCTCCCCTCGTGCACTGCTGCCGCACACACCTCTTGGCTGTCGCGCATTACGCACCTCACGTGTGCTTTTGCCCCCCGCTACGTGCCTACCTGTCCCCAATACCACTCTGCTCCCCAAAGGATAGTTCTGTGTCCGTAAATCCCATTCTGTCACCCCACCTACTCTCTGCCCCCCCCTTTTTTGTTTTGAGACGGAGTCTTGCTCTGTCGCCCAGGCTGGAGTGCAATGGCGCGATCTCGGCTCACTGCAACCTCCGCCTCCCGGGTTCAAGCGATTCTCCTGCCTCAGCCTCCTGAGTAGCTGGGGTTACAGCGCCCGCCACCACGCTCGGCTAATTTTTGTAGTTTTTAGTAGAGACGAGGTTTCACCATCTTGGCCAGGCTGGTCTTGAACCCCTGACCTTGTGATCCACTCGCCTCGGCCTTCCAAAGTGTTGGGATTACGGGCGTGAGCCACCGTGCCACGCCCGATCTGCCTCTTAAGTACATAACGGCCCACACAGAACGTGTCCAACTCCCCCGCCCACGTTCCAACGTCCTCTCCCACATACCTCGGTGCCCCTTCCACATACCTCAGGACCCCACCCGCTTAGCTCCATTTCCTCCAGACGCCACCACCACGCGTCCCGGAGTGCCCCCTCCTAAAGCTCCCAGCCGTCCACCATGCTGTGCGTTCCTCCCTCCCTGGCCACGGCAGTGACCCTTCTCTCCCGGGCCCTGCTTCCCTCTCGCGGGCTCTCGCTGCCTCACTTAGGCAGCGCTGCCCTTACTCCTCTCCGCCCGGTCCGAGCGGCCCCTCAGCTTGCGCGGCCCAGCCCCGCAAGGCTCCCGGTGACCACTAGAGGGCGGGAGGAGCTCCTGGCCAGTGGTGGAGAGTGGCAAGGAAGGACCCTAGGGTTCATCGGAGCCCAGGTTTACTCCCTTAAGTGGAAATTTCTTCCCCCACTCCCTCCTTGGCTTTCTCCAAGGAGGGAACCCAGGCTGCTGGAAAGTCCGGCTGGGGCGGGGACTGTGGGTTTCAGGGTAGAACTGCGTGTGGAACGGGACAGGGAGCGGTTAGAAGGGTGGGGCTATTCCGGGAAGTGGTGGGGGGAGGGAGCCCAAAACTAGCACCTAGTCCACTCATTATCCAGCCCTCTTATTTCTCGGCCCCGCTCTGCTTCAGTGGACCCGGGGAGGGCGGGGAAGTGGAGTGGGAGACCTAGGGGTGGGCTTCCCGACCTTGCTGTACAGGACCTCGACCTAGCTGGCTTTGTTCCCCATCCCCACGTTAGTTGTTGCCCTGAGGCTAAAACTAGAGCCCAGGGGCCCCAAGTTCCAGACTGCCCCTCCCCCCTCCCCCGGAGCCAGGGAGTGGTTGGTGAAAGGGGGAGGCCAGCTGGAGAACAAACGGGTAGTCAGGGGGTTGAGCGATTAGAGCCCTTGTACCCTACCCAGGAATGGTTGGGGAGGAGGAGGAAGAGGTAGGAGGTAGGGGAGGGGGCGGGGTTTTGTCACCTGTCACCTGCTCCGGCTGTGCCTAGGGCGGGCGGGCGGGGAGTGGGGGGACCGGTATAAAGCGGTAGGCGCCTGTGCCCGCTCCACCTCTCAAGCAGCCAGCGCCTGCCTGAATCTGTTCTGCCCCCTCCCCACCCATTTCACCACCACCATGACACCGGGCACCCAGTCTCCTTTCTTCCTGCTGCTGCTCCTCACAGTGCTTACAGGTGAGGGGCACGAGGTGGGGAGTGGGCTGCCCTGCTTAGGTGGTCTTCGTGGTCTTTCTGTGGGTTTTGCTCCCTGGCAGATGGCACCATGAAGTTAAGGTAAGAATTGCAGACAGAGGCTGCCCTGTCTGTGCCAGAAGGAGGGAGAGGCTAAGGACAGGCTGAGAAGAGTTGCCCCCAACCCTGAGAGTGGGTACCAGGGGCAAGCAAATGTCCTGTAGAGAAGTCTAGGGGGAAGAGAGTAGGGAGAGGGAAGGCTTAAGAGGGGAAGAAATGCAGGGGCCATGAGCCAAGGCCTATGGGCAGAGAGAAGGAGGCTGCTGCAGGGAAGGAGGCGGCCAACCCAGGGGTTACTGAGGCTGCCCACTCCCCAGTCCTCCTGGTATTATTTCTCTGGTGGCCAGAGCTTATATTTTCTTCTTGCTCTTATTTTTCCTTCATAAAGACCCAACCCTATGACTTTAACTTCTTACAGCTACCACAGCCCCTAAACCCGCAACAGTTGTTACGGGTTCTGGTCATGCAAGCTCTACCCCAGGTGGAGAAAAGGAGACTTCGGCTACCCAGAGAAGTTCAGTGCCCAGCTCTACTGAGAAGAATGCTGTGAGTATGACCAGCAGCGTACTCTCCAGCCACAGCCCCGGTTCAGGCTCCTCCACCACTCAGGGACAGGATGTCACTCTGGCCCCGGCCACGGAACCAGCTTCAGGTTCAGCTGCCACCTGGGGACAGGATGTCACCTCGGTCCCAGTCACCAGGCCAGCCCTGGGCTCCACCACCCCGCCAGCCCACGATGTCACCTCAGCCCCGGACAACAAGCCAGCCCCGGGCTCCACCGCCCCCCCAGCCCACGGTGTCACCTCGGCCCCGGACACCAGGCCGGCCCCGGGCTCCACCGCCCCCCAAGCCCACGGTGTCACCTCGGCCCCGGACACCAGGCCGGCCCCGGGCTCCACCGCCCCCCCAGCCCACGGTGTCACCTCGGCCCCGGACACCAGGCCCGCCCCGGGCTCCACCGCCCCCCCAGCCCACGGTGTCACCTCGGCCCCGGACACCAGGTCCGCCCCGGGCTCCACCGCGCCCGCAGCCCACGGTGTCACCTCGGCCCCGGACACCAGGTCGGTCCCGGGCTCCACCGCCCCCCAAGCCCACGGTGTCACCTCGGCCCCGGACACCAGGCCGGCCCCGGGCTCCACCGCCCCCCCAGCCCACGGTGTCACCTCGGCCCCGGACACCAGGCCGGTTCCGGGCTCCACCGCCCCCCCAGCCCACGGTGTCACCTCGGCCCCGGACACCAGGCCGGCCCCGGGCTCCACCGCCCCCCCAGTCTACGGTGTCACCTCGGCCTCGGAGAGCAGGCCGGACCCGGGCTCCACCGCGCCCGCAGTCTACGATGTCACCTCGGCCCTCGGAGAGAAGGACGGACCCGGGCTCCACCGCGCCCGCAGCCCACGGTGTCACCTCGGCCCCGGACACCAGGCCGGCCCCGGGCTCCACCGCCCCCCAAGCCCACGGTGTCACCTCGGCCCCGGACACCAGGCCGGCCCCGGGCTCCACCGCCCCCCCAGCCCACGGTGTCACCTCGGCCCCGGACACCAGGCCCGCCCCGGGCTCCACCGCCCCCCCAGCCCACGGTGTCACCTCGGCCCCGGACACCAGGCCCGCCCCGGGCTCCACCGCGCCCGCAGCCCACGGTGTCACCTCGGCCCCGGACACCAGGCCGGCCCCGGGCTCCACCGCCCCCCAAGCCCACGGTGTCACCTCGGCCCCGGACACCAGGCCGGCCCCGGGCTCCACCGCCCCCCCAGCCCACGGTGTCACCTCGGCCCCGGACCCCTGCCGGCCCCGGGCTCCACCGCCCCCCCAGCCCAGTTTTCCAACCCCGGACACCAGGCCGGCCCCGGCTCCACCGCCCCCCCAGACACCAGGCCGGCCCCGGGCTCCACCGCCCCCCAAGCCCACGGTGTCACCTCGACCCCGGACACCAGGCCGGCCCCGGGCTCCACCGCCCCCCCAGCCCACGGTGTCACCTCGGCCCCGGACACCAGGCCCGCCCCGGGCTCCACCGCCCCCCCAGCCCACGGTGTCACCTCGGCCCCGGACACCAGGCCCGCCCCGGGCTCCACCGCGCCCGCAGCCCACGGTGTCACCTCGGCCCCGGACACCAGGCCGGCCCCGGGCTCCACCGCCCCCCAAGCCCACGGTGTCACCTCGGCCCCGGACACCAGGCCGGCCCCGGGCTCCACCGCCCCCCCAGCCCACGGTGTCACCTCGGCCCCGGACACCAGGCCGGCCCCAGGGCTCCACCGCCCCCCCAGCCCA
Organism: Homo sapiens; assembly: GCF_000001405.40. Classification (NCBI taxonomy): domain Eukaryota; kingdom Metazoa; phylum Chordata; class Mammalia; order Primates; family Hominidae; genus Homo; species Homo sapiens. The sequence continues at coordinate 155,190,463 of NC_000001.11, read as the reverse complement.
CGGTGTCACCTCGGCCCCGGACACCAGGCCGGCCCCGGGCTCCCCCCCCCCCCCAGCCCACGGTGTCACCTCGGCCCCGGAGAGTTCCGCCCCGGGCTCCACCGCGCCCGCAGCCCACGGTGTCACCTCGGCCCCAGAGAGCAGGCCGGCCCCGGGCTCCACCGCGCCCGCAGCCCACGGAGTCACCACGGCCCCGGAAAGCAGTTCTGGCCCGGGCTCCACCGCGCCCCCAGCCCACGGTGTCACCTCGGCCCCGGACACCAGGCCGGCCCCGGGCTCCACCGCGCCCGCAGCCCACGGTGTCACCTCGGCCCCGGAGAGCAGGCCGGCCCCGGGCTCCACCGCGCCCGCAGCCCACGGTGTCACCTCGGCCCCGGAGAGCAGGCCGGCCCCGGGCTCCACCGCCCCCCCAGCCCACGGTGTCACCTCGGCCCCGGACACCAGGCCGGCCCCGGGCTCCACCGCCCCCCCAACCCACGGTGTCACCTCGGCCCCGGACACCAGTCCCGCCCCGGGCTCCACCGCCCCCCCAGCCCACGGTGTCACCTCGGCCCCGGACACAAGGCCCGCCCCGGGCTACACCGCGCCCGCAGCCCACGGTGTCACCTCGGCCCCGGACACCAGGCCGGCCCCGGGCTCCACCGCCCCCCAAGCCCACGGTGTCACCTCGGCCCCGGACACCAGGCCGGCCCCGGGCTCCACCGCCCCCCCAGCCCACGGTGTCACCTCGGCCCCGGACACCAGGCCGGCCCCGGGCTCCACCGCCCCCCCAGCCCACGGTGTCACCTCGGCCCCGGACACCAGGCCGGCCCCGGGCTCCACCGCCCCCCCAGCCCACGGTGTCACCTCGGCCCCGGAGAGCAGGCCGGCCCCGGGCTCCACCGCGAGAGCAGCCCACGGTGTCACCTCGGCCCCGGAGAGCAGGCCGGCCCCGGGCTCCACCGCCCCCCCAGCCCACGGTGTCACCTCGGCCCCGGACACCAGGCCGGCCCCGGGCTCCACCGCCCCCCCAGCCCACGGTGTCACCTCGGCCCCGGACACCAGGCCGGCCCCGGGCTCCACCGCCCCCCCAGCCCACGGTGTCACCTCGGCCCCGGACACCAGGCCGGCCCCGGGCTCCACCGCCCCCCCAGCCCACGGTGTCACCTCGGCCCCGGACACCAGGCCGGCCCCGGGCTCCACCGCCCCCCCAGCCCACGGTGTCACCTCGGCCCCGGACACCAGGCCGTCCCCGGGCTCCACCGCGCCCGCAGCCCACGGTGTATATTTAAAACAGAGAGCAGGCCGGCCCCGGGCTCCACCGCGCCCGCAGCCCAGCTCACAGTGTCACCTCGGCCCCGGACACCAGGCCGGCCTCGGGCTCCACCGACACTCCAGCACACGGTGTCACCTCGGCCCCGGACAACAGACCGGCTCCGGGCTCCACCGCCCCCCCAGCCCACGGTGTCACCTCGGCACCGGACACCAGGCCGGCCCCCGGGCTCCACCGCCCCCCCAGCCCACGGTGTCACCTCGGCCCCGGACACCAGGCCGGCCCCGGGCTCCACCGCCCCCCCAGTCCACGGTGTCACCTCGGCCCCGGACACCAGGCCGGCACCGGGCTCCACCGCCCCCCCAGCCCACGGTGTCACCTCGGCCCCGGACACCAGGCCGGCCCCGGGCTCCACCGCCCCCCCAGCCCACGGTGTCACCTCGGCCCCGGACACCAGGCCGGCCCCGGGCTCCACCGCACCCCCAGCCCACGGTGTCACCTCGGCCCCGGACACCAGGCGGGCCCCGGGCTCCACCCCGGCCCCGGGCTCCACCGCCCCCCCAGCCCACGGTGTCACCTCGGCCCCGGACACCAGGCCGGCCCCGGGCTCCACCGCCCCCCCAGCCCATGGTGTCACCTCGGCCCCGGACAACAGGCCCGCCTTGGGCTCCACCGCCCCTCCAGTCCACAATGTCACCTCGGCCTCAGGCTCTGCATCAGGCTCAGCTTCTACTCTGGTGCACAACGGCACCTCTGCCAGGGCTACCACAACCCCAGCCAGCAAGAGCACTCCATTCTCAATTCCCAGCCACCACTCTGATACTCCTACCACCCTTGCCAGCCATAGCACCAAGACTGATGCCAGTAGCACTCACCATAGCACGGTACCTCCTCTCACCTCCTCCAATCACAGCACTTCTCCCCAGTTGTCTACTGGGGTCTCTTTCTTTTTCCTGTCTTTTCACATTTCAAACCTCCAGTTTAATTCCTCTCTGGAAGATCCCAGCACCGACTACTACCAAGAGCTGCAGAGAGACATTTCTGAAATGGTGAGTATCGGCCTTTCCTTCCCCATGCTCCCCTGAAGCAGCCATCAGAACTGTCCACACCCTTTGCATCAAGCCTGAGTCCTTTCCCTCTCACCCCAGTTTTTGCAGATTTATAAACAAGGGGGTTTTCTGGGCCTCTCCAATATTAAGTTCAGGTACAGTTCTGGGTGTGGACCCAGTGTGGTGGTTGGAGGGTGGGTGGTGGTCATGACCGTAGGGAGGGACTGGTGCACTTAAGGTTGGGGGAAGAGTGCTGAGCCAGAGCTGGGACCCGTGGCTGAAGTGCCCATTTCCCTGTGACCAGGCCAGGATCTGTGGTGGTACAATTGACTCTGGCCTTCCGAGAAGGTACCATCAATGTCCACGACGTGGAGACACAGTTCAATCAGTATAAAACGGAAGCAGCCTCTCGATATAACCTGACGATCTCAGACGTCAGCGGTGAGGCTACTTCCCTGGCTGCAGCCCAGCACCATGCCGGGGCCCCTCTCCTTCCAGTGTCTGGGTCCCCGCTCTTTCCTTAGTGCTGGCAGCGGGAGGGGCGCCTCCTCTGGGAGACTGCCCTGACCACTGCTTTTCCTTTTAGTGAGTGATGTGCCATTTCCTTTCTCTGCCCAGTCTGGGGCTGGGGTGCCAGGCTGGGGCATCGCGCTGCTGGTGCTGGTCTGTGTTCTGGTTGCGCTGGCCATTGTCTATCTCATTGCCTTGGTGAGTGCAGTCCCTGGCCCTGATCAGAGCCCCCCGGTAGAAGGCACTCCATGGCCTGCCATAACCTCCTATCTCCCCAGGCTGTCTGTCAGTGCCGCCGAAAGAACTACGGGCAGCTGGACATCTTTCCAGCCCGGGATACCTACCATCCTATGAGCGAGTACCCCACCTACCACACCCATGGGCGCTATGTGCCCCCTAGCAGTACCGATCGTAGCCCCTATGAGAAGGTGAGATTGGGCCCCACAGGCCAGGGGAAGCAGAGGGTTTGGCTGGGCAAGGATTCTGAAGGGGGTACTTGGAAAACCCAAAGAGCTTGGAAGAGGTGAGAAGTGGCGTGAAGTGAGCAGGGGAGGGCCTGGCAAGGATGAGGGGCAGAGGTCAGAGGAGTTTTGGGGGACAGGCCTGGGAGGAGACTATGGAAGAAAGGGGCCCTCAAGAGGGAGTGGCCCCACTGCCAGAATTCCTAAAAGATCATTGGCCGTCCACATTCATGCTGGCTGGCGCTGGCTGAACTGGTGCCACCGTGGCAGTTTTGTTTTGTTTTGCTTTTTTGCACCCAGAGGCAAAATGGGTGGAGCACTATGCCCAGGGGAGCCCTTCCCGAGGAGTCCCAGGGGTGAGCCTCTGTGCCCCTAATCATCTCCTAGGAATGGAGGGTAGACCGAGAAAGGCTGGCATAGGGGGAGGTTTCCCAGGTAGAAGAAGAAGTGTCAGCAGACCAGGTGAGCGTGGGTGCCAGTGGGGTTCTTGGGAGCTTCAAGGAAGCAAGGAACGCTCCCTCCTTCCTCTCCTGGTCTTTCTCTATGGGACCTAGTAAATAATTACTGCAGCCACCTGAGGCTGGAAAACCACTCCAGGTGGGGGAGGAGAGAGTTTAGTTTTCTTGCTCCTATTTTCCTCCTCCTGGAGACCTCCCTCTCTCGGCTTTACAAAGACACAGATACACCCCGCCCCCCAAAACACACACACACACACACACACACCTCCTTAGGCTGGAACAGCAGAGAATGGAGGGACAAGGGGGCTGATTAGAGCCAAGAAGAGGGAGTGAAGGAGAGCAGAGGGAGGAGGGCAGCCCTGTTTACAGTCACCTGGCTGGTGGGGTGGCAGGTGCTCTCTCTGAATTAACCCTTTGAGAGCTGGCCAGGACTCTGGACTGATTACCCCAGCCTGGGGTGGCATCCAGGGGCTCTAGGAGGTACCTTTTGCTCCTCACCCTGGATCTCTTTTCCTTCCACCCAGGTTTCTGCAGGTAATGGTGGCAGCAGCCTCTCTTACACAAACCCAGCAGTGGCAGCCACTTCTGCCAACTTGTAGGGGCACGTCGCCCGCTGAGCTGAGTGGCCAGCCAGTGCCATTCCACTCCACTCAGGTTCTTCAGGGCCAGAGCCCCTGCACCCTGTTTGGGCTGGTGAGCTGGGAGTTCAGGTGGGCTGCTCACAGCCTCCTTCAGAGGCCCCACCAATTTCTCGGACACTTCTCAGTGTGTGGAAGCTCATGTGGGCCCCTGAGGGCTCATGCCTGGGAAGTGTTGTGGTGGGGGCTCCCAGGAGGACTGGCCCAGAGAGCCCTGAGATAGCGGGGATCCTGAACTGGACTGAATAAAACGTGGTCTCCCACTGCGCCAACTTCTGATCTTTCATCTGTGACCCGTGGGCAGCAGGGCGGTCAGAATGTGTGTGAGGGGGCTGGGGGAGGAGACAGGGAGGCCAGGAGGCAGTAAGGAGCGAGTTTGTTTGAGAAGCAGGAGATGTGAGGAGGAGGTGACATTGGGGAGTAGGGGTGGCCTGAGGAGCCACCTCTGGCTAACCCTGGCAGCACAAGAGGAAGGAGGAAACGAAACCCAGGCGGGCTTTGGAGGGCTAGCGTGACTGGGCTCCGTGACTGAGCTCTGTGTGCCAGTGGCTCTCCCCTCTCCTCGCCTGGCCCACGCCCTCCTTGCCCCCTGGCATGGTGCCCCCCAGGTGGCTCTATTCTTAGCTGTCCGGGTGTGAAGTAAATCCTTGGGCAGTGATAACAGCCCAGAGTCAACAGGGTTGAGATAAGCAGAGGCTGGGTCAGATCCGGGCGCTGGCACCAGGCCCAGCCCCCTCCCTGACCCCGGCTGCCCCACCAGCCTGCTGCCCCTGGGGTGGGCTCCACAACACCCTGGGAATGGGGAAGTGGTTCTGGTTCCCTGACCCCTTTGGGCCCAGGCACGTTGCCTGTCCCTCGACCGCATTCCCCCAGGGCCTGTGCTGCAGGCCTGGAAGCCCTGATTGGGGCCTGCCACCAGCAGCCAGAGAGCTATGTTCCCTGGCAGCTGTGATGCGCTCAGGCCGGGCCAGGACACGTGTGGCAGGAGGCTTAGAGCACCTGGCCTGGGGCCTTCCTCTCTCAGGCACCAGATCCATTGGTTGCTCCTGCCTAGAACCACAGCCTAGCACCCTGCTCCCTCCCGCCTACCACACCCAGCACAGAAACTCACAGGAATGATTGCGCTCAGGGAAGGCAGAGATGTGCCTGGCATCACAGTTTATTGTTTATAAACCATGACAATAACAGCTGTTGCTCAGCACAGGCCTAGCAGAGCCCACTGCAGGGGGACGGCAGCGGGCACCAGAGGCCTTGCCTGGCCCAACCCAATGGGAACACCCAGACTCAGCTGGGTCCCCAAGGGAGACTTGGCACATTGGCATGGGTGTGGGACAGGTAAAGCATGCAAGAGGGAGAAGAGGGACATAAGGGGCATGCGGCTGCGGGGTGTTGGGACCCAAATAAATAAAGCAGGATGACAGGGTCCCCTTCCCCTCACCAGGAATGCCTGGACAGCGTCCAGCCCCAAAGCCTGCCTGTCCCAAGGCTGTAGTTCAGCATCAACAGGGCAGGGAGCTTGGCAGGGCAAGGGCAGAGCTGGAGATCATGCCCAGTGTTCCAGGTGCCCTCCCTCCCAATCAGCCTGGGGGGCACAGGACAGGGATGGAGAAGGGGCTCTCTCCATGGCTTGGGTAACATGCCAAAGGCAGGTCATAGGGCAGACTCAGTGGGGGTGGGGGCCTGGCTAACAAGCAATGGAGAGAACGGGGGCCATCCAGAGAGGTGGGCAGAAGAGAGCCCCTGGGTCAAGAGAAAACTGTGGGAAGACAGACACGGGAGAAGGAGCAGGGCCACATGGTAGGAGAGTTTGGGGGAGAAGCTGCCAGGGGGTAACAACCGGGTGCCAAGAGGTTTGGGGGCCAGGGCCCAGGAGGACCCCAGGTCTGCATGAGGGGCCTGGAAGGCTCAGTCCAGCTTGGCGAAGCCCCCAATGGTGACTTTCCTCTCAGGCTTAGTGCCCACTGGCTCCTGGAGCTGTACTGCGCCACCCCCGATGAAGCAAAAGGCAGGGCACACAGGCCCTGAGCAGTCCAGGGGGCACTCCAAGAGCCCACGGAAGGAAACAGCATCCAGGAAGGAAACCCGGCCCCGCTCATAGTCCAGGCAGATGCCCAGGCGGGGTGGCAGGGGCACTGTGCAGCCGGCTGTGGGGCCATCCCTCCCTGTCAGCCCTGCGTTTGAGCTTGCCCCCGACCCCAGCAGGATCTTGCCCATGCCAATGGTTAGGAAAGCGAAGGGTGGCGACGCCTCCACTGTGGCATCCTCGGCACCGCTGTCGTGCCCGCTGTCCGGGTCGTACCTGCAGAAGCGGGTGTTGGGGACGAGATTGTTGAGGGATGGAGTGACGGATGAGGTACCAGAGGGAGACGCTGGAAGGATGGAATGTTAAGGAGCAAGAGGTTGAAGGGATGGATTTTGGGTGTTGAGAAGAAAACGCTGAAGAGGCAGGGGTTAGAGTATAGGGTCAGGGGTTTGGGTTTGGTGGAAAGAGAGCACTGAGAGGAAAGCACATTGGCAAGAGAGGGGCAGGCGGACAGGAAAGACATGGCATTGGTATAGCCCGCGGAAAGGCATTGAGAAAAATGGTCTTGGGGAAATCATGCTGGGGAGATGGTTCTGAGGATTAGAGGACATTGGAAGAATCCGAGATTAGTGACTAAGAAGAGAAAGGATGTTGGGAAGGTGGGTGTCGGGAGAGAGATGAGGGTGGATTGGTGTCACAAATGAAGGGTGTTAGAGGTATGCGGGGTTGGGGACAATGGGGTTTAGGAGGGGTTTGTGTTGGGGAGAAAGCATTTTGAAGAAATAAGGTGTTGGGGGATAGAGTGCTGGGGAGAAGGCTTAGGATGCAAAGCATTAGTGGGAGGGTGTTAAATAGGGAGTTGGGGCCAGGCACAGTGGCTCACGCCTGTAATCCCAGCACTTTGGGAGGCCAAGGTGGGCGGATCACGAGGTCAGGAGATTGAGACCATCCTGGCTAACACGGTGAAAGCCCGTCTCTACTAAAAATACAAAAAATTAGCTGGGCATGGTGGCGGGTGCCTGTAGTCCCAGCTACTCGGGAGGCTGAGGCAGGAGAATGGTGTGAACCCGGGAGGTGGAGCTTGCAGTGAGCGGAGATCGCGCCGCTAGACTCCAGCCTGAGCGACAGAGCGAGACTCCATTTCAAAAAAAAAAAAAAACAGGGAGTTGGGGAGAGGAGGGTTATGGAGGTGGGATGTTTAAGGGAAGAATTTTTTTTTTTTTTTTTTTGAGAAGGAGTTTTGCTTTTGTCGCCCAGGCTGCAGTGCAATGACACAATCTTGGCTCACCGCAACCTCCACCTCCCGGGTTCAAGTGATTCTCCTGCCTCAGCCTCACGAGTAGCCGGGGTTACAGGCATGCGCTACCACGCCCAGCTATTTTTTTTGTATTTTTAGTAGAGATGGGGTCACTCCATGTTGGTCAAGCTGGTCTCGAACTCTCGACCTCCAGTGATTTGCCTGCCTCAGCCTCCCAAAGTGCTGGGATTACAGGCGTGAGCCACCGCATCCGGCTAAGGGAAGAATTTTAAGATACGGGTGAAGGAGGTCTTGGAGAGCAAAGGTTTTATGGAGAAGGTATGTTGGAAATGGAGTGTTAGGAAGAAAGGACACAGATGCTTGGAGAGATGGTGTGTTGATCCAGAGTGACAGATGGTTGGAAGGAAGCAGAGATGGCTCCCTCTTCTATCATCCCTTTCCCTGACCACACGACATGCTCTGAAAATCAGTCCTCAAAAGCCCTTTTGCTGAGCCCATGCGTCTCCTGGACACAGGCCTCCCAGCCTGGCTTCCAGGCTCCTACTACTTCCTCCTAATCCCCTCCCAGCCCCACCCTAGCAAGTCTGTGCTCCACTTGCCACCCCTTCTGTGCCCCTCACTCCCACCAGGACCCCCACACCCCATCCCTTCCAGAGGGGTCTGACCTGGGGCTGATCACATCGGGGGCACCCTGGAAACTTTCTTGAAGCTTGCTCTCCAGCCCGACGCCCACCTTGACCAAGTAGGAGGCTGGGTCTACGGCGCAGGCCCAGTAGCTGCGGCCCTGGGTCACAGCCACGTCGCCCAGGACCACATCCACACTCAGGTGGCAGCCGGTCAGCAGCCGGTCAGCAGCCAGCAGCAGGGGCAGCCCTGGAACACTCCGTACTGCTCGCTGGTCCTTGCTGATAGCCAGCCGCTCTCGGCTTGCGCCCCAGCGGCTATCGAGGAAGAAGTGCAGGACTGGAAGGAGGGAGAGGGTTGAGATGGAGCAAGAACTTCAGGGACAAACACTGGCACTGGGGGCTGTGAGACTGCAGAACAGGGAACGCGTTGCAAGGGGGTTCAGTCACCAGGAACAGGCAGGGGGTTCAGGAGAACAGGACATGGGAAACTGGAATGGGGGGCATGAGGAAAAAAGAAGGGGGCATTCCAAATGGGCGTGGGACCCCAGAGAGTTTTTGTGATGGCAGTGGGCACAGAAGTCAGTGCTCCGGACCTGGCTGACTCATGGGGCTCCCTCGAACCCCTTACTTGTGGCCAGCCCCATGGACAGTTCCCACTATTCTGTTCCACCTGGTGACATTCCCATCACCATCAATCTGTGCCTTCCAGCCCATACTCTGGGTTCACACCTGGCCCTTATACCCAGCCCCTATTTGGGTGGCAAGGCTTCCCTCTTATGCCCACCCCCTGGAGTCCGAACTATTTTCTAGTCACTTTAGTAACATTCTTGAGCCCTAACCATGAGCCGGACACTGTACTCAGACTCCCATTGATCGTCTCAAACCAGTTGAATTCTTGCAACTCTATGAGGTAAGCATTATCATTTTTTAAAAATATATATATGTTTTTGAGACGGAGTCTCACACTGTTCCCCAGGCTGGAGTGCAGTGGCGCAATCTTGGCTCACTGCAACCCCTGCCTCCCAGGTTCAAGCCATTCTCCTGCCTCAGCCTTCCAAGTAGCTGGGATTACAGGCGCCTGCAACCACACCCAGCTAATTATTTTCATTTTCATTTTTAGTAGAGACGGGGTTTCACTATGTTGGCCAGGCTGGTCTTGAACGCCTGACCTCGTGATCCATCCACCTCGGCCTCCCAAAGTGCTGGGATTACAGGCGTGAGCCACTGTGCCCAGCCAAAAATAATTTATTTTTTACGTATTTTATTTACTTATTTATTGAGACAGAGTTTCACTCTTGTTGCTCAGGCTGAAGTGCAATGGCGCGATCTCGGCTCACCGCAACCTCCGCCTCCTGGGTTCAAGCAATTCTCCTGCCTCAGCCTCCCAAGTAGCTGGGATTACAGGCATGCGCCACCACACCCAGCTAATGTTGTATTTTTAGTAGAGATGGGGTTTCTCCATGTTGGTCAGGCTGGTCTCAAACTCCCAACCTCAGGGGATCCACCCACCTTGGCCTCCCAAAGTGCTGGGATTACAGGTGTGAGCCACCTTGCCTGGCCTTTATTTATTTATTTATTTATTTATTTTTCCGAGACGTCGGAGTCTTGCTCTGTTGTCCAGGCTGGAGTCCAGTGGCGCGATCTCAGCTCACTGCAACCTCCGCCTCCCAGGTTCAAGCGATTCTCCTACCTCAGCCTCCCGAGTAGCTGGAATTGTAGGCACGCACCACCACGCCTGGCTAAGTTTTGTATTCCTAGTAGAGACGGGGTTTCACCATGTTGGCCAGGCTGGTCTCAAACTCTTGACCTTGTGATCCGCCCGCCTCGGCCTCCCAAAGTGCTGGGATTACAGGCATGAGCTACCTCGCCTGGCCTATTTATTTTTTTAGAGATCGGGTCTCGCTGTGTTGGCCAGGTTGGTCTTGAACTCCTGGCCTCAAGCAATCCTCCCTCCTTGGCCTCCCAAAGTGCTAGGATTACAGGCATGAGCCGCTGCACCTGGCCAGTATTATCGTTATCCCTACAGAAAAGGACTCTGAAGTTCAGAGAGGGTAAAAACTTGCCAGAAGCCACCCACACAGTTGGCAAGAGGCAGAGCTGGGATTTGAACCCAAGCAGTCTAGCTCCAGAGCTAGTGTGTGTGAGACCTACTATGTTATATGGCCTCTCTAGCGGCCACCGGAACCAACCGTCAGGGCCTAGGCCCTGGCATACCCCATGCCCTTTGCACGACCACCTGTGCCTGCCCACTCACCAGGTGCCGGGGGCGTGTGCAGGTGCACATCTTCACTGTATTCGCCGTAGCCGGCCTTGTTGCAGCCGCGGACACGCAGCACATACACAGAGCCCGTGTCGGGGTTCTCAAGCAGGGCACTGGTGCCCCTCACCTCCTCCCGCCGCTGCCAGCGGGTGGGGCCTGGCTGAGCAGGCACATCCGTGCGCCGGAACTCAACGGTATAGTGCCAGGCAGGTGGTGAATGGGGGGGCAGCCGCCAGCACAGGAAGATCTGATCATAGGCAAAGGTGCGCTGGGTGTCAATGACGGGGGCCTCAGGCACTGTTGGAAGAGACAGCGGGTGTCAGTCAGGGCCTGGCCACTGGCCTGGCATGGAGGGCAGGGGCAGGCAGGAAAAGGGAAAGCAGCGGGAGCCGGGGGGGTGAGTGTGGGTGAGAGGGAGCTGGGGAAGGGCTCATCTGGGAACTGGGCACAGGAGGGGTAGGGCAGGGCCCAAGAGAGAACGAGGCAGGAAAGCGCTGGGCTGGGGGTCAGGACACCTGTGTGCTAGTTCTGGGCTGCTGCTACCTCACTCTGGCCTGGAATAAGTCACTTCCCCTTTCTGGGCCTCAGTTTCCTCCCCTGTCAAATGAGGGTATCAGATCAGGTAAGTTCTGGGGGCCCTTGCAGCTCAGTTATTCTATGAATTAAGAGGAGCCCCAGGGAGGGGCAGGCAAAGGCCACTGGAGCCCACAGGCAAGAGGGCGCTGAGCAGGAAGGAAGGGGACCAGGCTCAGAAGAGAGATTTAGGAGGCAGCGAGGTGGAAAGTGGGGACAACAGAGGGACAGCAAAAGCTGAGGGCAGGGGTTGGAGGTCAAGGGAAAGGAAGTGCAAGGCCAGAGGGCAAGGGTCACAAGGACAAAAGGTCAGAAGGGCCAGGATTACGCAAGCGCCTGAAGAAGGCAGAAGGGAGACAGGGCATTGGTCCAGTGGGAGGACCACGAGGTCGGGGCAAGGCAGGAAAGAGAAGGAAGCAATGAGTGGTTGGCTGAGATGCGTGGGAGCAGCGGGGTGGGAAGGGGGCCCGGCGGCGGGCAGGGCCCCCGGGGCAGGGCCGCTGACTTGCCTGGGGTGCTCCGGAGCAGAGTCCGCGGTGGCCACAGCCTACAAACAAAGAGAGGGAGAAGCAGCGCTGAGCGCGGTAGGACGGTGTGGCAGGGTGGGCTGGGTGGGAGGAATGGCTGGCCAGGCCGGGCAGGAGGCCGGGGAGGTCCCCGGTAGGCACTGCCCCCCGGGCCCGCTGCTGGGGAGGAAGGGAAGAAGGCTCTGGTTGGGCATGGGGCCTGGCCATCTCCTTACCTCGCAGGAAGTTAAGCTCTGTCAGCAGCTTCATCTCACGTCCCACGTCGAGCTGGCAATGGCGGAAGGAGGAGCTGGCAGCTGGCCGGAATGTCTGGAGGGCTTCAGTGGCTCGGGCAATCCTGGGATGGGGGCAAGAAAGGGTCAGGCACTGCCATGTGGGCAGTCTCCCTTCCCCTCAATTCTGTCTTGCTTGCCCCTAGAGCCTTGGGAACTGCTTTGGGAGCTGGTATCAGTTTGGCCTCATGAGAATCCTTAGAATGCCAGTTCTCCACCTGGCAGTACTGTAGACATTGTCCTAGATGTTGGTCACATCCATGATGTCCCTGCCCCCCTAGGAGCCCATGCCCCTGAGTACCTGTTGTGCAGCTGCTTGGCGGCTTGCACAAAGCAAGGCTGGTCTGTTTCCTTAAGTACTTCCTGGGCATAGCCCACCAGACCTGAGCCATCCAGCAGGCTCCGGTGCTCCTGGATCTGGGCGCTGAGACGGGCCAGCCGCTCCTGCTGGCATTCTTCAATGGCCTGAAGCAGTGATGCCCGCTTCTCCTCCAGCACAGCCCCCAGCCCCCGCACCAGCTGCGACACCTCCTCCTTGGCCTGCTGACCACTCACCTGCCCAGGGAGCAACACCCAAAGGATGCGTGACTTACTATCTTCTTTTTGGAGGCAGCACTTGTGCTGGCCTCCTTGGATGCCACAGCATGGCTAAGGTCACAAGGGATCTGGGGAAATCCTACTCACCCATTCCTACAGGGCCTGGGCTCATGGCTGCAAAGGCACCTCTAGATGGACTCAACTCCTGGTCATTTGTGCCAACCTTCCCGGAACCCCACATCATAATCTCTGCCCCTTAGTGACTCATCCAAATGAACGAGGCCATGGCTACCCTAATGTCCACTTGGACTGCACTAATTAATGTCCACTGGCATCTATGCCATCCTTAGTTGTCCATCCCCATGTCAGCCAGCTCAAGCAACCTGGCAGAAGGTATCAGTCATCACCTCACTCTAGCACTGGGAATGCGTGACATCCTCGGTAGGCACCTGAGCCTGAGAGCATCTGAGCTACGCGTGGGGTTTTTTGAGCTATGCATGGGGTTTTTCGAGCACTCTCCTGAGCTATAGCCACCCTGCCCCCTCCTGCAGCCCAGGTACAGCCTGGCCTGGGGCACTGGTGTTCCTGCAAACCTGGTTTAACCAGAACCTGGACACCTCACGGGCTTCCTGAGCTAGCAACAAGGTGATTGGGTCATGATCACCCACACCCCCTTCCTGCCCCTACTCCCAGGCAGGGCCCAGGGCCTACCTCTGTGCCCTCCCTCACCTCGGTGTGCCTCACGGCCTCCTCCAGCTCACAGATCTGGGTCTGTACCGTGTCCTGGTTTCCCAGGATGTATGTCAGGCTCTTTGTCAGCTTGTCCTGAGGGGGAAGAAAGAGGTGGGCATCAAGCCCAGCTCTGCAGAAGCCAGCAGTTGGGAGGAGGTGCAAGAGGGTAAGAGTGTGAGTTAGCACTAGGGTTGGATAAGGGGGGTCCTTACCTTGAGGGCCTGGTAGGCACTGAGCACTGGTGTGATCTTGTGCCCGCTGTGGGTGCGCCGCACCCGGCAGAGTTGACATACCAGGCGTTGGCATGTCTTGCAGTAGTGGGTCACCTCTTCCTTGTGGTCTGGGCACATAAGGCCCTAGGGACACAAAGAACAATGTGATGGTCAGACAATGGTGTGGGTAAGGGTGCTATGCTACCACTACAGCAGTTTGGTGCCCTCCTCCACTGGCAAGATGGGAGTGGAGACATCCGCTGGTGGTGCTCCACAGTGCCACCTGGTGGTACATACTGGCATCAAAGAGCCTTTCCTGCAGTCTCCGGGCGGTGCCCATTTCACCAGCATTGCACCTCCCTTCATCTCTCTCATTGGGATATATGGTAATAACAGTAATAATGATGCCAATTAATCTTTGCCTGGTAGTTAATAATTAACCTTGTCCATCTTGTTTACTGCTGTATCTCCAACACCTAGAATAGCACCATGCACATAGGTGCTCAATAAATATTTGTTCAGTGAGTGAATGCACACAGACCTTTTCAGTGTGCAGGTAACACTTTTTAGTGAACAAACATTATCTCACACCATCCTCTCAGCAACCCTTTAGGTATGGACATTGCAGGGCAGATACTACCATCCCCCTACAGGGATGTAAATGAGATGGAGGCCCAAAGTTGTTGAATGATTTGTCCAGTGACTTTGTGACAGATTACAGAGATAGGTGCTTAGCATTGGAAAACCCTTCCCACTTCCTTTTGGAAACCCACAATGCCAGGCACCCCCACCCACCTGCAGCAGCATGTCCCTCCCTCCCCAGGCCTTGGAAGGGCTGGCTCACCTTGGGTCGGAAGGAGAGGGTAGGCAGGGTGGGCTCATGCTGGGCCTTCTGGGTGCCCCAGGGGTGGAAGAGCTTGAAGCACTCATTGCAGAAGGTGGCGCGGCACTCTGTGCAGCCCTTGGTGGCCTCTAGTGGTGGGGGCTTGCACAACTGGCACAGGATGGCACCTCCCACACTCACACTCTGGCGGTACCGCTCCACCACACGCTCCAGGGTCAGGTTCCGGAAAAGCCCTGCCAGACCCCGCTCCCCAAGCTCCACATCACCTTGGCAGGCTGGGCACGGGAACATGATCACTTGGGGGTGCAAAGCACCTCGCTTCCTCCCAGGGTATGTCCCAAAGCCTGTGGGTGAACCAGGGAGGTAGAGGACATGAGAGTTACAGCTGGCTGGGTGTGGGGAAGCCTGTTTAATTAAATTAGATTTTCATTGTGCCAGAGCTCAGCTCTCATTAGAGCCTGCGTAAGCAGTATCTCCACCCCCCAGAAAGACAGACAGATGCCTCTGACCAGTGATGGACTTCTTCCATCTTCCTGATGAATAGCTCAGCGTTCCCATCCCCACCCTACAGGCCCCAGTCCCACCTGACTTAAGCAGCCGGTCCAGGCGGTCTGGCTTGGGGAGAGTTCTGCGGGAGAGGCGGGGGCTGCGGGTGGAAGGGGTGGAGGCAGGAGAGGTGGGCTCGGAGCTGGGGTCCCCACCATGTCCTATGTAGCCCTGCTGGCCCAAGACCTCTCGGGCACAGGCCTGGCACACGTTGTGGGTACAGGGCAGCACCAGTGGCTGCTTGTACATCTCTTGACACACTGGGCACAGCAGTTCCTTCTCCATGTTCTTCATGCTGGTCTGTGGAGGGACCAGGAGGCTAGGTCAGCGCTTGGACACTTAGGCATACCTCAGCAGCCCCTTGGCTGCCCTTGGATACCCTAGGGGTCTGAGGAAGGAGCAAGACAAGCTACCTGCAGCTTTTCCAGAGCACCTGCCTTGGGCTGGTTCACAGACCTTCCCAGACCTCTGTCCCTTGCTTCTCTTTCCCCGCTGCAGAGCTAAAGGCCCAGAGGAGGGACGGTTGGAGCTTGTGCCTGCTCCAGCCTCAAGCCCAATCCCCATTTCTCCAGCTGCAGTAGCCCCAGCTGGCAGCCCCCTCACCTGCCTCCATCCCCCATCTCTGGGCAGCTTGCCCCTGGCATTTTTCTCAAGGACACCGCCCATTCTGCAGCTCCATGCAGACCCCCACTCCCTTCTCTAGCAGCACCCCCATGCCGTGATTCCTCCCGATAGCCAGGCGAGGTTGGCACTCCATCCTGCTCGCTCCATACGTCCTCCTGCCGCAGCTCCGGCCTGCGGCCACTCCAGCCTCCATTCCCCATCCTTCACTTCCCCATCGGTCTTACCAACCCATTCCCCTTCGCCCCCATCAGGCCCTCCCGCCCTCTCCCGCAGCGCAACCCGGTCAGCGGCACCCCCTTCTCCGAACTAGCGGGGGAATCAAGAGCCCCGCCTACTCGCCCCCTCCCCACCGGAAGTCCCCTCCCCCTCTTGGTGGCGAGAGTGGGGGTCCTCAGGCTATGCCCCACCCCCACACCTCACCTTGGTCCCTCTCTTCGCAGCCATCCCGGTCAGGGGCGCAGCTGACACAAAGGAGGGAGGAACAAGGAGGGGGGGAGGAAGTGGTGGGGGGGAACACGGTTGGCACCGCCCCTGGGAGAGCCAGGCACGGGTTGCCATGACAACCGCAGGCTCGGAAGCAGCCCTGAGTGGGGGTGCGTGGGGTGGGGTCTTGGGGAGGGGTCCAAATTGGGAACTGCACTGTGGGGCGGCTCCTACATCATCCCCCACCTGTCCTCAGTTTTCTTGGAAAATATCCAAGCTCACACGTCCCTCTTCTCATAACAGGGCCTTTCCCCTGAAGCCCCAGCCCCGGTGCACTGCTGGAGGCCACCCCAGCCCACCCGCTGCGTCTGGGCTGCTCCTAGCTCCTCCTCACGCTCCAGCACACCGACGCCTTCACGGCACTCACCTCCGGGCTGCTCCCGGGATTACCCTCTCATACCTGCATCCCGACCCTCCCAGCCGTTTCTGCCATCGCTAGCCCCCTGTCTACATCCCAGCATCTTCCTGGATCCCCACCTGTTCCAGGTCCCAGCTTGCCCCAGAACCCTATACGCCCCCTCCCCTTCCCTCGACCCCACCTTAACTCACACTGATGCGGACCAGTGCGTCCATGATGGAAGTGAAGGTCTGCATATCCTCACCCTCTGCCATGGCCCTACCGTGCCCGCCCGCCCCTGGGTGCCCGATCCCGGCTGCGGCTGCGAACCCCGGGCTTAATGCAGGAGCCCAGTGGGGGTGTGAGGAGGGCTGGGGGTTGAGGTGTCACTGCGCATGCTCCCGGGACCAGCCTCGAACAGCGCCCGTCGGGGTAGGGGGTGGGAAATAGTTCTCCCCACGTGGTTCTCGAAAGCCGGTCGGGGGGTTGGGGAATATGGAAAGGTATTTGACGGGGGAGCCATTTCTTACATTCTCATTTTTCATTGGCTCCTAATTTTACTCATATAAAGCGGGGGATTAGTTTCGGAGGAAAATGAGTTCCTGGTTGGGAGCACTAAATTTTAGGTTGGGAGATGTTGAGGCATGGGGCAGGGAGGTTTGAGGAACGTGCACTAGAGATGAAAGAAATGGCAAAGAAGACAGAGATGGGATAGATGCCACAGGCATGGGCCCAATGACTTAAAGAGATAAGTGCACCTTGTACAGAGTGGCAGCAGACGCACCAGGTACGAGGAAAGCCTGAGGACCAGGGCGGTGGCCGAGGATGCCCCCTCGACGCATTATTTCCTCCCTGTCGCAAGAGGGCGCTGCGTCCAGGCACTGAGAGGAAGAAAGAGGAGAACGCGAGGAGTAGCAAGTCCGCGGTAAGCGCTGACGCATGCGCATAGCTAACCGCACCCGGTTCAGCTCGCCTTTCTTGGCCAGAGGCGCCGGTTGGACTCACGGGCGGGGCATGATGGGTAACAGGACCGGTGGGGTCCCCAGGAAGTCCTAGAGGGGGTCGGGGTTTGGGTGGACAAGCTTTCCTCGTCCTCTCCCGACAGAGCTGACGTGTCCTGGGTTCCACCGGGAGCGGGCATTTCCACCGGACGGGAGGGTTCGGGGTGTCCGGGGCTGGGGAATACGTAGGGGTTGCCGCGCGGTGTGGGGAGTTGGGGCGTGTGGCTGCAGTCCCGGGAGTTCTTGGAGGGGGTCGGCCCACCGAGCTTCCGGACCGGCTGATCTGCCCGTAGCTTGCCGGAGGGAGGGCGGAGCCTGACTCTCCGTCCCTTCTCCCATCCCCTCCAGTGGTGGGTACGGGCACCTCGCTGGCGCTCTCCTCCCTCCTGTCCCTGCTGCTCTTTGCTGGGATGCAGATGTACAGCCGTCAGCTGGCCTCCACCGAGTGGCTCACCATCCAGGGCGGCCTGCTTGGTTCGGGTCTCTTCGTGTTCTCGCTCACTGTATCCTCCCTGCAGTTGGAGGGGGCGGGCCACGTAGGCATGTGCCCTTCCCCTTCCCCACACAGCTCTGTCCCCGTTGCACACCCTACTCCTTAACTCCCTCAACCAGGCCTTCAATAATCTGGAGAATCTTGTCTTTGGCAAAGGATTCCAAGCAAAGATCTTCCCTGAGAGTAAGTGAATATTGGAGCTTGAGTATTTGAACTTTCTCCTCTTTAACCTCCTGAAACATGATATTGAATTTCCAGATGCTTAGGTGAAAGGTTGTTAAGGAGAAATATATTTACTGAAGCTGTCTGAAGACAGATGACGCTTTTCGATTCTGCACCTTGTATAGCTCCTGGAGTTGGAGCTGGAAGAGAAGGCCTTTGAAAGCAAGAAACTTTGGTACCTTCTGGCCAGCTCCCAGGGAAGGTTTGAGGGGAACAGGCAAATTTGGGCTGATGTTTTGCATCTATTCGCTGGGAGGCGGTCCTTGTTCCCACCAGAAGAAGCAGCAGGACCAAGTTCACTATGGAGTTCTGATGTGAAGTTAACTCAATATTAGAGAATTCTACTTATTTGAGGGAATTGTGAAGAGCCTAAATACTAGAGGCACCAAATATCTATGGCAGCAGGAATCCTGACCAAATCAGAATAACTGTTAGATTATTTCCTGTTTGGAATAATTCTTGTTCAATTGCTCATGTAATCAAGAATTGATGATTCAGTTATTTATGGAGAATTAAGTTTATAAAGCAAATTAAGTGTCAAGGCCAGATTACTTAAGGAATGCCACGTGCTCAGAAATTCACAGCAGATGCAATCTCATGTAAAACCCTCATGTGGTAAAACAAAGATCTATCATGGTTGCCCTTAATCTTTTCTCTTTTTTTTTTTTTTTTTTTTTTGAGACAAGGCTTTACTCTGTCGCCTAGGCTGGAGTGCAGGGATGTGATCACTGAAGCCTTGACCTGGTCTCAAGCAATCTTCCCTCCTCAGTCTTACCAGTAGCTGGGACTACCAGTGAGTGCCACCACACCCAGCTACTGTTTTAAGTTTTTGTAGAGATGGGGTTTCACCACATTGCCCAGGCTGGTCTCGAACTCCTGGGCTCAAGTGATCCTCCTATTTCAGCCTCCCAGAGTGCTGGAATTACAGGTGTGAGCCACTGTGCCTGGCTGCCCTCATTTCTTTGCCCCCCTCTAGGACTTGCTTTCTCCGCATAGCCCTTTTGCAGGCTTCAGAGTTCTTTCCATCCAGTAGCCCCGGGACTTCTCTCTGTTAGGTTTTGTTTCCATATGTATTACCTTCACTTGCTTCTTTTTTTTTTTTTTTTTGAGATGGAGTCTCGCTCTGTCACCCATGCTGGAGTACAGTGGTGTGAACCCAGCTCACTGGAGCCTCTGCCTCCCAGGTTCAAGCGATTCTCCTGCCTCAGCCTCCCGAGTAGCTGGGATTACATGCGTGCGCCACCATAACTGGCTAATTTTTGTATTTTTGGTAGAGATAGGATTTCACCATGTTGGTTAGGCTGGTCTTGAACTCCTGACCTTAAGTGATCCACCCGTCTTGGCCTCCCAGAGTGCTGGGATTACAGGGGTGAGCCACTGTGCCTGGCTTTTCAGTTGCTTCTGAAAGAAACCATTGGCTGGGTGGGATGGCACACGCCTGTAATCCTAGCACTTTGGGAGGTGTAGGCTGGCAGATAGCTTGGGCCCAGGAATTCAAGACCAGCTTGGGCAACATAGAGAGACCCTGTCTCTCCAAAAAAATACAAAAATTAGCCGGGCATGGTGGTACGCACCTATAGTCCCAGGTACTCGGGAAGCTGAGGTGGGATGATCGCTTGAGCCCAGGAGATCAAGGCTGCAGTGAGCTGAAACTGCACCACTGCACTCCAGCCTGGGCGACAGAGTGAGATTCTGCCTCAAAAATAAAAAAAAATAATAAAAAAAGAAAAGATGCCATTGTGGTGGGGCAAAGTTCTTGGCCCACTTTGCCTTCTCTGCCCTCTCCACCTGGGCAGGTGGGGCCCTGTTTGTCTTTGCTTTTGTCCTCTCACCTTCTCTCCCATCATATTCCAGGTAACCTAAAATCCTTTCCTGCCCCCATGAAGAAGTAGATCCAAGCACTCTGCCCTCCAACCTGTGTCCAGGGAGCAAGGCCTTCAACTTCCACCACTGGTCACCCAGCTTAATGAATTGACTCTCATTGTCTGGCTTCTTTTGGAAAGGGTTTAACTGGGTTCCCCAAATGGGAACACACCTTGCCCTTCAGACTCTGTTGTCCATCACCTTTCCTTTTTCCTTTTATGGGAGGAAAGCCAGGGTAGGGAAGTTATGTGAGATATGGGGCAGAGCTGGTAAAAAAAAGCATACATCTACATCCATGTTCTTTTTTTTTTTTTTTTTTTTTGGAGACGGGGTCTCACTCTGTTGCCCAGGCTGGAGTGCAGTGGTGCGATCACAGTTCACTGCAACTTTGAACTTCCTGGCTCAAGGGTTCCTCCAACTTCAGCCTCCTGAATAGCTGGGACTACAGGCATGTGTACCACTGTACTACCTGGCTAAATTTTTTTTAATTCAATTTTTTTTTTTTTTAAGAGATGGGTCTCACTTTGTTGTTCAGGCTGGTCTCAAACTCCTGGGCTCAAGTGATCTGCCCACCTCAGCCTCCCGAAGTGCTGGGATTCCAGGTGCAAGCCACCACACTCAACCTCCTACCTCCATGTTCTGGGTATCATTAAGGTAATCAGAATCCTCCTGCTGTAGTCACGCTTACCCTTCTAAGCAGGTTCCCCAGGATTCAGAGAGCCCCGGATTTCTCCTGGACTCCATGTGCAGATGCCTAGTATTTCCATTCTGACCGTTGCCCTCCTTGTTCTTCTTGCCTCCCTAGTTCTCCTGTGCCTCCTGTTGGCTCTCTTTGCATCTGGCCTCATCCACCGAGTCTGTGTCACCACCTGGTATGTTCTTGACAGCTGGGTAAGGGGTGTAGCATTCCGTTTTTTGGCATTGGATCTTACTGTGATGGTGCCAGAGTTTTTCCTTCCACACCTACCTCTCTCTCTGTTCTCCCTCCCCGTTTTCCTAAACTTGAACTTGGATTCTTTCCTTGATGCTAGTGTCTTCCCTAGGAGGCACCAGGCTGGCAGATGCCCACTGGTGCCATGACCTTTCTGTCTTCACCATATAGCTTCATCTTCTCCATGGTTGGTCTGTACTACATCAA
Source organism: Homo sapiens (assembly GCF_000001405.40). Lineage (NCBI taxonomy): Eukaryota > Metazoa > Chordata > Mammalia > Primates > Hominidae > Homo > Homo sapiens. The sequence continues at coordinate 155,169,524 of NC_000001.11, read as the reverse complement.
CAAGATCTCCTCCACCCTGTACCAGGCAGCAGCTCCAGTCCTCACACCAGCCAAGGTCACAGGCAAGAGCAAGAAGAGAAACTGACCCTGAATGTTCAATAAAGTTGATTCTTTGTAGCTCTGTGAGTTGTGATATGTTGTGGGTGTCATCTACCAGTATCCAGCTTAGATGTACAGAATGTTAAGACATTTGGGCACCTTCTGTTTTCAGACCTTGGGAATAGTGAGGCTTTCCTTCCTCCCACATTAATTTTTACCAGTTATCTGTTGAATACTGTCAGTGCCACTGGAGTGGCATATACTTGTGTGAGTCTCATCATGGAAGAAAAGTACATGAATGTTCTGCAGTCGTGTTCTTTGGGGAAAGGGGTAAAGGCTGCAATGCAGGAAGTCCTGTCCGTCAGTACCAGAAGGGATCTTGGAGCAAAAGAGTAAAGGAAGGAAAGGTCCCGTATACCTACACTGTTTCACGGGGTTCCACGTGGTATCTTTGCCACTCCAGCTCCCTGCCTTAAGCAAATCAGCCCCCTGCTGCAAGTGCATAGGTGGGACTTCTCTCCTGATGCTGTCCCTGGGACCTATCTGTTCTACTTCAGCATGAACATATGGCTGTGTTTAGAAAGACTCCCCAGGTGATCAACTGCTCCTAGCCTGTTTGTTCTGGTGCTTTCATTTTTTCCCCATCTTGTAGCCAAGACAATGGGAACTTCCTAAATTGTAGCGAAGTATATAAAACAATAGGAGCAAGGACACCAACCTCTGAGCCCACCTTGATGGAAATGCAGGTGGCTACTTGCACCCTGCCCTGTCTGTGCTCTGTCATGAGGAACAACTCTATGCAGAGTGCCCGTCCTAGGTGCCGTCCCTCGTGCTGAATGGCGTGTGTTTTAGGGTATACACCTCATCTTGGTCAGCTTTGTTTTTTCCAGAGCCTGATAATGGACAATAAAGACTGGTGGGTTGGGCCAGCCATGGTGGCTCAAGCCAGTAATCCCAGCACTTTGGGAGGCTGAGGTGGGTGGATCACTTGAGGTCAGGAGTTTGAGACTAGCCTGGCCAACATGGGGAACCCCATCTCTATGAAAAATGCAAAAATTAGCCAGGTGTGGTGGTGTGTGCCTGTAGTCCCAGCTACTTGGGAGGCTGAGGCACGATAATCGCTTGAACCCAGGAGGTGGAGGTTGCAGTGGGTGGAGATTGCGCCACTGCACTCCAACCTGAACGACAGTGAAACTCTGTCTCAAAAAAAAAAAAGGTGGGTTAGTTGAATGAAATAACCTGCCCTGACAAACAAAATCCTGTCCATAGGTGCCTGAGTTAGGGAATAAGACTCAGTGAAGATGAAGAAGTGAGTAGAGGAGTTTTGGTCAGGGATTAGAGGCCACCCCACTCCACTCCCATCTTTGGCTAGAACACTTGCCCTTCCGTAACCTGCCCAAGGAGGATGTGCTAGGCAGTTTATCCAAAACGCCTGCAGGGGGCGCTATGGACTCACGTCTGCCTCCTGGAAGCCAGCGGCACCCTCCTAGGCAAGCTATCCCTGAGGGCCGGGAGTGGCGTTAGTTGCTGCTGGGTCCGTCAGTGTGGAAGCCAGCCTTCTTAGAAGACTCGGAAGACTGGTCCATTTGGAAGGACTGAATCCTGAATTAAGCCTCTTCTCCCCCTAGGCTGGGAGTGGAGGCGGAAAGTTCAGTGGAGACCAGAGAGAGCCTCCCTGAGAAGATCTGGCTCTGACTCACCCGTACTGATGGTTGGGGAGGGCGGTGGGTTGTGATATATGAGACCCTCTGGGAGAGGACGAGGTTGTCCAAGTTGGTCTCTGGGCCTAAAGGGAGGCTGGATTGGCTCTAAGTCTCACTGTCAAACCTCGACTTTGTCCTAACCCGTGGGAGCACTGGGCAGAGGGTCAGGTCCCAGTCCAGGTGAGCACAGACACAGCCTAGGGCGGGGAGGGGGGAAGGGAGTGGCGGGGGACGGGATGGGGGGAGACTGGGGATCCGGCCACCAGAGGGCATCATGCCTTCCACAACGAGAGCTGGCTTTGGTGGGGACCAGCAGCGAGCATCATCTCTATGGCTAGGGGAGGGTGGGGAGGAGCCGGAGAGCAGGTGCCAGGGCAGTGCCAAGGGATCTGAGCACCTACTGCCACCCACTGCGTAGGCACCATGGGCAGCATGTGGCCCAGGAATAATGACGCCTTCCTCAGGGAATGAGTACATTTACAAGGCAGGTTGGCGCCAACGTCGCAGCTCTGCACCCTGCCTGGTTGCAGGCTGCCTGCACCTGACCTGCCAATTAACCCTGGCAGGGGTATCACAGCCACCTAATCACCATCATTAAGTAAGGGGGCGTGAGGACTCCATGGCTGCCAGAGCCCTGAGGGTGAGAAGGGCAAAGGTGCTAACCTCTTGGCCCCTGGACTTCTGGGGCTCAGTTCCACCCCGGAGGAGGCGGTAGGCCTGAGGGAGAGAGAGGCGGTAGGCCTGAGGGAAAGAGAGGCGTCCCCGCCCCTGGGGGACAGAGGGAAGCCAGATGTTTCCTCCTGCTCCCTCACACGTGGCCCTAACACCCGCCGGCGCCCGCAGCCAGCTCCGGAAACAGGAGTAAATAATGCAGGGGATGGGGCTGCGGGGAGTGCGGGAGGGCGCTCGCTCTGCGGGTTCCTGGGGGCAGAAGGGATGCCTCCAGAGAAAAGGGAGAGCAGTAGGAATGTGAGACCAAGGGCAAGGAGGCTGACTCCCTGAGGACTGGCACTTAGGCCGTGCTGGCGGGTCAGGGCGGGAGGGTGGGGGCGCCCAGGGCAGGCAGGGAGGGGGAGTCTGCGCCAGGCCTTGGCTCCAGCCCTTTCCGGCCCTTATTGTCCTTGGTGAGAACAGGACGCTGTCCCGTTCCCACTGCCGGGCTCCCCCAGCTCTGCTCCCCAGGGGCTGGGGAAGGATGTTGGGAAACAAGAGAGAGCCAGAGACCCGTAGAGACAGAGATGCTGAGAGACACAGAGACAGATACAAAGGGGAAGGTTCAGTCAAAAGCGGGCATTGAAGCTTATTATGAGCCCAGTGGGGCCTGAGCGCTGTGGGAACTGCGAAAGAATGGGAAGCCTGGAGGCCCTGCCCTCAGGGACCTCCGGGCTGGCCTGCCCTGTGCGCACTCCTCCTTGACTTAGGCTTACTAGGATCTGCCTCCCAAGCAAACAATGGTGGGACTCTCACATAGGCACAGTTGGGGCACTTAATAGCTCTGCTTTAGGTACCTTTCTTTGCTTTTCTCCCAGCAGCCTGGAAGTTTCTCAGGGGGCAGTGCCGAGATCGGGATCAGGTTCCCAAAGCCACTCCCGCACCTCCCACCCCCAGGGCTGAAAGCCAGCTGGCCACATAGAGGTTGCTCTGTAAATGCTATTTGGTTGAGTTCCTGCAGAGGCAGAGAGAGAAGCCCCCCAGCTGGCCTTATGGTTAGGCATCCCATCACCTCGGGTGAAGGGTCAGGTGGAGGAGGCCTGACCACTGGCAGGAGGCAGAGTTCAGAGCTTTGGGCAGGGTTTGAAGAGCCAGCTGTTCCCACCCCAGCCTCTGCAGGGGGCCAGGGGCAGGGTGGGAAACGACCCACAGATCTCAGCAACTGCTCCCTTGGAGACACGACTTCTGAAAGATGGAGAGAAGTCTAGGTCCCTACTGTCTGTGGAGGTTTCAGATACACTTGGAAATGAGAAAAACAGGCACGTTTACGTTTGATAAATTAACACATTTTTTTTTTGGAAGAGCGTTTTTCCCAGGCTGGTCTCAAACTCCTGGCCCCAAGTAATCTTCCTGTCTAGGCCTCCCAAAGTGCTGGGATTATAGGCGGGAGCCACTGCACCCAGCCAGATTAACACTTTTTCACACAAAATTACAATACAATTATGCTATCCACAAGATTTATTTTTGTTTTTATTTTTTTTGAGACGGAGTTTTGCTTTTGTTGCCCAGGCTGGAGTGCAATGGCACTATCTCGGCTCACCGCAACCTTCATCTGCCTCCTGGGTTCAAGTGATTCTCCTGCCTAAGTCTCCCAAGTAGCTGGGATTATAGGCATGCGCCACCACGCCTGGCTAATTTTGTTGCATTTTTAGTAGAGATGGAGTTTCACCATGTTGGCCAGGCTGGTCTCGAACTCCTGACCTCAGGTGATCAGCCCATCTCGGCCTCCCAAAGTGCTGGGATTACAGGTGTGAGCCACTGCACCTGGCTATCCACAAGATCATTACAGAATTTATAGAAAATTTTCCTTTACAGGGTACTGCAGGTCCTATTTTATAAAGTCTTGTGACAGGAACTTAAACAAATTTACAAGAAAAAAACAAACAACCCTATTAAAAAATGGGCAAAGGGGCTGGGCTTGGTGTCTCACGCCTGCAATCCCAGCACTTGGGGAGGCTGAGGCAGGCGGATCACGAGGTCAGGAGTTCGAGACCAGCCTGACCAACATGGTGAAACCCTATCTCTACTGAAAATACAAAAATTAGCCAGGCGTGGTGGTGCGTGCCTGTAATCCCAGCTACTCAGGAGGCCGAGGCAGGAGAATCGCTTGAACTCGGGAGGTGGAGGTTGCAGTGAGTCGAGATTGAGCCACCGCACTCCAGCCTGGATGACAGAGCCAGACTCTGTCTCAAAAAAAAAAAAAAAAGCCTCCAAAAGTGGGCAAAAGACATGAACAGACACTTCTCAAAAGAAGACATACATGTGACCAAAAAACATATGAAAAAAAGCTTAACATCACTGATCATTAGAAAAATGCAAATCAAAACCACAATGACACCATCTCTTGCCACTCAGAATGGCTATTAAAAAGTCAAAAAACGTCCGGGCATAGTGGGTCACGCCTGTAATCCCAGCACTTTGGGAGGCCAAGGCGGGTGGATGTCTTGAGGTCAGGAGTTCCAGATTAGCTTGACCAACATGGTGAAACCCTGTCTCTACTAAAAATAAAAAATTAGCCAGGCATGGTGGTGTGCGCCTGTAATCCCAGCTACTCGGGAGGCTGAGGCAGGAGAATCGCTTGAACTCAGGAGGCAGAGGTTGCAGTGAGCTGAGGTCGTGCCACTGCACTCCAGCCTGGGTGACAGAGCGAGACTCTGTCTAAAAAAAAAAAAAAAAAAAAAAAAAAAAAGTCAAAAAACAACAGATGCAGGCAAGGTTGCGGAGAAAAAGGAACGTTTTTACTCTGTTGGTGGGAGTGAAAATTGGTTCAACCATTGTGGAAGACAGTGTGGTTATTCTTCAAAGACCCAGAGGCAGAAATACTATTTGACTCAGCAATCCCATTACTGGGTATATATACCCAAACGAATAGAAGTCATTCTGTTATAAAGATACATGCACGTGTATATTCATTGCAGCACTATTCACAATAACAATGACATGGAATCAACCTACATGCCCATCAATGATAGACTGGATAAAGAAAATATACACCATGGAGGTACATATACACCATGGAATACTATGTTTATATACGCCATGGAATACTATATACACCATGGTACATATACACCATGGAATACTATGCAGCCATAAAAAGGAATGAGATCATGTCCTTTGCAGGGACATGGATGGAGTTGGAAGTCATTATCCTCAGCAAACTAACACAGGGACAGAAAACCAAACACCACATGCTCTCACTTATAAGTGGGAGCTGAACGATGAGAACACACGGACACATGGTGGGAACCACACCACTGGGGTCTTTCAGAGGGATAGGGGTAGGGGAGGGAGAGCATCAGGAAGAATAGCTGATGGATACTGGGCTTAGTACCTGGGTGATGGGATGATCTGTGTAGCAAACCACCACGGCACACATTTACTTATGTAACAAACCTGCACATCCTGCACATGTACCCCAAACTTAAAATAAAAGTTGAAAAAAAAGAAATGTCTTCTGATAATAGGCATACCAGATTCATTGTACTATTCTTTCTACTTGTGTGTGTGTGTGTGTGTGTGTGTGTGTGTATAGCTATTCTCCTGCCTCAGCTTCCCAAAGTGCTGGGATTACAGGCATGAGCCACCGAACTTGGCCCTCCTTTTGTATATATTTGAAAATTCCATAATAAAAGTTAAATCAATTTTATGGTAAGTCCTTACATTCTGTTCTATCAGAGTAACAGCGTGACTGTAACCACACTTGGAGATAACATCAGAAGTCTGAATTTGAGGCCTTATGTGTCAATAAGGCCTGAGCCAAATGGCCCTCATGGTCTGTGAGGAGCCCTTCTCTGAGAACTCCTCTTTTTTTTTCTTGAGACGGAGTCTCCCTCTGTCGCCCAGGCTGGAGTGCAGTGGTGCAATCTCGGCTCGCCACAACCTCCACCTCCCGAGTTCAAGCAATTCTCCTGCCTCAACCTCCTGAGTAGCTGGAATTACAGGCGTGCACCACCACACCCGGCTAATTTTTGTATTTTTAGTAGAGATGGGGTTTTACCATGTTGGCCAGGCTGATCTCGAACTCCTGACCTCAGGTGATCCATGTGCCTTGGCCTCCCAAAGTGCTAGGATTACAGGCGTAAGCCACCGCGCCCAGCTGAGAACTCTTATATCAGGTAAGTTGGGAGAGAAGAGCTGGCAAAGGTTACCCTATCCATTTTAGGAAGAGGCTGCACTGTCAGAAGGAGCTGGAGGGCAGGATTCCTGTCCATAGAGGCCCAGATCCTACAGAAATAAACCCTTCCACATTCCCCTTTTCTGGGTTAAGAGTTACTATGGGGGCCAGGTGTGGTGGCTTATACCTGTAATCCCAGTACTCTGGGCGGCCTAGGCGGGCGGATCACCTGAGGTCAGGAGTTTGAGACAAGCCTGGCTAACATGGTGAAACCCCATCTCTACCTAAAATACAAAAATTAGCTGGGTGTGGTGATACATGCCTGTAATCCCAGCTATTCGGGAGATTGAGGGAGGCGAATAGCTTGAACCCAGAAAGTGGAGGTTGCAGCAAGCGGAGATTGTGCCACTGCACTCCAGCCTGGGCTACAGAGGAAGACTCTGTCTGGAAAAAAAAAAAAAAAAAAGAGTTACCATGGGGCCTCAGGATTTTTCAAGGAAATTGCTGAAACCGAGGTATGTGTATGTCTGTGTGTGAGGGTACTAGGAGTGACGCCCCAGGGAGACCCCTCCTTTCTGTTTTCAGCCTCCGGCCCCAGGGGGAAAGAGCCCACTTCTTGAAATCAGACAGACTTAATTTCTAGTTTTGGCCCTGACACTTACCAGGTGAGGGTCCTTGGGCAAGGTGAGTGATCCCTCTGCACATTAAGTTCCTTAACTGTAAAATGGGGATAATAATACCTACCTCAGTGTGTGGTAACGTGGATTTTAATTAAATAACAGTGCAGAAGAGCCTAGCATTGCACTTGACATACTAGGCATTTGACAAACATTATTTCTTCCCTTTGTGATGACAACAACTACCTTTAATTGAACATTTACCACTTGCCAGTCACTGTACTCATGCTTTATAGATATCCTCAATTTTAACCCTTCCACCAACCTCATAAGAGCAATATTCTTACTTCATGTGATGGTTAATTTTATGTGTCAAGTTGGCTGTCACAGTGCAGTGACAGAATGTGGTCATTCTTTTGGATATTTCAGTGACAGTGTTTTGGGATGAGATTAGTATTTAAGGCTGAGTGAGGTGGCTCATGCCTATAATCCCAGCACTTTGGGAGGTGTGGGCGGGTGGATCACCAGAATTCGGGAGTTTGAGACCAGCCTGGCCAACATGGTGAAACCCTGTCTCTACTAAAAATACAAAAATTAGCCAGGCATGGGCCGGGCGTGGTGGCTCATGCCCGTAATCCCAGCACTTTGAGAGGCCGAGGCGGGAGTATCACGAGGTCAGGAGATCGAGACCATCCTGGCTAACATGGTGAAACCCCGTCTCTACTAAAAATACAAAAAATTAGCTGGGCATGGTGGTACGTGCCTGTAGTTCCAGCTACTCGGGAGGCTGAGGCAGGAGAATGGCATGAACCTGGGAGGCGGAGCTTGCAATGAGCCAAGACCGCACCACTGCACTCCAGCCTGGGTGACAGAGCAAGACTCCGTCTCAAAAAAAAAAAAAAAAAAATTAGCCAGGCATGGTGTCGCAGGCCTGTAATCCTAGCCACTTGGGAGGCTGAGGCAGGAGAATCACTTGAACTGGGGAGGCGGAGGTTGCAGCGAGCTGAGATTGTGTCACTGCACTCCAGCCTGGGCATCAGAGCAAGACTCTGTCTCAAAAAAAAAAAAAAGAGAGAGAGAGAGTGAAAGATTAGTATTTAAATATTTAAATTGGTAGGGTTTAGGTAAAGCAGATTGCCCTCCATCCATGATGTGATTGGGTCTCATCCAGTCAGTTGAAGGTTCAAACAGAACAAACGACTGACCTTCCCTGAGCAAGAGGGAGTTTAGAAGCACGTAGCATTGAGACTTGAACTGAACCTTGACTCTTCTCTGGGTCTTCAGTCTGCCCACAACCCTGCAGATCTTGGATTTACCAGCCTCCATAATGGTGTGAAACAATTCCTTTTTTTTTTTTGGCAGAGATGGGGTCTCACTCTCACTTAGGTTTGAATGCAGTGGCACTGTTATAGGTCATGCAGCCTCACACTTCTGAGCTCAAGTGATCTTCTCATCTCAGCCTCCCGACTAGCTGAGACTACAGGCAAGCACCACCAGGCCCAGCTAATTTTTTATTTTTTATTTTTTTGTAGAGACGGAGTCTTGCTATGTTACCCAGGCTGGTCTCAAACTCCTGGGCTCAAGTGATCCTCCCACCTCGGCCTCCCAAAGTGCTGAGATTACAGGAGTGAGCCACTGTGCCTCTCCCTCTCTTTCTCTTGCCATATACATACACATGGAAAGAGAGAGAGTTCCTGAGGGGCAGCACCAGGATCACACACACACACACACACACACACACACACACCCTATTGGTTCTGATCATCTGGAGAACCCTTGACTAATACACCCTGTTTCAGTAAAATGAAATGGGGTTAAATGAAAGAAAGGCTAATCTGCTCAAGATTATACACAACCGATAAATGAAGGCGGAATTGGAGTTCACATTCAGATCCATCTGTGCCCACCATGTTGCTTAACCAGCATGACTACAGTGCATGGTTACAACACACCATCTGGCTCCTGCCACCTCTCTGATGTCGCCTCCTTGCTCTCTTCCCCACACTCACTCCATCCTGCCCCCAGACCCTGCATGTCCCCTGTGCCAGGCACGTTTCCACCTCGCGGCCTTTGCACTTGCTGTTCCTGTGCCTGAAACGCTTTCTCAGCAGATATCTACACTTCTCTCTTCTGTATGTCATTCAGGTCTCTGTGCAAATGTCTCCTTCTCAGACAGGCCTTTCTGATCGTGCTATATGACACAGTACAGCCTGTCACCTTCTAGCCCCTTACCTTGCTATACTTTTCTTCATAGTACTTTTCACTACTTGGTGAATATATGTTATTTTTATTTTTAGTAGAGATGAGGTCTATGTTGCCCAGGCTGACCTTGAACTCCGGCCTCAAGTGATCCTCCTGCCTTGGGCTCCCAAAGTGCTGGGATTACAGGTATGAGCCACTGGGCAGGTTTAGTTGGTATATTAAATGTTTATTTTTGTCTTGTCTGTCTCCCATCACTAGAGTATAAGGTTCATTGAAGGCAGAGAATTTGTCTATTTTGTCCACTAGAATGCTGTTTGGCATAGAGTAGGTGTTCAACAAATGTTTATTAAAAGAAGAACCAAGGGCCAGGTGCCGTGGCTCACGTCTGTAATCCCAGCACTTTGGGAGGCTGAGGCGGGCAGATCAGCTGAGGTTGGGAGATCAAGACCAGACTGACCAACACGGAGAAACCCCATCTCTACTAAAAATACAAAATTAGCTGGGTGTGTTGGCACTTGCCTATAATCCCAGCTACTCGGGGGGCTGAGGCAGGAGAATCACTTGAACCTGGGAGGTGGAGTTTGTGGTGAGCCGAGATCGCGCCATTGTACTACAGCCTGGGCAACAAGAGCAAAACTCTGTCTCAAAAAAAAAAAAAAAAGAAGAAGAACCAAGAACCCCATTGGCAACACACCACTCTTGTACTTTGAGCCCTTTGTTGAAACTCAACTTCTACCCTGCATCAACTCCAAATTGCTGAATCCTCAGAATGATCCAGATGTTTTTCTCAGCTGCTCAGACCTGTTCCTGAGTCTGTCCACCTTCAGGCTATCATATTTTCCCATCTTCGTCTCTTGTAGCTTACCTTCTCTAGGAAACCCTGACTCACCCAGCCCCTTCTCCACTACTCCCCTTTTAAAAGTTTGTCTGTGTTTTTGTTAATTGCATGTGCTTTTGTCCTGTTGCCCTATGGAACTGTGGGTGCCCTGAGGGCAGGGATGAAGTCAACACAACCTGACTACCTGAAACCTTCCCCAAGGACCTAGTAATTACCTTGACACCTGTGGACATCCAGAAATCCCTACTGCCTGACAGGCATACAAGGGGGGCTGCCCACCCCTCTAAGGGGTGGGGCCACTACTCAGGGACCAACTTGGTTCACACCGTTCTCCTGCCTCAGCCTCCCAAGTAGATGGGACTACAGGTGCCTGCCACCACGCCCCGCTAATTTTTTGTATTTTTAGTAGAGACGGGGTTTCACCATGTTAGCCAGGATGGTATCAATCTCCTGACCTCGTGATCCACCTGCCTCGGCCTCCCAAAGTGCTGGGATTACAGGTGTGAGCCACCGCACCTGGCGGTTTTATTTGTTCTTATTGGATAGATGGTCCCCAACTTATGATGGTTCAATAAATGATTTTTTGATTTTACAATGGTGTGAAAGCGATACTCATTTGATAGAAACCCCAACTTGTGTACCCATACGGCCATTCTGTTCTCACTTTCAGCATAGTATTCAATAAATTTTATGAGATATTCAACAATTTATTATAAAATAGGCTTTGTGTTAGATGATTTTGCCCAACTGTAGGCTAATGTAAGTGGGTTTTGTTTTGTTTTGTTTTTTTGAGATGGAGTCTCACTCTGTCGCCCAGGCTGGAGTGCAGTGGCACGATCTCGGCTCACTGTGAGCTCCGCCTCCCAGGTTCACGCCGTTCTCCTGCCTCAGCCTCCCAAGTTGCTGGGACTACAGGCGCCCACCACCACGCCCAGCTAATTTTTTGTATTTTTAGTAGAGACAGGGTTTCACCATGTTAACCAGGATGGTCTCGATCTCCTGACCTCGTGATCTGCCCGCCTTGGCCTCCCAAAGTGCTGGGATTACAGGCATGAGCCACCATGCCTGGCCAGGGTAATGTAAGTGTTTTGAGCATGTTTGAGGTTGGCTAGTCCAAGCTATATGTTTGGTGGTTTAGGTGCACTAAACTCACTTCGACTTACAATATTTCCAACTTACGATGGACTTATGGGGGTGTAGCCCCATCAGAAGTCAGTCGAGAAGCATTTGTATAATAAAGTGTCAACAGTTGGAAGATTAGCATCACTCAGTGAGTCAATATTAATATCTTCAAATATTACAAAATTATGCAAGAGTAAAGGATCTATGCAAAGTGCAAGAGAAACCAATGAATCATAATGTAACAGAGTATGAAAAGTCCACTGATACAGTTTTATTTATTTATTTATTTATTTATACTTGTTTAAAATTGTGGCCAGGTGCGGTGGCTCATGCCTGTAATCCCAGCACTTTGGGAGGCCGAGACAGGCAGATCATTTGAGGTCAGGAGTTCAAAACCAGCCTGGCCAATATGGTGAAACCCCATCTCTACTAAAAATACAAAAATTAGCCAGACATGGTGGTGGGCACCTGTAATCCCAGCTACTTGGGAGGCTGAGGTAGGAGAATTGCTTGAGCCTAGGAGGCGGAATTTGTAGTGAGCCGAGATGGTGCCACTGCACTCCAGCCTGGGCGACAGAGCGAGACTGTCAAAAAAAAAAATTGTTTTATTTTTAATTTTTGTGGGTACATAGTGGGTGTATATATTTATGAGGTACGTGAGATATTTTGGTGTAGGCATGCAAGGCGTAATAATCACATCATGGAAAATTAGGTATCCATTCCCTCAAACATTTGTCCTTTGTGTTACAAACAATCCAATTATCTTCTTTTAGTTATTTTAAAAAGTACAATTAAATTATTATTAACTATAATCCCCCTGTTGTGCTATTAACTACAAGGTCTTACTCATTCTAGCTATTTTTTGTACCCATTAACCATCCCTACATCCCCCTACTATCCTTCCCAGCCTCTGATAACCATCCTTCTATTCTCCATCTCCATGAGTTCAATTGTTTTTATTTTTATTTTTGTTTTTTTACTTATTTTTATTTTATTTTATTTTATTTTTATTATTATTTTTTGAGATGGAGTCTCGCTGTGTTGCCCTGGCTGGAGTGCAGTGGTGCAATCTTGGCTCACTGCAACCTCCGCCTCCCAGGTTCAAGCGATTCTCCTGCTTCAGCCTCCCAAGTAGCTGGGACTACAGGTGCGTGCCACCATGCCCGGCTAATTTTTTGTATTTTTAGTAGAGATGGGGTTTCACCATGTTAGCCAGGATGGTCTCGATCTCTTGACCTCGTGATCTTCCCACCTCGGCCTCCCAAAGTGCTGGGATTACAGGCGTGAGCCATCGTGCCCGGCCTGTTTTTAATTTTTTATGTATTTTTTGAGACAGAGTTTTGCTCTTGTCGCCCAGGCTGGAATGGCGTGATCTTGGGTCACTGCAACCTCCGGCTCCTGGGTTCAAGTGATTCTCCTGCCTCAGCCTCCTGAGTAGCTGGGATTACAGGTGCCAGCCACCATGCCCAGCTAATGTTTACATTTTTAGTAGAGATGGGGTTTCACCACGTTGGCCAGGCTGGTCTTGAACTCCTGACCTCAGGTGATCCACCCACCTCAGCCTCCCAAAGTGCTGGGATTACGGGCATGAGACACCACCCCTGGTCTGTTTTGATTTTTAGGACCCATAAATAAGTGAGAACATGTGATGTTTGTCTTTCTGTTCCTGGCTTATTTCACTTAACATAATGACCTCCAGTTCCATCCATATTGTTGCAAATGACAGAATTTAATTCCTTTTTTATGGCTGAATAGTACTCCATTGTGTATATGTGCCACATTTTCCTTATCCATTCATCTGCTGATGGACACTTAACGTGCTTCCAAATCTTGACTATTGTGAACAGTGCTGCAACAAACATGGGAGTGCAGATATCTCTTTGATATACTGATTTCCTTTCTCTTTTGGTATACACCCAGCAGTGGGATTGCTGAATCACATGGTAGCTCTATATTTAGTTTTTTTGAGGCATCTGTAAACTCTGCTTGCACTAATTTACATTCCCACCAACAGTGTAGGAGGGTTCCCTTTTCTCCACATCCTTGCCAGCATTTATTATTACTTGTCTTTTGGATATAAGCCATTTTAACTGGGGCAAGATGATATCCCATTGTAGTTTTGATGTGCAGTTCTCTGATGATCAATGACGTTGAGCACCTTTCCATATGTCTGTTTGCCATTTGTATGTTTTCTTTTGAGAAATGTCTACTCAAATCTTATGCCCATTTTAAAATCAGATTATTAGATTTTTTTCCTAAAGAGTTGTTTAAGCTCCTTATATATTCTGGTTATTAATCCCTTATCAGATTGCAAATATTTTCTTCCATTCTGTGGGTTGTCTCTTCACTTTGTTGTTATTTCCTTTGTTATGCTTTTTAACTTGATGTGATCTCATTTGTCCATTTTTGCTTTAGTTGCCTGTTCTTATGGTATATTACTCAAGAAATTTTTGCCCAGACCAATGTCCTGGAGTTTCCTCAATGTTTTCTTGTAGCAGTTTCATAGTTTGAGGTCTTAGATTTAAGACTTTAATCCATTTTGATTAGATTTTTGTATATGGCGAGAGACAGGGGTCAAGTTTCATCCATTTTTTTTTCCTGTGCAATCTGCCTCCCTTGTTTCATTCTTCTGCATATGAATATCTAGTTATCCCAGCACCATTTATTAAAGAGAATGTTTTTTTCCCCAGTGTATGTTCTTGGCACCTTTGTCAAAAATGAGTTTACCATAGGTGTATAAATTTGTTTCTGGGTTCTCTATTCTGCCATTGGTCTATGTGTTCGTTTTTATGCCAGTTCCATGCTGTTTTGCATACTATAGCTCTGTAGTGTAATTTGAAGTCAGGTAATGTGATTCCTCCAGTTTTGTTCTTTTTGCTCAAGATAGCTTTGGCTATCCTGGATCTTTTGTGATTCCATACAACTTTTAGGATTGTTTTGTCTATTTTCGTGAAGAATGTCATTGGTAGTTTGATAGGGATTTCTTTGAATCTGTAGATTGCTTTGGGTAGTATAGACATTTTAACAATATTGATACTTCCAATCCAGGAACATGGAATATCTTTCTATATTTTTGTGTCTTCTTCGATTTCTTTCATCAGTGTTTTATTCTTTTTCTTTCTTATTTATTTATTTATTTATTTATTTTTGAGATGGAGTCTCACACTGTTGCCCAGGCTGGAGTACAGTGGCGTGATCTCCTCTCACTGCAACCTCTGCCTCCTAGGTTCAAGTGATTCTCCTGCCTCAGCCTCCTGAGTAGCTGGGACTACAGGTGCACACCACCACCCCCGGCTCATTTTTGCATTTTTATTAGAGACAGGATCTCAGCATATTTGCCCGGCTGGTCTTGAACTCCTGGCCTCAGGTGATCCACCTGCCTCGGCCTCCCAAAGTGCTGGGATTATAGGCATGAGCCACCGTGCCCAGCCTTTCTTTCTTATTTATTTTTGTAGAGATGGGATCTCACTATGTTGCCCAGGCTAGTCTCAAACTCCTAAGCTCAAGCAATCCTCCCACTTTGGCCTCCCAGAGTGCTGGCATTACAGGCATGAGTTACAGCTCCCGGCCTCATCAGTGTTTTGTAGTTTTCATTGTAGAGATCTTTCACTTCTTTGGCTAAGTTAATTCTGAGGTATTTAACTTTATTCATGGCTATTGTAAATGGGATTACTTTCTTGATTTCTCTTTCAGATTGTTAACGATTGACATAGAGAAATGCTACTGATTTTTGTATGTTGACTTTGTATCCTGCAACTTTACTGAATTTGTTTATCAGTTCTAATGTTTTTTTCGTGAAGTCTAGGTTTTTCCAAATATAAGATCATATCACCTGCAAACAAGGATAATTTGACTTCTTCCTTTCCAGTTTGGATGCTCTTTATTTCTTTTTTCTTTTTTTTTTTTTTGAGACAGAGTTTCGCTCTTGTTACCCAGGCTGGAGTGCAACGGCGTGATCTCAGCTCACTGCAACCTCTGCCTCCTGGGTTCAAGCGATTCTCCTGCCTCAGCTTCCCAAGTGGCTGGGATTACAGGCATGTGCCACCACGCCCAGCTAGTTTTTTATTTTTAGTAGAGACGGGGTTTCTCCATGTTTGGTCAGGCTGGTCTCGAACTCCTGACCTCAGGTGATCCGCCAGCCTCGGCCTCCCAAAGTGCTGGGATTACAGGCATGAGCCACCACGCCCAGTCCTCTTTATTTTTTTCTCTTGTCTGATTGCTCTAGCTAAAACTTTCAGTACTATACTAAATAACAACGGTCAAAGTGGGCATCCTTGTCATGTTCTAGATCTAAGAGGAAAGGCTTTCAGTTTCTCTGCAGTCAGTATTTTACTAGCTATGGGTCTGTCATATATGGCATTTAATATGTTGACGTATGTTCCTTCTATATTCATTTTTTGAGGGTTTTTATCATGAAGTGATGTTGAACTTTATCAAACATTTTCTTAGCATCAATCGAAATGATTATATGGTTTTTGTCCTTCATTCTGTTGATATGATGCATCACATTGATTGATTTGCATAAGTTGAACCATCCTTGCATCCCCGGGATAAATCCCACCTGGTCATGATGAATGATCTTTTTAATGAATTATTGAATTTTGTTTGCTAGTATTTTGCTAAGAATTTTTGCGTCAATATTTATGAGAGATATTGGTCTGTAGTTTTCTTTTCTTCATGTGTCTTTGTCTGGTTTTGGTATCAGTAACACCAGCCTTGTATAATGAATTTGGAAGTATTCCCTCCTCCTCTATATTTTGGAACAGTTTGAGTAGGACTGGTATTAGTTATTCTTTAAAATTTTTTTTCTTTTTTGAGACAGAGTCTTAGGCCGGGCATGGTGGCTCACGCCTATAATCTCAGCACTTTGGAAGGAATCCCAGCCTGGGCAACAGAGTGAGACTGTCTTGGTTTTTTTGTTTTTTGTCTTTTATTTGGAGATGGAGTTTCGCTCTTGTTGCCCCCAGGCTGGAGTGCAATGGCCCAATCTCTGCTCACTTGCAACCTCTGCCTCCTGGGTTCAAGCAATTCTCCCGCCTCAGCCTCCCGAGTAGCTGGGATTACAGGTATGCACCACCATGCCTGGCTAATTTTGTATTTTTAGTAGAGACAGGGTTTCTCCATGTTGGTCAGGCTGGTCTCAAACTCCCAACCTCGGGTGATCTGCCCACCTCGGCCTCCCAAAGTGCTGGGATTACAGGCGTGAGCCACCGTGCCAGGCCTAATTTTTGTGTTTTTAGTAGAGATGGGGTTTCAGCATGTTGGCCAGGCTGGTCTCGAACTCCTGACCTCACGTGATCCACCTGCCTTGGCCTCCCAAAGTGCTGAGATTACAGGCGTGACCCATCATGCCTGGCCTCTTTCTTTCTTTCTTTTTTTTTTTTTTGTTTGAGACAGACTCTTGCTCTGTCGCTTAGGCTGGAGAGAAGTGGCATGATCTCTACTCACTGCAACCTCTGCCTCTCGGGTTCAAGCTATTCTCCTGCCTCAGCCTCCGGAGTAGCTGGGATTACAGGCATGCACCACCACGCCTGGCTAATTTTTGTAATTTTAGTAGAGACAGGGTTTCGCCATGTTGGCCAGGCTGCTCTGGAACTCCTGACCTCAAGTGATCCACCACCTTGGCTTGCCAGAGTGTTGGGATTACAGGCGTGAGCCCCTGCGCCTGGATTTTTTTTTTTTTTTTTTTTTTTTTAATAAAGACAGGGTCTCTCTATGTTGTCTAGGTTGGTCTCCAACTCCTGGGCTCTAGCAATCCTCCCACATTGGTCTCCTAAAGTGCTGCGATTACAGGCATGAGCCACCATGCCCAGCCTACTGGGAGACTGTATTACAGCTCTGATCTCGTGACTTGTTATTGCTCTATTTGGGTTTTGGATGTCTTCATGGTTCAATCCTGGTAGGTTAGATGTATCTAGGAATTTATCCATTTCTTCTGGATTTTGCAATTTATTGGCATATAGTTGCTCATAGTAGCCACTAGTGAGCCCTTGAATTTCTGCGGTATTAGATGCACTGTCTCCTTTTTAATCTCTGATTTTATTTATTTGGGTCTTTTCTTTTTCTTTTCTTAGTCTGGCTAAACGTTTGCCAATTTTGTTTATCTTTTTAAAAAAACAACTTTTTGTTCGTTGATCTTTTTTATTTCATTTATTTATTTATTTTTTGAGATGGAGTCTCACTCTGTTGCCCAGGTTGGAGCGCAGTGGCGCGATCTTGGCTCACTGCAAGCTCCACCTCCCAGGTTCAAGTGATTTTCCTGACTCAACCTCCCGAGTAGCTGGGATTACAGGCACCCGCCACCATGCCCGGCTATTTTTTTGTATTTTTTGTAGAGATGGGGCTTCGTCATCTTGGCCAGGCTGGTCTTGAACTCCTGACCTCATGTGATCTGCCCGCCTGGACCTCCCAAAGTGCTGGGATTACAGGTGTGAGCCACTGCGCCTGGCCTGATCTTTTTTATTTTATATTTTTATTTTTATTATTTCTTTTTGAGATGGAGTCTCACTCTGTTGCCCAGGATGGGGTGCAGTGGCACGATCTTGGATCACTGCAAACCCTGCCTCCCAGGTTCAAGTGATTCTCTTGCCTCAGCCTCTGGAGTAGCTGGGATTACAGGTGCATGCCACTACTACCAGCTATTTTTTGTATTTTTAGTAGAGATGGGGTTTTCTTCATTTCAAATTCATTTATTCATTTCTTTCTTTCTTTCTTTCCTTTTTTTTGGGGGGGTGGGGGAGAGAGGGGACAGAGTCTTACTCTGTTGCCTGGGCTGGAGTGAAGTTGTGTGATCTCAGCTCACTGCAATCTCCGCCTCCCGGGTTCAAGCAATTCTCCTGCCTCAGCCTGAGTAGCTGGGACTGCAGGTGCATGCTGCCACAGCCAGCTACTTTTTTGTATTTTAGTAGAGACAGGGCTTCACTGTGTTGCCCAGGCTGGTCCCAAACTCCTGAGCTCAGGCAATCTGCCCCGCTTGGCCTCCCAAAGTGCTAGGATTACAGGCGTGAGCCAATGCGCCCGGCCCAAATTCATTTATTTCTGATCTGAACCTTATTATTTATTTTCTTCTCCTAATTTTGGGTTCAGTTTGCTCTGCCTCTTCAAGTTCTTTAACATGCATCATTAGGTTATTTGGTTGTTTTTCTTCTTCCTCTTTTTTTTTTTTTTTGAGAGGAGGGTCTTGCTCTGTTGCCCAGGCTGGAGTGCAGTGTCGAGAATCATGGCCAACAGCAGCCTAGACCACCCAGGCTCAAGTGATCCTCCCACCTCAGCCTCCCAAGTAGCTGGGACTATAGGCACACACCACCCCGTCTGGCTAATTTTTGTATTTTTGTAGAGGCAAAGTTTTGCCATGTTGCCAAGGCTGTTTTTCCTCTTTTTTGATGTAGGCACTTATAGCTATAAATTTCCCTCTTAGTACTGCTTTCACTGTATTCCATAGGTGTGTTAGTACGTTGTGTTTCTATTATCATTTGTTTCAAGAAATTTTTCAATTTCCTTCTTAATTTCTTCATTGACCCACTGGTCATTCAGGAGCATATTGTTTAATTTCCATGTATTTGAATAGTTTCCAAAATTCCTTTTGTTATTGATTTCTAGTTTTATTCCACTGTGGTCAGAGATGTTTGATATTATTTCAATTTTTTTGAATTGAATGTTTTAAGACTTGTTTTGGGAGTAACATATGGTCTATCCTTGAGAATGATCCCTATGCTGAGGAGAAGAATGTGTGTTCTGTAGCCATTGGATGAAATGTTCTATAAGTATCTGTTAGGTCAATTTGTTCTGTAGTGCAGATTAAATCCGATGTTTCTTTGTTGATTTTCTATCTGGGAGTTCTGTCCAATGCTGAAAGTTGGGTGTTGAAGCCTCCAGCTGTTTATTCTTTTTTTTTCCCCCAAGCCTAACTGTATCCAGTTTTATTAAAGATACTTTGCATAAACAATCATGGTATTTCAGGCAGGACATGGGCAGACAATCATTAACAGTATACAACAACTTTCAAACTCCCTTCTTCAATGGACTACCAGAAATCAGAAAGCCACTATAAAACCCAATGAAGTCTTCATCTGATGATCTGAACAGGGAAAGTTTAGAGTGAGAGTTGACATTTCACATTTAGCATGTTGTTTAACAACTTTTCACAAGTCAACCCTGACTTTCAGGAAGTGAAATTAAAATGGCAGAATTTATCTGAAGATCTACAATCTAGAAACAGAACCACTACTTTTTTTTTTTTTTTTTTTTTTTTTTTTTTTTTTTTGAGAGGCAGTCTCGCTCTGTCGTGCCCAGGCTGGAGTACGGTCGTGTGATCTCGGCTCACTGCAACCTTCGCCTCCCAGGTTCAAGTGATTCTCTTGCCTCAGCCTCCCAAGTAGCTGGGATTACAGGCATCCGCCACCACACACGGCTAATTTTTTGTATTTTTAGTAGAGAAGGGGGTTTCACCATATTAGCCAGGCTGGTCTCAAACTCTCGACCTCAGGTGATCCGCCTGCCTCGGCCTCCCACAGTGCTGGGATTACAGGCGTGAGCCACCACACCCCGCACCATTGCTCTTTTGACAGGTGCCATCTCAGTGACATCACTGGAAAGTCCAGATTGCCTGACACACTAGTAACCAATGATTGGAGGTCAGGTTCCAATAGATGTCTGGGCTTAAGGGAGTTAAGTCTATGCTGAAAGATGGAAAGGGAGAAGAGGACATAAAAACAAATTTGCTTTTCCCTTTCACAAGGCTTTTGTGCCAAGGTGGCCATGTGTGTCAAAGTCAGGGAATCCCTCCTCCTGGGAGCCAAGAGGAAGTCTCTCGGAACTAGAAGGAAAAGACGATTTCCCCATATCAATCCAGCTTCAGAGACATTCTATTAGTGACATTTGCTCCTTCTCCTAAAAGCAACAATGAAGTGTTCTGTGTGCTAACAACATAGCTTAAAAAAAAAAAAAAAATCTGGGCCGGGCGCGGTGGCTCACGCCTGTAATCCCAGCACTCTGGGAGGCCGAGGTGGGCGGATCATGAGGTCAGGAGATTGAGACCATCCTGGCTAACACGGTGAAACCTCGTCTCTACTAAAAATACAAAAAATTAGCTGGGCGTGCTGGCAGGCGCCTGTAGTCCCAGTTACTCGGGAGGCTGAGGCAGGAGAATGGCGTGAACTTGGGAGGCGGAGCTCGCAGTGAGCCGAGATCACGCCACTGCACTCCAGCCTAGGAGACAGAGCGAGACTCCGTCTCAAAAAATAAAAATAAAAAATAAAAAATAAATTTAAAAAATCTGCATTTTTATAAAACTTGATACAAAATAGTATTTCAAACTGTACACTCACCAGAAGTACACAGTTATCAAAAATGCACACACTTCCTCTGGCATCTCCAGCACCTTCAGCTTTCTGTTCCTGGTCTGTTTTGGCATCTCCATTTTCTGCAGGGTTATTCCCCTCCTTTCCAGCATCAGCTTTTCCCTTCTTCTCTTTGAGTACCTTCTCTCCCTTCTTTGCAGGGGCCTTTTTAGGCTTGGGCTCTGGCTTTGGAGAAGAAGGTTTAGCAGACAACCTCGCGGATCTCCTTTGTGGTTCGTCCTTCACCTTGGCTTTATCTCCTTTAGGATCCCCTTCAGCCTTTCCCTTGGGCATGGTGGTGGCAACAGCGACGGGATGTAGGCGCTGGGCACGCGGGTCGGTCTGGGGGTCATTCTTGTATCTTCTTCTTCTTCTATTCTTTAGCTCTAATAATATTTGCTTTATATATATGGATGCTCCACTGTTGGCTGCATATATATTTATAATGATCATAACCTCTTGCTGAATTGACCCCTTTATCATTACATAATGAGCTTCTTTGTCTCTTCTTACAGTTTTATCTTGAAATTTATTTTGTCTAATATAAGTATAGCTACTCCTGCTCTGTTTTGGTTTCCATTGGCATGGAATATCTTTTCCCTTTATTTTCAGTCCTATATGTATCTTTACAGGTGAAGCGTCCAACAGAAATACTTTTATTTTATTTTTTTGAGACAGAGTCTTGCTCTGTCACCCAGGCTGGAATGCAATGGTGCAACCTTGGCTGACTGCAACCTCCACCTCCTGGGTTCAAGCAATTCTCCTGCCTCAGTCTCCCAAGTGGCTAGGATTACAGGTGCATGCCACTGTGCCCGGCTAATTTTTGTATTTTTAGTAGAGACAGGGTTTCACCATGTTGGCCAGGCTGGTCTCGAACTCCTGAACTCAAGTGATCTGCCCGCCTCGACCAACCAAAGTGCTGGGGTTACAGGCATGAGCCACCTCGCCCAGCCCACACATACTTTTAAGGGGTCTTTAATCACTTGACCCTGGCCAGCTTTTCCAACCTCATCCTTGCCACTGCCCCCATGAAACATTCTTTGTCTCAGACACAGCCACAAAAGATTGCCCACCATGAACTTTCAGGCCTCTCATTCAAGCTGTTCCCTTGGCCTTACATGCCCCCTCCCCTCACCTAAACAACTCTTACTCATCTTTCCAGTATCAACTCAGGCTTCTGGGCCTCTATGAAGCCTTCCCTCCAGATAGTCCCTTCCTTCTCTGTGTTCTGTTTAACTTTGCATATCCTTTTATCTTCAGTACAGAGGCTCTTAGATTTGGAATTTGTCTTCCAAATTGTTTGACTGGGCTCAAGCAATCCTCCTGCCTCAGGCGCTGGAGTAGCTAGCACTATAGGCATGCTCTACCATGCCAGCTAAAATTTACATATATATAATATATGTATCTATTTAATAGATACATAAATATGTATCTATTTAATAGATACATATTTAAATATGTATCTATTTAATAGATACATATTTAAATATGTATATATTTTATAGATACATATTTAAATAAAATATATATTAAAAAAATTTTTTTTGAGACAGAGTCTTGCTCTATCGCCCAGACTGGAGTGCAGTAGCATGATCTTGGCTCACTGCAACCTCTGCCTCCTGGGTTCAAGCAATTCTCCTGCCTCAGCCTCCTCAGTAGCTGGGATTACAGGCGTGCACCACCACACCCAGCTAAATTTTGCATTTTTAGTAGAGATGGGGTTTCACCATGTTGGCCAAGCTGGTCTCGAACTCCTGACCTGGTGATCTGCCCACCTCAGCCCCCCAAAGTGCTGGGATTATAGGTGTAAGCCACCATGCCCGTCCATTTTTAATATTTTTTTTTATAGAGACAAGGTCTCACTATGTTGCCCAGTCTGGTCTCAAACTCCTGGCCTGACACGATTCTCTTGCCTTGTCCTCCCAAGATGCTGGGATTACAGGTATGAGCCACCATGCCCAGCAAAAGCCCCAATTAAAAAAAAAATTATTATTATTTTTTTAACCATGACACAGCCTCAGGAGGTCCTGATGACATGTTCCCCAAAAGCCCCAATTTTTAACTCCCAAGCTGCTCTGCCTCTCATATCCTATTGTAATCACATGTACTTCATCCTGAGGTGGTAGTGGAAGGGTAATGATCTGCAGAAAGACTGAAGAGAAAGGAGTTGGACTGTAAGAATATTCTGTCTCTTGTCCAGTGCTATCCAAGGCCAAACACCCTGTGTCTGGCAGACTGGGGTCTCTGGAGTAGTTGTATTTCCTGGGACCAGGAAAGCTAGCTCAGTTTTTCTGGAGACCATCTAATGCCAAACTGTCCTTCTCTCTCTCGCTCACTCATCATACATTTATAGAAACCCGGCTACATTTCCCACACTGTGCTTGATCTTGGGAATACAATGGTCCTGGGGGCAGGACAGGCAGAGAAAGAAAACCCCTACAGCTCAACATGGTTATTGCCATGAAAGTCAATAAAAGAAAGTCAGTGAGAGCAGGAGGAGGGAGATGGGGGCCAACCCTGCAGGACAGAATCAAGGCGCAGGAAGGCTGCCTGGGAGACATGATACTTGAGCTGAGCATTAGAGAAACATGCACCACATTTGCTTGCAGCATATTTAGAGTTTCACTTTTTACATTAAAATTGTTTTGGGCGGGGCCCGGTGGCTCACACCTGTAATCCTAGCACTTTGGGAGGCCAAGGTGGGCCATCACAAGGTCAGGAGATCGAGACCATCCTGGCCAACATGGTGAAACCCTGTCTCTATTAAAAATACAAAAATCAGCTGGGCATGGTGGCGTGTGCCTGTAATCTCAGCTACTCAGGAGGCTGAGGCAGGAGAATCGCTTGAACCAGGGAGTCGGAGGTTGCAGTGAGCTGAGATCATGCCACTGCACTCCAGCCTGGCGACAGAGTGAGACTCCGTCTCAAAAAAAGAAAAAGAAAAAGAAAAAATTGTTTTTATTGCTCTGGGTCTTTGTTTTGGTATAAGATGTGAGGTTCAAATCTACCTTAATTTTTTTTCAAATGGTAAGCTAGTTGCAAATGCTTTTCAAACAATCCATCTTTCCTCACTCACTCAAGATGGTGCCTCTATCATATGCTACATTGGTATATATGCCTGATCTATTTTCTCTTTTTATTATGTTCCATCAATCTAGGGAAGGAGGCGCTAGACTGCAGTGGTAAAGTATGCAGGCTCTGGAGGAAGATCGGCTGGGTTGTGCCTCAGTGTCCTCATTTGTGAAACGGAGATAGTAGTACTTATTTCTTTTTTCTTTTTCTTTCCTTTTTTCTTTTTCTTTTTTTTTTTTTTTGAGATGGAATCTCACTCTGTTGCCCAGGCTGGAGTCCAGTGGCATGATCTCGGCTCACTGCAACCTCCACCTCCCGGGTTCAAGCAATTCTCCTGCCTCAGCCTCCCGAGTAGCTGGGATTATAGGCATCTGCCACCACCCCTGGCTAATTTTGTATTTTCAGTGGAGACCTGGTTTTACCATGTTGGCCAGGCTGGTCTCCAACTCCTGACCTCAAGTGATCCACACACCTCGGCCTCCCAAAGTGCTGGCATTACAGGCGTGAGCCACCGCGCCCGGCCAGTAGTACTTATTTCGCATGGTTGCTGTGAAGATTGACTGAGATAATGCACATAAAGCACTCATCACAGTGCCTGACACATAGGAATCATAGTGACATAGAGCTGACACATAGTGAATGTCAGCTGTTGTGATGAACCCTAACTGCCCATTCCTGTAGCAGCAACACAGTAGAATGAAAGTGCTAAGAATATAGTTTTGGGTCCAATGAAACAGCTTTGCTGTTTACTATCTGCACAACCTTGAGCTAGTTACTTACCTTTTGCCCTCTCTGTGTCATGGTTTCCTCATTCATACATGGGAATAGAAAAGTACCTACTTCATTCGGCTGGGTGCGGTGGCTCACGCCTGTAATCCCAGCACTTTGGGAGGCCGAGGCGGGCGAATTGCCTGAGGTCAGGAGTTTGAGACCAGCCTGGCCAGAGTGGTGAAACCCCATCTCTATTAAAAATACAAAAATTAGCTGAGCATGGTGGCAGGTGCCTATAATCCCAGCTACTCGGGAAACTGAGGCAGGAGAATCGCTTGAACCCGGGAGGCAGAGGTTGCAGCGAGCTGAGATTGTACCACTGCACTCCAGCCTGGGCGACAGAGCAAGGCTCTGTCTCAAAAAAAAAAACAAAACCCAAAAAACAGAAATACTTTATAATTTATTATCTATCCTTATATGTGGTGGTGTAAGCCCCTAAAATGTTCTGGGGAGTTTCAGGGCCAAGTCTACTGTGTATGAATAAAATGGACTTTCTGGATCTGCATCTGCAATGCTCGTGTCCAGCCCCTGTAAGTATACCAATATTTGAAAGTCATTGTGACCAGTGAGTCCTTGATTGAGAAACCAGAAAGATTTGGTGTGGAAATGGAAATGTGGCTAGGGCTTTGAAGGTCGTATAGCAGGTTTAAAAACATTTTTTTTTTTTTGAGACAGAGTCTCGCTCTGTCACCCAGGCTGGAGTGCAGTGGCACAGTCTCGGCTCACTGCAACCTCCGCCTCCCGGGTTCATGCCATTCTCCTGCCTCAGCCTCCCAAGTAGCTGGGACTACAGGCACCCGCCACCACGCCCGGCTAATTTTTTTTTTTTTTTTGTATTTTTAGTGGAGACGGGGTTTCACCGTGTTAGCCAGGATGATCTCGATCTCCTGACCTCGTGATCCACCCGTCTCCACCTCCCAAAGTGCTGGGATTACAGGCGTGAGCCACCGCACCCAGCCTAAAAAATGTTTTTCGCTAGGAGCGGTGGCTCACGCCTGTAATCCCAGCACTTTGGGAGGCCGAGGGGGCGAATCACCTGAGGTCTGGAGTTTGAGACCAGCCCGGCCAACAAGGTGAAACCCCAACTCTACTAAAAATACAAAAATTAGCCAGGCATGGTGGCAGGTGCCTGTAATCCCAGCTACTCGGGAGGCTGAGGCAGGAGAATTGCTTGAACCCGGGAGGCGGAGGTTGCAGTGAGCCAAGACCGTGTCATTTCACCCCAACCTCGGCGACAAGAGCAAAACTCCGGCTCAAAAAAAAAAAAAAAAAAAGTTTGGGCTGAGCGCGGTGGCTCACGCCTGTAATCCCAGCACTTTGGGAGTCCGAGGTGGGAGGATCACAAGCTCAGGAGTTCGAGACCAGCCTGACCAACATGGTGAAACCCTGTCTTTAATAAAAATACAAAGATTTGCTGGGTGTGGTGGTGCGTGCCTGTAGTCCCAGCTACTTGGGATGTTGAGGCAGGCTAATCGCTTGAACATGGGAGGCAGAGGTTGCAGTGAGCTGAGATCATGCCACTGTACTCTAGCCTGGGCCACAGAACGAGACTCTGTCTCAAAAAAAAAAAGAAAAGTTTTTATTTGTTTTAATTTTTACTTTAACAAAGGAATTTGTATAGTTTTAAAAGCCAACTAGTTCAACAAATATTTTTCGGGGTGGCGGGGCATTTTCAAGTGAAAACCGGGAAACCTGCTCAACAAATTCTGAAAGCTGTAACTTCGGTGGGCGCCGTGGCTTACGACTGCAATAGCAGCACTTTGTGGGGGCTGAGATGAATTGCTTGAGCCCAGGATTTTGAGACCAGCCTGGGCAACATAGGGAGACCCCGTCTACACACACACACACACACACACACACACACACACACACACACACACTAGATGGGCGTGGTGGTGGTGGCCCACTTCTGTAGTCCCTGCTACTCCAGAGTCTGAGGTGGGAGGATAGCTTGAGTCCAGGAGGTCGAGGCTGCAGTAAGCCATGTTTGCACCGCTGCTCTCCACCCTGGGCAACAGAGCAAGACCTTGTCTGAAAAAAAGAAAAAGAATAGAAAAAAAAAGAGCTGTAACTCTACAAGGCTTTTAATGAAAAATAACCATCCCCTGCTCCTCTTCTTTAACCCTTACATATACAACCTACATATACAACTACGCTCCAGTTTCTAGGCTGCTTCTTCTGGTACTTATCTGTACATTTCTTCAAGCAACACTCCCACCTAGGCCTCCCAAAGTTCTGGGATCACAGCTCCACTGTCCCCAGCTCCAATTTTTAGTTAAATCAATACTTAGTGTTTACATCGTTACGGCTGTGAAAATTTTCTTCACAGCTGAGCCATTTGTGTTTGTGCTAAGACTGTGAATCTGTAAAAACTGCTTTTGTTAATTAACATCCAGGACATACGGCTGAGAAACTTCATTTTCTAAAATCATAGTCACAAACTTTGCTATTTGAAATCAGTCAGTGCGAATGGAACATCCTACTCTTGCCAGAAGTTCTGAGCCACGTGGATTACTTTGGCCTCCCAAAGTGTTGGGATTACAGGCACGAGCCACTGTGCCCAGCCTAGATAGTGGGTTTTTGGACACTATATTCTATATTTATCTTGACTTTGTAATTTCCAAGTGGTCCCTCAGCTTGGACTTCTTGATCCCTTCACTTAAAGTTATGCTTACCTCGAACCGATCAAAACACTGTTTCATTTAAATTTTAGCTAGCCTATAGTATCAGCCACTTGGGAGGCTGAGGCAGGAGGATCACTTGAGCCCAGAAGTTTGAGCTTCGCCTGGGCAACATACCGAGACTTCAACTCTAAATAAATAAGTAAATAAATTTTAAAATATAAATTTTAAAGTCAAGCCTTTCCCATATCCTGTTGTATTAGTTCATTTTCACATTACTGATAAAGACATACCCGAAACTGCAAACAAAAAGAGGTTTAATTGGACTTACAGTTCCACATTGCTGGGGAGGCCTCAGAATCATGGCGGGAGACAAAGGCACTTCTTACATGGCGGTGGCAAGAGAAAAATGAGGAAGAAGCAAAAGCAGAAACCCCTGATGAACTCATCAGATCTTGTGAGACTTATTCACTATCATGAAAATAGCACGGGAAAGTCTGGCCCCCGTGATTCAATTACCTCCCCTTAGGTCCCTCGCACGTGGGAATTCTGGGAGATACACATCAACTTGAAATTTGGGTGGGGACACAGCCAAACCATATCATCTGAATGACCATATTTCTTCCTTTTTAATGAGTTGCCCCACAGTTCTTCTAGTGTGTGATCTCTCTGTTGTGGCAAGTTAATAAACCTAACTGTCAAACTACAGATGTGGTCTTTATAAGACAGGCTTATCAATTGTCTTTCCTTTCTTATATAACTCTTTGTTTCCTCTGAAGTTGATAATTGCCTAACCTTTTCTCTTACTTTGTTCTCTCTCTCTCTTTCTCTCTATACATAATAAATTCATCCCCAAAACTGTTCTAAAGAATTATACTCTTTCTTTCAATGCCTTCACCACTTCAGGTAATTCTTCTGGTCTTTCTTTTCTTTTCTTTTTTTTTGAAACCCAGACTCCTGGAGCCCTTCTTCCTCTGGCTCCAAGTTATATTGGTTGTTGTCCTTGTAAAAATATGACTACCTCTGTTCTAACAATAATCTCAAGCCTTCATGGTTAGTTGTCAATGCAACTGCTTCACTGACTCCTGCTTTCCCCCTCCACCTGAAAGGGGTCGAGTCTCTTGACATCTCTGTATCTCCAAAGTCTATCATGGTAATCAAGAAATGTTCTGGCCGGGCGCTGTGGCTCATGCCTGTAATCCTAGCACTTTGGAAGGCTGAGGTGGGCCAGTCACTTGAGGTCAGGAGTTTGAGACCAGCCTGGCCAACATAGTGAAATCCCCGTTCTCTGCTAAAAATAAAAAAATTAGCCCGGCGTGGTGGCGCGCGCCTGTAATCCCAGCTGCTCGGGAGACAGAGGTTGCAGTGAGCTGAGATCGAGCCACTGTACTCCAGCATGGGCAACAGAGCGAGACTTTGTCTCAAAAAAAAAAAAAAAAAAAAAAAAAAAAAAAAGGAGTTCTGTCCCGCCTAGGCACTATAGAGAGACCCTGTCAAGAATGGAAAGAAAGAAATCTTCGAATGAATGAACTAGTGAATGAAGGAATGGATTTCAGCGCTGGAGAATTGAGTTTAAGGGGAATGGTATTATATTCCCATCTTGTTGCAACATTTAAGGATGTCCTCAAGCCCCACGCCAGCCTGGAGCGTAGCCCAAGGTGGGAAAGCAGCGCCGAGGCCTCTCCAGACCCGGCCTGCTCCCCGTTTGCGGAGCACAGCCCACTGTACCCCCGCCTAGATTGAGGCGCTGGCCAGGAGTACACCAGGCGCCGCCATGTGAACTACAACTCCCAGAAGGCCGCGCGGAAGCGGAACGTGAACCAGGGAGGACTTCCGGACGCCAACATCCGGGCCGCGCGGGGAAGGGGAGACGTGGGGTAGAGGTAAGTGTAGGTTGAAGGCTGAATGGGGAGGGCGAGAGATGGGGAGTGGGTCTCAAATATAGAGGGGGTAGCAAGGTGGAAGGGGCCCTTCCACCTTTTGTGGGCACTCAAGTTCGGACCTCTGGGATCGGCGATTCCCCTCTGGCCAGGGCTGGTTTTAATGCTCTCCGTGGGCGGGCTTCGGTTGAGTTTGGTCCGCTTTTCCTTTCTGCTCCTCAGGGGAGCATTGCTTCCTTCTCTCGCAGTGACCATGACGAAATTAGCGCAGTGGCTTTGGGGACTAGCGATCCTGGGCTCCACCTGGGTGGCCCTGACCACGGGAGCCTTGGGCCTGGAGCTGCCCTTGTCCTGCCAGGAAGTCCTGTGGCCACTGCCCGCCTACTTGCTGGTGTCCGCCGGCTGCTATGCCCTGGGCACTGTGGGCTATCGTGTGGCCACTTTTCATGACTGCGAGGACGCCGCACGCGAGCTGCAGAGCCAGATACAGGAGGCCCGAGCCGACTTAGCCCGCAGGGGGCTGCGCTTCTGACAGCCTAACCCCATTCCTGTGCGGACAGCCCTTCCTCCCATTTCCCATTAAAGAGCCAGTTTATTTTCTAACTTCGTTTAGTTTGAGTATGGAAAACGGGTATTGGGGATTCTATGTACTAACGGTCGAGAAGTGAATGTGAAAGAACCACCTTCTTGAGGCCATCTCAGCCTTTATCTTTGCATCTTGCTGGTGTTCCCATTTTTGCTCCCAAGGAGGCAAAGACCCCTTCTCAATATTTCTCAGGATGGAAATGACATTTCACTTTCCTGGTCCTTTCAACCCTGTAGGAAGTACTTCTTTTTTTTTTTTTTTGAGACGGAGCCTTGCTCTGTCGTCCAGGCTGGAGTGCAGTGGCGTGATCTCGGCTCACTGCAAGCTCCGCCTCCCGGGTTCACGCCATTCTCCTGCCTCAGCCTCCTGAGTAGCTGGGACTACAGGCGCCTGCCACCACGCCTGGCTAATTTTTTGTATTTTTAGTAGAGTCGGGGTTTCACCGTGTTGGCCAGGATGGTCTGATCTCCTGACCTCGTAATCCGCCCGCCTCGGCCTCCCAAAGTGCTGGGATTACAGGTGTGAGTCACCGCGCCCGGCGTACTACTTCTTTTTTTTTTTTTTTTTGAGACAGGGTCTCACTCTGTTGCCCAGGCTGGAGTGCAGTGGTGCAATCATGGCTCACTGCAGCCTCACCCTCCCAGGCTCAAACAGTTCTCCCACCTCAGCCTCCAGAGTAGCTGGGACTACAGGCATATGCCACCACGCCACCAGGCTAATGTTTAATTTTTTGTAGTGACAGGGTCTCGCTGTGTTGCTCAGGCTGTTCTCAAACTCCTGGGCTCAAGTGATCCTCCTGCCTGGGCCTCCCAAAGTGCTGTGATTACAGACATAAGCCACCTTACCCGGCCAGAAGTACTTTCTTGAAGCCTAAGTTCCATTCTTCATAACATCCAAGTTTTGTTATTTTTAAGGCCTTCCTGGGTCTTTCCAACCTTTTGGTTCTTTGAGATACCTTTTCTGAGCCTACCCTACCAACCTGAGAATAACTGTGGATCTATCCTTCACCAAACCAGGCAGGTTTAGAATTATGAGTAGAGAATGAACCATCGTGGGCAGGGGTGGGGAACACTTTATTTTAAGGCATATTCATATCAGCATATAAGGCATATTCATATCACAATGGCACGATCTCAGCTCACTGCAACCTCCACCTCCTGGGTTCAAGCAATTCTCCTGCCTCAGCCTCCCAAGTATCTGGGATTACAGGCATGTGCCATCATGCCTGGCTAATTTTGTATTTTTAGTAGAGATGGGGTTTCACCATGTTAGTCAGGTTGGTCTTGAACTCCTGACCTCAGGCGATCCGCCCACCTTGGCCTCCCAAAGTGCTGGGATTACAGGCGTGAGCCACCGCGCCCGGCCTTTTAAGGCATATTCTAAAGATTGCACCCCAACCTCCAAAATTAAAAAAAAAAATCTCTAAAAAATAAAAAGTGATTTCATCTCCTAGGCCCCAATCAATCATCTAAGTAAAGCTTTTTCTTTGGTCCTTTTATCCTCAAAGTCATCTCTTGTTCCCACAACCCACTGCACCTGGGAAGCTGGACAGCAGGCCCAGCTGAAACAAGGAGGTCTCTTTGGTTCAGGTTGGCACTAAGGTGCCCAGTGGTCAGATGAGCAGCCTCAGGTTTGCAGGAGCCAGTAGTTCCTGTCTTGCTCCTGGGGGTACTTCCAGAAAAGCCAGAAGCGGATAAAGCTGGTGACGATTCCTGGAAAGTTGGACACCTGAAATCACAAGAACTGCTATGAGGAGAGGAGCCAGTTTTCCATCTTGCACCCCTGTCACCCCATCCCAGTTGTGCTTACCATGATATAGGGATCTCTGAGTCGAAACCCATAGAGGCACCAGGAGGCAGAGGTGAGAAGGGTAGCAATGGTGAGTGGGTAGGAGAGACATTGGGTTGATTTAGTTTGAATCACCTTAGCCTGTGGGAAAGAATGGAAGACTCTCTTGGCCCAAGCACATCGTAAAGCTTCACTTGCCTAAGAATTTCCTCAAGAAAAAGGTCAGACACCCTCCCTGATCTGTCACCCAACCTTTCCTGCCTCCCACTCGCCCACTTCTACTGCCTTGTCTTCTTCCAGGGTTTGGATCTCCCCTTCCTCGGGACTGTAAGCCATAGTATTTGGCTATGAGAGCCTGACTCTTATCTCTCCTACCTCCTTGGACACCCCCACTCACCAAGTCAGCCAGTGGTGAGAGGTACATGCTGATGGTGAAGACACTGCAGAAGAGGCCCAACTGCTGAAGCCGGGCCTCAGGGTTGGGTACCAGGAGCCAAAAGTAGCCATAACCCAGGAGAAGGACCCCTAGCAGGGTTGCAGTCTGTAGGAGCACAACACGCTGCAGGGGAGAGAGTACCCTTACTTCCAGATGTGCACTCTGACTTCCCTGCTAGAGTTAATTCATCCTGCCTTCTCCAGTGCTCCAATGGGGAAGCCAAGCTGTCTAGGCCTCCAGCACTGCACTGTCACAGCTTCTTTCCCACCACCAACTTGATAGGAAAGTCTTATCCACCCACAACACTGGAG
Source organism: Homo sapiens (assembly GCF_000001405.40). Classification (NCBI taxonomy): domain Eukaryota; kingdom Metazoa; phylum Chordata; class Mammalia; order Primates; family Hominidae; genus Homo; species Homo sapiens. Next base: position 155,137,372 of record NC_000001.11, on the reverse strand, counting down.
ACTTCTGGGGGAGATAAATATGTGTTTTTTTCTGTGTGCTTGGCACACACAGTAGGAGCTTCATAAATGCTTGTGTGATTTAGCAGGGACGCAGAGCTAATCATCTCATTCTCACCCACAGGCCCTGGCTCTGAAAGAAATATCAGAGACAAAAGCCCTTTCCCCTTAGCTTGTTGGCTGAAGCCCAGGGCAGGCAGCATAGGCATCTCAGGCTAGGCAGAGCTACCAGCCTTGCCTAAATGGGGGCAATGTGTTCATCTCAGAAGGCTGGCTTCATAGAGGAAGGGGACCTGCAAGGCTGGAGAGGCCTTCCTGGAAAAGGTGGCAGTGCCAGCTGTTACAGTCTTCTAGGAAATAGTGTTTGCCCTGCCAGCAAGGCAGGGCGTGCAGCAGATAGGTGGGTCCAAGGGAGGGCCTCTACCTTCCGAGGGCAGTAATGCAGATATGCCAAGATATACAGGGTCTGAAGCGCAGCACCCACTGTGTTGACGACGATGAGGATCCCGTCTCCCTTCAAAGCCCCATAACTCAGCCAGCCCAGGTTGCTGCAGGGTGGAGGGGATGGACATGGCTCAAAGGGTTCAGTGTGAGAGGAGGACCCAAAGGGTCTTTCACTCTTTTTTTTTTTTTGAGACGTAGTCTCGCTCTGTCGCCCAGGCTGGAGTGCGGTGGCACGATCTCGGCTCACTGCAAGCTCCGCCTCCTGGGTTCACGCCATTCTCCTGCCTCAGCCTCCCGAGTAGCTGGGACTACAGGCGCCCGGCACCACGCCCGGCTAATTTTTTGTATTTTTAGTAGAGACGGGGTTTCACCGTGTTAGCCAGGATGGTCTGGATCTCCTGACCTCGTGATCCGCCCGTCTCGGCCTCCCAAAGTGCAGGGATTACAGGCGTGAGCCACCGCGCCCGGCCAAACCTCTTTCACTCTTGCTCCTCCTGCCCCGCCCCCACCTCCCTCTGGTAGCCTTTCCCACTACCGCAGCCGTCGGCCCCTCACTTGACTTCCGTGGTGAGAAAGGGCAGGAACTGGACGTTGTCCACACTCCGGGTCATTCGCATGTGCCTGAGGTCCGAGCTGTAATGGGGCCCCGAAGGGAGGGGTGGGGGTGGGAAGGGAGAAGCAGAGTGCTAGAGGGGGATGCCCAATGCCTGTCATCCTTTCCGGACCACCGCAGACCCCGCCCCCTCTCCCCCCCGCCAGCTATCCTGCCTTCTCCTTCAGGCCTAGTGACCAGCCTCGCCCTTGTACCCCGGTCCCCTCGACCCGATCCCACTTTGATCCCGGTTCCGGACGAGCCAGGTGCTGTGGCCACGTCTCTGTCCCCTCTCTCTCCTTTCCTGACTGCCTAGTCCTCCCCAACCCAGCCCGGCCGCACTCTCACAGGCCGGCGGAGAACATGCCAAGGGTGAAGACCACGCATGCTCCGTAAATGAGCGAGTCCAGAAAGCCGCCCGCCTCCATTACGACTAGAGTCGGATCCCGCGCCCAGCGCCCGCCGCGAGCCTGCGGTTGCCGGGACCTACTGCAGCCCAGACCTGCGGCTCTGGAGCCCCGCCCCGCGCACTCGGCTCCGCCCCCGCACGCTCGGGCCGTCCCTCCGGAAACTGCGCCGAAGCCCCACCCTCCCTCCGACGCCGAACCGGAACTCGCGCCCCTCTCCTCCGAGCGCCTTCCCAGTACCCTGGTCCAGACCTCTTCCATGTCCCGGTCAGTCCCCTTCCTAGGGCTCCGCGGGTGTGTCCCCGATACCTGCCGCTGCTCACACTCTGCCTACCCCTTGGATCATCTAGACGCCCCCAGTCTCAACGCTCGTGTTCCCACAGGCCTGTGCGCCTTCGGCGGTGGACCTCCAAACAAAAGCTTGCTAGTTTAACAAGACTTCAGCACGCTTTCCATCCAGAGCTCCACATCAGAACCTCAGTTGCCCAGGGTTTGGGAAGTTTTTTTCTGGAGTGTGCTGCCGAAGCTTTTTCTCAAAATAACACATTACCAGGAATCACCAAGCCTTCCTCTTTTGCCCTCCCTCTCGGGTCAACTTTACATGACGTGGCCAATCCACTGACGCCTCTATCACTGACCCCCGGTCCAACCCACTTGTTACTGGGAACTTTCCCTCCCAGCCTCCCACACGTCTCTGCTAGTGTGGCTGTGGGGCGGGGCCGCATGCCTCAGCTGGCGTTCCCAGCTTCCCTGACTCACCGAAACAGCGTGAGTACCTGAATGGTAGTATGCCAAAGCCCTGCGGTGACGGAGTGGGAGTGGGGTAGAGGTCGGATAGGAAGAACTTCCAGAGTGGAGTGCAGCTCAGAACCCGAGAGACAGCTGTCAGGAGCACTCCGGTCCTGGACAGCCCTCAGAGGAGGAAACATCCCACCCTTTTGGCCTCGTGAGGGGCACACATTCTTTGGAGAGAAAGAAATTCAAACCCAGTTGCTACTGTTGTAGCACAGAGAGCCTCGCACTTAGCAGGGACTCAATGGTCATATGTTTTAATATGGAGTGGCAGAAAAGCATGTCCGAAAAAACACATTGCTTTATTTTGAGACAAAGAACATTGTATAAAAAAACTCCAGTTGTAGAAATCAGGACAGACACACAGCAACTTATATACAGATACTATACACGTGGGCCCTGCCCTTTAGGCTACACTCTAGGCAGAATGTACACATGGGCACTGCCCTTACAGCTACACTCTAAGAACAGGTTGGCACAGCCCCCCTGCTGGCACAGCTCTGGGGAGTGCTGCCCCAGGATGGGAGAGAATGCAGTACCTGGCTACAAACTTCTCTGTGGCAGCTCCACAGATGAGGTCTTGCTGGGAGATGCTGGGTCAGCCCAAGCATGCTGCCTCTCCTGTACCTGGCTTCCAAGCAAGAAACTGTTTCTTGCTTTTCCTTCAGTCAGTTCATCTGGGCATCCTGGCTCTCTCCTGGAGGGGGCATCTTTGACAAGCTTTGCCCATCCACGTGGCCCCTTCCAGCTCAGCTCCCACTGTGCCTTAAGGGACCATGCCTGCACAGCTTGTTTCTTTGGCTTAAAGGCAGGAATGGTGGGAAAGGACTGTCTCCACTTCTTTCTCCATCCCTCCGAGGTGAAGGTGGGGATGGCACTGTCGGGCTGGTTGGCCTCCTTCCGGTTGAAAACCTTAATACTGACCCGTTTTGAGGCTGCTAGGTGATAGCTTATGCCTGTGGTGGGAGTGGTTCCCAGGGCTGGGGGCTCTGAAAGTGGCCCCAAGACAGGTTTGGAGTGCCTGTCCCTCTCTTCAGCCTGTCCCTCTTTAAGGCCAGGTGTGGCATACACCTTCACGGGGTTTGCAGCAGCAGAAGTGGAAGGAGCAGCACAGTCCAGGCAAGTGGGAAGAGGCGTGGGGCAGCACTGTGACCGATGCTATGTAGAACCCGCACCTCTGGGTCATCTGCAAGGTGAGAGGGCAAAGGCCACCAGTGTGAGTGGCTCCACTATTTGTACTGGCTCTCAGCCCAACAGGATTCCCTCAGCCTCAGCCTGGTAAAGGAGCCACCTCCTGTACCCAACCTCTTCAAGCAGACCCCTTCCTGTGCCCCAGGCCCAGTTTGCTCCAGCTACCCACCTGCTGCAAGTCTCTTCTCCTGTGGATTGTCATGGGCCTGAGGACTGTGAGCTGAAAGACAAGAGTGGTAGTAGATCAGGTACTGTATCAAAGAGGCAGAGGGCTGTAAGTATGAGTGGGCTGGGCTGCAAGACTTCTATACCATCCTAGATCACTAGACCGCACCCAGCATAGAGATGGAGGAAGGAGGCCCACAGGGCTCTGACACTCACTGATTTTGCCACTGACAGTCACCTTCAACCTCAAGCAGCGGTCTTCATGCTGGTGGATGGGTTTGGCTGCAAGATAAGCCCACAGGGGTTAAATAAGAAACCTTTGCTGGAAGAAAATGTAAGTCCAAATGCCCCTCGCCCTGCTTTCTCAGCTCCCTACTCAATTTCATTCTTCTCTTCCCTCTAACCTTGATTCCTACCCTCCTTAGTTTTTGCTAACTTCCTGCCCAATGTTCAGCCCAGCCTCTCATTCTTTGGAAATAACCCTCAGCATAGACACTGCCCCTCCCCACATTTCATCCTTCATTCCTCCGAGTCTGAATATGTTCCTCTTGCCTGGGCCACTTAATACTACTCCTAGGCCAGGCGCGGTGGCTCACACATGTAATCCCAGCACTTTGAGAGGCCGAGGTGGGCGGATCACGAGGTCAGGAGTTCGAGACCAGCCTGGCCAATATGGTGAAACCCCGTCTCTACTAAAAATACAAAAATTAGCCGGGCATGGTGGCACATGCCTGTAGTCCCAGCTACTCGGGAGGCTGAGGCAGAAGAATCAATTGAACCCGGGAGGTGGAGGTTGCAGCAAGTCGAGATCGTGCCACTGCACTCCAGTCTGGGCGACAGAGCGAGACTCTGTCTCAGAAAAAAAACAAAAAAACAAAAACTACTCCTGCCTAGCCCCCACCGACAGAGTCCTAGATCCATCTTATACAAAGCTGATCTCATAACTTTCTTTTTGAAACGGAGTCTCCCTCTGTCACCCAGGCTGGAGTACAATGGTGTGATCTCGGCTCACTGTAACCTCACACCTCCTGGGTTCAAGCGATCCTCCTGCCTCAGCCTATTGAGTAGCTGGGACTACAGAAGTGCGCCACCACACTCGGCTAATTTTTGTATTTTTTTAGTAGAGTTGGGGTTTCACCATGTTGGCCAGGCTGGTCTTGAACTCCTGACCCTAGGTGATCCACCCACCTCGGCCTCCCAAAGTGCTGGATGATCTCATAACTTTTAAAATCCATCAGGCCATGCGCGGTGGTTCATGCCTATAATCCCAGCACTTTGGGAGGCTGAGGCGGGCAGATCACTTGAGGTCAGGAGTTCGAGACCAGTCTGACCAACATGGTGAAACCCCATCTCTACTAAAAATACAAAATTAGCTGGGCGTGGTGGCAGGTGCCTGTAATCCCAGCTATTTGGGAGGTTGAGGCAGGAGAATTGCTTGAATCCGAGAGGTAGAGGTTGCAGTGAGCAGAGATCACACCACTGCACTCCAGCCTGGGCGACAAGAGTGAAACTCCATCTCAAGAGTAATAATAATAATAAAATAAAATAAAATAAAACCCATCAGTGGCGAGAGCCCTCAGGATAAAGTCCAAACTCCTTATCACCTTTTAGTTCCCCCATGGTCTGTTCTGTCCACCTCTCCAGGCTCACATCTCCTCACTTCCTGTGTCCCTCCAACTCCAGCCAGGCTGAGCCACAGGAAGTTCCCTGAAGATGTCATGCTCCCTTTGTACGTGTGCCTTCATGCCTGGCCAGCTCCTCTGCTTGTCCTGAGCTCTGGGACCATCTTCCCCACTGAGCCTTCTCTGAGCCCCATAGCCTGGCAGGTGCCCAGGTCATTTTCCCAAGGCCCCTGTGTTCATGTCTACTGTAGCACACTGTTCTAAGGGTCTCTTAACCTATGTGTGTTTCTTCCCAGCTTCCTTGAGGACAGGGGCTCTGTAGTGTTTTATTTATCTTTGTGCTCATAGCGCTAAACAGAGTGCCCAGCACATAGTAGAAGCTCACTCACATTGGGATGTAGATGAATGAAAATAGAATTCAAGATCGGAAGGGGCCCTCTGCTGCTGGACTCTACACCAAGCATGTACCCAAGCATGTATGTAATGGCAAAAAAGAAACACAGACACTGTCCCCTCACAGGCACTCACAGATGTAGTAGTAGCTGTGTCCTTCTTTGAACTCCTTGCCCAGGGTGAAAGGTGTGAAGCGCTGGAACTTCTCAGACAGCTTCTCCGGGCCATGCTTGGCACTGGGCCGGTTGCACTGCCAGCGGACTTGGTCCTTGGACTGGGGCTGGCACAGCTGGTACTCCTCATGCTCCACCAGGTACAGTATGTACTGCTCCATGGCAGCGTCTGCCACAGAGTGATCTTCATAGTGCGGACAGATGATGTCCACGTAGTCATTCAGCTGCACATGTATGGTGTAGTCCTCATTCCGGAACCTGGGGACACACACAGGGGGAAGAAGCAGGTGGTCATTCAGAAGCCAGGCCAGATCCTTGGGCCTCTGAATGTTTACATGACCTCTCACATTTCACACTGGACCCCAAGAGATTTTTCCGAAGTTTCAACTCCCAATATGTACTGATCTTGATGTCTTACATTTCTCTCTGCCATCTCTAAACATTCCCCTGCACCATCACTGTCTCCTGTTGGTCCTTCAAATAGCATTCACTCAGTATCTTTCGGGTACCAAAGCATTTTCCATAACCCCCCTGATACTTACCTGATATTTAGATGGGCTTCTACCTATTTCTGTAGCTCACTTATCATTCTCTTCTACCCATAAATATTTCCCCAAATCTGTTCTACCAGTTGCTCCTTTTAAATGCTGTTAGGCCTCAATCTGAGACCCCCACAGGTCCATTCTGTAATCAGAATCCAGGAAACCCTTTCTCTTTACCATGCTAGCCTGGAGCCTCCAACACATCTGTGTCTTCACTTTCCTTACTCCTCTCACATTTCCCCGGACCCACTGAGTAGATCTCACATTTCCCAGCTTCACTTTTCCTCAAAAGTGAAGCTAGTATACCCGGGCCCACAGATAATGCCCCAGTCCTTTAAGTTAAATCACTCTCATCAATTCATTCAGCCCCCTCAAATCTTCCCGTTCTAGCTACTCAAAGTTATACACTGGTCTCCTTTTCCCCTTCTCAGAGCACCCCAAAACAACCCTGTCCTTTTATCTCTAAAAGCCACACTTCCACCTCCCCCTAGATGAAATGCTGGAGCTCTGAGCTTGAGCTTGAGACAGCCTCTCCCCTCTCCCCTCTCTCCCCTCTCTCCTCCTCTCCCCCTCTCCCCTCCTCTCCCCTCCTCCCAAGGTGGAGCCAGCACCCCTCCCCTAGTTCATTCCCCCTGGCCCCACCGGCTCCAGCCTGACTGCCCACCAGCCCCTCCCCACCAGCTCCAGACACCTGGCTCCAGCCTGGGTGGGGTCCCAGTAGGGGGAAAAGTGCTTCCCCCGACCCCGCAAGCTGGTCAGTTTCTCTAATTCCCCCAGGCACTGCCAGCTAGAGACCCAGCAGAATTAGCGCTAAGTTGCTTCGAACTGAAAGCCCTGGCCACGGCTGGGAGGGCGAGGAAGGAGTCAGGCAGAGAGGACTCGGAGGTGGGCACCCACTGCCCAATCAGCATGACCCCTGAGAGGCCAGGCTTTGCAGCAGCGTGCCAGCGCCCAAACTGGGCTTACCAGGCCCCTCCCCCACCCTGGGGAAAAGAGAGGAGCAGAGAGAGGCTTTTAAAATTCCTCTCTGGAGAGATAAACATAGAAGCCATTTCAGAACAGGTATTTCAGCTCTGGGCCTGGCGTCTTTCCCTCATTCCCGTGACGGGCACTGACTCATTCCTCATCCACCTCTGCTACCCGCCCCAGCACTCATGAGAACTTGTGAAAACTTACCTTGTCAAATGTGCACAGCCCCCAGGACCCCAGGAGGGCACAGCGCCCACTCACCCCCAACAGTGTCCTCCAAACAAAGGGAGCTGGCAGGTCAGAATGAGGGGCCTGCCCTCCAGCATGAGGGAGGCTGGCGCCCTTCTCAGCATGCTGCCCCCGCCTGAGGCCTGGAGATCCCAGGGCTGCTGCCCACTGGCCTGAGTCACCCATGCCAGCCTCACCTACCCCGTTCATTGTAGCCTCATATTTGCCCCCACGCTGGGCCCAGCTTGGCTGCCTACGGACTCTACTCTGGACTGGCGTCTCTTTAGTCCTGGGTATGATAGGGTGTGCGTGTGTGTGTGTGTGTGTGTGTGTGTGTGTGTGTGGCCAGAGGGTCACCCATCAGCCCCCTCTCCTGGGGGTACAGTCTGCTGTACTTAGCCTTCATTTGACTCTTGCTCCCCATCTGGGAAAGGGGGGCAGCGGCGTCAGGGAAGGCGGGGAGGTGGGTAAGGAAGAGGCTCCTTCCTGAAAGAGAGGAAACCTGGGAGCTTGGGAACGGAAAAGGCCAGGGTCCCCCCCTCCCTACTCATGGCTTCCTGTCCCCTCCTCCTCCTCCAGTCAACACCTGGCATGGGCATAAACAGGGACTTTGCTCTCTCCCATACTAGGGCGAGATGCATCAGGTCAAGGAGGCAAAGCACAGGGAGCGGGTGGCGGAGGGCTGGCTGAGCCTCCCCAGCGTCCATGGGCAGGAGGGCATTGCCCTCTGGGGTTGGCAGCTGGCTGTTCTCTCCCCCACCCTAACAAGCCACAGACAACAGACTGCCTCACCAGACGATGACACGGGGTCAGAGGAAGCTGGCACAACATATTTCTCAAGGGGAGTGGGGGGCAAGCTTGCTAGGGCCGAGAGTGGCTAAGCCGGTGAGATGGCTTTCGTGATACCAAGCTGCCCACTTCTCTCCCTGCTCCTCCCTACCACCCTCTCCTGTATTCCCTCAAATATTGTTCCCATAACTTCAGAAAACTCAAGGGCAAGAACAAAGGGGCCGACAGAGTCTTCCTCCCAGTACCATTTGCCTCACAGCCCTAAACCTGCCCAGGAGAAATTAACTCCTTCCTGCCCAGAACCTTCTGTAACCCCTTTAACCTCTTCTGTTCATTCTGAAGCTTTCCCATGATCTCCCTCTCCCAGCTCTTCGCTTTTACTACTTGAGAGCCCCATAAACAGGTGATTCCCTCAGCCTACCCATGCACAGCATGTGCCTCACTCATGCCACCCCAAAAGACCCCTAGTGAGGGACTTTCCAGGTTTGCTTTAAATACAGGGTGAATGCATAATGAATGCCTACAGCCCAGCTCTCTCCTGAGAGGTCCTTCCAGGGTTACCTTGAGCATTCTGTGCACTCTTGATGTCACACCAGGTATCTGTCAGTGTGGTCAGATACCCAAAGGACACACAAGGAGAGGCGTGGAGGCTTTCACAGTGGGGGGGTGGGGGGCCTGGAACAAGGGCCCTGGCTGCCAGGGGCGAAGTCTATGCTGAAGGCAGGAACTGCCCAGCATGAGTCCCTCACTTTAGAGTAATAGGGGTGCCAGAGAGAAGGAAGGGAAGGGCAGATATAAGCCCATGCAAGTAGACACAAGCATGCCCCGGGGTGGGGTGCTCCCAGATATGACGGAGAAGTGAGGGGAGGAAAATCTACAGCCGCCCTCCTACCTCGGTCATCTACTCTAGGCTCAGCTCAGGGTTTGGCCGGGACAGTTATCCCGGTGGGGTAGTGCCAGCCGGGAGCCCAGGCTGCCAGCGGGAGTCTCGAGGCTTACTTGGGATTTGAACTGTTCCAGAAGACGGTGTGGCGATCAGCAGCGGCCAGACTGCAGCACAGACCCAAGAGAGGGGCCCAGAGGAACTCCATAGCGCGGGGCCTGGCCAGGCCGAGCGGGGACGCGGGTCTCCTATGGGTCTGGGTTCCCACTGGCTTTCTCCGCGGCGCAGTCAGCGCTGGGCTCACAGATCTGGCCCCTTCGCCTAGCGACTCCGCCTTTTGGGCCGGCGCCGCCCGACACCCCGCCCCGCCCTCGCCCCGCCCGGCGCGCGGCTGCCTGGGGGCTTGGGGGCTGGGGAGGTGGAGGAGGGGCGGGGTGGGGAGGCGAGGAGGCTGGGGGTGCAGGAAAGAGCGAAGCGCGCTCCTCTGCCCCCGCAGATCTGCTCAGAGATGTGTGTTCGCTCACTTGTGGGTCTGCGTGGAGCTTTGTGAGCCTGTCCCGGTGGTGGGCTTGCGTCCCTGGGCGCAGTCGCGTGCGGGAGAAGGGAAGAACTCGCAAGTGCGAGTCTGCGAACGCGGGGGTGCGGGACACGGCTTTGCTGCTCCGCGCGCGGACCTTGCAGGGTGCGAGGTTGTTGACATGCCCCGCACCTTTCTGAGCCTCGCATGCCCAGGCTCGGGCGCCCGCGTTCCCACACTCTCCTCCTCCCCCATCCCCTTCCCGGACTCTGCGCTTGACTGCCCCTCCCCACACACACGCGGCTGTTTGTTTTTGTTGGGTTTGTCAATGTTGTCTTTGTTCTGGAGATTGTGTCATCGCCTAGATGCCGGGAATAAAGTGCAACGCTTTGTGTGATCGAGTGTGTAACGTGTGCGGCCGGGGCTAAGGACGCCTCTGTCCATCACATCAGTGCCTGCCCGCAGGAGCGACACGCGGGACCCTGGGCTCGAGAGGGGGCCGTTCTTATTTTAGATAAGTCAAAGAGCGCTAATAACCTGAGTATATGTAACAACACACGCGTACACCGTGCGAACAGGCTCTTGAATATGGACTGTGAGAATCTGGGCATGAAGGGTGACAAACTGTAACCACACATGAAATACGTGTGATGGCGCGCTAGCATGAAAGCATTTGTGAGTAGTATCACAGCCGCGTGTGTGGAAGCGTGTGAAACTCTTTGACAGACGTATGCTAATGTTTGTGAACAGCGTGTGAAGAGGAGGGGAGACGCGTACCGGCGTGCAGCGGGGGTGGGGTGGAACGGAGGGGCGTTTGTGCGCAGTCCTCAGGCTGCACAGCTGGAGCTGGCCCAGTCTGAGCTGGGGCTCCCAGTCAGTCGGGCCCCAGTACCCGGCTCAGGCCCCCTCCCCCGCGCTGTGTAAACAAACCCACTGGAATTTGCCTCTCGGGGCTCTTCTCCCCGCCTGGATCTGCTGCCGTCTGGAGAGGGCTTGGCGGGCGGGTGTCAGCTCCTGGGGTGGAGAGGGCGGGCAGGTGTTTGATTAGGCTCACGAGTGAGCCTGGAGTGGGAGAGCCGAATGCTGTGTGTCTGCGTGCGTTTGGTGGTTTACGTGTGTGGTTGTGTGGCTGTGTGCGCGCCAGGTTGGTGTTGTGAGTGTGTGTGCGCATCCTCAGCCGGCCCTTCCCTGCGGCTGCGCATCGCGGGAAGCCACGGACCCGGGGCCCCTGGCCAGCTCCGGCCCAGCTTCTCCAGTTCCCAGGCCGTTTCATCCTCCTATTTTACGGCCAGGCCTGGCTACAGCCCCTGTAATTACGCGGGGCCCGGACGCCGCAGCAAGTCTGGCGCTGACCCCGCCGGGGAGGAGCCTGGAGCTGGGGAGGGCCCAGCCGGCTCCCCACTGCACCACCACGTGCGCTGAGGCCGCTGGAGGCCGTATTCGCTGCGTTTACAATAAACATAGAGTACCAACGGCCTCTAACCCCGTGGCCGGGTCAGGGCCGGGTTTTGCGCACGGCCAGCGCCACCCCCCTCTCCCTCGGGCACCTGCCCCAGGCGACGTGCCCAGCCAAGCGTTTGTCCGAGGTGCGGCCCGCTCCTCTCGCCCAGGACGAAGTCCACCCGCCGACTGCTCCCAGGGCGGCACCTCACGCGCCTTTTGCTCACCTAGGAGGACACCTGGGTGTCGACCTCCCACGTGGCCCCGGCGAGAGTACTGCCTCCCAGTTCGGGCATTCCATAGAGTCAAAGCTCCAGGAGGACATGGGTTTTTGTTTTGTTCATTATCTTACTGCCAGCACCTGGCACAGCATCTAGCACATACAGTAGATGGTCAGTAAATATCTGTGGAGTGAGTGAAATCACTCACTGTTCAGTGAAGGAACTTAACTTCTGCTGGACATAACTGTTCTGAAAAGGAGCCAGCAGGGGGGTTGAAGAGGGGAGGGATGCTGGTAGCTCTTTAGAGCAGGTGGCCCGGGTTGCCTCCTGGAGGAGACAGCTTTGGGCCGGATTCCCTGGTTTCTCTGACCACTGGGACTGGGCGGGGACGTGTGAAGTCCCACGCTGCAGCTGCTTGGGCCAGGCAGGTTCGGGCTCGCTGGGCCCAGTCTGGCGGGGCCACGTCAGCTCTTGCCTGCGTCTAGGTCTGGAGCAAGCTGGGTGCAGAAGCGTGCATGGAAATTCTGCGCACCGACAGGACCCGGAGCCCTCTTTCCCTGCTTTGGTGCTGTCCCCAGTATTCTCATCTCACTTAGGGCATTGATCCCATCACTCTCTATCCACTCCCCTATCCATATGGGGGTCGATCATCCACCCTACTGGAGCAGCCCTAGACACTGAGTGTTGTGATGAGCTGGGTGTTGCGATGGGCACCGAGAGTGTAAGGATGGGTTTAAGATAAAATCACTACCTTGGGGAGCCCCCAGGCCGGTAGGGGATATTGACAAGCCACCAGGACAGCAAACTTGCTAAGTGCTCAAGCCCAGACTGCGGCCCTACCACTCACAGTCACACTACCCTGACCCTTCCTGGAGCCCCTGCAATGCCTGCTGTGCTGAGAGGAGAGTTGCAGGGCACTGTGCCATTCAGACAGAGATAATAGTAGGGACTTCTGTTCCTGGAGACTCGATCTGCTGACCAACTCTGGGGCCCCCTCCCAGTCCCTTCCTCATGCCAGCCCCCAGCCTGCCCGGGTGGGTCTGCTCTCCATTCTTGCTTCGTGCTGCCTCTCGCCGCAAAATTGTGTGCTTGTGTTGGCTCCCAGCACGTCACCCGCAGGCAAACATCTGCGCTTAGTGACGAGAGCTGCCTGAGGTGTCTGTCTGTCTGCCTGTCTGCATGTCTAGGAAATTCCTCCATGAGTCCTTTCTGGAAATTCCTGGGAGGGCAGGAATTTCCTCAGAGGAAATTCCTCTGAGGTCTTGGGGTAGGCCCTGGCTGCCTGGAGGCAGCATTTCCAGTTGGGAACAGGTGCAGGTACTGGATTGCGACTCCTTTGCTGGGTGCCCTGCAGTTTGGGGAGGGGAAGGCCAGAGCTGCAGGGCCCTGGGGCAAGTGAAACCTGGCTCAGCCCCAGGGGTCATCTCTGGGCAATGGGGTGAGGCAGCAGGGGGAGGAGCAGAACCTGGGCTGAGAGCAATCTCTGTCGTACTCCCTCAAGGTCATTTTGAAACATAAAGTATACCCTTCCCCACTTTATTAGTAATGTGCACACATTTTTCAGAAGTTGGAAAATAGGCCGGGCACGGTGGCTCACGCCTGTAATTCCAGCACTTTGGGAGGCTGAGGCGGGTGAATCACTTGAGGTCAGGAGTTTGAGACCAGCCTGGCCAACATGGTGAAACCCCATCTCTCCTAAAAATACAAAAATTAGCTGGGTGTAGTCGTGGGTGCCTGTAATCCCAGCTACTTGGGAGGCTGAGGCAGGAGAATCACTTGAATCTGGGAGGTGGAAGTTGCAGTGAGCTGAGATCGCACCACTGTACTCTAGCGTGGGTAACAGAGTGACACTCCATCTCAAAAAAAAAAAAAGTTGGAAAATAGAGAACAGGAGGATAAGGGGAGGGGAGGACCACCGGCTGCTGTTAACATTGGCCTCCCTGCCCTGCCAGCTTTTTGCTGGGGAAGAGATTTTGCTTGCTTTTAGACAATGTGATAAACATGACTCATTTCAATTGTGTGCTTCTTTTTTTCCCTTTACAACAGAAGACATTTTCCATGTTATAAACCCTTTGTAAACAATGTTTTAAAGGGAGTGTAATGCTTCATTACGTGAGTATTTCAGAGTTTGCCATTGCAATGAAAGCAGGACAGAAATAAACATATCCATGCACATTCAGACATCCCTCAGTTGCTGAGCAGTTGGGTGGATTGGCTCTTAGAATTTAGGACTATTGGCCGGGCATGGTGGCTCACACCTCTAATCCCAGCCCTTTGGGAGGCTGAGGCGGACAGATCACGAGGTCAGGAGTTTGAGACCAGCTTGACCAACATGGTGAAACTCCGTCTCTACTAAAAATACAAAAATTATCCAGGCATGGTGGCACACACCTGTAATCCCAGCTACCCAGGAGGCTGAGGCAGGAGAATCACTTGAACCCGGGAGGCAGAGGTTGCAGTGACCCGAGATCGTGCCACTGCACTGCACTCCAGCCTGGGCGACAGAACAAGACTCTCAAAAAAAAAAAAAAAAAAAAAGAAAAAGAAAAAGAACTTAGGACTATTGGGAGGCTGACCTGGGAGGATCGTGTAAGACCAGGAGTTAGAAATTAGCCTGGGTGACATTTTGAGAACCCGTCTGTACACAAAATAATAATAATAATAATAATAAGTTAGCTGGGGTACATAGTGCATGCTACTCTGGAGGCTGAGGCAGGAGGATCACTTGAGTCCAGGAGTTGAGGTTACAGTGAGCTGTGACTATGCCTCTACACTGCAGCCTGGGTGACAGAGCTAGACAGTCTCTAAAAAAGAACTTAGAAATAACCTTGCAATTGCCAGGTGCAGTGGCTCACGCCTGTAATCCCAGAACTTTGGGAGGCTGAGGCGGGTGGATCACCTGAGGTCAGGAGTTCGAGATCAGCCTGGACAACAAGGTGAAACCCCGTCTCTACAAAAAATACAAAATTAGCCGGGCAGGGTGGCACATGCTTGTAATCTCAGCTACTCAGGAGGCTGAGGCATGAGAATCGCTTGAACCTGGGAAGCAGAGGATATGGTGAGCCGAGATAGTGCCATTGCACTCCAGCCTGGGCAACAAGAGCAAATCTCCGTCTCACGAAAAAAAAAAAAAAAAAGAACCCTGCAATTGACTTAACAACAAACACTTATGGAGCACCTACTATGGACCGGCTTACATTTGGGCTTACAGATGTGTGAAAAAGCTTTTGATATTGCCAAACCAAAGCCAGATCTTTTGATACTAGTCCAGTTATCTTCTTGAGAATCGAGGTGACTATAACTAAAAGATCTGTTTCTACTTAATTATCTATGGGCTACAGAGTAATTTCAAAATCCTTCAGCGTGGCATTTAAGGCCTTTGGCAACATGGCCCCCACACCACCTCTGTCTCATCTCCTGCCACTCCCCTGGACATATTCTATAAAATTTCCTCCCCACATCCCACTCAGAAGGGGGCCAGACTCTGTGAGGGAAGGTGGAATTCTCCCCAGAAGTCCACTGCAGGGAAGAGGAAATTGGATAGGATGGGAGAGTGGGAGGGAGATGAGAGAGGCAGAAGCTCAGAAGGATGGGACTCAGGTTCCTGCACAGAAAGCAGCAGAAGGTGGTTTATTTTTATTTATTTATTCATTTTTTTGAGAAGGAGTCTCACTCTGTCGCCCAGGCTGAGTGCAGTGGTGCAATCTAGGCTCACTGCAACCTCTGCCTCCTGGGTTCAAGTGATTATTTTGTCCCAGCCTCCTGAGTAGCTGGGATTACAGGCGCACGCCACCATGCCCAGCTAATTTTTGTATTTTTAGTAGAGACAGGGTTTTGCCATGTTGGCCAGCTGGTCTTGAACTCCCAACCTCAGGTGATCAACCCGCCTCGGCCTCCCAAAGTGCTGGGATTACAGGCATGAGCCATTGTGCCCGGCCAGAAGATGCTTTATATTGGGGCCTTTTCCACCAGAAATTTACTAATCATTTAAGCCAAACACTACACTGGGAGGCACTAGGGACTCTGAAATACATCCTTGTCCTAAAGAATGTATAATTCTGGGGCTGGACGCGGTGCCTCATGCCTGTAATCCCAGCACTTTGGGAGGCCGAGGTGGATCACGAGGTCAGGAGTTCAAGACCAGCCTGGCCAACATGGTGAAACCCCCATCTCTACTAAAAATACAAAAATTAGCCGGGCATGGCGGTGCGCACCTGTTGTCCCAGCTACTCAGGAGGCTGAGGCAGAGAATTGCTTGAACCTGGGAGGCAGAGGTTGCAGTGAGCCAAGATCGTGCCACTGCACTCCAGCCTGGGTGACAGAGCGAGACTCCATCTCAAAAACAAAAAAAAAAGAAGGTATAATTCTGGCAAATGTATAATTAGAATACATGATAAGAAGTATAATAGAGGTATAAGTAGTATAACAAGCTGTAGACTCACAGAGGAAGGAATGTTTATCTGGGGTGGGGAGTGCTTCATAGAAGAGAGTCTATTTGAAATGGGCTTTGGAGAATAAGTAGGCATTCCCATTCAGGGAGGAGGGAACAAAGAACGCAGGTAGAGAGGTGAGAGCTTGTTCAGTGAATACTCTGGCTCAGCTCTCTGTCCTCTGCTCCCCTGACTGTTGCTACTGGAGGAGATGGGGGGAGCAGAGGAGTGGCAGAGGAGGTGGGGAGCAGAGGACAGAGATAGGTGAGAGCTGAGCCATGAGCATGAGTCTGGGAGAAGTCCGGGGTGGCTTGGTGGGCAGGAGTGCTCCTTATCGATAGGAAACGCACGGGAGGAACAGGCCTAGGAAGGACGAATGGAGAGTTCAGTTTGGGACATTATATAAATTTCTGGCTGCAAATAACAGAATACCAGCTACTCGAAGTTTAAGTAAAGGGCTTACTTTCCCCCCATAACAAGCAGTCTGGAAGTGAGACAGGAACTCAACAGTGTCACCGAAGTTCCAGTGCTTCCCCACGCCCTGCTGTCCTCAGGACCATGGTCACAAGATGGCTGCTTCAGCCAGAGAGCTCCATTCAAGCTACAGGAGCCCCAAGAAGAAGGAGTGGGAGCAAAGCGGTCCTATCCTCCCATGGTGCTCTCCCTCTCTCTTTTTTTTTTTTGAGTCGGAGTCTTGCCCTGTTGCCGAGGCTGGAGTGCAGTGGCGTGATCTCGGCTCACTGCAACCTCCAACTCCTGGGTTCAAGCAATTCTCCCGCCTCAGCCTCCTGAGTAGCTGGGATTACAGGCGCACGCTACCAAGCCCAGGTAATTTTTTTGTGTTTTTAATAGAGACTGGGTTTCACTGTGTTGGTCAGGCTGGTCTCGAACTCCTGATCTCGTGATCCGCCCACCTTGGCCTCCCAAAGTACTGGGATTACAGGCGTGAGCCACGGCGCCCGGAACCCCTCTCCCTTTTTAAAGCCTAGTCAAATGCAGCTGTGAGAAGGGAGAAAAGAGTAGAGCAGGGAGTTCAATCTGTAACTGACTGTGAACAATTGAGATAACTCACTACCTTCTGACCAGCCCAAGGCTCTCTTTTTATCTGGGACCAGCCCAAGGCTCTCTTTTTATCTGGGAAGAAAATCTTTTCTAGCAACTTCCCAGACAAGGAACAGAACCAGTTCGTGTGTCCACATGTCCGTTGCTACACCCATATCTACAAAGGAGAAGGGAGTGCTCTGACTGGGGCTGGGGCAGGGACCTATCCACCCCTGAATCTGTTCTGCTTCCCAAAGACACTGGAGTTCTATCAGCCTAGAAGCAGGGATTACATGGCTTTTGGGTAAGCAGTGAATAGTATCTGCTGCAGACATGTTGCATTTGAGAAACCAGTGGAACTTCTAGAATGAGGAGTCCCAGGGGCGGTTGGAGGTGAGGGTCTGGAGCTCAGGAAGGTGAGAAGCTCAGAACAATTGTTGCTTGTGAACTCTGAGGCTCATGGGAAGGGTTTCTCCTAGACTGCAATGCTTCAGGCAGGGGAGAAGAGCAAAGAGACATAGGGCCAGGAATCCCTTCCTTGTGATTTTGGCTGGGGAGAAATCTGTCCTTTCCAGCTCCTCAACTTTGGCATCCAGGGTGGGAAAGCTGGGTGAGGGACTGGCAGGAGGACATTCACTCTTGGTACAGCCGATAAACCTCTTTTCCACCCCTGGCTAAAATTTTTCACTATAACACAGTATATAAGACCAGGAGTTAGATACTTTTATTTCAGAAGCATTACTTTTATATAATTTTTTTCTCTTTTTCTTTTTTTTGAGACAGAGTCTCACTCTGTCGCCCAGGCTTGAGTGCAGTGGCGTGATCTCGGCTCACTGCAAGCTCTGCCTCCCATGTACACACCATTCTCCTGCCTCAGCCTCCTGAGTAGCTGGGACTACAGGTGCCCACCACCATGCCCAGTTAATTTTTTTTTGTATTTTTAGTAGAGTTGGGGTTTCACCATGTTAGCCAGGATGGTCTCGATCTCCTGACCTTGTGATCCACCCCCCCTCGGCCACCCAAAGTGCTGATATTACAGGTGTGAGCCACCACTCCCGGCCTCTCTTTTTCTTTCTTTTTTTTTTTTTTTCTGAGACAAGGTCTTTCTCTGTCACTCAGGCTGGAGTGCAGTAGCCAGATCTTGGCTCATTGCAGCCTCAACCTCCTGGGCTCAAGCAATCCTCCCATCTCAGCCTCCAGAATAGCAGGGATTACAGGCGTGCACCACCACACCCTGCTAATTTTTGGATTTTTAGTAGAGATGTGGTCTTACCATGTTGGCCAGGCTGGTCTCAAACTGCTGTCTTAAGTGATCTGCCCACCTTGGCCTCCTAAAGTGCTGGGATTACAGGCATGAACCACTGTGCTCTGCCTTTTTTTTTCTAATTCCAGAAGGAATACATGATTAGTGCAGAAAACGTAGAGAAACACAAATGCAGAGAGAAAAAAATCACCCATAGAAGTTAAGGCTCAGGAACATGCACATTTCTTTATTCTTTTCCCATGGCTCTGTAAGTTTTATGGTCAATATCTTTGAGAAGTTATAGTTTAATGCCTATGTTACAACCAACTTGGAATCCCTTACATTTGTGTAACATTTTATTACAGTCCAGTGTTTTCAGTTGTACATTTTATCACATACTATTTCCTTTTTATAGACTCCTACACATTGCGAGGTGGGCAAAGGCAGGAATTATGTCCCCACTGACCAGGTGAAAAAACTAAGGCTCCGAAAGGTGATGGTATTCAGAACTCAGATGGGGAGCCAGGCGCAGTGGCTCATGCCTGCAATCCCGGCACGTTGGGAGGCTGACGTGGGCAAACTTGAGTTCAGGAATTCGAGACCAGCCTGGGTAATGTGGTGAAACCCCATCTCTCTCTCTCTCTCTCTTTTTTTTTTTTTTCTTGGAGACTGAGTCTCACTCTCACTCTCAGTGTGCATTTCCCCTCGCATGGTTCCCGCACAGGCCAACAGGGGCAAGCCCAGGAAGTAGAGGCTACAGTGAACCGAGATGGCATCACTGTGCTCCAGCCTGGGCAACAGAGCGAGACCCTCTCTCAAAACTCAAAAAAAAAAAAAAAAAAAAAAAGGCCAGGTGAGGTGGTTCACTCCTGTAATCCTAGCACTTTAGGAGGCCGGGTGGGCAGATCACCTGAGGTCAGGAGTTTCAGACCAACCTGGCCAACATAGTGAAACCCCAGCTCTACTAAAAATACAAAAATTAGTTGGGCGTGGTGGCGCGTGTCTGTGGTCCCAGCTACTACTCAGGAGGCTGAGTCAGGAGAATATGGCTTGAACCCGGGAGGTGGAGGTTGCAGTGAGCCAAGATTGCACCACTGCACTCCAACCTGGGCGACAGAGCAAGACTCAGTCTCAAAAAAAAAAAAGAACTCAGGTGGGGTACATTTGATGGGGCTTGGATCTACACCATGCTATTCCTTCTACGCCCCACTTGCCTGGCTCTCCTGGGGATAAAGGAGATATGGCACCAAGTGCTATATCTGTATCTGCTGGGAGCAAATGGGGGGAGTCAGTAGAGAAGGTAAAGGAAAGAGCTAGAGAGGGGGCTGGGTGTGGGACAGTCTCAGAGGGAACCTGAGGCGGTTTGTGGGACAGGCTCTGAGATGCAGTCCCCCAGGGCTTAAGCTCACCCTGGCCCGTCCCTGCAGGCAGGTGGGAGATGGCCAGATAATGGACAGCTCATTTGTTTGTATAACAGGTGCTCTGCCTAAGTGCCGCAAGCCACATCCAATAAAGGCAGCTGGTGAACAGGGAGACAGTGCAGAGAGGGGTGGGGTCGGGGGCCCAGCTGTGGAAACTTGGGAAAGTTACCTAACCTCTCTGAGCCTCACCTTTTCTTCATCATAAAATGGGGTCAAGACTACTTTCTCTATGCAATTATTATTATTATTATTATTATTATTATTATTATTATTATTAATTTATTTACTTTGAGATGGAGTTTTACTCTTATTGCCCAGGCTGGAGTGCAATGGCGCGATCTCAGCTCACCGCAACCTCCGCCTCCCGGGTTCAAGTGATTCTCCTGCCTCAGCCTCCGGAGTAGCTGGGATTACAGATGCCTGCCACCACGCCCCATTAATTTTTTTTTTTTTTTTTTTTGAGACAGAGTCTGACTGTCACCCAGGCTGGAGTGCAGTGGTGTGATCTCGGCTCACTGTAAGCTCTGCCTCCAGGGTTCATGCCATTCTCTTGCCTCTGCCTCCCAAGCAGCTGGGACTACAGGTGCCCGCCACAATGCCCAGCTAATTTTTTTTTTTTTTTTGTATTTTTAGTAGAGATGGGGTTTCACTGTGTTAGCCAGGATGGTCTCGATCTCCTGACCTCGTGACCCGCCCGACTCAGCCTCCCAAAGTGCTGGGATTACAGGCGTGAGCCATTGCGCCTGGCCTCCATGCAATTATTGCAGGGATCGAATGAAATAATAGATGTGCGGGCCTGGCACTTAGCCTGGGGAGTGGGTTGTGCATAAGCACGGGGTGAATTTCCCCTCGCATGGTTCCCGCACAGGCAGAAGGGGGCAAACGTGCTGATAGTGAGGGTAAGGATACAGGGAAGTGGGGAGGAGTCCCAGGATCACGAATGGGATGGGTATGTGGTAAATGCCCTAGGATGAGGTGGCCAAGAGTGCTGAGGTTCTGTGAGGGCAGAGTGATGAGTGGGGGAAGTGACTTTTGAGGGTTCTCGGGTGAGGTTGGTGGGCAAGGGCATTCCATGCCCAAAGGAATCCTATGGGCCACACTGCCCTGCCCCTGCATGGGCGAGGGGAAGGTGACAGGGAAGATCTGTCCCCCAGAGCTCCTTCTTCCCTCCTTCCTGGTCCTTTTTCCTCCCCTGGCTCCACTGTAGTCTCCCCCACCCTCCCCTGCTCTCCTTCTTCCTCTTGGCTCTGGCATCATCAAGTCCTCCAACCTTGGCCGGGCACTGTTTGGTCTGAGTTTCGTCTTAAACAGGAGTAGGACTTGATTAAGTAATGGTGGGGGGAGGGTACAAAAAGCACTGAAGAGACAGAGTTTGGGCAGGGGGAATAGGGAGGAGGCCAGGAACCACCCAGAGAGGTAGGGCAGGAGAAAACAGATAGCTGGAATGCCAGGTGGAAAGCAGTAAATTCCTTGGGGGTGGCACACCGCACTGTGGCACTCAAAAAAGAGCTCCTCTCCTGGCACAAATCCCCATGTCTGGGGAGGTGTTGGGCGTCCTAGGGGAGGTCCTTTGGAGACTGGGCTTATCAGGAAATTGGTTTTAAATGGGCTGAGGGCATACCAGATTGGGCTGGAGAAGGGCTCTTGGGCAAACCCAGGTTGGCTTCAGAAGCAAGCTGAGGGGGTTGTATTTAATTGGGAAGTTGCCCTGGGAATAGTCACAGCATCAGCTCATGTTTATAGAACATGTTCCTTATTCCAGGCTCATTTGAAGCACTTTGTGTACATTAATGCACTTAATCTTCACAGTCACCATAAGAGGTAGGTAGAATTATTATCTTTATTTTATTTTATTTTATTTTATTTTTTTGAGATAGGATCTCACTTTGTCGCCCAGGCTGGAGTGCAGTGGCACCATCATAGCTCACTACAGCCTCGACCTCCTGGTTCAAGTGAGCCTTTCCCTCAGCCTCTTGAGTAGCTTTGACTGCAGGTGCACGCCACCACCACCCACCTAATTTTCGTATTTTTAGTAGAGACGGGTTTTCCTCATGTTGGCCAGGCTGGTCTCGAACTCCTGACCTTAAGTGATCCACCTGTCTCAGCCTCCCAGTGTACTGGGATTACAGGTGTGAGCCACCATACCCGGCCTATAGAGCTGTTCTCTTTCTTCTGGGATGACTGAGGTGATGAGATGGCAGTCGAAGACTATATTTTGCCTCCCTGACAAATACACTTGGCCTCCCTGCAGGCATTGCATTTGCAAGCCAGTTCTTCATCCTCACACATGACAATTCCAGGGCCTTAAATCCCAATCCCATGTTCTCTCTCCACTTCTCTATCTCAAAGCACTATTCCCAGGCTCTAATTTACAACTTCTCAATCCATTTTTCACCATGTTGGCCAGGGTGGTCTCGAACCCCTGACCTTAAGTGATCTGCCCACCTCGGCCTCCCAAAGTGCTGGGATTACAGGTGTGAGCACTTTAAATTTAACTTGCTGAAATAGAGCTCCTTGTCATTTCTTCAAAACACAGGTCTGCTCCTGATTTCCTTGGCTTGTTTATGGTTTGAGTGGGATCACCCCATCTCCCAGGTGCCGTAGCGGGCAATATCCTGAGACTGGCCAGTCCCAGCACAGCAGCCCCAGGCCACAGGGATTGGTTTGGGAAAGGGAATGTAGTCTAAGACAGGATAAACGGGAATCTCCAAAAAAATTGAGGGGAATGGAAGCTGGGCAAGCAAACAGGCAGATTTAACTAGAAGAGCCTGGTAGCTTGAGGTTGCAGAAAGGAGGGAAGGATGTTTTTAAGGGATGGGGAAACCCAGGCCCAGTTGTTGATAAAGAGGAAAGAATTCATGAGAGTCTATGCCCAGATTAACTGCCACTTCCCCAGGCCTCACCTAGGTGAAAAGCTTAGTACTCAGGAGGCTGAGGCGGGAGGGTCCACTAGAGACCAGGGGTCTGAGTGCACTCCAGCCTGGGCAACAGAGTGAGGGCCCTGTCTTTATTTATTTATTTTTTTTTTTGAGACAGAGTCTTGCTCTTGTTGCTCAGGCTGGAGTGCCGTGGCGGGATCTCGGCTCACTGCAACCTCTACTTCCCGGGTTCAAGTGATTCTCCTACCTCAGCCTCCCAAGTAGGTGGGTTTACAGGCGTCTGCCACCACGCCCATATAATTTTTGTATTCTTAGTAGAGATGGGGTTTCACCTTGCTGGCCATGCTGGTCTCGAACACCTGATTTCAAGTGATCCACCCGCCTCAGCCTCCCAAAATGCTGGGATTACAGATGTGAGCCACTGCACCTGGCCTCAAGAGCCTGTCTTTAAAAAGAAAAAAAAAAAAAGTTTGGGCTTTGGAGAGAGATTGCAAAGATTTGAATCCCAGCTCCATCACTTATTTGGATATGACCCTGGGCCAATCACATCTGTGCCTGTTTCCTAATTTATGAAATAAGGATGATAATAATAGTGCCCACCCTTTGGATCATGATGAGGATGAAATGAGATAATGTATGTAAAGTACTTAGAACGGCTGGCCTGTTTGGCATATAGAAAAACCTCAGGATTAATATTAATATTGTTATTATTTTTTTCTTTTTTGAAATGGAGTCTTGCTCTGTCACCCAGGCTGGAGTGCAATACTGCAATCTTGGCTCACTGCAACCTCCACCTCCTGGGTTCAAGTGTTTCTCCTGCCTCAGTCTCCTGAGTAGCTGGGATTACAGGCATGCACCACCACGCCTGGCTAATTTTTGTATTTTTAGTAGAGACGGGGTTTCACCATGTTGGTCAGGTTGGTCTTGAATTCCTGACCTTGTGATCCACCCATCTCGGCCTCCCAAAGTGCTGAAATTACAGGTGTGAGCCACCATGCCCAGCCAGGATTAGTATTATGACAGCAATTATTAGGATTTTTATTGTAGAAGGCTCACAGTGACAGTAACAAGTTTTAAGCCAACTGGCTCCTGCTTCTGCTTGCTGACATAGGACCTCCAGCCCCTTGCAAAGTCCCTCTGAAATATCACTGATGGTCCCCCTAGGGCATTTCACATGGGCTCAGAAACATGTTTGGGCTGGCTGAGTGCTGCAGCTGTTCTGGAGGGCTCAGTGTTTTCCTGCTGGTGGGGGTTGGGGCACTGGAAATCTCTCCTCTCCCTTGTCACCTCTGTTGGGGGTTCCCAAGAAAGGCGGCTTGTGCTTTCATGTGTTACAGATTGGCATGTCTGTTCTTCGATTTTTTTTTTCTTTTTAAGACGGACTCTCACTGTCACCCAGGCTGGAGTGCAGTGGTGAAATCTTGGCTTGCTGCATAGTCTGCCTCCCGGGTTCAAGTGATTCTCTTGCCTCAGCCTCCTGAGTATATGGGATTACAGGCGCATGCTACCATGCCTGGCTAATTTTTGTGTTTTTTTTGTTGTTGTTTTTGTTTGTTTGCTTGTTTTTTGTTGTTGTTGTTTGTTTTTTGTGATGGAATCTTGCTCTGTTGCCAGGATGGAGTGCAGTGGCGTGATCTCGGCTCACTGCAACCTCCGCCTCCTGGGTTCAAGCAATTCTCCTGCCTCAGCCTCCTGAGTAGCTAGGACGACAGGCGCACACCACCACACCCAGCAAATTTTTTGTGCTTTTAGTAGAGACGGGATTTCACCATGTTAGCCAGGATGGTCTTGATCTCCTGACCTCGTGATCTGCCTGCCTCAGCCTCCCAAAGTGTTGGGATTACAGGTGTGAGCCACTGCACACGGCCAATTTTTTGTATTTTAGTAGTGCCAGGGTTTCACCATCTTGGCCAGGATGGTCTCGAACTCCTGACCTCAAGTGATCCACCCACCTTGGCCTCCCAAAGTGCTGGAATTACAGGCATGAGCCACTTCACCTGGCCCAATTTTTTTTTAATCATCTGATTTTTAGATTCATCTTTAATTTTCATTCACAGTCACCTCTATCCACAGGGCCCTGACAGGCTTCCCTGGGGCTGGACTGAGGATGGATCTGCACACTTGCTGCCATGCTATGCTGCAGCGGGATTTCTTTTTTTTTTCTTTTTTCTTTTTTTTTTGAGACAGAGTCTCCCTCTGTTGCCCAGGCTTGAGTGCAGTGGTGCCATCTCAGCTCACTGCAAGCTCCGCCTCCAAGATTCAGGCCATTCTCCTGCCTCAGCCGCCCGAGTAGCTGGGATTACAGGCGCCCCCCACCACGCCCGGCTAATTTTTTGTATTTTTAGTAGAGACGGGGTTTCACCATGTTAGCCAGGATGGTCTCGATCCCCTGACCTCGTGATCCACCCGCCTTGGCCTCCCAAAGTGCTGGGATTACAGGCATGAGCCACCCCGCCCGGCCTGCAGCGGGATTTCTAGTCCTCTGAGGATGAGGGCTTTGCCACAGAGCCATTTGGGAGCTTCCTCAGCCCCTCCCGCAGGCAGCCACGCTCCTGTGAGGTGTTCCTCCTGGCTGTGGCAATTTCCGACTCCAGTGTGCACACAGCCATCACACTCCCCATAGATGGCCTGCCATGGCCCCTCCTGGGACAGCAGCCCAGGCGAGTCCTTCTGCAGAAAGCTTGGGCCAAGCAAAGGACCACCTGCCTAGGGTGAGGGCAGTCAAGGATAAGGGGGCGGGAGCTGAGGACACAGCCGTCAATTTACCACACTAGGTGGGGCTGGGCCCCTTGCACAGGTTAGGGGCGAGTCCTGTCTCCAACTCTGGGCTGTACTTAGTCACTAAATGTGCAGAGCCAGGCCCCCCAGGCCCCACGGCCCTCATCAAATCCATTCATCTGGCTCCTCCCCACACCCTTCCACAGGTCAAGAACACACCCAAGATCTTCCTTCCCTCTGCCTCATCACCATTTTTCTCCTGACAAACCTTTAAAAAAAGAAAAGAAAAAAAAAGGCCAGGCGCGGTGGCTCATGCCTGTAATCCCAGCACTTTGGGAGGCTGAGGTGGGCGGGTCACCTGAACTCAGGAGTTTGAGACTAGCCTGGCCAAAATGGTGAAACCCCGTCTCTACTAAAAATACAGAAAATTAGCTGGGTGTGGTGGCGGGCGCCTGTAATCCCAGTTACTGGGAAGCTGAGGCACAAGAATTGCTCGAACCCCAGAGGCAGAGGTTGCAGTGAGCTGTGATTGCACCACTGCACTCCAGCCTGGGTGACAGAGAGGAAAAAAAAAAAAGAAGAGAAAAATA
The DNA here is from genome assembly GCF_000001405.40 of Homo sapiens. NCBI lineage: Eukaryota > Metazoa > Chordata > Mammalia > Primates > Hominidae > Homo > Homo sapiens. The sequence continues at coordinate 155,111,685 of NC_000001.11, read as the reverse complement.
CAACAAACAAACATCAACAGCGGAAGTTAACTGGAGACCCCCGTTTGTGAACCAGTGAAAGGGACAATGGATGAGGAGGCTGGTGTGGTATCCTGAGGGCATCCTGTGGATAAGGCACCAGGCCAGGGGCTGGGGCCCTGAGGTTTCACTCCTCCCAGGTCTAGAGGGGTCCATCCTACCCCTGCTGCCAGAAGAGGGGCCTTTCCTCTGCCCCACAGCACCTGGGTCTAGGAACTGTCTGATTCACCGCCAGGAAACCCTCTCCTTGAGATGTTTCTTCATAGGTCATCCCAGAGCCTGCTAAATGCTTTTGCCCTAGGCTGGCTGTGTGGCTGGTGGTCTGTGGAATGAGGAAAGTGTCTCCTCTCCACTGGCTACTGGGAGAGCATATAAAATAAACATGATTTAAAAAGCCAGTGCCCACAGAAGACACAGACGAAATATTAAAAAATAAAAAAATAAGAAAAATAAAATAAAAATAAACAACCCCCCAGAAACCCCAGGTTCCCAAGCTGGGTGGGATGTGGAGTAAGCCAGTTTGCGGTGACATTTATATAAGGGGCTTGGTTCCTCCCTCAGGCAAGTCAAGCAAGTTGTAAAATTTGAGGGCACATTTTAAAATTGTTTAAAATCCTCCAAATGTGTTTCCTGTCTGGCACGGTGGATGGCGCGTTGGTAATACATGTGCATGTGTGGCCTGGAGGACGTGTTAACGACCAGGTTTAGAGGCAGAGATGCAGAAGAGCCTGCAAGAACCAGGAGCGAGAAAAGGGGTCTGTTGTTGTCATGGTGTGTGTTCCCCGTGTTGGAATGTGTGTAAGGGGCCTCTGGTCCTGTGAGGGTGGTTTAGTCTGGGAAATTAGCATCTTTTTTAAAGCTACTCTATTATAAATCATTAGTTAAAGGCCTTCAGGGCTAATAATACAGGTATGTGGTTTTTACTTCTGAAGCAAGCAGGTGTGATAATATTTGACAACACATCATAATTAGAATAGAGCGACATGCAGTTTGGTAAATTAGATGGTGACGATTAGACCCCCGCACATCGTGGCCTCTACCTTTGCCTAAGCTTTTCCCTCTGCCTGGGACGCCTTTACCAGCTGTCAAATCCTACTCATCCTTCCCAGCCTGGCTCCGTACCATCTCCCCACAGAGCGAATTAATCACTCTCTCTTCTGGGCCCCTGTGACATTTTGTCTTTTACAATGTTTACTTTGTTCTTTCTCTTCTGAAATTTAGCCGAATATGTGTCCCTTCCCCATCACAAGTCCTTTGAGGACCAGAACTGTGTCTTGGCTGTTGTCTTCCCTGCAGTTCTGTGCCCAGTGTGGGATCTTGGTTAATGTTTATTGAATTAAACTTCTTCTTCTTTTTTTAAGGGAATTACTTTGCAGAAAATTTAAAAACCCATATTGACATGGACCCAACTTGGTAAAAGCCATTACACTTAAGGTTTTTTTTTTTTGAGACAGAGTCTTGCTCTGTCACCCAGGCTGGAGTGCAGTGGCACGATCTCGGCTCACTGCAATCTCTGCCTCCTGCGTTCAAGCAATTCTCCTGCCTCAGCCTCCTGAGTAGCTGGGACAACAGGTGCGCACCACCACACCTGGCTAATTTTTTATTTTTAGTAGAGATGGGGTTTCACAATGTTGGCCAGGCTGGTCTCGAACTACTGACCTCAGGTGATCCACCCGCCTCGGCCTCCCAAAGTGCTGTGATTACAGGCGTGAGCCACCGTGCCTGGCCTACACTTAAATATTTTAAAATATTTCATGCTCTGAACTTTGCATCATTTGGAGTATAGATGTAGGCTGGTGCAGTGGCTCCAGCCTGTAATCTCAGCACTTTGAGAGAATCTTTTGAACCCAGAGGTTTAAAACCAGCCTGGGCAACATAGTGATACCACCATCTCTACAGAAAATTTAAAAAATAGCCGGGTGTGGTGGTGCGGGCCTGTAGTCCCAGCTGCTTGGGAGGCTGAGGTAGGGGGATCACTTGAGCCCTGGAGGTTGAGGCTGCAGTGAGCCAAGGTCATGCCACGGCACTCCAGCCTCAGTTACAGAGCGAGACCCTGTCTAAAAACAGACAGACAAACAAACAATCACCAAAATAGAGTACAGAATTAATTGTGTTGAATTTAGAACTGATGGAATTCAAAATATAATTTGAAGAAAATATGGGTTTATTTTGTTGTTATGATACATAATGTCTATCTTGCAAGAAAATCTTTTGTTTGGCGATAGCATTTATAAGGGGTAAGAAAACCTGTGGCAAATTTGTCTTTACTATGAAATTTGCTGGCACTTGATTGATGAGGATGGTGCCACTCCAGCCACTGGGCATTATTCTCTGCAGTGGCTTCTGGGCTGGGTATCATGGAACACAAGACTGAGCATGGAAGGAACACGATTCGTATGAATAATTCAAAGGCACCCAAAATGCTGCTTCGTTAAGTGGGAATGTTAAAGGGGGTGGCAATCTGTAAGTTTAGCTGTTGTGTTCAGCTTTTGAAAATGAGAAAGAAAGAAGAAAAAAAGAAAAGAAAAGAGAGAGGCCGGGTGCGGTGGCTCATGCCTGTAATCCCAGCACTTTGGGAGGCCGAGGCAGGTTGATCACCTAAGGTCAGGAGTTCGAGACCAGCCTGACCAACATGGTGAAACCCTGTCTCTACTAAAAATACAAAATTAGTTGGGTGTGGTTGTAGGTGCCTGTAATCCCAGCTACTTGGGAGGCTGAGTCAAGAGAATTGCTTGAACCTGGGAGGTAGAGGTTGCAGTGAGCCAAGGTTGCACCATTGCATTCCAGCCTGGGTGACAGAGCAAGACTCCATCAGAAAAAAAGAAGAAAGAGAGAAGGGAGGAAGGGAGGGAGGGAGGAAGGAAGGGAGGGAGGGAGGAAGGAAGGGAGGGAGGGAGGGAGGGAGGAAGGAAGGCAAGAAGGAAGGAAGGGGAGAGAAAGAAAGAGACCTTGTAGAACCTTAGTGTTAAATAGTGAGCCTGTATTGGAACAACACTGAGGCAGGTGCCTGCTGAGCTCTAACATGAAGGTGGGCATTCATGCCCTTTTGCTTTGCTTCCCTGTTGCCCCCAGGATGTGGTACATGGGAAGAAACAGGTGCTTAGGGACCAGGCAGACCTAGGGTTTAAATAGTAACCAGCAATGGTCTTGAGTCTCAGTTCCCTCGTCTGTAAAGTGAAAAGAATAATAAATACCTCACAGGGATTTGTGACACTTGTAAACTGCCCGGTACAGCACCTGGCAGATGTAAGTGCACAGGCATGTTAGCTCTCCCACTCAGCCTGGCAGACTCCCCTCCAACCTCTCCCCGCAGCCCATCTACGCCACCCTTTCTTTAGATTTAGGCTGGCTTCGCAAATGAAAATATGGGATACCCAGTTAAATTTGAATTGCCGATAAACAACGAATAGTTTTTTAGTATTAAGTATGTCCAATACAATATTTGGGAGATGTGCTAAGAAAAAATTCATTGTTTACCTGAAATTCAAATTCAACTGGGAGTTCTGTAGTTTATCTGGCAACACTATGCTAAGTTCCACGTCCTCCAGGAAGGACAGCTTGGTGATGGCTCCACCCTCTGAACTCCTGTAGCCTTTCGTGACTTTGACACTTTGCTGACACCCAGGAAGCAACACATTTTTACTTATTAGTAATAACAACTACGACTACTTGTCCAGCATCTACAATATACCAGACACGTGGGAGCTTTATACAACCTGTCACATTAACCCTCCAAGGCTGGAAGGAGCATCACCTTGGGAGCACTGGAGGGTCAGTGCCGCCCAGCTGGCACACAGTGGCATTGCGCTTCAGGCTCAAGCCTTCAGGACTGGACTCCAAAACCCACACTGCAGCTCCTGATGGGCAGTGAGTGAGACTCACCCAAAGGCCTCTGCCAGTGCCTGGCACACAGTGGCATCTGCTTGGGTTTATGGCTGTAGAGAGTGATGTTCCAAAGCAGCAACACCAGCATCAGAATTGATTTGGGGAATCTCGGGATTGTGATCTGTCCTAAACCGCATTATGGCAAATACATGGGTTTTCAGACAAGAATAGGAATGTTTCTAAACTTCCAGAAATTTCTAGAGGGCTCACTGTTTGCTTTTGTGTGTGGATAACTCCAGCATTGCTGCCTGAAGTATTGTGACACCAGCCCCTGAGCAAAGTTCTCCTTGATATGGCTTGTGACATGGTGTGATGTGTGATGTGGCATGCACGTGATGTTTGACACAGGGCAGGGGCTGGTTGGGACTGAAGACATCCATATTCCTGTAAGATTTTTTGGTTCAAGTTTGGGAATCAGCTGCGTGCAGCTGTAGTCCTCTTTGGAGGGGATGTTCAGCGTAATTAAGCAGCCCTTTCTGATACCTGATCCCCGTGGATGTGCTTCACCTGGACACAGAGGACCTGGGCATGAAGATCCCCCACTCCTGGGGTTGGGGGCAGGATAGGTTTATGGCCACCGAATGGAAATGCAGCTCCTTCTGTTGTTCAGACCTCACTTGTCATATTAATGTTACTTCCTTGCTTGGCTTCAAAGTTAGACAAATGCAGGATGGTCAAGCCCATTCAGTTCCCGGGAGAGAAAGAAGTGGCTGTGACAAGCAGGCCTGGGTGCAGCTAGTGATGCACCTGGGGTGGGCGTGGCCTTCCTCCCCGTTAGGCTGGCTGTCTCTTCCTCTCAGCCTTCTTTTGTCTCTTTTTATTCCCATTCTAATTTCTTTTTATTTTTACTTTAAAAAATTGTTTTTAGAGGCAAGGTCTCATTCTGTTGCCCAGGCTGGAGTGCAATGGCGTGATCTCGGCTCACTGCAACCTCCGCCTCCCAGGTTCAAGCAATTCTCCTTCTTCACCCTCCCGAGTAGCTAGGATTACAGGCGCATGCCACCATGCCCGCCTAATTTTTGTTTTGTTTTGTTTTGTTTTGCTTTTTGACACAAAGTTTCACTCTTGTTGCCCAGGCTGGAGTGCAATGGCACAATCTCAGCTCACTGCAACCTCTGCTTTCCAGGTTCATACAATTCTCCTTCCTCAGCCTCCCAAGTAGCTGGAATTACAGGTGCACACCACCACGCCCAGCTAATTTTTTTGTATTTTTAGTAGATACAGGGTTTCACCATGTTGGCCAGGGTGGTCTTGAACTCCTGACCTCAGGTGATCCACCCGCCTTGGCCTCCCAAAGTGCTGGGATTACAGGTGTGAGCCACCACACCCGGCCTAATTTTTGTATTTTTAGTAGAGACGGGGTTTCACCACATTGGCCAGGCTGGTCACAAACTCCTGACCTCAAGTGATCCCCCTGCCTTGGCCTCCCAAAGTGCTGGGATTACAGGCATGCCTGGCCTAGTCCTATTCTTCACACACAGTTGAGAGATCCTTTAATTTAATTTAATTTAAAGAGACAGGGTCTTGCTGTGTTGATGCTACAGTGCAGTGGCATAATCACAGCTCACTGTAACCTGGAACTCTTGGGCTCCAGTGATGCTCCCACCTCAGCCTCCCTAGAAGCTAGGACTACAGGTACGTACCACCACACCAGGCTAATTTTTTTTTTTTTTTGTAGAGAAAAGCTCTCACTATGTTACCAGACTGGTCTCAAACTCCTGGCCTCAAGCAGTCCTCCTAGCAGAATTACAAAGTGTTGAGCCATCACACCTGGCCTCAAGAGATCCTTTAAAGTGTGACTCTTATCTGTGCTCCCCTGGCCAAACCCTCCAGTGGCTCCCAGTCATGTTTACAGTGAAATTCAGATGCACACTGTGTTCTCCCAATCCCCTGGCGCCCGCCTCCACCATTTCTCAATCCATTTCCCTCCTTACACACCATTCTCCAGCCACACTGGGCTTCTTCATGCTCCTCGACCTCCCTGGCCATGCTCCAGCCTCAGGGAATTTGTACTTTGAAACAGAGGAAGCAAAACTCTCCTCCAATGTATAATTTGGCTCAATCAAATGTTCCCTCCAGTGAGAGTCTTTCCTGATGGCTACAGCATGCACAATGGAGCGCGCTCACACACACACACGCAGACAAACAGACATACACGCCTCTTACTCTATCCTCTTTTTTTTTCTTGGCTCACTGCAACCTCTGCCTCCCAGATTCAAGCGATTCTCCTGCCTCAGCCTCCTGAGTAGCTGGGACTACAGGCATGTGCCACCAAGCCCGGCTAATGTTTGCATTTTTAGTAGAGACGGGGGTTTCACCATATTCACCAGGCTGGTCTTGAACTCCTGACCTCAAGTGATCCACCTGCCTTGGTCTCCCAAAATGCTGGGATTACAGGTGTGAGCCGCCATGCCCGGCCCTATCCTATCTATCTATCTATCTATCTATCTATCTATCTATCTATCTATCTATCATCTATCTATCTATCTAATCTTTTCTATTTTGTTTCTCCCCAGCTGACTATAAGCTTCATAAGGCAGGGACTTTGTTCCATACTGTAGAGAACATATCCAGAAAAAGGTTCTGAGCACAAAGTAGGATCTTAAAAAACAGGAAGGGCATTGCTGATTCTCAGGAACACCAAACAGAGTGGCTTTGAGGAGCAGATACATAAAAATGGCAGCCTGTATGCTGCTCCCTTCCCCCTAACTGTTTCCTGAGAGCCAGGTTTACACTTCCAGGAATAAGATTAGAGGACTCTTCTGGAAAACTTCCAGAGAATGGTCCCAGGCCAAAGATCTACATTTAGAACAAATGAGAAGCCACTAGATGTCCTTTTATTCTTGCCTTCCACACTTACTCCCTTCTGCACCTACTATTGAACACCTGCTATGCGCTAGAAAACATTCTAGGTGCTGGGACTCTATCTGTAAACAAAACTGCTGTAGATCCTCACCTTGAGGAGCTTACATTCCGAAGAGTGTGCCTTCGAAACCCAGGTGTACACAGTCACCCAACAGCACTCTGTCCTGCTTCATGCAGAAATGTGAATGGAGAGCCACCAAGGGGAAAAACAGACCAAAGCACAGAGAAAAAGAAATCAAAGGGAACTAGGAATCATTCAGGGAGTAGAAGAAAACCTTTAAAATGGCAATTAGTATTTTTAGAGAGGTAAGAGATTATTCATAAAATGAGAACCAGGTTATATTAAAAAATAAAATAAGGCCAGGCTCAGTGGCTCATGCCTGTAATCCCAGCACTTTGGGAGGCAGAGATGGGTGGATTACTTGAGGCCTGGAGATCAAGACCAGCCTGGCCAACATAGTGTACTGCCTTCTCTACTAAAAATACAAAAATTAGCTGGGCATGGTGGCGCACGCCTGTAATCCCAGCCGCTCAGGAAGCTGAGGGAGGAGAATTAACTTGAGCCTGGGAGGTGGAGGTTGCAGTGAACCAAGATTGTGCCACTGCACTCCAGCCTGGGCCACAGAGTGAGACCCTGTCTCGAAAAAACTAAACTACTCGGAAATTAAATATAGGTAAGTAAAAACAATTAACCAAAGGAATGGCAAGTCTGAGGAAATCTCTGAGAAAGCAGAATAATTAGACAAAGAGTTGGGGAACAAAGGAGAAAAATAGAAAAATTAGAGAATCAGCCCAGGAGACTGAACATTCAACTATAAAAGAGAGGAGACGGGAGGAAATTATCCAAGAAATAATACAAAACGCTTTCTTCCTCCATTTCCTCCTTTCTTTTCCTCCCTTCCTCCCTCCTCCCTCCCTCCCTTTCTCTCTCTCTCTCTCCTCTCTCTCTCTCTCTCTTTCTTTTCTTAATAAGGAGTCTTGCTCTGTTGCCCAGGCGGGAGTGCAGTGGCATGATCTCAGCTCACTGCAACCTCTGCCTCCTGCGTTCAAGCAATTCTCCTGCTTTAGCCTCCCAAGTAGTTGGGACTACAGGCGCCTGCCATCACACCTGGCTAATTTTTGTATTTTCAGTAGAGATGAGGTTTTGCCATATTGGCCAGGCTGGTCTTGAACTCCTGACCTCAGGTGACCCACCTGCCTTGGCCTCCCAAAGTGCTGCCATTACAGGCGTGAGCCACTGCGCCTGGCCAAGAAACTTTCTAAGAACTGAAAATTTAGAATGAGTGATAAAGATTAGTATTCATACACAGGATCGGGAATCTGTTTTGACTTGGATTTCTCAATAGCAGCGCTAGAAACTGGGATAGCTGAATCAGTGACCTTGAACTTCTGAGGGAAAATGTTTTCCAACTTAGAATTCTACCCCCAGCTAATCTAACAATCAAGAATGAGGTTAGTGCCGGGCGCGGTGGCTCATGCCTGTAATCCTAGCACTTTTGGAGGCTAAGGTGAGTGGATCGCCTTAAGACAGGAGTTCCGAGAACAGCCTGGCCAACATGGTGAAAACCCACCTCTACTAAAAATACAAAAATTAGCCGAGCGTGGTGGCGCACGCCTGTAGTCCCAGCTACTCTAGAGGCTGAGGAAGGAGAATCGCTTGAACACGGGAGGTGGAGGTTGCAGTGAGCCAAGATCGCACCACTGCATTCCAGCCTGGGCCACAGAGCGAGACTCCATCTCAAGAAAAAAACAAAAAGCCGGGTGCGGTGGCTCACGCCTGTAATCCCAGCACTTTGGGAGGCCGAGGCAGGGGATCACAAGGTCAGGAGATCGAGACCATCCTGGCTAACACGGTGAAACCCCATCTCTACTAAAAATACAAAAAATTAGCCTGGCGTGGTGGCAGGCGCCTGTAGTCCCAGCTACTCGGGAGGCTGAGGCAGGAGAATGGCGTGAACTTGGGAGGCGGAGCTCACAGTGAGCCGAGATCGTGCCACTGCACTCCAGCCTGGACGACAGAGCAAGACTCCGTATCAAAAACAAAACAAAACAAAAAACAAACAAAAAATACATACATACAATACATCCCGGAGATCTTTCTTGGAGAAATTCCTTACTCCTTTGTCTAGTGGCTTATTCCATTGCGTGGATGTACAGTAGTGTATTTAGCCAGTCCTCCATAGGACACTTGGGTTGTTTCCAATACTTTACTATTGTCAGTGAATGCCACAATGAATAACTATATACCTACTTCGTTTCAAATGTGCATAGACATAGCTGCCGGACAAATTCCCAGAAGGAGGATTGCTAGGTTAAAGGGTAAATGCATTTGTCATTTTGCTTGGTATCTCCAAATCCCCTTCCATGTGAGTGATAGAGCTTTGCCCTCCCACTGGCAATGTATGAAAATGCCTGTTCCCTAAAGCCACGTCAACAGACTGTGTTGTAAACCTTTGGATTTTTGCCAAGCTGATAAATGAGAAGTGCTATCTTGGTGTGGTTTTAATTTTCATTTCTCTTATGTGTGAGAATGAACATCCTTTTAAACATTTAAAAGCCACTTGCATTTCCTTTCAGTAAACTGTTCATTTTCTTTGGTCATTTCTCTTTTTTTTTTGAAACAGTCTCACTCTGTTACCCAGGCTGGAGTGCAGTGGCGCAATCTCGGCTCACTGCAACCTCTGCCTCCCAGGTTCAAGCAATTCTCCTGCCTCGGCCTCCCGAATAGCTGGGATTACAGGCGTGCCCCACCATGCCTGGAGAACTTTTTTGTATTTTTAGTAGATACGGGGTTTCATCATATTGGCCAGGCTGGTCTCAAACTCCTGACCTTGTGATCCGCCCACCTCGGCCTCCCAAATTGGTAGGATTACAGGCGTGAGCCACTGCTCCCGGCCTCTTTGGCCATTTCTCTATTGGGTTATTGGTCTTTCCAGTTAGTTATTAATTCCAAGGAAAAGAAAAAGTTTTTAAAGAACTAGAATGAATCATAGTATATTATGTGAGTCAATTGTGAACAATTGTCACAGTTTAATAACCATCTAAATGCTAAATATTGATTTAACCAAAAATTTTGGATTTGACTCTATTGGGAGGGCAGTGTATGTGTTTCTGTGCATTGAGAGGCAGGACACAGAGAACTGAATCCTCATGTTTCATGAGAGGAAGTCGATAGAGCAGGTCTAACATTGAATAAAGAAAAAGAAAAAAGAGAAAAACAGCAGTGCAAGCATCTTATTTAGAAATATAAAGGTAAGGCCGGGCACGGTGGCTCACACCTGTAATCTCAGCACTTTGGGAGGCCGAGGTGGGCGGATCATGAGGTCAGGAGATTGAGACCACCCTGGCTAACACGGTGAAACCCTGTCTCTACTAAAAAATACAAAAAAATTAGTCGGGCGTGGCTGGGCGCTGTGGCTCACGCCTGTAATCCCAGCACTTTGGGAGACTGAGGCGGGCGGATCACGAGATCAGGAGATTGAGACCATGGTGAAACCCTGTCTCTACTAAAAATACAAACAATTAGCCGGCCTTGTGGCGGGCACCTGTAGTCCCACTGTAGTCCTACTGGGGAGGCTGAGGCAGGAGAATGGCGTGAACCCAGGAGGCGGAGCTTGCAGTGAGCCGAGATCGCACCACTGCACTCCAACCTGGGTGACAGAGCGAGACTCCGTCTCAAAAAAAAAAAAAAAAAAAAAAATATATATATATATATATATATATATATATATATATATATAGGTAAACTGGGTGTGGCGGTGCACACCTGCAGTCTCAACTACTTGGGAGGCTGGGGGAGGATTGTTTGAGCCCAGGAATTTAAGGGTACAGTGAGCTATGATTGTGCCACTGCACTCCAGCCTGGGCAATAGAGTGAGGCCCTGTCTCTAAAAATAAAAAAAAATAAAAAGAAATATGGGCCGGGTGTGGTGGCTCACGCCTGTAATCCCAGCACTTTGGGAGGCCAAAGCGGGCAAATCACCTGAGGTCAAGAGTTTGAGATGAGCCTGGCCAACATGGAGAAACCATATCTCTACTAAAAATACAAAATTAGCCAGGCATAGTGGCACACAACTGTAGTCCCGGCTACTCACTGGGACTACAAATATCAGAAGAAACTAGAAGATTGGAGAGTGGTTGCCTATGTGATGTGAGATTGGGAGCTGGAGAAGGGTGTGGCAGGATGTGCCATTTTTCTTTCTTTCTTTTTTTTTTTCTTTAGATGGAATCTTGCTCTGTCGCCCAGGCTGGAGTGCAGTGCCACCATCTCTGCTCACTGCTGCAACCTCCACCTCCTGGGTTCAAGCAATTCTCCTGCCTCAGCCTCCTGAGTAGCTGGGATTACAGGCACGTGCCACCATGCCCAGCTAATTTTTGTATTTTTAGCAGAGGCAGGGTTTCACCATGTTAGCCAGGCTGGTCTCAAACTCCTGACCTCAAGTGATCCACAAGCCTCAGCTTCCCAAAGTGCTGGGATTACAAGTGTGAGCTGCCACGCCTGGCCTCTGTCATTTTTCATCAAAGCTGTTTGGTCCATTTGACTTTTTTTTTTTTTGAAATAGAGTTTCGCTCTTGTTGCCCAGGCTGAAGTGCAATGGCACGATCTCGGCTCACTGCAACCTCTGCCTCCTGGGTTCAAGCGATTCTCCTGCCTCAGCCTCCCGAGTAGCTGGGATTACAGGTATGCACCACCATGCCCAGCTAATTTTTTTTTTTTTTTTGAGACGCAGTTTCGCTTTGTTGCCCAGGCTGGAGTGCAGTGGTGTGATCTTGGCTCACTGTGAGCTCCGCCTCCCAAGTTCATGCCATTCTCCTGCCTCAGCCTCCCGAGTAGCTGGGACTACAGGTGCCTGCCACCATGCCCGGCTAATTTTTCGTATTTTTTTTAGTATAGGCGGGGTTTTACTGTGTTAGCCAGGATGGTCTCGATCTCCTGACCTCATGATCAGCCCACCTCAGCCTCCCAAAGTGCTGGGATTAGAGGTGTGAGCCACCGCGCCCGGCCTAATTTCGTATTTTTAGTAGAGACAGGGTTTCTCCATGTTGGTTAGGCTGGTTTTGAACTCCCAACCTCAGGTGATCTGCCTCCCTCAGCCTCCCAAAGTGCTGAGATTACAGGTGTGAGCCACTGCGCCTGGCCCCATTTGACTTTTTTTTTTAGAGACAGAGTTGGGCTCTGTCACTCAGGCTGGAGTGCAGTGACACGATCACAGCTCATTGCAACCTCAACCTCGTGGGCTCGAGCAATCCTCCCACTCAGCCTCCTGAGCAGCTGGGACTACAGGCGTGTGCCACCACACCCACTAATTAAAAAGTTGTTTTTGTAGAGACAGGGTCTGGCTATGTTGCCTAGACTGGTCTGAAACTCTTGGCCTCAAGCAATCCTCCTGCCTCAGCCTTCCAAAGTGCTGGGGTTACAGGTGTGAGCCACTGCACTTGACCCTATTTGACTTTTTAAACTACGTCATGATGTAATGTGTTACTATGATAAAATAAAATTAATTATATGCAATTAAAAGGGATGATGTAGTCTGGGTGTGGTGGTTCATGCCCGTAATCCCAGGACTTTGGGAGGCTGAAGCCGGAGGATGGCTTGAGCTCAGGAGTTTGAGAATAGCCTGGCAACATGGAGAAACCTGGTCTCTATAAAAAATATGAGTTAGCTGGACATGGGGGCGTATGCCTATGGTCACAGCTACTTGGGAGGCTGAGGTGGGTGGACTGCTTGAGCCTGGGAGGTCGAGGCTACAGTGAGCCATGATCATGCCATGGCCCTCCAGTCTGGGAACAGAGCAAGACCCTGTCATAAAAAAAAAAAAAAAAAAAAAAAAAAAAAGGATGGTGTATACATTACAATATAAAGCCCCTCCCCTGCCCTGTGATATACAGGAGTGTTAATGCTAGTTTTGAGGCTTTTGTTTTTGTCGTTTTGAGACAGAGTCTTTCTCTATCATCCAGTCTGGAGTGCAGTGGCACGATCTCTGCTCACTGCAACCTCCACCTCCTGGGTTCAAGTGATTCTCCTGCCTCAGCCTCCCAAGTAGCTGGGATTACAGGCATGCACCACCACACCTGGCTAGTTTTTGCATTTTTAGTAGAAACCAGGTTTCGCCATGTTGGCCAGGCTGGTCTCAAACTCCTGGCCTCAGGTGATCCACCTGCCTTGGCCTCCCAAAATGCTGAGATTACAGGCGTGAGCCACTGTGCCCAACCACAACAAGGTCTTTTTTATTTATTTATTTATTTTGGGAGATGGAATGTTGCTCTGTCGCCAGGCTGGAGTGCAGTGGCACAATCTTGGTTCACTGCATCCTCTGCCTCCCGGGTTCAAGCAATTCTCCTGCCTCAGCCTCTTGAGTAGCTGGGAGTAGATGGCTGCATTTTACAGGGCAGAGTACTGGAGAGGAAAGAGCTGCACAGCGATCTGCAGGGTCTCCCTCAAGTCTTCAGCTGCGTGCTGAGCAGTATATGCATATGAGGAAAGGACAGGATTAGGGAAAGAACCACAAGAAAGATGCAGGAAGGCCGGGTGTGGTGGCTCACGCCTGTAATCCCAGCACTTTGAGAGGCTGAGGTGGGCAGATCACCTGAGGTTAGGAGTTCAAGACCAGCCTGGCCAACATGGTGAAACCCTGTCTCTACTAAAAATATAAAAATTAGCCAGGCATGGTAGTGCGAGCCTGTAATCCCAGCTACTCAGGAGGCAGGAGAATTGCTTGAACCCGGGAGGCGGAGGTTGCAGTGAGCGGAGATCGTGTCACTGCACTCCAGCCCGGGCAGGAAGAGCAAAACTCCATCTCAAAAAAAAAAAAAAAAAAAAGCAAAAAATCTGAAGTGCTCATACAGTGCCAGGAATACTTTGTGTTCCCACAAACCAGAGTGGAAAGACCTCCTCATAGTTATCGGTTTGTGCCAGTTATTAATGTATTGCCTCTCAGCTCTAAATTGATTTTTCATTGCCTGCTCTGTGAAAATGTAGCTGGGCCCTTTAATTACTTTTCTTTTGCCAGCCCAGCATGATGTTAAGCTTTGTCAATGCAAAGTGCTAGAGAGACACCGTGGGAGAAAGGAGCTTTTCTTCCTGATTCTGGTGTGCTCCATGGGTCCATAGCACATGCAGCTTCTCAGATGCAGAGAGGGGAGCTGGGAAACAAGGACCATCTTCTCACTTGCTTTTTTTTTTTTGAGACTGAGTCTTGCTCTGTCGCCCAGGCTGGAGTGCCGTGGCAAAATCTCAGCTCACTGCAACCTCTTCCTCCCAGGCAGCTGTGATTCCAGGCACATGCCACCGTGCCCGGCTAATTTTTGTATTTTTTAAATTTTTATTTATTTATTTATTTATTCATTTTTTGAGATGGAGTCTCACTCTATCGCCGAGGCTGGAGTGCAGTGGCACGATCTTGGCTCACTGCAAACTCCACCTCCCAGGTTCACGCCATTTTCCTGCCTCAGCCTCCCGAGTAGCTGGGACTACAGGCGCCTGCCACCGCGCCTGGCTAATTTTTTGTATTTTTAATAGAGACAGGGTTTCACTGTGTTAGCCAGGATGGTCTCGATCTCCTGACCTCGTGATCCGCCCGCCTCGGCCTCCCAAAGCACTGGAATTACAGGCGTGAGCCACCGCGCCCGGCCAATTTTTGTATTTTTAGTAGAGAGAGGGTTTCACCATGTTGGCCAGGCTGGTCTCAAACTCCTGACCTCAAGTGATCCACCCACCTCAGCCTCCCAAAGTGCTGGGATTACAGGCATGAGCCACCGCACCCGGCCCCACCTGCTTTAAACAACTAAAACACCTGACAGACTATATGAAACAGTGATTCCAGACATAGGACAACAGGCAGAATGGGGAGGGCTGTTCTTGGGTGTTCCACCTTAGACCCAGGAAGAGTAGTCGCTTCTTGTATCTGCTATTCCTGATTTTTTTTTTTTTTTTTGAGACAGAGTCTCGCTCTGTCACCCAGGCTGGAGTGCAATGGCAGGATCTCGGCTCAATGCAACCTCTGCCCTCCCCAGTTCAAGCAATTCTCCTGTCTCAGCCTCCTGAGTAGCTGGGATTACAGGCACCCGCCATCATGCCCAGCTAATTTTTGTATTTTTGTAGAGACAGGGTTTCACCATGTTGCCCAGGCTGGTCTTGAACTCCTGACCTCAGGTGATCCACCTGCCTCAGCCTCCTAAAGTGCTGGGATTACAGGCATGAGCCACTGCATCTGGCCCCCTATTCCTGTATTCATTTAGAGTTCTGTTTATTTCTTACTAGCCAATCCCTTCTAACCTCAATTCCTTGTTAAGTTAATACCTTTTTACATTAGACTGCATGTGGTGGGTCACACCTGTGATTCCAGCACTTTGGGAAGCTG
Source organism: Homo sapiens (assembly GCF_000001405.40). Taxonomy (NCBI): domain Eukaryota; kingdom Metazoa; phylum Chordata; class Mammalia; order Primates; family Hominidae; genus Homo; species Homo sapiens. The sequence continues at coordinate 155,096,557 of NC_000001.11, read as the reverse complement.
AGGTGGGAGGATTGCTTAAGTCCAGGAGTTCCAGACCAGCCTAGGCAACATAGGGTGACCCTCTGTCTCTACAAAAGAAATGTAAAAATTAGCCAGGTGTGGTAGCACACGCTTGTGATCCCAGCTACTCAGGAAGCTAAGGCTGGAGAACCACTTCAGCCCAGGAGGTGGAAGCTATGGTGAGCCATGATTGCACCACTGCATACCGGCATGGGTAACAAAGCAAGACCTTGTCTCAAAAAAAAATTTTTTTTCTTTTTACATTAAACTTTCCCTGTTCAAATTGCTGTGTGGTTTCTGCCTCTTGACTAGATACTGACTGATACATGGGACATCAAGTAGAGTCATCAGATGATACTGCCTCAGTGGTGAGAGCAAATTAGCCTTAGACCAAAGGCTATTCTCCTCTTGCCAAATGGTACCTAAAAGCACACCTTAAAAGGATCAATCTGTTTCCAAGGAACTTAACTAAGTCCCTGAACGAGGCTCAAATATATTCAAAGGAATACAAAAAAATCTAGCACCAAACAACATAAAATATACAATGTCTGGCATCCAATCAATAATTACCAGGCATGCAAAGACACAGGCAAATAATGACACAAAGCTGACCCAGAAATGTCACAGAATTAGTAGACAAGGACTTTAGCTCCAATAGCTATTATTAAATACCATCCATATATTCAAACAGATATGGAAAAACATAAACACGATGTAAAGAGGTGTGAAGATATAAAATAAGACCTCAATTGAACTTCTAAAGATGAAATGTATAATATCTGAGATGAAAAGTATACTGGATGGAAATAAAAGCAGATTAGACCCTGTAGAAAACAGGTTTTTGAAGACTTAGCAATAGAAACTATCCAAGATGAAACACAGAGAGGAAAAAAAGACTTAAAAACAAAAAACAAAAAACAAAAACAAAACCTCCAAAACCAAAATCCAGAAAATCAGTGAGCTGTGGAATAACAAGTAGCCTGTATACCTGTTTGGAGACCAGAAACGTGGGTCTAACAGATTCACAGGAGAGATGACAGAAAAAATATCTGAAGGAACAATAATTTTCAAATTTGATGGAAACTATAAATCCCTATGTCGAAGAAGCTCAATAAACCCTAAGCAGAAGAAATATGAAGACAACTACACCAAGGGTACATCATAATCTGCCTTAATCACTGCTGAACACCAGTGATAAAGACACAAATCTTAAGAGCTGCCAGAGGAAAAAAACACATTGTGTAAAAAGGAAAAATAGAAGTGATTTCTCGTCAGAAACAATGCAACCCTGAAGACAGTGGAGTAATGTCTTTAAAGTACGAAAAGATAAAAACTGTCAACCTAGAATTCAGTGGAGATATCTTTCAAATAGGAAGATGGAATAAAGATGCATTCAGACATTCCAAAATTGAAAGAATTCATCATCAGTAGACCTGCACTAGAAGAACGGCTTTAAAAAGTCCTTCAAGCAGAAGAAAAATGATACCAGATGGAAATCTCCGTCTACACAAAGGAATGAAGAGAGCTGGAAATGGTAAATATGTGGGTAGATAGAAAAGATATTTTTCTGATTTTAAAATTCTCTTTAAAAGATACTTGAGGGTTTAGAGCAAATCTAATAATGTATTGTGGGGCTTATAGCATGTGTAGAAATAAATCCATGGTGACAATAGCACAAAGGCGGAGAGGTGGGGAATGGGAGGAAGGTGTTTGCGCTGAGTGGTGTGATATTACTTGATGGAGATAGACTATAAGTTAAAGAAGCATTGTGTAATCCTAAAAGAACCACAAAAAAATGTAAGTGTAGTATTATGAACCAATAAAGGAGATAAAATGAAGATCACAAGGGGTGTGCTGGCCACCCCCTTGGCACACAGAACAGTTGGGTGGAGTTCCCCAGCCCAGCAGGGTCCCATAGAGCCTCTGTAGGTGTTTGGGATAGAATGAGTACCGTCAGAAAGAAACTTCCTCTCCTGCCACCTTCTGGCAGTAAATCCAGCCTATTTTTAACTCAGGCCTCTGCTTAAGTGCTTTTGGCTAAAAGAGAATTGCTGCTTCTAAGAATCTCAGGCAGCCACAGTCTCCTCGGCTTCTCTGCTCGCTCCAGCCCTAGAAGGCTCAGGGACTGCTCAGATGTCCCCGGCTTCCCAACCACTTGTCCCAGGAGAGGAGGCTCCCTCAACTCTGGGTGCTCACTGTGGGCACCCACAGACAGGCAGCCCTTCAGCAGGGTGCAGGTGTGAGAGGATCTCTAAGGGATGTCATCTCATGGAGACTGCGGGGATGGTGCCACGGAGTGGTGTGAGGGCAGCCTGGAGCGAACAAACTGCAGAGTGTTGCTCCAGGAGGGTGCACATGTGTACAAAGGCGCCCTGTGTGAAAAGGGCGTGCTCTGTTGTGAGTGTGAATGTTTTTGTGACTGCTTATGCTGTGAAACATAAACACAGCAGCCTCCGTCCTTTTGATCATGCTGCCCCCTCTGCTGGCCTGTCTCCCCTCGTAGTCCCTCCCAGCCAACACCCACACCCTAGCTGGCAAACTGCCAATCATCCCTCAAGCCTCTCATCTCTCCCAAAGTCTTCCCTGACAACTCTGGCCAGAGGCCCAGCCAAATGGCCGCCAGACTCGGGGTTGTATACCCAGGGGTTAGCATGATGCCTGCTGTGTGCTTAGCCTGCAAGGAGGGAGGAAGGCTCTTAAGGCCTCTTTTGGGGGCCGTATTAGGAGGGCACTGAGAATATTTGCTTTTTCCACTGTCAGACCAGGTCCTGCCAGGCCCTGAAGGGCACCCAAGTGACAAGCCTGGGGTCACAGAGGGATGCGAGGGTCACCCTCCATGCCCAGTGTGCTTAATGGTGCAGAGAGGCCAGGCCTGGGGTCTGTGCCCAGAGTGGGCAGTGCTGGTGTCCAGGTGGTCAGATATGGGCATGGCCCCACGTGGAGTTGGACAGCCTCTGTTGATTTCTCCTCAGGGCTCTCCCTGGAGGCTCAAGGTCTGGCATCTGTGTATGTGTGTGTGTGTGTGTGTGTGTGTGTGTGTGTGTGTGTGTGTGTGCAGGCATGTCTGTGGTGTGGGAAGAGGGCTTTCTCCTGTCTCAAGCTTAGCTCTTACTCTTCCCAGCCCCCTCTGCTCCCCACCATTGTCTTCTCCTTCACCAGCACAAGGCAGGAGTGGGTAGGAGGTTCCCAAGGTCCCTGGGAAGAATGTGGTGGGCACTGCGTGTGATGTTGGGTGTGGGCACGTATCTGTGGGTGCACATATGGATGTGATTGAGAAGCCCCTGCCTCTCCTTGTGTTTGTGTATGTGTCTGGGTATATCCTTGGGGTCCTAGAGGTTGTTTTTGTGTCTCCTGTGGCTGTTGAAATGACCTATCGGTTTCCAGAGGGTGTGAATGTGGCTCTGATCTACCCCCTCCCACCTCCTCCCTCTTCTGATTTTCTTGACTCTAGGGTTTGCCCAGTTGGCTTGGCTGGGATTGTCATTGGGTCCGTGTTAGAGAATTGTATCATCTGTTGAATGCCAGCCCTCAAGTGTGTCACCGTATGTGACCCTGGATGCAAGCGCGGCTCAGGGTACCTGGGAGCCCCTTGCCCTGTGTGGGGTCTGGTGCCTGCGTGAGTGTGTTATAGACAGTGGGGCGTTAGTATGTGCCTAATACCCATGAATGGCTTGAGTGTGACGGCCGCAAAACGGGTCGAATGTGCACACATGGATGTGTGTGCAAGTGATGGATGAGTGTGTGTGCGTGTTCCCTCCTGTGGGTGCCTGGACTGGTCCCTCAGTCCCGTGGGGGGCCTCTCCCACTTCAGTGGTGTGAACAAAGCCCCTGCTTTCCTCCCTGCTTTGCCCCCCAGCCCCCTCTCCCTCAGCACCGAGTTTGATTGACTGTGTGTGGTTGCAAGGTTATGAGATTATATGATTGGTGTATGGCATATGAAGTGTATGCCATTGAATGTGAAACTCTAGTATCCCCTGGCCAATGCCAGCCTCTCAGAGGCAGGCTGGTGGACCTCCGGTCAGTTGAACCTAGCTCTCCCAGGTTCCTAGGCTGGCCCATCCATCCTTTTATAGCCAGGCTTGGCCCCTGTAATTACCTGGGGCCAGATGCTGTGGCGAAGGCCAAGAGTTTGGTGCTAACACTCTGGGGAGGAGTCATATCTGCCCCTCCCCCAGGCCACACCGGAGGAGACTGGAGGAGGCCAGACCTCTTTGGAGTCAGATCACAGGCCACATCACTAGGTTCAGCCTGAAGCTGCTCTGCTGCTCTGGGCCCAGTGTGTCTCTGGCTGACCTGGCCCCAGCACATCTGGGCTATCCCATCCGCGTCACACTTCCCCAGACTGTCGTCCACAGGCTGCAGACACCGAGCCTGTGTTCCCATCACCTCCCACCTGGACCCCTCTTGCCAGTCCATGCCCCCAACCCAGCTCATGCCCCTCGTTCCCCCCCTCCATATCCTCCCGCCCCCCTCATCCTAGTCCTTGTCTCCTGGTCCCAGCTTGTGTCCTTCATTCCAATCCATGGCCCCCCAGCCCCGTCACCACCACCTCCAGTCCACGCCTCTGTCCCTGCCACGTACCTCCAGCCCAGTCTGTATCCCTGGTTTGCCAGCTGGACGGAACATGGAGGTTGAGAGAGAATGGCGAGATTTGCGTGCCGAGTAGGTCTGGGCTGGACGGCTGTGGACTGAGCCCAAGTCCACTCCCAACCCCATGGCATCTACAACTAGGGGAGGAAAAGAAGAGAGTGGGGATAAGAGAAATGGACGGAGAGTGGGCTGGGCCTTAGCCCACCCTGCCCCAGGCCTGAGAACAGAGGGTCCTACGGCGCAGCTGCTTGAGTCCCCTCAAGGACCAACACCCGCTCCACCGACCGCAAACCCATCCCAAGCTCCCCTCACAGCTCCGGCGAGTCCCAGCCCAGGTGCTGCGCCACCTGGTGGATATCGGCAGACTTGCAGGCCCCGAGTGGCAAACCCACGTGGCAGCGAGGCTTAGACCCCAGCCGGGATTGTAAATAGCTCCTTCCCTGCTACCCACAGCGCTGCTGGAGTGACCTCTCACCCCGAAGGGAGGGGCGGGGCAGCTCTGAACTTTACTCTCCAAGCCAAAATCTCTGTTCAGTTGTTTGATGTTGCTGTTGTTTTTCACCCTGGGGAGGACGGGAAGAGGAGGGATGTGTGCGATCTCTACCTGTGTTGGGGGCATTAACCTGTGACAGCCTCTGGGAATGCCAGCGTGTCAGGTGGGAGCCCTCTTTGTGCCTGTGCTGGAGGGGGCCAACATGAGACAACACAAGGGTGAAGAAGACCCTGCCCAGGGTGAGGCTGCTCTGCCCTCAGGCCATACCACTGTGCCTGGTGACATCTTACCACTGCCTTGGCCAGGACGCCCTGGGCTCTGCAGACCTTGGTGTCACAAAGTAGGGCCCTGTACCAGACAGGCTCAGGGTCATTGGTGTCTGGCCATCTAAGTGCAGACCTCTCTCCCCAGTCTTCCTTACATGCTCTGGGATTGAAAGCCTCGCTGGACGGGAAAATCCTCAGCAGGGCTCCGCAGCTTTTAAAACTGATTTCATTTATTTATTATTTATTTAGATATTTATTTTTGAGAGACAGAGTCTCGTTCTGTCGCCCAGGATGGAGTGCAGTGGCTCGATCTCGACCCACTGGAACCTCCGCCTACCAGGTTCAAGCGATTCTCCTGCCTCAGCCTCCTGAGTAGTTGGGATTACAGACATGCACCACATGCCTGGCTAATTTTTGTATTTTTAGTAGATACTGGGTTTCGCCATGTTGTCCAGGATGGTCTCAAACTCCTGACCTCAAATGATCTGCCTGCCTTGGCCTCTCAAGTGCTGGGATTACAAGTGTGAGCCACAGTGCCTGCCAATTTACTTATTTATTTATTTTAAAGACAGGGTCAGCCGGGCGCGGTGGCTCATGCCTGTAATCCCAGCACTTTGGGAGGCTGAGGTGGGCGGATCACCTGAGGTTGGGAGTTCGAGACCAGCTTGACCAACATGGAGAAACCCTGTCTCTACTAAAAATACAAAATTAGCCAGGTGTGGTGGCACATGCCTGTAATCCCAGCTACTCGGGAGGCTGAGGCAGGAGAATCACTTGAACTCAGGAGGTGGAGGTTGCGGTGAGATGAGATCACACCATTGCACTCCAGTCTGGGCAACAAGAGCAAAACTCCACCTCAAAAAAAAGAGTCAGGGTCTTGCTCTTGCTCTGTCGCCCAGGCTGGAGTACAGTGGTGTGATCATAGCACATTGCAGCCTTGCTCTCCTGGGCTCAAGCAATTCTCCCGTCTCAGCCTCCTGAGTAGCTAAAACTACAGGTGCATGCCACCACGCCTAGCTTTTTTTTTTTTTTTTTTTTTTTGTAGAAATAGGGTCTCACTATTTTGCCCTGGCTGGTCTTGAACTCCTGGGCTCAAGCGATCCTCTCACCTCAGTCTTCCCAGTAGCTGGGACTAAAGGTTTGTCACCACACCTGGATATTTTTTTTATTTTTTGTAGAGATGGAGTCTTCCTATGTTGCCCAGGCCGGTCTCAAACTCCTGGGCTCAAGTGATCCTCCTACCTCAGCCTCCCAAAATGCTGGGATTAGAGGCCTGAGCTACTGTGCCTGGCCATTTGTTTTGTTTTTGTTTTTGTTTTTTTAAAGATGGGGTCGGCTGGGCACACTGGCTCACGCCTGTAATCCCAGCACTTTGGGAGGCTGAGGCGGGCAGATCACCTGAGGTCGGGAGTTCAAGAACAGCCTGGCCAACATGGCAAAACCCCATCTCTACTGAAAATACAAAAATTAGACAGGCGTGGTGGCATGCACCTGTAATCCCAGCTACTCAGGAGGCTGAGGCAGGAGAATCACTTGAACCCAGGAGGCGGGGGTTGCAGTGAGCTGAGATGGTGCCACTGCACCCCAGCCTGGGCGACTGAGTGAGATTCTGTCTCAAAAAAAATAAAAATAAAAATAAAAGATGGGGTCTTGCTATATTACCTGGGCTGGCATTAAACTCCAGAGGTCAAGCGGTCCTCCCACCTCAGCCTCCTGTTAGACCCACTTTGAATGCCAGCCCTATCATTAGCCAGGCTGTGTGGCCCTAAGTCTTAGATCCTCATCTGTGTTATTGGAATAGTGAGGCTTACAAAGGCGCAGCACTCGGCACATAGGAGGTGCTCAGTGAATGGAAGCTGGCTTATTCTAGTTACTGCCCAAAGTGCTTGGCCCTTTCAGTCTTACTATTCCAGAATTTTTGAATCTGCAAGGCCCTCCCCCATCCCATCTGGCCAGCCCCTATCCTGCCTGGCCCGGGGAATTGAAGCAAGCCTGCAGCCCAGGCCCACTACTATGGGTCCTCGAGATTCTCCCCAACAGTACCCGACCCCGCTCTGTGTATCTCCTCCTGTCTGAAGCCTCTTTCCTCTGTCCCTAGGCAAGTGTGTGCTTTTTCTTGGCATTCCCACAGCTCCCAGGCATTTACCCACGAAAGAGCTGGTTATGTTGTCAGTTATGTATGTGTGTGTTACCAATTTCTGCTCATACATCAACACATACTAAAGTATGAGCTTATTTTGGGGTAGAGACTATATCTTGTGTCTCCAATACCCAGGATAGAGCCTGGCACTCGGCAGGTGCTCGATAAATGTGGATTGAATGCATGGACGATTGGATGGATAGGCCCACCTTTTCTGTCTTATCAGTCTGTAGGGAGTCTCAGACTGGTCTAGTGGCTGCCCCCAGTTCTTTCCCCACCTGCTCTCCCACCCCACACTCTTCCCTGTTCCGCTATTGGGAAACCCACCCACTCTGCAGAGTCTAGCTCAGATTCCATTTTCCATGTTTTATGGGTAGAGAGGAGCAGAAAACACAGTCCTTACCACCAAGGGCTCATTCTCACAAAGCAGCCGGCAAGAGCCACAGGGGCACACAGGATCTGGCCTGCTCACACAGTGCCAATTAGAGAGCCTGGGTGGGATGGAGTCCCATGGGTGCACAGCTTGGCAATAAGGTGTCCCCTCCCTGGGCCAGGCACTTGGCTCAGCAAGTGAAGTTGCAGGTACATTTCAGCCCCTATCCGCACTCCCTTATGCTGTGCTGGTCTGTAAACCCTGACCTTCTCTGGGGCCCCTGGGAAGCGGCCATTATCCTGTCTTTTGCCCTTCTGTCCTCTCTGCCCTCCCGAGCGATGCAGGGTGGTGTAGTTATGAGCAGCCCCAGCCCCAGCAAACTCCCAGCACCTTGGGCATAATGTTTGAAATGAGTAAAATTACAAAGGGTTATAAAGAAAGCTAATTATATTGAAAGAGTTATCAAAACATTTACATTTCTTGATATAGTAATATATATGCTTTCTTATTAACACATTAAAAATGAGGAAGGCCTAACAACTATGATCATTTCAAAGTACTGATGAGTGTAAATTGTATTTTGAGATATCTTCAACAACTATAATGCAGCCTGAAAACGTGTGATTTCTGGTTACAAAGTCACAGGTACTATTAATACTATTATGGCTTGCTGCCCAAGCACACAAGAGAATGTTAAATTTTAGTTATAGGCAAGTGAAAATAAAGATAGTTTTTTTTCTGTCTAGGTTCTCAAATCCCCTGAAATCCATAGACTCCAGTCAAGAACCTCAATTACAGCATGGAAGGGGAAGAAAAGGTGGAAACCATAATTGATGGAGCCTTTAACTCCCTGCGTCATTTAATCCCTACACCAACCCTAAGAGAGAGATACCACAACCAGTTTTTCTGGTGGGATACCTGAGAATCAGAGAGGTTGAGTGATTTGCCCAAAGTCAACCAGGCCCTGCCTGGAGGCCCCTCTTGCTCTTTCCAAGCAGCGCTGCCTTTGTAATGAAGATGAGCCCCAGAACAAGATTTGAACACCTCGTTGTGACTCTTTGGCCCCAGAATTCCCTCTCCTACTCAGGCCCTGTGCCCTGTGAGGTTTAACCAGTGTAACAGAAGGGTGATGGCCCCTTGAAATCACACACACTCAGTTATTTTTATCTCCAGTTTATTTTTTTTAGACTAAGAGCAGAGTATGAAAGTCACAGCCAAAGCACTTGAAAAAGGCCCAGGAGGATAGGTGGGACCACATAGGGTGAGCAGGGCAAGGTCCTGGGAGATGGTTCCCGGCTCAGGGCTGGAAGGGAGGGGGCGTTGTTGTTTTACGGTCTCCAAAAGTGTCTGTGCGTTGCATAGGTCCTGTCTTCACAGAAGACAAAAGAGGGGCCAGGGGGTCCCCCAGGTGTGGGGGGCCTAGCCTGGTGGGGAAGGGGTCTGAAGCTGAAGGGGAAGTCAAGAAAGGTCAGGGGGTTAAAGAGGGAAGGGACTCTGTCTGTCTGTACATTATATATAGAGATATAGAGTCTGTACATGCCTGCCTGGCACCCCAATGCCCACCCCTTGCCATCCTTGTCCACTGCCCGCCCCCCCAGGGGTGTCTACTTGTAAACTTGGTTTCAATCCAAACCACAATCCTGGAAGTGGGAGTGGGGGAGGAGGACGTGCTTATTGCTGTAAACAGGGGAAGGAAGCAGCAGGCAGTGCTGCCCCTTGCCCATCTAGTCCCCTCCCCATGTTCTGCCCCTGGAGGAGAGCAATGGGGGTGCCTCCCACGCTTCGATTTGCTCTCTCTGGGGGCATATGTCTCTCTGGGGGGACAAAGGGAGAGGGCACCAGGAGTCAGGGAAAGGTACCAGGGGCCAGGGAGTCCTGAGCACTGCCCTTTTTGGCCCCCAAGTTTGGTACCAAACATTACCAGAGCCACAAGGCCGCCCGGGACCCATGGCTGTCCCCGTGCTTGGTCCACTACAGTGCCCTACGTGGGGGGAAGGGGTAGAGGGGGCGGACACAGATGTATGGTGCAGGCCCCACTTCTAGCCATGGGAGGAGGGGTCTAGGCCCACTAGGCTTCCCTTGGAGAGGCCAAAGGCTCCCTGCTCCTTCCAAGCCCCGCCCCATCTCTCCCCCCCCAGGGGAGGGGGCAGAGCTAGGAGGCCAAGAACGTCATGAGGAAGAAGGCGATGCCCACGGCCAGGGGCAGGTGTTCCCGTTTGGGGCTGGTCCCGCTGATGCTCTTCTCAAGCTTGGGCACCTGAGGGTTCTCTCCCTCAAAGTCTTCTGTGGACAGAGGAACAGACAGACTGGTGAGGGCTGGGTTGCGCGCCAGGGCAGGGGCACGCGGCAGCAGCAATGGAGCCAGGGACGTGACCACCCACAGGGTAGGAAGTATCAGTGCCCCCAGGGAAGGCATGCGAGGTGAGCAGGCACCGGGGCGGGGGGCTGCGGTTCCAGCAGTGGCCACCAGAGGGCGCTGCGCAGACTCACCCAGCACGTTGATCTTCACATTGGGGCCCATGGTGAACTGGGGGAGAGTGGGGACCGGCTTCTCCCCGGAGTGCGATGCTGCGGGGTGGGGTGCGGGTGGGGAGAGAGGAGGGGAGAGTCAGGGCCAGGATTCCCTCCCCTTGCTACGGCTGGGGAGCAAGCCCCCCTCACCTGTGCCCTCCGCCCCCACCCCCAGGAAGCCAGGGGAGCCCCAAAGCAGGGAGCTGAGGATGGGGGCGCGGCTCGGAGCCTATTCTACTCACTGGAGGCGCAGCAGACGAACACCTTCATCCTCAGACACTTCCAGTGCAGGTTGTGAGTGGGCGTGGCTGGGGAGGAGACCGGGCCTGAGTCACTTTCGCCCAATGTGTGCCTGTGCCCTCCCTCGACGGCTCTATTTCTCACCCCCTCCAAACTGTCCCCGTCGGGCGGTCTCCTTCAGGAGCTCCCCTACCCTTTGGACACGGGTCACTTTAGCTCTGCCGTCGGCCCTAGACGCCCCTTTGGTCCCACCCCTCAAGAAACTGGGATCCCTGATGTTCCAACCCCGGAATGTCCCTCACAGAAACAGCGATTCTCCGCAGCCCAAACTTGGGACTGTCACCAAACTCCTCTCTTGGCCCCACGACCTCGTCTGAGCTGAACCCCTCAGGCGTCCCGTGCCCACGCCTCCTCCCTGGTCTCAGCCGCGAGACCTGGCGCCCGCCGCGCCGGCCCCGCCCCGGAGCCTAGGGGCTCCACCCCCCGGCTGTCACTCAGACTCTCGCGTTCAGACCCGCCCGCCCGGCCGCCGTCACTCACAGATGTAGTAGTACTCGTGGCCGGCGTGGAACTCGTAGCCCAGAGAGAAGGCGCTGTAGCGCTGGAACTTCTCCGAGAACTTGATGGGGCTGTGCGGGGCGTGCGGCCGGTTGCACTCCCAGCGCTTGAAGCCCTGGCTGGCGTTGCAGGTGCGGTAGCCGTTGCGGCTCACCATGTACAGCACGTACTGCTCTGCCCCGCCTCCGGGCCCCGGTCCCGCCCCGGGGCCCACCCCCGAGCTGTTGTAGTGCGGGCAGTAAATATCCAGATAGTCGTTCACGTTCACCTGCACGGTGTAGCCCTCTCGCCGCAGGCTGTGGGGAAGAGGAAGCGGCTCAGAGAGAAGAAACCCCAGAGCAAAGCCGCTTTCCATCTGACCGCTCCGCAGCCCCTCCCCAGGGTCCGCGTAGCCTTCCGACTTTTCCTCCGAGCTTCCTCGCGGCTCAGCCCTGTCTCTGCCCCCGGGGCCCTAGTGCCGCCGCTCCCCTAAGTCTCCTTCCGTGCCCTCCTTCTTGGTCTGTCCTTCTCCTGTTGGCCACCAGAGGGTAGCAAAGGCGCAGGGAAGCCCGGCCTGCCTCCAAAGAAAAGGAGGCGAGGGAGAGGGGCGGAGGGAAGAAGGGAACGTACGCTTTGGTTGCCACAGAAACGGCGCAGGCCCCAGCGACTCTCAGACCCAGGCCCGGATTTCCTCCGTCCATCCCCCATAATTCAGCAGCCGGGAGGAGGGATGGGAGGGATGGAAGCCAAGGGTGAACGTGGGAGGGATCCCCTCCGAGGGACGCACACACCCTCCATCGCTTCTCCCACCATGCTTCCCTGCGGCTGCCAGTCCACCCCGGAGGCCAGTCCAACAGGACCTGCCCTTACAGACGCATGTATGGCGGCTTCATGCATATACATGCATAAGTTCTATGGCACACGCACAAATATGTCCACCGCCCACTCATAGGCAGCAGACACACAGAAAAGCTGGGCTGTATGTGTGCTGGCCCGCATGCCAGTATTGGTTGACCCCACCAATCTGGGGGTCTCCCCCTGCCCTCCCCATACTACAGTATCACTGGCTTCTGTACCTTGAGTCCCGTGACAGAGACCCCACCCTGAGGCCAAGGACAGTTAGGCTCCCAGGAACTTTAAACACATGAGGGCGCTAAGGGACTCAGTACCAAGACTCCACATGGCATCATGCCAACCAGCCCAAACTTCTGTCTCATTGTGCACCTCCTTCCTCAACCTGGCACAACGGCCCCCCTTAATGATGCTGGGCAGAGCAGTGGGCACAGGGCCTAGACAAGATGGCTGCGCCTCTTATTTCCCTGATCCCTCTTTGGGACAGAGAAGCAGATGCTGGGTCCCTTGTAATCCCCACCTGCCTTGCTAGTCACCATCAAAGTGTTGGTCTTAACACCCTCGATGGCAGTAGTGAGCGGTGTGGGGATGGAGAAACCTCTGAATGGAGAAAGAAACTCGGAGAGGGGGCAGGAGTTTTCCCTAATTTCTTTAGCGTAAGAATGCACATATCTTGGCAGTGCAAGGAGAGTGGTGGACACAGAAAGGCATGGGGTCCTTGGCAAAATGTCATACCACGGGGTCCCTAGTCCCTGGGAGCTCCCTGGGGGGAGAGACTGGCTCCCTATGTCACCAGGCACCACCCAGTTCCCCAAACAGTAATTAGATCCATTAAAGAAATGAGCGTGGAGGCTTCTGCACACGGTGGGGCCTTGGGGGTCCCTCCCCCCTGACCCCACTTCCTTGGCTTTGCTTGTGCTGTCCCCTCCACCAGCAACCCATTCCAAGCCTGACAGTGAGGCAGGCAGAGAGCTGATGTTTGGGTACCCCAGTAAGAATTGGCACAGCCTCCTTTGGTCATCAGGAATGCCACCAGCCCCACTCTGTTCCCATGGGATTAATGGGTCACTCAGGCCCCTCCCTTGCCCTGGCACTCAGGTGGGCAGGAGCCTCGGCCTGCGGCACTGGGAGCAGGAAAACGGGTTAGACCAGGCCTGGCTCCAAACTGCCATCCTAGGCTTGCCTGTCCGTCACCAACCCACAGTCTGTTCCTCCCCTCAGGCCTTGGGGAGGGGGCCTCCAGTGGTGAGGGTGCCAGGTCTGGAGCAGCTGCACAGCCACACTGGGATCTCTGTCTTTGAGCCTCACCCATGTTTCCAGTCCCACTCTGAAGCAGCCCCTCCCTGCTGTACCGCCCAGTTCCCCCTACAACACACCCCATTCCAGCAGGGAGGAAGCCAACACCCAAGGTATTCCTACAGGTAATTCCATTTCCTCAACAGGGCAGGACTAGCCTTATAAAAAAGGTTGCAGGGCGACCACAGGTGAAGGGAAGCCATCTGTTATGTACTCCTGCGCTGGGTGGCAGGAACAGCTCCTGAAATGCCCCCCCAAGGCTGGGCATGTGAGAGAAAGACCTGCCGGTGGGGTGGCTGGGCCCAGTTGGTACACAGAGGGCACGGGGACAAACGGGGTGAGAGCCAGGAATTCCCAGCCACAACTCTTTGGAGACCCAACGTGTCTGCTTGGCTTGGGCACTTTAATTGAATCTGTCATCCTCCCTCCTTCTCCCTAGCAGTGCGGAGAGAGAGGTGCCGCTGGGCCCACGCGAAGCTCCGCAGCTAACCCCGCCTCTAGGGCCGCGCCTCCTGCGGAAGGGTGGGGGTGGGCTGGGACCTGGGGACCGGGTTGTGCCCTGCCCCTTCGTACTGTTCTCTCTTCTTGCTCCACTTCATCCCCTATAGCCTCTCGCCTCTCTTGCAGAAAGGCGAATGCCGACACACCCCATTTGGAGGGGGTGTCCCCTCACCCCGTTATTTCGGTCTCTCCTGGCTCTCACAGCCTCTGAGGCGCATCCCGACACCTCTCTCTCGCTTTCAGTGCCCTGCCGGCCCGCGCCTGGCTCCACTTAACCCGGAGTGTCCGCGGAGGGGGCAGGCGGGCGGAGCGGGGAAGGAGCAAACTTCTCCCCCAGCCCGGGGCAATTAGGGCAGGTAAACAGGGTGTCCAACAAGACCAGGGAGTAGGGAAAGGATCCCAGGGGGCCCTGAACTTGTCAAATCCTCGCCATCCTCCACCCCCAGCCCCGGTCTTAGACGCCGGGCTGCAGAGTTACAGGGGTGGAGGACGAATGTAGACCCGGGTTCCTCTTCCCTCTAGCGCGCGCCCCCGAGGCTGCGCGCCGCCCGCTCCAGCAGGCGAGGCCGGACCACGTGTGCGCGGCGTGGGGTCCGCGCGCCCGGGCTTTGAGGGTGGTGGCGGTGGTGGCGGGAACGCTGGGGGGCGGCGGTTGCACGCTGACACCTCTGCGCCCCTCAGGCGCCCTGGGCCTCGGCGCCCCGCCCGTCCCAGTCTGGACAGCCCAGGTCTGGGCGCAAGGCTTCCCTGGGCCGCGTCGGGTGGGGGAGAATCAGCGCGCCCGACACCTCCGCCCCTCCTCCCTGCGACAGCGGCGGCGGCGGCGGCGAAGGTTTATTGATCTGCAGCGGCGGAGAGGAGCGAGAGACCTGCCGAAAGCGAGACACAGAGACGGAGTGAGGGGGAGACACACACCGACAAGGGGAGGGTGGCAGAGGCCGGATTCACTGAAAGGGGAAAGGAAGGGAGACACAGTGCGAGAGAGACGCAGAAACCGAGAGAGGCAGGGAAGAGAACGAGAACCGAGAGTCTTGGAGAACAGGAGAGACAGGCAGGCCAGAGAGGCCCACAGACGGCGGAGACGGAGACAGAGACGCAAAGGAGAGAAGCAGGGACAGGGAAGGGTGCAAGGCTGAGACTCAGAGACTGGGAGAAAACACAGAGAAAGACCATCAGGGACGTAGTAGAGCCTCAATAAATATTTGTTGAATGAATGCATGAATGAAAGAGAGATCAGCAACAGAAGCATTTCAGAGATAGGTCGAGAGACAGCTATATAGAAAGATGTTCCCGAAGCTCCTTGAGAACGGAGCAAATACCAACATCCTTGCTCAGTTCTGCAAAGAAATGAAACACAGGCCAGGGGGCATATATTTGGCCATCGGCCGTCCCAACCCCCCTCACCAAGTTCGATTCCCGGCTTAGGGGACTCCTCGACCTCATACTCTAATGCATCGCTCCAATACAGTCCCCCCATCCCTAGTTTCTGGGCCAGATTGGGAACAGGTCTCTCCTGTTCCACGGGACTAAATGGAAGTACTGAGTGGGGGGCAGAGGGCTAGGTCGCGGCCGGTGTGCAAGGCACAGTCCCCAGGTCTGTCAAAGGAGGCCGACGCACGTGACCCCCCCAGGAGGCGGGGTCGCAAGACCCTCCCCACGTGACCCCAAGGGGCAGAGACCCTCCGCACGTGACGGGAGGTGGGAGCCAGGAGCCCAGCTCACGTGACTAGGGGGAGGGGGCGCGGGAGCCTGTGGCTCGGTCGGCCCCGCCCCCAGCTCCCCGGCCCTCTCCATTCTCGGCTCCGGAGCACGTCGCTCTCACGATTTATGGGGCCGCGGCTGCCGCAGTGAGGGAGCCGGGGAGCCCGGGCGCAGCGGCAACAAAGGCCCGGGAAGCGAGGCGGGGGCGGCGGCAGCCTCCTGGCCCGGTGTGCGCCCCCTCCTACCTCTGCCGGCCCAGGCCCGCACGGAGTAGAGAGGACAGAAAGGAGGCTCCCGGAACCCGGGCTCCCCCACCCGCTCCCTGAGCTTTCACCTGCGCCCAGGTGTATGCGGGGGAGGGGAACCTGATCAACACCTCCCCCCACCAAACCTATTCCCGCATCCTCCCCGGCTCTGGCTTCCCCTAAGAACGCTGAGGTGCTCCAAGGGTGGCGGGGAACCCGGGGCCCCTCACCTGCGAGCTCTCCGTTCCCCGCCAGACTCTAGCGGGGTGGGGGGCGGACGTGTGAGTCTGGGGGAGGGGGCTGAGCTAGATAGAGCTGGAAAGTCAGCCCCCAGCGCCCCCCGGAGTTCTTGGAGTCCCGCTCCGGGGGGGAGGGGCCACGTCCCCACCCCCGAGGTTTCCATGGGAAGCGAGAGGGGGGCGTCGTTGGCTCATCCCCACCCCCAGTCTGACACTCCGGGCGCGAGGAGGGAGAGAGGGGGAGGCGCGGAGCCCCAAACAACAAAGAGCGGAGCGGCGAGCGGCAGCCCCTCCTCCGAGAGGTTGGGGGTCGCGGCCGCCCGGCCCTCCCGGTCCCCTCCCCTGGGGTCTGGCCATTTGCTCCCTGGTCGGTCGGTCCCTGGGGTGGGCAGCCAGAGGCAGTGCTGCCGCCACCGCCCGGGCAGGTGTGACAGTGACCCCCGCGTCCCCAGGGATCTCCCCCTACTAACACACAGACACACACTGATGTGGCCAGGGAGATACACACGGCGGCTTGGCGGGGAGGAGAAGACAAGGGCAGCAAGGACTGAGCAGAATGAGGACCCGGCCCCGCAGCCAGCACCCGGCCACCGCGCCACACACCCCGGGAAACCACACGGCCGCCCTGACACCCGCCCAGACCGCGGCGGCGCCAACAGCCACCCCAGCCCAGACGCAGCTGGCCGCGCGGACAGCGACCGCAGCCCCTTCCCCGACCCGCAGCCCGCTCCCACCCCCAGACGATCGCCGACGCAGACACACAAATCACACACTCAGACACACACGCACACTGACAGCCGCGCACGCCCGCTCACACTTGGAGCCATTCGCCGTCCCCAGCCCGGGCGTGTGTGTGCGTGTGTGACACACCGACATCTCTCTGCCGCCTTCCGTCTCGCCGGTACCCCACGTTCCCATCCTAACCAAGCAGCATTCCCAGGGCCCCCCAACTCAGCGACCCAGCCCTAGCTCACCCTAGCCGGGCTTATCCACACAACCAAGACAACCCATTCGCCTTCCTTCTAGGGAGGTGCTCGGTCGGACTCCCTGCCTCAGCTCTGGACCCCACTTTTAAAAGCAGGAGTCCTAGACAGAACCCCTGGAAGCCCTCATGGCCAAAAACAGGTCATCCCTGGGCCCCAAAATGCAGCGGCCTATCCCCAGCAC
The DNA here is from genome assembly GCF_000001405.40 of Homo sapiens. Lineage (NCBI taxonomy): Eukaryota > Metazoa > Chordata > Mammalia > Primates > Hominidae > Homo > Homo sapiens. The sequence continues at coordinate 155,079,406 of NC_000001.11, read as the reverse complement.
AGCGCTACCCCCAAACCCCAGCCCAACTGGTGGGACTATGGGACAGGGGCATGCTATTCCAGCGGCGGGTGCGGAGAGAAGCCAAGATGGGGTGGGGGGCCCCTCCAGCAGCCTCCTCCACACGGCCCGAGCGCTCCTTACTATAGCCCAACAGCCTCTTCAGACACCCCCGAGTTTCCTAGACGCCCACAGAGTGCGTCCCCCTCTCCGTCCCCTCCCAGCCCCCAGCTCTGGTCTCCCAGGACTCCCACCCCGGGATCCCCCAGGACTTCTCGGGCCCACCGGCTCCCCCTCTCACTGAGACGGGACGCGCGGACTCCCAGGGTCCCCGACTCACTGCTGGTTGGAGCTGTTCCAGTACACCGCATGCCGGTTTCCCAGCGCCCCTCCGGGCCCTTGGGCCAGCAGCGGCAGCAGCGGCACGGGCACGAGCAGCAGCAGCAGCAGCAGCGGAGCCGCCGCCATCCCCGGAGCCGCCGCCGCCGCCGCCCCCCGACTGAGCCCCGCGCTCCCGGCTTCTCCGCTTCCCAGCTCCCTGCTGCCGCCGCCGTCGGCCCCCAGCCTTAGGCCACGCCCCCAGCCCTTCCCTCCGCCCTCCTGGGCGCGCCCCCGAAGCCCCGCCCCTGGCGCGCCCCCGACAGGCCCCGTCCCGCTCCGGTCGGGAGCGCGCGACGCGTGGGAGGTGGGGACCGTACTGCCCCCTCGGGAAAGACCAGCGCGTGCCTCGTCTCTCCTTCTTGAGTTCAGTTTGCTACAACTGGTCCTGGGTCTTTTGCTCCCCAGGCTGAATTTCCCAGAAGGATTTGGGAACCCAAGATAAGGATCTCGATCTCAGGGAAGCCCAATCATCTCTGGGAATGAGGGGAAGGAGAAGACTTGAGAAGAAGTTGGGGATCCAGGACCTCTTAGTAAGTAGGGCTGGACCCCTTCCCTTCTGAAAACTGTGGCCCTCTGCTGCGTCCATGCCCCCTTTTCCCGTGTGCATGAGGACTCAGGTGGGCACAGAAGGGTGGTGGAGAAGTCCTCAGCTGGCACCAAGGCTTTGACAGCTGGTGACCTGAAGCCCCCAGCTGAGCATGAGGCTTGTTTATCTTGGAGGCAGAGTAAAAGAGCTCAGCCCCTGAGAATGTCAATACTGGGAGCTGTAAGAGTCTTCAGTGGTCCAGAACCCAAGGCGCAGGAGGGGGTCAAGGAGAGAGTCAGCTGGGGCAAAGCAGGGTTCCCTGGACACCTACAAAGGATTCCTCACTGGCACTTAGGCAGGGCCCCTCCCGGGGCAGCCAGGGTTGTCCCCAGGGATTCTCACTCCTACTCTCAGAGACGCTGATCCTGAGTCAGAGGGCAGAGCACCTTGTGTTCCAGCTCTCACCACAGTCATTGTCCTCACAGTGACACCCAAGCACACACATCACACACACACATTCAGGAAAAAAGGCACAGTCACCCAAAGGCAGAGAACATAGAGACACAGGTGCCTGACACAGACATATGGACACACAGGTACACCTTCCAGACACACATAGGAAAGGGTACTATCAGACTGCTAGAGATCAGGCACAGAGACACCCAAGCACACACCTATATCCATCCACACACAACACACACACAAACCCACATGCATCCTGACACACACAGTTCCTTGCTCTCCTCTTCTCTCTTTCTAGGAAGTAGAAGTTCAGGAAAAGGGTTCAGAAACCAGACCTAGGGCTATCTGTCCCTTATCTCTTCTCTTTTGGAGAGGCCCAGACCAGGCGGAACCAGGCCTGACTGGGTTCTCAGAACGCAAGCCAACCACCTGTGTCCAGGGAGACAGGCATGCTGCTACTTTGCTTCTATCCTTCAGGAGAGGGAACATGCAGGCACCTCCCTATCTGCTTATCTGTGGCAGGACAGAGTCTTGACCACAAGTCAGCCTCAGGTGCTAGGCTGGGGGCAGGGGCGGTGCTATCCAGAATAGGTTCAGTGTCTGACTGCTGCCAGGTGAGAGTAGTCTCTGTTTTCTCTGGGCTCCTCTCCACCCCAGGAGATCTCTTCTTCCTTCTCAGGAGCCAGCAAATAAATTAGGCCCCTTGGGATGGGAGTGGGGGACTCTGCAAACAGCTCTCCCTCCCTGCAGGCTCCTCATCCCCAGAGAGATTTGTTTCACCCAAATGATGCTAACCTGCTTACTCCAGGTGCCACAAATCCCAGCCCCCTCCACTCAAATCATATTCCCTGCTCCACAAGGGCAGCTTCTCTCTGTAGGGGCCCACAGTTGGCAGAGACGCTGCTCATATTGATAGTGAACAGGAACTTGCTGGTTTGGTCTAGGACTTTAAATTCCATTTTAGAAAAGATATATCCCTGTTTATCGAATCTAGGTTCTGCTTAAGAATTTGGGCCTTTTTCTATAGGGCCTGGGTACTCTTTAGAATCTGGCACCCCCACACCCACCCTCCAATAATAACTGAGCCCTTCTCTTAGAATCCGGAGCCCTCTCTACAGGATTTAAGCAGCTCTCTCTATGGAGTCGAAGCCTCTGGTTTTGAAGTTGAGATACTCTTTATAGGGCCTAGCTAGGCCTGTGTCCGTGGGATCTAGTGCTTTGTCTACCTGGGCCTCTATCCATAGGGCTGCTAGCTGATTTGGGCCTTTGTGTGAATTAGAAAAAGGACCCTTCTTTGCAGGCTCAGTCCCTAGGGTGCATCTCTTGGCAAGTGGTGCCTTTGTGCAAAAACAAAGGTGCTGCCTCCTTCAGTGAGAGGTGGCTCTAGTGGCTCCCTGTCTTAGTGAGGGAGCTTGGGCCGATGTCCCCTTCCCCTTGGGTGGCTCCTTTGTGCCATGCACAAACTATATGACCATATATGGCAATTCTGTCTACAGGATATGTGCTTCTAGCTATAATGCCTATGTCTGTCTATAGGCCTCTATTCATAAGGTCTGGGCTTCTCTAGGGACTGAGTCCCTGTGTATAAGATCTGAGCCACTGTCCACATGCCCAGGGCCTAATCTAAAGGCCTGGGCTTCTCTCTGTGGCATGTGAGTCATGGAAGGACCCAGGCCTTATTGATGGGGTCTAGACGTTTGGGTATAAATGTAACTCAAATTGTTTCTGACTGTGATCCACCACAGTAGGATTATATTTTGCACTGCAGTTCAGTCACACACACACACACACACACACACTCATACACACACACTCATACACACACACATTTAACTGAAATAATAAGTTTCATGAAACAATACTTACCCTTACTACAGAGGATGCACGATGATATTTTCCTCTGTTCTAGTTTTAAAATTAAAAACAATAAAATAAAAAGCTGGTTGAAGCCCATAAAATTGACTTCTTGACTTTACCATCCCCACTATAGATCACAACCTATAGTGTGAAAAACTGGTGTCTAAGGCCTGGGCCCTGAACGACCTCTCTGTTGGATGAGGGCCTCTGTGGAGGTTGGAGCTCCCTCCATGGGGCTGGTCCTGTTTTCAGGGCTTCAGGCCTCCTCCTCCTTACCTGCAGGCTCTGACTCTTGGGCTTGCTAGCACACTGCTGGCTGCCAAGATCTCTCCCGGGACACTGAGCTCAGCTCCTGGGAGGACTCTGACATGGTGCCTCACTCTCCTCCATCCCTCAGGGGCCAAGGAAGCAGGGAGCTGAGCAGGTGTGGGACAGAGGGAGCTCTCAGGCTGTGTGGCCGAAGGCAGCGTCTGGGACAGTAGGTGGCAACCACAGAGCTGAGCTGTGTTCAATAAATCATGGAGGCTAGGGCCTGGGGAAGGGGGAGGTCAGGAGGGAAGCGGGGCCATGGATAAATAATTCATTAAACAAATAAACAAGGAGCCTGTGAGAGGGAAGATCAGGCACACGTGTGAGCAAGAGAGGCAGCTGCCAGCTCCAGGCATGAAATATTCACAGGTTCTGCACCTTGCACAGGGCCCGTGTGTGTGGCCCCAGCCCAGGCAGGCTGTTGGTGCCGTCCTAACCAGGAAACCTGGGTCCCAGCAAGTGTGTGTGTGTCGGCATGGCTCTGAGGATGCTCTAACGTCTGTGAGTTGACATGGAACTACATACAAGCCTGACAGCAGGGAACATAAGCACTGGTATGTGGTCCAGTTCACAGGAAATTAGGATGCAGGGCTTGGTGGGTGGCATTGGGGTGTAATCACCTCTGATTCTGGTCATGTCCTGATCCCTCTAATGAGTCCAGCAAGCCAAGAAGCCTGGAGCTCTGGGGTGTTACACTAGAGGTGTGTGTGAGTCCTCTGAATGTATTTCAAGAAAAGCTGAGAGGCAGCAGTATTGGCTTAGCAGTGAACAGCCTGGGCTTGGATTCGAATTCCAGTTCTGCCACTCGCTAACTATGCTAGTCACTCAACTTCTCTGAGACTGCTTCCTCATCTGTAAAATGGGGATAATAATGCCCCACCTCAGGGAGCTGGTAGTTAAGAGGATTAAGATCCATAATACCTGGGAAGCACTTAACACAGTGTTTAGGATCCCAGAGGCACTGGATTAATGGAGGGTTTCTTATAATTAAGAGGTTATCTACTGAGGTCTGCCCACCTAGACCAGCCCAGACTCTTTTCCATTTGTTCTCCCTCATTTCCAAGCTTTCCTAACAGCTAACATAGGGAGAGATGTGACCTAGGGCTTAGAAAGTATGCAAGGGGTAGGAAAAGATTAGATGGAATGAGAAGAGGAGGTTACAGTCAAAAAAGGAAGTCTCTATTCTTGACAGTGTGGAAGAAGGGACCTTGACCTTCTCCTCAGACCCCAGAGACTCTCCTTAAGCCTTAAAAGTCTTCCTAAATCCAGACTTTCACCAAAGTTTAGCTCTCTAGAAAGTGACTGCAATGGCCGGGTGGCTCACACCTGTAATCCCAGCACTTTGGGAGGCTGAGGCGGGAGGATCACGAGGTCAGGAGATCGAGACCATCCTGGCTAACATGGTGAAACCTCGTCTCTACTAAAAATACAAAAAATTAGCCAGGCATGGTGGCGGGTGCCTGTAGTCCCAGCTACTCGGGAGGCTGAGGCAGGAGAATGGCGTGAACCCGGGAGGCGAAGCTTGCAGTGAGCCGAGATCGTGCCACTGCACTCCAGCCTGAGCAACAGAGCGAGACTCTGTCTCAAAAATAAATAAATAAATAAATAAAAGAAAGTGGCTGCAATGCCCATGCAGTGGCTCACACTTGTAATCAATCCTAGCACTTTGGGAGGCTGAGGCAGGAGGATGACTTGAGTCCAAAAGTTTGAGGCTGCCATGAGCAATGATCACACCATTGCCCTTCAGCCTGAGCAACAGAGTGAAACCCTGTCTCTTAAAAAAGAAAGGAAGGAAGGAAGTGGCTGCAAGGAGGCAGAGAGATTGGAGCAGAGGTCTCTGAGTAGCATCATAACCACCACCCCCAACAAGTCTTCCCTGCCAGAGTTCTGGCCCCCACCCTCTGCCTAGTGGTTGAAGGCTTCCTTGACAAAAATGATTGTGTCTGGGCAAAAACCAGAAGAGTGGCACCCCAGAGTGGGTGGGGAGAATCCAGGATGGAGAGAGCCTCAGAGGGCCAGGGTGGAGTATCTGGCGGCCTCCCAGTAGGTCCCAGCATTCCCCAGCCCTCTGTGTCCCCTGGAAAGGATCCGCTCCCTGTGGGAGAGCCAGCAAACAGGTCTGAGCTGGCCTGCTCCTCCACAGACAGAAGAAGAACAGGTTGGGGGAGGGGGCCTGAGATCTTGGTGGGGAGTGGTAGCGGTAACCCCCATGTCTCCTCTGAGGAGTTAGGGACAGAGGGGACTAGAGCCTGGGCACACCCTACAAAGCCAGGGGCCCAACCCTTCACCTTCTTTGGTCAGCCTGCTGCCACTTTGGGAGCCAGGGGTCTGGGCCCCCAGGTGTGAAGATGGTGCCTGCCCACCCTTTCCCAAGGAGCCAACATCAGTCTCCACTTCCCCTCCCCTGGGCTGGGCAGGTTCAGGCCAATCTGCTGAAGAGCTTCACAGCAAACATTGATCTGTAATAAAACCACAATGTGTTTCAGGAGAAGGGATTCCAGACACAACACACATACACTAACTCACACACATACATACGGATGCAAAACATGCCGCTCTGGGAGGGCAGACACCAGCAGTCCTGAAAACACATCCAAACATAGACCCACACTGTGTCAAACCCACAGACATTATTAGTTCTACACATCCCCTCTCTGCCATATACTTTGTCCTTCAAAATCAAAGCCTTCTCTGATGACCCGTTTTCCCTGTGTTCCCATAACACTTCGTATATAGCTCTATATTAGCATTTTCACTTTGCATTATAATTACTCATTGGCCAGTCTGTCTCCTTGGGTAATCTGAAGATCCCTTAAGGGAAGCGATCTTGTCTTATGCAAGTGTGTGTCCCCAGCATCTAGTATGCAGCCTAGTATTTACTTAGTAGGAGTAGTGAGGTGCTTAATAATTGTTGAATCAAGGAACAAAAGAATAAATGCCTTCTGACAGTGGGACTCCCATTTCTAGAATCCTTCAGAAGCCCACAGTAGAAAACCGTGCATGCTACTCAGGCTTCTGACCCTGCCTTCTTTTCTCTTGGTCCCCTCACCACCACTCAGCTCTCCAGAAGCCCTCCTTTCCTTCCCTTCCCTCAGTGTGAGACCACGAATTTGAGTTCAACCTGAGGGTTGGCAGGCAAGGTAAGGGTTAATGACACCTCATTAGTGTTTAATTGGAGGAAGGAAGCTGCCTTGGCACCAGACAGGTGGGCAGGCCTGCCCCTTGCTGGAACCAGGCATCCCTAGTTCCAGCACCCCGCCAGGCATGTGGGTGATTTGGCCCTGGAGACCCTCCACCCAGCCGGGGCCAAGCAGTATAGACTAGTACTCCCCATCTGTCACCAAACATCCAGCGGGAGAACAAACTCCTTATCCTTTCTTCTGTTGCTGGCTTTGCCCCATCCGTCCCCAACAGACACTGGAGAATGGGAGAGGTGGGGTATGAAGGTGGAGAACTGAGGGACAGATTACAGAGCCACTCAGGGATAGATTCCAGAAACAGACAGGCGACAGGGCTGGGGATGTGGAGATGTCTGCCCAATTTGACCTTAAATGAAGAGAATGCAAATGAGATGCAGACGATATGCAGATGAACACAGGATCTCAGTACTGACATTCCTGGTGGCAGCAGCTCTGCACCCCAATGCTGTTGCCAATAACCAACCTACTCCTAATCTTTCTGCGTTAAGTGGTGCTGACCATTACTTTGAGAACGAAAAAGGATCTCAAGAGAGATAAGAGCTTGCTTGGGCTAGGGCTGCAGGACCTGGGAAGCTGAGCTCCACCCCAGCTTCCTCACCCCATCCCAAGCACCCACCCAAGCTGCCACAGCAGCTCAGGCAAACATTACTCTCCAGGTTGCACTCGGACGCACCGTCGGTTGCTATGGGGACCCCTTCCTCACTTCCAGACCTGAACCAATGGGCATCACCGCTGATGACCTCATGCCCCAGGCCCCGGGATTCTATTGGCTATTTGGAAGCCAGAGCGCACCCTTTTCAATGGCGTCACCGCTGGGGATCCCCCGACGACCCCAGCTAGCGTCTGGCCTACTGAAAGAAAGGCGCGCTGGAAGCTCACAATGTGCTGAGTGAATGAAAAAGGAAAGAAGGAACTAATAAAAGGGAAGAAGAAAAAGGGGGGAGGTGACAGAAAAAGAACAAAACTTCAGGGTTGAATCTGGAGAAGAAAAGGGAGATTTGAAACCCCAGAAAGTGTGGAGCAGGATTGCCCGTCGCAGAGACTCTCAGGCTCTCAAACAGGGAGACAGGGCGAGGTAAAGATGAGTGGAGTTTTCGCATCTATTCGGGAGAGACTAGGGCAGGCCCAGCAAATTGAGGGCCCCACCCTAAGCCGCCTAGCGCTACTGAGTTTAGGGGAGATCGGTGACGCCCCAAAACTTGCAGGCCTGCCCAGCCTCCTGGAACTGCGCCCTGGAACACGCCTCGACTTCTCGTGGGTAAGGCCCGGTGCCTGGAAGACCTCCCAGCGCCTGCAGCCCGTCTCGGCCCCATGAGTGGACTCAGCCCTGGCTTTCCATGGGGACGCGCCCCGGGACTGAATCAGCCGCCCGCGCATGCTATGAGGAAAGTTGTATAGGGAAGGCCGGCTGGGCCTGAGCGCCTGTGGCTGGGCGGGCCTAAGTTTAAGACTCCCCCCGCCCCCCACCAACCTCCCCAGCCCGGCTCCCGTGGTCGCTGAGGCATCCGCCCTTGCACCTGCAAGGGGCTGGGCGGCCGGCAGGGGCGTGTGTCCGTGTCAAGTGGGAGCGCCCGACAGTTAGGGCGTGCGTCTGAGTGCGGAGAAAGCTGACTGGGCCCCGCGTCTCTTTCGCACATGCGTTATCAGCGGCGCGTCCGCGCGCCAGCCCCAGCCGCGGGAGCGAGCGCGCCCGCCTGGTTCTGCGAAAAGGAGGCTGGCCTGGGGCCGCTGGGAGCCGGGTGAGACCCCCACAGTTCTCAATCCAGGGAAAGGGCTGCTAACTAGTCGCTCCCAGTCTACTCCGCCTATGGCTTCACTTGGGAGGGGCGGAGGTAGCAGTAAAGCCAGTTTCCATGGCAACGTGTAGACACCCTCCTGGATGACGGTAAAGATGGAACTTGAACACTTGAACCCAGGACCTGAAGACCTAGCCCATAGCTTCTCCTTCAGCCGACTACACCCTCCCCTTCGCGTCCCAGACCCTCGCCCCCGCTAAAGATCAAGGTTTGGGGTGAAGGCCCTGATACACGCACCTACCTACAAGAGGCATTTTCTGAAAGGTGGCCTCGAATTGGGGGAAGGGACAGACTGGAGTCCGCTCTGCCCGCGGTGCTGCCCTCCACCCAAGGCCTCAGCTAGAGCAATCGAATTAACATGAACGATGGCAGCCGAAATGGGTGCATGGTGGTGGGGGATAGGGCCCCCGCCCCCTCCGAGAGAGACCGGGATCTGACCTAGGTGTGCAAAGGGGTGGGGGAGGGGTTAGAAAACCCTAGCACCTCTGTGTCGGTCTCTGGACCTCTAGCGCCCTCCCCCCACCCCGCCGTCTCCCCCACACCCCGTAACCATGTTCACACGCTGCCTCTCGCTGCCGCAGCCGGGCCGAGCTAATCAGCACAACATCCACCTATCGATGGCTGGCTCGGTGCCAGGCGGGCCGGCACCGTGCCAGTGGAGGCTGCGGGGCACCAGGGCGGGTAAAGTACAGCTGCAGGGGAAGGGGCGCCCCTTACCCAGGCACCACCTAGGATACCATTCAGAAAGAGGGCCCCACTTGGCCTTGTGGGGATCATAGCCTCGCCTACCAGAGGTGGAAGAGACAGTGTGGGCTGAGAGCAGAGGGAGCCCTCCCTCCTCAGCCCCACCTCCTCCTCCTCCTTATAAAAGCTAAGAACAAAGAGGCCGCTGGGGACGGAGGCTTTGATCTGACCCCACCTTCCCAGTTCTAGGCCAGGCACCGCCCAGAGTGCCCTTGGGGAGGGGGAGGGATGACCAGCTCTCAGGGACCCAGGCATTCTGAAACCCAGATGCTATTAATACTACCCTTTGCTTTTGCTGGGCGCCCTGGTTGGTGCTACCAGGACTTGGGCAGGGCCCCAAGCGGATGGGCTGTCAGGAGCATCTGCCCCTCCTCAGCACAGGAAGCCGGCTGGGGAGGTGAGAGAGGGTGCCAAGCTCCACAGCTGCTGCTGGCACCCACCCCACATTGCCCAGAGGGGTGCCCACTGAGGCCTGGCATGGATGGCCTGAGCACAGCTGGCATGGAGGTCAGGCCAAGCTAAGCTGAGAGCCCAGGCCACAGGGAGTCCTGCTATCAGGGAAGTGGCCTGAGGGCAGTAGATTGGGGAGGGCAACAAAAAGATGAGTGGTTTATTGAAGGTTTGGTCTAGATACTTATAAAAATACAAACTGGCATGAAATTCAACCTCATGAAGAGTCCGTCTTCATAGAAGACAAGTGAGTGATCCCCTGGGGAGGGCAAGGTGCTGCCCCAGGGAAAAGGCCCACAGGGCACAGATGGCAGGGCTTCTTCTTTGCCCTGGTCCAGCAATCGACCTGTCCCCAGGTCTTCAGCCTGGGCCCCCAGCTGGCTTGAGGATTTGATCATACCAAATCCCAGTCCTCCTGGGGGATGGGCTGAGACCCTCAGAGCAGCCTGCAAAGCGCCTGTGTTTGTCTTGCCTCTGCTTCAGAGTGTCCAGGGCTGTCTACTGCTCTTCTTTAGCCTGTGATGAGGGGACAGGCTCCTGCAAGAGTCACCTCAGACCCTCTGATCTCCCCCATCAATGCTCCATCTTGTCGGTCTGAATTGGCACCCCCAGTGCAGGCAGCAGGGATCCCTCCTCCTCCAGGGGATCTTGGGAGGACTCTGGCTCCTTGGGATGAGAGGGAAGGTCTGCTTGGCTCACAGAATTCGCAGAAGACGAAGAATCAGAAGCAGCAGTAATAGCAAGAGACAGAGGGGGCTGGGAGTGTCCCCCCCTCGCCACCCTGATGTGCCACTCTCTCCAGGGCTCCCAACAGGATGGGCTGACTCAGACTCTGTGAGGGGGAGGGGGTAGCACTGATCAGTCCTCCCACTTTACCATCCTCCTTCCTCCCCTTCCCATTAGCAGTTCCCTCCTTTCCCATCCTCCAGGGTCTCCCAAACCAGCCACTCCCTTCCCATGATCTATGACCTCATCCTTTCTAAGCCCCAACTTCCAAGCCTCCCCAAAATTGCCAATAGAGACAACCAACTCAGCTAAGACCTTGAAGGGCCTTGCCCCTGGACACCCTGTTCTCTTGGCCCAGCTTTAAAAAGTGTACAGTATGTCGGGTGTGATGGCTCACGCCTGTAATCCTAGCACTTTGTAAGGCTGAGGCGAGTGGATCACTTGAGGCCAGGAGTTTGAGACCAGCCTGGCCAACACGGTGAAACCCTGTCTCTACTAAAAAAAAAAAAAAAAAAAAAAAAAAAAAAAAAATCAGCTGGGTGGCACACACCTGTAGTCCTAGCTACTCGGAATACTGAGGCAGGAGAATTGCTTGCACCCAGGAGGGTGAGGTTGAAGTAAGCTGAGATCGCACCACTGTACTCCAGCCCTGGGCGACAGAGCGAGAGCGAGACTCTGTCTCAAAAAAAAAAAAAAAGTGTGCAGTGAGGCCACACAAGACATGGTGGCTCACGCCTGTAATTCCAGTGCTTTGGGAGGCAGGAGGATCTCTTGAGGTCAGGAGTTCAAGACCAGCCTGGGCAACACAGGCCAGGAGTTCAAGGCCAGCCTGAGATCCCATCTCTACAAAAAATAAAAAGTAATTTAGCCAGTTGTGAGTTGTGGTGGCACATGCCTGTAATCCCAGCTACTCGGGAAGCTAAGGCAGGAGAATCGCTTGAACCCAGGAGTTTGAGGCTGCAGAGAGGTATGATCGTGCCACTGCATTCCAGCCTGGGCAACACAGCAAGACCCTGTCTCTTAAAAAAGAAGTGGGGGAGCTGGGGGTGGTGGCTCATGCCTGTAATCTCAGCACTTTGGGAGGCTGAGGTGGGCAGATCACAAGGTCAGGAGATCGAGACCATCCTGGCTAACACGGTGAAACCCCATCTCTACTAAAAATACAAAAAATTAGCCGGGTGTGGTGGCGGGTGCCTGTAGTCCCAGCTACTCCGGAGGCTGAGGCAGGAGAATGGCGTGAACCAGAGAGGCGGAGCTTGCAGTGAGCTGAGATCGAGCCACTGCACTCCAGCCTGGGCAACAGAGCGAGACTCCGTCTAAAACCAAAACAAAACAAAACAGAAGTGGGGAGAGGATGGTGCAGTAGAAGCTCCCTCAAGGCTAAATGGGGAGAAGAGACCACAGCTTGAAGCTTCACCAGGACCCCTGGAGTCTGATCCTCCTAGATTCTTCTCACTCCTTCCCTCCTTCCCAAGGCCCCACATTAGCCAGTAGGGTCCATGCTCCCAACCCACTTACTCCTCTCCTTGCAGCAGACAGACACCTGGAGCCTCAAGCACTGGCCAGAACTCTCTGGAGTGGGCACCGCTGGGTAGTGGGAAAGTGGGAAAAAGTTAGCACAGGGAGTCACCCCTTTGTATGCCTCAGACTGTTTCAGACCCTCCCAGGTTTTCTTCTCTCCAGGTCCCTGGAAAGCGTTTCCTTACTTTGGGGCCACACCCATGTATCAGGCCCCATCCAGTCCTCTCATCTCCCTGGCCCCCTTTCCTAGCTCCTCCTACTTTCTCCTTTCTAGACATTTCCCTCCTCAGTCCTGAGTTCAGCCCATACCTCAACCCGATGTACATTAGAGACCCAGCCCCCTCCTCCTTCCAGGCCTCTCCTTCCCCCTCCCTACCCTTCTGGTACACAAGAGGTGTCCAGTGTGCCCTTGGCCACTCACAGATGTAGTAGTAAGTCTCTCCAGGTAAGAACTCAAAGCCGAGGGAGAAGGGTGTGAAGCGCTGAATCTTCTCTGAGAATTGAACATGGCCAAAGGGCAGGGAGCACACCCAGCGCTTGTAGGCCCGGGGGCCCTCTGCCTGGCAGGACTCATAGCCTGGCCAGTCCACCATGTACAAAGCAAACGTCTCGGGGCCCTCAGGGGGCCCTGGGCCTTCGTAGTGGGGGCAGACAATGTCTAGGTAATCGTTGAGGCCCAGCTCCACCACGGCGTCTCCTCGAAGCAACCTGCAGGCATAACGCAGGGGTGGGCTGAGGAGTGGAGGGCACCACGCCATGGCCATGGATGCCAGAGACACCCCTTCTCAGAGGCCCCTGCCAGCCTCTCCTCCACCCATGTGCGATGGAGCAGCTCAGGAAGGCCCGAGGTTCCCAGACTGACAACTCTTGAGAGACAAAGAGAGTGCAAGAAATGGATGAGATGATCGATTCACAGGTTCCGAGAGGCTAAGACCTGCAGTGCCCATAACCACACAGCTTAGATGTGAGAAGGAGGGTCACCACACCCTGTCCTACAGGCTGGAGCTGCCACACACCTCTCTAGCTCCAGTGCCCAACACTCAATGTGGTATAGCACCAGGCTTGATCAATGTCAGGTGGATGGATGCTGTGAAGAAGCTGGGCAGAGAGGCAGGAGGTACAGTTGCACACAGTGCAGCTGCAGACACAGAGGTGGAAACAGGGGTTGGGAAAGGTCTCCTCAAACAGATATAAAGTGAGGAACACTGTCCTTTAGACTGACTTCAACCCAAGGGTGAAAAGAATGTCACGGTAAAAAAAGAATGAGGGAGGCCAGGTGTGGTGGCTCACATCTGAATCCCAGCACTTTGGGAGGCCGAGGTGGGAGGATCGCTTGAGGCCAGGAGTTCAAGACCAGCCTGGGCAACATGGTGAGACTGTCTCTACCATAAATAAATAAATAGGCTGGGCGCGGTGGCTCACGCTTGTAATCCCAGCACTTTGGGAGGCTGAGGCGGGCGGATCATGAGGTCAGGAGATCAAGACCATCCTGGCTAACACGGTGAAACCCCGTCTCTACTAAGAATATAAAAAGAAAACTAGCCGGGCGTGGTGGCGGGCACCTGTAGTCCCAGCTACTTGGGAGGTTGAGGCAGGAGAATGGCGTGAACCCGGGAGGCGGAGCTTGCAGTGAGCCGAGATTGCGCCACTGCACTCCAGCCTGGGAGACAGAGCGAGACTCCATCTCAAAAAATAAATAAATAAATAAATAAATAAATAAATAAATAAATAAATAAAGGCCATGAGTGGTGGTGCACTCCTGTAGTCCCAGCTACTTGGGAGGCTGAGGCGGGAGGATCCTTAGAGTCCGCAAGTTCCTGTAGTGAGCTATTATGCCACCGCACTACAGCCTGGGTGACAGAGCAAGACCCTGTCTCTAAATTCTAAAAATTAAAAAAAAAAAAAAAAAAAGAATGAGGGAGTGGGTGCTAGGTGCCTCCCTTTTTTGGCCAGGAGGAGCAAGTGCCAGGCATGGGGGGAGTCCACATACTACCCAGTCTTCAGTCTTCTCAGGACTCCCTTCCCCACCTCTTGGGAGCTGCCTGGGGAAGCCAGCACAGGTGGGAAGGGCTGGAAGGGGCTGCTCCCCACAGTACTGAATGCTGCATGAACCACCCCCCATACCACAAACACAGCGAAGCATGACTTAGGAAAAGCCTCCAGTGGGTGGTCCAAGGACGACCTGTATCAGTTCTGATTAGAAATGAAGATTCCTGGGCTCAGCCAGCCCAGACTTACTAGAACGCAAGCTGAGCAAGGACAGGGCCTTGGTAAGTTTTGTTCTACTGCATCCCCCGTGCCTGGAAAAGTGCCCAGCACAGGACAGTGTTCAATAAATATTTGTGGATTGAATGAATGAGCCAGAAACCTTAAGATTGGGGGGTGAGAAACCTGAATTTTTAACAGGTCCTCCAAGTGATTCAGAAGCTTTGGTCTGTGACAGAGATAGAGAATTCAGAGTCCAAGGACAACAAAAGCTCTTATCACTTGTTATTGGTATTGTAATGACCTGTCTTTATGCAGGCTCTCCTGCCTGCGCCTGTTCTCCAGAGAGTCTGTGGAATCCCAGAGGGCAGGGTCTTGATCTTCTCATCTATATAGTTAATCCCCTGCAACCTAGCACAGGGCCGGGCACACACAGTATGTGTTTAATAAATAAATGTTAGTGAGTGAAGAAATGAATAGTCACAGATTGTCTCAAGTAGAAAATCAGAAAGAAAAACAGATAGGAAATAGGAGAGGCAGGGAGACTTGGGGAGGGGGATGGAAACAGTAAAATATACTAAGGTTCAAAGGCAGGCAGCTCAGGAGAGAGAAAGAAATAATAGTTTATATCTGTACAGCCTGAGCCTCTTTCACATACATGACCTCACTTACCCTGCCAGACTTCCCAGGGTACTAGGTATTATTAGCCCATTATACAGGTGAGATAAATGAGGTTAGGAAGGTCACGAGACTTGCCCAGAGGTGATTCGGCTAGAAGGGCAGGGCTGACACTGGAAAGAAACAGAAGGACCAATAAAGACAGAGATGAAAGCAGAGATAGCAAATGAGATCAGGAGACAGAGTGAGAGCCAGAGGTGAGACCCAGCGGGCAGGAGAGTAACCCACGCTCTTTCATAAGAGTAAAGCCCCCTCCCTCGCTCTCAAGTTCGTCAGCCACAGCTCCAGCCTGCGGGAGGCTGGGGATCGCCAGGAGAGCAGCGAGGGGGGCGGAGCCCGGAGTGCGGGCAAAGGCCCCCCCAGCTCCATGCTCCAAGACCCCCTAGACAACCCTTGGGGCTGGGGTCTTCTGCCTGCCCCCCAACACATGCGGGCTGTGGGGAGACCCAGGGCGCGCCTCGCCCCTCGCCCCTCCCCCCTCCCCCGCCGGCTCAAACAAAGGAGCCCCGGCGCGCGGCCAGGCTCAGGCGGCGCCGCGCAAAGAGCGGGTGGCGGGCGCGCGCAAAGCCCGGGAGCGCGCAGACTTGGCTGTGCGCTCGCCCGGTTCGGCCCGGCTACCTGGGGTTACTGGAGTTCCAGTAGACTACGTGGCGGAGGCTGGAGCCCCCGCGCAGAGGGGAGCCGAGGAACGCGGCCCAGAGGACAGTCCGCAGCAGGGGCAGCAGCCGCATCGCCCCCGAGGTCCGGTTTGGTCTGGCCTGGCAGGTCCCGGCCCGCTTCACAGTCGAGGAGAGAAAGGTACAAAGTGAAGAGGGAAGTTGCGGAAAGGGGAGTGGGGTACGGAGATTCACTGACCCCGCCCCTGAATAACTTTCCGCCAATGGGAGCGCGTCTCCTCCTCTCCACCCAGCGCCAACTCCAGTTAACCCTCTGTGCACCGCAGCGCGCGCCAGGTTCGCCAAAGCTTCCACTGAGGCTGCACCGCACTGCGAGGGGGCGGGAAGGAAGGACGTATTCCAACAGCAGTATTTTTAGGGAGGTCATCTCTTTCGTGTCTGCTTTAGTGCAGGGTAGACTGCCTTATTAGAAGTTTGGAAGATTTTAAATAAGGGTACATAACCTTTGCCCAGATAGGGGAAAGTGAGGCGCGGGCGAGGATCCATGAAGCCTGTCCAACCACCTTCATGCACTGCCCCGTTTTCTTTGCACATCTAGGGACAGTGCAAGCGGAAGGGACAACACAGCTCTGGGACCACCTTCCCTAAAGAGCCTTAGGTGGCGCGCTAGATGCTCACTTTAGGATTGGCGTCTGTCCCTTGCCGCTCCACACCTTCGTTCCGGGCTGGGGGCCCACGCGGCCCCAGTCCCTAAGACGAAGTAATGAGGTGGTTGCGGCCTGTACAAAGCACCTTTGTTCCCGATCCCTCAGGTGGCGGCGGCGGAGGGGGAGGAGGCAGGTGCGCGGCCTTGGGATCGTGGGAGCAGCCGCCGCCCCGCTCCGCCCTGGCTCCTGGGCTCTGGGAGCATCAGCCAGATCCACTTTTCCCAGCCAATGGTCAGAGTGGGGACGGCAGGTCCAACAGCTTGACAGATTGCGCCGAAAGCCACCCCAGTCTGGGCAGAGGGAAGCTGCGAGCATCCCGGGGACACACGCCGACCCTTTCTGGTACTCCCGCCCCACACAGCCCGCCCTCGTCTGAGGCGGCAGCGTCTTCTGGCGGCCAAACCTGGAACCGCAGCAGGAGCGACCCGGGTTCTAGAAGCAGACAAACTCTGGGGAACGCTCCCAAGATGTCACGTTTATTGCAACTGAGCAGAGACAGGCTGTGCGGACCTTCCTCAATCCCGTCCAACCCCCAGCCCCTCCCCAAGCCCCCGCTGCAACTACGCCGGCAGGTCCGCAGAGTGTTGCTTGACAGCGCGTGGCGGTGCCCGGAGTCTTAAGACACCGCCAGTCTCTGGCGCCTTCAGTCATGGTAGGGGACTCCAGAGGGCACGCCCGCCTCTTGAAGCCCTAAGTCCGGCTTGGAGGCAGCGGAACCTCCGGAGAGGTCAGAGGTAGAGCGAGGACACTGTCGGAGGCGGTGGCGCTGGTCTGGATTGCGGGAAGCCAAGAAAAAAGAGTCAGAGGCCCCTTTCCCCCAGGTCACTCGCCCCGCCCACCCATGCCCAGGGCTCCTCCTACCTGGAGGGTACCACTAGGGGCGGGATTCCAGCCCCTGGGCCGGGCAGGTCACCCGATGGGCACCGGCCCTGGGGGTCGGCAGGCAGTGGCTTCCTTGGGGGTGGGGGCTTGGCTGGCCCCTGAGACTGAGGGAGAGAAGGCAGGAGGCCGGCTTAGGTGGGGGGGTGTCATGTTGCCCACCCCCAACGCACTGGTGCTGGGGAACACCAGCTTGGGGGCAGCACCAGCGGTCACCCTTGTCTGCAAACAAACCTGTCACCATTAAAGGCACCACCGGGATATGTGCCCTCATGCACTGAGGGGGCATCTCGCCACGGCCACCACCGTCATGGCTACCAGCACCACAGCCCTAGGTGGGGGGAGAGGCCGTGCCCTTCTCTCCCCCCACCGTTACCTTCGGGCTTCTCACCACCGGGTCAGCGGGCAGAGGGCGGGTAGGGGGATTGGGTCGGTCAGCCAGCTCAGCCTGAACAGAGAGAGGGGCAGTGGCTGTGAGAGCATAACCAGGGGCTGTGGACATGCACAGAGATTCCCCAGAGGGGTTCAAGTCAACATGCAAAGTCAGCCAGGGGGCAGGAGAGAATGAGGGCATGCGCAGAGGGCTTGGAGGCATGCCAGCTGATGTCTCAGGGGAGGAAGGTGTAGGTCAACCGCAGTCCCTGGCCGACTGCAGTCCCGCCATTGACCACCAGATGGTGGTAGAAACCAAGGCAGGAGGCTCACCCTTTGCTGCTTCTGGGGCTCAGAGTGTCTGAAGGCTGAGGGGCACCCCGATCACCTAATGAAGAGCACCACTGGCAGGGAGCAGGGATGAGAACTGCAGTTGGGTACCAAGCCTCCCACCTGCCTTGGCTCAGGGCGGGCCCTGGCCCAGATTTACCTGGAGTCTCTTGGACACAGGGTCAGGCGGCAGCGGCCTGGAAGGGGGGGCCGGGAAGCTGAGAGCACTAGCCTGCTGAGAGGGCAGGAGGGGCAGATAGGCACAGAGGGGGAAGAGGAAGCAGAGAGACAGAGTGGGCAGGGAAGGGTCAGTGCCCAGGGGGGGCCAGCAGGGGCCCAGGGCAGTGGGTGCTGTGCATGCAGTTATGCAGGTGCATGCAGGTGGGGAGCGAGTGGGGAGGAGGTGTGCACACACTCCCATCATCCAAGCAGAGGGCTCAGGGTGGGGATGCTCACCAGCCCTTCTAACATGGTGACCTGGGCCTACGGAAGGCCATTCTGAGCACCACTGCCCTTGTGCCCTCCTGGGGTCACTGCTGGGGGCATGGATAGATCCACCTCTCAAAGCCACCTCTTGGCCAGCGGACGGAGCCCAGCAGCTCCTGCTCCAGCTGGCTGCCCTCCCCACTCTTCTGGACTCAGCTTCCCTGCCTGTAGCCAGGGGAGGGGAGGGCAGGGCTGGCCCTGACTCCTTCGACTGACTCTTGGGCAGTGCTAGCCTTTCTCTGAGTCTGGAGCCTTTAATGCGCACCCCCCAGGGCCCAAGCTGGATGCCCGGCCAAGGTGGAGTCCCCTTCCTCTGGCATCCAGGACTCACCTTAGTGCCTCGTGCCAGCAGGGCCCTCTGCGGAGGTCCTGGCCGTTCAGAGGGACCAGATTGGGCTGCCCTATGCATGAGGAAAGGCAAGAAGGGAGAGGGCCCAGCCTCAGACCCTGTTTTCTACCATATGCCATCCCTGAGTGGGGTTAACCCTTTGCAGGCACTTATGTGTGGTTTAGGTAAAATTGTGGTAGGGCCGGGGTGGGGGGCAGTATTTATTAGCTTGAGGGAAGACCCTACTTATCCAGCACAGGGGCTCCTGGGGAGAAATGGCCCTAGCAATCCAGCCACCCCACAGGGGCACAGCTGTGAGGTAAAAAGCTGTGGGCACATATAGGGAAGGGAGGTGTGGGGTATGGCAGTCAGCAACTTTAAGGTCCAAGGGGCCTGGGGCTCAGAACCAGGTGGCAGGGGCTGCAGAGGTGAGGCAGCCTTCAGCACTGTCCCCAGTTGAAGGAAGTGGTAGCAGGGAGGTGATGCTCATACCTGTACTGGCAGGTGGGTCCCTTGAGCTGGCAGAGTCGCTGGTGCAGGCGGGCACGGTACCAGTAGCTGGCACCAAGCATCACCAGGACCAATAAGACCAGGAGGCTGAGGAGCAGCCCTGTGGTCAGGGAGCTGGTTGCTGTGGGCGGAAGTCAGGTTTAAGGGAGGACGGGGCTAAGAACTCTAGATCCATGAAGGCGCAGGGGGCAGGGAGTGAAGTCAAGTGATCAGGGAGAGTGAAGGGTTCAAGGGGCACAGACTCAGGGAACCAGCAGCAAAGGGGGGTCAGAAAGAGAGGGCCGAGGGGGCAAGATAAAGCATGAGACGCTTTGCCCTCCCAGCTGCCCCTGTCCCCCACCCCCATGCTACCTTTGAGCTGAGTGGTGCAGTCAGGGGGTGCCCAGCCCTCCTCACAGTAGCAGTGCCTGTTGCTGTCACAGACCTAGGAGGTACAAGGCGAGCAATGAGGAGCTCTGCACTCTGGAACTATTTCCTTGTCTCTAGCTTTTCAAGATCTCAGATTTCTACAACTGGGGGTTGTGCTGGGTATGTGTGTAGAGACAGCCCGGAGGGAGGGTCTTTATCCATACCAGAGCAAATTAGATCAAACTAACACTTACTGAGCTCCTTCTGTGTGCTGGGCACTGTGGTACATGCTTTCTTTCTTTGTGTTTGTTTTGTTTTGTTTTATTTTATTTTATTTTAGACAGCAAGTAAGATGGAGTCTCACTCTGTTGCCCAGGCTGGAGTGCAGTGGTGCAATTATGGCTCACTGCAGCCCCAAACTCCTGGGCTCAAGCAGTCCTCCTGCCTCAGCCTCCCAAGTAGCTGGGAGCATAGGTGTGCACCAGCAGGCCTGAATAATTTTTAAATTTTTCCTTGAAAGAGATGGGGGTCTCACTATGTTGACCAGGCTGGTTTTGAACTCCTGGCCTCAAGTAATCCTCCTGCCTTGGCCTCCCAAAGTACTGTGATTTGGCTGGGTGCAGTGGCTCACCCCTATAATCCCAGCACTTTGGGAGGCTGAGGCGGGAGGATCACTTGAGGTCAGAAGTTCAAGACTAGCCTGGCCAACATGGTGAAACCCATCTCTACTGAAAATACAAAAATTAGCTGGGCATGGTGGCGGGTGACTGTAATCCCAGCGAGTAGGGAGGCTGAGACATGAGTAATGTTTGAGCCTGGGAGGCAGAGGTTGCAGTGAGCCGAGATCACGCCAGCGCACTCCAGCCTAGGCAACAGAGCGAGACTCTGTCTCAAAACAAAACAAACAAACAAACAAAAAAACTGTGATTATAGGCATGAGCCATTGTGCCCAGCCTGTGCTAGATGCTTTCATACTCATCTCATGTACCCTGGATGGGGATACTATTATTATAGCCATTTGATAGGTGGGGAAACTGAGCTCAGCAAAGTTAGTAACCTGCCCGAGGTCACACAACTGGGAAGTAGTAGAGCAAGGATTAAAACCCAGATATGTCTATTTCCAAAGCCCAGTATCCTTTTCCTCTCTAGAGGCTCTCTGCTCCCCTTCCACTTCCCCCATCCCAGCTCACCCCATGTCCATGGCATTTGCTTCGACATTCCTGTGCCCCCAGGAGATCCACACGCTGGCATCGATGGTCTATACACACCTGACCCAGGGAGAGAAGAGCCTGGATCAGATTCCCACAAAGCTTTAATGGGACTGGGAGGCCAATAAGGTTGAGGCCATACCCTGCGTTTACAGATGGGGAAACCAAGGCATAGTGAGTTGATAGGACTTTGCTCCATCTGAAGTAAGAAACTGACTTCCCTTGGAGTCCCTGCCTTTGACATTGGTGAATGGTGAAGTCTGGGCTCTGTTCATTGTGGTCCAAATGTCCCTTCTCACACCTGGTCTTGCCCACCCAGGCTGCTCACCAGGCCAGGGCCACAGGCTGTGCCAGGCAGAGTCAGGAGGGGCTGGGCCACATCACTGCCCAGGTCCAGGTGCACCCAGCTGCAGTTCAGCTCAGTCCCATTCACATCTATTGTCTCCCAGAGTAGATCCCGGATGGAGCCCAGCAGAGGCTGGGTCCTACCTGTCTGGCACTGGAGCTGCCCACAAATGGCATCTCTGTGGGGAGGGGGAAGGGCACACAGAGTTAGTAGGAGCAGGGCCAAGGCTCTCAGAAACCCAAAGGAGGAGCCAGGTTTCCTCACTTACCTAGGGGTGCAGGACACATAACTGCCACTGGGGTTGCGCCCACAGCTCCCAAAAGCATTTCCCCGAGTATTAGCTGTCTGGAGGCAAAGTGGCGCAGCGGGCTGGGCTCCAGGTCCCCAAAGTGACTGGCACTGCTGGGCATAGGAGGCACAACGCCCGTGCATGCACACAGCTTGCCCGCCAGCGCAGGGCTCGCCATCCCCTAGGCTGACATCAGGGGGACACTGGGAGCTGTCTCCTGGGCAGAATTCAGGCAAGTCACAATCCCCTCTGGTAGGACGACACTGCCAGCCAGACGGGCGCAGCTGTGGAGGGTGGATGAGCATCAGTGTGGGCACTGAGCAAATCCAGCCGGGGGTCAGAATGACCCTTTCCACCTTGGCCCCGGCAGGTGAGCTCCGGGTGGCCAGTCTAGTCTCTACCCACCTGGCAATTTTGACAACAGGGTCCGTCAGATGCACACTGTGCACCTGGCCTCAGCTGGCAGGTCAAAGAATCACAGCAGGGATCGACGCAGTCCTGTGGGCAGGAGCACGGGGGCCGGGCATCAGAGCAGGTGGGGCCTGTGAGCCTCCCTCCAATCTCTCCTCCTCCCACAGGCCAAGACCAGAAGCTACACAGCAAGCGAGGGCTAGAGCCCAACAACCCATGTGCTGTCCCCACAGACAGGGCAAGTAGGAGAGGGGTGGAAAGTCCCTTCAGAACCCAAGAGCTCAGGAGGCTGGGATAGGGCTAATGAGCCAGGGTGAGGGTACAGAAGTGAGTGGGGCGAGGCTTTGGGAAAGGGGCTCACATCCAGGAAGCCACAGTCACACTGCTCGCCCGGCTCCACAAACATATTTCCGCAGAAAGCAGCCATAGGGGGTAGGCTAGGCAGCCGTTCGAAGAGGCAGCTGCCCATTCCATCCAGGAGGGCTTTCTCCAGGGCCCGTCGGCTGCAGTTGCTGAAGTTCAGGCCTGGTAGGAAGCTGGGGAGGGTGGCAAGGAAGGTTGGGGCTGGGGGCCTCTCCCTGCCCCCTGCCCCACACCCTCTCTCCATCCTGCAGCTACTTACTCTGTGGAGGCCTCCATGATGCAGGTCTTGGCTGGGGCTGGACCTGGACAGGGGCAGCTATTCCCAGGCAAATCATGGTCCAGGCCCAGGCTGTGGCCCAACTCATGGGCTATGGAGGAGGCGACTCCCAGGATGCTGGTGGAGTGGTCCTGTCATTGGGGAGGGGTACTGTAGGTCCAGTCCCAGCCTGCCTCCACCACAATGCCCAGACCACCCTCTCTGCTCCTGTTCCCTCCACGTCTGACCTCGTGGGCACTCAGCAGGCACTGCTTCCCTCCTGAATTGCTTCTAAAGTAGGAGAACCCAGGCCTGGATGGCAGAAACTTGGGTTCTAGCTCAGCTCTGTCCCCCTCCCTCACTGGAGGGAGATCACCTCTGTTCTTTGGGCCTTAGCTGCCTCCTACCCTCCTCTAAGAAATGGGAAGACTGCACAGGGGATGACTGTGTACACTGTGACTAGCTGGCCATAAGCGAGGGCTCCCTGATAGCAAAGGCCACATCACGTACCTCCACCCTCTATACCTGTAGCTTTGGGGTTGGGCAACTTTATAGGGGGGTTTCAGTGCATAAATGCCACCACACTTGGGAGGAACTGAATTGGGAATGAGGAGGAGACCTGGAAATAACTCACCATGTTCACACCTCCTGAGAAGTCAGGAGAACAGATGGAGTTCTGAATGGCCATGCCCACCGTAGGCCCAGAGAATGAAGTACCACTGTGGGACAGAGAGGCTAAAGTTCAGGGCCAGAAGCCACGGTGGTCAGAGCTTCAGGGGCTGAGGTAGGGTGCTGAAGGGGTGTGAATTTGGCCAGGACAGGACTGGCCTCTCTGGCTGAGTCTGGGGCCCTTACGTCACCAGCTGGGCACTGTCATGGGGCAATCGAGGCAGCAAATGTGCCCTGCGCCAGTGGAGGAAGTTTTCGAGGGTGACAGCTGGGTTTGGGCTGATCTCCACCAGGTCACGCTGGGTCCAGGCCTCCAGGCCCACTAGTGCCACTCGTACATTCAGGGGCCGGAAGAACTGAAAGACAGCTGGGGCTCAGAAGAGGGGTTGCCATGGTCAGGGGCCTGGGGTGGGGGTTGCCCTGTCCAGCACTCACTGTGTCCAGCAAGAGGGCCACTTCCAGTGTGCGGTTTAGCAGGTGCTGGAAGTCCCGGTATTTCTGGGCCTGTAGGCCAAGAGAGGTGACATGAAAGGCGGCAGGGCAGTGCAGGGGGAGGAGGATGTGCAGGGGCCAGCAGGCTCACCTCCGAGTGATCAGCCACAATCACCAACTCCACAGTCTTGGTCTCTGTTACCACATCCCGCCTCTACTATGGACAAGAAGAATTATCAGGCAAACCTGCCGCTCGCAGCCAGCAGCTGTGCCGGGCTGACCAAGAGGCAGCCACTCCTACTCTGTGGGTCAAATAGGAGGGTGAAGAGCCCATTTTACAGATGAGCCACTGAAGGCCAGAGGGCCCAGGAACTTGCCAAGGAGGACCAGGAAGTAGATAATGAAGGTTGGAGTAGACCCCTGCTTTTCTGGCTCCAAACTCAGTGGTTTTTTTCAAATTTTTAAAAAACAGTAATTTAGCTGGGTGCGGTGGCTCACGCCTGTAATCTCAGCACTTTGGGAGGACAAGGCGGGTGGATCATGAGGTCAGGAGATCGAGACCATCCTGGATAACACGGTGAAACCCTGTCTGTACTAAAAAATACAAAACATTAGCCGGGTGTAGTGGCGGGCGCCTGTAGTCCCAGCTACTCGGGAGGCTGAGGCAAGAGAATGGCGTGAACCTGGGAGGCGGAGCTTGCAGTGAGCCGAGATCATGCCACTGCACTCCAGCCTGGGAGACAGAGCGAGACTCTGTCTCAAATAATAATAATAATAATAATAATTTTTAAAAATCCCAATAACAACTCTTGTCACTTACCATAGGTCTGGCATAGTTTTAAGCACTTTACATCTATATGGACTTATTTAATCTTCCCAGCAACTCTATGCAGCAAGTAGTTTTATTATCTTCATTTTACAAATTAGGAAATTGGGTTTATATTGCTTCATCATTGGTAACTATGTATTATCTATAACCAAGTGAGAGCTCTCTGCAAATGGGATCATAAGACAGATGAAGAGCCAAATACAACTAATAAATGGATAGGCCATTTATTAGTTGTAGGGCCTCGGGCAAACCACCTAATCTGTCTCAGCTAGATTTTATTTTATTTTATTTTTATTTTATTTTTTGAGACGAGGTCTCACTCTTTCACCCAGGCTGGTGTGTAGTGGCTCGATCTCGGCCCACTGAAACCTCTGCCTCCTGGGCTCAAGCGATTCTTCCACTTCGGCCTCCTGAGTGGCTGGAACTACGGGTGCACGCCACCATGCCCAGATACTTTTTGTAAGGTTTCGTCATTTTAAAATAGAGCTATTGATAGCACCTACCTCCTAGGTATGGGAGGAGTACACGAGCTAATGTTCACAAAGTGCCCAGCATGTGGAAAGTGCTCCATTCGCAGGAGCTGTTGTTACTGTGCACACATAGCTCTAAGTGTCTGGGGATCAGCCCTCAAGACAACCAAAGCCCACCCCCCTGCCATTCATCCTCACCCGGCGAATGTGGCGCTGTCCCAGGGGGTGCTCTGGTGGCTTCTGAGTGTGTACAGATTCCCGCCAGCTCAGGGCACAGGTGTGGCCTGGCAGGTGGAGATCTTGGATTCGCGAAATAATGGGAGGACCCTGAAGGTCCCCAGGCCCCTGCTCCAGGGTATAGCTTCTCTCTGGGGTCAGGACCACCAAGCCTCTAAGAAAAAAGAAAGTCAGAGAACATTTCAGCTCCATGCCTGGGTCTCCTTACTTTCTCTACTGTCATTAAATCCGCCCAGTATACCTGAGCCCAGAGCAGGTGCAGATGGACACCCAGGAGCCTGCATATCCCCGCACTCTTCCCTGGTAGCAGCAGTTCTCCTGCAGCATGGGAACAACATTAGTGCTGTCTCAGAGAGCACACCAGGACTGGAACTGAGGAGCCTAGCTTGACGGTAAAAATATGCAGTGTCCTCTCACCTTCCAGCCACCCCCTCCCTCTTTCCCCTAAGCCAAAAATGGCACAAGAGGGCCTGACTCACCAAAGTGTGTCCCTCACTGACCACCCGAGTGCCATCGGGCTGGTACCACACCAGGGTTGGGCGGCCTGGGACCAACTCCCTGTGGAGTGAAGAAAAAGAAGGCAGTGCTAAAGCCACTTCCCAGGTCGTGCATTGACAAGCAGAGGCTTGAAGGTGGTTGTGGGGCTGGGGACCAGGCAACCCCCGCAGCCAACTTTTCCACTCCTGACCCCGGGGCAGCAAAGTATACTGGTTGGGCCACTGACTCTGTTAGTTTATTTGAATTCCAATCTGGTTTTCACCACATACTAGCTGTGTGACCTGGGGCAAGTTATTTAATCTCTCTGTGCCTTGACTTCCTCATGTATAAAGTGAGGACAATAATACATGATAGTATATCCCTTATAGGGCTGTTATGAGGATTAAATGAGCACAAGCACTTAGTACCTGGCACATAATAAATGCTATACAAGTTGTTGGCCATGTGGTCACTGTTATTGCCACCATCACTATTACCTATTCTGTAGCAGCTCCAGGATATGACTGTCACCGTCCAGCTCCAACTTGATCCTCAGGGGCTCAGGCAGACTGGTCTGTGGGCACCAGAGGGCAGGTCACCTCCCTAGACCTGTCCACAACTCCCAGCCTCTCTAACCAGAAAACCTCAGGCCCACAGAAGAGCACCAGCAATTAGATCACTGGTGGGGGGATCCCAGGGGAGGGGCCAGGAAACCCTGCCTGGCCTGGAGCATTGTTCTGGGGGGTTGTGTGCGGAGGTCAAGGAAGGTATCTGAGCCACCCCTTCTCGGCTTCCTGCCCAGAGAGGAAGCACCGTGTAGGACCCAGCACAAGCCCCAGCCCTTCCTCTGACTCAGCTTTAGAATGGGGTGGGGGGGGGGGGGTTTGGTAAGGTCCTGACTCTTTCCAAATCCCCCCACTGAGAAAACCGACAACATGAGATGAAGAAAGCAAGTTTGGCTTCACAATTTCCCCAGTGGAGATGGATGGGTTGGGTGGGGCTGAGGCAGACAGATACACGTGTGTGCAGAGGGAGAGGGAGATAAGTGAAGCCAGGTGCTGGGGTGTGGTGGGAGAGGCAGCTGGGCCTGGGATAGACCCACTACAGTGAGCTCTACCCACCAGCTCCTCAGCCAAGCTTTGGCTTTGAGACACCTGGCTATACCGGGGCGTGTGTGGATTCGTTTATTTATTAGAGGGGAGTGAGAGCTCACCTGAAGCACCTTTTTGAGGCTAATTGGGAGATCGTCCTGAAGGACCTGGGGCTCCAAGGGCTCCCTCGGGGCCTTCTCTGACTCTGCCTGCTGCTCCTCAGTGCCACCTGCAGGTCCCAGGACACCCCAAGACAGTACTGAGGGAATCGACAGCAGGGCTGGGGGTGACAGGTGCCCTCAGATCCACCAGCTCCCAGCCCATCAAGACCCTTAGGTACCTGAGGGGCTTCCACATTGCATGCTGAGACTTAAAGAAGAATACTGGAAGGAGAGGGTGTCTCTCTAATTTATGGCTTTCCACCCACCAACCCATTCACAAGTCCCCAAGAAAGACTTTCGGCTTGCGCAGCCTGTGGCCCTCCTTGTCCCCTTCCGGCCAATCCCAGGTTCTCACAGGACCCTCCCCGGTTCCCACTCCCTCCCAATCACTCTCCCCCCACTTCAGGAACGCCCCCTCTCGAGACTGAGCTAAGCCTTGTGGCCGGGTGCCCGCTCACCCTCCCCTTCGCTCACATCGGAGATGCCAGGAACGCCCATTTCTGGGTGAGCAGTGCAAACACCCCCACCTCCCTAAACACCCTCATGCCCAGTCAGGCACACCCGCTGCCTACAGCCTCTGCTTCCTCCTCGAGCACCCCCCACCCCCCCAACACACAATGGCCCTCTCTCCTCCGGACACTCCACCCGCGCCTGCCCTCTCGGTCCCGGCCCAAGACAGCAGCGGGAAGTGAAAGTTCCAAGGAGGAGTTGGTGTCCCAGCCTCTTTCCTGGCCAATTCTCCCTTCTCCTGGCTCATCTCGGGCCCCTCCCGCTCGGCCAGGCACTGGTGGCAACAGCACCAGGGTGAGGAGTGCCTGGCGGCCCCAGGCCTGGAATAGAGGCTAGAGAGAATCCTCTTCACTAAACCCTACAAGCCATGCCCGCTCAGCGCCCTGGCACCGGGTCGAACGGTTAGCTAGGCCCCAGAGCAGCGAAGATGCCAGTCCTGGGGAGCAGCGACCCTCTCATCACGATCTTGAAGTGGCGCTGGACAGGCCCCTCGGTACCTGGTACCTGAGCCTGAAAGTGTCCGCAGGGACCGCGCAGAGGATGACCAGGCAGGAGGCAGGGGGCGCCGGCATCCCCCCTCCTTCTCTTTTCACCCCATCGCCAAGTCACCGGGCCCTAGGCCCAGGACAGCGGACCAGGGCGGGCCGCGCTCTGGCTGGGCTCTCCCAGGGTCTCCGTCCGGCCCCATTACCCTAATGCCTTCCGACTTTCCTGCACCTCCCTCCCAGTCCGCCCCCCGACCCACTCCAGGCGGAGGACTCACCTATATTTGGGAGCGGCCAGGAAGGCAGAGGGCTGCCCGCGCCCAGGAGCCCCAGGGCCCAGAGCAGCGCCAGCCGCATGGCAGCGGCGCTCCGGGCCGGGCGAGGGCAGCAAGTGCGGAACAGCGCGCGGAGGAGCGGCCGGCGGCCAGGTCGCCTCGGAGAACCCAGCAGCGCCGCGCGGCCACCAGGCCCCGCCCCGGCCCGCCCCCTCCCACCCGGCCCCAAGCCAAGCTCCGCCCCCGGCAAAGCCCGCCCCGCTGCGCGCCGGGTGCCTCGGGAGCGGGGACACCGCCCACTACGCCCGCGCTGCTCAGCGCTACCGCTTCCCCGCAACTGTGCGGAGTGGGAGCCGGTGCCCGGTCCGACCGGCTTGGGCGGCGCGCCTTCACCCGGCGCCAGGTCCGGACCCCTCCCTAGTAGCTTCGCGGCCTCCCTGCCTCCTGTGCGCGGCCTGGCTCGGAGAGGTCGGGCGGGCAGGCTTTCCCGACTGCAGGCGAGGCAGTGCGCGGCTCACCCCAGTCCCCGACCCACGTGAAGCGTACAGGGCATTTTATTAACCGGGAAGGACGGTGCGGAAGAGCGAGCAGGACGCCTCTTCACCCCGCGTAGGCAGTGTCGTCGTTGCTGTCACTAAAGGCGGAGGAAGAGAGCTCTTCGCGGGGCGTGCAGACCGGGCACCGCTGCCGCATGTCGTCCCAGCACGACCAGCAGTACACGGCCTCGCAGTCCAGCGTCCGGCACACGTAGGACTCGGGCGTCTCGGGTGCCTGGCACACCACGCAGCGCCGGCACAGCCAGCGGCGCAGGAGCGGGCAGCCGCGGTGCAGGATATCCGCCAGCGGGTGGCGCTGTTGGGAGGTGGGCGTTAGCGCCAGCCCGGGAGCGAGGCGGGAAAGAAGGGGAACTGGACAGCGTTTCCTGTCTGAAGTCGCCAGGCCTGACAATTCCCGCGTGTTGGAGGAGGCTGGGTTGGACAAAGGAAACCCCTGGAGGGCGAGGGTGCCTCCCTCCCCAACTCTGTGATGGAGAATGGGAGGATGCACCCTCCAGGCTCTCTCCAAGCGGATATCAGCCACAACTCTCATTTGCACTTTCCTGTAAATCATCTTATTTGGTTCTCACAGTGAGGCTGAGAAGTGAGCAGGCCAGATCGACTATCACTGTTGCTATCCCCACTTTACAGTTGAGAAAGGTGAAGTGACTCTCAAAGTCACACAGATAGTAAACAATCCAACTTGGCTGGACCCCAGGGGCCCTGATTCCAAACCACAAACCTAGTTCACTATGCTCCCTGCCATCCCTCACGACATGTCTCTACACAGTTGTCAGGGATTTTCCACAGGCCACCTTACCCAGGAAGCAGCCACTCTTTGCCCAAGAAACTCCAGAGGCCCTGCTGCCTGCCAGACAGGCAGAACTCTTGGGCTTGGCCTTCAGAGCCTTCCCTCACCTGGTCCCTTTCTAGCCTCTTTCCTACTTTAGCCCTCCCTGAGAGCTGTCTCTTCTGAGCCAGTTTCTCCTGAGACTAGCCCTGGCACTTCGCATTCCCTGTGGACTGAGTCTTTGCACATTCTGCTTGGAATGACTGTCTGGCACATTTCCATCTGTGCATTCACATTCAGTTTGCTTCACGACCCTGTCAAGGAATCCCAGCATGTTCTTTTTTGTTTTTTGTTTTTCATTTTTTCACAACACATTCATTTGGCCCCTATTGTGTGTCATGGGGGCTGGGGGTATCCAGGCCCTAGGGAAAAAGCTAAGCAAACACAGTCTCACTTTTATGAACTTTGTTAGGACTGATTAAATAAGAATGGCTGCCACTCATTGTTTATAATGTCAGGTCCTGTACTAAGATACTGTACATAAATTATTTCAATTCTAAATTAGCCGGGCGTGGTAGTGTGTGCCTGTAATCCCAGCTACTCGGGAAGCTGAGGCACGAGAATCGCTTGAACTGGGGAGGTGGAGGTTGCAGTGAGCCAAGATCACGCCACTGCACTCCAGCCTGGGCGACAGAGTGAGACTTAGTCTCAAAAAAAAAAAAAAATTCAATTCAATTGTCATGTAAGGCAGATAGTGTTATTATCATCTCCTTTTTTTCAGGTGAGAAAACTGATGCTTGGAGATGTGATCACTGCCCAGGGTCACCCAATGATAACATGCATGCATATGGAACTTGCTGCATGCCAGCACCATGTAAGTACAACTCATTTAATCCTTAAAACAACCAGATGGAGTAGTTAACCCCATTTTATGGAAGGCAAAAGCCCAGGCACAGCAGTTAAGTCATGTGCTCAAGGTCACACCGTTGTCATAGTAATGAGGGAAGGAGCCGGGATACACACTTAGGCCCTCTGGCACCGGAGTCCCACACCTGACCACCACTCTAGGCTGATCTCCAGTGAGCAGGCCTTACAGATCTCTCCAGTCTTGCCATTCTTCAGAGGGAGAAACTGAGGCTCAGTGAAGACCTTGGCCAAGGTGACACAACTTAATGAGGGAGTATGGACTGGAGTCTGCTTCCTCAGATTCCATGTGCCTTACCATGTGCCCCTGCATGAGGCCTTCCTGACTCCCAGCCCACCTGCCTCCTCCTGTCCCTTGAACTGCACTGAGCTTCTGGTCTGCAGCCCTCTGGTAGAAACTTTGGTTTTGCCTTGGGCCTCCTGTTTCTGTGCGGCCCTCTTGCTTTTCTATGAGCAGACTGTATTAAATCTCATTCTCCTTTTCTGCCTGCTTCCTAATGGTCCACTGAGTGTCTTAGGCTGGGCTGAATCCTGGGATTCAGAAACGGGCACAGCCCTGACCTTAGGAGCTGGATGGCTGGGGCCCTCAGCATGTGTTGCATCAGATTACACCGGGCTTGGCTGGGCTTGGTGGCTCACGCCTGTAATCCTAGGACTTTGGAAGGCTGAGGTGGGCAGATCACCTGAGGTCAGGAGTTTGAGACCAGCCTGGCCAACATGGTGAAACCCTGTCTCTACTAAAAATACAAAAAAATAGCTGGGCGTGATGGCGTGTGCCTGTAATCCTGGCTACTTGTGGAGTGGGGGGCTGAGATAGGATAATCGCTTGAACCTGGGAGGCAGAGGTTGCAGTGAGCCGAGATCGTGCCACTGCACTCCAGCCTGGGCGACACAGTGAGATTCCATCTCAAAAAATAAAAAGAACTTACCAGGCTCGAGTAGGCCTGCGACCATTGGTGGGTGCTGGGTGGACTGAAGGGAGCTGCCCCTTGCCTGCTGTACTTAGACCCAGCCAGGAGCTGGCAGCAGCACTTACGCCTGGACTTACCGGAGCCTTCTGCTGTCGCTCCCGCCTCAGGATAGCGGCCCTCCTGAGTTTGGTGAAGGCTGCTCTTTTCTTCAATAGGTCATTGTAGAGGAACAGGATCCGCTTCTTCTCTCGCTGGGGGCAGGAAGGGGGTCAATGATAGAGAAAGGCATCCCCCAAATATGGAGTTGGTAGGGAGCTGGGTGGTGTGTGTGTGTGTGTGCAGGTGTGTAGGGGTGGAGAGGTCTGGGGAGGGGCAAACCTTGGGGAAGTAGAAGGCTGCGATGACCCTCCGGAGTCGGTAGCCAAAAGCCTGTAACAGGCAGAGACACACTAACAGGCCAATCGGTACTGCAGCTCTCCAGTAGGCCCTGGCATCCAGGCCCACAGGCTGGGGCAGGCAGGCTAGGGGAGGGGCAGGCCAGGGGTCTGGTCAGGACCAGCCAAGGGGCAGGGCAGCCCTGGGTTGGACTTCCCATCCCAGTGGGAGGTGCAGTCCTCTGATTCCCCTGCTCTCCTCCTGCCTGCCCCTCACTGCAGAACTGCCCTGTCAGTACTGTAGC
Organism: Homo sapiens; assembly: GCF_000001405.40. Classification (NCBI taxonomy): domain Eukaryota; kingdom Metazoa; phylum Chordata; class Mammalia; order Primates; family Hominidae; genus Homo; species Homo sapiens. The sequence continues at coordinate 155,047,628 of NC_000001.11, read as the reverse complement.
CGCTGGGCCCAATGTGGCACAGATCTTGCAGATTTCTATCTTGACTGAATGTCCTGTTGGACAGTGCTGCTCTGGAGGGCTGGGGCCCCCTAGCCACAAGACCCTGGCCTCCAGACTCCTCTGACTGAAGCTGGTCATGCTCCCCTTTTTCAAGCCTGCCCAGATGTGTTCCCTGCTCCGATTTCCCCAGCTCAAGCGCTCCAACCCCCATCTCTCCACACCCAAGGCCCAGGCCCCTAACTCTTTACCTTGGAGTCTTTTGACCCTTGCCCCACCGCCCTCGATTCCTCTGATCCAAACTTTCAGCATCACTCACGCATGTTGTTTGATTCCATCACTGTCTCTGAGGAGGTGTTCAGGGCCCCAATGGTTTTTCGAAGAAGCCGGGCTAGCATGGAGTCTCCCCCGACCTTCACCTCCAGTTTATGACTGCCTGCGGCCAGGAGGACAGGTAGGGAAGTCAGGGCAGGTGGAGAAATCAGGAATGTGTTAAGGGGGTGGATGTCAGGGAGGGGTCAAGACACAGAAATGCTTCTCAGCTGCCTGAGTCTTTCTGTCCCTTCCTGAATCCTAACCCCTCCCTGCTCCCAGTTGTAAGTGTAAAGGGGTACAGAGCCCCCCTCCCCTGCTGTGAGAGCTGTCAGGTTGCAGGGCTGTCATTTGACCTTGAGGAGGACAGGGAGGGGCTGAATCACAGAAAGGGGAAAAGAACAGGCAGAAGGATGGCTGGCACAGTGGCACACACCTGTAATCCCAGCACTTTGGGTGGCCGAGGCAGGTGGATCACTTGAGGTCAGGAGTTCGAGACCAGCCTGACCAACATGGTGAAACTCTGTCTCTACTAAAAATAGAAAAATTAGCTGGCCGTGGTGGCTCACACCTGTAATCTCAGCTACTCAAGAGGCTGAGGCAGGAGAACTGCTTGAACCTGGGAGGTGGAGGTTGCAGTGAGCTGAGATTGTGCCAATGCACTCCTCCAGCCTGGGTGACAGAGCGAGACTCTTTGTCTCAAAAAAAAAAAAAAAAAAGAGGCAGAAGGACGAGGCACAGTTGGAAGAACTAGGGTGGGGTGGCTGTGCAGGCATTGGAGTTCTCCAGAGGGTGTCTCTTGGGCCTGGAATGTGTCTGGGGGATGGGCTTACTGCGGAAGGAGTACTGCAGGAAGGAGTGGTGGCGGATGGTGTCGAAGATGGAGTAGAGAGCCCAGTCCAAGCCACACAGCACCACCAGCAGCAGCAGAATGGGCAGTGTCTCCAGGAGCTCCCTCACCTGGCCAAGGAGCAGGAGGGGCAGAGCTGGGCAGTGCCATCTGCCTGGGCACGGAGCACTCTCTGGTGCCTTTTACCCTCCACCCTCACCTTCAGGCCTGTCTTTGCACCCAGGAGTCCGCTCCCCATGCTGTCCTCACCACATTGCTCATTTCTGAGGCCTGGATGGTGGGCTTGCAAGGGAAGATGACGGTTTTCTCCTCAGCTTTGCGGAGTGGCAGCAGAGTCCGTTTGCCCTGGAAAACAAATGTCCACACAGTTAGGAAGCCCAAGGGCCCTCTGCCCTTTCCTCTCTGCCTTCCTGGAGCATGAACCCACACAGGGCACACAGCAGCAAGGCATCCCCGGGCAGTGCCGTGCCCACTCACCAGCTTCTTCCTGCGGTCATCGATCTGGCAGAAGTAGGTACTGATGTAGATGTTGTCAAAACGAATGTCATGGTTATAGCTGTCCATGTAGGAGAAAGACCTGTGGGTGGATGGGCAGGGATGTCTCCATCTCTTCCAGGTTCTCCTCATCTATCCCCAAACATGGGCTTCCTTGAGGCACAGTCATTCAACCAACCAGCCAGCATTCATTGAGCACCATCTATGTCCTGGGCACTGCTAGGGGATGGTGATAACAGGGAGAAGACTCTGTCCCTGCCTTCCAATTGTGTAGAGGAAGACATCCCCCTACATGATGGGTGAGACATAGCAGAAGTGAGTAGGGGATGAGGTGGGGGCTCAGAGGAGGGCATGGTCAGCCTGTCTGGGAGGGAGTTGCATGTGTGCATCTGAGGTAGGGACAGGCATGCATCTTACAGGATGAATATCGAGCAGAGTTACAGAGAGGGGGAAACTCCTTGAGGTTTCAGGAATCACCTAATCCACTGTGACTCACAAATTCCTGCCTCTTGGCTTTGCCTGCAGCATATCTCCTGGAAGTGTGCTGGGGCAAAACTCATCCCAGACCACCATCTCCATCCTCCCCCAATACACCCTGGCTCTCCCTGGCTACCCTTGAGCACGGTGCACGTGTGCATGGGTGCATGCCTGCATATATAGCTATCCCCCATGTATTTCCCAAAGCCCTACATAATGCTTCAGTTTGCTAAGGAAAAAATGTTAATTACTGCAAATGTGTTTAAAACTGTAAAAGTACATTAAACAAACTCTGTAAAGTGTGAAACATTAGTTTCAATGCTATTGCTTCTGGGGCCCTGTAAAAATCCACATCTTTGCCTTTAAAACTACTGTAAGTGCAAAGACATACTGTGAGTGCCCTCTTGTGGAGAGGCTCACAGAGGTGGTGCCTGGGCTTCCTGAGCCAGGGCCTGCCCTCCCGCCAGCTGTCCTTTCAGTGCATGACCTCACCCAGCTTGAAAGCCTGGAAGTAGCTTTTGACTCTGTGCCTCCTTCCTTCCCTCCACAAGCTGGCTCTGAGCCTCGCTGCACCTTTCCCCTTCCCCCACCATCTCAAGCCATCTTCCTGCCATGCTCTACCCGGGCCAGGCTCCCTAACCTCCAACCCAGCCTGGCCTCCCGCCCTCCCTCCAGACTTCCTGAGGCCATCTTGCCACCACCGCCAGTTCCAGGTCTTCCTGCAGGGCTTTCCAGACTGTTCTGGTCATGCCCACTTCAGTTCTCCAGGCCAGCCTCTGCCCTCTGCATCCCATGGATACCAGGAGCCTTACGCAAGGGACACCCTTCTTTCCTTGACCACCGTTCCGCATCTGCGGCCATTTGGAGCCCAGTTATTGCCCTTCCAAGGGGCACCTTCCCAGCTCCCATACACGTCTCAAAAGCCAATCCATAGAATGGCCCTTGAACCATCTCTGTCTTGTGGGTGTCTCATGATCCCAACTAGATCATTAGCTTTTTTTTTTTTTTTTTTTTTTTGAGACAAGCTCTCACTCTGACACCAGGCTGGAATGCAGAATGCAGTGGCACAATCACAGCTCACTGCAGCTTCGACCTCCCAGTGATTCTCCTGCCTCAGCCTCCCAAGTAGCTGGGACTACAGGCATGTGCCCCACACCTGGCTGATTTTGTTCATTTTTTGTAGAGACGAGGTCTCACTGTGTTACCCAGGCTGGTCTCAAACACCTCAACTCAAGCCATCCTCCCACCTCGGCTTCCCAAAATGTTGGGATTACAGGAGTGAGCCGCCATGCCTGGCGATCATGAGCTTATTGGGGGCAGGAATAGAGCTCCTTCATCTTTGTCTTCCCATGGGGCCCTAGATACACACATACCCACTCACTTGCAGTCACTCTAGGCCCCCCACATAGGGGCAGACAGAGCAACAGCCCTGTGGCAGCCCTCACCCAAGCCCTGCCCATCTCAGGTGTTTGGGAGTGGAGATGGGAAATAGAGGGTCCAGAGACCAGCAGGGGAGCTAGAGCAGAGCAAGGCCCGGGGCAGCCCAGCTGGACACTGGGCTGGGTGGGGTTGAGGACTTTGTTCTAAATGGAGGGAAAGTCGCTGCCAACGCAGCAGGCAGGAGAAAATGAAAGCAAAATGGAAAGATAAAAATGGCACAAAGTCAGAGCCAAGGGGAATATGAAGGGCAAGAAAAAATCAAAAGTCAAAGCTAAACGTAAAAAAAAAAAATCAGTATTGGGATAAAGGCTGGAAGGAGGTGGATGAATGAAGACGGTTGGCCTTTTAAGGCAGTGGGAACATGGGTAATGTTCTTCTGACAAAATGTCCACTTTTCCTTTAACTTTGTGTAAACAAAGACAAAGGTAAATAATATTCAGATTCAGAGGTGAGGATAGGTGCTAGGGTTCCATCCTTACAGCCTCCCTCAGGGCAGGGCTCCAGTCCGGGGCAGAGGAGGGGCTGCTGGGGTGGGGACTATGGCTCACGCATGCAGGACCAGCAGGAAAGTGCAGGAGAGCAGCACGTGCAGCAGCCCCAGGGCCCACTCCAGCCGGGCCTCCTGGCGGTACACGTAGTCCCGCACCTCGGTGCTCACGCGCTCCCAGCTTGTGTTGAGCCCCAGCACCCCAGCCTGCTTCTCTTCCTGGTGGAGGGCACATGAGCAAACTCAGCCTGCGGCCACCTCGTCAGACCTGGGTCCCACCTCTTCATGACATCTGTTCCCCAGTACCCCACTTGTGTCCCTGGGGCCCTCCCAGGACCTCTAGGAGTTGTCACTTCCTTCTGCTCACCACCCTCCTGGACACAGTCTTGCTCCCCTGCACCTACATCAGCTGACATCATCTCATATCTGGCTGATAGCTCCCACCCCAGGCCAAGTCTGCACAAACCACAGGCTTGGCACTGTCCCCTCCTCACCACCTTTCCCCTCCCCTGCCCATCTCAGGTGTTCGGGGGTGGAGATGGGAAACAGAGGGCCCCCTCAACACCAGCGACATTCCCCCTCCTTGTCCCCCTCCCTCACCCCTGGTCACCTCTTTCCTGTGCCCTCTCACTTGTCCTTCCTCTAGCTCTATTCCCTCATGCCCTCCTCCCACTCCCTATCTACCCCCCACCAACCCTCGCCCTTGCCTTCTACCTTGAAGTCAATATTGGCTGAAAATTCCCCATCCAGGCCACGAATAGACTGGTTGAGGGAGTCGTAGGTCTGCCCAAAGTTGCCTTCCACTGGGATGCGATTGCGGCACCAAACCTCCATCACTGGTGAACAGTGGACGGGGTCAGGGGCCTCCCCGGGCCTGTCCTCCAGGTGCAGGCCTGGCCTGCCTGTCCTCCTGTAGTCCTCCTCATCCTGCTTTTTTGTCTCTCTGCCCATGGCTTGCTACCACACCAATGCTGAGTCTTCCCCTCTCTGCTCTCTTTGGATCCTGCCCTCCAGGAACCAGACCTGAGTTCCCTCATTTTTGTCAATCTATCCTCAACCATAACAAACATCAGTAAGGAGAGCCAGCGTTTACAGAGCAGCTCCTCTGTGTGCCAGCTCTGCCACTGCCTTCACATACGTTAGCCCCATAAATCCTTAAAAGCCCTTAATGTGGCTGGGTGCGATGGCTCACACCTGTAATCCCAGCACTTTGGGAGGCTGAGGTGGGTGGATCACCTGAGGTTAAGAGTTCAAGACCAGCTTGGTCAACGTGGTGAAACCCCGTCTCTACTAAATATACAAAAATTAGCTGGGCATGGTGGCGGCCACCTGTAATCCCAGCTACTCAGGAGGCTGAGGCAGGAGAATCGCTTGAACCCGGGAGGCAGAGGTTGCGGTGAGCCGAGATTGCGCCACTGCACTCCAGTCTGGGTGACAAGAGTGAAGCACCCCGTCTCAAAAAAAAAAATTAATGCAAGAACTACTGTTATTCTGCCCATGCGCATCTTTCAGATGAAAAGCCACAGCTCAGAGCTTTGCTGTAACTCACCCTGCGTCACAGAGCTATTCAGCAGGTGGAGGGCTCTAAGGATGCTGTGGCCTCAGGGCCAAAACCCTCCTCATCTGTTGCTTTCCTGCCTGTCACCTACCAGTGGGTCCCAAGGACTCAGCTCCCTACCCCGATGCTCCCCACCCCTTTGCAACTGTGCAGACCCTTGGCAATGCCACAGAAGAACTTGAACTTCATAGGCAGGCAGAGCAGGTGGGTGAGGAGTGGGACCCAGATGTGCTTCATGCACTGTTCATGCTTGCGGTCAAACCAACGACGGCAGCTGAGTATGGCCTGGTTCACCACATCTGTAGGAAGGAGCAAGGGTGTCTGAGGTTCCCACATCTTGATCCACAATGCTGGCCCCACATCCCACCCCACCCTCCACTCCCCAGGGATACCCCTCACAGGAGCAACGCAGCTTGGTCTTCAGCTCATACATCTTCTGTGTCGACAGGTGGAGTCTGGAGGCTGGGGCTTGGCGGGCCTCCCTGCCCTGGGCTGTCTCCCCTGAGTCCATGGTATCCTCAGGCGTGTAGCCCGTCTCACTATTCACCTGGGCATCCAGGTCCTCAAAAGTGGCGGAGATGTTCCGAGTCTCTGCTCTCAGCAATTCTTTGCTACTCTGGGATTGGAGGTGGAGGGAGGAAAGGGTGAGGGCTGGGGCTTTAGAACTTCTGCTGCCTGAGGGCCTGTCCTCCCCCAGTAGCCAAGCTTTGGGTTCTCACCCCAGGCCGACAGGGAGCCTAGGCCCTGAGACACAGCCTCTCACCTCAAATTCCCGGCTGTCCATTGCCCTTGGGAGCCCCCCCACCAGCTGCCTTGTCTGATGCCACATGTCCTGGCTCTGCGTACCTCCCAGACTCTCAGCTCTTCCTCAGTCCTCCCATCCCAGACCCTTCCTGGTCAGTGGTTCCCCAGGTCCTTAGACCTTACCCTTCACCACTAGTCTCTGAGATCATTATGCCATCTGAATGCCCCCAACTTCCAAACCCCTCAGCCCCCATGTCCCCAACTCTCCAGCTCTCCAATTCTCCCAAACCCCCAGTCTCCAGCCTTCCAATACCCAATTCTTGAATACTCTTGTCTTCGAAACTTCTGAGCTACTCAAGGCCAAAGCCCCCAAATTTCCTAGATATTCTAGTTCAGCTGTCCAGAGTACTGACCACTCAGGTATTAGGAAATGTGTATAGAGCATGTCCTAATGACTCAGGGGCTCTCCTGGCATTTAACACCAGGACCAGGGCACGTTCTGCAATGTTTGGGAATAGTTCTGCAAAAAATGCCAGTAGTATCCCCATTGGGAAACTGTAAATCCAGGGTGACAACTCCCAGCTCAAGTTAACTTGGCCCCAGGGAGAGGGACCCCCCAGGCTCTGCCTGTGCAGATTCCTGACCAGCAGGTCCTTGAACATGGCCCGTAAGGGGGCTGTGGAGATGCGCCAAGCTGCGCGGGTGTTGTTGATCTGCAGCTCCACGGTGCAGCCCAGCGATGCGATCACGTTGTTGAGATTGTGTCGCAGATTGGCTACTGGCCCTGGAGAAAGAGGCCCTGGTTGGTCACCTCCCTGTATAACCAGCACTTTCTCAAACCCGCTCAGCTTCCCTCTGCAAATAGTGCCCATCGCCTAGAACTATACAGTGGTGGGGCCGAGAGCCTATGAAAGGTCAACTTGTTCAACCTTTGATTTTTTTCACTGTTTTTTTTTTTTTTTTTTTGAGACGGAGTCTCCCTCTGTTGCCCAGGCTGGAGTGCAGTGGCTCGATCTCTGCTCATTGCAACCTCCGCCTCCCGGGCTCAAGCGATTCTCCTGCCTCAGCCTCCTGAGCAGCTGGGATTACAGGCACACGCCACCATGTCTGGCTAATTTTTTGGTATTTTTAGTAGAGACGGGGTTTCAGCATGTTGGTCAGGCTGGTGTCGAACTCCTGACTTCGTGATCCGCCCGCTTCGGCCTCCCACAGTTCTGGGATTACAGGTGAGCCACCGTGCCTGGCCTTTTTTTTTTTTTTTTTTTTTTTTTTTTTTTTGAGACGGAGTCTTGCTCTGTCACCCAGGCTGGAGTGCAATGGCGCAATCTCGGCTCACTGCAGGCTCCGCCTCCCAGGTTCAAGTGATTCTCCTGTCTCAGCCTCCCGAATAGCTGGGACTATAGGTGTGCACCACCATGCCTGGCTAATTTTTGCATTTTTAGTAGAGATGGGGTTTCACCATGGCTGGTCTTGAACTCCTGACCTCAGGTGATCCACCCACCTCAGCCTCCCAAAGTGCAGGGATTACAGGCATGAACCACCGTGCCTGGCCAATGTTTTCACTCTTATAAACTGAGGAGGCCCAGATATGGGGAGGAGCTCCCTCAGGGACATACAGTGAGTTAGAGCAGCTGGGATGACACTCCTGTCTTTTCTCCTTCACCCGGCCTGGCTCCCATTGGATGACCCACCCAGGGTCACTGCTTCAGTGTAACTCACTGGCCCCCACATACTCACCCACATAGATGGCAGCCAAGGCGTATCCCAGGACAAAGAGCCTGCCTTCCTTGCCCAGCATCTTGGGTACTAGTAGGAGGCTGGCACAGCGGATGTGAGGGGAGGTCCCCCAGCCCATGGCCCCCAAGCCTGTCAGGAGAGCCCAGGAGGTGGTGAGCTGAAGTGAGGAAGCTGCCTCCCTTCCTCACGTTTACCAGAGCACCCACCTGCAACACCCCCTTCTGGAACCACCACCATCCTGCCCTTATCCCCATTTACACTGACTCTGATAGACCTGCTGGGCCACTCATTCATTCATTCAGCAGCCACTCACAGAGTTTAGCTATGTGCCAGTCTCTGGAAGGGCATAGAGGGATGGCTAGAACTTAAAAAACCACAAATGATTGACTTGTGTGTGTTTGTGTTAGGGAAGGAAGCCAAGGTTTTCCGGGCTACAGTGACACTGACCCTAGGTGCTGAGGGAGCAGAGAGAGCAAGAGAAAATATCTGGAAACAGGTGCTCATGCTCAGAATGGTCAGAAGAGAGATCAGAGCCCACCTCAGTACTCCCAGTACTCAGACACCTACAGCACTCGCAGTCCCTGCCTCTAATTTTAGCCCTTGGTCATGTACCGCCTGGTATGTTTTAGCAGTTTCACATGTGTCTCCCTGTGGTCTCTGCAAGGAGACAGTGAACTTCTGGAAGCTCATAATCCAGAGAAAGAGACAGATGAGTAAACAAGTGACTACAACACGATGTGCTAAGTGCACAAGGGAGGTGCTTATAGAGCGCTGTGGGAGCCAAGGAGGGAGTACGTATTTCTTCAGGGAGGGGTGGGGCTGAGAAGGCTGGACAAAGACAGGACGTGTCAGCTGGGCCTGGAAGGTGAGTAAGTGTTGTTAGGAGGTGCAGATGGCATTCCAGGCCAAAGGAACAGTATAAGCTGGTCGGGGGAGCTAGAAGATTCCTGTGTTGATGGAATGTTCACCCAATGATCGTCAAAGCAAATCCCAAATCCTTACACTTCCTCCATCTCCACTGTCGTGGTAGAGTCCCCATCATCTCTTACTGGGACTATAACCTGATGAGTCTCCCTATGTCCTCTCTTGCTACCTTACACTTCAGTTTTTACAAGGCAGCCAGAGTGATCTTGCAAAAGCATAAATCGGATCATGTCCCTTCCCTGCTTCAAACCATTCGGTGGCTTTCTACCACATTTGGTATAAAATCCGAACTCCCTAACATGGTCTACCTAGCTTGTGATCTGGCTCCTGCCTGCCTCCTGATCTCATGCTATGCAGCCCTTCACCCACCATGTCTACCCACACAGACCTCGTTGCTGCTCCTTGGACAAGCCAAGCTCATTCCTCCTCTCTGGTCTTTGCCCTAGCTGTTCCCCCTGCCAGGAGCACTCCTCTCCCTGTTCTTCACATGGCTGGCTCCACCTAGTCATTCAGGTTTGTGGCAAACCCTGTCGGGTGCCACCCCACAGTTTTTTTTGTGCCTTCTTCCTTGCTAACACAACTTGGGTTTTTTGCAAGGGCAATAGCCTGGCCCTGCCCCAGCCCCTGAGGGATAAATCTGGATCTGTCTAAACCAGTCATGGTAGAACAGGACACTGAAAGGGACTAGTTCTGTGGTCTTGGCCTTCTGGCCAAAGACTCGAGCTGAGGCTAATAGTTGACAAATAGTTGCCCTATGTTCTAATGAGAGCCCCATGGAGCTATGGGTGTCTTCTTTGGGCTCACCAAAACAGCAAAACTTGACTCTCACTCCTCTATCCCACCCCATCTATATAAAAAGAACAGCAATATGGGCCAGGCATGGTGGCTCACGCCTATAATCCCAGCACTTTGGGAGGCCAAGGCGGGTGGATCACTTGAGGTCAGGAGTTTGAGACCAGCCTGGCCAACATGGCTGTCTCAACTAAAAATATAAAATTTAGCCAGGCATGGTGGCAGGTGCCTGTAGTCCCAGCTACTCAGGAGTTTGAGGCAGGAGAATTGCTTGAACCCGGGAGGCGGAGATTGCAGTGAGCTGAGATCGTGCCACTGCATTCCAGCCTGGGGGACAGAGCAAGACTCTGTCTTAAAAAAAAAAAAAAAAAAAAAAAGACCAACAATGTGGATTTCCTGGAAGGGGAGAAAAGTGGTTGGAATGGGCAGGCAGAGAGGGAGAGTCTGTGGAGAGGATGGGTGTCACATGTCAAGTGAGAGACTCCAGGAGTCCAAGAGGCTTCAGGGACTGGCGCTGCAGGAAGGGGAACCTGCCTGGTCTCTGTAGACTAGACTCCTGCTGAGTGCAGAGCCTCATGAGGCCACTCCAGGGCTCCCACCAGAGCACAGAGTGGAGGGAGAGCTCCTGGGAGAGCTCAGCCTCTGTAATGCCTCTGTAGACCTCCCCTGGACGATGTTGGCACACAAGCATGGAGACTGGCATCTGCTTCTCATCAGGGCAGGAGAGAGGCAACCATAAGGTGCTCTGCTTTTGATGGGGCGTTGGTGGCTCACGCCTGTAATCCCAGCTCTTAGGGAGGCAGAGGCGGGAGGATAGCTTGAGCCCAGGGGTTTGAGACCTGCCTGGGCAATATAGCGAGACCCCATTCTCCACAAAAAGGAAGGTGCACTGCTTTCTCTGCCTGGCAGGGCACGGACGTGTGCACTCCCAGCCTGCTGGAGGGAGGGATCCAAAAAGCAAGAGGCTGTGGGTGGCCCCTGAAGGGGGGCTTCACTCGAGGTCAGCCAAAAAGAACTGCCCTCTGCAAGAAACCGGGCATTGCCGAGGTCCACACACAGCCTCCAAGGGGACAATAATCAGGCCTACTGGGACAGCCAGGGTGTGAGTGCCTGCTACACGCAGGCATCCACAGTGGAATTATAATAGCATTAGTGACTTAAGACTTTTGTCCCTTTTCCTCTAATTCTTCTAATCTCCCTTCTGACATCAGAAGAACCAGAAAGGGAAGGAAGTAGAGGAAAAAAGGGAAAGAGCAGGCCACGCCCCTTCTCCATTGCAGGACCCCATGCTAGGGAGCAGGCCTGAGCTGGGGGCGCAAGGGATGGGGAGGGCAAGATAAGGAGGGAAGATGCTTGAGAATGGATGAGGTTAAAAGTCTGATGTAGAGTGGACTGGACCTCTTTAACCCCTAAAAATAAGTCTTAATTGTTGAAGTAGGACTAGGTCTTCTAAAGAAATACAACCAGAAATCTAAGGGGCTGTGTGAAAGGTTATCAATGGGAAAAAACATGTTTGAATACAGTGGGTCAGAGAAAAAGTAGTCTCCTGTTGGTATCCAGCAGGATTAATTCAATAAACAGGTGATGAAATGCTAATTCTATTTCCCTTGCCTGGGACAGGTTCAGGAAAGGGCATGTGTTGCACGCAGTTCTGACCAAAGAGATGTGAGGAAGTCTACTGTGGGGATTATAGGCAAGTTTCCCTTGTTCCTAAAAAGAGACATGAGGAAAGGATGTTTCTTCCTTTTTTTTTTTTTTTTTTTTTTTTGAGACAGAGTTTCACTCTGTCACCTAGGTCATTTTCCTTTTTCCCTGGCCTCAAATCGCACAGCCCAAGACAGTGAAGTTGGGCCTGGGATTGAACTTCTATTCTTTTCTTTTTTTTGAGATGGCCTTTCGCTCTTGTCACCCAGGCTGGAGTGCAGTGGCACGATCTCCACTCACTGCAATCTCTGCCTCCTGGGTTCAAGCAAGCCTCCTGCCTCAGCCTCCCAAGAAGCTGGGACTACAGGTGTGCACCACCACATCCGGCTAATTTTTGTATTTTTAGTGGAGACAGGGTTTCACCATGTTGGCCAGGCTGGTCTCAAACTCCTGACCTCAGGTGATCCACCCGCCTCAGCCTCCCAAAGTGCTGGGATTACAGGCGTGAGCCATTGTGCCTGGCCTGTTTCTTCCTCTTTTTTTATTTTTTTCTGATCTTTGATATTATTGTATGAAGATGTGATGCCAGAGTTGCTGCAGCTATCTTGTGACCTGAAGAGAAGTGGTCAATAGACTGAAGATGGCAGAGAAAAGACAGAAGGAACCTGAGTCCTTCTCGAAGCTACTGAGCTGTTAAATTATCCAAACTGGGCTGGGCACGGTGGCTTACACCTGTAATCCCAGAACTTTGGGAGGCCGAGGCAGGTAGATCTTTTGAGGTCAGAAGTTCGAGACCTGCCTGGCCAACATACAGAAACCCCGTCTCTACTAAAAATACAAAAATTAGCTGGGCATGGTGATGGGTGCCTGTAATCCCAGCTACTTGGGAGGCTGAGCAGGAGAATGGCTTGAACCTGGGAGGTGGAGGTTGCAGTGAGCTGAGATTGAGCCACTGCACTCCAGCCTGGGCAACAGAGCGAGACTCCGTCTCAAAACGAAAACAAAAACATACAAACAAAACCAAAGCAAAACGGCTGGATGCTTGTCATCCTTGTTTACTGCTAAATCCTCAGCAGATTCTCAGTAAGTGCTGAGTGAATGAATGAATGAATGAATGAATTTAATTTCTTAGGAGGATCAGAAAACGAGGTCAGACAGGTCAGGAGAGATGAGAGTTATGAAGGGTTATGGGGTTGGACTATATCATGTGGGTGATGGGGAGTCCCTCGGAATGGAGAGACTCCCTCAGGGCAAGGACGGTGTCTTCCTTCTTAAATTGGCAGCCTCTTCCCTCTGGACCTCCCCGTAAAGCCCAGGAGGAGGCGGAAGCCACAGGGGATGTATGGGTACAGAAGAAACAAGTCCCGACTCCTTCCTGGGCATGCAGGACGGCGCTGTGTTCCACAGGCCGCTTGAGTGTTCCTGGCTTTTGCCCAGCACTAACCCACCAAGCTGTACAAGAACATAATCTTCTGTTCTTCGTAGATGTTCATGGGGTTCACCAGGAGCTGAAAGAGACCTAAGGGCACAAGGTCAAGCCAAAGGCCAAAAGATGGGTCCTAGCCCTGGTCCAGCCTCTGCCCACCCCGAACTTTCTGCTTCCACACTCACCTATGGCCAGGAGCCCCCCAGCGCCTGCCCCCAGCAGGAGAGCAGTGACAGGAAACTCGCCCGGCTGGCGCCACAGGAACCAGCTACAGGAGACTGGCAGCCCCCAGGTCAGGAGCCTCTGCACCGCTAAGAGGGGGACAGGGTAGCTCAACAGCCCACTCTTCTGCCTGGGATGGGGCTCATTAGGATTCAGGGCTTGCAGGTGGATAGAGGCTGGGGAAACCTGGCATGTGAAACAGTAGGAACTTAGGGGACCCTGGAGGAGGATGAGGGAGCCTGAGGAAGTGGTATGGGTGTAAGGGACAGCAAAGGCAAGGGCTGGGCTGGGAGGCGGGAGGCACTAGACCAGAGAGGTGGTGGAGGCGCGGACACCGAGTTGGGGGATAGTGTGCAGGAGTTCCAGGAGGAGAGATGGGATGAGAGTGGAGGTCAAGGGATACTGGGTCTCTGCTGAGTGACTCACTGGTATGAGGCTGTTTTCTTCTTTGCCCTCTTGTGCCATTCTGATGATGTTTAATGTCCATGAGTCTGTTTTGGGGAAGCACCACTCATCCCAGGTCTCCTGAAGGACCTCCTTGGACACAAGGTTCTGGTGAGAGAAGAGAGGTGCTGCCTGTCTCTTCCGCTTCATGGGAAGCCTAGGCCTGAGCTCTGGGCCTTTTAATCCTTCTGCTCCGAGAAGTGGGGAAGGAGATTAGAGACCTACCTATCCCCTCTCCAGTCCTCGGAACTGGGTCAAGGATTCCAAGACATATGCAGTGAAAGCCCTTTGGAACCTTAGAATACGGTGAGAAATTCCAGGAGCACAGAAGTCAGCGGGCATCTCCTGGAGACAGGCAGACATTTGGTCTCAGCAGCCATGCCCAAAGTCATGAAGGATGTTGTGCACCCCTTGGGGGGAGAGGAGCCTAGCATGGCGAGAGCTGTGGTTCGCAGCGTGGGAGGTTTTACCCTGGGCTTGTCTTTAGCCACGGCCTACGGGCTTCTGGAGCTACTGGTGGAAGGCCACAGCCCCTGGGGTTGCCTGGTGGGCACCCTCACTTTGGCTGCCTTCCTTAGCCTGGGCATGGGATTCTCTCGCCAGGTCCGAGCCACTGTCCTCCTGCTGCTGCCTCAGGCCTTCTCCAGTGAGCTTGGCACCCAGGGCTAGGGGGCAGGTCCTGGGGCTGGTGCTGGGGCAGAAGAGATGCTGGAGGAGAGGCAGGGGTTAAGGGAAATATTCTGAAGGCTTATGTAAGGGACTTGCTGCCATGTTTGGGGCTGGGGTCTTGGTTCTAACAAAGCTGTCGCCCCCAGGGCAGGGCCGGACACTACTGTTGGTGGCTGCTTTTGGGTTGGTGCTTCAAGGGCCTTGTGCCAACACTCTACGCAACTTCACCCGGGCCAGCGAGGCTGTAGCCTGTGGGGCAGAGCTGGCCCTGAACCAGACCGCCGAAGTGCTACAGAGGGCCAAGCAACCTCTTGTCAGTAAGTCCCCCACCTCTACCACTGTCTCCCACGGGCCCCCCTCGCCCCCCTCATCCTGCATGTTCTACAGTCCTTTGGCCTCCTTCTCTGCTGGTGCTAATCGCGGAGCATCTGGGCCTGGAAGGGACTCTGGGCACAGCTAAACCCTCTCTCCTTGCTCTCTGGCCTCCTCCACTCCCAGATTAACGATCTCCCAGGCCCCAGAATCCAGGCTTCCCGCCTCTGGAAATGGTGGCCTCCTCTCTACTCCCTGCTTAAGGGGCAATGGTGAGAACCAGCCCCTAGAGGAGAAGACTCCAAAGTGCCTCTGTCCCTCACCCATCAGGTGCCCTGAACAAGATTAAAGCTATTGCCCGGAAGACCAAAGAGGTGGCTGACCGGGTCCGCAAGTTCTTTCGGTCAATCATGGATGGTGTGAAACACATAGGTAAGCACATTAGCATGTCTATCCCGGGGACTCAAAATGCACCCAGTCCTGGCCGGGTGCGGTGGCTCATGCCTGTAATCCCAGCACTTTGCGAGGCCGAGGTGGGAGAATCACTTGAGCCCAGGAGTTTGAGACCAGCCTTGGCAACATGGCGAGACCCTGTCTCTATAAAAAATAAAAAAATAGAAAATAAATAAAACTAGCCAGATGTAATGACACATGTCTGTAGTCCCAGCTACTGGGGAGGCTATGGTGGAAGGATCTCTTGAACCCAGGGGTTTGAGGCTGCAGTGAGCTATGATCGTGCCACTGTACTCCAATCCAGCCTGGGTGACAGTGTGAGACTCCATCTCTAAAGAAAAAAAAAAGCGGGGGGGCCAGGTGCGGTGGCTCACACCTGTAATCCCAGCACTTTGGGAGGCTGAGGCGGTGGATCAGGAGGTCAGGAGATCAAGACCATCCTGGCTGACATCGTGAAACCCCGTCTCTACTAAAAATACAAAAAGTTAGCCGGGCGTGGTGGCACGCAGCTGTAGTCCCAGCTACTCAGGAGGCTGAGGCAGGAGAATCTCTTGAACCCAGGAGGCGGAGGTTGCAATGAGCCGAGATCACTCCACTGCACTCTAGCCTGGGCAACAAGAGCGAAACTCCATCTCAAAACAAAACAAAACAAAACAAACAAACAGAAACAAAAAAATTCAGTCTCCTCACCTGTACCCTGTCCAGGGTTTTTTGGGCCCCTTCTGGGCGCTGGCTAGTGTTCACTGGACACAGCACAGCCAGGTCCCTGACCACAGGCCTCTCCAGCCCTGGATACTGTGGTATTGTTCCCCAAAACCCTGAGAAGAGGCTGTAGGATTCCAGCCCTGGGTGCCAACCCTGCAGCTGTCCCCAGCCAGGGCTCTCCGGAATGTGTGGCAGTGGCTCCTGCACATCGGCGATGTGTGCAACTCGGAACTGGGCAACCCTTACCTGAAGTGTGCACGGGTTTTCGATGATGCCAAGGACAGCTGCATGATGGTCATACCACAAGCCTACCACCTGTGTTACGTGCTCATGCCCTTCAAACTGGCGCTCTGTGGACTTGCCAGCCGTGAGAAAACCAGGGTCTGCCAGCGGGGAGGAGCCGATGTGGGGTGGGGTGGGGTGGGAATGTGGGGGTCAGTTGGGAGGGCAGGCTCAGGAGGACGATTAGAGGGCAACAGAGAGGAACCAATAAGCTTGGTAGGACCAGTATTGGGGGTGGGGGTGGGCAGTAGGGAGGGACTGGTGTTGGGAGAGAAGGGCGACAGGGAGGTGCTACAAGGTTTTGAGCAAATGTGGAGGCCAATAGGAAAATCGAAAAGAGGCCCTGTGAGAAGAGGTCTCCAGAGGTCGGGGGCAGGCCTGGCTGTGCCCCTCCTTCCGACACTCAGCCGACTCCGCCCCTCAGTGGTCCAGGTGTTCTGCGTCATCCCTAAGTACATTCAACCCTTCTTGCGCCAGACCATCGGCACCCGTGAGTGACCCCCTCCTGCCACATATGGTGCTCCCTAGTGGTCTCCCTCCCTCATCCCGGTGTGGCCATGGCCAGCCCCCAGTGCTCCCAGCCCATAAAGGAGAATGTAAGAGAAAGAAAGGGGCTCAAGTGATCACCCAGGCCCATATCCATGCTGTACAGATCAGGAAACGGGTCCAGCGAAGGGCCAGTGCCTCACCACAGCCTGCCCTGAGAGCAGGAGCTGGGAACAGAACCAGGGCCTCCTGTCCACATTCAGGTCCACACTCAGGTCATCAAGATCATTCCTTAGGGGCATCTGTTGCATGCCCTGTGTCATGCTGGGTGCTGAGCATGTGATGGCGATGGCACAGATACGTGGAGGCTTTGTCCCCTCCTCAGTCCACCTTGACCCAAGCACTGGGGGGTTCCCAGCTGGTCTGTAAGCTGCGCCCCCTGGGCTGTGCCAGGCCCCTCCCCAGGGGCAGCTCCACCCTCTCCTAACTCTCCTTGCCCACGTCTCCCCTGAACCTGCTGGCCCCAGCCGTGATTCAGTTGCTCAACCGGGTGCGTCAGGAGTTTGAGTTCAACATGACAGCCACCCACCACTTCTCTGTGGATCTCAATGCCTCTCGGAGCCTGTCCCAGGTAGCCATGGACCTCCACGAGGCTGTCAGCATGAAGCTGCACCGTGTCCGAGAGGCCCTGGCTCTGATGGGCTTCACCACGCCTCTGCTGCTTGTGCTTCTCTACCTCCAGTGAGGGGCTGCCGGGCAGCGTGGGGGATGCAGGGCCGGGGGTGCAGGGCCAGGGCTGCAGGGAGCAGCTCATTTCTCCCTGCCCCAGCATCCAGGGAGGTTGAAGTTGTGGGGTTGAAGCGCGGATGCCCTGTGGGGTCTGGCCTGGGGTCCTAAGGGGCCTCACATGTGCTCCACCTCCCCTTCCCAGAGCCCTATTTTACCGGTATTGTTACCTGAACTGGGACCATTATGACAATATCTACATCACTAGCCGATTCCTGCGCATGGAGGCTGTGCGCTCCACGGCAGGGCTGCCCACAGTGCTACCGCTCAGTGCTCACGAGGCCAGGCGCTACATCCCACCGGGTGAGGGCCCTGAGGACAGGGAGAGCCCAAGCCAGGGAGGCCAGGGCTTCCCCCCACCCCGCTGCCCTGCCCCTAAGCCCCTGCACAGGCAGGGCTCAGGATGGGCTTGGGGCAGGGGCCAGAGGGAGGAGACACAACCCAGAGCTTAAGGAACTTTCAGGCTGAGGGAAGACACTGCCCGGTCCTTGGGGAGCCCGCAGTCTGAAAGGGGGAACATAGACACCCTTGGAGAAAGTAGCCAGAGACAAGAGGGGCAGATGGTGCTTCTGGGAGCACCCTGGACATCAGGACAGCAGGGGATGGACACAGAGCGAGGGAAGTCAAGTTGGGAGGGCTTCCCCGGGGTGGGCAGGAAGTGCTAATATGGAGGGGGAGGACTGCCTGTGAGGTGGGGAGGCAGGTAAGGGGATGAGGGATGCCCTAGGAGGGAGGGCTCCTTAGACTGGAATGGGCCACAGGGCCAGGTGGAGATGCTAGGCAGGCCCCTCCCTTCTAGCCACGGAGCCCCCTCCCCTGAAGAGTATTTTCCATCCTTGCCAGAGTCCTCACAGCTTCTTTTCTTTTCCGTATTCCTGATGAGCAGACGGGCCCACACCTGATTAGGGGCAGGAGGCCTCTCCAAGAACTGGGATCTGGTGGACGGGAGAACTGGGGAGCATCCTCCTGACCATCCCACTCCTGCTCAGGCTCCATCTTCTTGTCCCAATGGGAGAAGTTTTTTTACATTCTGGAGACCTTCAACCTTATCCGACACCTCCTCCTCGTGCTGTTCCTAGTCTTCCTAGACTATGCTGTCTTCTGGGTGCTTGACCTGGCCCGGCACCAGCTGCAGGGGGAGATTGTGGCCCGCAGTGAGTGCCTACGTGACAGCCTCCTCCCACTCACCCACTGCAGCCCCCTCGGCCTGTTTCTGATCTCCCCGCCTGCTCCCAAGCCTTCTCCTCTTCCCATCCTCAGTCCTGGTGACTGCCTGAATGTCCCCATGTCACTGTTACTCAGCAGCCCACAAGTGTGCCACTCTTTCAACTCTATGCTTTGCCTAGTAACACCTATGTCTAGGTCAAGATTATAACTTACAGAGTAGTTAAAAATGCAAGCTCTAGAGTCACACTGGCCAGGGTTCAAATCCCAGCTCTGTCCTTTATTAGGCGGTGACCTTCAGCAAGTTGCTTAACCTCTTCAGCTTCAGTTTCCTCTTTTTTTTTTTTTTTTTTTGAGACAGAGTCTCGTTCTGTCACCAGGCTGGAGTGCAGTGGCGCCATCTCGGCTCACTGCCTCCGCCTCCCAGGTTTAAGTGATTCTCCTGCCTCAGCCTCCTGAGTAGCTGGGACTACAGGCACATGCCACCATGCCCAGCTTATTTTTGTATTTTTAGTAGAGATGGGGTTTCACTGTGTTGGCCAGGATGGTGTTGATCTCTTGACCTCATGATCTGCTGGCCTTGGCCTCCCAAAGTGCTGGGATTACAGGTGTGAGCCACCATGCTTGGCCTTTTTTTTTGAGATGGAGTCTCACTCTGTCACCCAGGCTGGAGTGCAGTGGTGCAATCTTGGCTCACTACAATCTCTGCCTCCCGGGTTCAAGCAATTCTCCTGTCTCAGCCTCCCAAGTAGCTGGGACTACAGGCACATGCCACCATGTCCAGTTGTATTTTTAGTTGAGACGGGGTTTAACCATATTGCTCAGGCTGCTCTCGAACTCCTGACCTCCGGTGATCCACCCACCTCAGCCTTCCAAAGTGTTGGTATTACAGGCGTGAGCCACTGTCCTGGCCCAGTTTCCTCATCTGAATAGTGGAATAATAATGGTAGCAACCTCTCTGGGTCACTGTAAGGAATAAATTAGATTATGTGTGTTGGGGCCAGGCGGGTGGCTCATGCCTGTAATCCTAGCACTTTAGGAGGATGAGGCGGGTAGATCACCTGAAGTCAGGAGTTTGAGACCAGGCTGGCCAACATAATGAAACCCCATCTCAACTAAAAATACAAAAAATTAGCCAGGCGTCGTGGCAGGTGCCTGTAATCCCAGCTACTTGGGAGGCTGAGGCAGGAAAATCACTTGAACCTGGGAGGCAGAGGTTGCAGTGAGCCGAGATCCTGCCACTGCACTCCAGCCTGGGCAACAAGAGTGAAACTCTGTCTAAAATAATAATAATAAAATAAAATAAAATAAAATAAATTATGTGTGTCGAGTGCCTGGTAAGCCATTAATTGAGAATGTGAGCCAGGTGCGGTGGCTCACGCCTGTAATCCTAGCACTTTGGGAGGCTGAGGCAGACAGATCACCTAAGGTCAGGAGTTCAAGACCAGCATGGCCAACATGGTGAAACCTTGTCTCTACTAAAAATACAAAAAAATGAGCCAGGCATAGTGGTGGGCACCTATAATCCCAGCTACTTGGGAGGCTGAGGCTCAAGAATCACTTGAACCCAGGAGGCAGAGGCTGCAGTGAGCCGAGATCACACCACTGCACTCCAGCCTGGGTGACAGAGTGATACCCTGTCTCAAAAAAAAAAAAAAAAAAAAAAAAGAAGTAAAAAACTCCTAAAAAACAAAAACCAAAACCCCAAAACAAACAATAAAGCACTTGGTTAAGTGTCTGCTACACAGTCAGTGCTCAGCCAATAAATGTTTCTGGGGGTCTTACTCGGTGGCTCACACCTGTAATCCTAGCACTTTGGGAGGCTAAGGCAGGCGAAGTGTCTGCTACACAGTCAGTGCTCAGCCAATAAATGTTTCTGGGGGTCTTACTCGGTGGCTCACACCTGTAATCCTAGCACTTTGGGAGGCTAAGGCAGGCGGATTGCTTGAGCTCAGGAGTTTGAGACCAGCCTGGCCAGCATGGTGAAACCCTATCTCTTTACAAAAAAAAAAAAAAAAAAAAAATAGCCGGTCGTGGTGGCACGTGCCTATAGTCCCAGCAACTTGGGAGGCTGAGGCAGGAGAATCACTCAAACCTGGGAAGTTGAGGCTGCAGTGAGCCAAGATCACACCACTGCACTCCAGCCTGGGTGACAAAGTGAAACCCTGTCTCAAAAAATAAATTAAAAAAAAAAATAAATGCTTCTGGGTGGTCATGGAGGCCGGGGGGTGGACTCACTGACCATTAAGGTCATCTTAGATATGGTGGCTTGGATAGGAAGACCAGACACCAGTACCACCCAGTTGGACCATGGGGCCAGTCCTAGGAGCCAGAACTGAGGTCAGGCCCCAGGGCACCATGAGGGTGCCTGAGGCATCAGAGGCCCCCAGCCAAGGGTCTGAGTCATCCTATGACCTGCGCTGCTCCACTTTCCTCATTCCAGAAGGTGTGGGGTTTTCTGCATAGCAACTGCCATGAGTGTCACTCACACAGTGTCTTTGTGCCAGGTCCTGTGTTGGTGTCTCTAACCGTGGAAGGTACTGGCTACGCTGGGAATATTTATCGTGACCTGGTGTCAGCATTTGATGTCCTGCAGCAAGGCAACATCAGTATTTTGTCCCGGCGTTGTCTCCTTCGTCCCTCGGAGCCTGACAGCACTGGCTACATAGTCATTGGTATCAACTACACCCTGAGGTCCCTGGGGGCGTGGACACCATGTGGGAAATGAGGGGTGCAGACTGCTGAGGATGTGGGGGGCGCCAGGGGTGGGCTGGCACTTGTGCCTGCTGGTGAGGCTGACTGTGGCTGCTGTGCTCCCAGGCGTCATGTATGGCCTATGCTTCTTCATCACCCTGTTTGGCAGCTATGTCAGCCGGCTGCGGCGAGTCATCTGTGCCTCCTACTACCCATCCCGGGAGCAGGTGAGGGGTCCGGGGCTGGGAGCTAGTCCCTGCCCCCTCCCCAGGGGGCTTAGCTAGTGGCTGGCTTTTTTGGCTTTGGGAGCTGACTTCCTTCAGCAGCCCCAGCCCGCTCTCCTCTGGTTGAACTCCAAAGCAAATGACCTGGACTGCAAGCCTCTGGACCCAAGATGGGGCTGGGAGAAATGGTGCCTCTGGGGTGGGGCTTCCTGAGACAGCATTTACATCCAAAGTTTTGTTAAAATCACAGGGGTGTTGAGGGGGTGGGGGATGAGGGACGGGGGAGAGTTGGAGAGTGGAGCAGGCAGCATGGCTCACACCTGTAATCCAGCACTTTGGAAGGGTGAGGCAGGCAGACTGCTTGAGGCAAGGAGTTATAGACCCTTTCTGCAACAAAGTGAGCCTCTGTCTCTATTAAAAAAAAAAGAAAGAAAGAAAAAAAAAGAAAATAAAACGCCAGGCATGGTGGTGTGTGCCTGTAGTCCCAGCTACTAGGGAGGATCGCTTGAGCCGAGGAATTCAAGGCTGTAGTGAGCTATGATTGCACCACTGCACTCCAGCCTGGTAATGGAGTGAGACCCTGTCTCAAAAAAACAAAACAAAACAAAACAAAAAAACATGGTGGTGAGGTGGGGGCAGTGTTGGCATGTTGAGGTGTAATTAAAAACTCACCATCGGGGCTGGGTTTGGTGGCTCATGCCTGTAATCCCAGCACTTTAGGAGGCCGAGGTGGGCAGATCACAAGGTCAAGAGATTGAGCCCATCCTGGCCAACATGGTGAAACTCCATCTCTACTAAAAATACAAAAATTAGCCGGGCGTGGTGGCACGTGCCTGTAGTCCCAGCTACTCGGTAGGCTGAGGCAGGAGAATTGCTTGAACCCGGAAGGTGGAGGTTGCAGTGAGCCGAGATTGCGCAACTGCACTCCAGCCTGGCGATAGAGCAAGACTCCATCTCAAAAAAACAAAACAAAACAAAACAAACAAAAAACCCTCACCATCGGTTTACTCATTTACTAATCATTTACTGAGCATGTACTGTATTCCCCTATCTCTTTGCCAGTCTCCAAGGATGCCAAGATGAACCAGACACAGTCTGGAGCTCACAGATTCGAGGCAGGCCAGACAAGCTTTCTTTTCTTTTTTTTTTTTTTTTTTGAGACAGAATTTTGCTCTTGTTGCCCAGGCTAGAGTGCAATGACACGATCTCGGCTCACCACAACCTCCGCCTCCCGGGTTCAAACGATTCTCCTGCCTCAGCCTCCCGAGTAGCTGGGATTTCAGGCATGCGCCACCACCCCAGTTAATTTTGTATTTTTAGTAGAGATGGCGTTTCTCCATGTTGGTCAGGCTGGTCTTGAACTCCCGACCTCAGGTGATCCACCCGCCTCGGCCTCCCAAAGTGCTGGGATTACAGGCGTGAGCCACAACGCCCGGCCAGACAAGCTTTTAACAAGACGTTGTAATTTAAAAAGCACTTTTATTTAGGAATGAATAAAAGTGTTATGGAAACCCAGAGGAGAGAGTGGTAACTCCACCTGGGCAAGTCCAGAAGACTTCCCAGAGGAAGGGGCATTTGAGCCAAACCTAGAGGGATTCATAGGAGTTGGATAGAAGGAAAAGGTAGGTAGTGGGTGCAGAGGGCATTCCAGGCAGACAAAACAGGGTCAAGTGGGACCCCATCCCTGATCTCCCCGCACCAGGAGAGGATCTCCTACCTGTACAATGTACTTCTGAGCCGCCGAACCAATCTGTTGGCTGCCCTGCACCGATCAGTGAGGCGGCGGGCGGCTGACCAGGGCCACAGAAGTGCCTTCCTAGTGCTGGCCAGTCGGTGAGGCCACTGTCTTTTCTATAGGGGTGGGGCAAGAGGGGATAGAAAAAGAGCCAGGAGTTGGAATGGATTTCTGTGCTATCTAAGTGTCAAGAGATTTGGTTGAAGAGAATGCCCATTGCATACCCTTAACGCTGTGAAAGGTGGGAATTCTTTTTTTTAATTTATTATTATTATACTTTAAGTTTTAGGGTACATGTGCACAATGTGCAGGTTAGTTACATATGTATACATGTGCCATGCTGGTGTGCTGCACCCATTAACTCATCATTTAGCATTAGGTATGTCTCCTAATGCTATCCCTCTCCCCGTAAGGTGGGAATTCTTAGGGGTGAGGAGTGAAGGGAGGAAGGAAGGCAGGGCCATGGAGAGGTTGCTGCTGAAATCAGAGGGATGGAGGATGTACTGCAGGAAGTCAGGAAGTCCTCCCTGCCATTTGGAGGTTGGTGCTGGAGTGGGGAGGGTTAAGCTGGCTGGGCTGGCCTGCTTAGTGTCTGTGACCCTTTTCTCAGGTGCCCCTGCCTAGGTCCATTTGTCAGCCACTTTTGGCTGCATCAGGCCTACTGCCTGGGCTGTGGGCAGCCCCAGGATGAGGGAGACATGGAGAACACTGTGTCCTGCAGTACCCCCGGCTGCCAAGGTGAGACCCCCTGGGGCGTGTGCCTCTCCCTGCTCGGACTTACCCCACTTGCATATGACAATCCACTGTGGTCCTTCCTTGATGGACTTCTCTTGTACCTCATCTTTTGTGCCCCTCCCTTCATTACTATGCACGTTCTCATTTACACAGAGCCTTCAGGTAGCTCATTTTCTCCATGCTTGCCTTTATTCTCCCGGGTATTTATGAATAGGATTTATATGCAAGTGGCATTGCAGCAGCTCCCTAGTGTGCACCCCTTGACAAGGATGGTTCATCCAGGTCTGTGATAGGGGAGGCAGGGGCTGGCAACCAGGAAGCACAGAGGGTGGGTGGGTGAACTCGGGTTCACCTCCATTCCCCATGGCCTCCACCAGGTCTCTACTGCCTCACTTGCTTCCGCCTCCTGGACAATACCTGCTCCGTGTGTGCATCTCCCCTCTCCTACCAGGGGGACCTGGACCTGGAGCTGTGAGTCTTTCAGTGACATGGGGTGGCTGGAGTCTGTAGGGGCAGTGGAAGTAGGCACCCTTCTCCCAGGATGTCTGCAGGCCACTGAGATGAGAGTCTTCTCCAGGGACTCCAGCGATGAGGAGGGCCCTCAGCTATGGCTGGCTGCAGCTCAAAGGAAGGACCCTGAGCAGGCATGGTTATTGCAGCAACAGCTCCAAGAAGTGCTCGGCAGGAGCCTCTCAATGGAGTCCACTTCCGAGTCCAGGTGAGCAGGAAGCAGGAGTTGGCACCTGGGAATTGTGAGTCCTAAGCATGTTCTGTTCCATTTGCAAAGGCCTTCCTGGGTGTCTGGACCTTTGCCAGGGCTTGAAACAGACATGAGGGGAGGGGAAGTAACTGAGGTTTGCCAAGCGGCTGCTCTGTGTCAGCACCGTGGCCCAGGAGGAGCTCACCATGCCCTTGGGGAGAGTGACATCGAATAGATAACAGGGTGGACAGCACCCTGATAAAGGAGTGAAGTACACTCTGGACAGCACAGAGGACACAACAGCCAATTTGGGAAAAGGGGCATATTAATGAAGGCTTCATAGAAGAGGTGATACATGAGCTGGATTTTTGTTTTGTTTTGTTTTGTTTGAAACAGGGTCTCACTCTGTCACCCAGGCTGGAATGCAGTGGTGCAATCCCAGTTCACTGCAACCTCGACCTCCTGGGCTCAAGTGATCCTCCCACCTCAGTCTCCTGGGTAGCTGGGATGTCAGGAACACCATCACACCTGCCTTATTATTATTATTTTGTTATTATTATTATTTTGTAGAGACGGGGGTCTCACTATGTTGCCCAGGCTGGTCTCAAACTCCTGAGCTCAAACCATCCTCTCGCCTTGGCCTTCCAAAGTGCTGGGATTATGGGATTATAGGTGTGAGCCATGGTGCCTGGCCACGGGCTGGATTTTGGGGGCAACTTGGTGGTTTGTTAGGCTGAGAAGTAGAGGAAAGCATTCCAAGGGGAGGCCTGTGTGGGTTTGGAGAATGTGAGGCATTCAGAAGGGTAGAGCCCAAGGGATGGGTGTGGCTGGGTAGAGACCTCAGAGAATGCTGGGAGATGAGGTTGGAAGTCAAGGTGGGAAGAGATGGGCAAGAACCTTAACTTGTCATTTGAAAAGCTTAGGTTGGAAAGTGATATGCTCATATTTGTCTTTTAAGACCATAAGCGGGCCGGGCACGGTGGCTCATGCCTGTAATCCTAGAACTTTGGGAGGCCGAGGTGGGTGGATCACCTGAGGTCAGGAGTTCGAGACCAGCCTGGCCAACATGGCGAAACCCCATCTCTACTAAAAATACAAAAATTAGCCGGGTTTGGTGGTGCATGCCTGTAGTCCCAGCTACTCGGGAGGCTGAGGCAGGAGAATTGCTTGAACCCAGGAGGCAGAGATTGCAGTGAGCCAAGATCACACCACTGCACTCCAGCCCAGCCTGGATGATAGAGTGAGACTCAGTCTCCAAAAAAAAAAAAAAGACCATAAGCAAAGAAGGCAGAGTGGAGGTTGGGCAGGAGCAGGGAGGTCAGAGAGAAGCTTGTCTTAGTCTAGGAGAAGTTCGTGATGGCCTCAGTACTGAAGTGCTGAGCGTGACTGGGATTTCTATGCTTGGGCCTGGGCAGGTGTTAGGGCAGGAAGATAAACAGGTTCTGGGGAAAGACGACTGGCCCAGTTTGAGATCTTTGAGGTGTCTGTAGGGCATCCAGCTGGAGATGCCCAGGGGGGCAGTTAGAAAAGGGCAGGGATCCGGGCTGGAGGTATATTTTTGGGGGGTTAAGTTAGAGACTGTAAGAGAGAGGATGAGCTAGATCATCCTGGCAGAGGGCATGGCAGGAGAGTGGGAGGGGACAGGGAGGGGAGAGGCTCAAGAAAGCAGGAGAGCCAAACATATGAAATCAAGTAGGGGGATGGGCACAGTGGCTCACACCTGTAATTTCAGCAATTTGGGAGGCCGAGGTGGGCCGATCACTTGAGTCCAGGAGTTCGAGACCAGCCTGGGCAACATGGCAAAACTCCATCTCTACTAAAAATACAAAAACTTGCCAGGGCATGGTGGCTCACGCCTGTAATCCCAGCACTTTGGGAGGCTGAGGCGGGAGGACCACTTAAGGTCAGGAGTTCGAGACCAGCCTGGCTAACATAGTGAAACCCCATCTCTACTAAAAATACAAAAATTAGCCAGGAGTGGTGGCACGCACCTGTTAGTCCCAGCTACTCAGGAGGCTAAGGCAGGAGAATTGATTGAACCTGGGAGGTGGAGGTTGCAGGGAGCTAAGATTGTGCCACCGCATTTTAGCCTGGGTGACAGAGGGAGGATTGGTCTCAATAAATAAATAGGTAATAATACAAAAATTAGCTGGGCATGGTGGCGTGCATCTTTAGTCCCAGCTTTCAGGAGGCTAAGGTGGGAGGGATCACTTGAGCCAGGGAGGCTGAGACTGCGGTGAGCCAAGATTGCACCACTGCACTCCAGCCTGGGCAATAGTACAAGACCCAGTCTCAAAAAATTAGAAGATTAAAAAAAAAAAAATCAAGTAGGATCATGTGAAGACAGGTGACAGGCAGTTAAGACATCACTGGAGTAGCTTGTGGGAATATTTTTCATGGCATCGGGAAGACCAAAACTGGATCTGTCATGATGGGTTGAGGGGTGTCAGGTAAAGAAGACTCAGAAAGGCTGGGTGTGGTGGCTCACGCCTGTAATCCTAGCACTTTGGGAGGCTGAGGCGGGCAGATCACTTGAGGTCAGGAGTTTGAAACCAGCCTGGCCAACATGGTAAAACCTTGTCTCTACTAAAAATACAAAAAATTAGGCATGGTGGCAGGCGCCTGTAATCCCAGCTACTTGGGAGGCTGAGGCAGAAGAATCACTTGAACGCGGGAGGCGGAAGTTGCAGTGAGCCGAGATCGTGCCACTGCACTCCAGCCTGGGCGACAGAGCAAGACTCTGTCTCAAAATAAATAAATAATAAAAGGACTCAGAAATATGGTATGTGGCTCCTGCATCACTGTTGCCAGGAGTTTGATAATGCTTTTAATCTAATGAGTGCTGTAGTTTGAAAAAAATGTAAGCTTGATGGTGAAGAGAAAGAGAGAGTTAGCTTCACAGAGCAAGAAAGTAGCTTGAAGGGGATTCAGCACTAAAAGGGTTTTCTAGATCTAAGAACAGGAAGATTTGAGCATTTAGGCAGTGTAAAAGCACGTTGGGGAGGGAGGTTTGGGCTCCAGGGCCAGGTGGACCAGGTGGCCTGCCTGAGAAAGGAGCAGGCTGGCAGAGGCAGAGGGGGAGAGTATAGGTTCCCCTGAGCAGCTGAGCCCACTCCAGCCTGGTGGCCTCGCTTCTCTTTGGGGAGTAGGAGGCAAGAGCACCTGCTGAGAGAGCAGAGCAGGCAGCTGGGAGTGGAATAAAGGTTTCAAGGAGTGGGTGGTAGAGGTTGAAAGACCTGCCGTGGCAAGTGTGCAAAGAAGCCGACTAGGGAGGTTAAGGGATTTCCAGGTAGCGTCAAAGGCCCAGATGATGCTGGAAGCTGTAACTTGTAATGATTGCTCCAGTGCGCTCAGTTATGTGATTTTCTCTGGCAAATGTGGTAGCCATGAATAGGATTCACAGGTGGAGGGCTTTTTCTGGGCAGGTCAGGAGGACAAGATGGAGTGAGAATTGAGGTGTCTTTGGTAAGAGTGTCTGAGATGACTGGGGAAGAGGAGGGGCTAAGGCCCCTGGGGGCAGCCCAGGGTCTCTGTCTTGATGACGTGTTAGAGCAGGGGCAGTGGCCAGGAGGGAGAGCTGGCTGAACAGGAGGGACTCAGAGAGGGGGCCATGGCCAGGGAAGAACTCTGGAATGAATCCAGTGAAAGGCCAAGGCTGAGGAAGACGTCTGAGTGGGAACAGAGATGACGGTCAATAGAACCAAGGAGGTTAGGGATTGAGAGGCCAGAGAATTGGGTGGGTCCTCTAGCGACGAGGTTGCAGGACCATACAAACAGCAGGAGTCCAGAGCCGGCATCTTAAACAGATGTGGCAGGTGTCTGGCAGGCCTGAGGAGACAGCCACAGCACTGGTGGTACAGCTATCATGGCAGCCAGGGGCTTTGCAAAAAAACACTACGGGCCAGCTGGGTTTGAGAAGGTTAAGCTGCCTCCTCTTGGGAGGACTGCAAAGAAAACTGTCCAGTGGGCACATTCCAGTGTGAATGGGGCGGTAGAGGTCATGATGAGTCAAGAGGTTGAAGGGGAAGCAAAGCTTTCTTTTCAGAGGTTCTAGAGGGCCCAGTGAAAGGATAAGCTGGGTCAGCAGAGGGGACAGCTTGAGCCTTGAGCAGGTGTGACTACTGAGGTCACTAGTGATTCTGCCCTTCCTAGCCATGTGGCCTCAGGCAAGTCACTGCCCACCCCCCAGCATCAGCCTAAAATCAGAAAATATCTACAGCCATGGGCTGGTACGCCTCGTGGGCCTGAGAGAGCAGGAGTTGCTCAGAAAGAACAGGAGCTGGATCTGAACAGATGGGGCAGGGCAGGGGGCAGGGATGCACCTGTGAAGACAGAAGGTGGGTGATCCGGCCACCCCCTTCCTCTCCTCACTAGTGACCTGGATGAGGAGAAGGGGCCTCAGCAGAGGAAGCACGGGCAGCAGCCCTTACCTGAAGCCCATCAGCCTGTCAGCATTCTCACCAGCCCTGAGCCCCACAGACCACCTGAGACATCCTCCGCCACTAAAGGAGCCCCCACTCCAGCTTCAGAACCCTCAGTCCCTCTCTCACCTCCCTCTCTTCCTGATCCTTCCCACCCACCCCCCAAATAAACCAAAAGTGGACACAAGTGTGAATCTTAAATTATTATTATTTCTTCCTGTCGCTTACACCCGAGGTGGGGGAGTTGGGGTGGGGGGAAGGGAATAGGAGGGGGGGAGTGCCTCTCCCCCTAAGGCACTGACTGGGAAAGCCGAAAGTAGGGAGAAGGGAGGCCACATTGTCCCCACTTTCTGGGGCTGGGCCCCAGGTCTCCCCAGCCCTGGGCTCCCCCCATCACCTGAAATGCTAAGATGAGGCCCAGGACAACCCGATCTCCCCGCCACCCCAATATATTACATCATCACTTTTTAAATAGATAACAGGGACTGGTCCCGCTACCCCCTCCCTGTGACCCCTCCCCACTGTTAGGGGTACCTGGGCAGCTGTGCAAATGGGCATGGGGGTGCATGGAAGGGAGGAAGAGCACCGGGCCCCTGAACCTGCCCCTTTTAAGGAGGGGGAGGAGCCGTCAGGCCAGGAAGGGGAAATAGTGCAAGGCAGAGCCCAGGCTGCAAAAGGGGTCCAGCACCCAGCGAGGAAGGGGGGGTGTCCCCCACCCCCAGCAGAATTGGGTAGTTAAAAATCTGAAACTAGATTTCAACAAGACCAACAGAAGAGGCTATGTACAGAATGGGGGTGGATTCAATCCTAAGAGCAGAGTGGGGATTATTCTCCCCTGCCTGACAGGAAGCCCGGCTGGCAAGGATCTGGGAAGGGGATCACTTTCCCACAGGTCCGCAGCCCCTTCCCCTGCGGCCAAGCGAGAAGTTCTGTGCCCACTGCCTTGGCAAGGGGGCGCCGCTCACCAGCTGGGGTGGATGAGGAGCGTGAAGACAGCTCGCTCCAGTGGCCGCGGGGGGCGCTCGCCCACTCAGAGCATGGCCGCCAGATGGCGCCGGCTCGCCCGCTCTCCACAAGGCTCTTCCAACCCCTTACCCTGTCCCACACCCTTCGCTGCGCCAGCCCGGGGGCGGCGTGAGTCAGGGGCGGCAGCGGTGGCGGCGGCTCCGGCTCGCACCTGGGCGGGGAGGAGATGGGGAGGAGGAGAAGAGGGTAGGACGCCGCCCGGCCCGCCCTGCCCTCTGGCCCCGGGGAGGGAGCGGCGGGAACAAGACATTCCCTGCCCAGGGCCGTGGGGAGGGAGGGCTAGGGAGGGGAGTGGAACGGAGCGGCTCCCCTAGCTGGGCGGGGCCCCTCTACTGCCCCCAGGGGCAGGCGAGCCAATCAGGCCACCCCGCCCCCTTCTCCACGACCCCATGACTCAGCGCCGGGAGCAGGGCGGAGGGGGACTGGGATGGCTCCTTCCTTACAGGCCCAGTCCCCCAGTCTTTCAAGCTTCCACCTGGCTTTCCCCCACCTACCCTTCCTTTGCCGGCCCCCTTTGCATAATTCACTGCCAGGAAAAAGGAACAGAAACCAGGAAGGAGGGGTCTCGAAAGGGAGGGGCAGTCCTTCACCCCCTTACACAGCCAAAACCCCCAAGGGGCATAGGGGCGGGGCAAGGCTTTGGTCCCAAGCCCCCACCCCCTAGAAACCCGCATAGCCGAAGTGGGACCCACAAATTAGAAATACATTATTGCTTCTACTCCCCAGGAGCAGCTGGGGACAGGGACCCCACTTTTACAATACAGCTGTAAATATATACACAATATATGTATCACTCCTTGGGGGATCACCCCAATTTGGGGAGCCTCTGCCCCAATACCTTCTTAGCTTGGAATTGGAATGAGGGCTCTGGGAGGAAGGGCTGATGCTGATGCCAGCAAGGCTCCGTGCCCCAGACCCCTGCTGTGTCTGTCCTGCGTGCTCCCACTGCTTGGCATGGGTGTCCCCGGCCTTGTGCTGCTTCAGTCTGGCCCTCGTCCCTCTTTAAGAGGACTCCATGGCACCTTCAGCCTGGGGTGTGGTGGGTGCCCCTTCCTCCTCATCGTCATCAGGGGGCCCTGGGGTAGAGACCGGGGGCCCAGTGGGGGCTGACTGCTCCCAGAATCGAGCTAGAGAGAGGCGGAAGGTGTCCAGGTGGCCATTGGAGAGGTCGAGGCCAGCGGGGGATGCAGCAGCGGTAGAGGGTGGTGGGTAGTGGGGTGGTGCATCGTCCTTGCGGCGCCGTCGGGTGCGCACCTCCAGGCAGTTCTGGCCTTTGAGGTGGCGCTGCAGGTGGTCCTCCTTGGCGAAAGCCTTGTGGCACAGGTGGCACTCATAGGGCCGGTCCCCTGTGTGCAGGTGCATGTGGTTCTTGAGGTCGTAGCTGTGCAGGAAGCGGGCTGGGCAGTGCGGGCATGAGTAGGGGCGCTCTCCCGTGTGCTTCCGCATGTGGATCTTCAGCTTGTCGTTCCTGGCACAGGCAGGGGTGAGGGGCAGGGAGGTGTTCAGGATGGGATCCCTGGCTCCTCCTGGTCATCCCACCCTGGCCTTGTCCCATCCCTGTTCCTCACCATTTGTTACCCCACTATTGCCCCAGGAGATACCCTGCTAGCTCACCTCTAGCTTAACTAGGCCTTGTCATTATCCACTCCTCTGCTTCCAGCACTGCCCTCCTGGGCACCGAATCCTCCATGCTCCAGATCCACCCCCTGCTGGCTTGTTTTCTTCTGCTCTCCTCACTCCAGTAACCCACCCATGCCCCAGTCCCTCCAGGACCACCTACCACCACCTCGGGTCTCCTAACTTCTTCCCCATCTCCTCCCACCCTGTCCCCTACCCATGGCCCCTGCCGGGCCCTTCCCCCCTTGCTGCTCACCTGGTGAATCGAACACCGCAGACCTCGCAGGCAAAGGGCTTCTCGCCTGTGTGGGTCCTCATGTGGCGAGGCAGTTTGCCTGCCCCATGGATGATCTTGTGGCAGACAGGGCACTCCTGAGGCATCTGGGAGCGGCGTTTGCGCACCAGCTTGTCTTGGCTGTCCAGGCCTGGTGCCAGGTTGTCCTGGTGCAGGGAGCTTAGGTAGGCCATCAGGTCAGGATCGATGGCATCCTCATCTGAGCCCAGCTCCTCTGGGGACAGCGGGGGCCCGCCACCCTGCGCCAGCCCATAGGCTGGGGGATATACCAGCTCCTCTTCTTCTTCCTCACCCTCATAGGGTTCGTAGCTCTGGGGACCCTCAGGAGGGGAGGCAGTTCCTGTGGGAGGGCTGTAGCTGTCCCCCGGCCCACTGCCCCCACTGCTGCCCACTCTGCCCGCCACCTCCTCCTCCTCATAGGTCAAGGGATGGGCGGGCACTGTGGGCACCTCAGGGACTAGGTGGTTTGCTCTGGCCCCCTTGGTTTGCAGGAAAGCTTTCCGGGGCTTGCGGCTGCGGCGGGCAACAGGCCGAGGTGGCGGTGGCGGAGGTGGTGGGAGGGGCACCTGTGGAGGACTGTCTTCACCATTGGGAACTCCAGAGGCCGTGGCTGTGGCAAAGGCCTCCAGATACTGGCGGGCTCGCTCACAGTCATCCTCGTCCGGGCTGGGAGCTTCTAGCCCACTGCCCTGCAGAATCTCCATGCAAGCAGCGATGACACACGGGATCTCCAGCAGGCGGGCAGCCTGGAGCACAGCTGGCATGTTGGCGCTGCTGGTGGTCAGTGTGGCTGTATAGGCAAATTCAAGGAGGGCGCCTAGTGCCTCTGGCCCTACAAAGTCCAGCTCACACACACCGGCCCCTGCTCCCCCAGTGGCCGTCCCGCTACCCCCGGCCCCCATGACAGCTCCGCCACCGCCCTCAGTGAAAAGCTTCTTGAAGTAGTGGCTACAGGCAGCTAGCACAGCCCTGTGGGTGCGGTATTCAAGGCCCTGCGTCCGGATGGTGAGGTCACATAGGTGGCCCAGCTGGCGCTGCTCATTGAGGCAGCTCAGGAGCTCACTGCTGTGGTCCGGGAATGGAATCCCAATCAGGTCATCCTCGGGGCTCCCCATCTTCTCCTGCAGAGTCAAGTAGAGGGGAGATTAAGAGCGCTCAGCCCACAGGGGTCTGGGGAAAGAGGACCAACTTTAGCCAATACTTATTGAGGGATGACTGCATGCCAGTCACCCTTCTGAGTACTTTACACTCATTTCATCTTCCAGAACCCTCTGAAGTATGATCATCATCTGTTTCACAGACAAGGAAACTGAGGTTCAGACAGGTGAAGTGATTTTCCAAGTTAAGTGCAGAACAGTGTTCAAACTCAGGGAGTGGGCCCGGTCCTTGTTCCTAACCACTATACTATTCTACTCTGCCTCTGTGGCAGCAGGAGCCCTGCCTTTCTGGCCCTTTCATGGAGGTCCATCTATGTCACCTGCCCCATTCCCCATCTCTTTGGAAGGAGCAGTGGACTGGGAGATAGGATGCCTGGGTCCCGGTTCAGGCTTCATAAAGAATTGGCTGAAGGACCGGGGGTGGTACTGGCAGCTGGCCTCAGTCATTTGAAAAGTGAGGTAACAGTCTTTGTAATGAACCTCCTCATAACCTGGGGAGAGGCCAATGAGAGAGTTCAGACTCACACTGGACCAAGATCTGCTGGAGGCCAGGCACAGACAGGTGCTTTAACTCAAGTTATCGCTCTCCAAAGCGGTTAGGACACTGTAAAACATATGCAAACAAGAGAAGGCAGCTTCCAAGCATCATCCTCTTCCTCCTCTTGCCCCTCCCCTGGCTACCAAAAGTTCATCTCCCCTTCTAGATCCCCCACTTCTCCAGGCCAAACGGGAAACACAGCTCCCAGCATCCCTCCCCCCACATCCTCCCCTCCCCCATGGGGCCAAGGAGCAGCCACCCTTTGCTGGGGTGTCACTGGCTGGCGCGGGTGCTTCCTGCCCCGCACAGATAAGCATCGCCCCCGCCCCCTCCCCCACTGCCAATAGGCCAAGTTCCAGTCCCACCCCCCACCTCCCCCTCAGCTACTGCCACCCCTCCCTCCCTATTCCAGGAGAGCCCCGTCTCCAGAAGGCCTTGGTCCTGCTCTCTATCCTTTACCCTCCAAGGCCCAGCCACAGGAGGTGGGTGCAGAGCAGCCAGGAGGTGGGTGCAGAGCACCAAGGCTGGCAGAGGTGTCGGCAGGGGTTGGGGCCTGGAAGGGGGTGAGACCTGCTTTAAATCCTGGCTCTGCTACTGTCTTGCTGAATGACCTTGGGAAAGTCATTTCTCTCTGTGCTTCCATTTCCTCAGCTGTGCAAGGAGGGGGTGGAAGTAGTGGCCCCAATGGCTCAGACCTTCAGCCCTGACATTTTGTGGGTCTGGAGCAACTGGAGACAGTGCTGGGGCTTGGAAAGAACTGGGCTCTGGAGTCAGCCAGGCTTGAGTTTGAATCCTGTCTCTGCCACCAGTTAGCTCCATGACCTTAAACAAGTGATTTAATCTCTGAGCCGCCTTCCTCATCTGTAACATAGGATAATTCCACCTGACTCCTAGGGTTGTGGTGAGGGTTAAATGAGACCAAATATGGCACAATGCCTGATATGCAGTAGGGATTCGATAAATGTTCTGGCCTTGGCCTAGCCTGGGGTCAGATTCCACTATACAGATGGCCTCTGTTAAGAAAACTACTTGGGGACAGGTCTGCCTCCCTCCCTCAAATCACCCTGAGGGAACCAAGCTACTACTAGCTACATGACTTTGGACAAGTCACTTCCTTTCCTGAGGAAGCCTGTTCCTCATATGTAATATTAAAGACTGGCCCAGATGATCCCTAAGGCAAGTCCCACTGACATTTTGTCAGTGTCCCCTCTGCCACTCCAGCAGCTGTTCAGACCTGGCCATTGATGGGGAAAGGTTTTTTTTTTTTTTGGGTGGGGGGGTGAATGGGGGAGTCAAGCCACAAATTTCCTCTTTAGGACACAAGAAGTGCATTCTCTGTGTCTGCCTCCCTGCCTGCCCTCTTCATTGCAAGGCCAGGGCTCCTGCACAGAAACCTTGGGTGAGCAGCACCCGCATGTCCTTCTTTGCTTGTAAGCCACCTCTAGGCACCCTTAGATAGCTCACCTGTTCCCACCGTAAGTCCGCAAACCACTTCTCTCCCTAGGAACCAAGCCATCTGGGAGCTCTCCCTGCTCCCTTTAATCCTCCTGCCTGTACTTTACAAATGGTACAAGTGGCAAATGGCCCCCAGACTTGGGAACAAACAAAAACCAGGTGGGCAGCAGCAGCAGCAGGAGGAGCAGCAGCAACAGTGGCTGCAGCTACTTAAGCAGCAGTAGGCACCCTCCTGGGCCCAAGTGGATCCTGTCCCTCCTAAGGGGGATGGGTGGGGCTGTCCTCGCTGTCCATTGGCTGGGAGCTGGGCACTGGCAGGCACGTGGCTCACCCCATCCCTCTCCCTCCTTCCCTGCCCACCCCACCCATTCCCGCTGCTAAACCCGCCTCCTTTCTCCCACCCCAGGGCCGGTCTCCGTGGCAACTTGGTGTGGTGGGGGCGCTGATTGGCTGACCTCACTGTCAGGTCACAGGCTCAGGCTCGTTCACCACGCAACTCACACAGGGATTGGGCAAGGGTGGGTGTTTAACTCCTTAGGCCCAAATCCAATGCCCATGGCCAAGAGGTAGCAATGAAAGAGGGGGAGAGGCAGAGGACATGTGTGGGAAGGAGAGGGTGTTCATAAGCTTCTCTAGCTTCTGGGAAACTCCCCTAACCCTTACCCAGGGCTCTAACACCCATGCCAATATAGGTGCCACCTGGAGCTATGGTGGTGCCAACCAGGCCAAGGGGCCCTCCTAGACCCATCATCTGGGAGGGATGGGTGGGGCAAAGGCCTCCCCCTTCTTTCTGCCAGGGCAGGGCACTGGTGCCAGGGTGCCCACCCTACCTTGGGCACCTTTCCCACCTCTGCATCCCAGAGGGCCCAGTCCCCTGACGCCCCATGAAGGCGGCCCATCCCCACCCAATCTGGCATGCCCCCTCTTGCTAAGACCTTGTGGGCATGGGTGTGTGTGGTGGTTGGGGGTGCAGCTGTGCCAGGGAACCGGGCAAGGTCTGTTTGGTCTGTTTGCCTGGTAGGGGGAAGAACTGGGGGCCCCACCCCATCACTCCCCTCTTTCCCGCCACCCCCCCAGGCTCCCCTCACTGTCAGGCCTGCTAGACCGGCCAAGCCGGTGGGCAGCTCTCTTGAAACTGGGCCCTGAGTCAAGCCTGCCCTGTCCTTGGTTGGGGGAAGACTTCAGGGTGAGAAAGTTGGGAGGGGGTAAAGGTGGGAGTGCCTATCACCTACCCTTCAGTGCTCAAGGGCACCTGGCAGGGTATGTCCAGCACCAAGAAACCAAAAGGTGGAGGCCACTGGCCTGGTCTTGGAAAGAAAAGGGAGATGGGAACTCTTTCCGGGTGCTGACCTCAGGCAGGGTCCAGTGCAGGGCTGGGGGCCACGAAGGCCAACACTGCTGGCTTGAGCCAGCCGAAGGGCAGGGATAGCAGGCCCTGAACAGGGCAGCTGAGTAAAGCTGACCCCCCTTTCCCCCACCCTGGGGATTAGGGGAGTGAGGCTTAGTGTGGGGGGCAGCAGGCGGAACCAGGATTAGCAGCAGAGAAAATAGATATGGGCCTGGGACACAGGCACGCAGAGCCCCCCCTCCCCAGGTTCCAAGGCCCCTACCTCTAGGCTCTGCCAGGGAGCCTGAGAGGGGCCTGGCCAGGCTTCTCCAGGAGCAGCAGCTTGGGGTGAGGGAGGATGAGGACCAGGCTGTAACATCTTCCTGCCAGGGATGATGGAGAGACCTGAGGCTCTTCCCAACGCTCCTGGTGCCTTGGCTGGCCACCCCTCCCCCTTACTTCTGTCTCCTTTCTCCCTCCACCCCCCCACCCCAACTCCAGCCTCAGGTTCTCTTCCTGTTTTTTTGGAGCTAAGTTTGCACGAAGCCATGGCTTTGGCCTGCGTCTGGACCAGGGGGGTGGGGAAATTGGACAGCCAGTCCAAAGTCCTAAGGGACCCAGGAATCCTTGTTCTCCAGCTTCCCCCACCGCTTCCCAGGGCCTCTGGGGCCCAGGAGCTGCAGCCATCTGGATTGCCCAGTTGGGGAGGGAAGGTAAAGGGGCTGAGCCTCTTCTCACATGAGGACTAGAAGGGCTTCAAAGAAGAGGTTCTCTGCCCAGGGATGCTCTGACATTTATGGAGCCCTTCTCTCCCCACCCCAGCCCCTCCAAGCTTGTGCATGCCTTCCCCATCCCCCATATGACGCTTCCCCCTCCTAACCTCACCACCCCCAGCACTCACACTTCCTGGGGGCCGAGGCGGGGAAGAGAGACCGCAAGCCACGAAGGGGGAAGGAGGCGAGGGGAGTTGGCTGCTTCCCGGTGCTGTGGGGGTTAAGTCTCTGCCCAGCTCCAAATCCCCCAGTCCTGGTTCTGGGGCTCCTGAAATGAGGGAGACCTTAATGCTTCCCTACATTTTCTTTCCATGACACCAGCCCTTGCCCATAGCCCCTTAGTCCCCATCAAGGGAAATATGAGGAAGATAAAAGATGGCGGAGGAAGGAATGGGGGCAACTCTCTCAGCCTTAGCGCCGCCACCTTTGGGTATTCCCTGCCATCATCCAGCCCTCACTCTTGCCCCTCTCTTGGCCTCCTGGTTCTGTCCCCTCATTGCCTCCTCCGACCCTTGTCTTCCCTCCACAAGTCCACCCTTTGCTTTCCTTCCTTCAGCCCTCCCTGAACTCCGCATCCTCTCCACCCCATCAGTGTCCCTAGGCCTCCTCCCAGGAACTGTCCCTGCCTCTCCTTTCTCTTCCCCTTGGTTCTCTCTTGCTCAAACTTCTCCACTTTCTCCATTGGCCCCCTGCTCCAACCATCCATTCCCTTCTTCCCAGGCATATGAGGGGTGGAGAGCCGCAGAGGAATTAAATCAGGGACCAGGCCTGCCTTCCAATGCCTGGTCTTGCCAAAAGATGGTTGAGTTTAGGGCACCCACACCCCACTTTTGGATGAAGCAGGGGACCACAATTTGGGAGCCAGTTGGGGAGAATGAGTGGTGGAGGGGGGTTTGCAGCGAGAGCGGATGTGGGGTGGGGGTGGGGGGACAACCTGTGCCTCTCTGCCCGTCAGAGTTTCCAGCCCTGGAGCTGCTGGACTTTCCCCGGAGGGTGCCCACCCTGGACCAGGCAATTGTCCACTTGGACAGACTCTGGCCATCAGGATTCTCAGCAGGGTCTGCCTGGACAGTGCCAGCTCCCCTTAGGGCCTGAGGAGACCGCACAAGGTGCCAGGGTCTGCCCTGTGCCCACCCCCTCCCCCCCAGCCTAGTGTCTCCGGCTGGGTAACCGAGCTGGCTGGTAACCCCACACCCGCCAAGCCGCCAGCAGAAACCTGAGCCCCCCAGCCCCAGAGGACACCCCAGCCCGATCTCCGGAGCCCGGCTCTCTGCCAGCCTGTCCAGCCTCCTGGCCTGGCCCAGCAATCACTCAGTCCCTATAGGCCCCTCTTCTGCCTCTCCTGATCTGCTCGGGTCCCCTTAAACACTGAGGCCTCCCCACATTCCCGCTTCTCAAGCCCTCAGTTCCCTAAACTCTCTTGTGAAGTCTGGGCACCCTCTTCCTGACCTGTTTTTCAGTCCTCTGACCCTTGGCTAATTCTAGGCCTCCAAGCCCCCCTGGGGCCTGATCTCCCAAGCCAGAGCAGGGCCTACTCACCTGAACGCTGAGGGGCCTGGCGGCAACTCCTCCTGGCCCCTGGGGGCAGCAGGTTGGGACAGGTGGGGGAGGGCCAGGCTTGGGGGGAGGTAGGGTGGCTGTTCCCCGCTCCAGCTCCCTCCTTCAAAGGGGCCGCCCACGACCTGGCCCAGCCCCTCCCCCCTACAGCCTTAACCCTCTGGGTGCTGTCCCCCCTCCCCCCAGCTTGGAGGGAGGGGTTACCGGAGGGCTGGCGGCGTGGGAGAGGGCCCAGAGTCTCTGCCTGTGGTGCCTGAAGCCCCAGCAGAACCCACCCACTCCTGTCCTTACTCAGTCCTAAAAGAGGAAAAAGGTGAGGGGTAGGAAAGGTAGGAGCTGGGACAGTCCAGGAGGACAGAGATGAGGAGGAGCAATGGGAGAGGCTACTGGAGGTGGGACCAGGAGAAGGAAGAAGGGAGGGGAGGGGACGGAGGCAGCTGTGGCTAGAAGAGGGAGGAGGGGAACCCTGGACAGTCAGTGCCAGGGGTGACAGGTGCCTGGGTCCCAGCCCCTCAGAGTATGTGGGATGGGGACCACAAGGAAGCCCTCTAGACCCCAGCAAGCTCCTCAGTCCCCCTGGGAGCTGGCCGAATTCTCCCTACCCTGTACTGGGCTGGGGCCCTCAGGGGCTGGGCAAGGCGGCACCCCGCCCTCCCCATAGCCTCACCCCAAACCCACTCACATACCACAGTTCCTTGCCCGGGTGCCAACCCCTGCCAACCAGGCCAGGGGGCAGCACTCATGCCAGCCCCCAATAGCCAGGGGGATCAGGGGGAACAGAGCTGGCCTGAGGGGGATAGACAGATTGGGGGAGCTGTGGGCACCGAAAGAGGAAGGAGCTGGGAGGGGGCATCTGCTGGGAAGCGCCTAGCCCCACCCCTTGCGCAAGCTGCTGCCACCCTGGCCGGTTGGGTGGGACCCGCCTGGGCCTGAGGGGCAACTCAGGAGAGCTCTGAGCCCAGACATGGATGGGCCACCAAATTTCACTTAAACAACTCCTGGGGTCCCTTATTCCTGGAATGAGGGGTGCCCTAGTGACCCCCAGACACTAGGCCATCCCAAATCCTGCTAGGCTTGGGGGTACCATAGAAATGCCCCCTAAAATATCCCCTCCCCTTTCCCCCAACAGCTGCTGGCTCAATGCCGCTGGCCTGCTGCCCCTCACCAGCTCCCGGCCCGGTTGGCACCTACCCACCAGGATGCTGGCAGTCCTGCCCTCCTCTCCCTCCTACCCCCCTGCTCCCAGCGCCCCATGCCAACTGTGGGCCTGAGGTGGGGGAGGGTCACCCTGTGCCTTGGTGCCAGCCAGACGGGCCCAGGCCCCTAGGCCTTACAGATAAGGCCTAAGACCCTGTTCTCAAACCACCTCCTCAAGAGGTAGCACACTGGTCAGGGCCTACACAGAGAGAGCCTAGGAGGCAATGGACAGCCCTGTGAGTAGTTAATGAAGGCTCCACACCCCAGGGTGGGGGCCAGTGTCTCTCCCTACCACCAGGTGCCAACCTCCCGGCATTCCCCCTGCCCAAGCATTTGCTTGGGCACCAAAGTCCCTGCAATTCCTGAGAGCCCTAGTGCCTGCAGCCTGCAAGGGAGTGGGGTGGGGCTGCTCTCTGCCCTTTGATCCCCATAAAGGGAGGGAACCAGCCTAGAGGGCAGGGGGCAGGGAGGGAGTTCATGGGGCCCCTCTGTTTCACCCCTGCCAGGGGCAGCAGGGCAGGGTGTGGGCATCTTTTGGGTGGGGCCCTAAGGTGAGGACAGGTAGCATGTCTCAGCAAGGGAGATGGATGTCAATCATAGGTACACAGCATCCCATGGCAATGCGATAGCAAGAATAAAGTGGGGGGATGCAGAGGGTACCCACATTCCAACCCATCCCAGTTCTGACTTTCACCTTCATCCAGAAACACTTCCAGACTCAGCCAAATTGAGAGCTCAAGGACTACAACTCCCAGTGTGCACCACAATTGCTTTGTATGTACCTTGGGAGTTGTAGTCCCCCTTGAGAAGCTCTGGGTTCTCCTCTTCCCCAGAGCCTTGCTGATGGGTGAGAAGGGCAGATGACTTGGTCATGAATCTCCAAGGGGGCTAGGTTTAAGAAGAGGTAAAAGGCTAGGATGTCCATGGTGGAGGAAAGAGGACCCCTGCTCCCAGGCAAAGGGGGAGGAAAGGAGGAAGGAAGGAGGAGAGGATGTCTGTTGAAAGGGGCATATGGGTGGGGAGGAGTTGGGGGGACGGTGGAAACAGGAAGGAAACTGAAGCCAGAGACATGAGGTCGAAAGTAAGGGCCTGGGGGAGCCCCACTCTGAGGCCTGTCAGGGACTGGGATGGCATTTCCCCATGTCATTCTGTTGGCCTGGGAGGAAGAAGAGGATCAGTGATGTCAAAAGATAGCAAATTGACATATTTATGGGGGATCACTGTTTCATTTGCCTGCCATCAGCCCTCTTTTGCCTGGGGCACCTTCGACCCCTGAATCTGGCACAGGTATTTGCTGACTGGGAAGCTCTGAAGGCTGACCTGGTTCTGGGGAAGATAGCAGGCAAAGGAAGGGGTTTGGGGAGATCAGGGCTAGGCCTGATGGTGAATATGGTAGAGGTATATGTGGGGTTAGGCCCAGGTGTGGTCAGGGCAAGTGCTGGCAAATGAGAATGCTATCCTCCATAGCAGAACCATGGCATCTGGAGGCCTCAGGGAAGAGAGGGCTAAGATGTCCATCCCAAACTATGGGACAGGATGAAGAGGGCAGCCCTC
The DNA here is from genome assembly GCF_000001405.40 of Homo sapiens. Lineage (NCBI taxonomy): Eukaryota > Metazoa > Chordata > Mammalia > Primates > Hominidae > Homo > Homo sapiens. The sequence goes on along the minus strand of NC_000001.11, from coordinate 155,006,217 downwards.
TCTGGTCTCCCTGGGGAATTTGTTAAAGGTAGCTTTGTCCCTGTGCCAGTGAATATTAAAGATGGCAACTCAGGGGGCCAGGTGGTAGCTGGGTGCCTTTCCCTAGTAGAGGTGGAAGTCAGAAGTGGGCAGAGGACCTGCTTTGAAGCCACTTTTCCTGGGCTCCCCAGGGCTCTGGGACAGATGCTGGCAGGCCCCAGCCAAGACTCTTGCCAAGACCTAGGCCTGGCTGGGTGTGGGGGTCTTTCTTGTCCCCACCCCACCAAACACTTGATGGTGGATGACAGCAGCTCTATCCCCTTCCTCCCAGTCCCCCGGGCCCGCCTTGGCGCCTGGCCGCTTCTGTGTTGGCAAGAGTGGGGGGGAGGGGGCAGCGAGGCAACTTCAAACTGTCCGGGCAAAACGTCAAGTTTACTCACGAGTTTACTCAGCACAAGGAGGGGGAAGAGGCCAGGGCGGGCACACCCCATGCCAGGGTCCTATCCATCTGCCTGTCCCCACCTTCCTCCCCCACTGTTCTCTCCCGCCCTAGGCCAAAACAGGCATAGGCCCTAAGGCCTGGTGTCAGGGCAGTCTTAACTCTCAGGAAGGTCAGGGAGCCAAGCGGGGCAGAGGCAGGAAGCCCCGCAGCAGGCCCAGAGGCTTCTGTCAGAGGGCAGTGCCCTGCCTGGAGCCCATTCACTACTCATCTTGGGGCCTTGGTCTTGGGCCAGAAGAATTGGGTCTCTCAGCCATTAAGAAGGGGGCAGTACCAGGCCAAACCTTCTCCATCTGAGCAGTCCCCTGGGCAGTGACTTCTGACCCCAAATGCCCAGTCCTAGGCTGTCCCTCAGTCTGATGCCATCCAGGCAGCCATAGGATCAGGGGCTGGTTCTCTCAGCCTTGGCTTGGAATGGGGGGCTGGCACCCTATCTGACCTACTTCCCTTTCCTCCCCACCTGCTTTCATTTGCTTCTCTCCCCCAGCCTTCACTGTCCCCACCCCAGAGCGCTCCGCCCCCCATGCCTGCTGGGCCCCCTCCCCCACCCTTCCCCAGGGTGCCAAGTGCAGGCACACAAAGGGCCTGATGGTGCATTGTTAGCCCAGCCCCCGCTGCCCGCCGCACCCTCCCTGGGCAGGCACTAGGCCAAGGAGGAGCTGGGGGCCCTGGGTGCCAGGGGGCACCATGGGGAAGAAGAAGGGGACAGCACCTGTCTTCCAGACACTGGGGTCTACATCAGCCAGAACTGAGTAGTGATGAGAGTCCCATTAGAGCAAGCCTGTCTCCTTGACACCTGAGCCTAGTGGGCACTGCCTTCTTTCTTCCCCAGAGCCCCATTCTGGTGGTATTAACCCCTTTTTGACCCCTGTGCCAGGGCTGGGGGTGTGTGGTACCCAAGGGAGGGGACAGTGTCTGGGGGTGCCAGCAGGTTGTGTTGTGCCCACAGCAACCATGTAACAGAGGCACGCTGGGGGAGCTGGGGTCCCTGGGGCCAGGGACAGAGGCACTGACAGAGATTTCTCCTTGTTTCATCAGCTGCTCCAGGGGGAGCCCCCTACCCTTCTCCCCAGTTACCACTAAGGAGGAACACTAACTATCATCCAGACATAGTCACACATATGTCCCTCTCTAGCGCAGCACAACACTCCTTATGCCCACTCTCTCCTCCCCAACCTGATGTCCACTCCATGCCAGCTCTCCCAGCAGTGCCAGGCGGGTACAGGGGTGACCAAACCAGTTGGTGTGTGTGGGGCAGCAGGAGGCAACCCCATAATCCTCCAGGCCTCATCCCCACACTCACACATACTCCCTTAGGGACCAGACAGTTCCCATCCTGCTTTAACCCCTCACAGCCCAATCTGGTTCCCCCGTCCCTGATAAGCGGTCTCCCTCCTCCAGGAATAAGTTGGGGGAAGGGGGAATAGCTGCGCTGACTCATTCCCATTCTCGGCTGCAGCTAGGGGTCTCCAAGGCATTCGGGCGGGGGTCAATTCAAGAACACCCTCCACCTGGCCCGGAAGCCTGGACAGCCTGCCGGTCTCCCCCTCTCCCCAGCACCCACTTCCGGTGTCCCAAACTAGGTCAGCAGCGCTCGTTTCCTGTGGGTCAGCTAGCACCGGCGCCTCTGCCCCTCCCCTGCTCCGGACCCAGGCTCCCCGCCCCCCTGCCCCCCAGGGCGCCCCGAGGTCTCACCATGTCTCAGCCGCCCTTTGATACGTGGGGGTTGTGCGGGGCGGGGGGCAGGGGACCCGCCCTCTCTCTAAACACCAGCAGGGCCGGGGCGCCTGGGCAGGCACGTGTCCGGGCACAACCCGCTGCCCACGCCGCCCCCCCACTCCCGCCCCCACCTCGCTCTGGCCGGGACACGTCGCTCTCTTACTTGGGATGGGGTGGGAGGAGGGAGAGAAAGCTGGAAATTGAAAGCAGCGCCCCCCACCCCTTTGAATGGCAGCCTTCTGCCAGGCGCACTCTGTAGGTTCTACAACAACACAGTAGCGACCCCCACTCTGGGCTGGGGCAGGTGCGCCGGCGCCGGTGGGGGGACGGGTAGTAGGTAGGAGAATTCTTCCTAGTCACCCGCCCTCGCTCTTGGGTTCTGTGGTCATGAGCTGGCGTGGAAAAGGTAGCGGCGGGACTGGAGCCTGAAGGAAGGGAGTGGGATTGAGGGGCAGGGAAGAGAGCGGTCGTTCTATGTCGGTTCAGAGGTTGTTGCTGAGCCCCACTACCGCTGGAGAGAGCGCGGCTCTGGAAGCGCAAGAAACCGAATAGTCCAGCCGGTAACTTTCCCCCAAGCCGCGGCTCCTCCTGCGCCCCCCCAACCCCCATGCAACTGGCCTGGGGCCAATCCACCGCGCCAGGGGGCGCGGGGTGGGGGGGGGGTGCGCGTTGTCCTAGTTAGAGTCCGTCAGCGTTTCCATTCCCTCAACTCAGTCCGGTCTGGGGTCTCCCCCTAAAGTCACGAAGGAGACTGGGGGAACGCTCAGCGTCGCCTCACCCCCTCTCCATCCCGAAGCCGTCTGTCTGTCTGATCCCAGGAGAAGTGCAGATAAACTTTCTGGGGACCCTCCGCCTAGGGTTGGGGGGCATCCGCAGTTCCTTCTCTGTCTTTCATCTCAGTTAAAACCAATTCCAGAGACCCGGGGTGTTGGGAAAGCACAGGGAAGGGGAGTGGTGGGAATGTGATCTGCATGCGTGTGTATCTGGGGGTCCCACTTACAGGACGGACGAAGGACACTGCAGTAGTCTCGAGCCTAGTGAACCCCGAGCCAGGAGACAAAAGTGGGGTACACTCACCTCTCAGCCGTCGGGTCCGCTGGCTGGAGCTGCTGAGGCTCACAGTGTGGGAAGAAGCGCGTCCCCCACCAGGCCCGGGGGCTTGGGGCCCTGCTCCGGTCCTGGTCAGAAGGCCGCGGTCAGTTGCTCGCCGCTCGCTGCTGGGGGGCTCCTCCTCCGCCGCCCTCTGCCTCCTCCTGCCGCCCGCCCCCCCTCGGCCGCCAAGAGCCGTACATTCACCTGGCTCCCACCCGCCCCCCCCTCAGGGCCCGCCTCACCTGTCCTGCTGTCTCACCTGTCCTCCAGCTTGCTTTCCCCCCATCCCTCCCCTCCCTCCCCCCGCCCCTGCCACCCCCCAAACTCCCCCCCCCCAACACTTAGAAACACCCTCTGTCACTTCCTGGTTTTTCACCCGCCCCCCCAGGCCCCCTCCCTCCGCCCAATAAGGACATAAACTTCAACCCCTTCGTCCAGCCAGTCCCTGCAGAGCGCAGATGGGTCCCTCCCTCCTTTTTTGCCCCCTTCTCCAAACTCTTACTTAGCTCTCCTAGCCTTTCCCACCCTCCTCCTTTCCCTCCTTCTTTCCTTCTCTCTGTCTCCCTTCACCTGCCGCGGTCCCTCTCTCCCCCCCCTTTCTCCTGCCCCTATCTCTCCCAGTCCACCTTAACTCAAACTCCGCCCCCGGCCCCCATCCAGCCCTTTGCTGCTGCTCTGCCCGCCCCCTGCACGCCACCGCCCTGTCCGCTCATTGGCCTGAATACCCGCTCATCTCCAGTAGGTCTCGCCTTGCGTTCGTCCAGGGAGGGGGCGGAGCCGAGGGGCTGGCCTGGAACCTGGAGAGGAGGGGGGAGGGGGCAGTGTCCGCAGCGGCCAGGGAATCGAGCACCCCCTACAGGGGCTCCCTCTCCTTCAAGAGGGGCTTCTGTAGGGTCAGGACCTCAGGAGGGAAGGGTATGAGAGGTTAGGGATAGGCTGGGTGGGGGTGAATTGGGGACTTAGGGTCTTGAGGGAGGGGGTCCCGTGAGGGGCTGTAATCAGGTCAGGGACCTAGAAGGGAGGGGGAGGGGGAGCCACCAGGCCTTCGGCTCCGGCCCCTACGCCCCACCCCCTCTCGGAGGGAGCCGGGGAGTTGAGCCTGCGGGCGCCCTGCGTCCCTCCCCACGCGTGACGGTGCCCCGCGGGGAGGGAAGGGCGCCCCAGGCAAGCAGCCTCTGTGCTGTCGCCAGTGCCCGCTGCGGCCTTGGCATTGTCGGAGGGGAGGGGCCCAGTCTGCGAAGGGGGAGGGGGCGCGCCGACGCTTTTGCTCCCCACCTCCATCCCGCGGGTTCCCTAAGTGGAGAAACTGAGTCTCCACCGAGGAGGGATAGCTTGACATGAATTCGCTGAGAGACCCAGGTGGCGAGGGGTGCCTGGATGTTTTGGGATGTGTGGTATGTGTAGGTTTTGGGGAGGACCGGGATAAATACTTAGGAGTCCCCCAACTGAGAAAGGTAGCGGGTGAAGGATGTTTCTGACTGAGCCTGCGGAGCTGCGTACCCCAAAGGGCCCCTCCCACTAGTGTCAAATGGAATCAAATCCGGCTACCTAGGGCCAGGTTTGGCTCCCCTGCGACAAGCCAGGCCGAACCGGGTCGGACTCGCTTTCCCCTCCCAACCCCCCTCCGCAGGGGGCCTCCCTCCCTTTCCAGCAGGTGGCTTCTCGGGACACCAGCTCAACCTGTTGGACCACAATGGGCGGCGCCAGGGGGGCCCTGGCCCTCACCCGGGCTGACCCGGGATCCCCGCGCACGAGGGGCGGAGTCCAGGTCCCTCCCTCCCTCTTTCTCCCTCTCTCCCTCTCCGCGCCGGGCCGTGACTCAGCCTCGGGGCCGCTGCCCTGCGCCCCAGCCAGGGGCGGAAAGTGTGAGGCGCCCCTGAGGGCTCAGGCCAAACCAAACAGCCCCCCACCCCAGACATTATCTCACTGGAGAATTAGGGGGGCTATAGGAAGGAGGAGGTAGCGGCAGGCATGGGGCGCTCTGGCTCGAGTAATCCGCTCCGGGTTTTCCTATCGTCCCTGACCCCCTTGGGTCGCGAGGCTGATCACTGCTCCGGGTTTTCTTCTCAGCCCCGCCGGACAGATCCTGGTCCGGAGGGGCCCGGAGCCGTCCAGGCCGGGGTTTTCCCCTTCCTACTCCAGCCGTCTGGGTCGTGCAGGCCTGGTGAAGGGCTGTGCTAGGGGCTAGGCGGCAGTGCCACAAGTGAAATGGAGAGGGGGCTGCTTTGGGGAGGAAGGAGGATAGCCAAGGAAAGGGGGCGGGGGGCAGGGGGCGGGGGGCGGGGGGGGTGGGAACGTGGCCCGGGGAGGGCAGAGCCAGGGCTTCCAGAGGCAATAGAAGGGCGGGCTCCCTGGCACCAGCCTTTGGGTACAGAAACTCGAAAGGTGCCCAGTGCCTCAGGCTCGCCTCGCCCAACTTCCCCCATGTTTGAGGGTCGCGTTCTGCGTCTGGCTGAACATGACTGATCTTTCTGCGGCTAGATTGCCACTCCTCACCTCATTCCCAATGGTCCTGGAACCCGCAGTTAGTTCCTCAGTGACGCCCACCCTCCCTTGTCTCTCTTTTTCTCCTGGTGCAAATAGCTCCCCTCCTTACTCAGAAATCGGAGCGGGGAACCCCTACTTGAAATTCCCTCTTACCCCAACCCCTAACCACGCCAAACGACTGAAACAGCGGCGGCAGAGAAACGCTGACTGGGGACCCCGCCCCCTCCCATGAAACCCCTGCTGGGCCCCAGGGGCCGGCCGCCCCCGCCCCGCCACTAGGCCCAGACTGGAACTGGGAGCTGGAGGGCAAGTGAGGGGCCTGCAGGGGCCGCCTGGGGATAGGAGAGCGTCCCAGATCCGCATGTTAAGACTTAAATTTTTAGGTGACCAGCTAGACCTTAAATTTGGGGAGAGTAGCACGAGTTGGACAAATACCCAGAGAAGGAAGTGTTTACCCTAAGAGAGGAATGAAAGCCCCGAGTGGGAGGACTGAATACCTGGGGCTGGGGACAGCGACTCGGAATGACGGCCAGGTGCGCGGACTGGCCGGGCCACGTGCGCCGAAGGGTAGAAGCATAGAAGTTAGATGCTTGCAGAACCTGGGGGAATGAGGCCTTCAGGTGTTAAGAAAGGCGAGGCTTTGCCTGGGCGGGGTCCTGCGTGAGTGGGTCTGGGGGCCTGTTTCGGAATGTGGGGGGCTGAGCTGCAAGCGGAGCGTCAGCATGCGCCAGGCGCCCACCTCTTCTCCGCTGCTCCCCCCCATCCTCCGCTGCCTCCGCTTCCCTCGAAAAACCCGCCGCCCAGGAAACCGCTGGGGGCGCTCAGACCGCAGACCCCCCACGCCCCCCGCCCCCCAGCGCTCCCACCGCGACCGCCCAACCCACCTGAAGGGGCCGTGGCCGCCAGGGGTACCCCCCTCCCGCCGACTCCCCCCAACACCTGCGGGTGGCACTATTTATAACTCCGCGCCTATTCCGGGCCTCTGGGTTGGAGCCGGCTGCCGCGCAGCGCTAATCGCCGCCGGGATCTCTGCGCCCCCCAAGGCCGGGGGAGGCAAATTTAGCTTCAGGAAGCTCAGGGGAACAGTTTCCAAAACTCCACGTCCCAGAGAAGGCAAGACAACCCCTCTGCACTCAGCCTCCTTCCGATCAGCCACCAGGAGGCGCAGGTCCCCGGCTTCTCGAACCCAGCCAGCTAGGAGGTTACGGTCGCTTCTTTGAAGCTGGGGTAGGCGAAGGCCTGAGGGCGAATGATGGAAAGGAACTGAGGCCGAAGAATGGCTGGAGGAACGGGTACGCTCCAAGGCTGGCGAACACTCTAGAGTCTGAGAGTAACTGAGAAAGTTGGGTGGAGGGAAATAACTCACATGCAAGACAGATGTAAATATGATGCAAATAAGAGCCTATGCCCATGCCGGGCGCGGTGGCTCTCGCCTGTAATCTCAACACTTTGGGAGGCAGAGGCGGGTGGAACACCTGAGGTCAGGAGTTCGAGACCAGCCTAACCAACATGGTGAAACCCTGTCTCTAGTAAAAATACAAAAATTAGCCAGTCGTGGTGGCACACGCCTGTAGTCCCAGCTACTCAGGAGGCTGAAGCAGAATTGCCTGAACCTGGGAGGCGGAGGTTGCGGTGAGCCGAGATCGCGCCATTGCACTCCAGCCTGGGCAACAAGAGCCAAACCCCGTCTTTAAAAAAAAAAAAAAAAAAAAAAGCCTATGCCCTTGGGGATGGGTCTGCGCTCTGGCGCTGCCAGTGAAATGATTGCCACACACCCCTTTTTGCCGGCCTCTTGGTGTTGGGAAAACGTGGGACATCCCCACCCACCCACCCCTCCCCGCCGCCAGATTATTGCTATGATATCCAGTTTATTGCCTGCCGCTCCTCAGACCCTTGGGCCGTGACCCCTCTCCTCCAACTGTTCCTTGCATGCCAACGAGGGTCCTGTATCCGATGTAATCCGCCGGGAATCCTGGATATCAGGCTTCTCCTCTCGCTGTTGTACTTGAGGGTCACATCCAGCTGGTCCCTCCTGTCTCCATTCCTACTCCACCCATTCCCCCACCCCCTGTGACCATTAGAGGGCACCAGGGCACCGAGGGGTAGGTGAGGTTTTAATGGCAAAGGCCGCAATTACTTTTGCACCAACCTAATATCTTGGTACCCTGTCTCCTTCACCTCCCTCCCACCTTACTCCACTTGAGTTCCTGAGGGAGTAATTTGGACACTCAAAACCTGAGTTGCCCTAGTCGGGGAGAGATACTTGTGGGGGAACAGCCACAGAGTGGGGAGCCATGGGCCAGGAAAGATCTCTTGGCTGTGTGGATTAGGTGAAAGGGCTGCACCTGAAACCTCCAAATGGGCTGAGAACAGGGAGCTTAGGGCTGAGGTGGGAAGTGGCATGGAGCGGGTGCATGGAGGTGGTACCCTCCATGCTTTTGTTTGCATGGCCCTGCCTCCAGGCCACTTTGGCCACCATCTCCATGCAAACACCAGCTCAGAAGAGGAAGGCAGGCTCATTAGGAGAAGCCGTGAGTTGGGGATCTGAAAATCTGGGTTCGCTAAATGACTCCTTTACCTCAGTGTGCTGTGTATGTTCTTGGGCGAATCATTTCACCTCTTTGGGCCTATTTCCTTCATGTTAACATGGGATAATTGCTGAAGTGGACTTTCGTAAGGCTCAAAGCACTCTGTATTGTGAAAAGGGCTCTCTGAATGGTATCTGAGGTTTCTTTTATTCTCCTCATCCCTCTCCTCAGTCTTTACACTGCCAAAGCCCTCTTTCCCACTCTGACATTCTCCTTGGGCCACTGGCAGTCTCTACCTGTCACTCCCCCTGCTGCTCTCTATTACCCTTCTCACCACAGGCCACAGCCCTGGATTCTGCCTTCCTCTACCCACCACTTCCCCAGTGGTTTCTGCCAGACTTCCCCTCCCCTGGCAAAGGCCCTTGGGCTCAGACCTCAGACTCCAGGATCCACCTCTAGGCACTGCCCCGCTTGGTGGGAGTGAGGCCTAAGAAAGGAAAAGAAGGCGGTAGGCCAGGGCCTGAGTCAGGGAAGGAAAGGCTGGAGCTGGCCAAGTAGGGTGCAGGCTCTGAGGGGGAAGAAGGAGCCCCAGATTCATGGGAAGGTAAATTCTGACTACCCCCATCACTGGGACCAGGTGAGAGCCTCTCAACGGACCAGCCAAGAGCACTAAGCTGCATTTTGTGGATGCCTAAAGAGATGCACTGAGGCCGGGCACGGTGGCTTATGCTTGTAATCCCAGCGCTTTGGGAGGCCGAGGTGGGCGGATCACTTGAAGTCAGGAGTTCGAGATCAGTGTGGCCAACATGGTGAAACCCTGTCTCTACTAAAAATATCAAAATTGGCTGGGCGCGGTGGCTCACGCCTGTAATCCTAGCACTTTGGGAGGCCACGGTGGGCGGATCACGAGGTCAGGAGATCAAGACCATCCTAGCTAACATGGTGAAACCCCGTCTCTACTAAAAATACAAAAAATTAGCCGGGAGTGGGGGCGGGCACCTGTATCCTAGCTACTCGGGAGGCTGAGGCAGGAGAATGGTGTGAACCCGGGAGGCAGGGCTTGCAGTGAGCTGAGATCGCGCCACTGCACTCCACCCTGGGTGACAGAGCGAGACTCTGTCTCAAAAAAAAAAAATCGAAATTAGCAGGACATGGTGGTACGCTCCTGTAATCCCAGCTACTCAGGAGGCTGAGGTAGGAAAATCGCTTCAACCCGGGGGACGGAGGTTGCAGTGAGCTGAGATTGTACCATCGCACTCCAGCCTGGGTGACAGAGTGAGAATCTGTCTCAAAAAAAAAAAAAAAAAAAAAGACACATTGACCTGCCAGGGATAAGAAATAAGCTCAAGTTGGAGTACCGTAGAGGCTAGGCTGCTGTAAAAAAGAATGGACAGGCTCTCCGTGTACTGATGTGGGATCCTGAATCCTGTCCAAGGTTTATCAAAGGAAAAGAAGCAAAGTGCAGAACAGCGTGGAGAGTATGTTAACTAGGAAGAGTAATATATCCAGAATCCAGCCACCCCTCACTACTGCTATTGCTATAAACCTGGTCCGAGACCACCAACATGTCTGGCCTATATTGTGCCATTACCTCCTAATAGGTCACTCGTATTCTACCTTTGCTCCCCTGAAATCTATTCTCAACACAGCAGCCAGCTTGAGCCTTTTAAATTAAAAAACTCATTTCACACTCAATATTCGGCAATAGTTCCTCATTTCACTCAGCATAAAAGCTCAAATTCTTAGGCCCTCTATGACCTGCCCCCATTCCCACCTCCAGCTCGATTTCCACTTCTTTTTTCTATAGTGCCTATCATCTAATAACATATACATACTTTAAAAAATGTTTATAGTTTGTCCTCTCCACCCCCTAAAATGTAAGCTTCACAAGTACAAGGATCTGTTTTGTTCACTGCTGCATCCAAAGACCCACAGTGACATATAATATACACTCAATAACTCAATATTTGTTGAATGAATGAAGATGCAGTCTATGCACAGACTGGAATGTTCTCCAAGAAACTGGTAACCATGGTTGCCTCCAGGGGGAGCGCTAAAGGATTGGGGGATAGACGTGGAGACTTTTAACTATTAGAGTTCTTTTTTTTTTTTTTTTTTTTTTATAAGACGAAGTCTTGCTGTGTCACCCAGGCTGGAGTGCAATGGTGCAATCTTGGCTCACTGCAACCTCCACCTCCTGGGTTCAAGCCATTCTCCTGCCTCAGCCTCCCAGGTAGCTGGGACTACAGGCATGTGCCACCACGTCCAGCTAATTTTTTTGTATTTTTAGTAGAGATGGGGTTTCACCATGCTGGCCAGGCTGGTCTCGAACTCCTGACCTCAAGTGATCCACCCACCTCGGCCTTGTCCCAAAGTGCTGGGATTACAGATGTGAGCCACCGCGCCCGGCCTTTTTTTTTTTTTTTTTTTTTGAGACAGAGTTTCATTCTTGTCCCCCAGGCTGGAGCGCAGTGGCATGATCTCAGCTCACCGCAAACTCTGCCTCCCGGGTTCAAGTGATTCTCCTGTCTCAGCCTCCCAAGTAGCTGGGATTACAGGCACTCACCACCTCGCCCAGCTAATTATTTTTAGTAGAGATGCAGTTTCACCATGTTGGCCAGGCTGGTCTAGAACTCCTGACCTCAGGTGATCTGCCCGCCTCTGCCTCCCAAAGTGCTGGGATTACAGGTGTGAGCCACTGTACCTGGCCTGGCCTAAAGTTCTTTACTCTGGGCATATATCACCTTTACAAAAAGAATCTAGAAAAAAAAAAGAGTTAACTAAGAAGAAGGCTGAGGAAGAGCTGGTCCCAGGCAGGGAGGAAGAGGGCACTATCTATAATCTCCAGGCCAGTGCCCCAAGTGACAAAGGGCTGGGGGATGATAACTGGCCCCCCAGGAGGGGCCAGAGAATGCTGGATGGGAATCCCAGGGAAATACTGAACAGTCCCAAACAGGCTGGCTCTGAGGTTTGGGGGGCTGTGGGTGGGCAGATCAGTAAGCATAAGCACCCCCTGAGCAAGACGATACACATGGCTGGTGTATATCTACCACCGGGAGTAACTCATGGAAAATACCAGCTGTGGCTACCAAGAGGAAGTAAAGAGCCAATTCTGCTCAATCTAGCTGTTTATGTCCTGATAGGGCTGTGTCATGATAAGCCTGAGGGACCTGTGTGGCCACACAGGTGTCTTTCTCTGGTAACTTTGTATGTGAGCTGGGAGCTCTTGTAGCTCATGGGGTCCTACTTCCTTGATGAGCTGGGGACTAGCCTCAGCGCAGTGCTTTCCCCAAGATCCTCAGAGGCAGGAAGCTGCCTGGACCAGGTCTTCTATTTGGGAAAGGGCTGGGTCCTCTGGGTTTCCACACACCCTTGGCCTCACAGATGAAGACCCTACTCAAGCTGGGTCCCCTCCTTACCCACAGATTGAGAGGAACCTGAACTGTCTTCCACCCTCCCCACTCAGGAACCAGTGAGTCAGAAAACCTGGCTTTCAATCTTGGTTCTATTCAGGACAAGCTCCTTCCCTCCCTGGTCTGCACCCTTGCTCCCAGACCGTTCTAGTGCTGACTTTTTCTGATTCCCCTTTAGACACTTATAATCTTGGGCCTCAAGGCCTATGGATTATATTTATAATTCAGTGATTCTCAAACAGGTTTCTTAGGGGGCAGTCCATTCTTGGTACTATGAGGGTATGGTAAGATCAACCATCTGAGCTGGTGGGCTCACTGTGCCAAGCTTGGAGGAGTGCCAGGTCTTGCCACAATCTTACTGGGGTCCTAGCCAGAGCAGTCCAAGCTCCTGCCCACCAGAGGTCCACCAGAGGCAGGGGTTGGGAATGAAGGAGGCTCAGAGATGAGGCAGGTCTGCTAGATGACACAGCTCAAAGCAGGATCCACACTTTACTGTTTACTCATTGTTTATGGCCCATCCTTGGTCAAGCACAGCTGGCTTCAGGAGTCTTGATGGCAATTGGGCTGGGGGCTAAAGAAGAGAATGAGAAGCTAAGGCAAGCTCTGCCACAGAAGCTGCAGCTATGCCTCCTGTTTACTCTACCCTGCCCACCTGAGCGATGCCAGCCATGGTGCTGGTGGGGAGAGGAGGCAGTTCCCTGCTACCATTAATCCAGCAGTTCCTTGATACACCAGCAGCAGAGGAGGATGTAGGCGACTTCCTTCAGGGTCCGCTGGAAGCCCTCCCACCCTGTGCCCATCTTAATGACAGGCACCCGCAGCCCAGTGTCTCGAGGGGCCCCTCCGAGGAAGAAGGGTAGGGTTTGGGCTAGGGGCTGTGTCCGGGGCTGCATGTGGGCAACAGTTCCGAGGAAGGGTGTGGGAGCTGCCTCTAGTGCCTTTTATCAACACTGTCCCCACCCCCTTCAGCCTCATGACTACAGAGACAAAGGATCCAGGGTCTAGCAAAGGGAAGGTTCTAGGCCTGGGAACAGGCTGAGTCAGCCCCTCTAGACAGGGATGGGAGGGTGGGGTTAGTGGGAGGGAGGGCCTGGCCACTCCATCTTTCATCCTCCACAGCTAGGCCAAGGCAGCTTCCCCTCTTCCAGCCCAGGTGGTGCCCTGCCTGATTGCCCTTTTCCCAGTGGTTGGCACAACTCCTGCTTTCGCCCTCTGGTGGGCTCCTGCTGAGGCTGACATTGAGAACCATCAGTGAGAGCTCCTTTCCAGCCTGTTCTGCCCTGCCCCTGGGCCCCTTAGAGTGAGCACAGCCAGTCAGAGCTGGCAGCATTTGACCCACTTCTGCTTCTCCCATCCTCTGGAGCAGGAAGACACAGCTAGAGCAACAGGCACAGTGAGAGGCACGGTTTATTGCCAGGTTATACCCTAGGACGGTGTCCTTCCCTCCCTCCTAGGGTGGGAGGTCATGTGCGGGAGTTCCGCTCCTCTTCTTCGTTCTCCAGTAGATAGGCTGGACGGTATGTGGGGTGTCCTCCTGGGCTCAGGCACTTCAGGGCCGGGTTCCGCACGGTATTCTCCCGACTCCCCAGTGATGTGTATCTGGAGCAGGGAGGGTGGAGGGCAAGCATGTGGTAGGGTGGGCGATCCTATTGGCCCTCCCTATCCCAGCACCCTAAAAACTCCCTTACCCATTCCCTTCCCCTAATACCCTTACCCTCGGTCATACAGGATACAGTATGGGACAAACAGCTGACGCAGAAAATCCCAGATGTCTCTGTAGGTCCAGTCCTGGGAGGTCAGAGTAATAGAATAGTCACAAATGCTCACCTTTCCCACTTCTACCCCTGCTGTCCTGGGAAGGGGCCCATCCATGGCTCTTCTGCTCCCTTGGCCTCTGAGGGAGGGCTTGCTATCTGATTCTCTGGTATAGCTTGCTCTATGTATGCAAAGAGAAAGAGAAGGACTTCATCTTCTCCACTCTCTGCTTTCCATTCTTGAACCACCCTCTAGTGCAAGGGTGGAGCTTGAGGACAGGGAGAAACCGTCTATTTTTTTTTTGAGACGGAGTCTGGCTCTGTCGCCCAGGCTGGAGTGCAGTGGCGTGGTCTTGGCTCACTGCAACCTCTGCCTCCCGGGTTCATGCCATTCTCCTGCCTCAGCCTCCCGAGTAGCTGGCACTACAGGCGCCCACCACTGTGCCCAGCTAATTTTTTGTATTTTTAGTAGAGACGGGATTTCACTGTGTAGCCAGGATGGTCTCCATCTCCTGACTTCATGATCCGCCCGCCACGGCCTCCCAAAGTGCTGGGATTACAGGCGTGTGCCACCATGCCCGGCCCTATTTTTTTTTTTTTTTTTGAGACGGAGTCTTGCTCTGTCACCCAGGCTGGAGTGCAGTGGCGCGATCTTGGCTCACTGCAACCTCCGCTTCCCAGATTTAAGCAATTCTCCTGCCTCAGCCTCCTGAGTAGCTGGGATTACAGGCATGCGCCACCACAGCCGGCTAATTTTTGTATTTTTTTAGTAGAGATGGGGTTTCACCATGTTGGTCAGGCTGGTCTTGAAATCCTGACCTCGTGATGTGCCTGCCTCGGCCTCCCAAAGTGCTGGGATTACAGGCGTGTGCCACCGTGCCCAGCCCTATTTTTTTTAGACAGGGCCTTTACTGTTGCCCAGGCTGGAGTGCACTGGCATGATCATGGCTCACTACAGCCTCGACTTCCCTGGCTCAAGCGATCTTCCCGCCTCAGCCTGAGTAGCTGGGACTACAGGCATTGATCAGCCCACCTCGGCCTCCCAGAGTGCTGGGGTTACAGGTGTGAGCCACTGTGCCTGGCCAGAACTTCCTGTGATGATGGAAATGTTCTGTATCTCTACTGTCTAATATGGTGGTCATTTGAAATGTGGCTAGTACAACTGAATAACTGTATTTTTTTTTTGTTTGTTTGGACGGAGTCTCACTCTGTTGCTCAGGCTGGAGTATAGTGGTGCCATCTTGGCTCACTGCAACCTCTGCCTCCTGGGTTCAAGTGATTCTCCTACCTCAGCCTCCTGAGTAGTTGGGATTACAGGTGCCTGCCACCACGCTCCGCTAATTTTTGTATTTTTAGTAGAGACTGGGTTTCATCATTTTGGTTAGGCTGGTCTCGATCTCCTGACCTCAGGCGATCCACCTGCCTCAGCCTCCCAAAGTGCAGGGATTACAGGTGTAAGCCACTACGCCCGGCCTGTGTATGTGTGTGTGTATATATATATATACATATATATATATATATTTTTTTTTTTTTTTTTTTTGAGACAGAGTCTTGTTCTGTTGCCCAGGCTGGAGTACAGTGGTGCCATCTCAGCTCACTGCAACCTCCGTCTCCTGGGTTCAAGCAATTCTCCTGCCTCAGCCTCTCGAGTAACTAGGACTACAGGCCACCACGCCTGGCTAATTTTTTGTATTTTTAGTAGAGACAGGGTTTCGCCATGTTGGCCAGGCTGGTCTCGAACTCCTGGCCTCAAGTGATCTGCCCACCATGGCCTCCCAAAGTGCTGGGATTACAGGCGTGAGCCACTGCGCCCAGCCAGAACTGAATTTTTAATTGTACTTAATTTTAAAAATTGAGGTATCCACATACCATCAAATTCATCCTTTTAAAGTATATAATTCAGTGGTTTTTAGTCATATGTATTTCATTCTAATTAATTAAAATTTAAGTATAAATAAATAATTAATGGCTATATTGGACAGCACAAGTCTAAGTCACTATTCTATCCACAGTAGGAAGTGCAATGCCTGCTATTGAATTTGGGCTCAATAAATATTGGTCAAAAGGATGAATGAACAGATAGCACTGCCTCCCTTGGATGATGAGGCCCCTTCATCCAGGTTCCAGGCTCTAGCCTCCCCACTACTGCAGGTGAGCTAGGGTGCAGTGACTGCTGGGGCACGTGAGACTGAAGGTGATAAACCCTCTTCCCCATTACCAGCAGTGGGTTGATGCGCATGAATGCGGGCCAGCCTGGGTCAGTGGGGCTGAAAGGGCAGAGGCTACAGGAGTAGGGGTCAGTCCGGCGGGTGCCCATAAGGACAGCCTCCAGCTGGGGGTGCCGTGCCTGCAGTTCACCCAGGGCCTGCTTCATGCTGCCCTCAGCTTCCAACATCTGCAGATTATACCTTAGGAAGAAACAGAAGTAGGGGTCGGGCGTGGGCTCTGTCAAGCTTCTCTTGGAGCCCAAACCTCCAGGCCCCTAGTACCTCTTGATAGTGTCCTGTAGAAACTGTTCCAGCTCAGGGAAAGGGGAGATGCTGCGGATATACAGGATCTGGAGGGGGTTTGGAACATCAGGTAATTTCCTGCAGAGGGGGAAGAATCCACAGGCTTGTGAGCATGGACAAGGAAATGGCTCCCCTGAAACAGCTCACTGTTCTCGTTGGCCCCTAGGACAGACTCTCACCCCTTCTCCCTTTTCCTTGTCCTTTCCATCCATTAGACCCACTTCCTCTGGGAAGCCCACTCTGACCTTTCACCTCTCAAATCTAAGCACGCATCCCTGGTTCAGGTATGTAAATCTCTCATCTCCCCAGCAGGACTGTGACCTCCCTGTCGTCAGGGATAGTGGCCTGCACATCCATACACAAGGCCAGGCACATATCATATACTCAATATGGTGGGAGAATGGAACTGAGAGGTCACCATGACTATCTCCCTCTTGAACTCCACCTGTACACCCCCTTTCTCCTTGCTTTCTGGGATGTGGAACTGGAGAAACAGATCAGGGGTCTTGTCTCCCGGGGGCAGGCTCACCTCTGCACAGCTGCATGGAAGAGGTGCAGGAGGGCAGTGCAGTCTTTGCCCCCGTTGAAGCCCACACAGAGCTGGGTGAGGCTGTACTGAGCCAGGGAGGTCTCAATGGTCTGTAGGGCACCTGCCACCTTTTTCCCCAAAGAAGACCCTGCCAAGCAGGCAGGGAAGAGGGCATCAGATGGACACATATGGCTATCAAAGGGGAGTGAAGGCATGCTGCCCTTGCTTAAACCCTTCAATATCTTCCCAGTGTTCTGAGGATAAAGTCCAAACTCCTTCATGCTGCCCGCTAGGCCCTGCAGTCTGCCCCTGACCTGCCCTGCCATCTGCCACCCAGCCACACCTCACAGTAGCCTCAGTGTCATTCCTCTGTAGCAGGGGGTGTGGGGTGTGGGCTTCCTTCCATTCCCTAACCCCATGCTGCTTCCTTGCAGGCCCTCATTCATACTGTTGGCTCTTGCCCACCTACTGAACTGATCAAATCCTCCTTATCACTCAGTTTATGTCATTTGGCCTTCTCTGACCCCAGATCAAGGCTGATCTCCCTGCTGTGGGAGATCACTCCTTTCATCACCCCATGCAGGATCACCTGTTTAATGTCCATCTTTTTTTGTTAAAACACTGGTCCATAAGAGCAGGGCATACATTATCCTATTGAGCCATATCCCCAACACCTAGCACAGTGCTGATGAAAATAGGTACTCAATCAACATTTATTGGAAGAATAATGAATTAACAGAAGCTATCTTCTGCCCTCTCAGGGATTTGCAGGAAGCACCCAACAGCCCCTGCATTACTGAGATCTGGGGTGCCACCAATGGCTTTGGGCATAATGCCCCTCCTCCATAAGGTCCCTACCTGATTCAGCGAGTTTGTATACAGCCTCACTGGCCTGCTCCACAGCGTTGGGCATGTAGGGGACCAGCGATCCCTGGGGCAAACGGGCAGTCAGGTAGGCCAAGCATTCCTCCAGGGGTCCTTCTTCCTCTGAGTCTAGAGTCAGCTTCACCTGATAGTAGTTGCTGCCCCAGTCAGGGTAGGAACCCAGGCCAAGCCTACGTCCAAAGTGGGCCTGGGCCTCAGCCAGAATGGGGGCGATGGAGGCTTCATCAGCAGCCACATATAGCTCCTTTGAGTGGAACTGAACAGCTGGGTTTTGGAATAGTCCCTTCATCCCCTCCAGCACCCGCCGCAGCAGCTCTGGAATGCCTGGGAAGAGGTAGACGTTTCGGACGGAGACCAGAGGGAATCTGAAAGGTTGACCAGTGCAAGGATCTGTGCCATAATGCAGGCGGGCAGAGGAGGGCACCAATGATAGCTTCTCCCAGCCTTCCCCTCCTAGGGCTTTGGTGGCTGCTTCCAACTTGGGGTGTGGCTTCAGCTCATCTCCAAAGGCCTGTGCCACTGCCTCAAAGGTCACATCATCATGAGTGGGGCCGATGCCCCCTGCTGTGAGGACATGGGTGAAGCGGTTGGAGAAAGAAGTGACCTCAGCTGCAATGGTGGCTACCTCATCAGGTACAACTGAGACTCGGCAAACCTGGACCCCTAGGGAGCGCAGTGTCCGGCACAGAAAGAAGGTGTTGGTGTCCTGAGTGTGTCCCTGGGGGTTGAAGGGGAAGATGAGGCCATCAGTACTGTAGGGATGAAGGGGAGGGGTTGAAGATGATGGCTGCATCCACCTGATGATGCAGTGCTCTGCTCTTTGAAGGACACCACCTCAGGCTGCTGAGGGGCCTGGACTGGACACAAGAGTGGGAAAATCCATTTGTTTGGTTTTAAAGCTGGGTCTCTGTCACCCAGGCTGGAGTATAGTGGCTCAGTCACAGTTCACTGCAGCCTCAACCTCCTGGCTTCAAGGGCCACCCCAGCCTTCCGAGTAGCTGGGACTACAGGCGCGTGCCACCACATTCAGCTCATTTTAAATTTTTTTTGTAGAAATGGGGTCTTGCCATGTTGCCCAGGCTGGTGTTGAATTCCTGGTCTCAAGTGATCCTCCTGCCTCAGCCTCCCAAAGTGCTGGAATTATAGGTGTGAGCCACCACGCCTGGCCTGCTTTCTTCTTTCTGTCCCCACTGCCACCAAGCAGGTCCTTAGCACCTTTCACCTGGACAATGGCGACAGCTTCCTGGCCAGGCTCCCAGCCTCCAGCCACAGTGCTCTGATGTCTCCGGAGTAACCGTTTTAATGCGTCACTGTGATTGCATCACTCTTGGACTCAAAAGCCATTTGTTGTTTCCAACTGTATACAGAAGAAAGTTCAAATTCCTTTGCAGAGTATTTGGGGCTGTCTGTGGCGTATACCCTATCTTCTTTTCCAGCCCCATCTCCCTCTAATTGTCTACAAAGGGTTTAGTGGTTAAGGGTCTGTGTTCTGATGGCCGGGCATGGTGGCTCATGCCTGTAATTCCAGCCCTTTGGGAGGTGGAGTGGGGTGGCTCGCTTGAGCTCAGAAGTTCGAGACCAACCGGCACAGTATGGTAAAACCCCATCTCTACAAAAAAATACAAAAATTAGCGGGGCGTGGTGGCGCATGCCTGTAGTCCCAGCTACTTGGGAGGCTGAAGTGGGTGGGCTGCTTGAGCCTGGGAGGCAGAGACTGCAGTGAGCCGAGATCATGCCACTGTACTCCAGCCTGGGTGACAGGGACCCTGTCACCAAAGGAAAAAAAAAAAAGGGTCTGTGTTTTGGAGTAAGGGAGCATCAGGCATTAGGCTGGAATCCCATCTCTACAACTTCCTAGGTATGTAACCCTGGGCAGGTTTCTCAACCTCTCTGACCCCCAGTTTCATCAATTGGGATTTTTTGCCGACCAGGTGTGGTGGCTCACGCCTGTAATCCCAGCATTTTTGGAGGCTGAGGTGGGAGGATTGCTTGAGCCTAGGAGTTTGAGACCAGCCTGGGCAACATGGTGAAACCCTGTCTCTACAAAAAAATACAAAAAATTAGCTCTAGCCTAGGCGACAGTGAGACTTTGTCTCAAAAAAAAAAAAAAAAAAAAAAGGGTGGGGGGCTGGGCAAGGTTGCTCATGCCTGTAATCCCATCACTTTGGGAGGCTGATGTGGGAGAATTGCTTGAGGCTGGCCTGTTTAACATAGCGAGAACCCCGTTTATAAAACAAATGCACACAGAAAAATAAAATTTTAAAGAAGAAAAAAAGTGCCAACTTCGTGGGATTTTTGTGTGGGGTTGTTGTGAAGATTAGTAAAATCACATATATGTGATGTATAGGACACTACCAGACTCTAGTAGGCACTTAAAATATAGGGGTCACCAGCCTGGCCAAAATGGTGAAACTCTGTCTCTACTAAAAATACAAAAAATTAGCCAGTCGTGGTGGCGGGCGCCTGTAGTCCCAGCTACTCGGGAGGCTGAGGCAGGAGAATGGCGTGAACCCGGGAGGCGGAGCTTGCAGTGAGCCGAGACCGCGCCACTGCACTCCAGCCTGGGTGACAGAGCGAGACTCCGTCTCAAAACAAACAAACAAAAACCCCACAAAAATTAGCCAGGCGTGGTGGCGGGTGCCTGTAATCTCAGCTACTCGGGAGACTGAGGTGAGATAATTGCCTGAACCTAGGAGGCAGAGGTTGCAGTGAGCTGAGATTGCGCCATTTGCGCTCCAGCGTGAGCAGCAGGAGCGAAACTCCGTCACACACACACACACACACACACACACACACACACACAGCCGGGCGCAGTGGCTCATGCCTCCCAGCACTTTGGGAGGCTGAAGCGGGTGGATCACCTGAGGTCAGGAGTTCGAGACCAGCCTGACCAACATGGAGAAACCCCGTCTCTACTAAAAATACAAAAATTAACCGGGCGTGGTGGCCCATGCTTGTAATCCCAGCTACTCGGGAAGCTGAGGCAGGAGAGTCGCTTGAACCCAGGAGGCGGAGGTTACGGTGAGCCAAGATCGAGCCATTGCACTCCAGCCTGGGCAACAAAAGTGAAACTCTGTCTCAAAAAAAAAAAAAAAAAAAAAAAAAATTGGGGTCAGGGCCAGGTGAGGTGGCTCACGCCTGTAATCCCAACATTTTGGGAGGCTGAGGTGGGTGGATCACTTGAGGTCAGGAGTTCGAGACCAGCCTGGCCAACATGGCGAAACCCCATCCGTCCCTACTAAAAATACAAAAATTAGCCAGGTGTGGTGGCACATGCCTGTAGTCCCAGCCACTTGGGAGGCTGAGACAGGAGAATTGCTTGAACCTGGGAGGTGGAGGTTGCAGTGAGCCAAAATTGATCACGCCACTGCACTCCAACCTGGGCAACAGAACAAGACTCTGTCTAAAAAAAAAAAAAGGGTCTATTAAGGCTGAGTGCAGTGGCTCATGCCTGTAATCCCAACTACTCGGGTGGCTGAGGCATGAGAACTGCTTGAACGCGAGAGGTGGAGGTGCAGTCAGCTGAGATCCCACCAATGCACTCCAGCCTGGGCAACAGAGTGAGACTATCTAAAAAAAAAAAACAAAAAAAACAAAAAAAACACAAATTTACAAAGAATATTAAAAAAGATTATTATTAAAACTTGACATTTGGCCAAGCTCAGTGGTTCATGCCTATAATCCCAGCAAGGTGTGGGAGGATTGCTTGAGCCCAGGAGTTTGAGACCAGCCTGGGCAACATAGTGAGACCGTTTCTGAAAAAAAAAAAAAAAAAAAAAAAAAAAAAAAAATTAGCCAGGTGTGGCGGCTAACACCTGTAGTCACAGCAACTCCAGATGCTGAGGCAGGAGGACTGCTTGAGCCTGGAAGATGGAGGCTTCAGTGAGCTGTGACTGTGCCACTGCACTCCAGCCTAGGTGACAGAGCAAAATCTTGTCTCAAAAACAAAAAAACCCGTGTCATCTGTTATGTCCTCTAGTAAGACTTTCCTGATCATTCGGAGGGGATTCATCCCTTCTAGTACCTTCCTTCTAGCTCACTTATCCACTACGCTGAGTACCTTGAGTCATTTCCAAAAAGGCTGGGTAAAACTCTTTTTTTTTTTTTTTTTTTTGAGACGGAGTTTCGCTCTTGTTGCCCAGGCTGGAGTGCAATGGCACGATCTCAGCTCACTGCAACCTCCGCCTCCCACGTTCAAGCAATTCTCCTGCCTCAGCCTGCCAAGTAGCTGGGATTACAGGCATGCACCACCACGCCTGGCTAATTTTGTATTTTTAGTAGAGATGGGGTTTCTCCATGTTGAGGCTGGTCTCGAACTCCTGAACTCGTGATCCACCCGCCTCGGCCTCCCAAAGTGCTGGGATTACATGCGTGAGCCACCGCACCCGGCCAAAACTCTTAAATATACAATACACACACCTGTACCTCCTCTACTCGAGGGGCTTCCTGTCATTGTTGTGTAGCTCCTCTGCCCTCTACCATACTGCTTGGTAAATTGCAATGACCTTTTTATTTTTCTTTTTTTCAATCAGCTCTCTCAGGTTGAAAAATTGTAGGGACTTTGCTACAAGTTTTTCAGTAGAGTAATTGAAAGAATGAGGGTTAATTTTCCTCCAATATGCTGGATTCACTCCAGGATCCTACTGCAGCAAAGAGGCTCCCACCCTGTTTCACCTCCTTCCATGGAGGGATGTGCAGCAGGCCCTTAAGGACAGGAGAACGCAGCGCCCTCCCCCCTTTTCTGTCCCAGACACACCTTAAGGATCTCATCTCCAACAATGATGATGCCAGCCGTCACGCTGCGCCCCGGAGAAAGTTCAGAGGCCCTAGATGTCATGGTCCTGCCTTCTCTGCCCCTCTGCAAGGCCCTCCAGTAGCCACCCAGACCCCCAAATAGGGGTCGCAAGCACGGGGGGCCTGCCAGGTCTACAGGGCACTGGGGGCCATAGCCTGGGAACAGGGGGTCCTGGGTCGAGGGAACCTGGAGAAGCCAGAAAAGACAATGGGGGAGAGCAGGCGTGCGCGTGCTTCCTTCGAGGAAGACCCTAGTCTTCTCTAACCAGATCCTTGACAAGCGACTCCTTTGTTCCTGCCTCTGGAATAAACGTGTTCCCAAATCCCAACCCATGTCCTTTTAAATGTCTTGCTTAGCTCTAGTCTTAAAAACTTCTTCTCTCTTGAGAACCTACCACTTTAAGTGTCTTCCGTTTGCTGAGCTGGTCTCCTCAAGTGTCTGCTCTACCTTGGGCATCCGTACCCCTTTAAATGTCTACCTTATCCTGGGCCTTGGCCCTTTTCAATGCATTCGCTCTCCACCCCGGACCAAAATCCCGTCTCTTTCTACTTCAGGCTTCTGCACCCTTTCTAGCCCAGAATCCCTTCTTCCCACCAAGCTTCAGATTACTGAGCCCTCTTAGACTCTCACCTGCCTGTTCTGCCCCTTCACCGGCTCTTTCCCTTGTTCCTTTCCTCATGTCCCGGGGCAGCTTCCGTACTTAAAGTCCCGCCTTGCACCTAGCTGACATTGAATGGTGATTTTGGCTGTCGCTTAGACTCTTCCAGGGTCCCATTGGTGTATTCAACTGTCGCTCTCAGGCTTTAGCCAGTGGATGGGAGCAGGGCCGGATTGTTATAGGCGACAACCACGTGGTCACTTCTCGCCCGGAAATACGGGGGCCGGACCTTAGCCCACGGTCGGGGGCGGGACCTCGGGAGTTTAGGGCGGGAAAGGAGCCGTAGTTAAAGGTGCTGTAAGGCCCTCGGGGAGTTTCTGGTGCTGGATTCAAATAATTGTTATGCATGTGTTGCTTTGTTTTGTTTTGTTTAATGGGTCAGTTAGCCATGGTTTAAGCTGTTTTCATTCACCGTGACTCTAACACTAGGCTAAGGGCTTTTACTGGAGTGAGAAAGCATCTTATTTATAGCAGAAGGAAGTTGGAGGGACACCGAGAAAGATTATTACCACTGTCTGTCGGATATGAAGACCCTGGAGTAGGTGAGCTTTTGATGTGTGGAACCTTAATTTATCTCTAGTATAGTAGACAAAACGAATTACTTAAATCTCTTTGACAAGAAAGAGTCCAAAAACCCTCTCTTCCTCCACCTTGCTCCAGATGGTGCTTAGTTCAAATGACCTTTCCCAGTAATTGGTCTTGTAGGTGCAAATGAGGCAGCGAATAGGGAGTGCCTTACATGTTTACTCTGGATCCTCACATCATCCGAGCTTACCCCCATTTCAGTTGCCTTTGTTCTAAAAGTACATCTTAAACTTTTTTCCAACAATAATCTGGGGATCTTTTCATATGCAGATTGATTCAGTAGGTTTGGGTGGGGCCTGAGATCTGCATTTAGCTAGTTCCCATGTGATGGTGATCCCACTGCTCTATGGACTACATTTTGAATGGTAAGGGCCCGAATTCATTCTTTGTTTTTTTGAGACGGAGTCTCCCTCTGTCACCCAGGCTGGAGTGCAGTGGCGCGATCTCGGCTCACTGCAAGCTCCGCCTCCCGGGTTCACGCCATTCTCCTGCCTCAGCCTCCCGAGTAGCTGGGACTACAGGCGCCCGCCACCATGCCCGGCTTTTTTTTAAAAATTTTTTTATTTTCATTTTTTTTTTAGTAGAGACGGGGTTTCACTGTGTTAGCCAGCATGGTCTCGATCTCCTGACCTCGTGATCCGCCCGCCTCGGCCTCCCAAAGTGCTGTGATTACAGGCGTGAGCCACCGCGCCGGGCCGAATTCATTCTTTGTAGGACTGGTAAACCACACCTTGCCAAATTTTACTCTTCAAAACCCTTGGTCGGGCGCAGCACTTTGGGAGTCTGAGGAGGGAGGATTGCTTGAGTTCTCTCAATTGAAAAAAAGAAAAAAAGGCCGGGCGCGGTGACTCACGCCTGTAATCCCAGCACTTTGGGAGGCCGAGGCGGGCGGATCACCTGAGGTCAGGAGCTGGAGACCAGCCTGATCAACATGGAGAAACCCCGTCTCTACTAAAAACACAAAAAATTAGCCGGGCGTGGTGGCGGGAGCCTGTAGTCCCAGCTACTCAGGAGGCTGAGGCAGGAGAATGGCGTGAACCCGGGAGGCGCAGCTTGCAGTGAGCCGAGATTGTGTCACTGCACTCCAGCCTGGGCGACAGAACGAGGCTCCATCAAAAAGAAAAAAAATACCCTGTAAGATACACATCATGCTCATTTTACAGATGAGGAACAGGCTCAGAAAGGTGAAGGGATGCCACACAACCACAAAACACAGTGAATGGTGGACCCAGGTGATCAGGTGTCTAGACCATTCTTTTAAGTAATAAGCCCCCCCTCCCTTTTTTTTTTTTGAACCAGGGTCTCTCTGTTGCCCAGGCTCGAGTGCAGTGGCGCAAGCACCGTTCACTGCAGCCTCGACCTCCTGGGCTCAAGTGATCCTCCCATCTCAGACTCCAGAGTAACTGGGACCACAGGGGCGCCCCACCATGCCTGGCTAATTTTTGTATTTTTAGTAGAGACGGAGTTTGGTCATGTTGCGCAGGCTGGTCTTGAACTCCTGGGCTCAAGTGATTCCCTGCCTTGGCCTCCCAAAGTATTGGGATTACAGGTGTGAGCCCCCGTACTTGGCCCTCATTTCTTTCAATTATAAAAAGTCAGCTCTTTGAAAAAAAAAAAAAGGGCAAAACAAGAATTCCACTTGCCTAGTAAACCACATGTTCCAATATCTTTATTAGCAATACAGGTGATATTTGATCCCCTCCCAAAACAGAATACCAAGACTGTTCCAGTATTTTCCTAGTGGATTCTCAAGCTTAAGTGTACATCAGAATCAGCTGGAGAGCTTGTTAAAACATTGCTGTGCCCAATCCTGAGTTTAGGATTCAGTAGGTCTAGGTTGTTGCCCAATAATTTGCATTTCTAATGAATTTTCCCGATGTTGATGCCTGCTATTTTAGGAATAAGTGGATGGAAGACAGGAAAAATGGGGGAGATTAATATCCTTACTTAGTACTAGTATTTTTTTTTCTTTTTTTTTTGAGGCGGAGTCTGGCTCTGTCGCCTAGGCTGGAGTGCAGTGGCGCAATCTCGGCTCACTGCAAGCTCCGCCTCCCGAGTTCACGCCATTCTCCTGCCTTAGCCTCCCGAGTAGCTGGGACTACAGGCGCCCACCGCCTTGCCCAGCTAATTTTTTTGTATTTTTAGTAGAGACAGGGTTTCACCATGTTAGCCAGGATGGTCTCGATCTCCTGACCTCATGATCCGCCAGCCTCGGCCTCCCAAAGTGCTGTGATTACAGGCGTGAGCCACGACGCCCGGCCACTTAGTACTACTGTTTTGTTAGACTAGAGGGGAAGTTATTATTCTGTGGAATGTTTTTTTTTTAAATTGAGACACAGCTTCTGTCGCCCAGGCTGAGTGCAGTGGTGTGATCTTGGCTCACTTTCACCTCTGCCTCTCGGGTTCAAGCGATCCTCTCACCTCAGCCTCCTGAGTAGCAGGGATTACAGGCACACACCACGCCCGGCTAATTTATTTTTATTTTTTTGAGACAGAGTTTCACTCTTGTTGCCCAAGCTGAAGTGCAATAGCGTGATCTCAGCTCACTGCAACCTCTGCCTCCCAGGTTCAAGTGATTCTCCTGCCTCAGCCTCCGGAGTAGCTGGGATTACAGGCGTGTGCCACCACGCCCGGCTAATTTTGTTTTAGTAGAGATGGGGTTTCACCATGTTGGCCAGGCTGGTTTCAAACTTCTGACCTCAGGTGATCCACCCACCTCAGCCTCCCAAAGTGCTGGGATTACAGGCATGAGCCACTGCACCCAGCCTAATTTTTGTATTTTTAATAGAGACGGGAGTTTCACCATGTTGGCCAGGCTGGTCTCGAACTCCTGACCTCAAGTGATCTGCCCTCCTTAGCCTCCCAAAATGCTGGGATTACAGGTGTGAGCCACCACGTGTGGCCTGGAATGTTTTCTTAAACAGCTACATTTTGCACCTGTTTTCTCAAAGCTTAGTTCTTTACCTACCTGCATAAGATGCCTGAAATCTTTACCCCCAGTCCACACTCCAGACCAATTAAGAATCCTTAAGAATGACTCAGGCAGGCATCAGTACTTGTAAAGCTCCCCAGGTGATTCCAACGCCCAAGCCAAGTTAAGAACAGCTGAAAACCTTCCCCAACCAAGGGGCACAGTGAATAGGTCATAGATATGCCTATTATTCCTATTAGGAATTGGGACACACAAGCAGCCCCTGACTGACAGCATCCTTTTATCCATGTGTGCCATTCAAATATTGGGACTATGTTAAAGGCAGCACCCCGACTGTAGGAAGCAGTTCATTTGTTTGGATGAGATGAAGTTGTCCCTATATAACCTCTACCTCAGGCTAGTAGTTAGAGTGAAATATATTTCAGTAGATGTTTGACAGCAAGTCTGCTTAAAGTAGATTAAAAACCAGTTATCTCAATGTTAAACCTCATTATCAGCAAAGAGCTGAGCTTCATTATCAAACTGAAGGGCATATAATTAGAACCATGATATTGATGATGCTCACCCTGAGTGAGGGGGAAAAAACCCGTACAATTACAGCACTAGATTATAAAAACTTCCTCTTTAATCAAGGCTTTTAACATGAACAGATTTCTTGAATAAAATGGAAAGTTTCCAGTACACTGAAACATAAATCCGCAAGTCACCACACATACAACACCCGGCAGGAAAAAACAAAAACAGCAAGTTTACATGATCCCTGTAACAGCCATGGTCTCAAACTCAGATGCTTCCTCCATCTGCCAAGTGTGTTCTGGATACAGAGCACATCGTGGCTTCTGGGGTCACACTCAGCTTAGGCTGTGGGTCCACAGAGCACTCATCTGGCTGGGCTATGGTGGTGGTGGCTCTACTCAAGAAGCAAAGCAGTTACCAGCACATTCAAACAGTGTATTGAACATCTTTTAAATATCAAAGTGAGAAACAAGAAGGCAACATAATAATGTTATCAGAAAGATGTTAGGAAGTAAGGACAGCTGTGTAAAGCTTGAGGCTGAAAAGTAGCTTGCCAGCTTCATTTCTTTGGTTTCTTGGGTAGTGGGCGCCGGAACAGCAAGATGTGAGGTTCTGAAAGAGTGAGGGAAATCTAAGAGACAAGCTCACACCATTCTATGTACAACCTATAGTGTATTCCACTACCACCTCCCCAGCTATCACCCACTCAGATCTTTATAACTAAATAAAGACTTAAGCATATGGCCTTAGAAGCAGACCCAGAAGTCTGGACTGTCTGCCAAGTACAGAATTGTTAATATCAGTTCTTTTGCTATGTTTATACAGCCCCAGGGTGTCCCTTATTAGTTTTGCCTGGCAGCTGGGTGTCTGGTGTCTTATCAATAAATATACTTTCCTTTGCTTATTTAGAACACATCCAAGAATGTTTTCGATGGAGAATGAGGCAGGGGCTATGATCAGGCTATATGTGGCCTTAAAAAGAATACCCTCTGATTGAATGAAAGATTACAGGAGGTTTTTCAGTGACAGGTTGTCTCTGAACTTCCCAGATATTTTAGTCTTATTTTTGGTCACTAGTTTTTTTTTAAAAAAATCCCCCACGACTGGAGGGGGAAGGAACCAGTAAACCATTTCCTATCTCCCTATTTGGGTTATACAATCTTATTCTTTCATTCTCTCAGTGTAGCAGTTCTATATGGTTGTTTTTAGCCAGTGCACTGACCTGGTTCATGGATCATATAATGGACCCATCCCTGACTCTGCTGAACGCCAAGATTCCTCCATTCAGATTCAGACATCAGATGGGTTTTAGGGACCAGCTTGGCTATGTCCTTGGGCAGCATGACATGTCTGTAACAGAAACGGGGAAGTGGGGAATTTATGTTAGTACCAGATACAGTCTCTTAGACAAATGCCTGTTTACAAGGCCAAGAAAGGAAAGAAAAACTGGTTTTTGATGTCAGAGTTTATATAATTTTATTGTGGGGTAGCAGCAGCTAGAAATACAGGCTATGTTATATAAATTCCGAGAGTATATTAAAAATACAAATTAGTGAATAATTCCAGTGAATGAGCACTTAAGTTCAAGGCACATTTTCTCCGCCTTCATGGACCTTATAGTCTTCTAGTTGATTATCTACAACATAATGGGAGCCCCACGGAGCACACAGTGTTAATAATTAGAAGGAAGGAAGAGAAGTTATTTTGTGGCGAGGAAAGGCCTTTTATGAAGTACTGTGTGGACAAGTTATTACAAAGGATGAAATGAACTATCTTGTCCTTTAAAATCTAAGCCAGGCATGGTGGCACAAACCTACAGTCCCAGCTACTTGGGAGGCTGAGGCAGGAGGGTCATTTGAACCCAGGAGTTTGAAAAAGATACAGTATGAAGTTTGAAATCTGATTAAAATACAGAAGAAATAGGCCAGGGGCGGTGGCTCATGCCTGTAATCCCAGCACTTTGGGAGGCTGAGGTGGGTGGATCACTTGAGGTCAGGAGTTGGAGACCAGCCTGACCAACAACGTGAAACCCCGTCTCTACTAAAAATACAAAAATTAGCCGGGTGTGGTGGCATGCACCTGTAATCCCAGCTATTTGGGAGGTTGAGGCAGGAGAGAATCCCTTGAATCCAGGAGGCGGAGGTTGCAGTGAGCTGAGATCTGGGCGATAGAGTGAGATTCCGTCTCAAAAAAAGAGAAAAAAAATAAGAAAAAAGAAAGGGCTGCAATGCACAATGGTTGTGCCTGTGAATAGCCACTGCACTCCAGTCTGGGCAACAAAGCAAGACCTTGTCTCTTAAAAAAAAAATTAAATCTATCCTGAATCTTATTTTCCTAACTCTGGAGGGATGTACCTTGAGACTTTCTGGGTAAATTCCGTGCTTTTCTAACCAAGGATAAGTCTCCCTTCATAGCAAAAAAATTATTACCCTGATGTGAATCAAACTAATCCACATAGTCTTCGTCATGCTCAATGAAAATGTACTAAGTTCTCCCTCTGTGCTAGTAACAGTGATTCCCCACCATTCTCCTAAAAGAAAAAATTCTAGTCCAAATATAATGAAAATAGCTCACATTCTAACACCACCCTGGCACGAAATTTGGCTTCAATACATACACCAAAAAACCCCTCTTAAACCAAAGTGCCACTGCCAAGAGTTTCATCTTCCAGGGGATGAAATGGTGATTCCTTCCCAGCTCCACAAATCTCTTATAAGCACATACAGTTTTAAGTTAGTTTAGTTCAGATGTAGAGGAAAACAGCTGAGGAAAAGAAAGTTAATTAAAGGAGGGTCTGGAGCCGTCTTGGCATAAAGATGATTATGTATTTGTCAATGCACATCGAGTTCTCTGGAAGACCCAAAGCCCTGAACTAGGCTGGGTGAAGAGACACAAGAAAAGCAAGTTTTCATTTTATGTTCTCCAACTGAGGAGACAAGATACAAACCAGGAAGTGGTCTTAATTATTACAATTAATACAGATTAGCATAATGCCAACATTTGTGGAATCCTGTGTCTTCCCTTATTCCCAATCTAGATTATGCACTTAAAATTTATCAAGCCCGAATGCCACATCCAGTGCCAGGATTCCATCATCACCATCCTTGGCAGATGGCTATCCAGTGTCTTCTAAACAATTTCAGTCAAGAGGTGCTTCCTCCCACATACCTTTTTCTTAGAGTCTCATCTCAGGCTCTGCCCTCTAGGAAGCTTTCCCCAACATTCCCTCTTCCGTTTTTCCTCTCAGTATTTTAAGTTTCATGTTCAAGGGTACATGTGCAGGTTTGTTATATAGGTAAAATCCTGACTCGGGGGTTCGGTGTACAGGTTATTTCATCACCCAGGTACTAAGCATAGTACCCGACAGTTTTTTTTTTTCCTGAACCTCTACCTCCTCCCACCCTCCTCCCTCAAGCAGGCCCCAATGTCTGTTGTTCCCCTCTTTCTGTCCCTGTGTTTTTATCTCCGACATATAAATGAAAACACGCGTAGTTTACTACTGGTTTCGTTTTCAATGGTGGTGAAAGAGACATCACGCTGAATTGGCCCTTAGGACACTCCCCCGCCCCCAAACCAAGCCCAGGGAAGAAGACCGACCGAAAGTAAGAGGTCAGCCTCCAAGGCGGTGGCGGGGCGGGGGGCGTTCTCGAAGCGTGGGATGGGGGAGCGTCCTGGAGTTAGCAAAAGTAGGGGACTGACTTTCTAGCCCCACCTCAACCCCCGCTCACAGCTAGGAAGCCGCAGCCTTCGGGTCGCCAGTTCCCTCTCCTTAGCAAGTCTTGTGTGCTCCCATCACACCCTGTAATGGCTCCTTGCATAGCGTGTGTCACCTTTCTGGTGTCTGTCGGTACCACCCACAGATTTTTAAATTTGTGAACAGCAGAGACCATGTGTTATCCTTGCACTTTAGCAGAACACCTGAAACCTGTTAAGTATTCCGTAACTGTTCCCTTTGATATTTAAAGGGCATCTATTAGACCCATATTAAGTATTTTCTCAATGCTCCTAGCCAGTTTTATTCCATTGCAGTCCCAAGCGATCCCCTTCCTTACACAAGCCAGACAACCACGCCCCTTGTCTTTTTCACGAGTTAATAAGCAATATTCAACTCTCTCAGCGCTACTCTCCTGTTAGGGACGCCAGGAAACTTCCAGCTCCGCTTTTGCTACGTTCTCCCACTGGATTCGACAAGATTACTGTGAAACAGTCTCTACAAGGCAAGTTAAGTTTGCCCGATAAAGTTCAGAGAATGATCCAGAAAGCCTCATGGGTGAGGGTGGTCAGTACCCTAACCACGCCCACCCCTCTCTCCTCTCTACTGAGAGGCGACTCCAAATTCGCAACCACTTTGTTTTACGAGCGCCTCCCACCTCCGCGCATGCGCCTTACGCCTTCCACAATATCACACCATTGCCCGTTCGCACCTCGTACGCATGCGCCAATTCTATCGCCTCAGTTCCTGTTACTAATTCCTTGTGCCCTCAGCGGCCAAAGCTCACGACCCTCGCTATTGCTCCCGCGCCAGCACTAACCGATACTCAAACTCCTCGTCGTCGTATTTGTCCGAATAGTAAATTTGTTTGTGCGACATGATCGCTCGGTTTGCTAGCCTTCAGCCCCGCGCCGCCAACCTCCAAGCAACTCCCAACAGCACGCGCTCCCACCCACTTTGGCCTCGCTTTCAAACACGCCGCCCGCACTTCCTATTGGTCCGTTTGGCTCGAGGCGGGACACCTCTACTTTCAAGCCTCCGATTGGCTTAGATTTACTTCTCTTCGGATCCTTATTGGAGGGCAGTTCTCACGCTTCTCAAGAACGAGCGTGGGTCAAAAGTAGGCGTCTTATTGGCCACCACTGCCTTTGTGCGCGATCTCGCGCTGCCATTGGCTAACTCGGGAAAGTGGGAAGCGTGAAGGAGGGACCCTGAGGTAGAGGGTCAGGGGTTAGTGAGGCCGGAAGTGAGTGTAATAAAGTTTCTCCAGGGAGGCAGGGCCCGGGGAGAAAGTTGGAGCGGTAACCTAAGCTGGCAGTGGCGTGATCCGGCACCAAATCGGCCCGCGGTGCGGTGCGGAGACTCCATGAGGCCCTGGTGAGTCTTGACTTTTTTCTCCTTAGGTGACTCACTCTTTCACCCCGGAACCCCTCTCCCGGGACCCCACTTCCGGTCTTCATTTATAAGTCCCGCCCCTGAGACCCCTCTCCCCGGAAGTCCCACCTCCCAACTTCAGGGGGCTCCCCCGAACCCCGACTTGATTTTTATTTTTTGTCTCCGACCCCACCCTGTCGCCCAGTTTTTCTGGAAGTCCCCACCCCCCGACACGTTCCAAGCCCTACTACGAGAAACCCTTCGTTACTCCTTCCATTCTCCGAAACTCCGCCTCCTAGCAACGATCCTCGGCTAACTCCTGTCAAAAGGCCTATCTCCCAAAAGGGCAAAACCCTGCTCTTCAAAGAACGATTCGAATTTGTTGAAGCTCCGCCCCTCCGAAGCCACGCCCCCTCCGTAATCCACGTCTGACTGTCCAGAAAGCCTCCCCGCCCAGAAGTCTGAAGTTCGCGTCCTTAGGGGACCACGCCCCCTTAGGAGCTTTATCTTTGTGGGACCTGGGTCATCAGCTGAAAAGCCTTGTCGTCAATCCCTGAAACTCCACCTGCTTATATTTTCCTGTCCTTTCTCTTTTTGGGCCTTGGGATCAGTTTTCCGAGCACTCTCGTGCTCCCCCAGGTGGGAAGTCAAAGTTCCCATCTCTGGCTGTAAGGAGTGAGATTAAAGGCAGCCGTTTTCCGTTTTCCTTTCTATCTTTTTTTTTTTTTTTTTTTTTTTTAAGACGGAGTTTCGCTCTTATCGTCCAGGCTGGAGTGCAATGGTGCGATCTCGGCTCACTGCAACCTCCGCCTCCTGAGTTCAAGTGATTCTCCTGCCTCAGCCTCCTGAGTAGCTGGGATTACAGGCGCCCACCACCACGCCCGGCTAATTTTTGTATTTTTAGTAGAGACGGGGTTTCCCCATGTTGGCTAGGCTAGCCTCGAACTCCTGACCTCAGGTGCTCCACCCTTATCAGCCTCCTTAAGTGTTAGGATTACAGGCGTTAGCCACTGCGCCCGTCCCCGTTTTCCTCTTTCTTAACCTCCTCCAAGGGTAGAACTATTTGAAAGGGCTGAACGTGGGGTTTGGCACGAGAGGGAGAGAGAGACTTGCCCTCAGACTCCCAGCCTCACTTCCTGGCTTTCCCTTCCCAGGACCAACCTCATCCCAGAAGTAGCTCTAGGCCTTCCTAGACATAAGTGGATAAGACCATGGATTTGTTGGTGTGTGGCATGTGGGTGTGACATGAGCAAAAGTTTTCTACTACCAGAAGAACGGTAGTTTGGAGTGGGGGTAGATAATAGTGCTCTTTTTGTTGTTTGATTTTTTTTTTTTTAAGGGACAGTTCAGTCGCTACTTCTCTGTCTCTTCCCCTCCCCCTAACCAGAGTTCTTGTCTGGGCATTCCTCCTGGCCCCGTTTGCCCAGCCTTCCCTGCTGGAAACATTCCTGAGGCTTTCGCCATTTCCTGCCACTTCCCGCCCCTGTCCCCTCCTCCCAGTTGGGCTGCGAAGCCACACACAGCTTTTCCCCTACACCCAATCACCTGGACTTCCAGTAGGCAATCTCCTTTCTCCCTATGTAAATTTCAAGAGTCATACGTCTTTCTTTTCTTCCGAACGCCCACACCCGTTGGTCCTTCCCTGGCTCTGGATACTGTAGGCTCCCACAGAACATCATCTCTACAGATGAGGGACATCCTAGTGTGTGTTTGTGTGTTTTGGGGGTGTGAGGCTATGGTGGAATCCTTTCCTCATTCTCTCTATGCCCGAGAGCTGGCTGGAAATGAAGTGATAAAATTCCTTCTCAGGATTGGCTGGCAGAGTGACAAAGCTCTTCTGGAATGAGCACTAAGGGGAGATGTAAGAGTTAAGCACAGCATCTAACACACTTCAAGTGTTAATGTTGTTAATCAGGATAATTATCTATCTATATTTTAATTCTCTGAAGTAAATCTAAGGGTAATTCCAAGGTGAGCTGGGGGGAATACGTATTTTTTTTTTTTTGAGACGGAGTTTTGCTCTTGTCACCTAGGCTGGAGTGCAATGGCTCGATCTCGGCTCACTGCAACCTCCGCCTCCTGGGTTCGAGCGATTCTCCTGCCTCAGCCTCCTGAGCTGGGATTACAGGTGCCCGCCACCACGCCCAGCTAATTTTTGTATTTTTAGTAGAGACAGGGTTTCACCATGTTGACCAGGCTGGTCTCGAACTCCTGACTTCAGGTGATCCACCCGCCTCAGCCTCCCAAAGTGCTGGTATCACAGGTGTGAGCCACCGCGCCCGGTAGGAATACGTATCTTTGTTTTTTTTTTTTTGGTCACTTTCCAGCTTTGCCTGTGGCATTCTCCGGAAGAGCAGTGGCAGGAAGCCGTGGGTGGCAGGAATGGGTTTGGGACTGTTCCCTGTGTCCAGCTTCAACCCATCTTCTCCTGACACCCCTTTCTCCTGTACTTATTTTTCTCCTGTCCTTATTGACGCAGATGTGTCTTCTGATCTCTCTGTCCCTTCCTGGCCTGTAGTTTCTACTTCTCTTGGAGAACTGTTTCTTCCACCTCCTCCAGCCAGGCTCCTTCCCTGGTGTGAAGGATGCTGTGCTCTTTGGTGGGGCTTAGGGCCCTGTAAGAGGAGGGATGTGAATTGGGGTGGTTTGGAGTGGGAGTGGGGACCTGATTGCCTCATTCTCACCCTTGACAGTGTGCTGTGTTAACAAGCCCTGTGGAAAGGGGAGACAGGACAGTGCTTGGCTATGAGCCATCGGTCTTGGTGTGGTAGATGGCATACGTAGAGAACAAGCCGTGACCAGCATGTCCTCTTGTTCCCTTCTTGCCTGGTAGCTTCCTGATGTATCATCCAGGTTGAACTTTATTCCCCTTTTTTCACCAGCTTTGCTCTTCCTCTTGGCCCTGCTCTGCATCCATTGGGACCACTTACTTCCCATCCCCACTTCGCTAGCTCCAGTCCACAGCTGCTGTAGCAGAGGATGCTAATGGCCCAGGCTTACTGTATGGGGTAGCGGTTGGGGGTGGCCTGGGCTGGGGCCAGCCAGCTTTCGGGCATAGAGAGGGTGGGGGAATTCGAGTGTCCAACCAGGACAGGAAGGGAAATGCTGAGCTCTGAGATCTCCTCCCTTTTCCACCCCCAGCTGCCTCTGTTTCCTCCCTCATTCCCCTGTACTCCTGCCTGGCTTCCTGCCCCCTTTGGCCTGCGTGTGTCCGGTTTTGAGTGACCCAGACCTCCTATCTCCTTCCTTTCCGTCCCACTCTTCCATCCTTCCCTCCCACCCCCACTTTACTTCTCCCCAGATTACTAGTTGTTTGTATAGGGCAGGGGAGAGGGGCTTGGATAGCCCTACCCCCTGCTCCAGTTCGAGGTTGGGGCGGGGTGGGGGCTCAGCCCCTCTGAGCCTGTGAGTCAGCACTGTCCTCACGATTGGTCTCTCCCCTTAGCTCCCCGCCCCTGGGGAGGAGCCAGAAGCGCTGGGTCCAGCCTGTTCTCTTCTCAGCCAGAGAAGAGGCTCCACGTTGGGCGGGGATGGGGCCTGAAACTGTCTGGGTCTGAGCTGGGGAGCGGAAGCCACTTGTCCCTCTCCCTCCCCAGGACTTCTGTGACTCCTGGGCCACAGAGGTCCAACCAGGCTAAGGGCCTGGGGATACCCCCTGCCTGGCCCCCTTGCCCAAACTGGCAGGGGGGCCAGGCTGGGCAGCAGCCCCTCTTTCACCTCAACTATGGATCTCCTGCCCCCCAAGCCCAAGTACAATCCACTCCGGAATGAGTCTCTGTCATCGCTGGAGGAAGGGGCTTCTGGGTCCACCCCCCCGGAGGAGCTGCCTTCCCCATCAGCTTCATCCCTGGGGCCCATCCTGCCTCCTCTGCCTGGGGACGATAGTCCCACTACCCTGTGCTCCTTCTTCCCCCGGATGAGCAACCTGAGGCTGGCCAACCCGGCTGGGGGGCGCCCAGGGTCTAAGGGGGAGCCAGGAAGGGCAGCTGATGATGGGGAGGGGATCGTAGGGGCAGCCATGCCAGACTCAGGCCCCCTACCCCTCCTCCAGGACATGAACAAGCTGAGTGGAGGCGGCGGGCGCAGGACTCGGGTGGAAGGGGGCCAGCTTGGGGGCGAGGAGTGGACCCGCCACGGGAGCTTTGTCAATAAGCCCACGCGGGGCTGGCTGCATCCCAACGACAAAGTCATGGGACCCGGGGTTTCCTACTTGGTTCGGGTGAGTGAACATCCTCCTCTCCATTCCCCCGCAGACCCCCTCCAGTTCTAATGCTCACTCCAGCTTGGCCGGAATCTCTTTTTTCCTGCTGTTCCCCAACAACCCCGTTTCAGTGTCCTATTTCCTAAACCTTTCTCATCCCTTCCCCGATTCTGTAGCCCCTTCCCTTCCAGCTTTGCCTGGGCCCCCTTCCTTCTTTTCACTCCCCCACCCCCACCCTGGCATGCTTAGCACAATGCCCAGCATGGCAGAAGCTCTTAATAAGTGTTGGAATGAATGACTTCTTGATCTTTCCTCCATTCTCCTCCCGCTTTCTGGAGTTGTCACTCCATCCCAGCCAATGCCTGTCGGTCCCCTCCAAACTCTCTCCCCAGTGTGTGAGGTCCTTCTAGCCTGCCTTTTCTTTTTCTCCTCATTCCCTGTTGTCTTTCACCTTGGTTGTGGGATGTAGCCACGGGAAGTGGGCAGAACTTCTTCCTCTTTACTTCCCTTAGGGACCATATGGGTAAAGTCCTAGGGCCCTTTGTGAAGGGGCTGGGGTGGGGGAGCCGCTGACCTGCTGTCCTCTTCTCCCTCCCCTTAGTACATGGGTTGTGTGGAGGTCCTCCAGTCAATGCGTGCCCTGGACTTCAACACCCGGACTCAGGTCACCAGGTTAGTGGGGAGGGAGTGGATTGTGGGAGTCCTGGGATTAGTGAGGCCATGGGAAACAGAGGAGGGGAGTGGGTCACTTGGGTGCTGCTGCTGGGGGCTGATCTTTGCGTAGTAAAGGGGATTGAGAGAAAGCTGAGGTAGTGATTCCGCCTCTTACTGAAAGGAGGCCCCTTTGGCCCGGATCCTCCTTACCTATCCAGCCTTGGGAGTTGTGGGGAAGGTGGCAGAAGCAGCTGGCAGGTGGAGCTGGAGTAGAAAAGGGGGGTAGATGGAAGGTTGCTGCTGCCTTTGGGAAGGGAATGGGACATTTGGTAGCTGGAAGGGGGTGGGGCTATACCCATTGAGGCCCTAACCCAATCAGCCAGGAAGTGGCCTCTCAGTGTCATCAAATATTAAAGGCCCTTAATTCAATCCACCATGACAAAGAGCCTGGAGTGCCCTGGGAGTCTGGCCTGGCTTTCCCCTCCCCCAGCCCTGTGGCAGCCCCAGTTGAGTGGGAGGCAGGCAGGCAGGCGCTGGGTCTGAGTACCCCTCTTTCCCCAGGGAGGCCATCAGTCTGGTGTGTGAGGCTGTGCCGGGTGCTAAGGGGGCGACAAGGAGGAGAAAGGTACTTGGGGTCCTTGGGGATAGGGATGCTGCTGGGAAATGTGGAGGGGCAGTGGGGAGGCAAGTGTGGGGCATGTGGGGAGAGGGCCAGGAGGCAAAAGTGTGGTTTGCCTGTGCTGGGAACCCTCACCTTCTGAGACCCTGGGCCCTACCTTAGCCCTGTAGCCGCCCGCTCAGCTCTATCCTGGGGAGGAGTAACCTGAAATTTGCTGGAATGCCAATCACTCTCACCGTCTCCACCAGCAGCCTCAACCTCATGGCCGCAGACTGCAAACAGGTTGGTGAAGGTGGGCAGACGGACCAGAAACACTGATGGGGGTGCTAAGGGGAGATCTAGTTAGGAGGCCAAAATCTAGGAAGAGGGCTTGAGAGCAGGAGACCAGTAGGGAAGGAGGAAATGAGGATATGGGATAAGGAACCCAGAGAATGAGACTGGGGCACCAGGGTTCTGGGCCCTGAGGCTGCCTGACACATGGCATTCCCTTCCTTCTTCATCCCCTGCCCTAATTCTCAGATCATCGCCAACCACCACATGCAATCTATCTCATTTGCATCCGGCGGGGATCCGGTGAGTTGGGGAACAGAGCAAAGGCGGTGGGAGAAGAGCAAGGGGCTAGGGATTGGGAAGACATTGATTAGAGAAGTGGGGGTGCTAGGATTGTGGGGATATCTGAAAAGGACTGGGTTTTAGGGGTCAGGAGTAAAGTAGAACTGTAAAATTTTTTGACCTTCCTCCCCAGGACACAGCCGAGTATGTCGCCTATGTTGCCAAAGACCCTGTGAATCAGAGAGGTGAGGCATGGTGGGGAGCACTGGGTGGGTCTGGCTGTTTGAGGAGGTGAGTAGGACCTTTGGTCATCTGTACCCACTCTAAGTAGATCTCAGTGGGGGTTCCTGCAGAGGAAGATGAGGGCCCCTGTCTGTGCCTCCTCCCAGTGGGCTCAGCTCACTGACAGCCTCTGCTGTGCCCTCAGCCTGCCACATTCTGGAGTGTCCCGAAGGGCTTGCCCAGGATGTCATCAGCACCATTGGCCAGGCCTTCGAGTTGCGCTTCAAACAATACCTCAGGAACCCACCCAAACTGGTCACCCCTCATGACAGGTGAGCAGGTGGGGAGAGTGTGGAGCAGCTCTTGGATTAGGATTAGGAAAGGAGGGCTGCTCTTCCTACACTTGAGTTGAGAGGTTCAGGGAGGGAATAACCTGTGTGCCTCTGCTTCCCACTTCCTGCTATTCTTCTGTTTCCTGTGGCCCAGGAGGAAAGACTTTTGAGGCCCTGCTTGCCGCAGGACCAGCTTTTCTTGTTTGCTCATGGTGGAGTTGTAGTCCGGGGCCTCCAAGTTACATCTCTCTCTGGCTAGGTGGGATTTTCTACTCCCATCCCTCTTTCTTGCTCATTTCTCTGCTTGGCATTATGTGTTTTCCTGCCTCTAGAAGCCATCAAGAATTTGGGTTTGGGAGGATATCTCTTTTCCCTGAGATTACAACCTTTCCCACCTCAGGCCTTGAGGGATAAGCAGTGGAGCCAGTAGGGATTGAATATTTAGGAGAGGTTAAAATATTCTGGAGCTGGAGTGCCTCCCCCGGCCCCCCACCCCCCTACATGGTGCTTCCCTTCCTTGTTGGGAGATAGCACAGAGATCAAGAGCAAGAGCATTACTTATTTGAGACAGTCTTGCTCTGTAGCCCAGGCTGGAGTTCAGTGGTACAATCACAGCTCACTGTAGCCTCCATATCCTGGGCTTGAGTGATCCTCCCACCTTAGCCTCCTGAGTAGCTGGGGCTACAGGTGCATGCCACCACACCTGGCTGAGTAGTAGTATTTTTATTCTGGTAGAGATAAGGTCTCGCTATGTTGTCCTGGCTGGTCTTGAACTCCTAGGCTCAAACAACCCTCCCTCCTTGGCCTCTGAAAGTGTTGGGATTATAGGCGTGAGCCATTGCACCTGGCCAAGGGGATGAGCTTTAAAGTCAAACCTGAATTTAAATCTGAGCTCGGCCGCCTTTTAGTTGTGAGACCTTGGGCAGATCTTTTCACCTCTGACCCTCATTTTCCTCATCTGTAAAAGTGGGGAAGGAAACAATACCTACCTTACGGGGTTGCCAGGAGAATGAAATGATTATGTATATAAAACACTCAGCCTCAGGCTTAATCCATAGTAAATACCCAATAGATGGCTGCTGTTCTATTCTGTCCTTCCCTCCTCCTGCCCACCACACATTTACAGCCACAGCTTCACTGTCCTGTCCCTCAGGATGGCTGGCTTTGATGGCTCAGCATGGGATGAGGAGGAGGAAGAGCCACCTGACCATCAGTACTATAATGACTTCCCGGGGAAGGAACCCCCCTTGGGGGGGGTGGTAGACATGAGGCTTCGGGAAGGAGCCGCTCCAGGGGCTGCTCGACCCACTGCACCCAATGCCCAGACCCCCAGCCACTTGGGAGCTACATTGGTAAGTTGCTTGGATGGAGGCGGGCTGGGGCTAGGGTGGGAGTGGTTGGTTAGGGCTTCTGGTCTCACCTTATTTTTATCCCTGCAGCCTGTAGGACAGCCTGTTGGGGGAGATCCAGAAGTCCGCAAACAGATGCCACCTCCACCACCCTGTCCAGGTATGAAGGGAGCCGAGATAGGCAGAGCTGGGGAGTGTTGGAGGCAGGGCTGGGATCACTGTAGAGCCTCCCTTTCCTCAGCAGGCAGAGAGCTTTTTGATGATCCCTCCTATGTCAACGTCCAGAACCTAGACAAGGCCCGGCAAGCAGTGGGTGGTGCTGGGCCCCCCAATCCTGCTATCAATGGCAGTGCACCCCGGGACCTGTTTGACATGAGTGAGTGCTCGTCTCTCTCCTCTCTGCATCCCCACCTTTCTACTTGGTTCTGGCCCTTCTCCTGCCTATCTGCTCTTTCCTTCCTGACTTCCCTTCCCTGAAGTCTGGGTCTTGGGTGTGTGTTGTGCCTGCTACTTCCCCTCACCCTCCCTCTATACTTCCAGAGCCCTTCGAAGATGCTCTTCGCGTGCCTCCACCTCCCCAGTCGGTGTCCATGGCTGAGCAGCTCCGAGGGGAGCCCTGGTTCCATGGGAAGCTGAGCCGGCGGGAGGCTGAGGCACTGCTGCAGCTCAATGGGGACTTCCTGGTACGGGAGAGCACGACCACACCTGGCCAGTATGTGCTCACTGGCTTGCAGAGTGGGCAGCCTAAGCATTTGCTACTGGTGGACCCTGAGGGTGTGGTGAGTGTGGCAGAGGTGTGGGTGAGGGGTGGCAAAAAGGAAGGTACAGTACCCTACAGTGTATCCCTCTTCCTTCCCTCATTGCTTTGTAGACATTCCCGCTGGGCAGCTGTCTATGGGCCTCTCTTGCTCTTTAAAGTGTCTGGCATCTTCCTCCAGAGGCTCATCCCTTAGCCTGAACTATGTTCTTTATAGTCCTGGCACAGGGCCAGGCGTGGTGGCTCACACCTGTAATCCCAGCGCTTTGGGAGGCTGAGGCAGGTGAATCACCTGAGGTCAGGAGTTCGAGACCAGCCTGACCAATATGGTGAAACCCTGTCTCTACTAAAAATACAAAAATTAGCCGGGTGTGGTGGCAGGCACCTGTAGTCCCAGCTACTCAGGAGGCTGAGGCAGGAGAATTGCTTGAATCTGGGATGCAGAGGTTGCAATGAGCTGAGATCACACCACTGCACTCCAGCCTGGGTGACAGAGTGAGACTCTGTCTGAAAAAACAAAACAAAACAAATACAGTCCTGGCCCGTCCTCAAATCCCCAAGCCTTAAGCTTATCAGAGCTAGAAGGCAGTCATCTCATCTGTGCCCCTCTTTTGACAAATAAGGAAACCACCCTGAAGAGGTTGTGATGCCCAATGTCAGATGGTTAGAGGCTAGACACTGCAAGTTTCCTTTTGTAAGAAGATCCAAG
Organism: Homo sapiens; assembly: GCF_000001405.40. Classification (NCBI taxonomy): domain Eukaryota; kingdom Metazoa; phylum Chordata; class Mammalia; order Primates; family Hominidae; genus Homo; species Homo sapiens. The sequence continues at coordinate 154,964,855 of NC_000001.11, read as the reverse complement.
GGCTTCTCCAGCTCCCCAGACTCAGGACTCAGACCACTGTGCTTTCTCTTATCTGCACTGCCTCACTGTTCTTCAAAACTTTCCTTGTTTAGCCAGGTGTGGTGGTTCATGCCTGTAATCCCAACATTTTGCGAAGCTGAGGTGGGAGGATTGCTTGAGGCCAGGAGTTCAAGACCAGCCTGGGCAACATAGCGAGACCTTGTCTCTAGTCAGGAATGGTGACACATGCCTGTAGTCCTACCTACCCAGGAGGCTGAGGCCTGAGGATCGCTTGAGCCCAGGAGTTCGAGGTTACAGTGAGCCATGATTGCGCCACTGTACTCTAGCCTGGGTGACAGAGACCCTGTCTGGAAACAAAAAAACTTTTGTTTGTTTTCTACAGTAATCTCAGCTTCCTTTCTTTTTTTTTGAGATAGGGTTTTGCTTTGTCACTCAGGCTGCGGTGTGGTGGCACACCTGGCTAATTTTTGTATTTTTTTTTTGGTAGAGATGGGGTTTCGCCATGTTGCCCAAGCTGTTCTTGAACTCCCGGGCTCAAGTGATCCGCCTCCCTCGGCCTCCCAGAGTGCTGGGATTACAGGCACGGACCACCATGCCCAGCCTCCACATCTTTTTTTGCACTGTGTATACTCTTCTGAGACATGCCAACTTCCTCCAGGTCAAGAAAGGGGTATATAGCTCTCAGCTTCACTCTTTCAGGGCTGATGTCGCCTTTGCCTTTTCTCACTTCACTGACCTGTCTATTCCTACAACTGTCTCTTTCTAGAGAAGCCTCAATGATCAGGATTGACAGGCCACACTCTCCCCCACCATTTTTTTCTCCTCCTTCAAGCCTCTTGTCTGTTTCACCCTCTTCCACCTTGGAGGCTGAGGTCTTATTTGACTCTTCACCTGAATTGACCTTCTTCCTTCCCACCCTCCCAGGTTCGGACTAAGGATCACCGCTTTGAAAGTGTCAGTCACCTTATCAGCTACCACATGGACAATCACTTGCCCATCATCTCTGCGGGCAGCGAACTGTGTCTACAGCAACCTGTGGAGCGGAAACTGTGATCTGCCCTAGCGCTCTCTTCCAGAAGATGCCCTCCAATCCTTTCCACCCTATTCCCTAACTCTCGGGACCTCGTTTGGGAGTGTTCTGTGGGCTTGGCCTTGTGTCAGAGCTGGGAGTAGCATGGACTCTGGGTTTCATATCCAGCTGAGTGAGAGGGTTTGAGTCAAAAGCCTGGGTGAGAATCCTGCCTCTCCCCAAACATTAATCACCAAAGTATTAATGTACAGAGTGGCCCCTCACCTGGGCCTTTCCTGTGCCAACCTGATGCCCCTTCCCCAAGAAGGTGAGTGCTTGTCATGGAAAATGTCCTGTGGTGACAGGCCCAGTGGAACAGTCACCCTTCTGGGCAAGGGGGAACAAATCACACCTCTGGGCTTCAGGGTATCCCAGACCCCTCTCAACACCCGCCCCCCCCATGTTTAAACTTTGTGCCTTTGACCATCTCTTAGGTCTAATGATATTTTATGCAAACAGTTCTTGGACCCCTGAATTCAATGACAGGGATGCCAACACCTTCTTGGCTTCTGGGACCTGTGTTCTTGCTGAGCACCCTCTCCGGTTTGGGTTGGGATAACAGAGGCAGGAGTGGCAGCTGTCCCCTCTCCCTGGGGATATGCAACCCTTAGAGATTGCCCCAGAGCCCCACTCCCGGCCAGGCGGGAGATGGACCCCTCCCTTGCTCAGTGCCTCCTGGCCGGGGCCCCTCACCCCAAGGGGTCTGTATATACATTTCATAAGGCCTGCCCTCCCATGTTGCATGCCTATGTACTCTACGCCAAAGTGCAGCCCTTCCTCCTGAAGCCTCTGCCCTGCCTCCCTTTCTGGGAGGGCGGGGTGGGGGTGACTGAATTTGGGCCTCTTGTACAGTTAACTCTCCCAGGTGGATTTTGTGGAGGTGAGAAAAGGGGCATTGAGACTATAAAGCAGTAGACAATCCCCACATACCATCTGTAGAGTTGGAACTGCATTCTTTTAAAGTTTTATATGCATATATTTTAGGGCTGTAGACTTACTTTCCTATTTTCTTTTCCATTGCTTATTCTTGAGCACAAAATGATAATCAATTATTACATTTATACATCACCTTTTTGACTTTTCCAAGCCCTTTTACAGCTCTTGGCATTTTCCTCGCCTAGGCCTGTGAGGTAACTGGGATCGCACCTTTTATACCAGAGACCTGAGGCAGATGAAATTTATTTCCATCTAGGACTAGAAAAACTTGGGTCTCTTACCGCGAGACTGAGAGGCAGAAGTCAGCCCGAATGCCTGTCAGTTTCATGGAGGGGAAACGCAAAACCTGCAGTTCCTGAGTACCTTCTACAGGCCCGGCCCAGCCTAGGCCCGGGGTGGCCACACCACAGCAAGCCGGCCCCCCCTCTTTTGGCCTTGTGGATAAGGGAGAGTTGACCGTTTTCATCCTGGCCTCCTTTTGCTGTTTGGATGTTTCCACGGGTCTCACTTATACCAAAGGGAAAACTCTTCATTAAAGTCCGTATTTCTTCTACCTCTGCCTCTTAACCCTTCTGGGAAGCCTATTGTGTACGCCGCGGGCCCTCAGCGGCAGACGGGGAGGCGGGAGGTCGCGGCCGCCCAGGGAAGCTGGGGGTCTGCAGAGTTTGGGTGCGGCAGAGTGGGGCGTTTCGCGCCACCGTCCCCATGGGGATGTCGTGTCCGCAGAGGGGGCTGGCTCCGGGTGGGTCGAGGCGGGAGCCGGGCCTGCCCGGCGCCCCAGCACCGGCCCCCGGGCTACCTGGGCCTCCCGGGTGCGCCTTCGGCTCGCGCGCGCCCCTCCGCGGCGGCTCCACCGCCCGGGATGGTACGGTCCGGCAGCCGGGCCGCGCGCTGCCGCCCCTCGGTGAGCTGGTGTGGGCCGCCGCTAGCGGAGACGACCCTTTCCACTCGCGTGGTGCCGTGGTAAGCCTCGTCCCTCGCCCGCCGCCTGTTTTCAGGCGTAGCGTCTCGTCCGGTCCTTGCTCCCCCTCCCCGCAGCGCTCAGTGGTGGTGGCCGCGACGAGTTCCGGTTCCGGTTGCTGCCGCCGCTGGCGGGCGGCGAGTCTGGAGAGAGCGCGCAGTTTGCGCGGCGGCTCGGCGCTTCCCTGTCGTCGCACTTTGTGGTTGCTGCAGCTCGGGGGCCTGGGCTGCCCCTGACACCCCTTCTGGGCGATGGTGCAGCCCAAGGGCGCCTCCATCCCCCGCCGCTGCCGCTAACCCGGGTCCCCCACTCCATGGCCGCCTCGGCGCCGCCCCCACCGGACAAGCTGGAGGGAGGTGGCGGCCCCGCACCGCCCCCTGCGCCGCCCAGCACCGGGAGGAAGCAGGGCAAGGCCGGTGAGCGCGCTGCGAGGGGCGGGGGCTGAAGAGGCCCAGGACTTGGGAACCTCAGAGGGGAGGGATGGTGGGCGGGGGGTGTTTCACAGTCTGAAGGCTTGAAGGGAGGCTCAGGTGAAAAGGATGGGTGGGTGTAATCCTCCAGGGGTTGGGGGCAGGTGTCACACATTGAGGACTCTAGGGTTTGGAGCCACATGGAATTCAGTACTCACTTGGAGCTTGAGGATATCGAAAGATGGGATATCTTTCATTTAAAGGAAGACGTAGCTGAGAGTATGATCATCTTCACAATCTATTTTTCATATTGCACCCCTTGTTAGCATTTGTTGAATAAATAAGCAAGTATGTATTGACGTTAAAGGAGTTCCTCAGAGCATGGCTGAGAGAAAAGAGGTTGGGGAAACCTCAGGGAAACTTGTCTGCGTCTTCCTTTTGCCGCTCTTCCAGGTCTGCAAATGAAGAGTCCAGAAAAGAAGCGAAGGAAGTCAAATACTCAGGTGAATGGTGGTTGGTGGTGGGTTTGGTTCCCAGCAGCCCCTTGGCGGCACACTGTCTACTCTGCCATTCCAGTATCTGTTTGTATCTTGTATCAGCTGCAGGGAGGAGAGAGAAAACTGTCTTTCTTGCTTTGCTTCTTGTTCTTTCGCTGAACCTTATAACAAGTTTAGGGGAAAGTATCCTCTCCTAAGAGATGATTCGACCAAAGTTCTTACCACGCAGGGTTCCAGTCTCCTCCATGTTTCCTGTCCTGGTTTCCTCCTGATGATAACGTAACACCTACCACTTACTGATCCTTTTTTTAGTGCCAGGGATTGCGCTAACATGCTTTAACAGTTTGGGGAGATAGGCATTATCCCTATTTTACAGATGAGAAATCTGGGGGTTAAAAATGTTAAATACATGCTCCACAGTCTTGAGGTTGTTTTTCAGGGTCAGAGCTGGGATTCCATCCTAGTTCTGCCTGTTTTTAAAACATAGTTACTGCACTATGTTGGTTCCACTCTCCACCCTCTTTTTCTTGTCTTTTTTTTTTTCTTTTTTCTTTTCTTTTCTTTTCTTTTTTTTTTTTTGTAGTAACAGAGACTTGCTGTGTTACTACTCAAACTCATGGGCTCAAGGGATCCTCCTGCCTCGGCTTCCCAAAATGTTAGCATTACAGGTGTGACCCACTGTGCCTGGCCTGTGGTCCATTTTTTTTTTTTTTTTTTTGAGACGGAGTCTTGCTCTGTTGCCCAGGCTGGAGTGCAGTGGTATGGTCTTGGCTCACTGCAAGCTCCGCCTCCTGGGTTCACGCCATTCTCCTGCTTCAGCCTCCCGAGTAGCTGGGACTACAGGCGCCCACCACCACGCCCGGCTAATTTTTTTGTATTTTTAGTAGAGACGGGGTTTCACCGTGTTAGCCAGGATGATCTCGATCTCCTGACCTCGTGATCTGCCCGCCTTGGCCTCCCAAAGTGCTGGGATTACAGGCGTGAGCCACCGCACCTGGCCTGTGGTCCATATTGATTTTAGACCTGAGCTGCCCACAGTATCAGCCTCCAAAATGTGTATTGTGTTGGTAGTGCTCTCTTGGTTTAGCTCTGTGTTTCCCTCCATGACCCTCTTTCCCTCAACTGTTTCTCACTAGGGCCCTGCATACTCACATCTGACGGAGTTTGCACCACCCCCAACTCCCATGGTGGATCACCTGGTTGCATCCAACCCTTTTGAAGATGACTTCGGAGCCCCCAAAGTGGGGGTTGCAGCCCCTCCATTCCTTGGCAGTCCTGTGCCCTTCGGAGGCTTCCGTGTGCAGGGGGGCATGGCGGGCCAGGTACCCCCAGGCTACAGCACTGGAGGTGGAGGGGGCCCCCAGCCACTCCGTCGACAGCCACCCCCCTTCCCTCCCAATCCTATGGGCCCTGCTTTCAACATGCCCCCCCAGGGTCCTGGCTACCCACCCCCAGGCAACATGAACTTTCCCAGCCAACCCTTCAACCAGCCTCTGGGTCAAAACTTTAGTCCTCCCAGTGGGCAGATGATGCCGGGCCCAGTGGGGGGATTTGGTCCCATGATCTCACCCACCATGGGACAGCCTCCCAGAGCAGAGCTGGGCCCACCTTCTCTGTCCCAACGATTTGCTCAGCCAGGGGCTCCTTTTGGCCCTTCTCCTCTCCAGAGACCTGGTCAGGGGCTCCCCAGCCTGCCGCCTAACACAAGTCCCTTTCCTGGTCCGGACCCTGGCTTTCCTGGCCCTGGTGGTGAGGATGGGGGGAAGCCCTTGAATCCACCTGCTTCTACTGCTTTTCCCCAGGAGCCCCACTCAGGCTCCCCGGCTGCTGCTGTTAATGGGAACCAGCCCAGTTTCCCCCCGAACAGCAGTGGGCGGGGTGGGGGCACTCCAGATGCCAACAGCTTGGCACCCCCTGGCAAGGCAGGTGGGGGCTCCGGGCCCCAGCCTCCCCCAGGCTTGGTGTACCCATGTGGTGCCTGTCGGAGTGAGGTGAACGATGACCAGGATGCCATTCTGTGTGAGGCCTCCTGCCAGAAATGGTTCCACCGTGAGTGCACAGGCATGACTGAGAGCGCCTATGGGCTGCTGACCACTGAAGCTTCTGCCGTCTGGGCCTGCGATCTCTGCCTCAAGACCAAGGAGATCCAGTCTGTCTACATCCGTGAGGGCATGGGGCAGCTGGTGGCTGCTAACGATGGGTGACGCTGGTGAAGTGGCCCAGGGAAGTGCACATGTCTCTCCCTGCTCTTCCAGGGTGATTTTTTTGATGTTTGGCTCTTGGTCCTTGTTTCCACTGGCTTTCCATCCCCATGGGGCAGAAACAGTGGCTCCTGGGAGCAGAAAAGGAATTGAGGTGGGCAGGCAGAAGAGCCTGGATTGCTCACTGTTTTGGGAAACTTACATGTTGAGATCTACAGAGATCCAGGAAACCAAAGCCCTGCTGAGCAGAGCCATTTTGTGGCTATTTCTGGAGGCCCAGGAGTGTGGCTGCAAGAGAAAAGGGGCTGGAGGAAGATCCGGAGGGCAGGGGTGTTCCCTCTGCTGATGATGGATGCCCCTAACACCTGTGCCTAACACCCCTACTGAACCCCACAGCTCCAGCCTTAGTTTTTGGAGTCAAGTGTTAAAGGTTTCTGGCCAGAGGAATTGGGGTCTTGCCATCCCTGCAATAGCCCTTTTATGGGCTCTGGGAGACAGCTTTAGGGAATAAATGGGGATTTTCCCCTTTTTCTACCCACTCCTTTGCTTCCTCCAAGACTTACCCAACTCCTTCCCCCTCAGAGAACCAAATAGCCTGAGGAAGCAGGAGAGTTCCTGGTTATGGCAGTTTCTTGGTGATTTGGGGCTTCAAGACAGTAGGTGAGAGATGCTGTCAGGACGTATCTTCTTCATACCAAAGTCACTGGTCCTTTCTCAGCCTCTCTCGTGCTTTTCTCCTAATGACCATATTTTTGCCAAAAATTGGGATATGTTATCTGACAGACCAGAATATTTGAAGTTTGGGCTGTCCTGAAAGTCTGGACTTTGGTGGTACCCTCCTCCCCCAGCCCATCTGTTGCACATTATACTCCGTGTGTTCTTCAACTTTCGGCGCCCTTATTCCCCTGCCTTCCTGGCTTGATTGAAGGAAAGCTTGAAAAGGCGCAGAGCCCTATACCTCATTTCCTCCATGATAAAAGGATCCAAGTGAGGCCCTGTCACAGCCTGTGGGTAGGGGATGCGGCGGGATCCTCATTGCCATGGTACTCAAAGGTAGAAGAGCCTGGAGTTTGTTGCTTCTCTTTGCTATTCTTTCATATCCTCTTGGGCCTGGTGATTAATTAGCAATTCTCATTCCTCTCAGCCAAAGGCCTGCACTGGGCTTTATTTGTCTTTTTTTATTTTTTAAGCACTGCCTGCCAGAGATGGGCCTGGGGCCTGATGAGGACCTTAGCGCTGCTCGTTCTCCTTTTCTGTTCATGCACACATTCCTCCATGGGGTGGGGAAGGCAGGCATGGGGTGTGGCCCTCGGAGAAGTTAGGAGTCCCCCAGCTCAAGATACAGTGGCAAAGACCTAGTGGTCCCCTACCCCCACTTCTCTCAGTTCCTGGCATGAGGAGAGAAGACCCTGCTCTGGTGGAGCTGACAACCTTTGAGGCTGGGAGGAGAGCAGCCTCTGGGCATCGTTCCCAGTGTCCCTCACACTAAAACGGCGTAGATGGCAACCCCCCACCCCCACCCCGCTGCTCAACTCTTGTGTTTGTTGTTCTGTTTGCCCCATTTATCTGTTGCTGTTTTTGTGTTGTCTTCCCCTGCTCCGCATTTTGTAAAATGGCCCCTGGGGGAGTGTTTTTGCTGGATCTGCTCCCTCTCGCTCTCTCACTCCACTACTTTTTGGAACAAAGTGATGGCAGAATGCGGTGGTGGTGGGGGTCTTTTGTACTGTTGGATTAATAAAATGATTTTAAAATCCCAGACAAGGACTCCTTGCTGTTGCTGTGTGAAAAGGCTGGAATGAGCCGCTGTCACTGCTGGGTAGGGTGCTTAGGGGTTGAGGATATGTATGCTCCCCAGGGTCCCTGGGAGTGGGAATGGCAGATTTGGCCCCTGAGCTGACCCTGGTATAAGCTGCTGAGCCAAGGGAGGCCTGTGTTTCCCCGCCCATCCCCCTGTGTCTCCACTGTGAGAAACTGAGTTTCCTTTTTGAGCATATTCCTGGGCCAGGCCTGGAGCCAGGCGGATTTGGCACCACAGCCTCTGGAAGACAAGTGCTTGAGCTCTTCTGGGTTTAGCACCCCACCCACCTCCCAGTTGTTTGGGTTAGGGAGCAAGTGTCGCTCTAAGGGTGAGGGGAGGGGCTGCTTCTGTCCTAGCAAATTTCATTTTGGGATGTTTTTCAGATCGTTCCCGTCCCCCAACCGTTTTTTAAAGTAGCAATGGCATCTTTTAAGCAGTCTGTTTTGGAGCAGATTGGGGAGAATGGCAGGAGGGCTATTTCCACACCCTGGATTTGCGACCTGTCCCTCTCCCTTCCCCCATCTCACAGCTGTCTCTGTCTATCCTGGGGCCAACCTGGCCCCTTGTCTTCGTCATCTCAGAAGACGGCACCGTCTGCTTTTCTCTCAGTTTGTGGGGGTTCCCTCTAGAAACTGTTTAGACACTGGGAAAGAAGGGCAGGAAACTCAGGATTCGGTTAGCTGGGACCCCGGTCGCCCACCAGGAGGTAAGCCCAGGTTTAGGGCCGTGTCGCTAGACCTCCCTTCCCCTCCCCTGGCTCTCAATTCCTGCTCTTATTGGCCAAAAGTTTCCGCCCCCTTGGGGAAGTTGACTTTTCATTGGTCAGTTTCTGGTCACATGATTTTCTTCTCGGGCTGCAAACAAAGGGAAGCCTGCAACAAGTTAAGCTGAAGACCGAAGCAAGAGCTGGTTCAGGTAATGCCTTAGCTGGGAAGGGGTCCACAGATTCGCTTTGAAGGGGGTGGAATAAGGAAAAGGGAAGGCGGAACTAATCTAGAAGGAATGAGCTGCTTTTCATTTCTGGGCTGGGGGAGGAAGGCCAGGTGCCGACGCTAACACAACAGGAACTTGCTCTGGGTACCCCAGGCAAGTGGCCCTAGATCCTTTGCTTTAGCGGTTTGGAGGAGCAACTGTTAGAGGAGTTTAAATTAACTAGAGGCGAGACTTCCTAGCTTTATGCTGAGTGGGAGAGCTCCCCCTTTAGCTGTTTTTTAGAAATAGCAGAAGTCTCTGTCATAATCCTTACAGGAGGTGTTTGTTGAATCCTGCCTGAATGAAAAGAAGGGGGTGGAGGGAGGGAGTGGAGGTGGGTTTTCTTCCAGAAGGTCGATGAAAAGAAAAAGATCTGGAAACACAGCAGGGAAGGGTGGAGATTAGACAGCAGAAGGAACTTCCTAATAAGGCAGTGAGATGCTGGCTTGGGAGAAGAGGTGTTTTTTTGAACCCTGGGTTAACCTAACCAAGAAAGAGGTATCAGGGTTTGGAACCCAGAGTATAGGAGTTTCAGAGTGTCTCCTATTTGGGTCTCATAAGTATTTGTTTTGTTGACCCAAATACCTTTGCTGGTTTCCATGGAGACAGTGGGTCTGACATCACTGTGGTTGCCATGGTGCCTGGTTCTAGAGGACCTGAGCAGGCTGCACACACAGCTAGGGATAAACAGGGACTTCAGCCCAAGCTGCTGCCACTTCCTTCCTGCCACCACCTGTTAACAGTCAGCAACTGGGGATGGGGAGATGATAACAAGGGCGGGGGTGGAGCCACAAGCGGAAGGCTGAACAGCCATGGCTCTATGGATACTTACAGATGCATGCCAGGGTGTCCTGTTGGATTTGGTACAGGGAGGTCATTGCAGCCATTCTCCTGTCTCCGTGTGGAATGGGTGCATGTGTCTGGGAGGATGGGCATTGGGAAAGACCTATCCAGGACTTGGATCTTGACTGGCAGGAGCCACAGGAGGTTACTTAGGGCACCACGCAGGACTTGAAAACAGCTCAAACAGAAGGGGATAATGTGGTTGGTTTCAAAGGTAGAACTGCCATACTCTCCCAGCCTCACTTCCCTTTTCCTGAGTTTTCTTATAAAGTGCTCGGGAAGCAGTCATTTATCCTGTTCTGAGGGATCACAATCCAGTACTCTTGAGAGGTCAGCTCATCTATCCTTCCACCTTTATGCCTGGTCCCAACAGGAGCTGCCTGAGGGAACTGTTTTAGCCTTGGATGAAGGGGCGGATCCCTCTCTTCTTACCCTGCTTTGTGTCAGTCAGGCTTTGGAAACTGGAGTGATTCCCTCCCCTATCCCTGTCAAGTCAGAGCAGATTAACCGGGTGCAGGACCATAGCCCTGATTTTTGTCTATTTTTTGCAAGCTATAAAGTGATGTATATATACATGATAGTTGCCATAAATCCATTTTCCCAGTCACCTTCAAGTTCCCTAAGACCAAACTCTGGCGATTACTAAGAAGGTAAACAGAATTTAGGATGAAGACTGAGAGTGATGAGGAGACTTATAAAAGGTGCATCCAGGTGGATCTAAGCTATGCCAGTGGCTCTTAACCCTGGCTGCGCATGAGAATCATTTGAGTGGTTTTTTAAAAGACCCACAGCCGGGCCTACCCCCCAACTCAATTGAATCAAAATCTTAGGTGATTCCAATGTGCAGCCAAGATTGAGAACCACTGAACTAGACCATACCAAGGACTTATGCTGGGCAAGTGGTGGGACACTTAGGGCTGAAGGAGGCCATTGAGTCTTCCCTTCCAGGTCCTGGGGGAGAAGGTAGTGATTGTGTAGGTACCTGGTGTTGTGAAGGGAGGGCTGTGTTGTTTCCCTGCTCTTCTTATTAACAAGTCTTCTTATTGGCAAGTTGAGTCTGTCAACCTTGCTGGGCTTCATCTTCCCTGACTCAAATGTCAGGGGGCTGGACTGGAATTCCCCAGAGCCTTTCCAGCCTATGCTACTTTGACCTTTCAAGGTCAGTTCAGTTTTCCAAGGCCCTGTTGGTCCCTGGAAGAGGCTGGCTTCTCTGTGGGTGTTGGCAGATTCTGATTTGCAAGGCAAATACTGCTTAGAAGAGCTGGGGTGTCAGGGAGAGAAGGACTGGAACCAGGCTTGGTTCTGGAGGCTGCTGCCCAGCACTTGAACCTTGGAACCCAGCCAAGGCTGCTTTCTGCATTCTGCCCCTCCTGAAGGGAGCTCCCATCCTTAAGAGAGCTTTCTTCTGCAGGTGGCAGCCACAGCAGCCTCAGGGACCTCAGCAACTATGGCCTCCTGCCCAGACTCTGATAATAGCTGGGTGCTTGCTGGCTCCGAGGTAGGAAGAGCGGGCCTGGGAACCATGGGGGTGGGGTTGGGGGGTGTTTCTGCAGTGCTGGGCTTCTTTCTTGGTGGGTCCTTTTCCTTAGTCCTGATGGTCACCTACATCACTTCCTGCTGGCTGTTAGAGGAATTCCAGTAGCAGGAAGAAGTAGATCAGGCCCCAGGGGTCAGGTGTTGGCACTTGGACCATGCCATGAAGGAAGGGACCAGTTGGGTAAGCTGAGACAAGTAGGGATGGATTTCGAATGGAGAGACCAATGTGAACAAAGGTCCTGAGGCGATAGTGGGGAACGCCATGCTGGGGGAGACTGTGGGACACCCATGGGTGATGTGGAGACGTGGGTTGGAGCCAGTGTTGGAGTGAGGTTGGGGACAGAGCCTGGGAACCCCTGGAAGAGACCGGAAGAGCCTGGCTGAGGCCTTCAGGCCTCATCCTGATGGGAAATCAGTGTGGGGCTTTGGGTTAGAGGGATCAGGACAATCATTGTCTCAGGCAGAGGGTGAAGCCACTGTGCATGCTGGGTGGGAACAGGGAGAGAGTGTTTCAAAGACCCCCTGCAGCAGTCCAGGTAGCAGCTGGTGGGGCAGAAGCCCACTGAGGAGGGAGAAGGGGGTTGGCAGGATGGGGAACTGAGTGGCTAGAGAAGGGATGGCAAAAATTTGTCAAAGGCATCTCTGAGAGTTCCAAGACGTAGCGACTTTGTATATTAGAGCCACCAGGAGGGGAGGAGGAGAGAAGCTCAGTTTCAACATGTTGAGTTTGAGGTGCCCTTGAGGAACCCAGCTGGGAGTAAGGAGTTGACCTTGGGGATGACGCTGGAGCAAGATAATGGACTGGGGCTCACTGGCAGAGGGAAGGCAGGTATGAGCAGACGGGCACCAGGCTCTCAGAGCCCTGGCCTCCTGTTGAGGTGTCTTTGTTGACAGCTGGGGGACCTTGGGCATGCCATTTCACCTCTCTGTCCTCTCCTGTAAAACGGGCGTCATGATTTTTGCCTTGTAGGGGGGACCATGAGAATAAAAATGTTTTGAAAATAGCAAAGACATAACTAAGGTGAAGCATTACTCTCAGAGGGATAGTTGGAGCCACGGGGCGGGTGGCAGGCCAGGGCCCTATGGAAGGGGAGTAGGCAGAGGGAGGAGGCCGAGGCTGTGTGGCCAGGGCTGGATGTCCAGGCTGAGAGTGCCCTGGAGACAGGCTGTCTGTGGTTGGGGTGGGTTGGGCTTCTGTGAGCAGCTGCTGGGAGACGGGTGTCGGGGGAGTGTCAGGGGCCAGCGGGAAAGGCCAGAAAGGCTTGAGAGATGTAAGTAGTTGTCCAGTTGAGAGGGCAGCTGCAGGGACACCCTGGGAGGCATAACTGTGACCCGTGGGCACCCAGGGGACTTTGTTCTCTTGCCTTCTTCCCACCCTTAATATTATAATATCTGGGTTGTTCATCTGTGGGGAAGGAAGTGCTGCTGATCTTGATGGGAGGGAAACGTAGGCTCTAGCTCACCTTCTGGAGGCGGGGCACCAGGTTTGTACTGCAACCAGTGCCTTGGTCTGGTGGTGCGGCGCTGTGTAGCGGAAACCTGGCCCCTGAAAGTTCCTCCTCGCAGTGAGTGAGGCTGGGGAATGCCGAGCACTTGGTGCTGCCCCGAGCCCCTTTTTGGGCCAGCTCATGACTGAATGTGTGTGTTTCTGGGATGTGGGCTGGGGCCCCATTCTTGGGTGCAGCCCTTCTCCTTGCACTTCTCCTCCCAGAGCCTGCCAGTGGAGACACTGGGCCCGGCATCCAGGATGGACCCAGAATCTGAGAGAGCCCTGCAGGCCCCTCACAGCCCCTCCAAGACAGATGGGAAAGAATTAGCTGGGACCATGGATGGAGAAGGTACTGGGCCCTGCTTAGGACATAGCTTACCGGACAAAGCTATTCTCCATATTTTGGGGTTTCTCAGTTTCCTCAGAGAAAGGGAGGCTGGTTCGTTTTAGTTCCTCCATTAATCTCAGTTGACAAACTCCTTTTCTCATTCCATCCTGGCTTTTTCCTGCCTCTTCCAACCTGGTAGGGGCCCGTGGGATGGACAGAGGGCTGCAAAGGAAATTCAGCTGGGGCAGTGGGTTTTTCTGCGCCTTTTCTCCTACCGCAGGGACGCTCTTCCAGACTGAAAGCCCTCAGTCTGGCAGCATTCTAACAGAGGAGACTGAGGTCAAGGTGAGGAGATTTGCTGTGGGAAGGAAGGGAGGCGGGGAGGGCTAGCAGCTGCTCACTGCTGCATCTGCATTAGGGCACCCTGGAAGGTGATGTTTGTGGTGTGGAGCCTCCTGGCCCAGGAGACACAGTAGTCCAGGGAGACCTGCAGGAGACCACCGTGGTGACAGGCCTGGGACCAGACACACAGGACCTGGAAGGCCAGAGCCCTCCACAGAGCCTGCCTTCAACCCCCAAAGCAGGTGAGAGTCTTCCTTGCCTCTCCTGTCACTCTCCTTCTAGAAGGTATGGGAGAGGGATCAGCCATCACTACTGAGCACATGCTGTGGTCCAGGCCCTAGGGCTGAGCAGCTTGGTGCTCTCCTTTCTCACCACTACCCCTGGGACGTTGAGGCCCAGAAAGGTTGAATGACTTGACCAAGGTCACACTGCTGGTAAGGGGCAGGGCCCACATCTGGTTGACTCTTTCCTCTCTGCCATGGGGACCTCCTCTTTTCTTGCTTCCAGAATTCAACCCTCATTTCTGGAGTCCCTTCCTTGTGCTGGCCCTGGGCCTGGGCAGAGGGAAGATGGTTGGTTACCGCCTATGTAAGCGGCAGATCAGACTGAGCCAAGGTGCATATCAGACCTAAGAGTGGTACAGAACTGTAATTAAGGTACTCCCAAAGGAAGGAGAGGCCATTCAGTCAGGGGACTGGTTGAGGGCAAGGGAGAGGCTGGGACAGTGAGAGGTGACATTTGAGTGGAGCCCTGAGCACAGAGTAGGCTTTTGGTACGTAGGGCAGGGAAAAGAGAATGTTTTAGGCCAAGGCTGCAGCATCAGCAAAGGAGTGGGGACCACCTGTCTTGTGCTAAGGAGCTCTGTTCCAGGCTTGTGGCAGAGGAGTGTAGGAATTGGTCCCTGTTGAGTGACAGGATGGAGGGCCTGGGGGCCATTTAGGAGGCAACTGCAGTGGTCAGGCAAAGATGATGCAGACCTGGGCCAGGCATGGTGGCTCGTGCCTATAATCCCAGCACTTTGGGAGGCTGAGGTAGGAGGATTGCTTGAGCCCAGGAATTCAAGACTGCAGTGAGCCATGGTCATCCCACTTCACTCTAGCCTGGGCAACAGAGGGAGACCCTGTCTCTAAAGGAAATAAAAATAGGCGGCAGGGTGCAGTGGCTCACGCCTGTAGTCCCAGCACTTTGAGAGGCCAAGGTGGGTGGATCACCTGAGGTCAGAAGTTTGAGACCAGCCTGGGCAACATGGTGAAACCCCGTCTCTATTAAAAATACAAAAATTAGCTCGGTGTGGTGGTGCACGCCTGTAGTCCCAGCTACTTCCCAGCTACCTGGGAAGCTGAGGCAGGAGAATCGCTTGAACCTGGGAGGCGGAGGTTGCAGTGAGCCAAGATTGTGCCACTGCACTCCAGCCTGGGTTACAGAGGTAGACTCTGCCTCAAAAAATAAAAATAAATAAAATAAAATAAAATAAAATAAAATAAATAAAAATAAAAATAGGCTGGGTGTGGTGGCTCACACCTGTAATCCTCACACTTTGGGAGGCACAGGCAGGAGGGGCTGGGCTAGGGTAACCCACCTAGGCCAGGCGTCTGTCCTAGCATCCTCCCCCAAAAGGAATGTTTCCTATTTACCCACACATCCTGACCCTCCCCTCTCCCACTATAGTCAGGGCGTCTTCCCAGTTCTTGGTTCACATCCCTTGTGCTAAGGTTTGGGCCAGGGCTGGCATACCTGTTCCACATGGTACATGAAACATACATGGTATCACCTGTGATTGATTGGTGTGGTCTGCCTGGAGCACTGTGTGGAAAAGGATTTAAAGAACATGCCAGGTGCCATGATCAGTTAACACTGTTCCAGGTATGGGAGGTGGAAACAAGACTGTGAGAGCCACACATTGGCTATCCTTAGGTGAATCTAGGAAGTGTGTGCTTATATAAAGATGTAGATGCCGAGGCTCAGGATGGAATTTGGGGATCCCTGTGTCTCATTCATGATGGAGATGGGGTGGAGGATGAAAACCAAATCCTCTGGGTGTTCCAGGCAGGTGGATCACTTGAGCTCAGGAGTTTGAGACCAGCCTGGGAAACATGGCAAAACCCCGTCTTTACAAAAAAATACACACACACACACACAAATTAGCCGGGTGTAATGATGCATGCCTATAGTCTCAGCTACTCAGGAGGCTGAGGTGGGAGGATCGCTTGAGCCTGGGAGGTGGAGGTTACAGTGAGTTGTGATCGTGCCACTGCACTCCAGCCTGGACGACAGAGCCAGACCCTGTCTCAAAAAATAAAAATAAATAAAAATAAATAAATATTAAAAAAAAAAGAAAGAAGATGCAGACCTGAACTAAGGCAGGTACAGTGTGGGTTGTGAACAGGGGTGGACTGTCAAGATGTTTAAGTGTAGAACTGTGAAACTGTCTGGATGTGAGGTGGAGAGGGAGGGCTTAGGTTAGCTAGATGGTGGAAGCAGTGCCTTCCCCTGAATTGGGGAAACACCAGAAAAGAACCAGTTTGCAGAGCAGTGTGTTGAATGTTTGGTCCCAGAGGGAGTGGCCAGCAGGCAGTCAGACATACAGGCTTGGAGCTCTGGGAGGCCAAGTGAGGAGTTACACACTAAGGACTCATTGCTGAAGGGGGGTGTCAGTGGTGTGGGTCAGAGAATTGTGACTATGTGTACAGTGAGAAGAGCAGAGAACCTGAAATGGTGCCAGGGAGACCACTGACTTTAGGATCAGGGAAGAGCCAGGGAGGGAGAATGGGAAGGAGTGGCCAGAGAGTTTGGAGGCAACCCAGGAGGGTGGTAATAGCTGCAGAAGTTTGATGCACAGCGCACACTGAGGAAGGAGGATGCTTTCAGGATGAAAATGGCTTTTATAGCTCGTAGATTGACAGCACTGGTCTCCTGCCTCCAGACTGGGCAGGGACAGTCATCAATGCCCAGGCAGAAGTGGGCAAGTGGGCAAGGTCTTCATGTGCCCCTCTCTGGGGTCAGGGCTGACGACCTCCCTCCCTGTGCCTTCCTCTGATTCCCCTCTCTCCCTGTGTCTCCCCATCTCTCCAGTCACCTCACTGCCCTGTCCCTGTCCTTTCCCCTAGCTTGGATCAGGGAGGAGGGCCGCTGCTCCAGCAGTGACGATGACACCGACGTGGACATGGAGGGTCTGCGGAGACGGCGGGGCCGGGAGGCCGGCCCACCTCAGCCCATGGTGCCCCTGGCTGTGGAGAACCAGGCTGGGGGTGAGGGTGCAGGCGGGGAGCTGGGCATCTCCCTCAACATGTGCCTCCTTGGGGCCCTGGTTCTGCTTGGCCTGGGGGTCCTCCTCTTCTCAGGTGAGTGGTACCTCTGAGGCTGGGGCTTTGGGCTTCCATGCCTGCCTGCCTTCCTGCCATGTTCTCACCTTACCTCACATCACCCCTCCCCGAGGGCCTCATCAGACTCCTCTGTCTCTGTCCTTAGGTGGCCTCTCAGAGTCTGAGACTGGTGAGTAGGGAGGAGCCTGTCTTGTGCTGGGGAGTTGTATGTGTTCTCTGGTTCTGTGGGTCAGGAGTAGGGGTGCTGGGGGCTCACATTTATTTCTCAGTTAGTGGCCTTGTCAGCTGTTCAGGGTGCCCCTTGGCCCTTTATCTCACCAAACCGCTCAGCCACAGGGTGGGTCCTGAGCAGGAGTGGTGGCTGTGTGAATGGGAAGGTGTGGGGAGAATGGGCTCTGTGTGCCTCAGGACCAGTTTCAGGGTTTCCCTTTCCCACAGGGCCCATGGAGGAAGTGGAGCGGCAGGTCCTCCCAGACCCCGAGGTGCTGGAAGCTGTGGGGGACAGGCAGGTATGTGTGAATGTCTCCAGAGGCAGGTGGGGCCTGGCTGGGGAGAACCTGGGCTGTGGGGTAGCATGGCATAACAGGCTCTTCTGCCCTCAGGATGGGCTAAGGGAACAGCTGCAGGCCCCAGTGCCTCCTGACAGTGTCCCCAGCCTGCAAAACATGGGTCTTCTGCTGGACAAGCTGGCCAAGGAGAACCAGGACATCCGGCTGCTGCAGGCCCAGCTGCAGGTGGGCACAGGCAGGAGGGGCTGGGCTAGGGTAACCCACCTAGGCCAGGCGTCTGTCCTAGCATCCTCCCCCAAAAGGAATGTTTCCTATTTACCCACACATCCTGACCCTCCCCTCTCCCACTATAGTCAGGGCGTCTTCCCAGTTCTTGGTTCACATCCCTTGTGCTAAGGTTTGGGCCAGGGCTGGCATACCTGTTCCACATGGTACATGAAACATACATGGTATCACCTGTGATTGATTGGTGTGGTCTGCCTGGAGCACTGTGTGGAAAAGGATTTAAAGAACATGCCAGGTGCCATGATCAGTTAACACTGTTCCAGGAAATAAGACTGTGAGAGCCACACATTGGCTATCCTTAGGTGAATCTAGGAAGTGTGTGCTTATATAAAGATGTAGATGCCGAGGCTCAGGATGGAATTTGGGGATCCCTGTGTCTCATTCATGATGGAGATGGGGTGGAGGATGAAAACCAAATCCTCTGGGTGTTCCAGGCTGTAAAACGGGCTCAGGCCACCTGCCCACTATAATAGAATGGAATTGGGGTAGAAGGCATTGGGGCTATCCTGACAAGAACTCTTTGTGACTTCCTTTGTCCCAAACCATATTCTAGGCCCAAAAGGAAGAGCTTCAGAGCCTGATGCACCAGCCCAAAGGGCTAGAGGAGGAGAATGCCCAGCTCCGGGGGGCTCTGCAGCAGGGCGAAGCCTTCCAGCGGGCTCTGGAGTCAGAGCTGCAGCAGCTGCGGGCCCGGCTCCAGGGGCTGGAGGCCGACTGTGTCCGGGGCCCAGATGGGGTGTGCCTCAGTGGGGGTAGAGGCCCACAGGGTGACAAGGCCATCAGGGAGCAAGGCCCCAGGGAGCAGGAGCCAGAACTCAGCTTCCTGAAGCAGAAGGAACAGCTGGAGGCTGAGGCACAGGCATTAAGGCAAGAGTTAGAGAGGCAGCGACGGCTGCTGGGGTCTGTACAGCAGGATCTGGAGAGGAGCTTGCAGGATGCCAGCCGCGGGGACCCAGCTCATGCTGGCTTGGCTGAGCTGGGCCACAGATTGGCCCAGAAACTGCAGGGCCTGGAGAACTGGGGCCAGGACCCTGGGGTCTCTGCCAATGCCTCAAAGGCCTGGCACCAGAAGTCCCACTTCCAGAATTCTAGGGAGTGGAGTGGAAAGGAAAAGTGGTGGGATGGGCAGAGAGACCGGAAGGCTGAGCACTGGAAACATAAGAAGGAAGAATCTGGCCGGGAAAGGAAGAAGAACTGGGGAGGTCAGGAGGACAGGGAGCCAGCAGGAAGGTGGAAGGAGGGCAGGCCAAGGGTGGAGGAGTCGGGGAGCAAGAAGGAGGGCAAGCGACAGGGCCCGAAGGAACCCCCAAGGAAAAGTGGTAGCTTCCACTCCTCTGGAGAAAAGCAGAAGCAACCTCGGTGGAGGGAAGGGACTAAGGACAGCCATGACCCCCTGCCATCCTGGGCAGAGCTGTTGAGGCCCAAGTACCGGGCACCCCAGGGCTGCTCAGGTGTGGACGAGTGTGCCCGGCAGGAGGGCCTGACTTTCTTTGGCACAGAGCTAGCCCCAGTGCGGCAACAGGAGCTGGCCTCTCTGCTAAGAACATACTTGGCACGGCTGCCCTGGGCTGGGCAGCTGACCAAGGAGCTACCCCTCTCACCTGCTTTCTTTGGTGAGGATGGCATCTTCCGTCATGACCGCCTCCGCTTCCGGGATTTTGTGGATGCCCTGGAGGACAGCTTGGAGGAGGTGGCTGTGCAACAGACAGGTGATGATGATGAAGTAGATGACTTTGAGGACTTCATCTTCAGCCACTTCTTTGGAGACAAAGCACTGAAGAAGAGGTGGGCAGCTGTGGGGGAGTTGGGTCGGGTGGGACAGAGGCAGTCGGGAGGATGTGAAGAGCAAGGATCATTAGTTTGAGTATCCTTACTTTTGGTCCCCAGCTGGCTTCCCTTAGAGAAGGCATTCAGGTCCGCTTCCTTTCTTCCCTTGAGGGTAGGAAGCTGCCTGTGCCCACCCCAGAGTGGTCCTGAGCAGTCCCCTTTTGGGCAGGGGGATTCTTTCTCCTGAGTTGCCCTGCCCTACCTCTACCTGCATGGCCCAGGGGACGAGGGAGATCCCCATCTTCCTGTCTCCCCGACTGGAGCCTTTATCCTGGGAGACCAGGTTTTTCCCACATATGCTTGGTGGTGCCTGCTCAAGTCAGCTTCATTGGGAGGAGCAGGGTCCTCTCTCCTTGGGGAACCCGTTTTCATTGCATGGTATTGTCCCCTAAAGGCCTCTTCCTCCCCACAGGTCAGGGAAGAAGGACAAGCACTCACAGAGCCCAAGAGCTGCGGGGCCCAGGGAGGGGCACAGCCATAGCCACCACCACCACCACCGGGGCTGACACCCTGCCCCACAGGGAATGGCCTTGGCCTGGCCCAGCCCAAGATCCCAGCGTTATCTAACTCCTGGAGGGTGGACTCTGTCCTGGCTTGTTTGGTGTCCTCAGATATCTTTCACACAGTAGAGCAAAATCACCAGCCCTGCACTGATGTCACTTTATGTAGAAAAAGGCCTTAGCTGGACCTGCGTTGCCGTCTATGCAAATGCATGCAAATACTCCAGGCCCTGGGATGTGGGCTTGTGTTTTGTCACTGTGAAGGGGGAGATGGGAGAGGAGCCTGTTTTGGGGTGGGGTCTGGGGAAGGCAATCTGATTCTGAAGCTAAAGAGCTTTCATCCTCTTGAGTGTATGTCCCCATAGTGGGCCCCTTGACCCACATGCTGACCGGTGCCTTGGGATTTGACTAGAGTTGCTGGCTCGAGGCCCAGCACGAGGACTTACCCTGGGGTTTTGTTAGGTTTGGAAGCAGCTGTCCCTAGGGGGTGAAGTCCCCCCCCTTTTTTTTTTTACCCCTGCTTCTCCCACGGCTTCACCTCCCTATGTGAACTGTAGACTCAGATCCCAATAAAGTGCTGTTGCAGCTATGATGCTAGGTGGTTTCTAAGCACAGGGGACACCCCACACCCCCTGCCTGAATGGATGGGTCCATCCCAGGCACTGGTACTTGCCCCCTTGTTCTGTATCCCCCTTTGCCCTTGCCTTGCCCTTCCAACAAACCCTAGGCCCTTGAGAAGCTGATACTTCTCCTTTTGCTCACAGCTGCCTTGGCCCCACCCCTGGGAGATGTAGCAAATTGAGTGTGGGTTTTGGAGTCTGAGCCTCAGGCTCAAATCCAGGCCAAGTGATCTTGGGCAAGTTAATCTCTGGGAACTTTGGGTTTCTTATCCTCAAAAAAGGCGATGGAAGGGCTGGGGAAGTGATTAAATAAAAGCAACGCAAGAAAAATGCCTCTCCTGTTTTGGGCACTCAAAAGTTATTGCCTTCTTTAGGGAAGGGTGTGGAGGAGGGAAAAGAACCCAGGCCCAGAAGGAAGAGCTTCTGGGGCTGGGGAGGTGAGGGAACCACTAGGTGGCACCCTGGCTCCATTTTGCTCCAGACCTCGCCTCTCCCACTACTCACTGTCCCCAAAATCTCAGACCCTACCCCACTGACCCCAGCGCCTGCTCCACTGGCCAGCTCTCCCAGGATGACCAGACTCCCCTTGGCTATTCTCTAGGAAGTCCTTCCTGAGATCTAACCTTAGTCCCTTCGGCAATACACTGGGCTTTTTGATGACCCTGGAAATGCCCAGGAAGTACAGGAGACAGAATAATGTGGTGTGACTGCTCAGGCAGGAGGCGGGGGACTACAGGTTCTAGAAGGGGCTGTAACTGATTTCTGTATTATTTAGCAAGCGAATATGTAACTCTGTTTAAGGGCTTAAAGGTATTAGTTCATTGAATTCATGTGTGGGTGGGGCAGGGGTTAGGGCAGGCTGGGGATGGAACAAGGACCACTAATTCAGCAAACATTTATAAAGTCTACTGTGTACCAGAAACAGAGAGGCACTGGGAATACAGAGGCACCTTAAGAAGCCTAAAGTTGGGTCGGGTGTCGTGGCACACACCTATAATCCCAGCACTTTGGGAGGCCGAGGCGGACGGATTGCCTGAGCTCAGCAGTTTGACACCAGCCTGGGCAACACGGTGAAACTCCGTCTCTACTAAAATACAAAAAATTAGCCAGGCGTGGTGGTGGGCGCCTGTAGTCGCAGCTACTCGGGAGGCTGAGGTAGGAGAATCACTTGAACCTGGGAGGCGGAGGTTGCAGTGAGCTGGGATCGTGCCACTGCACTCCAGCCTGGGCGACAGAGCAAGACTCTGGCTCAAAACAAAACAACAACGACAACAACAAAAAACAGAGAAGCCTATAGTCCAGTGGAAACTTTCTACAGCAGGAGGAACTGCAGTTAGATCTAAGGAAGAACTTCCTTTCAGGTAGAAGGTCAGTGATATGGGCTGGGGAGGCTTAGGATTTGGTACCCAGGCCTGTGAACCACTGCTCCTTGAAGAAGCCTAGTTTTACCCTGTTCACATTGCTCACCTTCTGTAGGTGCTCAAAATTCTTGCTGCCTGAACAGCTGACTGGTAAAGTTGGGTTGCTGAGAGACAGATTCAGGCTAGAAGGTAGGTAGGATTCAGTGTCCTGGGGCAGGTGGCTGGGCCTGGGAAAGGGGATACAAACTGGCCTACCTGAGTTCCCAGAGGGTGGTGACTCTCACTGTGGCCCCTTGGGGCTTCTCAGTTTCATTTTTAGGGCTCATTTCCTTCGTTTGCATAACGAACGCTCAGGGAGGCTGCCAGGTTCCCCTAAGCCCCCTCCTGTTCCTTACCCACTCAGGAAGTAGATATGCTGAGCTGGAGGTTTCTGAAGCTGCTGAATCAGGAAGAAAAAGCCACGAACCCAAGGGGTATGTTGGGGAGGGCTGGGATGCCAGTGACATTGGCTGCTCTGATCGCCCTCTCTCTGGGATGCCCCTGGGAGGCGATCCTCGCACTCATCACAGGCCACGAGGCCCCTCTCTCTAACACACCCATGCAGCACTGGTGGTGAGGAGGAGCCCAGGGTCCAGGTCTTCGGATGATCTCCTGACCATGGGCCCAGTGTGTAGAGATGAGTCCAGGGAGGCTAGAGCCAAGGGACAGCATTCCCTCCTTCCCACAGGCCTTGGGGATAGCTCTGGCCTGGGCAGGGCTTCGGGGAGCTTGTGGGTAGACTCACTGGATTTCACCACGTGTCTGTTTGGCCTCCCAGGGTTTGGGCTGGGCTCTTCCAGTTTCAGCACTTGGCATTTTTAGCACTTGGCTTTCTGCCTTTTCCGCTGGGAGCTCCCCAAGTTTGCCCAAGTAGGGCCTGCTTCCCTGAGAGCTGAGCTCAGGGGTCCTTGGGAAGAATCACTAGAGTTAGGGGTGGCCTTCTTGGGCCTTCTACTCTCAAATGGAAAAATTCTATTTCCTTTGGCCAGTCCCAAAAACTCATTTCCTGGTAGTCCCCAGTCTGCATTCCCCCCTCCCGTCCTTATCTCTCATTCTTCAGCCTCACCTGCTTCCCAGGCTCCTTCAGCCACCCTTTCCCCAGTGCCCTCAGCCCAGCCTCTGCCACCCATGCCCTGTCTGGCCCTGTGCCTCCTCCAGGATCTCCCCCGTCTCCTGCTGCCTCCCCAGGTCCCCTAGGCCCCAGGCTTTCCCCATTGCCTGGCATTCACACCCATCCTGGGGTGACAGGTGGTGGAGACAGATGGGGTGGGTGGGTCATAGGTGGTAGTGGGTCACTTCGCTTCCCAGCCTGACCACCCCTATTGGCTTCTGGAAGGTCAGAGGCACATTGCTCCTTTTGAGAGTGGCTCCCAGCCTCGTCCGGCTGGGCCCAAGGACACACACTGGACTGGCTGGCTGTTGCCATGGGAACCTCCCAGGGTTACCCTGACACAGGAATGTCTCCTCATCCTGCCTGGTTCTGGGCCACAGATGTTCCTGGCCCCTTCACATGCTCACAGCAGGGGTCTGGTAGGGACAGTGCAGGTTGCAGGGTAGGGGTGTGGAGGGCTGTTGCCTAAATCAGACAACAGGTTCTTCCCCTCCCCAACTCAGCTGCCTGAGCCACAGAAGCCCCTTGTTAAGCACTTATCTGAGTTCCCTGTCCCACCTCTCCCAGGTCTCCCTTAAGGTGGCCACCCATCTCTTTGGTAACCTTTGGCACCCAGGATAGGTGACTGCCGCTCCCAAATGGAGAACAACAGTGAACCCCTTCCCCGCTCACCTGTTCTTCTGGCTGGGCCTGTTCCTGGCTCACCTGTTCCTGGGCCAGGGGGGCTCCCAGCCCAGATCTTTTCTAACCAGAGCTTTGACCTGAGCGAGATTTGAAGTCGGAAACCCCAGAGTGGCGGTCTCCACCGCTGCCCACCTGTGGGCCTTGGGCAAGAGGGCTCTCCTTGCTTAAGGGCTCAGCTTTCTCATCATTGAAGTGGAGACCACAGACTCTGCTCTCAGAGGCTGTCCCGAGGGTGAGATGAGTCAATGTAAGATACATGAAAAGGCTTTGCAAGCTAAAGGGCACTGAAACAGAGCAGTTATTTTTATTGTACTTAACCTCTAAGGGGGAAACTGGGAGCCACTGGGAGCTACTGATATGGGAGGAAAGGGTGTTGGTTCCCCGATGTGGCAGGAGCTGGCGGGAAAAGATGCTAACTAGCATTCAGGTCTCAATACTGTGCTAGATGCTGTGGGGCCCCCCAATCCTTGCCCCGAGGCTAATTGGATTAGCTGCATACAAAGCAGAATTTTAATAGTACTCTCTTAATGGTGCCAGGAGCAGTCTGCCAACTGGGTGAAGAGGAAGAAAGGGGTGGCCTTTGAGTTGGATCTTGAAAGATAATAGGATTTCAGAGATGGGAGAATGGGGGAAGGTATTTCAGGCTAGGCAAAGGTGAGGCCTGAGGTAAGGGTGTTATAGCCTATAGCTAGATGGTTCACAGAGGGGGCAAATTCTGCCACTGGCAGCCTGCAGGTCTGAGGGGATGGCTACTGTAGGAAATGGGAGGGGTGCCACTAATCCTCACCATTCCCCCCACCCTCCACTTCCTCTCCAGAGCAGGGCCCCTTTGCAGGAGTTCTCACCAGCATGGGGCACTTACCTTCGCTCAGCCCCAGGGGAGGCATTCAGCAGAGGGGAGGGTCATCCATTGAGGTCATCACTGAGACTCTGTTCAAAATCAAAGGGACAGGTCATCTGGCTAGAGCAGGATAGGCAGACACCTGAAGCCACATGCTGTGGAGAGGAAAGTGCTAGATAGCTCCCTTTGGAAGGTCCATTGCCCATGGGTCAAACAGGCTGGCCATCAATGCTTGCTCATCTGGAATGACAGGACTAGTCCAGAAATAGTGGCATGAGGCCAGCAAAGGAACAGGCTGGCTGGGCGCTGTGGCTCATGCCTGTAATTCCAGCACTTTGGGAGGCTGAGATGGGAGGTTGGCTTGAGGCCAGGAGTTCGAGACCAGCCTGGGAAACATAGCAAGACCTTATCTCTACTAAAAATTAAAAAAAAAAAAAAAAGTTTAACTCAGCATGGTGGCACACACCTGTAGTCCCAGCTACTCAGCAGGCTGAAGGTGGAAGGATTGCTTGAGCCCAGGACATCAAGGCTGCAGTGAGCTTATGATCCGCCACTGCACTTCCAGCCTGGGCACAGAGTGAGACCCTGTCTCAAAAAAAGAAAAGAAACAAGCCATGGCTGTCATCTAGGTGGATCATTAACTTTTCTTTCTTTTTTTTTTTTTTTTTTGAGATGGAGTCTCGCTCTGTTGTTCAGGCTGGAGTGCAGTGGCGTGATCTCTGATCTCCGCTCACTGCAAGCTCCACCTCCTGGGTTCACGCCATTCTCCTGCCTCAGCCTCCCGAGTGTAGCTGGGACTACAGGTGCCTGCCACCACGCTTGGCTGTTTTGTTTTTTTTTTTTTGTATTTTTAGTAGAAATGGGGTTTCACCGTGTTACCCAGGATGGTCTCGATCTCCTGACCTCGTGATCTGCCCGCCTCGGCCTTCCAAAGTGCTGGGATTACAGGCATGAGCCACTGCACCGGGCCACATTTAACTTTTTTCCCCTGGGTTGTGGAAGGCAGGCAGAGCATGTTATATAATGTAACCAGTTCCACCAGCTAGTGGACTTGGGAGGGAAGTGCTACTTTGGGGAGTATTTGAGCAAGTGACCTTGGAGGGTTGGGTGGATGAGCATGTGAGTTTGCAGGTTGAGCAGCTTCTGGTGATGACAAAGCCCAGGGTGTGTCCATAGGAGCTGGCCTCTGAGGAGGAGAGGGGGGAAAAGGCTTTGAACAGCCAGGGCCAAGGGATTGAGCAGCGGGGTGTTGGATGGGCTGGCCATGACCGTGATGTCACCGAGGATGATGACAGCAACTCTGTAGAAAAGGAGACTGGGAGCCAGTGGCTGAGTCTCAGAAAATGAGAATGAGGCTGGGTGCAGTGGCTTACACTGGTAATCCCGGCACTTTTGGAGGCTGAGGCCAGAGAGGACTGCTTGAGCCCAGGAATTCCAGACTAGCCTGGCCAACATAGCAAGACCCCGTCTGCATAAAGAAACAAAAGAAAATGAAAATGAACCACCAGGATTGCTGGGCTGCCAGTACTGAGGAAAGCAGGAGGGTAGCGCAGGCAGGTGGCATGAGCCTTAGAGGAACCATAGTTTTCCAAGAGGCAGGATGAGTAATGGTGTGGAAATTAAAATGGGGAGGAAGGGAGGCCATAGACTCAAAGCGGATGCTGAGGGATGAGGGCTGGGAGACTAAAGCCTCCACTTGAGACACCAGTAAGGGACAGTGGAGTTCAGTTGAGGCATACTAGGAAGCCTAGTATGGGGGAAGTTTTTTTTTATTTTTTGAGACGGAGTCTTTTTCTGTTGTCCAGGCTGGAGCGCAGTGGTACAATCTTGGCTCACTGCAACCTCTGCCTCCCAGGTTCAAGTGTTCTCATGCCTCAGCCTCCTGAGTAGCTGGATTGCAGGTGCCCGCCACCACGTCCAGCTATCCAGCTAATTTTTGTATTTTTAGTAGAGATGGGGTTTCACCATGCTGGCCAGGCTGGTCTCGAACTCCTGCCCTCAGGTGATCCGCCTTGGCCTCCCAAAGTGCGGAGATTACAGGCGTGAGCCTGGGGGAAGTTTTCTGATCGCTCACTAGGTATTCAGGGAGCTGGATCTCAGAGTCAGAGAGGGAGGTAAGGGGCGTGCATTGGGTCAGGTGAGGAAAGAGACTCCGGGAGTAAGTTCTGACTCCTTCCATGTGACTCAGGTAAAACAGGAGATGTGGACTTTCCGTGGAGGCCCAAATACATGTTTATTGAAGATGAGCTGGAAAATCTGATTCTGTGTTGAATGACGAAGTGCTAAGAATAAATAACAACCCCTTACATCTGGATGATACTTGAGAACTTACAAAGTATTTTATTGTACCTTGTCATATATTTTCTTCATTCCTTTCTTATTATAACCCTGGGAAGTGGGCCTTATCAGTGGTAAACTCAGAGTGACTTGCTAAGTGTCCAAGCTGGGACTGAAAATCCACTCTGTGCTGCCTTCTAGGGCGTTGATGAGTGCAGTGTTTTCTGGGTTGCTGAAAAAAAACAAAAAAAACCCCAAAAAACAAAAAACCACCTCCTTAAGTCTGTTCTTTTTGCATCTGACCACTCTCCTGTGCCTCTTTTCAACATTCAGGAAATTAATGGTTTCTCCCTAAGTCTCCACACTACACTTTTTCTCTAGTGGAGGCAGTAATGAGTTGCAGGCTCTGTTCTGACATGCTCAGAAAAATGCAGGACGGCAAGTCATAGCCAAAAACAACTCGACGTACTCAGCTGGGGCAACCCGTCACCTACTGCGGGAAGAGGCAGAACCGGGGATGCAGGGAAAGGACAGATTATTCTTATCCTGCCTCTCAAACTTCTGGCTGGGAGCCAGACTTCGGATGAAACCAGGCAATCTCATCTAGGGATTCAACGCTCCCTTACTATTGATGTCACCCACGCCGTTTGCTTCCGAAAACCTTTGGGCCGGAGGCTGCGGCTAGAAAAGCAATCAAAGGTTTCTCGCCGGGCTTAAAGGGCCACATCTTAGTGACGTCTCGGGTTATAAAATCTGCTTGACAATGAAATATCGTGTGCGCGATTCTGCTCCTCCCCCGACATGACGTGGCCAGACACGCCGCTCGCGTCAGGGCTGCCTTACGCCCCCAGGAAGACCCATTCCCACTCTGGGGCGCGCGCAGATTTGCTGTGGCACATGTACTATAACGCACAGGCAAAAGGGCAGTTTCCAAAACGTCTCCAACGTGATCTCACTCCAGAGATTTTTTTTCCTAAAGTTTTAGGGCTGCGCGGAAGGGAACATGGGGTTCACCTCAGGAAATTTCAGACGTCACCCCCCTCGGAGGAAGGTAGTCGCGTCCGGTTCCTCCCCGGGTGTCAGTTAAGCAGGCCAGGCTGTGAGCGAAGGTTCTGGGCGGGGCTGGACTGTTCTAAGTGAGTTCGGGTGGGGGAGCTTCACGAGGGGAGGCTGCTCTGTGAAGGAACCGCCTTTCTCTCCGCGTGTCTCACCCTTTTCTCCCCATATCTGTTTGGACATGAGCTGAGGGCACGGTCGCGGGCGGTCAGCCCTGTTCGCAGCTACGGCGAGGAGGGGCGCGATTGTTCCTTGTTGCCGCTCCGCTTAGTGGCCGCGTCCATTCCGCGCGGTGTCCCGATTTTAGGGGTAGGGAGAAGTGTCAGCTTCAGGCATCGCGAGGCGTGGCGGCCCCATGGCCCCGCTGGGAGGCGCCCCGCGGCTGGTACTGCTGTTCAGCGGCAAGAGGAAATCCGGGAAGGACTTCGTGACCGAGGCGCTGCAGAGCAGGTGTCCGTGAGGCGGGAAAGGTGGAAGGGGGAGCTCTCCGCATCACGTGACACGAGGAGTGCTTTTGGGTGTCACGGAGTGAGCTTTGGAGTACGGGTCGTCCGTTTGCAAGGCAGGAGGAGCACTGGGCTGGGGAAGGTGGAATGCCACCATTACATAAAACAGTAGTCTACACAGGCGAGCCTCAAAGAAGCAGGTGACCACCTCTCCAAAGACCTTCAGCTGCAGGTCTCTCTGAGAAGCATTAATAATGGTTCCTACGAAGGCACTTTCTATATACCAGGCGTTGGATACCAGCCTGGGCAACATGGCGAGACCCCGCCTCTACGAAAAATCCAAAAAGTAGCTGGGCGTGGTGACGCGTGCCTGTGGTCCCAGCTATTCAGGAGCCTGAGGTAGAAGAATCGCTTGAGCCCGGGAGGCGGAGGTTGCAGTGAGGCGAGATTGGCCACTGCACTCCAGCCTGGGCGACAGAGCGAGACCCTGTCTTAAAAAAACAAAACAAAAAACCCTCTTCACCTCTTTGTTAGGTACTGTGTGCCATTATTAGCATCTCCATTTCACAGGTGAAGAAACTGAGGCTCTTAAAAAGTTAAACAGGCCGGGTGTGGTGGTCATGTCTGTCACCCCAGCACTTTGGGAGACAGAGGTGCGAGGATGGCTTGAGAGCCCAGTAGTGGAGACCAGCCTGGGCAACACAGTAAGACCCTAGTCTCTACAAAAAAATGGAAAAGTTAGCCTAGTGCGATGGCGAGCACCTCTAGTCCAAGCTACTCAGGAGGCTGAGGTGGGAGGATCGCTTGAACCTGGGGGCTACAGTGAATTGTAATCATGCTACTGTCCTCCAGTCCTTGCAGCAGAGCCTGAGACCCTGTCTCGAAGTAAAATAAAATAAAATAACATACGAAGTTAACAACAAAAAACCCTTGCTGGTCACAAAGTAAGTGGCAAATCCAGGATTCAAATTCAGCTTTGTGGTTCATGATGGGCATCTCAGCAATTAATATATAATTGAAACAAAAAGAAAAAAAACCCAAACAAATTCAACTTTATCTTGCGCCAAGGACTGGTTTCTTTCTGTTTTATCTGGCTGCCTCCCCAAATAATAATACCTTTTGCACAGTGTTTTCTGTCAAAGCAAGATCTTCTGTGCAGGAGCATTTTGCTGAGACCTGGGCTAGGAGAGCAGAGGTTGGGGAGAAAGTGGGGCTCCTCTCCTCTTGAAGGCCAGTGTGGTGGGGGTACCAGGAAGCTGCTTTTGGGTACCACGGGGGTTCTATGAAGGTGTGGGAGAGCCCAGAGCAGAGGTCACCACCTGAATTTTTCATCACTAAGTATCTCACCACCTTTTCCTAAGTTGCATTTCTCCTCACCTCCAAACCCTGACGTCAAATAGTGGTCCGAAGCACAGGCTCTGGAATTAGACTGCTGGGATGCAAACCCTGGCTCACTGTTGATTAGTGTGTGATCTTGTACACATCTGTCATTCACTCTGTGCCTCATGTTTTTTTTTTTTTTTTTTTTTTTTTTTTGAGACGGAGTCTTGCTCTGTCACCCAGGCTGGAGCGCACCCAGGTTGCGGCTCACCGCAACCTCTGTCTCCTGGGTTCAAGCGATTTTCCTGTCTCAGCCTCCCGAGTAGCTGGGATTACAGGTGTGTGCCACCATGCCCAGCTAACTTTTGTATTTTTAGTAGAGACAGGTTTCACCATGTTGGCCAGGCTGGTCTGGAACTCCTGACCTCAGGTGATCTGCCTGCCTCGGCCTCCCAGAGTGCTGGGATTACAGACGTGAACCACCACCGCACCTGGCCTGCGTCTCAGTTTTGTCATCTGTAAAATGGGGATGATAATAGGGTGGTTGTGGGGATTAAATGAGATAATGTGTGTGAAGGGCTTAGAATAATTATTGGCACCTAGCAGAGGTGCAGGAACTAAATGTTGGCTATATTTATTTTACCAATCTTGGCTTCACTACTTGCAGTGTTGCTTTGGGGGAGTCAATCCTCCTTTCACAACCTCAGCTTCCTCATCTGAAACATGAAAATAAGAACACTTACAGCCAGGGCAACATAGTGAGACCCCCTCTCTACAAAAGATAAAAAAAATTAGCTGGGTATGGTGGTGCATGCCAGTAATCCCAGATACTCAGGAGGCTGAGGTGCGAGGATTGCCTGAGCCCAGGAGTTCAAGATTGTAGTGAGCTGTGATCATACCACTGCACTCTAGCCTGGGTGACAGCAAGACCCTGACTCTTAAAAAACCAAACCAAAACAAAACAAAGAACACTTATCGTTGGGCGCAGTGGCTCACGCCTGTAATCCTAGCACTTTGAGAGGCCGAGAAGGGTGGATCACTTGAGCTCAGGAGTTCGAGACCAGCCTGACCAACATGGTAAAACCCTTCTCTACTAAAAATACAAAAATTAGTGGGACGTGGTGGCGCCGGCCTGTAGTCCCAGTTACTTGGGAGGCTGAGGCAGGAGAATAGCTTAAACCCAGGAGGTGCAGGTTGCAGTGACCTGAGATTGCACCACTGCATTCCAGCCTGGGCTACAGAGTGAGACTCAGTCTCAAAAACAGCACTTATCTTCCTGTGCGTTAAGTGTATTGTGAGCA
Source organism: Homo sapiens (assembly GCF_000001405.40). Taxonomy (NCBI): domain Eukaryota; kingdom Metazoa; phylum Chordata; class Mammalia; order Primates; family Hominidae; genus Homo; species Homo sapiens. The sequence goes on along the minus strand of NC_000001.11, from coordinate 154,933,973 downwards.
TCTCAAGGCTAGGACAGGAAGCATGTATCATTCACATTTGTATCACCTAGATCCAAATATGGTACCCAATAAATGGTTGGTTAAGCCAGGAGGCAGAGGTTGTGGTGAGACGAGATGGTGCCACTGTACTCCAGCCTGGACGACAGAGTGAGACTCTGTCTCAAAAAAGAGAAAAAAAGAAGGGCCGTGTGCGGTGGCTCACGTCTGTAATCCCAGCACTTTGCGAGGCTGAGGCGGGCGGATCACGAGATCAGGAGTTTGAGACCAGCCTGGCCAACATGGCAAAACCCCGTCTGTACTAAAAATACAAAAATTAGCCGGGTGTAGTGGCGGGCGCCTGTAATCCCAGCTACTTGGGAGGCCGAGGCAGGAGAATCGCTCAAACCTGGGAGGCGGAGATTGCAGTGAGCCGAGATCGCGCCATTGCACTCCAGCCTGGGTGGTGGAGCAAGACTCCGTCTCAAAAAAAAAAAAAAAAAAAAAGGTTGGTTAAGTAAATTAAATAACGAATGAGTTATTTTTATTTTTATTTTCATTTTTGAGATGGATTTTCACTCTTGTTGCCCAGGCTGGAGTGCAATGGGGCGATCTCGGCTCACTGCAACTTCCACCTCCTGGGTTCAGGTGATTCTCCTGCCTCAGCCTCCCGAGTAGCTGGGATTACAGGCATGCGCCATCATGTCCGGCTAATTTTATGCTTTTAGTAGAGACAGGGTTTCACCGTGTTGGTCAGGCTGGTCTCAAACTCCTGACCTCAGGTGATCTGCTGCCTCAGCCTTCCAAAGTACTGGGATTACAGGCGTGAGCCACCACACCTGGCTTTTGTTTCAGTTTTTTAAATTTGCTTTTCTTATTTCATTTTTATGAGACAGGGTCTCACTCTGTCTCCCAGGCTGGCATACAGTGGTACAATCATGGCTCACTGTAGCCTGGAACTCCTGGGCTCAGGAATGCTCCCACCTCAGCCTCTGGAGTAGCTGGGAGTACAGGCACATGCTGCCATGCTCAGCTAATTTTTAAATTTTTTGGTGGAGATGGTATCTCTGGGTCTTATTGTGTTGCCCAGGCTGGTCTTGAACTCCTGGCCTCAAGCACTCCTCCTGCCTTGGCCTCCCAAAGTATTGGGATTACAGGTGTGAGCCACCATGCCCAACCAGTGAATTAATAAATGATATATGTTATGGTGACCAAGTCAGTGGAGACAGATACCTCTGGCTATGAGAGAATTAGTTTAGGGTCTGGGCAATAACCTAATCCAGCTAGAATATTGTGCGCCTGTTCACACTGTAATTAGCACTTTATAGGTTTTACCTGTTAGTTTCAGGGCTCTTTTATATTCTTTAGAGTTTCATAATAATCCTGTGTGGGAGACAGAACAGAAAGTGTTATCCCCATTTTCTGATGAGGAAACAGGATCAGGGACATTGAGACCTACCAAAGTTACATAATACCAGTAGTAGAAATGGGACTTCAACACAGGCCTCTTGACTCCCTTTCTGGGACATGGAAGCTCCTGGAAATTCTAGGCTAACTGGATTCTGATCTCCCTGTCCTGCAGACTTGGAGCTGATGTCTGTGCTGTCCTCCGGCTCTCTGGTCCACTCAAGGAACAGTATGCTCAGGTAGGTGGTGCTTTGTGGCATCCGGTGTGTTGGGCGGGGCCGGCTCCAGGACTTTGGAGCTGTGGCTGCTGCCTGAGTCACTGGCATGATTCCCGTCACCACTGCTGGCAGGGTGGTGGCCAGCTCTTGGTTTTCTGTGAGTGGACCTTTCGGGGGCATTTTCAGCTTATATTTCTTTCCTAATAGCCTCCCTCCCTTCAGAGTGAGTTCAGGAAGGTGTGCCCAGGAAAGGCTGTCGACACTCGAGTTGGCAGCTCTGATGCTGTGTGATTAGTAAGGACCTGCCTGTGCCTCCTCACACCACCCTCTCACTCAGCTGGCCTGACACAGCCCCTAGAACTTTGCTCCTAGAAATTTAGTACAGGCCGAGCACGGTGGCACATGCCTGTAATCCCAGCACTTTGGGAGGCCGAGGCAGGTAGATTGCTTGAGTCCAGGAGTTAGAGACCAGCCTGGCCAACATGGTGAAACCCCATCTCCGTTTCTTTAAAAAAAATTTTTTTTAAAGTAAACAACAACACACAAAAAAGAAATTTAGTCCCAGAAGTTGTCAAAATATATCATTAAGTGAAAAAAAAAAAAAGCCAATACCAAGATATAGAACAGTGTGTAGAGAATGCTACATTTGTCTAAAACTGAAGAGGCACTTTGTGACCAAGAATTGTAAAAGAATTCTAAATATATCTGCTCATATATTTGGCTATTTAACAAATATTTACAGGGTGCCTGTCTCATGTTCAGCACTGTTTCAGGTGCCTGGGATGTGTTCCTGCACTGCATGGGAAAGACAGGTTAGAAACCGTACCATTGGTTGCCCCCAGGGAGGGGACAGGGTGAGAGAGAGATTTTCGACTGTAAATTAATGTGTATCTTTGAATTTTGAACCACATGGATTAAAAAAAATAGAATCGTTAAAATAGAATAAAAAAAATAAGTCAACAGGAACTCTCAGAATCTTAGACTTCAGAAAGGGAACTTGGAAGGCAAGATCAGCCTCCCACATGGTGAAGAGCCCTCTTGTCGCCACATTTTGCCCTTGACCTCTAGGTGCACCCTTCTGGGACGTGTGCTTTGGCCCCTCAATTGGCCAGAGTGTGGTTTCCGGAACCACATAAAATGAATTGTCCCCCCTTCTATATGCCATCTTTGCCTCCATGGGAAGCATTGGGTCATCTCTCACCAGCTGAACAGACCTATTCATAGGGTGGCAGCCTGAGGAATTGTAAGAATAACTAAATTAAGTGGTTTATTTTTTTTTCTTTTTGAGACAAGGTCTTGCTCTGTAGCGCAGGCTGGAGTGCAGTGGCGCATAATGGCTCACTGCAGCCTTGACCTCCTGGGCTCAAGTGATCCTCCCACTTGAGCTTCCCAAGTAGCTAGGAATACAGGTGCATGCCACTATGCCTGGCTAAGTTTAAAATTTTTTTTTGTAGAGATGGGAGTCTCATTATGTTGCCCAGGCTGGTCTCCAACTCCTGGGCTCAAGTGATCCTCCCACTATGGCCTCCCAAAGTGCTAGGATTTGGGCAGGAGCTACTTTACCTGGCCTGGTTTTCAAAAATTTTAAGCAGGATTCTTTCCCAAATGAAACTGGATACAGAATTTCTTTGTATCCAGGAGACAGACTGGGAGCGATGCTGCAGGGTGGTGGGGTGGTGGTGGGGGGATGGGAGGAAGGAAGGGGTGAAGGGGAAGGCACTGAGCCTTCCCTAGTGGGGCCTAGGCACTTCCAAAGGCCTCCCAGGAGCACTTTCAAAACTGATCTTCCAAAGTTCCCAGACAGGTCTTGCTTCTGTCCTACTGAGTGAGACTGGTGGGGTTGGGTGGGGGGCGGGAGGAAGAAGGAGCAGGAGTTTGCATTTTTATTTATTTATTTATTTTATTTATATTTGAGACGGAGTCTCGCTCTGTCGCCCAGCCTAGAGTGCAGTGGCACGATCTTGGCTCACTGCAACCTCCACCTCCTGGGGTTCAAGCAGTTCTACTGCCTTAGCCTCCTGAGTAGCTGGGATTGCAGCCATGGGTGACCACGCCCGGGTAATTGTTTTGTATTTTTAGTAGAGACATGGTTTCACCATATTGGTCAGGCTGGTCTTGAACTCCTGACCTTGTGATCTGCCCGCCTCGGCCTCCCAAAGTGCTGGGATTACAGGCGTGAGCCACTGTGCCTGGCCAGTTTGCATTTTTAAAAGCTCCATGGAAGACTCTGATAGGCCAGACTGCCCTTGCTCTGTGCAAGTCCAGCACCACTCTATCCCCCACTCCCATTAAAAAACAAAACCAAAATGAAATGTTCATGCATTGATTTCCTAAGTCACAAGAAGAAATATAACCAACAAGTAGACCACAACGCTCCTGGAGGGAAACTGGTTCAGGAGCAGGAGGTGGCTACTGACCTCCTCTTGCAGCAAGGGGAGCAGGTGGGTGATCAAGAAATTGAGAGCCTGAGGGGAGAAGGTCTTGTTGCAGTGAGTTCATGGAGGAGCCAGAATCTGAACGAGGTGATGCTTTTCAGACCCCTCCTATCCTGGATCCCTTTGGATGGACCCCTCTGCTTGGAAAGGGGAGAAAGGAGTTCCCCAGGGTGGTCAGAGTAACCTCTCCTGCCTTGGGGGTCCTCTGGGTGTGGGAGGCCTTGCAAGTGCCCAGAGCCAGATGGAGTGATGCTGTTTCAGCAAAGGCGCCAGGAATTTGGGGATGGGAAGGGGTAAGGGGGAGAGAAAGGAGACACAATCTCCGTGGGATTTGGGATGGGGGCAAACAATGCTAGTGGGAGGACATGGAGTGCAGGATTTTTTTTCCCCCCTCAGATTTCCCACTTTAGTTGAAGGCTAAGCCTTTGCCCAGGGGATGCAAACTAATTTCAGTATTAGTTTAAGCCAGAAATAATTGGGAAGGTAAAACTTGCAAAAGAGAAACCACGCCACATATTTCAAAGACAAATTGAAACAATTTCTGGATTATCCCCAGACCTTTCTTCTGTCTACCAGTGATCGGGATTTCTTAGTTGCTGAGACTCTTGCCCTTGCAGACCTTTGTCCTGGCTGAAACCTCATTAATCCTTGCATCAGCCCTGGGGGAGGCAGGTGAGGGTGAGGGATGGCTCTTCCGCTGTTTTAGGAGAGACCACTGAGGTTGAAAGGCCGGTGACGTAGACATAATGTCCTTTGGGCAGGAGCATGGCTTGAACTTCCAGAGACTCCTGGACACCAGCACCTACAAGGAGGCCTTTCGGAAGGACATGATCCGCTGGGGAGAGGAGAAACGCCAGGCTGACCCAGGCTTCTTTTGCAGGAAGATTGTGGAGGGCATCTCCCAGCCCATCTGGGTAAGAGGGCTCCATGGCAGCATGAAGAACACCTGTTTCCCTAGCTCTTCGCTGTGTCCATCTCTCTCTGTCTCCACTGCCACCATCCTGGCCCAAGCCCCCACCATTTCTGGCCTGGACAGTCGCAGTAGCCTCCACACTGGTCTCTAGCTGTGGCTCTTGCCCTCTGTGGTCTATTCATTACACAGTAGCCAGACTGACCTTTTATTATTTATTTATTTATTTATTTATTTATTTATTTATTTATTTTTGAGATGGAGTCTCACACTTGTCGCCTGGGCTGGAGTGCAGTGGCGCAATCTTGGCTCACTGCAACCTCTGCCTCCTGGGTTTAAGTGATTCTTCTGCCTCAGCCTCCCAAGCAGCTGGGACTACAGGTGTCCACCACCACGCCTGGCTAATTTTTGTATTTTTAGTAGAGACGGGTTTTCACCATGTTGGCCAGGCTGGTCTCGAACTCCTGACCTCAGGTGATCCACCCACCTTGGCCTCCCAAAATAGTGGGATTACAGGTGTGAGCCACTGCATGCGGCCCAGACTGACCTTTTAAAAACGTGAACCAGGTGATGTCACTCTTCTGTTTAGAATACTTTGGTGGCTTCCCATTGTGCTCATGAACAAAATGAAAATCCTTCACATGAACTTCTGGGCCTTGTGTGATCCAGTTTCTGCTACTTTTTTAGCCTCCTTACTCCTTAAGCTGTAGCAACACTGGCCTTCTTGGTCCTCAAGTCAGTCGAACTCCTTCTGGAATCAGGGCCTTTGCACATGCCCTTCCACCTGTCTGGACTGCCCTTTCTTTCTCTTTCCCTGGTTAGCTTCAGCTCAGTTGACATGACACCTCCACAGGGAAGCCTTCCCTAATATTCAGGTCTTAACTGGTGCTCCCTGGCAGGTGCTCCTATAGCACCCTACCCCTTTTTTTCCTCATTCATTCTGGCAGTGAATATTGAGTGTCTACTTCTGCCAGGTGTGGTTGCATGTTGTGGGGATATATTGGTGCAAAAGCGCAATGAAATCTCTTCCTTCAGGGAGCTTACATTACAGCTGAGGGTGGCGGGGAGATAGGCACAGAATAAATACAGAATATATCAGGCAGTGGTAAATACTAAGGAGTAAAATAAAGTAGGCCTAGGATATGAGGAGAGATAGGGAAGCGTTGCTGTTTTATTAAGGGTGCCTGGGAAGGCTACACTGATATGATGATGTTTGAGCAAGACCTGAAGGAAATAAGGGATAACTGAATGGATATTTGGGGAAGTAGCTTTCCAGAGAGAGGGAGGAGGAAGTGCAGAGGCTTGAGTGGTGAGTGTGCCTGGTGTGTCTGAGGACAAGCCAGGTGGCCAGAGTGGTGGAAGGTCAGGTCAGACTTCCCAGGGCGGACCTTTGGGAGAGCTGGGATTTTATTCTGAGTGAGATGGGGAGTCACTACAGCGTTCTAAGCAGAGGAGAGACATGATCTGATTTCAGATTGAGAAGCCTGGCCATAGCTGCTGTGGGGAAGATGGGAGCAGAAGCACAGGGGCCGGGTGGAGGACTTTCCTGTGTTTTTTTTTTTTTTTTTTTTTTTTTTTTGAGACAGAGTCTCACTCTTGTCACCAAGGCTGGAGTGCGGTGGCGCGATCTCAGCTCACTCTACCCTCTGCCTTGTGGGTTTAAGCGATTCTTGTGCATCAGCCTCCCGAGTAGCTGGGATTACAGGCATGTGCCATCATGCCCAACTAATTTTTTTTGTATTTTTAGTCGAGACGGTGTTTTACCATTTGGCAAAATTTGAACTCCTGACCTCAAGTGAACCACCCACCTCGGCCTCCCAAAATGCTGGGATTACAGGCATGAGCCACCATGCCTGGCCAGGACCTTTCTGTAACAGACAAAATGACTATGGTTGGGGCGCAGAGGGGAGCAAACGTAGAGTGGAGAGAAGGGGTCAATTTTGCGTGTATTTTGAAGAGAAAACCAACAGGATTTGCCCTTGGGTTGGCTGTGGGGTGTGAGAGACTATACCAAGGATTTTGTTCTGAGCAGGTGGACAAATATAGAATTATCATTTTCTAAGACAGGGAAGGTGGGGAGGAACAGGATTGGAGAGGAAATCAGGAGTTGAGTTTCAGCCGTGTTGAGGTTGAGACACTTGTTGACATACACTGTAATCACATGGTTATTTGATTACTGAATACTTGTTCAGTGTCTCCCACTAGACTGTAAGCTCTGAGAGGGCAGGCACAGGGTCTGTTTTGCTTACCAGTCTAGCCTTAGCACCTAGCACAGTGACCAGCGTACAGTAGGTACTTACTATAATACTTGTTTAATTGGATTAATGAACTTGTCAGCAGCACTGCCTGACATGTAGTCAGCACTCAGTGGTGTATGTTCAATGAATGAATGAATCCGTGAATAGTGAGTCTAGCTGCTGACATGCTCACGATGATGGGGGGGTAGAGCCACACCCCACACTGCCCTGGGTTCTGTAGTCCTCCCACCTCCCCTCACTTCTATCATCCTGTCCTGTTGGTCACCTGTCTGTCCCTCTCCTGCAGCTGGTGAGTGACACACGGAGAGTGTCTGACATCCAGTGGTTTCGGGAGGCCTATGGGGCCGTGACGCAGACGGTCCGCGTTGTAGCGTTGGAGCAGAGCCGACAGCAGCGGGGCTGGGTGTTCACGCCAGGTGAGCCACTCTATGTGTAGGGCACAGGAGGACACAGGCTACCCACCCTGTGGTTTGTCTACCGGGCAGGCCTGGGGGAAGTGAATAAGGGATGATAAAGGAGAATCTGAGGCCTCCTGATTAGGGAGTAGCATGGTGGACAGAATCCTGAGGGTCAAGGTTCCCTTGGCTTAACCTAGGCTATCTTCTCATGGCCAGTGGGCTGCTTTGGTGGTCTGGCTGGGACCCACCCCCATGATTCTTCACCTTTGCTTTCCAGCCCAGTAGGGGCTGACAGTGGTCAGGGGCAAACCTGACAAAGCTCACTTCTGTTTAACACAGTAGTGGAGTTAGAAGTTAGTAGTGGAGAGGAAGTTCTGCTGGGAGCTTCAGTGGTGCAAGCCCAGGACCCGCTCTGTGGGCTTCAGAAGCACAGCTCAGGCTTCCTTCCTGCCCTAGATCACTGTGACTTAGAGCAGCAGTTCAGATCCAATGGGTATGACCACTACTAATGCTGCTCATTTCTGGGGCACTCACATGTCCAGGCCTGTGCTAAGCATTTTATATGCACTGTCTCACTTTACCATCAAAACAGATTCAGCAGGTAGATGCTGTTATTAGTTTACCCATGGTTGGATGAGGCCCTGGCCTGAAAGGTTAAGTCTCTTTCCCAGGGTCACAAAGAGTGAGAGGAGGAGCTGGCCTCCTGACCCTCTGCTTCTGACTCCAGCACATGCTGCCTCCTGAGGGGATTGAGTCAGACAGATTTAGGGATAGAAAAGGACACAACCAGCTTGACAGAAAATGAAAACACAGTGCCCTTTTGGGTTGTGTGTGGTTTTAGATGACCCGATTCACCCTCTGTAGGCAGTAGCAAGTGAAGGATTAAGTCAGGAGGGATCAGCTGAGAGGCCCAGGTGGCTATGGGCTACTGAACCTGCCATCACAGTGTTTCAGGGGTAGGGAGGTGCCTTCTGGGTGGGTAGCCCTTGGCTCTAGGGTAGCAGAGGAGAGGCCGGGAGGGCCCACTCCAGTTGGGGTTAGCAGGCCTTGATGCCTGCTGTCTGTCTGGAGGGCTGAGGCCTGACCTCACCATGCTTCCTTCATAGGGGTGGACGATGCTGAGTCAGAATGTGGCCTGGACAACTTCGGGGACTTTGACTGGGTCATCGAGAACCATGGAGTTGAACAGCGCCTGGAGGAGCAGTTGGAGAACCTGATAGAATTTATCCGCTCCAGACTTTAGTCACTAGGTTCTAGGAGTGAGCTGGGGCCTGCTGAGGTGGGGGTGGGGCTGACTCTGCAAAATGGGGGTGTCCCCCGATCCTGGCCGAGGTGAGGAACAGACAGGGGGGGTCTAGATTCTGAGGGGGTTGGTGGATATTGGGCAAGGCAGGAAACCTCTGGAGACCTCATTTTCTCCATGGGGAAGACAGCCATGCTCTTCAGGAGGAGACTCCAAGGGCAAAGGAGGGTGTCTTGGCTGTGCTTGAAGGCGAAACCCTGCCATATCCCCAGTGCCAGTCCCCTCAGCCTGTGGTGGCCTTGCATCCTGACTGGATGTTCTCAGCCCCTTGTTCTGGGCAAGAACCCAGAGCTCCCCAGTGTGGATACTAATAAACCTCTTGGAGCACACTCTCAGAGCTGCTTGTCTCTCATTTCCTTGATGCCAAGCTGGCCTGGGTGGGGTTTAGAAGGCGTTAGGGTGTCATGGTGGCTGGAGGGTCCCTGTTCCACCTCCCACCTGGCTAGAATGTATTCTTCAGAGGTTGACCTATGCTGCACCCCACAGGCAACTGGCCTGTTTATGTTGGAGGTGGGATTGGGTTGAGGCCCTTACCCTCTGGTATAGCGCCATGAAAGGCTGTGATCCATAGAAAGTGCCACCAGCAAGTGCCCCCTCCCCCCGCTTTTTTTTTTTCTTTGAGACAGGGTCTTATTCTGTCACCCAGGCTGGCATGCAGTGGTGTGATCATAGCTCATTGCAGCCTGACCTCCTGGGCTCAAGCAATCCTGCCTCAGCCTGCCAAGTAGCTGGGTCTACAGGCACACACCACTATATTTGGCTAATTTTTTTCATTTTTAGTAGAGACAGGGTTTCGCTATGTTGCCCAGGCTGGTCTTGAACTCCTGAACTTAAGCAATGCTCCCACCTTGGCCTCCTAAAGTGTTGGGATTACAAGTGCGAGCCATTACCATGCCTGGCCCTGCCCTTGTAATTTATATAGCCTTTTATAATTTCCAAATTTCTTCTAGATTCTTCACAGCTACCCCCTGAAATGGGCGAGGATAGGATTTTCATCGCATTTAGCAGATGCCAAGAACTCAAAGAAGTGAAACAACTTCTCCAGGGTTAGAGGGCTTAGTAAGTGTCAGTGCTGTGTGGAACCCAGGCCACTTGACTCCTGACCAGGCCCCTTCTGCACATTCCTATGGTTGTGGTACAAAGTCCCAAGGCTCCTTGCTGTCCCCAGGCCAAGCCTAAGCCCTCCAACTCTGGCCCTGGCTTCGTAATCCTCCCACAAATTCTGTTCTCACAGATAAGGGGACAGCCAAAGAAATTACACTTTCAGTGTGACCCAGACTGAATCTTGTTTCTGCCCAGATCTCCTCTGCTCTGCTGCCATCATCCTTGCTGGGTGCCAGGCACTGGGCACATAAAGATGAACAGGTCACAGGACTGTTCCTTAAGGAACTCTTGACCTCAGTGAGAAATAGACACCCTCCAGGTGCCCAGGAACCTGAAGGCAGTGCCAAAGACAACTTCAGTTCTCTGGGAAGGAGGGTGGGCTTCCATGACACCCAGGCCTGCCGTGCCTGGGTGAGCACTGACCCCTTGTCCCAGGGGCACTGCCATTGCTGCTTGGAAATCCCTCTCTGGAGCTGGGAGCAAATGATTGTGAACAATCCCAGTCATGGAAATGTCCAAAAGTCACTGGGGCCAACTCTGATGAATGTGGGAGGCAAAGTTTTTGGGTTACAAACCTTAACGAGTCATAAGGTTTGTAAAGAAGTCGATTAGGGGCTGGGGTGGGGTGGCTCATGCCTATAATCCCAGCACTTTGGGAGGCAGAGGAGGGTGGATCATTTGAGGTCAGGAGTTCAAGACCAACCTGGCCAACATGGCAAAACCCCATCTACCAAAAATACAAAAATTAGCTGGGCATGGTGGCAGGTGCCTGTAATCCCAGCTACTCAGGAGGCTGAGGCAGGAGAATTGCTTGAACCTGGGAGGCAGAGATCTTGCCACTGCACTCCAGCCTGGGCGACAGAGCGAGACTATCTCTGAGAAAAAAAGAAGGGCAGGAAGGACACAATCAAACCAGGGAGAACATAGAGTCCACGGGGCCAGCTAAGAGGCTTCTGCAAGATTCCAAGCAAGAAGTAGCACAGGCTGAAGGAGAGAGGGTCACTGGAAAGCAGATGGGTTGGTGGTGGCATTCAACTTTGTTTCTGACCCAGCCCACCTGATACCGGGCATATTCCCATCAGTGAAACTGGCTCACTGCCTGAAGGGGAGCAGAGGTTCCGGGCACAGGAGCCCTGTCAGAACCTCCGGGTTGGAGGTGAGGAAACACCTACTGCATGACATCATTACCTGCTTGATTCCAGCATGTCTTCTGTAGTCCTGTCTCACCATGCATTCAATCACATCCACTTCCTGAGCACCTGCTGTGGCTCTAGGAGCTAGGGACACAGCTACAAGAGAGACATGGGCCCTGCCATCACGGAATTTACCTTTCAGAAATAATCCTAGACAGGGTAGGTTCCACAGAACTTGGGGACCGATTAGCCACAGCAGCTGGGGAGATGGAGGAGTTCAAACTTGTGCCAGAAACCCTGGGTTTTATCGCCTTCCCTGAAGGGGGTGTCTTCAGCATGTGGGAATGTGGTAGTACCTTCTCAGTTTGGAAGCCAGTGAATCCCTGCCTTCGTAGGCAATGAGGGTCAAAGCTCCAGATGGATGTGAACCTATCAAGTGTGGTACTAGAGTAAGAGTTGATGCAGACAGGGGGGTAGGGACTGGTGGGTCTCCTGTGCCCTCCGGGAGGGGTGCTGCCCTGCTTTCTTGGCTCTGGGTATTTAGAGGAGACACAGGATTATGACTTGGGAGCCAGTGGGTCTGTCTACCTGGTGACAGGTTGGTAGTGATGCCTTTTAAAATAGGAAGCCCAGTGTCTGCCGGATTCGAAGTTCATAATATTTTTTTTTTTTTTTGAGATGGAGTCTCGCTCTGTCACCCAGGCTGGAGTGCAGTGGCACAATCTCAGCTCACTGCAACCTCCACCTCCCAGGTTCAATGCTTCAGCCTCCCGAGTAGCTGGGATTACAGGCTCCCGCCACCACGTCCAGCTAAGTTTTGTATTTTTGGTAGAGACGAGGTTTCACCATGTTGGCCAGGCTGTTCTCAAACTTCTGACCTCAGGTGATCCACCTGTCTCGGCCTCCCAAAGTGCTGGGATTACAGGCGTGAGCCACTGCGCCCAGCCTCATAATTTTTTTTTTTAAGCAAGGTCTTGCGCTGTCATCTGGGCTGGAGTGCAGTGGTGCAATTACAGCTCACTGCAGTCTCAACCTCCTGACCCCAGGTGATCTTCCTATCTCAGCTTCTTGAGTAGCTGGGACCACAGGTGTGTACCACCATGCCAAGCTAATTAAAAAAATTTTTTTTTTAGTGATGGGGTCTCGCTGTGTTGCCCAGGCTGGTTTTGAAGTCTTGGGCCCAAGTGATCCTCCTGCCTTGGCCTCTCAAAGTGCTAGGATTACAGGCATGAGCCACTGCGCCCAGCTCATAATTTTTTTTAACTGATATTTCCCTAAATATAAAAACCAAGAATAACCCTCACTTTTGACACTATATGTTATGATGAGAGCCTTAGCTGCTTTTTATTTCAAGACATTCTCCCCACTTCACTGCTACAGGTTGACCATCCCGAGTCCAAAAATCTGAAACCTGAGGTACTCCGAAGTCCAAAACTTTTTGAGGGCTGATATGACGCCCAAAGGAAATGATGAGTGGAGCATTTTGTATTTTGTGTTTTTGGATCTGGGATGCTTAACTGGTAAGTATAATGCAAATATTTTAAAATAAAGATCAGAAATTCAAAACACTTCTGGTCCCCAGCATTTTGGATAAGGGATACTCAACCTATAGTCTTTGCTCACTTTGTCTGTGGTTATAATCTCAGAGTATAAAGCTACTTATTTATTTTTTTCTTTAAGACAGGGTCTCCCTCTGTCACCCAGGCTGGAATGCAGTGGCATGATTATAGCACACTGCAGCCTCAAACTCCTGGACTCAAGTGATCCTCCCACCTCAGCCTCTGGAGTAGCTAGGACTAAGGTACGCGCCACCATGCTTGGCTAATTTTAAATTTTTTTTGTAGAGATGGGGGTCTCACTATGTTGCCAGGGCTGGTCTTGAACTTCTAGCTTCAAACGAAGCTTCCACTTTGGCCTCCCAAAGTGCTGGGATTACAGGCATGGGCCACCATGCCTGGCCAAGTTATTTTTAATATTATGTGTCTGTTATTTTACTACTTCTTCTTTTTTTATTTATTACCCACCCATGAATGTATGTATATGTTATTTTAGTCATGATTTGTAACACTAACAGCCTCTTTAAAAATTTATTATTATATTTCTAAACAACTTTATTGAGCTATAATTAAAATATAATAACTACATATATTTAAAATGTACAATTTAGGTGGGGTACGGTGGCTCACACTTGTAATCCCAGCACTTTGGGAGGCTGAGGCGGGTGGATCACTTGAGGTCAGGAGTTCGAGACCAGCCTGGCTAACACGGTGAAACCCCGTCTCTACTAGAATACAAAAATTAGCTGGGCATGGTGGTACATGCCTGTAATCCCAGCTACTTGGGTGGCTGAGGCAGGAGAATCACTTGAGTCAGGAGGTAGAGGTTGCAGTGAGCCAAGATGGCGCCACTGCACTCTAGCCTGGGCAACAGAATAAGACTCCATCTCAAAAAAAAAAAGTACAGTTTACTGAGTTTTGACATATGTATACATCTGTGAAACCACAGTACAATCACTATGGACATATTCATCACTCTCAAACATTTCCTCATGTCCCCTTGTAATTCCTCCTCTCGCCTCTCCCTGATTCCCCACCCTCACCCCCAAGCAACCACTGGTCTGCTTTCTGTCTCTATGGATGTTTATATTTTCAAGGATTTTGTATAAAGAATAATAAAATTTGGCGAGATGCAGTGGCTTACGCCTGTAATCCCAGCACTTTGAGAGCTCAAGGGAGGGCAGATCACCTGAGGTCGGGAGTTCAAGACTAGCCTGGCTAACATGGTGAAACTCCATCTCTACTAAAAATTAGCCAGGTGTGGTGGCGAATGCCTGTAGTCCCAGCTACGTGGGAGGCTGAGGCAGGAGAATCTCTTGAACCAGGGAGGCGGAGGTTGCAGTGGGCTGAGATCGTGCCACTGCACTCCAGCCTGGGTGACAGAGCCAGACTCCATCTCAAAAAAAAAAAAAGATTAATAAAGTTTTATACAAAGAACAGTATATATTCTTTATTGTCTTGTTTCTTTTCATTGAGCATAATTATTTTGAGGTTCATCCACATTATTGGTGGTATCAGTAGTTCATTCCTTTTTTTTTATTGGTATGTGGTATGAATATACCACAGTTGTTTACCAGTTCACCTGTTGATGAACATTTAGGTTGTTCCTAGTGTTTGGATATGACAAATAAAGCAACTATATACATTGATGTACAACATGTATAAGTCTTTGTGTGGACATGTGCTTTCATTTCTCTCAGGTAAATATCTTTTCAACTTTTTTTTTTAAGACGGAGTTTCGCTGTTGTTGCCCAGGCTGGAGTGCAATGGCACAATCTCGGCTCACCGCAACCTCTGCCTCCCGGGTTCACACGATTCTCCTGCCTCAGTCTCCTGAGTAGCTTGGATTACAGGCATGTGCCACCAAGCCCAGCTAATTTTGTATTTTTAGTAGAGACAGGGTTTCTCCATGTTGGTCAGGCTGGTCTCAAACTCCCAACCTCAGGTGATCCACCCGCCTCAGCCTCCCAAAGTGCTGGGATTACAGGCGTGAGCCACCACACCCGGCCGACTTTTGTTTTTGAGACAGAGTCTTGCTCTGTCGCCCAGACTGGAATGCAGTGACAGGATCTCAGCTCACTGCAACCTCCACCTCCTGGGCTCAAGCGATTCTTCTGCCTCAGCCTCCTGAGTAGCTGGGACTACAGGTGCCTGCCACCATGCCCAGCTACTTTTTGTGTTTTTTCATAGAGACTGGGTTTTGCCATGTTGCCCAGGGTGATCTCGAACTCCTGGGCTCAAGCAATCTGCCTGCCTTAGCCTCCTAAAGTGCTGGGACCACAGGCATGAGCCACCGGGCGTGGCTTAACTTTATTTTTGGAGACTGTGTCTCATTCTGTTGCTTGGGATGGAGTGCAGTGGCATGATCACGGCTCACTGCAGCCTCGACCCCCCTGGGCTCAAGTGATCCTCCCATCTCAGTCTCCCGAGTAGCTGGTACTACAGGCATAAACCACCATGCCTGGCTAAATTTTTTTGTATTTTGTAGACAAGGTGTCTCCATGTTGCTCAGGCTGGTCTCAAACTCTTGGGCTCAAGCATTCCTGAGCCCAGGAGTTTGGCAGGCTGAGGCCTGCCTCATCCTCCCAAAGTGCTGGGATTATAGGCATGAGCCACTATGCCCAGCCACCTTTTTAACATTTTTTTTTTTTGAGACAGAGTTTTGGTCTGGTTGCCGAGGCAGGAGTGTGATGGCGTGATCTTGGCTCACTGCAGTCTGTACCTCCCGGGTTCAAACGATTCTCCTGCCTCAGCCTCCCGAGTAGCTGGGATTATAGGCATGCACCACCATGCCAGGCTAATTTTTGTATTTTTAGTAGAGATGGGGTTTTGCCATGTTGTCAGGCTGATCTCGAACTCCTGGCCTCAGGTGATCTGCCCACCTCGGCCTCCCAAAGTGCTGGGATTACAGGCGTGAGCCACCATGCCTGGTCTTAACTTTTTTTTTTGAGACGGAGTTTTGCTCTTGTTGCCCAGGCTGGAGTCAATGGTGCAACCTCAGCTCACTGCAACATCTGCCTCCTGGGTTCAAGTGATTCTCCTGCCTCAGCCTCCTAAGTAGCTGGGATTACAGGCACCTGCTACCATGCCTGGCTAATTTTGTATTTTTAGTAGAGACAGGGTTTCACCATGTTGGTCAAGCTGGTCTCAAACTCCTGACCTCAGGTGATCCATCTGCCTTGGCCTCCCAAAGTGTTGCGATTACAGGCATGAGCCACTGCACCCGGCCTACCTTTTTAACTTCTTCTTTTTTTTTTCTTTGAGTCTGTGTTTCACGCTTGTTGCCCAGGCAGAAGTGCAATGGCACGATCTCAGCTCACTGCAACATCCGCCTCCCAGGTTCAAGCGATTCTCCTGCCTCAGCCTCCCAAGTAGCTGGGATTACAGGCATGTGCCACCATGCCTGGCTAATTTTTGTATTTTTAGTAGAGATGGGGTTTAATCATGTTGGCCAGGCTAGTCTCGTACTCCTGACCTCAGGCGATCCACCCGCCTCAGCCTCCCAAAGTGCTGGGATTACAGGCGTGTGCCACTGCTCCTGGCTTACCTTTTTAACTTTTAAAGAAATCCCTGCCAAATTGTTTTCCAAAGTGGTTGTACCACAGTCCCACCAATTGTGAATGAGAGTTACAGTTGGTGTGCATTCTTACCAATACTTTATATGATGAGTCTTTTACCTTTTAGCCATTATAGTAAGTATGTAGTGGTATGTCATTGACTTTTTTTTTTTTTTTTTTTTTTTTTTTGAGACAGAGTCTTACTCTGTTACTCTGTCGCCCAGGCTGGAGTGCAGTGCCATGATCTCGGCTCACTGCAACCTTCACCTCCTAGGTTCAAGTGATTCTCCTGCCTCAGCCTCCCGAGTAGCTGGGACTACAGATACATGCCACCATGCTGGGCTAATTTTTGTATTTTTAGTAGAGACGGGGTCTTACCATGTTGGCCAGGCTGGTCTCGAGCTCCTGACCTCAAGTGATCTGCCTGCCTCAGCCTCCCAAAGTGCTGGGATTGCAGGCGTGAGCCACTGCGCCTGGCCCTCATTGGTATTTTATTTGCATTTTCCTAATGACTAATTTGGTACAAATCCTGTATTCACATTTGATGAAATCTGTCAGCAAGCTTGAAATAGGATGGTGATATAGTTTGGATATTTGTCCTCACCCAAATCGCATGTTGAAATGTAATCCCAGTGTTGGAGCTGGGGCCTAGTGGGAGGTGTTTGGATCATGGGGGCAGATCCCTTTTGAATGGCTTAGGCCATCAACTGAGTCATAAGTGAGCTTTTGTTCTGAGTTCACACGAGATCTGTTTGTTTAAAAGTGTGTGGCAGAGGCCAGGGTAGGAAGATCACTTGAGCCCAGGAGTTCAAGACCAGCCTAGCCTGGGCAACATAGTGAGACCTTGTCTGGATTCATTAAAAAAAAAAAAAAAAGTGTATGGCACCTTCCCCATAATCTCCCTCTCTCTTGCTCCTACTCTTGCCATATGACATGCCTGTTCCTCCTTTGCCTTCTGCCATGATTGTAAGCTTCCTGAAGCCTCCCCAGAAACTGAGCAGATGCCAGCACCATGCTTCCTGTAAAGCCTGCAGAACAGTGAGCCAATTAAACCTCTTTTCTTTATAAATTACCCAGTCTCAAGTATTTATAGCAATGCAAAAATGGCTTAATGTAGATGGAATATACTCAGCCTCATAAAGAATATCTGTAAAAGCCCTACTGCTAACAACACACTTAGTGGTGAAATACTAAATGTTTTCCCCCTAAGACTGGGAATAAGGCAATGATGTTTGTTCTCATCACCTATTCGACATTCTACTGGAGGTTCTAGCCAGTGCAATAAGAGAGAGAAAAAAAAAGCCATCTAAATTGGGAAGGAAGTAATAAAACTCCTTTTATTCATAGATGACATGATCATCTATGTAGAAAATTGGATGGATTCTCCAAAAAAGCTATTAGAACTTATAAGTGAGTTCAATAAAGTTGCAAGGTCAATATACAAAAGTCAATATTTCTATTTCTTAGCAATGAGCAATCAAATTGAGATAAATAATGCCAATTACAATACCATCAAAATATGAAATAGGGATAAATCTGATAGAAGACATAACATCTGTACATTGAAAATGACAAAACATTGCTAAGAGAAATTAAAAGACTAAATAAGCAAAGAGATTATACTACATTCATATATTGGAAGACTCAATATTGTTTATTTTTTTGAGTTGGAGTCTCACTCTGTTGCTTGGGCTGGAGTGCAGTGGTGTGATCTCGGCTCACTGCAACCTCTGCCTCCCAGGTTCAACTGATTCTTGTGCCTCAGCCTCCCATGTAGCTGGGATTACAGGCACATGCCACCACACCCGGCTACTTTTTGTATTTTTAGTAGAGATGGGGTTTCACCATGTTGGCCAGGCTGGTCTCAAACTCCTGACCTCAAGTGATCCGCCCACCTCAGCCTCCCAAAGTGCTGAGATTACAGGCATGAGCCACCGCACCTGGCTCAATATTGTTAACATATTTATTTTTTAAATTCAGGTATAATCACACACAGTGAAATGTACTGACCTTAAGAATACAGTACAATGAGTTTTGACAAATGTGCACACCTGTATAACACAAACCCTTATCATGATAGAACACATTTTCATTATTTCAGAAGGTTTCCTTTTAACTCATCCTACTCAATCCCTGCTTTCCCAGAAACAATTGTTTTGAATTCTTTCACCATAGATTAGTTTTGCCTGTTCTAGAATTTCACACAAATGACTAACATCCAACTTTAAACCAAATTTACAACAATGATTTATAATTTAGACTTCACCGGTTTATTGCTCATTTTCAATCCTTTTATAGTACCTCAACTTCCCCATTTTTGAATTTTGTATTTTGATTCCTCTCCAGATAGTTAATGTGTCTTGAAAAATTTTTTGAAAATGGTATGTAGATGATTTTTTTTTTTTTTTTTGAGACAGAGTCTTGCTCTGTCGCCCAGGCTGCAGTGCAGCAGCATGATCTTGGCTCACTGCAACCTCTGCCTCCTGGGTTAAAGTGATTCTCCTGCCTCAGCCTCCTGAGTAGCTGGGATTACAGGCATGTGCCACCACACCCAGCTAATTTTTGTATTTTAGTAGAGATGTGGTTTCACCATGTTGGCCAGGCTGGTCTCGAACTTCTGACCTCAAGTGATCAGCCTGCCTCGGCCTCCTAAAGTGCTGGGATTAGAGGCATGAGCCACTGCGCCCGGCCATGATCTATTTTCTGAACCTATATGTATGAGAGAATGACATTCTCTTGCCTCTATATTTGGACAATGACTTGGTTGGCATAAGTTTCATGACCTGGTTCCACTGTCTGGAGAGTATGAGGTCACCTTGACTTTTGTTCCTTTGAAGGTAACCTTCTTTTTTTGCCTGGATGCTTTTGGATATTTTCTTTCTTCTTTTTGTCTTCATTTTCGAAATTCAAATCCTGGCATTCTCCAAGGCAGAGATATGGACGTGTCTTAACAGGAAAAAGTTGGCATCTTATTGTTCCTGGTAAAGCATTATTGAATAATGAGATGGGAACTGAAATGGTCTTGTGCATCCAACTGTCTGCTGTAACCTAAAGTAGTCACCTTGGGCATTTGGGCTGAGACACTTCAGGGCTGTTGCCTTTATCAAATGGCTTTGGGAGCTCCTCTTTGCTTTGAGGACCTGCCCTCAACTCTGCCAAATTCTCATCCCCAAAAGTGCATTTGGGTTTTGGAAACGACCAAAGGGAATTTGGTACTAAACTCTGGTGAAAGAGACATCTTATGGCCAGGAAAAATAGTCCTGTAATGTAATAATTCTAAAACTTACCAAAGTTAATTCTCAGAGAGGAATTTTTAAAAGTTGCCTTAGTAATCAAGCCTCTGTATCTTCGCATGTGCCATTCATGCTGCCTAAAGTACCCTTCCTAGTTGCTTGGGCTTGGACCCCTACAACTTGAGCAGAGCAAGGGGCACTCCACTTCCATTTCCAGAATGCTCCACAGTGTACACTTTCTCACTCCTCCACCATGCTGTGAGCAAGTAAGGAAAGGTTTTTTTCCTTTCGAGTCTTTGGTACATTGCACATAGTAGAGGTATATTAGTCGGTTTTGCATTGCTATAAAGGAGTACCTGAGACTGAGTAATTTATGAAGTAAAGAGTTCTACAGGCTATACAAGCATGGCACCAGCATCTGTTCTGCTTCTGGTGAGGGCTCAGGAAGCCTCCGCTCATGGCTGAAGGCAAAGGGGGAGCAGGCGTGTCACATGGTGAGAGAGGGAACAAGAGAGACAGCAGGAGGTGCCAGGCTCCTTGAAACAACCAGCTGTCCTGTGAAGTAACAGAGAGAGAACTCACTCATTACCACTGGGATGGCACCAAGCCATTCATGAGGGTTCTGGCCCCATGACCCAAACACCTCCCATCAGGCTGTACCTCCAACATTGGGGATCACATTTCAACATGAGATTTGGAGGGGATAAACATCCAAACCATATCAGTAGGTCTCAATACATGTTTGTGACAATGAAGAAAGTTTATGTGTTAGAAAACAATATGACCTCCTAAGCTTATTGTCATGAAGCAGTTAGCAGTCATTTGGATGTATTAAGTTATGGCGAATGTGTTTGAAGCAAGAACAAATTGCCTCCCGTTGCATTACTCTTACTCATTATAGACAGTCACATGCTGGCAAATGTTTAACAATCAGCTCCCTGGAAGGGGAAAAACAGCCCTGATTTGTAGTGTTTGACCATTTCTGTAGTGTAAATATTCCCACTGTGGCTGATTTCAATCTACCAGTGGGATGTCAGCTGGCTAGCAAAATCCCTGAACATGCAAAATGTTGGCTCTTGCAAGCCAGTAGAAGGTGGCTGAAGCTGGTTCCAATGCACCATTGTACACATTCTACACCTCTTTTGTTTTTCCATCATCACCCAGTTCATTTGCGTGCTCCTTGTACAGCACATGTCTATGACTATATTTTATCCCTTGCATCAATCTGATACTATTTTTATCTTCATTTTACAGGTAGTAAAATAAGGCCCAGAGACAAAGGGACTTGTCCAAGGTGGCAAAGCTTTCCTGTCTATTCCTGGGTTCAGTTTCTCACTGTAGCTCCCTGCCTGGAGCCCGACACTGCAAGGGACTAGAGAGATGTCTTCTTTGCCCAGTTTTCTTTTCTCTGATGTTGAGGGAAGGACCCAAGCACCCTGTGCTTGCCACCAGCTCTCATGCCCAGGACATTCCTGCTGGCAGCTGAGCTGTGATGAATGCTGGCATTTGTCTTGTTCACTTGCTACCTGATAAACAGGTGACAGGGAGTTTAACAACTTTCATTAGACGGGGATCAGCTCTCACTCTCATGGCCTAATTCAGGATCTGGACAGTGTCATGTTGTCTGACAGCCAAGTGAAGTGATGGGTCCCCCTTTACAGTTTAGGATTTTAATTATTTTCTTCCAGGTGAGTCCCAGGAACATCCAGCCAAAGGCAAGTTCTTTGGGAGCCCAAGCTCATGGCAGTGACAGCTCCCCCAGGAGACGAGAGGTGAAACTGATGCCTGCTTCCTGCTATGTTATTTTGTCTTTAACACTTGCCAGTTTCTGGGCTTGTTGAAGGCCTATGTTAGGGACTGTGTGAGACTTTCTGAGAGATCACCACCTAGATATGTGATGTCACACAAAGTGAGTATTGTAATGGACCTCAGTGATCTAGCTCGAAACCTCTTGCTTACAGACGAGGAAACTGAGGCTCAGAGAGGGGAAGTGGTTTGCTCAAGGTCAAGCGGCAATGACTGGCAATGCCAAAAGTTGGCCCCAAGGCTTCTGACTCCCCACTCCGTGCCCTTCCCTCACCCTAAATGTCTCAGAGAGCATGAACCTGTGCCCTTTATCGGAGGAGGGCAGAGACGGCTCAGCCTGAGCCCATGGGAGTTCAGCCCAGTTCCCTGCTTCCTGGGTTTGTCCAGCCTACTCTGAAGAGGCCAGGCCACCTGCCTATTCCACCTGGCATGTCCTGCTTAGGTGAATCAAGCTGTACCAGGATGAGGAAGCCACAGAGTCACTTCCCAGAAGGGAATAATGCTGTGTGCTAGAGGATGATGGGGTGGGAGAGATGGGAACAGACTTGGACTTGCTGTTCCTAGGGTGCTGAGGCTGAGATTCCTGAGGTGGGGGAGGCCCTGCCCTTCACTGTGGCTGTTTTCCATCTGGGCATTGACTGTGTCTGCTAAATGGGACATGCCCAGCAATGTCCTTCTGCCGTGACACCTTTGGTGAATTTCCAGGCATATTAGAACTGAGCCAGTGGTAGCTTTGGCTCCTCAGCTCTTCTGCTGCAGTGGCTGGCTGTCCTCAGGACAGCTGGATTGGATTGGGCATTGTTCTAGCAGATCTGGGATGTTCCAGGAACCGCACTATAAATTCTGTTGAGTATTGGCTGAGTGTGCCAGGAAGGGCAGGGGGCCAAGGACTTGGATCCATTTGGCAAAGTTACTCTCAGCACCTCTTGAAGAAAGCACTAGAGAGAGAGGGGCTCAGAACCTTGCCTGGGCAGGGTCAGTGGGGAAGCAGTGGGTCAAGGGAAGATAACATGATGGCATGCTTCATGATTTACCATGTGTTTTCCCATATATTATTTCATCTAATCCTTGCAATAGCCCTATTGTCATTTCCATTTTAAAACTGAAGAAATGGGGACACAGAAAGATGAAATGACTTTGCCCAGCACACTTTGGAGTCAGATTTGAATCCCACCTGTCACTATCCACCTGTGGGATCTTGAGCAAGTTAGGTTACCTTTCTGAGCCTTGATTCCTGCCTGTACAAAGGGGATAATGCTGCTCACATGGAGGTTTGTTTAGGCAGCACAGCACTTGCCTGGAGCAAGAGGCCAGGGACTGACTTTTTCCTTTTCCCCTGACCTCAAATCACACAGCCCAAGACAGTGGAGTTGGGCCTGGGATTGAACTTCTATTCCATTTTTAGTGTCTTCTCCCCCTTACTCTTTGGTATATGTGAGATAAAGCTGGCAGTTTTGGAAAAGGAATTCTTATTAAGAAATAAAGGGGAAACATGGAAATAGACATGAAGGTGTGAAGGGCAAAATGCTGACGCCATGTCTGTGTAATGTGGAGCTCAGGCTGGCGTGCCCGGGGCTCTCCCACCTCCACCCCTGCTCTTTTGTCTCCTCTCAGCATGTCTGGCTGGCCCAGACTTGCAATATGCCCACAGGCTGGTCCTCCAGGGTTCCAGGGGCCCTCCCAGAAGCTTCCCCCACCTGCTCTGGGTGTGGGCCCTATGAATGGGATCAACAATGAATGGTCTGAGCCTACCTTGAACTGGGAGTGTGGCCAACCAAAATCAGCCCTGCACAGGCTCGGTGTGTCCTTTGGTGGCCCTGGGGCCCCGAGTGAGTGGCTCCTCAGCACACCTCAGGACTCGAACCCCTTCCCACCATGGCCACAGGTAGTTTTTTGTTTGACAACAGAGGTGAATCTGGAAGGTCCACACTCAGGATGTATAGGCCATGTAAGCATGAGTGAGGTGCAACTTAAGCCTTGGTCATACCTGGTTTCCTTCTGTCAATCATTCTTCATGGGCTCCATTTTCATGACATCTGGTGGGATTGAACTTGACCAGCTCAAAAATTGGTATTGTCAATTATGGTCAACTTCCATTAAGCCAAACCTAGTATGGAGCTTGGAGCCCATTCATTCATTCATTTAACCAAGGAGTATCTATCACCCATTATACATGAATCAGGACATATAAGGTTGAACAAAACCCAGCCCTTGCCTTTGGGGAGCTCACAGATCAGTAGGGGTAACAGACAAGAAAATACAACCGTGTGATAACAGGGATGATAATACTTTCAGGAGGAGGGAGGGTGAAGTGATGTGACAGTGACTTGCAGAGTCTATGGAATTAGATGAGCTGACTCCTGCAAGCCAAGCAGGCCATCGTGACCCTTCCCTATGTAGTTGCTGCCATTGGGACTTACCCAGGTGTGATGGGAGATGGAAGGAGCTTGGGGCACACAGCAGTGCCACCTCATGTATGCCCTCATTCTTCCACCCTCTTTCTCGGGGTAGTTTGACTCATCTGAGCCTGGGTTTCCTCCACTTACATCTCAGGGAGGGGTTTGACCTTGCCTAGTGCTGGCCGGATGGATGGTCAGCTCCATATCTTGGCGCTGTGACTTCCTGGGACCCGCCTTTGCTTCCAGGAGTCCATGTTTCTTCTGGTCACTGATTTAGCCACTGCAGTCACCCCTGCCCCAACTCCTGGCAAGGGTTATGGATTTTATTCAGTACACAATGTACACAGTTTTGGTCTTAGGATATAGTGACCTATGGCTGTCTGCCCATAATTAGGTCCTTATTTCATGTTATTTGGTACTTTTTGCTGAATAGCCTGGGCAGGCCCTTTTACTATGGCTTTGGTCTCACCCCTTGGATGACCATTTTGGTGCTGTGCTCTCCATTCTGAACTTTTTTTTGAGAGGGGGTCTGGGTCTTGCTATGTTGCCCAGGCTGGTCTCAAACTCCTGGGCTCAGGAGTCCTCCCACCTCAGCCTCCGAGTAGCATTCTGAACATTTTGCTCCCAGTTCCTAGGGCTTGCCAGGCTCCTGCTCACCTTTGCTTACCTTTGTGTGTACTGTTTCTCTCCTGGAACGCTCTTGCCCCTTCTGCTCTCCTGGCCAACTCTTCCTCTTGCTTTGGTTCCGTGTCACTTCATTCTCTGGCTTTGCTACTCCTTCCCCAAGGTGAGGTGTCCTTGCTCTGGAATTCTACAGCATGCTCTGTCTAGCCTCACCATCTCCTGGGAAAGTCTATGTAACTGTCCTCCCTGCAACCCTCTGAGCTCTCTGGTCCCTCTTACTGATGCAACTCCTAGCATTTCTCATGTGGCCGGTGGGCAGTAAATGTTGAAAAAGTGAATAAGAGAGTGAATCCACCACTGGTCAGGAGGCCATAATTAGGACCATGAAAGAGCCTGGGCTCTGGGGCACATGGATCCATTAGCTCAGGTCCCAGACACACAGTGGTGGTGTGGCCACATTGATGTTGTCTCTTTTCCAGGCATCAGGAAGCTGAGCAGGTGATGAAAGCCAGAGCGGCTGAGCCCTAGCCTGTGTCCCCGCCTTATCTCCTCAACCCCATTCTCCTCCTCCCATCCCTTCCTCCTGCCTCGGTGGTGAGTCTTTCCGTGCTTAGCTGCTCACTAGTGCCCACCCCCATCTATGGCCCTGCCACATTAACTAGCCCCTCTCTCTCATGTTTTCCAATTTCTCCATCCTCGCCTGTCCTGAAACAGCTTTCCTTCTGCTGACCCCTCCAGTATCATCTCAGTTATTTTGTCCCCTTTACTCCTGAACACTTTGCAATTTGACCTCTGCTCCTGTCTCTACTGAAACTGCTTCTTGAAGGTCACCCACCACTGACAGCGTCTTTAGTTCTCCCTCATGACCAGTCTGCATCAGCCGACCAACTCACCCACTCCACTCCCTCTCTCTTGAATTCACTTTTTTGGTTCTCCTGCCTTTCTGCTCCTGCCTTTTCTATTTCTGACTCCTCCTCTTGTTGGGGTGATCAGACCCAACACCAGGTCGTAGGGGTGACAAAATCCGGCAAATTCAAAGGATTGAGAAAAAGAGTTTGAGAGAGAAAGGTGGGATCAGGGGGCCATCGCGATTGTGGAGGCTGCAAAGGCCCTGAGCTCTGGGACCCTGTGGTATTTATTAGTAATCCAACAAAGAAACAGGTGGTGAGAATGTGGAGGTCAAAAGGGCAGGCACATGATCTATAGCTGTGATGGTTTAGCATTTATAAGGAACATTTTCTGCTACTTGAGATAGTGAGAGTAGGTTCTTTTAACTCAAGATACAATTGATCCTGGGAGAGCAAGGAGCCAGCAAGTCTAGACACATTCCAGAGCCATGAGCCCTGGATTCTATCCAAGTCACGAGGGATTTTATGCCCTGGGCTTAGATTATGGTGCGTCAGGGTAGCCTTCCACCCTTTAGCACAGAGCTTGGTGTTCCAAAGGCCACAAGGGGTTTTAGACCCTGGACCCCGGACATGTTCCAAGACTCTTTTACATTGTGTCAGACATGCAAACCCTGCCTCAGCTTCTCCTAACACTCAGCTTTTCCCAACATCCTCTCTTCTTGTCCTAGAAATACAGGTGTTCCTCAGGCCCTGCCTTCTGTTCTCTCTTTTGCCTCCTTCCTTGGTGAGATCACCTTAATATGGATGACTCTGGAGTTTTCCTGTCTTTACATGGGCGTCCTATGCGCTGTATTCGGAGTGGCTTCATGTTGGCTCTTGAAGCGTGCTTCTTCCGTAACGGGCTCCCTTCCATCACTCACACTGGAACAGGGTACCTGGCCGAGACCCAACCTTCAGATTTTTGAAGACTTGGTAAACTGAAAAGGGAAAAACTGCTATGGAAAAGTTGCAAGGAATTTTTATATTTAGAGGTGGTGAGATCAATTCCCTTTAGGATCAGGGAGTCTCTTCGTTTCAGAAAAATTGCCCAAAGGAGCCCTTTCATTACGCACATATGAAGTAAGCACTTACCCAGTGCTTGGGCAGAATGCAGTCCCAGGATACCTGAGTGCACTAGCTTTGATCCATCATTCTGTTTGGCAACATCATCTCTTGTGCGTAACTGAGCCGGAGCTCTGCCTCTGAGCCATTCTTACTTTTTTTTTTTTTTTTTTTTGGGACAGAGTTTGCCCAGGCTGGAGTGCAGTGGCACGATCTTGGCTCACTGCAATCTCCACCTCCTGGGTTCGAGCGATTCTCCTGCCTCAGCCTCCTGAGTAGCTGGGATTACCATGTGCCACCAAGCCTGGCTAATTTTTTTGTGTTTTTTAGAGATGGGGTTTCCCCATGTTGGCCAGGCTGGTCTCAAACTCCTGTCCTCAAGTGATCTGTCCACTTTGGCCTCCCAAAGTGCTGAGATTATAAGCGTGAGCCACCATGCCCGGCCCATCCTCACTTTTGGGGAGTTGGGGGAAGGAAAACTATTTCTTGAATCTGTAGGAATTTAGAGGACGCTGAGCTGCAGACTGCTGTTTGTCTTGTGGGATTGAGTGTTCTTGTAGGCCAGTGGTTTGTGGGGTGTCCAGAGCTGAGGTGACAAGAACTGCTGGTAGGACCCATGGATGTGATGCGCTCATACTTTGTCTTGGAGGACAGACTAAAGCCAGAGCTGTCTGGACCCAGTGCAGTAGCGCCTGAATGGGATGGGCCGCAGGTGGCCTGTTTGTGGTCATGTTGTCTGTCTCCCACTGGACTGTAGGCAGCATGAGGGCAAGCACCATGCTTCTCCAGTGTCTAGCTCACACAGCACCTGGCCAATCCCTGCCGATTGAATGAAAGATGAATGAATATTGTGGGCTGCTGTACTTGGGGCCATAGAGCAAGAGCACCCTCTCTTGGTAGGGCTGGGGTTTCTCCGGAAGGATCCATAATCCTGGGAAAAGAATGCTCTTCAATGGGAAAGGTGGGCTGTCCCTGGCTACTGGGGAACCTCTTTATTTCCTCTGTGGGCTGGCTGGGAGCTCATCGTGGTGGTGGGCCTGGGGCCCTGAGAGTAGCGCCATCTCTAGTAGCTGGAGCTGTTTCTCCTCGGCCTTGTGCTTTCCTTCCGTGATCCTTAGTAAGAGTCTGAGGTGTGGCCTATGGAACTGCCCCTCACATTTGTGGGGCTGGAACAAGAGGCCTACATACTAGATGTCTAAACATTCAAAAATTATAAATAAGCCAGGCTCACGCCTGTACTCTTACCTACTAGGAAGGCTGAGGTGGGAGGGTTGCTTGAGCCTAGGTGTTTGAGTTCAGCCTGAAGAACATAGTGAGACCCTGTCTCAAAAAAAAAAAGTTATAAATAAAACTAACAAACTGTTAAATAAATAAAATGTGGCTGGGCGCAGTGGCTCACGCCTGTAATCCCAGCACTTTGGGAGGCCGAGGCAGGTGGATCACCTGAGATCAGGAGTTCGAGACCAGCCCGGCCAACATAGTAAAACCCCATCTTTACTGAAAGTACAAAAATTAGCTGGGCGTGGTGGCTCATGCCTGTAATCCCAGCTACTCGGGAGGCTGAGGCAGGAGAATCACTTGAACCGGGGAGGTAGAGGTTTGCAGTGAACCAAGATTGCAACACTGCAGTCCAGTCTGGGCAACAAAGTGAGACTCTGTCTCAAAAAAAAAAAAAAAAAAAAAAATATATATATATATATATATATATATATTCACATATATATTCATATGTTCATATATATGTATATATATTCTAACCTCCTACTTTGACAAATATACCTTTATAATGACAAAGCTGAAAAATATGTAACTCAAAGTTGCCAACATATCAAAATTGATTGAATTTAATTATTGTTGTATATGTCTAGATGTTCTATTAATGTGCCAGAGATGATTGCATAAGTAATGAAGGTAAATGTCACTTATAAATTATTCTATTTTTCCATAACGTTTATTTTTCTTGCCTTTATTTTAGAAAATCACAAATTATATTAATTTGATGAAGATCTTCACCTAATTTGTGTGCTGTTGATAGTAATGATCTAGATAAAAGTATAAAAGTCATTTTTTCTAAAAAGTATAGAATCTGAATATTTTTCATTAAAATATACATTGCAATAAATGTAAAACACTAAGAAATTAAGGCTGGGCGAGGTAGCTTTGGGAGGCTTAATTTTGGGAGGCCAAAATTAAGCACTTTGGGAGGCTGAGGCGGGTGGATCACCTGAAGTCAGGAGCTCAAGACAAGCCTGGCCAACAAGGCAAAACCCCGTCTCTACCAAAAATACAAAAATCAGCCGGGCGTGATGGCGCATGCCTGTAGTCCCAGCTACTTGGGAGGCTGAGGCATGAGAATCGCTTGAACCTGGGAGGTGGAGGTTGCAGTGAACCGAGATCGCGCCACTGCGCTCCAGCCTGGGTGACAGAGCGAGACTCCGTCTCAAAAAAAAAAAAAAAAAAAGAATGAATAAGATCTAGTATTTGCTAGCACGACAGGGCGAATATAGTAAAACAAAATTGTACATTTAAAAATAACAAAACCTAGGCAACATGGCAAAACTCTGTTTCTACGAAAAACACACAAAAATTAGCAAGGTGTGCCGGTGTGTGTCTGTAATCCTAGCTACTCAGGGGGAGCTGAGAGGTGGAAGGATCACTTGAGCCCAGGAGGTTGAGGCTGCAGTGAGCCAAGATTGCTCCACTGCACTCCAGCCTGGGTGACCCTGTCTCAAAAAAAAAAAAAAAAAAAAAGAACAACAAAAAAGCCTAGAACAATATAATTGGATTGTTTGTAACACAAAGGATAAATGCTTGAAGTGATGGATACCCCATTTACCCTGATGTGATTATTGTGTATGGCACGCCTGTATCACTCAGCTCTTATATCTCATGTAACCCACAAATATGTACACCTACTATGTACCCAGAAAAATTAAAAATTAAAAAAAAAGATTAAAAAGAGAGAGGAAAAAAGAGACCTGAGGGAGCTTGTTCCCCTCTTCCGCCACGTGAGGATGCATAGAAGGCACCAGCTATGAGGAATAGGCCCTCATCAGACACTGAATCTGCTGGTGTCTCAATCTTGGACTTCTCAGCCTCCAGAGCTGTGAGCAAGAAATTTCTGTTGTTTATAAATTACCTAATCCAAGATAATTTGTTATAACAATCTGAATAGCCAAAGGCATCAACTTATCTATTAAAATAAAAGGCAAAATATTGGTTTAAATAAATGAATATAAAAAATTGAAAGCAAATTTTTTGAATAAAGACAATTATTCTAAATTTGATTTTACAAAAATTTAAATTTTATTACACGTTTTTACAAAAATAAAACTATTTCCAATTCTAGTATTCAATATCTAGTATTTACCTCACAGCCAATGTAATAATTGAGCTTTATGCATTTACATCTAGGCCTACATATTTACTAATTTAAGAGTAATAAGAATTATTTATTTATTTTTAGGTATTTTGCTAAGCACCATACTCTTTATTATTATTTTAAAATTTCATAGAGGGTCTCACTAATCACTATGCCCAGGCTGGTCTCAAATTTCTGGCCTCAAATGATCCTCCCACCTGAGCTCCCAAGTAGGTGGGATTACAGGCATGTGCCAGCATGCCTGGCTCCATAATACAAATTATTCGATATTGAAAATATTCCTCAACTACTGTGCACAACAGTTAAGAATGCTCTGGTAGTCGACGAATACTTCCATAGTCGTGTTTGAAACAGGAAGGGAAGGAAGAAAACGAACATTCAGCCCTTCTGGTGAAAGATATGTTGTGCTTATATAAAAGGGTTTGACAAATTAATTCATTTGTCTTTTCTTTTACTGAAACAATTCTCCACTGAAATCTTCCCTGTATTCTAAAGCAGAGTTCATCAGCAACATTGGTTGTGCGGCAACCCACACACCTTTACAGCGTTCGGATTTCGTTGCCTTTGTTTTGAAGACATAAGGTGAGAGATGTGCAGAAATGTTAGTCACAAAAGAAGATGTTAGGATTATGTGGTGCCCTGTGCCAGCACTGAGTTCAGCTCCTGAGAGAATGAGGTACCTGCACGTGTGTGTGTGTGTGTGTGTGTTTGAGACAAGGTCTCACTCACTCTGTCACCGAGGCTGGAGTGCAGTGGCATGGTCACAGCTCTCTGCAGCCTCAACCTCCCCAGCTCAAATGATCCTCTCACCTTGACCTCCTAAAGTGCTGGGGTTACAGGCATGAGCCACTGCTCCCAGCCATGTGTGTTTGATTTATTGTAACATTTTCACATACCATAAAATTCATCCATTTAAAGAGAATACTTTAGTGGTTTCTAGTACAATTCGGAGTTGTGCAACCATCACCACCAATTCCAGAATGTTTTCATCAGTACAAGAGAAACCCCGTACTCATTAGCAGTCACTTCCCATTCTCCCCTCCCCAACCCCCTGGCAGCCACTAATCTACATTCTGCCTCTATAGATTTGCCTATTCTGGATGTTTAATATAAATGGAATTGTAGAATATGTGTCCTTTGTGACTTATGTCTTTCACTTAGCACAATATTTTCAAGGCTCCCCCATATTGTAGCAGATGTCAGTACTTCATGGCTGAATGAGATTCCAGTGTATGGATACACCACATTTTGTTTATCCATTCATCAGTTGATGGCCATTAGGGTTCTGGCTATTATGAATAATGCTGCCATGAACATTCATGTACACGTTTTTGTGTGGGCATGAATTTTCAATTTTTTTTTTTTTGAGACAGAGTCTCACTGTGCTGCCCAGGCTGGGGAGCAGTGGTGTGATCTTGGCTCTCTGCAACCTCCACTACCTGGATTCAAGTGATTCTCCTCTCTCAGCCTCCTGAGTAGCTGGGATTATAGGCATGCACAACTATGCCTGGCTAATTTTTTGTTTTTTAATTTTGTGTTTAACTAGAGACAGGGTTTCACCATGCTGGCCAGGCTGGTCTTGAACTTCTGACCTCAAGTGATCTGGCTGCCTCGGCCTCCCAAAGTGCTGGGATTACAGGCATGAGCCACCGCGCCTGGCCATATTTTCAGTTCTTCTGGGGATATACCTAGGAGTGGAATTTCCAAGTCACCTGCGTTCATTAACAATGTTTGTGTGTATGTATGTGTGTGTGTGTGCATGTGTGTGGGTTCAGGGAAGGGTCCTTTTGCTTAAGTTTAAGGGTGGTATTGGCAGCCCATTCTCTGCTGTCCTGTGGGGAATGAAGGAAAGGGCTTTTGTCACACTGGGCTGAGTGGCCAGAAAAGGGTAAAACCAGAATGGTGGCTGTCACTTGTGAGAGATGCCAAATTATAATCTGGGCATTTAACTGAAAAGTGGCTATTCTGTGCTAACATGCTGGTTATAGGGCCATCACCTTCCCAGTCACCCAGCCTAAATTTCATGACACACATTTTGTGTATTAATTTCATGGTATACATTTTGTCTGTGTCATCATCAATAACTCTCGCATCTGCCCCTTCCCTCCACCATCCTAGTTTGGCCTCACGTGGTTCATTACCTCTTGTTTGCTCTTTGTGTTTTCTGATCACAGAAGTAATGCACAGATACACAAACCCAAAAGATTGCAGAAATACAAAATGTAGAAAGCAGAGCCATCCCCATACTGACTCCCCCAGAAATAGCTATCATCAACAATTTAGTGCCTTCTCTTCTGAAACTTTTATACATATTCTAACATATTATCTCTGTTTTAAAACAAAAATAGAACTGTGTATACTGTTCATCCTTGTGTTCCCCCCCCCATCAAAATATATTAGACATCTTCTCATGAAAATACATAGAGGCTCGCATCATTCTTTCAAATAGTGATATGCAGTCTATAGTGTGGCTATATGGTGGTTTATGTAACCAGCCCCATGTTTGTGGATATTTGGGTTGTTTCCAAGTTTCCACCATTATAAACTATGCTGCAACAGTGTTTCTGTATACATATCCTTTCTGCATTTGTGGGAGTTTTTCTGTAGAATAAACTCCCAGAAATGGAAATGCTGGGTCAGAAAATATAAACATTAAATATTTTAAATAAATACTACTACATTTTCCTCTGAAAACTTTATACAGTTTATATTATCATTAACAGTTCCTGCTGGGCACGGTGGCTCATGCCTGTAATCCTAGCACTTTGGGAGGCTGAGGCGGTTGGATTGCCTGAGCTCAGGAGTTCGAGACCAGCCTGGGCAACAACGGTGAAACCCCGTCTCTACTAAAATACAAAAAATTAGCCGGGCGTGGCGGTGTGCGCCTGTAGTCCCAGCTACTCGGGAGGCTGAGGCAGGAGAATCGCTTGAACCCGGGAGGCGGAGGTTGCAGCGAGCTGAGATCGCGCCACCGCACTCCAGCCTGGGCATCAGAGCGAGACTCCATCTCCAAAAAAAAAACAAACAAAAAAAACAGTTCACGAGAATGCTGGTTTCCCTGCCTTTTGCAGGGCTGGATATTATTGATTTTTGTCATTTTTACCAATCTTGGCAGTATGTCTTTTTTTTTTTCTTTTAGACGGTGTCTCACTCTGTCGCCCAGGCTAGAGTGCAGTGGCGCGATCTGGGCTCATGGCAACCTCTGCCTCCTGGGTTCAAGCAATTCTCTTACCTCAGCCTCCTGAGTAGCTGGGATTACAGGCACGTGCCACCATGCCTGGCTAATTTTTGTATTTTTAGTAGAGACAGGGTTTCACTCAGGCTGGTCTTGAACTCCTGACTTTGTGACCCGCTCGCCTTGGCCTCTCAAAGTTCTGGGATTACAGGCGTGAGCCACTGCACCTGGCAGCAGTATGTCTTCTTACCTCCCTTGACATATCATCCCAGCCTCCTAAAAGGTCCCTCTATGCCCAGTTCTTTCCTTTTGTTTTTGTCTTTGATTTTTGTTTTTTGTTTTTAGACGGAGTTTTGCTCTGTTGCCCAGGCTGGAGAGTGCAGTGGTGCCATCTTGGCTCACTGCAGCCTCCACCTCCTGGGTTCAAGCTATTCTCCTGCCTCAGCCTCCTGAGTAGCTGGGACTACAGGCACCCACCACCATGCCTCGCTAATTTTTGTATTTTTAGTAGAGACAGGGTTTCACCATGTTGGCCAGGCTGGTCTTGAACTCCTGGCCTCAAGTGATCCACCCGCCTCGGCCTCCCAAAGTGCTGGGATTACAGGCGTGAGCCACTGCACCCAGCCCCAGTGCTCTCCTTTTGTAATCTGCCCAATACATGGTTCTAATTATGACTTTGCCAACTCTAAAAACCCTTTTGAAAAATTGCAATAGGCCTGTCCAGGACACTTTTCTTCACGCAATCAACAGATAGTTATTGACTATGACCGATGTGCCAGGCATCGTGCTAAGCACTGGAGGCGCAGCATTGAACGGGAATGATAAGGTCTCTGCTGTTGTGGAGTTTAATTGTCATGGTGGGAGACAAATCACAAACACTGGAGAAGCAAAAATTATCAGACTGTTATACATGCAATAATGAGAATTAATATAGGTAGGTGGTGATGGTTACTGGGAGGTTGGGTGGACAAGAAGAAAGTTTCTGAGGAGGAAACACTTAAACTGAGCTCTGAATGATAAGAGCAAAGATGCAGGGAATAGCATGCTAGGCAGAAGGAACAGAATGTGCAAAGGCCAGAAAATAGGAAGGAACTTGGCATGGTGAGGAGTTGAAAGAAGCCAGATTGGCTAGGGTGGGGAGGACATGGTGGTGGAATGGGATGTGATGAGAGTAGAGGCTTAGCCAGGGTCTGGATTGGCACAGTTTTTTGAACCAGGGCAAGGAGATTGAATTTTAAGTGTGATGAGAAGCCACTGGGCAATTCTATTTTTTTTTTTTTTTTTTTTTGAGATGGAGTCTCACTCTATCGCCCAGGCTGGAGTGCAGTGACATGATCTCGGCTTACTGCAACCTCCGCCTCCTGGATCAAGTGATTCTCCTGCCTCAGCCTCCAATGTAGCTGGGATTACAGGCACAGACCACCATGCCTGGCTAATTTTTTTGTATTTTTAGTAGAGATGGAGGGGGCCTCCCTATGTTGCCCAGGCTGGTCTTGAACTCCTGGCCTCAAGTGATCCTCTTGCCTCAGCCTCCCAAAGTGCTGGGATTACAGGCATGAGCCACCACGCCTGGCCACAACAATTCGAATTTTGAATCTGGCCTGATCTGAGTTATGTTTTCAGAAGATCACTCTCACTGGGTGTGGAACATAGATGGTAAATGGGCAAGAGGATCAGCAGGGAGACCCTGTAGGAGAGACTGTGGTGGCCTGGGCATGGGGAAGGCAGTGCAGACAGAAGTGAACAGAATTTGGATGGAGTAACTAGGTAGACAGTGATGTTATTTACTGAGAAGGGGACGACTAAGGGAAGGCTAATCCTGTTCTGTCCAGGAGTAAATTTGAGATACTTATTAAACATTTCCATGGAGATGTCATGTAGGCAGTTGGATATTTTATTTATTTATTTATTTATTTATTTATTTATTTATTTATTTATTAGAGACAGGGTCTTGCTCTGTCACGCGGGCTGGAGTGTGGTGGTACAATCACAGCTCCCTGCAGCCTTGACCTCCTGGGTTCAAGCAATCTTCCCACCTCAGCCTCCCGAGTAGCTGGGATTACAGTGGTGTGCCACCACGCCTGGCTAATTTCGAAATATTCTGTAGAGACGGAGTCTCATTATGTTGGCCAGGCTGGTCTCGAACTCCTGGGCTCAAGTGATTTTCCCACCTTGGCCTCCCAAAGTGCTGGGATTGCAGGCGTGAGCCACCTAGTCTGGCCTTCTACAGAAGTTTTGCTGTGGGCTGGGCGCGGTGGCTCACGCTTGTAATCCCAGCACTTTGGGAGGCCAAGGCAGGTGGATTACCTGAGGTCAGGAGTTCAAGACCAGCCTGGTCAACATGGTGAAACCCCATCTTTACAAAAATACAAAAATTAGCCAGACATGGTGGCATGTGCCTATAATCCCAGGTATTCGGGAGGCTGAGGGGGAAGAATCGCTTGAACCCGGGAGGTGGAGGTTGCAGGGAGCGGAGGTCGTGCCATTGCAATCCAGCCTGGGTGACAGAGTGCGACTCTATCTCAAAAAAAAAAAAAAAAAAAAGAAGAAGAAGAAGGTTTTGCTGTGGATGAGGAGGAAAGGAATGGAGGAGCAGAGGGAGGGGAGATGAGATTGAGGGAGGATTTAAAAAAACGATTCCAGGTTAAGTTCACAAGACGGAGGATTTTAAAATAAGAGATACTAGGACACTATATTGTACACACCGCAGGGTGGATTTGGTAGAAAGGCAGAAATTAACGTGCAGGAGAGAGAAAATGGGCAGAAGTCTGTCCTTGAGACGGGAGAGAGAAGGGGTCCAACACAGGAATGGGTGCAGGGCTGCAGGGACACTGTCTGTCCTCACAGGGGAGGAGCAGAGAGAGTGGGCTTTTTTTTTTTTTAAAACTTAACTATTCTAAATACATATGTAAGAGAGAGGGGTCTTGACACAGGTGGGCTGTAAGTTTTGTGGTATGCAGGGATGAGGTGGTTCCTGCCAGG
This sequence comes from Homo sapiens, assembly GCF_000001405.40. Lineage (NCBI taxonomy): Eukaryota > Metazoa > Chordata > Mammalia > Primates > Hominidae > Homo > Homo sapiens. The sequence goes on along the minus strand of NC_000001.11, from coordinate 154,898,168 downwards.
TAGCATCAGGTTTTCCCCAAGGAATGCCAATGCAAGGTTACTGGCATAGTGGTGTGGGAGTTGTGGGGAGGAGGATGCAGGCCATCTGGGGACTGAGGAGAAGGAATGAACTCATCATGTTGGAGACTGGGGAAATATTCATTCCAAGGAAGTGTGGTAGGATTACTGGGTACTCATTTTATTTTATTCTTTGAGACAGTCTTGCTATGTTGCCCAGGCTGGCCTCGAGCTCCTGGGCTCAAGTGATCCTCCTGCCTCAGCCTCTTGAGGAACTGGGATTACAGGCAGGAGCCACTGCGTCCAGCTTTGGGTGCTCATTTTAGATTGACTTATAAATATCCCCAGCTTTTTCCTCAGAGGGAAGCCTTCTGTGCTTCCTGGCCCAGCTTTCCCGCCCCCATACCTGTGCTCATTCATTTCTTCATTGGGGTTTACTAGGTGGAATCTGAGCCAGAGGGAGGAAAGGAGGAGGCTGGCAAAGAGAGAGGCCACACAGAGTTCCCTGTGTGCTGCTCAGGGGGTCCCACCACAACCCCAGGCAGCCCAGCTCAGGGGGTCCCACTACAATCCCGGGCAGCCAAGCTCAGGGGGTCCCACCACAATCCTGGGCAGCCCAGCTCAGGAGGTCCCATCACAACCCTGGGCAGCTTAGCTCACAAGGTCCCATCACAATCTAGGGCAACCCAGCTCAGGAGGTCCCATCACAACCCTGGGCAGCTCAGCTCAGCTCACGAGGTCCCACCACAATCTGGGGCAACCCAGCTCAGGAGGTCCCATCACAACCCTGGGCAGCTCAGCTCACAAGGTCCCATCACAACTGTGGGCAGCTCAGCTCAGGAGGTCCCACCGCAACCCTGGGTGCTGGCAGAAGACCTAGCCCGCCTGCCCAGGCAGGGTTGGAGGCAGACTGACTAATTTTAGGAGGCCTCCTGGTTCTATTGTTCTGGGTGAGGCTGGGCGGTAGGGGAGGTGGTTTCAGGCGGGGATACCAGTGTGGGAAAGGAAGCGTGGCCGCTGTTGCCATGCGAGAAGGATGGAAACTGTGAGCCTGGTGTGCAGGTTTCGGCCCCAGGGAGGTTCTGCTCCGGTTCCTATGGAGCAGGTAGGAAGTTGCCCTTCCCCTCACCCCTTCCTCTGTGAGTGGCTTTTCCATTGTCCCAGCAAAGTGTGGGGTTGGCTGGACCCCTCAGCTCCCACGCCAGCGCCAGCACTGCCCTAGCAGTGCTGGGGGCAGTTTTCCCCCACACAGCTCTCCAGCTGGACAAAGAGTGAATGCCAGCCTGTCATAGGAACACGGTGAACTTGTTTGATTCTTTCAACTGCCAGCAAGGCTGCTAATTGCCATTTTGTGTGCAGGGATTGGAGACTCACTTGCTGAATGCCTTGCCCAAAGCCTCCCTTTGGTAGCTGAGTTCTCTCATGATCCCCCGGTGGGTTCTTAGGCTTCCAGAAGGACAGAATACTTTGTGCTTCTGGTGAGGTTTGCTCCTGTTCACATGGCAGCCTGGGTGGGCACAACAAAGATTTTTTTCTTAGAATTGTTGTATAAGAACAGAGCTAGCATGGGGGTCTAGAAATGGGCCCCAAAGGCCTGTGTTCAAATCTTGACCCCTCTAGGTGTTAGCCCTGTGACCTTTGAGCAAGCCACTGAATCTCCTGGAGCCTCTGGGTCCTCATCTGCTCCCTGGGGCCGGTCACCCCTGCCTGGTTCTTGGGGCTGCTGTGAGCTCCCATGAGATAATGCGTAGGAAAAGTCTTGCACGGGAGAAGGGACTCCCACTGGTGTGAAGCTAACAGTCTACAGCAAGGGCTGGATTTTATCTTGGCTCAAGAGGGAAAGGATTGCTTTACAAAAGGAAAGAGGGCTCATGGTAGTTATTTAGGAGTTTCATGGTGGTGGATTTTGTTGTTAAAGTCTTGTGGCCAAGTTACAGGAAGGCACACAGGGAGACGGATGAGGTGTTGCCCAGGCTGGTAAAATTCCGAACCCCACTGGTCTCCAAGGCCCTGTTGAAGAGGAGAGCACTAGGCTGGGAAAGCCACTCTGAAGGCAACTTGTATGATTTAAAATTCCAAAGATGTCTCGGCAGCTGGGTATGTTCTTTGTTGCTTAATAGGTTTTCTCCAGCTAATTCTCCTGGGTTCTTTCCATTTCCTGGCCAGACGGAGTAGCTTTAATATCTCTCCTCACTAGCAATAAGCTGCTGTCTGGCGAATGGAGATGAGAACCTGCAGATCCATGGGGGAGGGAGGACCAGAGTGATGGGATCTCAGCAATAGTGCTGGAGGGAAGTCAGGCCGCCCTCAAGGTCACCTGAGGGTCGTGGAGGGCCACGCAGCTGCCTGACAGAAGCAGTGCTGATCATTTTTACTTCTCTTATTTCCTGATGAACTCTTACTCGTCCTATAAGTCAAAGCTCAAGTGATTTCCCCTGTGGGAAGACTTCTCCAACATCACCAGACAAAATTAATCGGCCCTTTTTTGTGCTCCTATATCATTAAGGAAGATTTGGTTGCAAGGAACAGGGGAAAATCAATTTAAATGGTTTTAAACAATTAAAGATAATTTATTATCTTACACAGCTGTACCTTTCAGAAGTAATGTTAGCTTCAGGCATGGTTTGATCAGGATGCTGGCTCTGTTTCTTGTTAGTTCTCTAGACCCCACCCTCCTCTGATGTGTTGGCTTTGTCCTCTGCTAGCCTCTCCTATGGAGGTGATATGACTGTCAACAGCAATGGAGACTAAATTGCTTGCTTATTTATAGGCAGAAGGAAAGAATGTCTTCTTTCCCAGCCATAGACCAAAAGCCCTAAGACTTACTGGGTTTAGACCTGAACTGGCCAAGAAAATCCATACACCAACTGACTTAGGTCAGCATTATCTCCTCTTCCTGAATTAGTCAGTGTGTGGTAGAAAAGATGAAATTATGCCAGGCAGGGGCCACCTTGGATCTGGGATGGAATTAATCTCACTCAAACGTGTGGCTGCTATAAAATACATGTGGGTAGTTCCTAAAAGAAAATATTTTATGGAGAAGAGGGCAATTGTTGCTGGTGGTGCAACCAGCAATTGCCCTCTGTACTCTTGTGGTATTTGGTATACTAAACTCATGGGCACTTATGTTTGCCACTCCAATTCTTCTTAATTTTGGTGAAGTCCAATGTATTATGTTTTCTTTTATGGATTGTGCTTTTAGTATCATATCTAAGATATCTTTGCCTAACATAAAGTCACAAAGATTTTTCTCTTATGTTCTTTTCTAGAAGTTTTACAGATTTAAGTTTTACATTTAAGTCATTGATCCATTTTGAATTAATTTCTGTATATGATATTAGGTATGGATTAAAGTTACATTTTTGCATATGTATATTCAATTGTTTTGGCATCATTTGTTGAAAAGGTTGTCCTTTCTCCACTGAATTGCCTTTGCACCTTTGTTGAAAATCAGTTGCCAATACGTGTAGGTCTATTTCTGGACTCTATTCTGTTCCACTAATATTTTTCTCTTTTTGATGCCAATACCACACTCTTATTATTGTAGCTTGATCATGTCTTGAAATTAGGTAGTGTAAACCCTCTAACTTTCTTTTTCAAAATTATTTTGACTTTTTTTTAGGTCATTTGCATTTCCACATAAGCTTTATTTATTTATTTATTTATTGAGACGAAATCTTGCTCTGTTGCCCAAGCTGGAGTGCAGTGGCGTGATGTCAGCTCAGTGCAACTTCTGCCTCCCAGGTTCAAGCAATTCTCCTGCCTCAGCCTCCCGACTAGCTGGGACTACAAGTATGCTACCATGCCCAGCTAATTTTTGTATTTTCAGTACAGATGGGGTTTCACCATGTTGGCCAGGCTGATCTTGAACCCCTGGCCTTAAGTGACCTGCCTGCCTACCTTGGACTCCCAGAGTGCTGGGATTACAGGCATGAGCCACTGCACCCAGCCTAAATAAACTTTAGAATCAGCTTATAACTCTACAGAAAAAGCCTGATGTGATTTTGATTGAGATTGCACTGAATCTATAAATTTGGGGAGAACTGGCAACTTAATGATATTGAGTGTCTAACCCATGAACATGGTATATACTTCTCTGTTGGTTTAAATTTTCTTTAATTTATCTCAGCAGTGTTTTGTAGTTTTCAGTGTACAGGTCTAACATTAGGTCTTTTATTAGGTTTATCCCTATTTAAATTTTTTTTAAAAATTTGAGACGAGTGTCACTCTGTCGCCCAGGCTGGAGTGCAGTGGTGTGATCTTGGCTCACTGCAACCTCTGCCTTTCTGGTTCAAGTGATTCTCATGCCTCAGCCTCCTAAGTAGCTGGGACTACAGGCATGCACCACCACGCCCAGCTAATTTTGTGTGTGTGTGTGTGTGTGTGTGTGTTTAGTAGAGGCAGGGTTTTGCCATGTTGCCCAGGCTGGTCTCGAACTCCTGAGCTCAGACAATCCACCTGCCTCAGCCTCCCAAAGTGCTGGGATTACAGGTGTGCAGCACCAGACCCGGCTAATATTTGTATTTTTAGTAGAGAGGGGGTTTCATCATGTTGGCCAGACTGGTCTCAAACTCCTGGCCTCAAGTGATCCACCCACCTTAGCCTCCCAAAGTGCTGGGATTACAGGCGTGAGCCACCGTGCCTGCCCCCTACTTCAAAATTTTGATGCTATTGTATAACACATAGCATTGTTTATTTCAGTTTTGGATTGTTTATTGCTAAGTAATAGAAATACAGTGGATTTTTGTACATTAATCTTGTATCCTGTAACCATGCTGTGCTCATATATCAGTGCTAGTAGCTTTTTTGGAGATTCCATCAAATTTTCTATGTAGATGATCACGTCATCTCTGAATAAAAACATTTTGTTTCTTCTTTTTCAATTTGTTTGCTTTTTATTTCTTTTTCTTATCCTATTGCACTAGCTAGAACCTCCAGTATAATGTTGACTAGGTGGTGAGAGAGGACATGCCTTGTTCCCAGTCTTAGGGGGAAATCACTTAGTATGCTGTTCACCATCAAGTATGCTGTTAGTTGTAGATTTTTTAAGTAGACGCTTTTTATCAGGTTGAGGGTGATGCTGGCCTCATATAATGATTTGGGAACATTTTCTCCTCTTCAATTTTCTGGAAGGGTTTGTATAAAACTATTATTATTTCTTCATTAAATGCTTGGTAGAATTGACCAGTGAAACAATTTGAGGCTGGGGCTTTCTTTATGAGAAATTTTTGAGCTACAAATTTAATTTTTTTAACATATATAGGACTAGTCATGTTATTTATTTCCTCTTGTGTGAACCTTGGTAGTTTGTGTCTTTCAAGGAATTTGTTCATTTCATATAAGTTGTCAAATTTATTGGCATAGAGTTGTTTATAATATTTTCTTATAATCCTTTTAATATTTAAGAATTGGTAGGGATATTACCTCTCTCATTCCTGATTATTGATTAATTTTTGACTTCTTTCTTTTTTCCTGATAAGCCTGGTTAGAGATTTATTGATGTTATTGATCTTTTCAAAGTGCAGCTTTTGGCTTACAGATTTTTTCTTCTGTTTTTCTGTTTTATATCTCATTGATTTCCACTATGATCTTTATTATTTCTTTTCTTTAGTTTACTTAAGATTTAATTGCTCTCTTCCTAATTTCTTACGGTACCAGCTGAAGTCATTTACTTGAGAAGTTTCTTCTTTTCTAATATAGGTATTTGGTGCTATAAGTTCCTCCTAAGTACTGCTTTTGTGGCTTCTCTCAAATATGTTATGTTTTATTTTTCATTCAACTTAGAATACTTCCTGTTTTCCCCTTTGATTTCTTCTCTGAACCATGGGTTATTTGGAAGTGTGTTATTGTGTTCCTAAATGTTTGAGGATTTTGTAAAGCTCTTTTGGTTATTGGTTTCTAATTTAATTCCATTATGTTCAAAGAACATACTTTGTATGGCCTGAAACTTTAAAAATTCTTTGAGACTTGTTTTATGGCCCTGAATATGGCCATTTTGGTAAACATGTTCCATGTGCACATGTAAATAACGTGTATTCTATTGTTGTTAGGTGGAGGGTTTTATAAGCGTCAGTTAGGTCAACTTGGCTGATTGTGTCGCTTAAAGCTTCTATGGCCTTGTTTTTTTGTTTGTCCCCTCTATTCTTTTTTCCTCTCCCCCTCTTTTTCTGCATACTTTTGAATTAATTGAATATTTTAAATAATTCCATTTAATTTATCCTTTTCTTATCCACATAGTTGCCAATGTTGATGATTTTCCTTCCTTTGTGTAGATTTATATATCTGTTATCCTTTTCTTTCTGCTTCAAGGATCTTCTTTAACATTTGTTGTATCTCAGGTGATAAATTATTTTAGCTTTTGCATGGCTGAAAAAGTCTTATCTTACCTTCAGTCTCAAAATATATTTTCAAAGATATAATATACATCTAAGATATATTCAAAAGATATAATTCAAAGTTGGCAGTGTTTTTTTCTTTTAGTATTTAGAGATATTCTTCCATTATTTTCCGGTATGCATTATTTATGACAGGAAGCTTTTTGTCATGCTTATCTTTGTTTCTCTTCATGTAATGTCCCTAGTTGCTTTTAAAATTTTTCTCTTTATCATAGGCTTTGAGCCATCTGATTGTTCTGTGCCTTAGTACAGTTTTATGTTTCTTGTGCTTAGGGTTTATTGAGGTTCTTGGTTCTGTGAGTTTATAGCTTCATAAAATTTTGAATAATTTTGACCATTATTTCTTCAAGTACTTTTTCTGTTCCCCTCTCCCACCCAGCTTCCTTTATTCCCTGGGATTCCAATTACACATATGTTAGGTTATTTGAAGCTCACTGATGCTCTGAGAAAAGTATATTGGATGGGTTTAACAGCAGATAGACATTGTGGAAGAACATACTGGTAAACTTGAAAACATATAAATAGAAATACCCAACATGAAACAGAGAGAAAAAAGACTAAAAAAATGAACCCAGCTGACATTTTCACTGCAACTCCATGAGAGACTATGAGTCAGAATCACCCAGCTATGCTGCACCCTAATTCCTGACCCAAAAAAGCTTTGAGGCAATACATGTTTGTTAATCCCAGCACTTTGGGGGGCCAAGGTGGGCAAATTGCTTGAGCCTAGGAGTTCAAGACCAGCCTGGGCAACATGGTGAAACACCATCTCTACAACAAATACAAACATTAGCCAGGCATGGTGATGCGCACCTGTAGTCCCAGCTATTGGGGGTGGTGGGGGGCTGAGATTGGAGGATTGCTTGAGCCCTGGAGGTCAAGGCTGCAGTGAGCCATGGTGGCACCACTGTACTCTGGCCTGGGTGGCAGAGCGAGAACCTGTCTCTAAATAAATAAATAAATAAATAAATAAATGTTTGTGGTGTAAGCTGCTAAGTTTTGGTGTAGTTTGTTGTGGAGCCATAGATAACTAATCCATCCTCTTTGAATTTTCCTCTAACTTCTCCATGCGTAAGTCTTTCCTCTTTAGCAACTGAGTTATAAGAAGAGAATCATGAATACCCTATTAACTGTACTTTCTTTTAAAACTTTTCATGATTATTTTTTGTTTTTATACTTTTTCTTTTTTAGAGATAGGGTCTCACCATGTTGTCCAGGCTGGTCTTGAACTCCTGGGCTCAGGGAATCTTCCCCTACCTTGGCCTCCCAAAGTGCTGGGATTATAGTCATGAGACACTGCGCCCGGACTGTTTTATCGTATGGCTTCCATTCTTGTAGTCTAGGTTGATTATGATGATTTCGGCAGTACACAATAGAAAACCAATTCAAGTCGGCTTCAACATATGGAGTCACATATTAAGAAGGTTGCATAGGCCGGGCGCGGTGGCTCACGCCTGTAATCCCAGCACTTTGGGAGGTTGAGATGGGCGGATCACAAGGTCAGGAGATCGAGACCATCCTGGCTAACATGGTGAAACCCCATCTCTACTAAAAATACAAAAAATTAGCCGGGCATGGTGGCAGGCCCCTGTAGTCCCAGCTACTCAGGAGGCTGAGGCAGGAGAATGGCGTGAATCCGGGAGGCAGAGCTTGCAGTGAGCCAAGATCGCGCCACTGCACTCCAGCCTGGGGGATGGAGGGAGACTCCGCCTTGAAAAAAAAAGAAAAAGAAAAAGAAAAGAAGGTTGCATAATAAAACAGGCTGGAAGACTCCAGTGTTGGTTGATTCCACAACTCAGTAAAGTTATCTAGCACCTGGCTTATTTTTATCTTTCTGCTCTGCCATCCTCATTGAGTTCTCTTCAAGCTAACTCCCCTCCTGGTCCCGAGGTAGCTGCCATAGGTTCAGGCAACACATATAGACCCAATGACATCCAGAATCAGAAGCCTTTTACAGACTTTTCCCTTCTCATTTAATTGGCCATTGCTTGCCTGTGCCTAAACCAGACACTGTGGAGGGGAATGGGACTACAATGGTAGTCTTAAACCAGTTATGATTCAACCCCTGGGACTGGAGCTGTGGCCTTCCTTTTCCAAGATACATGGCCACATGGGCAATAAAGTACCTAAACAGATCTTGGGTTCTTTTACAAGAAAGAAGGGGGGCAGTGGCTACTGAGGAGGCAACTGTGCCTGTTTCCTTCTGTTTGACTCTGTCTTCCAGTGTGGTCAGATGTCTGACCGTGTCAATGCTTTGATTACATCCTGCAATGGCTTCTGATTAATAACTTTTGATTAAATCCCAAGTTCCTACCATGGCGGTCCAGGTGTCCATGACCTGACTTTTATCTACCTCTCCAGTCTTATCTTCCACTGCTCCCACCTTGCACATTCATACTGCATCAACCCAAGATAGTCCATGTTTCCCACCCATGCCAGGCCACACCATTAACCTTCAAGGCTCAGCCCGGGCATTGTTTCCTCCAGAAGGCTTCCAAGAACTTCCAGGTGATCCAAGTACCTTTCTTTGGGTCCCCATAGCACCCTGTGCATCCATCCCTTTCTCTTAGTCCTCTGTGATATTGACATTTCTAAGCACCACCTGCTGAATAAACCTTTTCTGAACAGAACTGCACCCCTGCCAACCTCTCTCCTGAGGCTCCAGGCCTACTTGACATGTGTACTTGGTTTGTCCTACAGTCACCTGAATCGCAACATGCCCAATAAGTGTCATATCCTTATCTGGCCCCGATCGTTTCTTCCCCATGCATTCCTTATCTTGGAGAATGTACTTCCGTCGAGCTGTCAAGACAGGAATTGGGAACTACCCTTTCCCTCTCTTAACCTCATATCCATTTTGTCACCAAGCCCTGTCCCTCTTATCTTCAAATGCCTCCCTTATTTCTCTCGTTTCTCTTCTCATTGCCTTAATTCAACTCCTGATCGTCTCCCTGGGTCACTGCAACTGGCTCCAAACTGATGTCCTTGTCTCTATCCTATGCTGTCCTTTCTCCACTCTGTGGCCAGAGTGTACTTTTTAAGAAGGTCACTCTAGTGTTTAAATCCTTCGATGCTCTCTATTTCCTTATCAAAGTACTTTTCTTGGTTGTAAGACCCTTCCAGTCTGGCTCCTATTTAATTCTTTAGCCATATCTCTTATCATGCTCTCACACTCAGGTGAACTCAAGCCATATGGGATTATTTCCAATTTCTCCAAAGTAATTCCCTAAAGTATTTTTTCTCTGCCTGAGTGCGAATCTCCTCACTTCTCTCTATCATTGACTCATGAGTCCTCGTCCTTCAGGACTCAGCGGTAGCTTTACTGCTCTGGGAAGCTCCCCCATTCCCAGCTGCTTTCCCAGGTTGATCCCTTGTTGCCGCCACCATCACTGCTCCTAGCTCGCAGCCAGGTTTTAATAGGAGTCAGGGTGGTGGGGCTCTGACACTAAACACACACTCTTGGATTACAGCCAAGACAGTGCCAGGGAAGAGCAGTGCAGGGGACTCGTGGAGTAGGTAACGGGGGCCTGCTCTAGCGGAGGAGTCAGGATGGCTTTCCCGAGGAATTGATGCTTATATGAGGACTCTAGGGATGAGGAGGAGTTGGTGGCCAGCTGAAGAAGATGGCAGGAGCGGGTGTTGGTGGTTTTCCAGGCAGAGGAACATCACAAGGAAGGCTCTGAGTGGTGGGATACATGGCTCTGAGAAACTGGAGGGAGTTGGTGTGGCTGGCATGCAGAAGCAGCTGGGAGTAGGGAAGGATGACACGGGGCTGTGCAAGGTTCAGGGTTGGGGTCAGCCCCTGTGGGGTCATGGAGCCACATAAAGGAGCGACATAAAGGAGGACTTCGGGTTTTATCCTGAGAGCTCTGGGAAGCCATTATGGGGTTTTAAGCAGAGAACCAATGTGATCAGATTTGCTTTTTTTTTTTTTTTTTGACAGAGTCTAACTCTGTCGCCCAGGCTGGAGTGCAGTGGTATAATCTCGGCTTACTGCAATCTCCACCTCCTGGGTTCAAGCCATTCTCCTGCCTCAACCACCCCAGTAGCTGGGATTAAAGGTGCATGTCACCACGCCTGGCTAATTTTTGTATTTTCAGTAGAGACGAGGTTTTACCATGTTGATCAGGCTGGTCTCTACCTCCTGACCTCAAATGATCCGCCCACCTTGGCCTCCCAAAGTGCTGGGATTGGAGGCGTGAACCACTGCGCCTGGCCAGATTTGCATTTTCAAAAGACTTTTCTGTTGCCCTGTGGAAGATGGATTTGAGGGCTGGAGGGGTGGGAGTGGGACCAGTTAGGAAGGTGTTGGGTTAAGTCTGAACAGGGAGGTGGAGAGAGAAGGAAAGCGATGCTGAGAGCTACCTTCAAGGCTGGGTCCACAGGATTGGGTGCCAAGGACGGCTCCCATCTTCTGGGGGATGCTGGGGATCTGCCTGAGCTGGGGAGACGCTGGACCAGGAGATGATTTTGGAGGCACAGCCGAATCTATTTGGCACATAAGGGTGAACTCCTCAAGGATGGACACACATATTATTCATCTCTAATTCTCTGGTTGGGCACAGCAGAAGCCCAAGAAGTGTTTGTGGAATAAATGACTGGAAAGCCACTCTTGGGCTTGCTGGTCTGTCTTGTTGGCCAGCATGTAGTGCTGCTCCTCAGATGACAAAGTGAAGTGTCTATTATGTTGTTTCTAACTTGGTGGGTTATCTGCCCAAATAGACGCTCTGAAGGTGACCCCAGATGATAGCAGAGAGAGGCACATGTGGGCAGCAAGTGGGTATGTGTGGGCATGTGGGAGGGGGGCACTGGGAGTTGGGGGAGCATTGTCCTTAGCATCTCATCACCGTTCATTCACATTTACTGCTCAGCTGGGAGCATGCTCTGGCTGCAGGGCGGTGCTTTTAGCCCAGAGGCTCAGAGCACTTTCCTATCACTAACATGGAACATTCCCAGAATTCCCCAGAGGCCTGGGGTTCCAGACAGTACAACATACAGAAGGCTGAGGCTCCAGTCACACTGCTGAGGTGTCTGAGCATAACAGTGCATTCGTCTGTCCAAGCATGCACCATTTGTTCATTCACTCGTCATGTGCCAGGCACTGTGCTGGGCTTGGGGAATCCAAGGGCAACAAGACAGGCCTGTCCCAGCCTCCTTGAGCTCACATGCTTTATGCACATCCAGATACAGGGGTGCCACTGTCACTAGAGCCACCTCTGGAGTCAGCTAGCAAGATCTGGAGCACATTATCCTCACTTCCATCTCAGCTGGTTGAGCTGCAGTACTTGAGAGTCTGTGGATGATGATGTTATTGGGAGTTTTATCTCTAACCACATGTACCTACTTCCTGGAAGTTCAGAGCAATGATCCTTAAAATGGCCAGAAACTAAAACTGAAAACCACCCAACTGCCTAAGAAGAGTGAATGGCTAAGCAAATTCTAGACATATGATGGGGGAGGAGCATGACATTATCTAATAAAAACGTGGGGTTATGTTGATATGTTAATGAGATGGGATTTACTGTCACTATGAGACTGTCTTTAATGAAACAAGAACATAAAATATCAGGTACACACTAATTACAGCACAACTGCTCTAAAACCTATATACACACATTGTCATCTCAATTGTATAAGGAAAACACAATGCATAGCAAAAGACTGAAATATGCCACATCTTAACAATACCTACTTTGGTAGAGGAATTTTACGTGACCTTTCTGCTTCTTTATTGTTTTCTATTTTTTCCCAAACTTTTAATAATCAGCAAGCATTTACCGTGAAAATTCAGAAAAGTAAATACATTAAGACTCTCCTATGTTTACACATTGGCATAGGTCAGAAAAGTATTTCCAGGGATGTTAGCTGGGCGTGGTGGTGCATGCCTGTAATCCCAGCTACTTGGGAGGCTGAGGTGGGAGAATCGCTTGAACCCAGGAGGCAGAGGTTGCAGTGAGCCGAGATCGTGCCATTGTGCTCCAGCCTGGGCGACAGAGCAAGAGTCCGTCTCAAAAAAAAAAAAAAAAAAAAAGAAGCATTTCCAGGGATGTCAGAAGAGCTTGGTGAGCGCTAGATTCAGTTGTTTGTATTTGTAATGAACCACACACTGATCATTGAGAGCTGAACTAGGTAGACACTAAGTGCGCCTTTGTTCTGAAGTGCTGGGATTCAACTTAATTCCATACAAGTTGAACAGCTTACAATCCTGTCAGGGAGGCAGACTTATTTATTTACTCAACCGTTTATTCAACGAGTGTTTATGGAGTTCCTCCTTTGTTCCTGGCATTGTCCCAGATGCTGGAGAACATAAACACATAATCACAATGTGATGTGAGAAGGGCCTCAGCAGAGGTCCCGACAGAGTATTAGGGGAATACAGCATGGCTAACCCTGTTTGAGGATGTTGGGGATCAGCGAAGGCCTCCTAAAGCAGGATCATTTGAACAAGGCCTTGAGGGGTGAATAAGAGTTCTCTAGGCAACAAATAGAGGGAAATGGAGCCTAAGCTACTTTGGGAATTATTTTTAGAGATGCCTACATGTGCTATGAGGGAAGATAGAATATGTGGATTGTTTATAGACTGTTGTCCTCATTCCAGCCAGGAGACCAGAATGAGGAGTTGAGTTCAAAGGTCTGAACTCACAAAATTAGAATAACTCATTTGTGTCCTGGCTGTTTTCTTACCCCATGTTTAACTAAACATCATGTGTGTTCAAGGCCTCTTTGAATAATGACCCTCTCAACGCTGGATCTTGACCCAAGTTCAGGAACTGGAAACATCTGGATCCTGCTGGGCTAGAAAAACATGTGTGACCCCTAGATCTCTATCCTCACACAGAAAGCAAGGACAGCTTTCAGAAGGGGACTCACAACTGGAAATTCTAACAGGTAAATATTAGTATCATTAAGAAATCTTGCAAAGGTGATTATTAGCCATCTCTTGTCTGTCGAGTTCTGTTGCTTTTCTTTCTTCTCTCCTTTTCTCAGTTTTTCTCTCTCCCCTGTGTCTTTCTCCTCCTTTGCCACATCTGTCTGCCTCTTTCCTTCTCGTCTGTTTTTCTATTCTCTGGTCTCTTGTTCTCGCTCTTTGTCTCTTTCTGTCTCTTGGAGCATTTCTCTGTCTCTCTTGCTTTGCTACCTTTCTCTCTCTGTCTTTCTCTTTCTTGTATCTCTTGCTGACCTTGGGGTCACTCCCTTGGTTTTCTCCATTTAATGGAGCCCCAACTTGCCTTTGATGGCATTTGGGGAGGGCAAAGTTAGTCGGACTCTCTGAACTTGATTGGCCTCCCGTGACAAGGATCTCTTTTCACAGGGTCTGGATTTAAAGTGTGAAAATATAAAGAGCTTTTTCATTCTGACTCGCACATATCCCTACTTGAGCTGAAGCATTTCCAGACAGATAATCATCAGGTTTCCTACAGGAAATTAAAGACCTCAGTACCGTGTAGTTGTTTAAATCACCCGTATTGCCCATTAGGTTTCATGAAAGGCTTTGCTTCCCTGGTATGTGATAGAACAAATCTTTAATAAGATTTTTCCCCCAATTTTTCTAATGAAGTCGGTCGTGTGTGTCCTCTAGATAAGCTCACAATAAGGCCAGCAGGTTCCCATTTTGGTATGAGCCGGTGCCTCACCCCTTCTTATCTAAGCCACAAGGACACGGAGCTGGCACATGTCCTCAGAGTCCACACTGGGAGCTGCCCCGGGGACAAGAACCCCTACAAGTAGGAGCATTCAGACCTCTGGCTGGATTGGCGGATGTGGCCATGCAGTGCCTTCTGTCCAGGAGCCAATGGCACCCCCACTTCTGCCTTAAGCCCCCCGTGTGCCCACACTCCTCTGGTTACCATCTGCTTCAGAGGAAGTCAGGCCCCAGTCTAGCCAAGATGGTACTCCTCCTTCCTTTTCTTGGTGGTTGGTTTAGGTCTGAGCATTTAACCCCCCCTTTTTCATTTTTATTTTTTTTGAGACTGAGTCTTGCTCTGTCACCCAGGCTGGAGTGCAGTGGTGCGATCTCAGCTCACTGCAAACTCCGCCTCCTGGGTTCAAGTGGTTCTCCTCCCTCAGCCTCCCGAGAGTAGCTGGGATTACAGGTGCCCACCACCATACCCAGCTAATTTTTGTATTTTTAGTAGAGACGGGGTTTCAACATGTTGGCCATGCTGGTCTCGAACTCCTGACCTCAGGCAATCTGCCCGCCTTGGCCTTCCAAAATGCTGGGATTACAGGCATGAGGCACCATGCCCCAGCCTAACCCATTCTTTGACCAGTGAGATGCAAAGGAAAGTCTAGGGACTTCTGGGACAAATGTTCTCATTATTAAAGAGATCCACAGCAGGGGGCTTCCCTTCATTGCTGTTGCACTTGAAGGTTGGCAATGGGATGCCTCAGTGTGCCCTGGCTACCTTGTGATCAACCTGCTGAGGATGGCAGAGCAGAAAGTCAGGAAGAGCCAGTGCTCATGGTGACATGTGCTGCCAAGTTAATGACCCCGGGACTGTTCTACCTCTTGAGTTTTTAGTGTGTGAAATAACAAATTTCCTTGTTTTTAAACTCTCTTGAGGTTTTTTTTTTTTTTTGACTGGCAATTGAAAGCATATTAGTAGACACAGACAGGACCACAGAGGTCCAAGATGGGCCCCCATGTCTTCTGAGAGAGGTCTGAGCTCACTGAGAGAAGGGTAGGGTGGGGACAAGCCTTGGGATCGAAGGCCCTGCCTTGGAGCAGTTTGTCGTTCCATGCTATGACAAACCATGGGCAAGAAAACCTCTCTGAGCTGAAGTTTCCTTGGCTCAAAATGAGTATTGAGTGCATCACAGATGCTCAATAATCATCAGCTCTCTTCTCTTCAGGTATGCTTATCTTCCAGTTATTATTATTATTATTTTTTGAGACAGAGTCTCACTCTGTCGCCCAGGCTGGAGTGCAGTGGCATGATCTCGGCTCACTGCAAATTCCACCTCACAGGTTCAAGCAGTTCTCCTGCCTCAGCCTCCTGAGTAGCTGGGATTACAGGCGCCTACCACCATGCCCGGCTAATTTTTGTATTTTTAGTAGAGATGGGGTTTTACCACGTTGGCCAGGCTGGTCTGGAAGTCCTGACCTCAGGTGATCCACCTGCCTTGGCCTCCCAAAGTGCTGGGATTACAGGCATGAACCGCCACAACAGGCCTCTTCCAGTTACTTTTAATGGGACCAAGAGGTGCCAGGTACGGAGAGCTATTTAATGACATTTCAGTGCTGGGGAAATTTTACACAGAGACCATTCTAAGTCCTTTACCCACAGTTGCTCCAAGTACAAATCACGTCTCTAATGCCAGCACCAGTGTTGAGGGGGAGGCAAATACACCCAATTCTCAATTCTCCATGGTGATGAAGAATGTGGATAATTGAAAACAGCAGATAATCCCCGAACCTGCTTTGAGTCACTGACTTCCACCGCCTCCCCCATCATCACTTTTCTGGTGCAGCTGACAAAATGCCACATGCACGCACGTTTCTTCTCTCTCTTCTGGTGGATCACTTGGCAAAGCTGCTTATCCACTTCAAAACCGCCAAGTCTGGGGTGACAGGAGAAGCCAGGGGGCTGAACACCACCTCCCCAGCCAAGAACAGCCTGGAAGCTATACCACTGGGCTTGGCCTTGGAGTGGGTTCTGTCCATCCCTTAGGTTAGTTTGACTTTAATCCCTCCAAGCTCTTCAGGAGGTCAAAGACAAGAAGGCGCAGGATCCTGCAGGTGATAGTGAGCACCAGAGACACTGGGCTCCTGTCCTCAGATGGGCCCTGCCCAGGCCAGCCAGGGCGCAGCTAACTTCACGTGAGCCCAGAGCTCCTTCCTACATGCCACACATTCCTGGAAACCAGGGTGCCTCCCTCTCCCTTTCCTGAGCAATGGCTGGACTAAGGTTAATTGTATTCCTCGAATTTAAAGCTTTTAGAGTTCTGATCCAAGACCCCTTCTCGGTCCGTGAAACCCCTTCATATGAGAGGGATGAAAAGTGAGGAGAGAAGGAAATGAACCTTCATCAGGCACCTGCCTAGCACCATGCCAACCTCTTCACAACTACACTTCACAGGGAGAGCAGATCTTTTCAGCTAGAACTTGTCTAATCTGGAGTAGGAGATACTGGCTGCCTGCTTGTCTCTGGCAATCTGTTCTTCTGGACAATTTCTGCCTTGGTACCAGTACTACACAAATCAACTTCCTGCAGTCTCAGACCCAGGGTTCAGGTCTCTCAGGATTTCTTGCTATCTTGTCCTTTCTCTCTACGGCCAGAAGCTCGTTCGATCAGCTGAGATCCTTGGGTCTGAGGACACTGGATGACCCAAAACTTCTCCATTGGGCAAGGGGGAGTTGACAGCTTACTTGGCCCTAGTCAGGAGATGCAGAAGTGTGCGCCCTGCTGATCACAGTTAAAGCTCACACTGCTAGGAACTGCGGTAGTAAGATGTTAGGGGCTGCGAGGGCGGGCTCCCACCCTTTTTCCTTTTCCTTCTCTAGCCCTCCTGGTGGGCTCAGAAGCTTCTATAATGGAAGTAGCAAGAAGTAAGTAGGAAGCCACTGGCCTTTCTTACTCTCTGAGGCTCACATGTGCCAGTTCCTGGGGCTACCAGGAGGCTTAATCACTGGGTTTGCCGGAGGAGAAGATAGTGTGCTAAGAAAGGAGGATTAGCACTCGCCAGGTCTCCCAGGAGTTCCTGTGTTGGGCCACAGGGATTGCCACAGCAGCACTCTGTCATAAAATCGGCCCTGGGAACACAATTTCGGAAATAATCAGAGGAGGCGAGGTTTCTTAAATTGTAGGAAAAAGCTCCCTGGTTAGAATAATGGCTTCTATTTGGCATCCATTCTCTCTCAGATGTGCAGCCTCATCCATTCCCATTCTGAGGCGTGACTTTCAAACACCAGATGGGAAGAGAGCCAAGACGAGGGTGCTGGGCCTTGGAATCTGAAACTCAGTTATTTCATCCTGGGCAAGTCCCTAGGCCTCTCTGGGTCAGTTTTTCTTTGTAAATTGGGATGATAAAAACTGCCTCACTGAGAGAGACAGTGGTAGATTGAAGGATTTAGAGAAGCCTTCCATCCTGCCCTCCATCTCTCCCTTTCTCTTTATGTATAAATATATATATATGTGTCCACATGGATATACACATATACGTGTGTGTAGGTATCTATATGTATGTGTATGTATGTGTGTCTATATATACGTGTGTGTGTGTGTCTATATCTATCCCAAGGATCTCTGGGATGGAGGTGGGCTTCCCTAGTTCATTCACATTTCCTCCAGGGTTGATGCACGTGGCAGGGGGGATTCTCTGCTGGTGGTCAGGGTGGAGCAAATCTAACTTTGTCCTCCTCATGGCTATGCCCCAATGTCACCAGGCGTTAGGGTCTGCGTGAGACAAGCACAGCCTCCAGAAGGCAAACCCAGTGGCCACAGACATGTGGGGTGAATTGCAGGGCCTAGCGCACTTCCCTCTGTGCCCTCTCTATAAAGGTTTGTGTGGCCCTGCGGGCTCTGGAGGTGAGACCAACTTTGCTCTGCCCAGTAGCATGTGATCTTTGGTTTGGATGCTCCACATTGGACCTATGTCTGTGGCTGTGTAAAGTCTTGTGGCCTTGGTGACTTGGTCTGATGTGTAGGTGGGTAGGTGGGGTGTCACATGAATAGAGGTGACAATGCTCTGATTTCAAGGTGGGGAGCCCAACAGTGAAGGAAAAGTTCTGGTCTAATGGTGGGGACAGAACAGCAGTGACAGTGTCCTGATCCCCTGGAGAGGCTGCTCATGGAGGTGGTATGCCCTGGTCTCATGGCAGAGACCCTGGTAAGGAGCATGCTCTGTTTTCATGGTGGGGAGACTAGCAGTGGTGATAATGATCTGGTTTCCCAGTCGGGACAAACAAGGGGGCCTGTGTGGCAGTGGGGAGCCAGGGTGCTTCTGCCTCAAGGCAGCAGAGTGGCCAGGAATCCAGCTCAGAAAAGTCCTGGACCTGTGGTTCTCAAATTAGAGCAAAATGGCTGTCAAGGTCTTTCCTGCAGTCACTGCCCATGTACACAGCTGTGGCGCCTCTCCTCTCCCTCCTTTTCCACTCAGCATCCCACCTGAGAGACGCTGGCCACAGTGATTAGGTGTCCGATTTGATGGGGGGCCTGTTAAGACGCTATTGCTTTTCTAATTCTGGCTAAATCGACATTGGTTTTGTCAATCTACCTACATAGGTCAAGCTTGTTGCTTCCAATTTCAGGTGATTTCCATCTTGTCACTCTCTCTTTCCCTTCTCAGCCCATCTAATCCTTGGGTTCTCCAGCTGCCCAGTACTTCCTGTGCGGCAGCATCACTGCCTCTGAGGCTCGGCAATTAGAGACTTGGACTCCAGCAGGGAGGGCATCTTCGGATTATTACTGCGGAGGGAGAGCCCGACTGCGGTGTCCATAGCAACCCTCCGGCTGCCACCTTTCCCAGGAGCGAAGGGAGGCAAAACAAGGGCGGGAGGCAGGAGAGGGGCCTGGCCTTCTGCAGGATTCCTGTCAGAGGGCTGGGCACCCAGGTTGCAGCTCCTGACTGTGCCTGGTGGCTGTGCTGAGGGGAGAGGGGGCTTCTTCCCTCGTTTCACAGCAGCAACCGGGAGTGGAGCTGTGTTGGTGGATGCCCCATAGCAACCGAGAGATGATGGACCAGTTGAAGGGGACCATCGCGGAGGCCGGGCTCGAGTCCCGGCTTTGTGCCTGACTCACGAATGAGTACAGGCAAGTCCCCTCCCATCTCCGGAGGTCTTCTCTTGCTAATAGGGTGGTGGGCCTGGAGGCGCCTCTGGCATCCTGTCCAGCCCTCTCATTCAAAGGCTTTATGGTGCCCTCACCCGGGACAGACAACAGATGGTTTCTTCTTCCCCAATGGTGAAAAAACCCAAGGAAGCCTGGGAAATAAGAGCGACTTTTGCAAAATATTCACAGAAGTTGATTCTGGCACCAGATCCAGTCCCTGGGCCTCCATGGAAGGAAGCAGAAAGCTGAGGCCGGGGTTCAGATGCTGTCTGGGGGCTCCCTCGCATCTCCCAAGGTGCCTGGAGTGCGAAGCTATGTGCATACGCCACCAGCAGAGGCCGCCACACTCCTCACAAACCCGCCACAGGTTGCTCTGCCCCCATCCCCATGGGTGAGCACTGACCAGCTCGGACCGCAATCTCAGAGCCAGGGCGGGGCGGGGATCTGCTACTGGCCACCTGGGGTCCAGGGAGGGGCTGGCTCAGGGGGCTGTGGCCTCAACTGCCAGCCGGCCCTGCTCGTCCCTCACTGCCCTCCCTGTGGGAGAGACATCCATCCAGGCCCACGAGACACTGGCCGCCTTCTTCCCTGCTAGGAATCCATGGCTGCTCCGGTCTGGGCCCTCCCTTGGGCTGCTGCTCAGGTGCCTGTTCTGCATTTGGGAAACTGTTAGAGTTTTTTTTTTTTTAAATTATTATTATACTTTAAGTTTTAGGGTACATGTGTACAACGTGCAGGTTTGTTACATATGTATACATGTGCCATGTTGGTGTGCTGCACCCATTAATTCGTCATTTAGCATTAGGTATATCTCCTAATGGTATCTCTCCCCTCTCCCCGGAAACTGTTAGAGTTTTTATTTTCTGTGAGTCGTTTGAGACTGGGGCCAGGAAGCTGATTTATTCAGCAAATCTGAATTGAGAACATGCTCTATGACAGGCCCTGTTTTGGGCACTGGGGTTATAGCAGTGAATAAAATAGACGCAAATCCCACCCTGTGGAGCCAAGTCTCCAGTGGGGGTGGGTGTCATCACCTACACCACAGTGTGGGGCTGGGCAGGACACACGCACCCAGGATGGCAAGTGATGGCTCTCTCTACCGAGTCGGCCCCATGCAGACAGTGGACCTACCCAGACTCTGGGGCCGAGGCTTCCATGCTGAGCCCTTGTCAGTCAGGGGTCTGCACAGACCCCTCTCTTGTACTGGCCAGTGCACGTCGGCAGCACTTCACCGTGTGCAAAGTATGCACCTCCACTGGCTCCCTGTGAGCCCGGCAGGCATCTTGGTGACAGAATGTTGGCAACCTGTGCCCATTTCCCATGCCTTCTTTCCAGACACGGTATCAGCACCTTCCATTCGACCTTTGACTCCCTCAAGTAAATAAACGTTCCCATCCGGACTGACTCATCTGGTTAGAACAACAAGTTCCTACACCAAAGCCTCAGAGAAGGGGTCAGGAGACACATTTTAAAATGTATCTCAGTTTTCACAAGACAACTGTGCAGGAGGTGTGAACGATCCCAGTTTCACAGGCTCAGAGGGGCGCACCTTGCTCGTCATGGTCCCTGGCAGGAAAATGGCAACTCGGAATCAGATGGACCGATTCCCAGCCCAAGACTGCTCTGGTGCCTGGCCTGGCCTGGCCACTCCACTGTCTTCTCTCCATGTTAGGGCCATCCTGGCCTCTGCAGAGTTTTAGAAGCAGAATCACCAACCTTTGTCCAGACAGATCTCCATGGAGCTGCTCTTTTGAAACCTTTTCCCACTCCTGTTGTTAGAGGGGGTTTCATGGAGGACCTGGGTGGGAGTGGTGGGCAGGAGGGATACTTTCTCTGGAAAGCAATGAAGTTCAGTAGCAGAGGCTGAGTGGAGAGGTTGTGACCTCTCAGAGCGCATAGACCTGTGTGGCTCATGGCTTGGACTCTCCCCTCCCACTGTGAACAAGAGCAGGCCAGTTAACCTTCTCTGAAATTTGACTCAGTTTCTTCATCTATAGAATGGGCATACTAACTTTACTCCCTGGCGTGTTGGAACCATGAATGCCCACAGTTGGCCCTCAGTAAATGCTCCAAGTGTAGGGAGTCAGGCCGTATGTCCCCTTTACCTTGACACTCAGATGATGCAAAAGAGCTCCAGTTTTTCTTTAGCAAAGCAGAGTATGGGGAGGAGCCTGTGTGAAGCTGAAGACTCCTTGGCACCCATAGGTGGCTGAGAGTTGTTGGTGCGTGGCCAGGGGACAGGTGACATGCTGTAGTCCTACCTTGCTCCTCAGATCATGGCTTGCAGGGGCAGGGGTTAGGTGGGCATTCATTATAAGAGGCTTCACCCAGGGTCTAGACATCCAGGGACTCTCAGGAAAGAAGTGTGGACAGAAGGCCTACACTTACCAGTTGGCATTCCTGGTGGCCAGCCGGGCAAGTAAGGGGCAAGTAATGTGTCCTGGGTCAAAGTGCCCAAACTCTCAGTCAGGCTAAACTCACTCACCCTCTTACCTGCTTATGTATTCAACACACAATTTGGGTGCAGCGTGAAGTGCAGTGTTTTGTGTGTGTGTGTGTTTTCCAATTTATACCATAAGCTCCTGTCACCAAGGAGCTTATGGTGTCAATTAAAATCAGGGAAATTAGCCAGGCGTGGTGGCGGGCGCCTGCAATCCCAGCTGCCCGGGAGGCTGAGGCATGAGAATCGCTTGAACCTGGGAGGCGGAGGTTGCAGTGAGCCAAGACTGAGATCGCGTCACTGCACTCCAGCCTGGGCAACAGATTCTCTCTCTCTCTCTCTGTATATATATATGATAAAATCAGGGGAGAGAAGACATATATCTATAGACAACACCAGTACAAAGCAAGAGGTGAACAGTGTCCCCAGAGAGATACAATAAAGTGCCAAGGGAATTCGGAAGAGGGAGATAATGTCAAATTGAGGGAGGAGAGGAGGGGAGGTCAGGGAAAGCTCTGGGCAGGGGTGGCACTTGTGCTGCTCCCTAAATTCTCACAGGACAGGACACAGAGCAAGAGGTGGGCTGGAAGGGCTTTCCAGGCAGAATGGATGGGAAAGAGCACAGACAGACCCAGGTTCAAATCCATGCCTAACTGGTGACCTTGAGCAAACTACTGAAACCTTTCTAAACTCTAGTTCATGGGAGTAAGAGTGGCAACGATGAGGCAATAGAACCTCCCCAGCCAGCCTTCCAGGGCTGCCAAGAGTTGCAAATGAAATATTTTACATAAAAGCAGTTGGAAAACTATAAAGTGCTCTGCAAACACAGGATTTGTTTTTATTATTGGAGCATTAATTAATCCAGTAATGAAGCTCCTAGATAAGAACACAGTAATGACTGAACCCACATGGGCTAATGAGCTGTTCAGCCTAAAGCTGTCCAACCATTCAGAGTCTGAGAAAGGGGGTGGTTAATCTTTATGACCCTATCCTTACCAGGTTAAGGGTATCCCTCCAACACCACTGGCTTTTCTAGAAAACCTGCCATTATCTGTCATTTGTGTCTAAACTCCCTCCATCCATCCATCCATCATCCATACATCCATACATCCACCCATCTATCCTCCCATTCATCCGTCCGTTCATCCATCCATCCATCCACCCACCTATCCACCCATCCACACGTCCATCTGTCCATCCATCCTACTATCCATCTGTCTAATAAATCTTTTTTTTTTTTTGTGATGGAGTCTTGCTCTGTTGCCTAGGCTGGAGTGCAGTGGTATGGTCTTGGCTCATTGCAACCTCCGCCTCCTGGGTTCAAGCAATTCTCCTGCCTCAGCCTCCTGAGTAGCTGGGATTACAGGCGCTCGCCACCACGCCCAGCTAATTTTTGTATGTTTTTTTTTAGTAGAGACGGGGTTTCACCATGTTGGCCAGGCTGGTCTTGAACTCTTGACCTTGTGATCGGCCTCCCAAAGTGCTGGGATTACAGGCGTGAGCCACCAGGTCCGACCAATAAATCTTTAATGAGTAATTCATAGCCAGGCACCGTGATCAGTGTTGGGGATACTGAAAAAATTTAGAGCCCTTTTATGCAGGTCACAGCCTGTGGGAAAGACAGCCATATAAACCATGAACCACTACTTTTCTTAAACCTATTTTCAGTTAGTTCTACCTTTTGGGGATAACAAGGTCTACAGACAATAGATTATGGAATTTTAAAGCTGAGTGATCTTAGAAATCATCTTTTTTATCTCACTATTTTACGGATGAGGAAATTGTGTTTATGATTTGTTGTGAAAAGTACTGTGACTTTCCCTTACTTGCCTTCAAATGACCTCATCCAGGTTTCAAGTTTAGTCAGTTCGATTAATCTTTACTAAGCATCTATTGTAAGCGGCTCTTCGGAAGAGCTGCAGTACAGCTGTGAAGAAGACATCATCCCTGCCCTCAAGGAGGTCATGGTCTATGGGCAAAGGACACATATGGAGATAACAGCTGTGTTGCTCCGTAGAGGCCCTGTTAGCACAGGGCACTGAAAATACAGAAGGAGCTCCTGATTTGGGTTTGGGGAGTTCAGGGGAAGCTTCTCAGAAAGAAGACCTTTGAGCCATGTCTTGAAAGGCAAAGAGAAATGTGTTAGATGGAAATCTGGGGGAAGGGCATGCCAGGCAGAGGGCATGGAGATGTGAAATAGCATGACTTACGGGAGAGCTACAATAGGTCGGTGATGCTGGGGCTTAAGGAGGAAGGTGGTGAGGAATGAGCCTGGAAAGGAGGGCAGAAACCGAGTGCCAGTACACTTGATGTGGAGCCAGTATGGCCAAAGGCCACCCCTACTTTCCTTGTCTGCTCTTCCTGTCTCTCTGAGGTAAGAAGCTCCTCCACACCCCCGTTTGCAGACTAAAGAGGCCTAATTTGTCAGCCTGTCATCTTAGGGCAGCATAAGGAGTTGCTCCCCATTCCTTAAGGTGTGGCTTAAGTCCCACCACCTCCAGGAAGCCACCCTTGACAACCCTCTGCCTTCAATGAACTCTACTGTCTCGCCCACACTTTGGGATCTGCATTGCTGTTTTTTGTCACCCCATGTAAGTATAACTTGTCTCTACAGTGAGACTTTAAGTTCCTGAGGGTTGGGTGTGTGAGTCACATGGTAATGTTTAATAAACACCAGTAAGAATGAATCCTTTAAATTTGGGTTTCAGGACATATGGCGAGGGTTTGTCAAAAGGTTGGACAGGCCTGGGTTTGATTCCAGCTTTATGGCTAGTTACTAATTAGTAACTCTGGGCAAGTTTTAAAATCTTTTTAATGCCTCAGTTTTTTCATCTATAAAATGGGTGATGGCCTCAACTCACAGGCTGCTGTGAAGACATGGTTGTGGCTGGGGGCCAAGGGAAGCATTGGGGGCTTTTCAACAGTGGGGCTTTGGACAGGCAGCAACAGCGGGAAGACGCCTGAGTGCGGTGCATCTGGAGGGCAACGTGGAAAACCTGACATGATCAGGCCCTGTGGTTGAGAGCTCCCAGCTGATTCACTAACCTGTCGGTGCTTGACAGTTACAAAGTACTTGGCCGGTGCTCTCATTGGACTAAGGAAATTGAAGGCCTGAGAACATAAGCAACTGGTCACAAAGTGGGCGAGTGGCAAAGCTTGTGCTGGTGAGAAGGAAGGCAGAGGGTGGAGCGCACAGCCTGTATGTAATGATATAGGAGGCAGTAATATGCTGATAAATGTTGAACAGCCAGGAAAGATTTAGCAAGCGGCTTCCAGGAAAACATAAGCTCTAATTTACAGTGTTAGCCGATTTCTGTGGTGTAAATACTCTGATCATGGCTGATTTCAAGCTGCTAATGTGACATCACTGTGGAGTTAGGAAGAGATGTGTATGGATGATCAGAAGGTCATCTTGCCTGTGGTCACACAGCCATCCCTGCAGCAGAGAACGGTTCCAGCCTGGGCAGTCTGACACTTGAGCCCAAGCTCTAAACATGACATTGTCCTCCTCCTCCTGTTCATGACAGGATAGCTGTAACAAGGGGCATGAGCTGGCTCCGTGGCATCAGCTGTCAAGTTCCAGCCCATTTCCAGATAACCACTGATCTTTGGTGCTGGCATAGTTAGGGCTCTACCCAAGCTATCTTTCATCCTTATCCATGATGGCAGGACGTGCTCTGATAGGCCCCATTTGGATCCCATTGGCACAGCCAGAAGAACTGGAGGCAAGAGGCTGGCCAGAAAGGTTAGCTGAGGCAGAAGGCAGCTCATGGGGGTAGAGTGAGCATAGGAATACCCAGGCCTGGAGCCTGTTCTCCAAAATTGATTTTTCACAGCCCAGAAAACTGTATCCAACACTAAAAAACCAACACGAACAGCACATTTTTGCTACTAACAACATATTCATGATAATTTATTAGAGGATCATTAAACCTAAGTATGCGATCTGGAGCCTTGAACCAAGCAGGTGGCTCTGTCTGCGGATGGAGGAGAGGGAGGGAAATCAAGAATACAGAAGGGAAGGGCAGGGAAGGCAGAGGATGCTGAAGGGGTTGGGGGTGGGTTCTAGAGGGCTTGGTCATGGGAAAACACATGAGACCCCAGGCTTGCATCTGAGGCCTGGTACTGTGACTTCTAGTGTGTGTGTGTGTGTGTGTGTGTGTGTGTGTGTGTGTGTGTGTGTGTGTGTTGGCAGGGGTAGGGGAAATGATTATGTCATTGATATCAAGATTATTATTTTATATATATATATATTTAGAGACAGGGTAACACTCTGTCGCCCAGGTTGAAGTGCAGTGGCGCTATCACAGCTCACTGCAGCCTCAAACTCTTGGGCTCAAGCAGTCCTCCTCCCTCAGCCTCCTGGGTAGCTGGACTACAGGCACTCGCCACCATGTCCAGCTAATTTAAAAAATTTTGTAGAGTCTGGGTCTTGCTATGTTGTCCAGGCTGGTCTCGAACTCCTGACTTCAATCAACCCTCCTGCCTTGGGCTCCCAAAGTGCTGGGATTATAGGCATGAGCCACCATGCCTGGCCAGAATCAAGATTATTGTGCAAGAGTAATTGTCACGTATCTGGGGTCGTGGCTTGTATTACAAGTAATATTTAGCTCTCAATCATCAGGGTTAATGGGGGATTGGAGAGGTGAGAACTGATATACAGAGGGGACTCTGGGCTCATTTTGGGGGGGCTCTGTCCCTCCCTGATCTGGACACTTGCTGCTTACCAGTCAGGAATGCTGTTTTAGGAGCTTCCTATGTGTATATGTGTGCATGTGTGCATGCATGGGCTAGTGTGTGCACACAACCATGTACACATGTGCACATATGTCCACCTGCTTACATGTTTTCTGGATGTGTGTCTGTGTATGTGTGCATGGATCTCCTACCCTTTCCTCTTCCCATCGAGGGAGGGAGCTGGACAGAGGCCAAAGGGTGATGGGGAATCAAGAGCCAGAGAGGAAGAGGCCTGCCTTTTAAAACCCCAGGTGTTCTGGGGAATTCCCTCATGGTGACTTCCTTTCTGATTCCTAAGGCTGCTGTGGTTAGAAATGAAAATGAATTCAGCTCTGGTCCCATCCTTTGGAACCCCCTCTGCACACAGTGGGGGCTTAATAAATACTTGATGATGATGGTTCTGAACCTGGGAAGCCAGCAGCTGTTCCTAGTTCTGACTCTCAGAGCCCCATGGGGCAAATCAGGCAGGGAATGACCATGGGGGAATCTTCAGTCTTCCTGCCAGATCCCCCTGTGACTACACACCCAGCTGTTAGGGAAGGGGCTGGAGCCATGGTCCACTTCACACACCCTGCTTTGGAGAGGCCAGTTCTTCCTCAGCAGCTTCTCTTTTGTTTTCCCCAACTAACATTTGAACAATATTTATTGAACAACCACTTTGTACTGAATATCATAGTGGAAATGCATCCTGGGAGAAAGTATCTGATCTGTGGGGTCAGACTGACTAAGTTCAAATCCCAGCATCTTTAATTACAAGCGGGATGACATCTGACAAGTTACATATCTATGTTTGAGCGTTTGAGTGTTTTTTCCACTTTCCTTTCTCTCCTTCTTCTCCTTCTCCTTCTTCTTCTTCTTCTTCCAATTTTCATCTGTAAAAGGAGAGTGATGACATCATTTTTGTGGGGTTGATGTGAGGGTTGGAAATAACAGAGAGGACCCTGAACACGAGGCGTAGGCACTCAGTCAATGGTAGGTGAGTTTATCCACCGGGTGTTAGAAGGTGTGGATCCCCCCTGCTTCTGTGACCTTGACGTTGTTACTCAACACCTCTAAGCATCAGGCTTTGTAAATGAGACCATACTGCCCACCTCCTTGGGTGTTTGGAGACTGTATCCGGATAATATATGTGAAACAACCTATCGTAAACCCTGGTGGTTAATAAATGTTTGCCTTCCCCTCCGTCTGCCCCCTCATCAGGGTGCACACCTCCCCTCCTTCGGAGGCCCTCTGTCCCTCCTCCCCATCGCCCAGCGTGAGCGAACATCCCTTATCGCCGTGGGCTTAAGGGTTGTGGCCATACCTGTCAGAGGAAAGAGGACAGCGGCTCAGCTCCGGGGTGGGGGAGCAAAAACTACAGTTCCCAGTCCTCGCTGCGCCGCCACTGGGGCCGGAGCCCAGGACGCCAGGCCCCTCCTCTGGGGAGGAGCCTATGCGGGGGGCGGAGCTAGGAGGAGGTTGGAGAGTTAAGCCAAGCCAATGAGACCAGCTGCTAATAAGTGGGCTTGGCTTACAATGTAACAGTGGCAGGAGGAGGCGAGCGAAGCTATTGAGCCAGCGAGGAGTGAAGCTGAGCCTGGCCTCACACGCTCCTAGAGGACCACCTCCTGAGAGAGTTCTTTCACCCCCTCTTCTTTCTCCAAGCTCCCCTCCTGCTCTCCCTCCCTGCCCAATACAATGCATTCTTGAGTGGCAGCGTCTGGACTCCAGGCAGCCCCAGAGAACCGAAGCAAGCCAAAGAGAGGACTGGAGCCAAGATACTGGTGGGGGAGATTGGATGCCTGGCTTTCTTTGAGGACATCTTTGGAGCGAGGGTGGCTTTGGGGTGGGGGCTTGTGCTGCAGGGAATACAGCCAGGCCCCAAGATGGACACTTCTGGGCACTTCCATGACTCGGGGGTGGGGGACTTGGATGAAGACCCCAAGTGCCCCTGTCCATCCTCTGGGGATGAGCAGCAGCAGCAGCAGCAGCAGCAACAGCAGCAGCAGCCACCACCGCCAGCGCCACCAGCAGCCCCCCAGCAGCCCCTGGGACCCTCGCTGCAGCCTCAGCCTCCGCAGCTTCAGCAGCAGCAGCAGCAGCAGCAGCAGCAGCAGCAGCAGCAGCCACCGCATCCCCTGTCTCAGCTCGCCCAACTCCAGAGCCAGCCCGTCCACCCTGGCCTGCTGCACTCCTCTCCCACCGCTTTCAGGGCCCCCCCTTCGTCCAACTCCACCGCCATCCTCCACCCTTCCTCCAGGCAAGGCAGCCAGCTCAATCTCAATGACCACTTGCTTGGCCACTCTCCAAGTTCCACAGCTACAAGTGGGCCTGGCGGAGGCAGCCGGCACCGACAGGCCAGCCCCCTGGTGCACCGGCGGGACAGCAACCCCTTCACGGAGATCGCCATGAGCTCCTGCAAGTATAGCGGTGGGGTCATGAAGCCCCTCAGCCGCCTCAGCGCCTCCCGGAGGAACCTCATCGAGGCCGAGACTGAGGGCCAACCCCTCCAGCTTTTCAGCCCTAGCAACCCCCCGGAGATCGTCATCTCCTCCCGGGAGGACAACCATGCCCACCAGACCCTGCTCCATCACCCTAATGCCACCCACAACCACCAGCATGCCGGCACCACCGCCAGCAGCACCACCTTCCCCAAAGCCAACAAGCGGAAAAACCAAAACATTGGCTATAAGCTGGGACACAGGAGGGCCCTGTTTGAAAAGAGAAAGCGACTGAGTGACTATGCTCTGATTTTTGGGATGTTTGGAATTGTTGTTATGGTGATAGAGACCGAGCTCTCTTGGGGTTTGTACTCAAAGGTAGGGGCTGTGGTTTCTCTTTATACCTTGAACAAAAGGAATATGTAGGTAGCAAGAGAGGGATTGAGAGAGGGGGATTGTGAGAGAGAGAGATTGAGAGAGAGAGAGAGAGAGAGAGAGAGAGAGAGAGATTGAGAGATTGGGAGGGAGACTGGGAGAGAGAGGTGGTGGTGGTGGTGAGAGGCGCTTGCTCAGTTATATTCAACACTCTAACTTCCCGTGGTTTTCCTTCTTGATCCCGGGAGAATTCATTCCTAGCTTCCTCTGGGGGGTAGGGGACATCCCCACACACTGTGTCTAATTTGCAGACTCTCTGTTAGGGAGGATTCAATAATCCCTTCTGAGAAATCGCTTTTCCTCCTGGCTCACTCGTACTAAAGCATAACCCAGCAGCTTAACGCACCAATTAATTACACTCCGCCTTCATGTGTTTGCCAGTTCCTGCGACTTCCCCTTCTTTCCTCCCCTCCCTGCTCCACTCCATTTTCCTGAGGATAAAAAAGAAATAAATGTCTGGGTGGGGGGTGGGGATTCCGTACCATTGCCCAAGTCCCTTCTCTCCCTGTCTTCTCCATCTCTTCCCAAGTTTCTGTTTCCCTCCTCTTCTCAGAGAGTCTCGGGCAAAATAGAAAACCATCCATGACCTGGGTCTCCTGAGGGCATGGGGTAAAAATATAGGTGGAGGAAATCAGTGGTCCTTTCCCTCAGGAGAGAGGACTCAGAATAAACCTGCTGCTGCTTCGTAAACATCTCCTGATAAAAATGGCTACAGGTGTTACCTGGGCAGAGCAGCTGGGCGCCGCCTTGGAATCAGCTGGGGGAGCACCTCTCCTTGGGACGGGATGACAGGGCTTCCCAGGCGGTCCCCACAAGCCCGCGCCCCAGCTCAGCCCCAGTTCTCCCCTCCCACCTCAACTCCTCCTTGGGATAAATAAAGATGAGTGTGTGTGTGAGTGCGCGCCCGGATGGAGAACAGCAGGCACTGGCTTTAGCGGGGAGCTGGCCCCACTGCTCCAGCCTCTCAGTCCAGCCCCAAGACGGAGGAGGGGGTTTCCCTCCCAGAGGGAGTGGAGATGGAGGAAGGTGGGTTTCTGCCGATGCTCTGCTTGCCGGGGAGCTCTCCTGCTGTGGGCTGGAAGGCTTGGAGACCTGGGAATCGGTGGACAAGTGGCTCCACGATACCCCCACCCCCAATTTGTTGGTGTGTGTGTGTGTATGTGCGTAATGTTTGTACGTATGCATGCGCCTGCTTGTTGCTTGGGTTTTTCTATTTATTTGTCATTTGGGGCAGGGGGTGGCTTGGTGGGGGGGTGGCTGGGCGGGCTGGCCATCGGGTAGCTGGGAGGGGTTCAGCTGTTGGAGGTTTCAAATAGAGCTTGTTTCAGGCAGGGCACAGCTGCTGCGAGACTGTCACATTCCTTATTGAAATCCAGCCGCAAAAACCTAGGAGGTGCTGATCGGATTTCCCCCATTCCCAGCATCTCACTTTAATCGGTGATGGGCAGACTTTCCCGCCCTGGAAACGGGTGGGGCAGACCTGTCAGACGACCTGAATAGCCAGGACCAAGACTTCCAGGCAGAGGGTCCTCCAGCAACCCGGCTGCTCTCTCAGTGGGCTGCCCCAGCGGAGGGCAGCACCTGGAAGCCGCCTTAGTCAAAATAGCTCAAGGATGAGCGTCTCAGCGAGCAGAAGCGAGTGGGGTTTCCCTTGGAAGCGCAGCTCACTTAGTCATTCCCTGTAATGAGCCTCTGCGTCTGCGGGTCCTTCTGCTCGCTGCCTTCTCAGAACCGCCTCTCCTGCTGGGCGCTCCAGGATATGGGGCTGGCAGCCTCGCTAGGACTGGCAGCTGCCCTGGTCACAGCCCTGGCTCTCTCCAGTCCTCCCTTGGAGACCAGGGGCCCTCACTGGGGAAAACTGATGAAGGCCCAAATGCAAGGGGGGTGTGGGGAAGGGGCAATCCCAGCACCTTCTCTTTCAGTGACACCCGTAGTCAGAGTTCTTAAGGAAACGGCTATTCCCAGAGACAGTGGCTGTGCACAGATCCCAGTGTGGGATCTATGCACATTTGTCTTAACGCGACGGGAGAGTCACCACTCTGCAGGATCAGGCCCTCTTCCCTGCCTGGGGCAGGTGCCACCCCTGAGGGGGAGCTCAGGGAAAGGGGCTTTCCCAGAGATGCGGAAGGCAGATTTTAGGTGAATGAAAGGGGAGGCCACCTGAGGTGCTTGGCTCCCCGCATTTCTGAATCACAGACCCTCATAGCAGCAGTGGCGTGCACCGAGGGGGCAGTAGCTGAGAGGTCCTTCTTGCCTCAGCGGCCACTTCCTGTGTGCCTTGGGGCTGGTCTTGAGATAAGCAGAGCTCATTTAACTTGCTCACTCATTCACCCATCCCTGCACTGTCCATCCATGTTTTGAGTCATTTATGAAACAAGTATTTTCTGGGTGTCTCCTATGTACCAGGCCTTGTACACACTGCAGGGCCAAGATAGATATCCCTCTCTCCTGGAGGCAAATGGGAACATTTCAAGGAACTGGGCCAGAGTTGGAATCCCAGCTCTGCCACTACTATTTGTGTGATCTTGGATAAGTCATGGAGCTTTAGCGAGCCTGTTTCCCCAGCTGTCGAGTAGGGAGAATTAAATTAGAGACGTGTAAGGCACGTATCTGCCTGCTCAACAAATGGGACCTATTGTGATTGTTACTGATGATGACAATGATGAGAGGAAAGGAGATATCTTTTTCCTGTTATCTAACTCTGGCTGTAAAATTAGTTGGAGCTTTAACAGATTGGGATCTAAGACTTGTCAACGGAGTGAGAAGTTGTATCTGGGAGGGAAGAAGTCCTGAGAAGGGACTGGGTCTGACTAGAGACCACCTTTAAGCATGGTTTATTCTTGGGGGGAGGTGAATATCTGTGTCCCAGTTTCATGGAGGAAGTGGTCTCTACTCCTCCATGGTCTGGGTTAGTCACAGCCCAGGAGAGCTCAGGGACATTCAGTGGACCCTGGGGAGGGATGGGTGACACTCTTTTGCTGGAGAGCTTTGTGTGCCTGGTTGGCCCTGCTGACCAGTCTGGAGGCAGGCGGATGGACAAGGCAACCTCAGGGGTACCAGGCAGATTAGGTAATTCTGCCCATCCAGTGGCAGCTCCCACTCAAAGGCCCTTGGGAGGTGACAAACTTTTTTTTTCCCCAGGTGATTGAAGATTAACTAACCTTGTGCCTGAGCTGCTGCTTTCTGAAGTTCTCTGCTTTTTTTTCCGTGGGGTTGTGGCCTTGCTGTTCACCTATGTTTGGCGGGTGGCTGCTGCTGGGGAAGTAACTTGTCATGCAGGCCTGGGTCTTTTGAAAAGGAGGGTGGCATGTGCCCTGAGCATGTTCAGTTAATGCAAATGGGAGCCAATGTGAGGGGGTTGAGCAACCGGGACAGAACATCCCCAGCTCCTGCCTCACAGGCCTGTAGGTGCTGATGATGGAAGTAAGCTCTGCTAGGAGGCATCAGCCTGGAGCAGGGAGGTGGGGCTTGATTCCTGGGTGAGCTCAGATAAGAGGAGAGCTTCTCATTATTATGCCTGGGACATGAGATCAAACGGCAGAGATGCCTGAGATGGCCCCAGTGGGCTCCTAAAGGTACCAGGTGACCCTTGAACCAAATGAGGAGTCCTTTTTTTTTTTTTAATAGGCAGGTTTACTCTCTGAAGTCTTAGACATTGTGACGAGGCCTGGTCTAGAGATTCTGTTGAGAATCTTAATCACATCATCTGTACTGATCGGTGCCACCTGGGTAGACCAGCAAGGACCTGGGGAGTCCTTCTTAGTGTTCTTTATTTTCTTTTAGAGCTGGTTTGGGGCACACCCACTCCATTGCATTAAATTACCTGTATGCTCTCTTCCCTGGGTTCAGAAAGAATTAGGGAAGGGAAAGGCCTGGCTGCCCTCCCCTTTCCCCAGGCTGTGACTTCACCACCCTGACCCTGCCATCATGTTGGTGGCTGAGCTGGTACCTCTGTGTGGCTGGCAAGGCACCCAGGGGCCTTGTTTCTCGGGATCTCAGGCGTTGGGCTGTGGGATCTTCTCAGGGGAGGCTGGAGAGTGCTGGTGTGGCAGCATGGCTCTTCTTTTCCACCAATCTGTACAACCTCAAGCCACTTCCCCATGCCCGGCCTTGAAACTGGTCTGCATCTCTCCTCCCAGGCAGAACCAGTCCTCTGCCCACTCCCCCACCATGCTCCTGTCTCGCCTGCCCCACTGATTTCCTGCCCCTCTGCTCCTCTCTGTGGCCCCTGCCTGGCCTCGTTGCTGGGGTAACCCAGGTGGCAGAGAGGAGTTGGTGTGAAGATGCTTATCCAGGCTGCCCTGTCTGCTCCCACAGTGTCTTCTTTTCCCACTTCTAGTTACTCTTTCTTCAGACAACCTCATGGGAGGCCGCTTCTCCGTATGCCCAGGGGAGCCTGGTCGTCTGGCCATTCACTCTTTAAACAGAATGGCCAAGGCCAACTTGTCTGTCTCTTTGCAGACCTCACAGAGGTCCCTGAGTCCATCCCCAGCCTCTAGACCAAATGATTGAGTAGTATCACTGGAACCAGTTCTGATCCTCTGCTCTCCCTGGTCACGGAAGCCTTGTCTGCAGAAGGGCAGAGCAGCAGTGCAGGCTTGGCTAGCCAAGTGGCTCTGCACCTTCTGTTTGGACCCAGGTGCTGCTTTGGGATAGGTTGTTGGCTGTCACAGTGTCCTGGTATTTTTGAGAAGATGCCTCTGGGTACTGGTGCCTGTGTTTCAGGCCATGGTGGAAAAGTAGGAGTAGGATAGACCCTTTCCAGCCCTTTCCATGGACCCTCCCTGTGGGGTGACCTGCAGGACCAGGATGCAGAAGGCAGGAGACTGGCTGAGAGCCTGCGAGCCCACTGCCGAGGGCCCTAGGCACACATTTTGTCTTCACAGGTCACACTGAGTGTGTCGGCCCACAGGAGGGCAAGCGTGAAAATGGCCTTTTGACAGCGTGAAAATGGCCTTCTCCGCCACCCGCCCCAGGGTGGTGGTGACTTTATTTATAATCTTTGTGGACAGTCTGTAAATGAGTCAAACATCTGTAACCCACAGGGGGACAGCTAACTTTTTATATATGCTTCTCCTTTGCGTGTCATCACACTATTTATAACTGTCCTGGGGAAAGACTTCATCACACATCCGGACTTCCCTTCCCCACAGGCGGCATTACCCAGGTGCTCCGCCAGGGGCATCCTGGCTGGGGCACTTATCTCCTGCACAGCCTAAGTAGAAAGGCGGCTGATGCCTCGTATTTCTCTTATTGTGCTTTTAGGAAGAGGGATTTGTAAGGCCATGGTCAAAAGATCTGCTTTAAAAAAATATAAGGTAAAGAAAGTCAAAATGAAAAGAAATTTGAGTAACCTCTGTAGAGAATCTGGGGCCTGGATGGAAATGTAAGATCAGAATAGAGCGCTTCAGCTCTGTTGCAGTTATTTGTGAAGCACATTTGGGGGAGAAAATGAGTGTGTGCGGGGGTTGTGAGGGGCGGCTGTATATTGATGAAATACCACTTTACTCAGCTCAGTGACAGGCAGGCCAGCACATTCATTTGTAGTTCTTTTTCTTCTCTTTCTTTCAAAACCCCAAAAGGAGAGCAAGAAAGCAAGGCACCTATTCCTCTTTAAATAATGAGGGTGGGGAATTCTGAGACTGTGCTTTTCCCAGGAGCTGTAGGGAGGAAAATTCTAGTGCCTTTTCTTCGGGTGAGGAAAGTCCGGAGGAGGCGAATGGGTTTTTAAGTGCCCCCTCCCCCGACCCTGTCATTCCACCCCCAGGAGCTCAGCTGGGATCTGAGGGAAAGGAGGGGAGGAGCAGCTGGGGGCAGGGACCACGCTACTTTCTGGTCACCCAGCACTTCGCTGGGCTGGCCGGGATGTTGCTGAGTGACAGGAGAGGGGAAGGCAAGGACCATTTGCTGAGTGCTGGGCTGGCTTTACATTACACCCGGGAGTACAAGGAGCAGGTCGTGCTCACCGCCCCCTGTGTAGATGAAGTCACCGGGCCACACTGACACTGCCAGCGGTGGTGGCACTGAGATAAGAACCCAAGCCCGTTTAGCTCCCAAGTTCATGCCCTTTCCCTTGCCTGCTGCTGCCCATATCCTTAAAAGAGAAAAATTGAGTTTATGGCACTGAGACCCGTGATGCAAAATGTTGGAACAGGAGGAACTTTACCACGAGCTGGGCAGGAAGGGCTTGATGGAGGGCGGGAGATGCTGGCGCAGGTCCTGGAGAAGACAGTGCTGGAGGGGTGGCCAGGGCAAGTGTGGGCACCCCAGGTTGGCCTGGGATCAGGGTGAGATTGTGGACTGGCCCAAGGTCAGTTCTTGATGCCTCCTCTCTGGGGTCTGGTGCTGCTGCCCTCAGGGTGATACCGGGCAGGTTGTGAGGAGGGTAGGTGTGGAGAATACAGGGAAAATGAAAGCCCTTCCTGCAAAAGCTCCTTCCACAGCCCCTAGCACCCCCACCTTCCACCCCTGGAGGGCCAGCAGGACCCCTAGACCTGACTGGACATGTCCATACATAACTCTCTCACCCCTCACCTCCACCTTGCTCTTCTCTTAGGCTGCCTTTCTCCTCCAGCACTGGCTGTGTGGCTGTTTATCGGGGGACAGTCACATGAGCTCAGCATCTTACATCTTACAAGGCATTTTCACCCCTGGGTCCCTCATGACCCTCACGGTGGCTGGCCCAGGGCTCATGATGACCAACTATCTCAGGGATGAGAAAACTCGGCTGCACAGGGGTTCCCAGGGTTGAGTGCCTCACTCCAGGTGCCCATCTCAGGAAAGAGAGGGTTCTAGAATGAGAGCTCAGGTCTCAGTACACTTCTGATTTCCCTATTCCAAACCCCACCACAAACTTCTGCTGGGGATTTGAGTGAGGGACCTCGAAGGGCTTCTCCATTCCTGGTTCTAGAAGTTTCTTTTTCATTCTTGAGTCCCATTTTCCTGCGTCCCTGTCTGTGCCTCATGCCTCTGTTGAGCTCTGTCATGGGCAGTGAGTGCCGAGAAAAGGCCCGTCTCTGCTTTGAGCCCCTCAGGAGGTGCTTCTGCCTCTTGCTTCCAGCTTGTTGTGTGATCTTTGTCGAGTCCCTTCCCCTCTCTGGGCCTCGTTTCTCTGGCCTAAAAACAGGAGCTGAACTCCCTTCCTGTGCCGAGGCTTCGCAATCTGATTCCAGATCATGTTTCATCACGAGGATGAGCAGCCACAGTCCGGAGAGTCCTGTTCTTAGGGGTGTCAGACAGCACCCAGATGGCATCCATCCCAGGCGGACGGTGGTTTATGGTGTTGGTGCTTGGGAGGACTGAGGAAGGAGACAGTGACTCAGACTGGGGATGCTGGGTGGATTCCCTGTAGGAGGTTGGGGGGTCCCTGAAGGACTAGACAAGCCATGATGGGAGGGGCTCGGGCAGGGGCTCAATTCTGAGTGTGAGAAGCCCGGGGAGAGGGGGCAGAGTGTGTAGGGAATAGAGCAGGCATGAGGG
This sequence comes from Homo sapiens, assembly GCF_000001405.40. Classification (NCBI taxonomy): domain Eukaryota; kingdom Metazoa; phylum Chordata; class Mammalia; order Primates; family Hominidae; genus Homo; species Homo sapiens. The sequence goes on along the minus strand of NC_000001.11, from coordinate 154,861,495 downwards.
CAGCTTCAGGTTGCTGCCGTGTGGTGCACACAGGGGCATGTAGGGAGGAAAGAGGAGACTGTCTCGTCTGGAGAGGCTTTGGGCAGGCAGTGAACACAGGCCCAGGGCGAGGGCACAGTGATGGATGGAATATTTGGTAGCATCAGTAACCACCAGGGCTGCAGAGTTCTGCACACTCAGGCCCCGAAGACCTGATATCCTTCCTTTTAGAGGTGGCCAGGCTTGGTAGTTAAGGACTTGGGGCCAGGCGCGGTGGCTCATACCTGTAATCGCAGCACTTTGAGAGGCCAAGGAGGGTGGATCACCTGAGGTCAGGAGCTCGAGACCAGCCTGGCCAACATGGCGAAACCTCATCTCTACTAAAAATAAGAAAATTAGCCGGACCTGGTGGCTCACGCCTGTTATCCCAGCTCCTTGGGAGGCTGAGGCTGGAGAATCGCTTGAACCCGGGAGGCGGAGGTTGCAGTGAGCCGAGATCGCGCCACTGCACTCCAGCCTGGGCAACAGAGTGAGACTCCATCTCAAAAAAAAAAAAAAAAAAAAACTTGGGTGGCACACCAGTGATGGGCGCTCTGGGAACTTACTGAACCCAAAGCCTATTTCCTCAGTGTTAAGAGGGAATCACAACTACTGGCTGTAGCACAGCAGCCACCACAGAGCCAGCCACACACTGGGTCTCAGCAGCTGGCAACTGTTGCCTTTATTAGAGTGGTGGTTAGAAGATGCCACCTGGAGCATCAAGACAGGAGGGGCATATGCGCCCATGTCACCCCTCCACTGTCTGCAGGTGTCCCTGCCTGGAGAGCACGTGTGGAACATGCCCCTTTTCTCATGAGCCAAATGGCTTCCCGTCCGTGACAAGCTCCCCAGTCATGTTTCTGGATAGACCTTGTTGGGTGAATCTGTGTGAGTAAAAAGGAAGTGGGCTGTTCTCCGGAGGGCAGGGCTGCAGTGGTGGCCTGGGCTGGACTTCTGGAGCCTTCTTACCCCATGGGGCCCTGTTATTCTACACTCAGTTAGCAATTTGTGGTCTGGGCAGAGCTAACCGGGTGTGGACATGCAAATCGGACAGGTGGAGAGAGAACAAAAATAAACCCGTGGGGCCAGGCCAGAGGCTGAGAGGCCTGGAGGAAGGTCAGGGGGACACACGATGACCAGGCAGAAAAAGGCTGAGAGAGTAGGGCCACAGGGAGAGCCGAACTAGGAAGCTGACCTGGGACAGAAGCAGGGAAGAAAAGCATTGCCACAGCTTGCCTGATGCGTCGTCAAGAGAACACAATTTCCCCTTCAAGACTTGAGTCAGGGTGCTTCCTAGAATTCTAAAGATTCTTTCTGCCCCTTCACCCTGCTTGGAGCACCAGGGCTGTGGCAGTGGGTGACGTTCCCAGCCAGGTGCCAGGGGGCAGGCAGCAAGAGCAGCTGGGCAGGGGAGGGACGTGCCCAGGGCTTGCCCTTTGTGGAAGCCATATCTGTTTCACAAGCCCTGGGCACAGGGTAACCAGAGTTGTATTCTGAGCAGAGCCTTGATGATACTAAATGAACAGCATGCAAATGATGTGTGAAATAATATGCAAATTGGCATCTGTTATTTTTGAGTCAGCTTGTTGGGCATTTTTCTTAAAGGACAGGAGTGCTGCTCAGTGTCAAATTAACAGGAAAGTCAGCTTAAAGGACACTCCTTGCAGGGACTGAGCTGGCACCTACTCCTTAGAGCTTGCTGATACCAGGCCTGCCACGCGACATCTGCAAGGACAGTTGTTTGGTGTTTTGCTTCAGGTTATAGATGGAGAGACCTATAAAGGTGGGTGCCCTGCCCAGGTTACCCAGTAGGTAGGGAGGAGGAAGCAGATGACCTGTTGCCTGGCTTGAGCCATTGAACCTTGCTGACCTGTCAGTGGCTTTGAGCTGAGGGGGCCCTGCAGGGAGGCAGGGAGAGGCTGCCCTTGCTCATTCTGGTCCATCTGCCACCGTTGGTTTTCCTTAAGCTCTGTGCCTCAAACTCTCCGAGCCTCAGTGTCCCCGTTTGTAATGGATGTGGGGAGACTGACATCCACTAACCTGGGGAGGATGACACTTGCTAGTGGTTGGTCAAGTGGCCAGCCTGGCTGTGGGTGCTCCTGGGCTGCCAGCAAGTGGTGGCTCCTCCTAGCCCCTTTGCCTGAGTTGGCATCAGCCTGCCTCCTCGCAAGCTTCCACTAGCAGCGATTTTTGCAGAGCAAAACCCCTTTTGAGATTTCTGATTTTAACGAATTGGAGTTTAGCTATTTTCTTTCTTTTCTGGCTTCCAGTGGGTAAGATGTTGGCTCCCCAAAAATCTCCCATACATGGGAATGGCCGGAGCTGCCTGCATGGGTGATGTTACCTTCTCCCAAGGTGAGGGCTTGGGGTAGGCATGTTGCTCAGGGTTGAGCCACCGCCTTTGGAGGGCTCAGAGCTGGATGGCATTGGTGGAGGATGCAGGGGAGGCCTCCTCAGGGGGGCACCATACCTGCCCTAGATGGCCAAGCTCTGTAGGCCAGCCAGGTGTGCTAGCCTGGGTGGGCAAGATCCCTGCATATGCCTCCCAGCCCTGTGAGGAAGGCAGGGAAAGGACCATCCTCCTCCTTATAGGACCCCAAGGCCCATAGAAGTTATGCGGTGGCTCACACCTGTAATCCAGCACTTTGGGAGGCTGAGGCGGGAGGATCGGTTGAGTCCAGGACCTCAAGACCAGCCTGGGCAACATAGTGACACCTTGTCTCAAAAAAAAAAAAAAAAAAGTTACATGACTTGTCCGAGGCTACTCAGCATTGTTAGTGGCAGGGGCATAGCTGGAATCCTGGAATTCCTGGTTTTAGTTCTTCCTCTCTTTTTGTTTCTCCCATCCCTCTTCTGGAAACATATCCTGAACACCCACTGTGTGGCAAGCCCTGCTCCAGGCGGCAGGAGTGCAGAGAATCTGTGCCTTACAGACTCCAGGGGGGTCTCTCCCCAGCCAGATGTGTTGTTCTCCACCAACTCTTCCTAAGAGAGCACAGGCTTTCCCCATAGACCTGGATTCAAATCCTGGCTATTTGGCTGTGTGGCCTTGCGCAGCGGCCCCTTTATTTGGGAGGTGGTATTTTAATTCCTCTTGTGGGTGGAGAGGTGAAGAATTCAACGTGGGCCAGAGCTGTCACCCAGGGGGCTCTTGTCCATGCTGGGCAATGGTGGGTTTTACCTTGGTTGTTTCTTCTGAGAGCTCAGTGGCCTTGGGATCATGCAAGGTCCCTCACAGCTGGGCCCATGGTTCCCAGCCCCTCCTGCTCTGGGCTGGACCTGGTGTTAAGCTCTGCCAAGATGCTTTCCCCTGCTCTGGGAGAGTAATGGTGCTGAGCCTGGTGGGAGGGCATTTTGGCAGAAGACACCTGACGGGGTGCACACTATGTGCCAGCGATGGAAAGATCCCTTAAGAGTGAAATGAAATTGATGCAAGCTGAGAGCAAGTCTAGGATGGAGTTGAGTCATGAGGGTTTCCTGGTGGGTGGACGGGATCATATAGAAAGAAAGCCTGTGTCCACAGCAGCTTGGGGGAAGGCACCGCTCTCATTACATGGGAACTTATTTTTCCTTCCGTAAGAATGACTCCAAAGCAACACCGGGTCTTATTCAGGAGTGAAGAGGTGACAGGCGGTGGAGAAGAGAATATTTATTAAGGGCCTACTATGTGTGTTTACACACCTCATCTCATTAAGTCCTCACAACAACCCTGTGAGGTAGATATAATTCTCCCCATTTTACAGATGACAGACCCAAGGCTCCGAGAGTTTAAGTGACTTGCTCAGGGTCTCACAGCTGGGAGGTGGTGGAGTTTGGATTTGCACACAGGGGAGTGTCTCCGACGCCCTCACATTGTGCAGCAGACATGCTTTTGCATATCAGATCCTAGACTGGGCTCTTTCAAGCCAAAAAGCTTCTCCTGCCCTGCCTGAGCTCTCCACTCCCGCCCACCCCACCCCTTACTGTGCCACCCTCAGTCCCCTGCCAGCCTCCCCCAGAGCCTCAGGGGATGTTTTGTGCTCATGGAGTGGGGTAAGGGTAGAGGGAGGAGGGGAGGAGGATGCTGGCAGTTTAGATACAGGGGTTTGCTGAAGCTCCAGGTGCCGTGCTGGGCTCTGGGGCTGAGGAAAGTCTCCTGTGGGCCCTGGAGGGGCCACCCGAGCCCTCAACAGCATGCGTCCTAGTGTTCTTGCCGCAGCTCTGTGGCTTCTCGGCTGTGCAGCCTTGTTGAGAAAACTGACCTCTTTGAGCCTCAGTCTCCAGGTCTGTGAATGGGGTTAACAGTGTTTTCTCTCTCTCATGAGAATGGGTGTCATGAGGAATAAATGAGACAAGGGCACTGCCTGGCGTGTTCTGGTTGGTTCTGGGGGTTCAGCACCAAATAGACATGGAGCTCACAGGCTGGTGGGGGAGGCAGGCACTGAACAAGTAACAACAGGTCTGATGTGAGCTTTGCGAGAGACAAGGGCACACACATGTGGCTTGGGTTTGACCCACAAGCCTGAGACTTGGTGTCCCACGCCTCCGTCTGCTCCCCTTCCCCCCATTTCCTGAAGGTCCATCTCACCCTCACTTCTTCCATCCTCCCTCATATCTGTCTCCCAGGCCATCCTCTGATTCTTCTATATGGGCTATCTAGCCTGGTGTTAGGAGAACAGGCTTTAGTGCCAAGCAGATATTGGGTACAGCGCTGGCTGTGTCACTTACTGTAGGCTGTGTGGCTTTGGGAAGCTGTCTCAGTGCTTTGATTCACAGTTTCCATGGGGGTGAATCCTAACCTGGCCGCTGGGGCTGTCATGAGAGTTAATGAGATATTGCTGTTTGTAAGGCAGAGGACATGGTTTCTGGCACACATGGAGCGCTCTGTGAAGGCCAGCTGAGTTGCAGGTGAGGAGAAGCATCCTAGGCTAGGTGTGGGGCAGCTTAGTTTCTGGTCCTCTGTTTTGTCATCTAGAGAGTGAGAGAAGGAGCCTGAGGAGGGGATGTTTCCTGCACTGGCCATCTGCGGGAAGGTCGTGAGCACCAGATGGAATTTCGGAGAGAACTGGAAGAAAGCTACGCTATTCCAGCTGGCGGGGGTCCTCATCGATGGTGCATGTTGGCAGGGTGGGCTGCGGGGGGCGTTATCTTCCTATCCCACAAGCGAAAGCCTGTGAAGACATCGTGGCTAAGGGGATTTTCTCACTCTCAGGAGACAGCTGAGAGACAGGCCCTTCTGGCCAGCCTCCCTCCCTGCTGCCTCCTCCCTGCAGGCCAGCCCTTGGCACGAGTCCTGCTTGTCTCCTGAACCCTCCTAGCAGCAGGGATTTAATTACTATAATGTAAGTAGCTGTGGCTTGAGGCCTTCTGGTGGAGGGGAAACAGATTTGTCTTCTCACTGGGAGAATAAAAGTCTATGGAAAGGAAAAGAAATGTACTTTTCCCCGAGGTACCTGAGGCTGTTGGGCTCAGGGGAGCTTCCCTCAGGGCGGGGAGAGGGAGCATGGGTGGCAGCGGGAGGAGGCACCACGTCTGACTCAAGGACCCTTGGCGCTTGCTTTTGCTCTCTGTGGGATCACTCAGCTAAGCTGCCTCAGTTTCCCCAATGACCCTGCTAACAGATCAGCCTGACATTCAGTAGGCATCTGTCAAGCACCTACCATATGCTAGACACTTAGAAACTTCCAGCTGAGTAGCCAGCCCAGGCGGAAAAATAATTTCATTCATTTGACAAAGTTATTGAATGCCTGTTATGTGCCAGTGTATTGTTCTAGGCATCACAGATATACAGTCATGCGTTGCAACGACGGGGACGCAGTCTAAGAAATGTGTCATTAGGCAATTTCATCATTGTGTGAGCATCATGCAGTGCACTTACACAGACTAGGTGGCATGGCCTTCTGCACACGAGGCTGTATGGTGTAGCCTACTGCTCCCAGGCCTGTATTGAATACTGTAGGCAATCATAACACAATGGCAAGTATGTATCTAAACATAGAAAAGGTACAGTAGAAATACTGTACAATGGATACAAAATACTACACCTGTATAGGGCACTTACCATGAATGGAGCTTGCAGGACTGGAGGTTGCTGTGGGTGAGTCAGTGAGTGAGTGGAGAGTGAATGTGAGGGCCTAGGACATGACTGTAGACTAGTGTAGGCTTTGTAAACACTGTTCACTTAGGCTAACTACATTTATTTAAAATATTTTTTTCTTCAATAACAAGTTAACCTTACCTTACTATAATTTTATTTATTTATTTATTTATTTATTTATTTTGAGACAGAGTCTCACTCTGTAGCCCAGGCTGGAGTGCAGTGGCACGATCTCGGCTCACTGCAACTTCAACCTCCCAGGTTCAAAGAATTCTCCTGCCTCAGCCTCCTGAGTACCTGGGATTATAGGCACGTGCCATCACACCCGGCTAATTTTTGTATTTTTAGTAGAGACAAAGTTTCTCCATGTAGGCTAGGCTAGTCTCAAACTCCTGACCTCAAGTGATCCACCCGCCTTGGCCTCTCAAAGTGCTGGGATGACAGGCATGAGCCACTGCGCTTGGCCAAATTTTTCACTTTATAAGCTTTTTATACTCTTTTGTAATAACACAAACACATTATACAATTGCACGAAAGTATTTTCTTTATATTCTTACTCTATAAGTTTTTTTCCATTTTAGAAATATTTATTTAAAAAGATGCATTTTTACTTACAAAATCTTTTTTGGTTAAAAACTGAGACACAAACACACGTTAGCCTGGGCTGACACAGGTTCAGGATCATCAAGATGTCACGAAGTGATAGGAATTTTTCAGCTCCATTATAATTGTACAGGACCTTGACTGAAATGTCATTATGGGACACATGACTGTAGTAGAAAAAACCCACAAAAGAGAAAAATCTTTGCTGTCACGAATTTACATTTTAATAGATAAGCCTGATAGTAAACTATCTAAGTTAATTATATATTATGTTCGATGGTGATAAGTGCTATGATGAGTGTTATGAAGAGCCTCTTCCCTCCAAGATACAACTTCTTACTCCATTGACAAGTCTTAGATCCCAATCTGTTAAGGCCCCAACTAATTTTACAGCCAGAGTTAGATAACAGGAAAAAGACATCTCTTTTCCTTTCATCATTGTCATCATCAATAACAATCACAATTGTTAGGACCACTCTGGATGGGAGTGCAGGGGCTTCTGAGAGGAGAGTGGTCATATTATTTTATTTATTTTCAAATTAATTTATTATTATTATTATTTTTGAGATGGAGTCTTGCTCTGTCGCCCAGGCTGGAGTTCAGTGGCCCAATCTCGGCTCACTGCAAGCTCCGCCTCCCGGGTTCACGCTATCCTCCTGCCTCAGCCTCCCGAGTAGCTGGGACCACAGGTGCCTGCCACAACACCTGGCTAATTTTTTGTATTTTTAGTAGAGACGGGGTTTCACCATATTAGCCAGGATGGTCTTGATCTCCTGACCTCATGATCTGCCTGCCTTGGCCTCCCGAGATGCTGGGATTATAGGCATAAGCCACCGCGCCCAGCTTTTTTTTTGTGAGACGGAGTCTCACTCTGTCACCCAGACTGGAGTGCAGTGGCGTGATCTCGGCTCACTGCAACTTCCGCCTCCCAGATTCAAGTGATTCTCCTGCCTCAGCCTCCTGAGTAGCTGGGATTGCAGGCACATACCACCATGCCCAGTTAATTTTTGTATTTTTAGTAGATACTGGGTTTCATCATGTTGGTCAGGCTGGTCTTGAACCCCTGACCTCAAGTGATCTGCCTGCCTTGCCCTCCCAAAGTGCTGGGATTACAGGCATGAGCCACCATGCCCGGCTGAGAGTGGTCATTTTAAATAAATGCTCAGAGCTAGGTGCAGTGGCTAATGCCTGTAATTCTAGCACTTTGAGAGGCCGAGGCAGGAGGATCGCTTGAGCTCAGGAGTTTGAGACCAGCCTAGGCCATATAGTGAGACGCCTTCTAAACAAAACAAAAAATTAGCTGGGCATGGTGGTGCGTGCCTGTGGTCCCAGCTACTTGGGAGTCTGAGGTGGGAGGATCGCTTGAGCCCAGGAGGTCAAAGCTGTAGTGAGCTGTGATCGTGCCACTGCACTCCAGCCTGGGGAATAGAGTGAGACCTGGTCTCAAACAAAAACAAAAACAAAAACAGAAAACAAAAACCACAAATAAAACAAATAAAGAAGTGCTTAGGGCCAGGCATGGTAGCTCACGCCTATTATCCTGGCACTTTGGGAGGCCAAGGCAAGAGGCTTGCTTGAAGCCAGGAGTTTGAGACCAGCCAGGACAGCATGGCAAGACTCTCATCTTTACAGAAAAAAAAAAAAAGCTGAGTACATTGGTGTGCACCTGTAGTCCTAGCTACTTGGGTGGCTGGGGTGGGAAGATCCCGTAAGCCCAGGAATTCGAGGATGCAGTGAGCTGTGATTACGCCACTGTGCTCCAGCCTGGGTGACATGTGAAACCCTGTCTCTAAAAATAAACACATAAATAAATAAATTAAATAAGTGCTCAGGGAAGGCCTTACCAAAAAGGTGATGTCTATTGGAGGATCTGAAGTGGTGAGGGATCCAGCCACCTGGGGGAAGAGGAATAGCAAGGTGAAGGCCCTGAGGGGGGATCATGCCTGGTGTGTTGTAGACAGCACTGTCCGGTGGACACGAAATGGGAGCTACCGCTGTCATTTTAAATTCCTGAGTAGCCATATTAAAAATAGTGAAAAGAGAAAAGTAGAATTATACATGTTAATAATATTTTTAATTTAACCCAACATAGCCAGAATATTATTATTTGAATGTGCAAGCAATACAAAAAATTATTGAGATCTTTTACACTTTATTTTTTGTACTAAGTCTTTGAAATCTGGTGTGTCTCTGACACAGCATATCTCAATCAGACATTAAGTTTTCATTGGAGATACTTGATCTGTATTTAGAGTTTATAAAATTTACAATTAAAAGAACAGACTTGCTGGGCATGGTGGCTGACACCTGTAATCCCAGCACTTTGGGAGGCAGAGGCAGGTGGATTGCTTAAGGCCAGGAGTTCGAGTCCAGCCTGGGTAATGTAACACAGTGAGACTCTATCTCTCTAAAAAAAAAAAAAAAAAAAATTAGCTGGGTGTGTGGCATATGCCTGTGGTTCTAGCTACTTGGGAGGTTGAGGTGGGGGATAGCTTGCTGTTGAGGCTGTGGTGAGCCATGCGTGTGCCTCTGCACTCCAGCCTGGGCAGCAGAGCAAGACCCTGACTCCCCGTCCGAGAAAAAAAAAAGAATAGATTCACACACTCAAGTTGTTGAAAACGTACTTAAAATTTTTCCAATAAAAGAGTGGAGTGTCTTTTTATATTTAATTTTAAATGAAATGGACTTAAAATCCAGTTGCACTGGTCATGTTGCAGGGGCTCAGTGGACACACGTGGCTCGTGTCCTCACACTGGACGGTGCAGGCCTGGGAGCAGAGAGGATGCCTGTGAGGCTGATTCAGTGAGTGGAGGGATCATGTGGGCGGGGTTGTGAGGTCACAGGGGAGGCGGGTCTGGCTCTGCAGGGATTTGTAGACCGTCCTGAGGAGTGTGGCCTTTACCCTGGGTGAGATGGGAGCAAGAGGAGGGCTTGGAGTAGAGAAGTGACAAGATCTGACTTACATTTTAATGGGACCACTCTGACTGCAGTGTTTGGAACAGACAGGGAGGGTCAAGCCAGGGTCAGGGAGCCCCGCTGAGAGGCTGTGGGGACAGCTCAGGTGAGGGTGGTGATGGTTTGGACCTGGGTGGTAGCATTGAGTTGGTAAAAAGTGGCTGGACCCTTGGGCTATTTAAAAGGAGGGCATTCCTGATGAATTGGACAAAAGGTCATGGTGTGCAGGTCAGGCAGTGGTGAGAGAAAGGGGAAGTCAAGGATGAGGCTGAGACTTTTGGCCCAAGCAACTGGAAGGATGGAATTTCTGTTAATTGAATGGAGAAGACTGTGGGAGAAGCAGTTTTTTGGGGGAAGACAGGGAGTTTGTGGTTGGACTCGTTAAGTTTGAGGTGTATCAATTTCCATATAATGCGTGTAGCACCTGCCCCAGGGGTTGTAAGAGGTCACAGGATGGTGCTTGAGGCCGTGGCAAGCTTCTGCCTGGGCTCCTGACCCAGAACAGATGGCTCCTCTCACCTTCCAGAGGTCTGTTCGAGGCATGGCTGGCAACGTTAAAAAAAATTTGGCCGGGCACGGTGGCTCACGCCTGTAATCCCAGCACTTTGGGAGGCCGAGGCGGGTGGATCACGAAGTCAGGAGTTTGAGACCAACCTGGCCAACATGGTGAAACCCCGTCTCTACAAAAAATACAAAAATTAGCCGGGCATGGTGGTGCACGCCTGTAGTCCCAGCTACTCGGGAGGCTGAGGCAGGAGAATCGCTTGAACCCGGGAAGGCGGAGGTTGTGGTGAGCCGAGATAGTGCCATTGCACTCCAGCCTGGGTGACAGAGCGAGACTCTGCCTCAAACAAAGCAAACAAACAAACAAACAAAAATCAGCTAAGTTATCCATGCCTCCAGCACCGTGGGTGTTGACTCCCTGAAGGTCACTGGAAGTTGCTAGGGTCTTTCTGAGTCAATCCACATTTCAAGGTCAAATCTCCCTGCTCTGGGCTGATGAATAAAATGTGTCATAAATGCTCAGAAGCTCCCCCAGTGTGGCCTGGAAGCCTGATTTTATGGAAACTTACTGAAATGATACAAAACGCTAAAGATATGCATTCCTAATTTTCTAGCACTTTCAACTCCACAGGGATGTTGGGGGAAGGGATTAATGAGCTTGGAGAGGTGGAATAACCTCCTCAAGGTCTCCCAGCTGGGGGAAGGTAAGCACTGGATGTTGGGAATCACCAGCCTCATGTGCACCAACCATGTCGCCAAATGTCCAAAGCCTGCAGAGGGCCCAGGGCTCTCACGGACCACACAGGGAAGCCACTGCACCTGTTCTTTTTAAGACTGGGAGGAGAGTGGGGAAAGGCAGCAGGTATGGCTTTTGAGGTCCTCTCCTAGCCCAGCTGGTGTCTGATGCTGGCACCCGGGCTTGGAGGGTGAGAGTCTTGGGACCTGTAGACCAAGGCCACCTCACTTGGGCAGCCCAGGCCTGCTGGACATGGGCCTTCTGACTTAGTTTCAAAGCTGGACCCTGACCCTTGTTGGTTGCAGGACTTCAGTGATTTAATCTTTGAGTTTATCTGTTTCATTGGGGTGATGGTGCCTGCCTTGGAGGAGTTTTGTGAAGTGATGTTAATGAAGGAGCTTAGGCCGGTGACTTGACACATGCCCAACATAAGGAATGCCTGTGGGGCCGCCTGGCTCTGCCCCTAGAGTGGAGGGAGATGGTGCAGAGGGAACAGTAGAACTGGTATGGGCTGCGGATGCCTGGCGAGTGGCATGAGTAGGGGAGAAAGAAGCGCCTGCCAGAATGGGAGTGAGGGAGAACAGTGGGGGGTCCCCTCCCTTACCACAAGACCTGGGATCTAACTGTGCCTTTAGATCAGAGCTTCTCAACTGGGGCACTTTTGCTCCTCAGGGGACTTTTAGCAATGCCTGGAGACATTTTTGGTTGTCACAGTCAGGAGAGGGATATTATAGTCCTTTAATGTGGAGAGGCCAGGGATGCCCCCTACAACAAAGAATTACCCAGCCCACAATGTCAGTGGTACTGAGGCTGAGAAACCCTGCTTTCGATGACTCATTCTCACCAGCTTGTTATGAGGATGAATGCGAAAATGGAGCCTGCATTTCTAACTGCAGCCTGCCCTTCCAGGTCCTCTCGTTCCCTCACCCTTTCCCAAGGGGGCTGCCTCTGTCATCAAGCAGCCTGGTCCAGGAGTCAGCAGACCTGAATTCAAGTCCTGACTCCTCATGCCTCAGTGAAGTTTTTCCTTAGTTTCTAGTCTCCATGTCTTTTCATCCTTGGAAATCTTGTCTTGAGTGGGGCAGTGGTGTCTACACAGTAATGGGGCTGTGGTGTGGACTGAGTGGGAACCCGGATGGGAAGCATGCTTAGTCAGCTGTGATGTGCCGGCAAAGGGAGGCAGCAGGCCAATCCGCTTTCTAGTCCAGCACTGAATAATAGCCTTGGGGGGCATTGCCCAGGAACCCCCATTGGCCCCTGCGAGGCCACATGGCTGTTCTCCCAGGCCTGCTCCATCTTGCTTCTTGCTTGTGTTTCCTTGAACAGGTGGAGCTAGTCTCCATTTGGGGAAGATGGAATTTGCAGGAAAATGCAGGGCTATTATTTCTGTGCTGTGTGAGTGGGAGACAGAGCTGGTTGAGTGGCAGATTTCCTGGCAGGGGGAGAAACAGCTAAGTGTGCCAGCCCAGGCATCGCTAGAATCCTCTTGAGGTGAGTGGGCCAGGATTCCCCAGTGGCCACCTCGGGAAGCAAACATTTGTTCTGAGCTCAGGACCAGCCCCAGGAAAAGATGGGGTTTGCTGTCGGGGAAAGGTCTGTACCAATATATTGAAGCTCTGAGAACATTCTACTCGGCAAACTTTCACTGATGCCCATTCTGTGGCAGGCACTGGCCCCGGGGACGTTGGGGGACACAGAGATGGATGAGGCTGAGGGGGTGTTCGGGCTGCCGTAACTCTGAGGCAAGGCAGACTGTGCTAAGTGCGGTAGAGAGGCTCTGCATCCCGTTAAGGGCCTGCCGCGGATATTAATGTTTGGAGGCTTCTTAGAAGAAGTAGGGGTTGAGCTGGGTTTTGAAGGAAGGTAGGGCTTCATGAGGCAAAAGGGAATGCGTGTTCTGAGCCGAGGCAACAGTAGGGGCAGAGGCTCAAAGTTGGAGAGTGCCCTGTGTTCTTAGGGAGGGCTGGAGAGGTAGGTTTTCCTAGAAGTTCTGGGAAGAGAAGACTGGAGAGGGACATGGAGCCCCCTGCCCGTGAAGCTGGTGGAGTAGTGGGGGCTTCACGAACTAGGCTGATGAATTTGCACTTTTGTCTAAAGGCACAGGGAACAGTGGAAGGTATGTGAGCAGGGCAGTGGTGTGCTCCAGCCACAGCATGGAGGATGGGTTATAGAGAGAGGAAGCTGGAAGCAGTGTTACTGCGATAGTTGTGAAAAGGAGGAATGAAGGCTTGAACCCAGCTCGGGGCAGTGGGAAGGGAAGATATGGGGGGAGGTCTGGGGAGGCAGGCAGCTTGTCAGGCTTCACCTTTCTCCATCCTGGGTATCTGAGTTGTGTGTGAGGCTCGAAGTGACTGTCGTGGCCCACTCGCCACATTGCTCTGCTCAAAGCCCAGCCTTTTCTTGGAGAATGACAAGCAGCGAGCATCAGGCAGCCTTCTGGTCCCAGAGAACAGGATGGCACGGTGCCCACACCAGCCGGCACCAGCCACTCTGGCTGGGGAGGGGGGGAGGCCTCCTTCTGGAACTCATCAGCGCTGGCTTCTGGCCAGGCCCAAAGGAGGTGGAATACACCCTCTTCCTGCTCGTTTTCAGAGATTTGGGAGGAGTAGGTATGGAGGACAGCAGCAGCGTGCTGGAGCCGGCTACTCTCGGGTTCGTGTCGGAGCTGGGGGAGTGACTGGCTGTGCAGTTGGGCAAGTTGCCTGGTCTCCCTGAACTTCAGTGTCTGTGTTTGTAAAGTGGGCATTATGATGCTTGGCCCACGGGTGGCTGTAAGGGCATCACACAGGTGTAATTACGCAGGTGTCATGTTCTTAGCTCAATAAATGGCCTCTGTTTTTAATTGTCAAGATATGATGATGGACTTGACTTGATGGGTGGGGAGAGGCAAGACCTCCTTGCCTTTAAAGGAGTTGAAGACTTGGGAAGCAGTTGGAATGGTGAATTCTATCTTGGGCGTGTTGGCTTTGAGGGGCTGGGGAAAATCCTAGGATATTCAGAAGAAATCTAGGGACTTCTAATCATGTGGTTCACATAAATGACCCTTACTATAATATCTATCTCAGAGTCAACTTTTCAAGACACCAGCCTCCCTGCAGGCAACCCCAGTGTGGCATCAGGAGAGCGGGGTCTTGGGTCAGCATGGCCAGCCCAGCCTCTGGCTTTGCTTGTGTCATTGGTGACTCCCCGTGGTCCTCGGTGCCTTCCTCCGTGATGGCATTTCCCATTGGCTGGCTGGGCCTCTGCCCAGGGATCCAGCTGGGTGCCGGCCCAGCTCAGGCTCCAGAGAGGAAAGAGCCCTGGATCTGGGGCCAGTGACCTGATATTCACGCTGGCTCTGCCCCTTCCCTCTCGGTGTGGCCTGGAGAGATGTGCAGGCTCCCCGAGGGCAGGGGGGGGTAGTGAGGAGGGTTCCAGGAGATGAGGGATGTGAAAGCAGCAGCACGTGCCTGGCACACAGGGGCCCTGGTAGATGCTTGGCGGACAAGTGAGGGCAGGCAGGGGAGGGGGCAGACAGGATTCAGGGAGGCAGGCCTGGGAGGAGCCCAGGGCTCAGGGAGGGGGGTGAGGGGTCAGGCGGAGCCGGCTCAACTCCTGGCTCTGCCGCTTACTAGCAGGAAGACTCCGAGTCCGGTGCCTGCTTTGGTCACATCCATGTGTGGGTGGTGGTGATGGGAGGTTGGCCTTGGGGGCCGCTCTAATGCCTACCTCACAACATAGTGATAGGTCTAGATGGATACACAGCACCAGGGCCTGAGAGTGCTGAATAAACCTTCATTCCTCCTCTAGTAAGCACAGTAAATCCCTAGAGGGCAGTCCCCAAAGGCCTTGATTACCCCAACTGTGGAGTACAGCGAGAAGTGGAGCTTCTGGAGCCAGTGCTTTCTCTGCTCAATTTTGTGTATTCTTTCACTCGTTCATCTGAAATCTGACCCAGCCCCATGGAAACTGGCTGCAGACACCCAATGGCAGTAGGGTACCAAGGGGCAGGGGAGCAATCGGCTCCCGGTGCAGACAATGAGGGGTACACTGTCTGTAGAGGATATAGAAAAATAAATAAAGCCAACAAAAAGTCTGGTTTTTGTTATTGCTGTGTACCGGCACTTCTAAACAAGGTCAGTGATAAAACACTCCTCCTCCCGGGGGGCAGACGCTCCTGGCTCCCCCTCAGTATGCTGCTGCCTAATCGTCCTCCAGAAAGGAGCCTCGGGGGCTGTAAATATCAGGAAGGAACTCAGCAAGGCCTGGCAGAAGAAGCCAGCGATGATTTGGAGAATAAGCCCATTGATGATTGCAATAGCAGCATGGATTTGGGGCTCAGGAGACCAGGAAGGGGAGGGTGCCACACTGTGAAGTAAGGGTAAGGCAAGAGAGTGGAGGTAACTGCTGTGGGTTCTGGCTGGGAGAGGCATCGTCTAGGCCCTTTAGACGTGGTCAGGAAGAGGGTGTACTTCATCTCCCTTGGGCCTGGCAGGAAGCCAGCGCTGATGGGTTCCAGAAGGAAAGCCCCCCAGCCAGGGCAGCCGCTGCCAGCTGGTGTTGGCTGGTGTGGGTGCTGTGCCACCCCACTGTTTTGGACCGGCAGGCTGCTTGCCATCTTCCAAAGGGGACTGGCCTCTTGACAAGGGTAGGAAAGGAGCCAGGGCTGCCCTATGGGCTTGGGGGCTGGTAGGGCGTTGGGGAAGGCAGGATTCACATTTCTCTAGCCTGGACAACAAGCATGTGCGTGAGGATCAAAATGAGCACTTTTAGGGTTTTATTACTATTATTTACTAAACAAGTTTCCTTGCAGGGTTGTGGAAGGGGCCCATGCAGAAGGATCTGTCTAGAGGAGGAGGCTCCGCATGTGTACAAGGGAAGGACGTGTGCCCTTGGGACTGGCTGGGGCACGGCCCTAGGGAAGTGTGTGTGTGTGTTTGCGGGGGTGGTCTGGTCATGTGGCCCCTTCCCTGACTGAACCCCTTGCAGGGCCCCATGCCACACAGCAATGCTGCGTCCGTTGCAGAAGCAGACACCTTTGGCTCCTGCTGTGTGGGAAGCAGGTGTGCATTAGTCAAGGTGGCCTCAGTGGTCCTGGGTAGTGGGGCCCCCGCAGTGAGAAAAGCAGAGACCTCTTGGGCCCGGGGGTGTAGGAGTCACTCTCCCTGATCTGCTCCCAAATGCAGGTGCATCTGGTTCCATTTGGAGCCGGTGAGCTGGCTGATGGTGGCTGTCTGGGGCTCCTGGGGCTGAGCAGCCAGGCTAAGCTTAGCCCACAGGCACTTCCCAGAAACTGGTGGCACTGTCACAGTGTTGGCTGGATGCTGAGGAGTTGGCAGGATACAGTGCAGGAACAGCAAATAGGTTTTATCTGGGTGTCAAGTTGAAACAATTGGTACCAGCTTCCAGGAGGGCTGTGTTGGGAAGGATTCTGAGGTGTTGTCTGAGCTCAATGGGAAGAGTGCCCTGATTGATTCATGAGGTCTATCTTGGGCAGGGGAAATGGAAGAGTGGCAAGGGGTTTGCCATCCCTGGTGTAGTGGAAAAAATACAGAGAGCCTAGATTTGATCTTAGGTGAGTGGCCCCAGTTTTTTTTCTCTCTCTTTTTTTTGTTTTTTGAGACGGGGTCTGGCTGTGTTGCCTAGGCTGGAGGGCAGTGGCACAATTTCAGTTCACTGCAACCTCCACCTCCTGGGCTCAAGCCATCTTCCCACCTCAGCTTCCCAAGTAGCTGAGACTACAGGTGCCCGCCACCATGCCCAGCTAATTTTTGTGTTTTTAGTAGAGGCGGGGTTTCACTATGTTGGTCAGGCTGGTCTTGAACTCCTGACCTCAGGTGATCCACCCGCCTCAGCCTCCCAAAGTGCTGGGATTACAGGCATGAGCCACTGCAACTGGCCCCCTAGTTTCCTCATGTCTAAAATGAGGGTAAAAATGTGGCCCTTCCAACCCGATAGCCTTATTGTGGGCGCTGAGTAAGATAGCAGAGCGAAAGCCCTTTGTAAAATATAAAAAAGCGATACAAACCCAGAGTGGGGGTTTTGTTGTTACTGAGTCTCCCAGGAACCTGGAGTGACTTCCCAATAATAACGTCTGCCCCACTGGGGACTACTCCATGGTCTGAGTGCCTGAGAGGCCTGACAGGATGTGTGACCGGCGCGATGCCCGGCACCCAGGCCTTTGACACCAAGTGTCAACGAGGTGTTTGGTCATGTTTCCAACTCTAAGTCACTTCATTTCTGTCTGACTCTCTCCCTGGCTTAAGATTTAGAGACTGTTTTCATGTCTAATGAAAGAAGGACAGAAAATCTCTCTCTAGAACCTTGTCTCTTACTCTCCATTAAAGGTAGCAAAATTGCTTTATAAAGTCTAAAAGCCTGACAAGAACGCGTACTAATAATGCATGAATTATGCAAATCTGTGTAGTCACTTGATTTGCATAATGGAGGGGCTGGAGGAGGGTTGGGGAGGGGAAGGAGTGAGGGTGAGGGCGTCTGCCCAGATCTGTGTGTAACGGGGGACATTCATTTGCTCCCTTGGGTGGAGTCCCCTTCTGCAAGCCCCTGCTGGTCCCGAGGGTGTGTTCTTTGGCCTTCCCCTGCTGGCCTGGTGTCTGCCCTTTGTGGCCTGGCTGTGCAGCCCCCCCTCCTACTTTCGGGGCAGTCACCGAGGCAGGGGCACCGCACCCTGTGCTGGACTCTTGTGTAGAACTGGCTTCATTAAATCTCACAGCCGCCCCTCCATGTCCAGACAGCCTTCCCTGAAAGTCCCCTGGGTCATTATTTCTCCAAACGTCTGTCTTGCTGAGGCATTGGACTTCGTTAAGTGCCGTCTGGAATTGTAACTATTGCCAAGTGCCTTTTTCTTGGGTTCTGTGGGAAGCAAGGGTGAGAAGGAGTCTCCGGGAGAGAACTCCCCACCTACCCCGCCTGGTTTCTCTCTCAGCGTTTCTCACTGTTGCTTTAAAAGGTTTCAGCCTCTGCTGTAAGGGGCCTCTTGCTTTTCTCTCCCAGCCTCCCTGCATACTCGCTAACCTTGGGACTTCAGATTTGATGAGGGGCCGGGCGCAGTGGCTCACACTTGTAATCCCTGCACTTTGGGAGGCCGAGGTGGGAGACTTGCTTGAGGCCAGGACAACATAGCCAGACCCCATCTCTATTAAAAAAAATATTTGATGAGGGCTGAGGCTGGGACTGAGGATACTTGAGGCTTGAGCTCAGTGGGTGCTGCCTGGAAGCCCGGGGATGTGGGCTCTCAAGCTGAAGGGACGCTGGGAACCAGCTGTGGAGAGCCAGGCAGCTGGCTTTTTTGTCTAGAACCTGGATGGGGCAGCTTCTTGTTCTGGGGAGGGGAACTGTTCTGCAGGGTGGATGGATGCAGGGAGCCAGCCCTGGTTGGGAGGTGGGAGGGGCAGGGACCATATCTAGCTCCTGGAGAGGCCAAGCAGACCGTCAAGGCTACAAACAGGCTGGGGTTCAGCTTATTTCAACATACTTCTTCAGCATCTATGTCTATGGGCTGGGCTTGTGCTAGGCCCTAGGTGTCAGAGATATGAAGGCACTCATAGCTGTCATTTATTGAGCTCCTATTATAAGTGTCAGGTCCTTCGCTAAGCCACTTATTTACACGTGTCATCTCATGTAATGTGTATGACAACTTTATGAGGTCACTACTCTTACTGCCCCATTTTATAGATGAGTAAGTTGAGGCTTGGTCACATGGCGAGGAAGTGGCAAAGTGGGGCTCTAAGTGAGGTCTTCGGACTCCAAAGCCCCTTCTGCAGACCGTGATGCTTTGCTGCCTCTGTTGAGTCAAACCGGACTCTTCCCTTGAGGCCCTGATGGTAACAGCAGTGTAAACAGATGGTGAGCACAGTGTAGTGTAATATATGCAAGGGGAGAGGTTGGAACCAGGCACAGAAGTAGCACTGAGCATTTAATTATGTCAGGGAGGGCCGGGGAAAGCTCACAGAGGAGGTGGTGGCGGGGGGGGGGTCCCTGAATGAGCCACAGGAGGGAAACCAGATTCTGTCTGGCACTTAGGGAAGCAGCCAGTGGAGGCTGCAGGTCAGTGGGCTGGGGTGAGGGGTAGGGGCTTTAAATCCCAGTTGCTTATAGCCCCCTTCTGCCCCACTTTTGGGGTGCGACCAGGTGATGTGAAGCTCAGGAGGTCATGGCTGGGACACTCAGGAAGGTCAAGTGTGGGGTGCTGCCCCAGGGCCCCTCTCCTCGGCCTGTATGTTCAATAGGTGCACTGGCCTCCCTGTCTTGGCCAGACAGCTCTGAGAGCCAGGGCTCTGTGGGTGCCTGAACTGTGTGTGGACCCTGCCTGGGATGAGGCCACAGCTGCTCCCACACCCGCACCTGCTCACACCCAAGAAGGGGGCCGCCATGATCACTGTGGAGGCCAGGGTGGGAGAACCCTCTGGACCATAGGGTCCCACCCCATTGCAGGGCAAAGAGGGGATCTGAGGCCCAGTGACTGGAAGTGATTTGCTGCAAGTCACACAGGCAGCAAGAAGTGGGTCAATCCCCCAAGGTTCTGGTTTGGAGCACTCCCGGGGGTCTCCCCTCACCCCTTACCCTGGGCTCGCCCTCTCCAGGCTGTGTGCCATCCTCACCACCTCTGTCGTGCCCTCGCTCACCCACGTGGCTACACTCTCGCGTGCGTTTCCTTCACACCTGGCCATCCTCTTAGGCCAGGCCAAGGCTTTGCTCTGGAGAGAACTTAAATGGCATTGTCAGATGAGGAAGGAGCAGAACCTGCCGATCCCATGACCTCCCAATAGGCCATCTGCACACACTCAGCCCGCTCTCCCCAGCCCTGCACAGCCCCTTCGGCTCGCACATCTCATCCTTACTCCTGCTAGCAAGCAAAGATGTCTGCAGGTGCTCTCATTCGGGGATGGGGATGTAGTAGGGAGACAATACCTGGTAGATAGAGCTGAACAACTTTCTGCAGAAAGTTTGGAGTGAGGGGGGCTCTGTGATGGAATAACAGGCATGAACCAGAAGCCTAATTCTATTGCTTAGAAGCTGTGTGGCTTTAGGCAAGCGACTTAACCTCTCTGAGTTTCAATCTCCTTATTAATAAAACAGGTACGAACAGTGCCTTGCTCAGTGGTCCCCTAACTTGGCTTCATTTTGGAATCCCCTGGGGATCTTTAAAAAAATGCTGATGCCTGGCTCCCAGCTTCTGACCTGATGTCACTGCCCTGAGGTGCAACCTGGGTGTGGGGATTTTAAAAAGCTCCCTGGGTGATACTAATGTGCCGCAAAGTTTGGGAACCACTGTCCCAGGGTTTGTTGGGGATTAAAGGAAGAATGCAGACACGTGGAGAGCGCTTACTAAATGGAGGTGATTATTTCAGTGTTCATCTCCCTGCCTCTCACTCCATTTAATGTGGAGTCTGTGGGACTGAGGTTTTTATTTTTATACCACAGTGGGTTTGCCAGAGTGCTGACCTAAGGGGGCTGTCAGCGGCCCATCTTTACCCGGAAAAGACCCTCCCTTGCGCCCTCACCATCTCTGCAGCCCTAGGGCAGGCCTCAGTCTTTCTGACAGGCCCCAGGGTCCTGATTAGGTCGGGGCCTGACCCCGCAGGGGCAGGCCTGCCCCTGGTCTCCACCTGGTGGCTTTGGGAATGGAAATGCTGGTTCCCACAAAGGCTTCTGGGAGACAGAAGCCTAAGATGGCAGGGTGCGGTGCACACACTCAGTCTGGATTCGGTGGCCTGACCTGGGGGATCCGGGGAGGGCGTTGGTGGGGGCAGAGGCGTGGGAGGGGCTGCTTCTTTGGAGCTCTCCACTCTGCTCCCTGGTACTGTCTGAGGCCCTGCAAACCTGAGCAGAGGCTGTGAGGGAAGACACATTTCTCCAGATTCCTCAGCTGTCCTGACAGGAAGTTGTGCATCACTGGGCTGACAGGAAGGAAATGGCTCTGCTGTTTGGAAAGAAATAGAGAATTCTGACTGGGGCTGAGGGAAAAGGTGTCTGCTTGGAGAAGCCGTTTTGTCCCGATATGAGGACTCTTTGTCTCTGCAGGCAGTTGCTCCCTGTTTATTTTCCTTTGAATGACAAGGATTGGCTTCAGTTAATGAGGAGCGGTGAGAGGAAAGTGAGAAGCGGCTTGTGAGATTTTGGGACACGGAAGCCTTCGCAGGAAACCTGGCCCTCTGCTTGTAATAAGCATCTTTCTTTCCCAGCTCCCTGCTTCGGGGACTGTGAGGTGACAAAGGATTTTGTGATCTCACACGCCGCTTTTTCTCCATCCACCAACCATACCTTTGCAAATGCTTTGATTTCTATTTCTTTTTACCACCCCAAAAACACAGTGGATCTTTTAATAGCACAAGGCCTTTTGAATCTCTAACCAATCAGTCTCCAAATCCTATCCAAAGTGCACTTAGAATAGACACTTTTAATAAAATATATTGCTTTTAAGCCAGTGTAAACCTGTGAAATTTGTACATTTCTTTTAGAGCATCTCTACAAATTTTACATTATTGAAATCACCACCCAGTGACCTTTTAGGAAATACTAGATAAATTGCAAGAGACAAATAGACAAACCAAATGGAGTAAGTACAATTTCCAGTGCCTTTCCTGCTAGGTTCCCAGTCTGAGTCTTAGAAATCCCTGACTCCCTGTGCCCCTCCCCCCAGCTCTGTGACCTAGCCCCTGCTCTGCAGGCCTCTCTGCCCACCCTGCCCCTGGCAAGGAGCTAGCAGCTGGGGTGTCATCTGAGAGCCATTTGCAGCTCTGAGAAGCAGCTCTGGTATGTGGCTCCTGGCACCTTGTCCCGTCTGTGTTTGTCTCTGCGCTCCATCATTCAAAACACTTCCACCAGTGGCCAGTGGCCAGGGCCCCCAGAAGGGCTCTTGGGGGTGGCTGAGGACTGCTTTAGAAAGGCTCAGATGCTCTGTGGCCGAGTCTGCCCCAGGCGAGGTCCTCAGCCTTGTCGAGTGAGAGCTGAGCGGGGGTCTGAGTCCAGCAACCCTCACTCACTGTGGAGCACTCTCTGTGCCTGGGCCAAACCTTCGTCAGCCAGGTGTGGATTATCCACTTTGTGGATTGCCTGTAGTGTCTTTTCCAAACCCAGGTCACGTTCGTCCCTGCTGCTGTCTCACTGCATGGGGACCTTTCCTCCCTATCAGCTGGTGGTGCTTAGGGGATGTAAATCAGGTGTCGTATCTTGTTTGTATTTTGTACAGGGAAAACAGAATTTGGAAGACAGATGGTCTCTAAAATCACATTACCAGAGCCTCCAAAGGGTCTCCTGGAGGCTCAGTGCTCCTTTGGGCTATGGGATCTGTTCCCCTTCTGGTGTAGGTACGCAGAGCCTTGGAGCAGTGATGGGGGTGGAGGGAGCACAACTGCGCCCTGCTTCCTGAGGTCTGCAGATCGCAGGTCACTCGATGGTGGTGGGCACGTGGTTATGCACTCATTTCATGGATAAGTGAACTCAGTCACCATCTCAGCTGCTTTGCCATCGCTACACAGCGACCTGTGTCAGCACCACAACTGGGGGTGTTACTTGGGTCCCCTGTATCTCAGTTGCTGTTTTTCCCATGGAGTGACCCGACTGCCCTCCAACATGGGGAGGGAGGGAGAGCAGAAGGCAGATCAGCGGTTAGAGATGTCCTGAGTGGCACTGGCCCTTCTGTAGGTAAAGTAGCTTCGGGAGAAACAAGGTACTGTCAAAGCTGCCCAGGCTTCATTCACTCCTTAATTTGATAATTAATTCCACAAACATTAATGGAGTTTTTCTCACATTCCAGGCACTGTGCAAGGTGCTGGGGGTGGGGGAGAAACAGAAAGATGACAAAGACTTGGTTCCCACACTCAAAGAGCTCACAGCCTGGTAAGCAGATGCTCAACGCACTTAGAATTGTCTCCCGAAGAGGCCTGAAGGGACAGGGTGGAGGAAGCGCAGAGGCGGAGGCAGCTCTGGAGGGTAGGGTGGTGGGAGTGGCGAGAACGGAGCCGGTCCTGAAGGTTGACTGGGAACGGGAAAGGCTAAGGCAGGGAGGTTGTTCCCGGCCCAGCAAGCACATGGAAAGGTTGAGGGAAACGAAAGCTTAGTGCATTTTGAAGGAGTGTGAGCAACTCGGTATGGCTAGAATTTATGGTGTGAGTATGAGATATGGGGCTGTAGAGGCAGGCAGGGGTCAGATCATGCCTTGCTTAGGGGGTCTGCCTTCATCCCAGAGGCTGTGGGGAGCCGCAGAAGGGATTTAAGGAGTGGGATGGCACGATTTGTGTCTTAAATTACTTGCTATGGAATCTACATGGTATAGCAGAAGGAGCCCGGGAGTAGGGGAAGGAGCTAGGCTCTAGCTCTAAATTCTAGATCTGGATCTAGCAGCTGGGTGACTTTGGCCAAGTCGAGGCCTCAGGGTCCTGACCTGTAAGATGCAAAGACTCTAAGGTCTGTCTTAGCCCTGACGTTCTCCACACCCGTGGCCGCCTTCCTGTTTGGCCCCCACACTCTCTGTTCTGTACTTGTCCATCCACCTCTGGCCGCCTGACCCCTGTCAGCTGGCTGTCCCACCGTGGTCAGCAGCTGGTGGCAGCTGGAGGGAGAGGGGTGAGTCCTCCAGGAAGCATGTGCACTCCTGCCCTCGTAATTCAGGCCTGCCTGGCTTCTCCTCTTCCAGCCCTGCGAGAGCGCCTTCCTCCCCGCTGACCTCAGCACACCTGGCTCCCCACGGCACACAGCCCTGGCTGGGCCCAGCTGTGTCTCTTCAGTGAGACAGTTCACCCCCTTGGGCCAAAATCCCCACCCACCTGGCCCCCACGTGACAAGAGGCAGCTGCTTCGGGGTTGCCACCTGGTAGCCCGTGACATCTGTGAGATGTCTGTGCATTTGGCTGGTGTGAGCTTTTTCCTTTGCTCTGACCCAAGCTTTGATAGCTCAGTGTGTCATCACCGGCAGTGGATGCCTGGGAGCCCCAGACTGGCTCTTCCTGCCCAGGGACCCCCAGACCCACTTCTGCAGGACGCCTTGAAACAGCTGTGGGTGGAAAGCCAGGTTTTCCCCCATAAGCATCACTCGTTCTGCTGCCTTCCTAGCTTCTGTGCTCTCGGGCCCAGAGCTCCTCCAGGGTGAGGAACCAGGAGGAGGAGTTGGCTGGGTTGGCTGTTTTCCTAGGTCTTTGATCACAGCTGTTACATGTAGATAGGCTGGGCGCGGTGGCTCATGCCTGTAATCCCAGCACATTGGGAGGCCGAGGCGGGTGGATTACGAGCTCAGGAGATCGAGACCATCCTGGCCAACATGGTCAAACTCTGTTTCTACTAAAATGCAAAAAAAAGAAAAACACAAAAAATGAAAAACAAACAAACAAACAAAAAACTAGCCGGGCATGGTGGTGGCGTGCGCCTGTAATCCCAGCTATTCAGGAGGCTGAGGCAGGGGAATTGCTTGAATCTGGGAGGCAGAGATTGCAGTGAGCTGAGATTGTGCCACTGCACTCCAGCCCAGCAACAGAGCAAGACTCTGTCTCAAAAAAAAAAAAAGGCTTAAACAATGGGTTCTAAGCAAATAAGTATCTGTTTAGTCAGTGGAACGAGGAAACAAAAGTTGATGGAGTTCTCCCCACAATTGGAAGTGTTGTTCCCCACCTAGATGATGGGGCCTGCAGGGAAGTGATTTTGCACGATTCTCCTCTTCTTGGGAACAGGCCATAGGGTAGCATCCCTTCATTCATTCATCAAGTATTTATTGAGTGCCTACTGTGTGCCAAGTCCTCTGTGAGGTGATGGAGCAGAGAGACAGAAAGGACCCCGACTGTGCCATGAAGCAGCCCTGAGCCTGGAGGGGCCACTCAGAGGGAGCCCAGGGGCGGCGGCTCTCGGGCTCCAGCCGAGTTTCCTTCAGACCTAGCCCCTTTAGCTGACAATCTTAAAGCCTGGTCCCGGAAAACAGGAATAGTGCGAGAGGGATGAAATGTGGGTGAGGAGAGTGAGACAAGGGTGGAGGTAAGAAAGAGGGATGGAAGAAAAGACGCAGCAAACTTTCCCGTGAGAGAAACGCTCCAGACAGCACCCCAGTTCCCAGCTGAGACTCCCAGCCACAGTCAGCAAGAACCCACAGGAGGGGAGGCCCACGTCCCTGCTCAGCTCTGCCCTGGCAAGTGGGGTCGGAGATGGGGCATTCCCTGCTTGGGGTCTCAGTCTCTCCATCTGTAAAACGAGGCTTTGGACTAGGGGAGCTCAGAGATCTGTTTAGAACTAATATTCTGTAACCGGTGCAGGGCAAAATAGACGGGGGGCAGGAGCCCAAATTAAGGCCAGTCGAGTATCAGGTGGGGTGTTCCTCTGGCTCCTCCTATTACAACAGCAAGAGGGACCCAGGGGTACTGTGGGAGTCCTACCATCTCCTCACTTGTACGAGGTACCTTCTGGCTGCTCTTCCGGCTGCTCAACACTCAAAGAAGGAAGGTGCTGGGTGTCCTTGTTTGCATATTTTTCTGGCACGGACACATTCTTCTTGGAGTTTCTTGACATTAGGGCCACTTGAAATGCTCAAGGTAAGGGCTGCTCTGCCTGGCAGACATGCGTCAGGTGCCTTTGGCTCCTCCCTGGCAAGTCTGCCTCCAGACGCCCTCAGATCCTGTCCCCATGCCTGGCCATGGGGCTATCTGACCACTGATGCCAGAGGGTCACACTCATCAGTCTATACAGAAGACTTGGAAATGTTTTGGCAACCCTGTGTTAGAAGAGTGGGGTTTCCTAACTGTATGGCTTTGGGTAATTGCTTAAATCCTCCCAGCCTTAGTTTTTCCATCTGTGGGTTAGGAGTGGTCCTCTCTACCTCCCAGCATCAAATAGGAAACTGTGCAAGAAAATGCTTTGTAAACAGGAAAGCCCTAAACTGACATCCAGGACACAGTGACTCAGTAGCAAATATATTCTGATATTCAGCCTTTTCCATGGTTACAGCCTCCTCTGTGCCAAGAAATTCAAGTCACCAAGGGTTAAAGCAAGCAAGGCACATGGCCGTGATTGTCCATAATTGATGAAATAAACCTTAAAGGAGTGACATATAATTAATTGCAATTAATCCAGGCACTGTGACACCACCTTGCTAAAAATACTGTCTACTAACAATTGCTTTGATCCAGCAGAATGATGTCTGCCCATGAGCCTGGCAAAGTGTCTGCTAATGGAGTGCACATAGTGGGTGTGGAAGCTGGCAGGTGTGGGGGCAGAGGGCGGGAAGGGGGCCCCAATTCTCTCAGACCCTTTGGCAGCAAATACTACATATATAGGGTGATCATATGATTCATTGTCTAAACTGGGACACTTTTGAGATTATTATATTAATGATTACCATTCATAGTAATAATTATGCCAGATAACAGGCATACACTGGACTCTCCTGGGTAAACCCGAATGTATCGCCACCCTCTGCATAGGCTGTTTTAAGCCCGTGGGAACCCTCGACTGGGAGAGTATTTTCACGTTCATTATCTGCTCTTCCTCACAACAACCCTGGAAGGAAGAAAGGATTTTTTAGTCTCATTGAATAGATGTTAAAGATGGTGATGGTGTCAAACGGTCCAGCTCTAGTCTTTGGCCTGGCTTCCTCGGTGGCTGACCCCATGCAGGTAGAGGACAGCTGGTCAGGACCGGGAGTTCTGGGGATGTGGAAACAAGTGCAGCTCAGGGGGAAAGAAGTAGCAAATCTGGCTTCAGTGGAGCAGGAACAAGCGACCTCCTCCGTGAAGAGCTCAGGGTGTAGGTCTCAGCCGGGACTGTGCTGCGGTCCTTACCAATCCTGGGCTTGGAATCAGAAGCTGTGTGTTTCAAGTCTGGCTCCCACAGTTCAGCTGTGTGATCTTGGCAAATTGTATAATCATTCCGTGCCTCAGTTTCTCATTTGTCAAGTGGGGACAGTTCCTTCCTGTGAGGATTAAGTGAGAGTTTATATGAAGATGGATGGGTAGACTCAGAGCCTGTCATATAACAGGTACTCAGTAAGTCCTTGTAGAGTTTGAATCTGTGGAGAGTTCCTAGAGGCAACACCTGTAGGGGAACCATGGAGATCCTTCTGCCTTGAAATGGCTCTAACTTGAATCAATTAGTGTGGAATGAGCTCCCGCCTTGAGATGGGGCTGCCTCATGTTCTTGGAGAAAGAAATGGAGGAAATAACCACATGGAGGAATTGGGAGGTTCCCTGACCCCCCCTAGACCATGGATAGTCTACTTGGGAGACTCTACTGCATGCCCCGTGATAGGCAGGACCAGCACCCAAGGAGTCTTTGCATCTTGCAGTTTCCTTGAAGCCCTGTACAGGCTGGTGGCCCACGTTGGTGTGTGGCTTCCAGCCTTCCTCCAGGCTCTCAGATGAACATGCTTGGACATGGGCAGGCAGTGGGGCTCGTGTCGTGCCCCATTGCTGGAATTCATGGCACCTCAAAGTAAAAGGTAGGCAGGTTGGCAGCAGTCTGGTGCCAGAGAGCTAGTGAGAGAGAGAAAGAATTATACAAGTGCCATGTTTGGTCTATTAATAGCCTGTGTTTGGTCTCCACCACTTCTATCAACATCGTCCATCACATCCAAACAATTGAAAAACCTGTGCCAAATGTTAGGAAACTCACGGCTGTGCTGTTTCTGAAAAACAGCATTTCTACTTCTTATGCCGCACTGAGATGCCAATAGTTCCATGCCAACTGGTTTTTATTTTTCCAGACCATTTCCCTTTATTTATGTTTAAGCTTTTGTATTGTTAAGCCAAAAGAAGATAGAGAACCTGGAGTAGGTAATTATTGTTTCTCCTGATTTGTCCTTGAATGAGGCATGGAGGAAATGTTCACTCCCCAAACCTGAATTGAGTAGCTGCAGAGGGGTGGAGAGAGGACTAAGACAGGGGCCTGTCCCTTTCAGACAGTGTTCAAGCTGGTGGATGGGCAGAGTGAGGATGTGGCAGAACACCAGCCCCACCCTTGGAAGGCTTAGGGCATTATCAGCCCTTTCTGTTACTGGTGTGTGGCCTTGGGTAGGCCAGAGTCCCTCTCTGGGCCTTAATTTGCTTGCCTATAGAATCGGGGAGTCAGACTTGATGGCTTAGAAGGCCTCTTCCAGCTAAGTCGAGTGTTGGGTGGAGGACTCACTGTCTCACGTTTGTTGGCAAGGCCGTGGGTGTGGAAATGGAAGGAAGGTGATGCTGCCCTCAGAATGCTGGCAACTCCGGGAAGCCTGGAAGCATGGCTGGGAAACACGGACGAGGCTGTTCTTTATCTGGGAAACTCCAGAACAGCCTCCAGAGATGTCTGTGGAGCCTGCAGGCGGTTGTTTTTCTCACCATATGTGATTTCTGGGTGTCTTAAAAATTTTCATTTGGCCCAAACATTGCCGGGGTTGGGGGATGATTTTGCCCAGTGTGGGGATGGAAATGGGTTTGCCTCTGAGCATCAGGTGGGTAGTAGTGGTTTTCTCCATTTTGGAATTCTCTGACGAAGTTGGAAGGTTCAGCTGGGGCCCTAGTGTTGCAGCAGCTTCTGGTGCAGACAGAGGCAAGGGCTGGAGGGAGGAAAGGGGGAAGGCCAATTGGAGGGGTGATAAGGCTGAGAGACCCAGGGTGGGGAGTTGTCTGTAGGCCTTGCTTTGTGTCTTTAAAACCCACATACCTCTCTGTGGCTATCAGGTGATGAAAATCAACATTATTTCAAGTTATAGCCATCTGAAATGAATGTAGCCAGTTCCCTGTAATTAGCTGACCACAGCTCCTGCAGAGAATCTGGGAATCTGTTGTGCGTCTTGTCAGCGATGGCTGGGGCAGGATGGGGAAAGGGAAGCCCAGGCCTGGGACAAGCCCAGCTAGGCTGGTTTGGTTCTAGTCAGCAACCCAGTCTAACAGGGAGCCCACAGCTTTCTGTAGAGCAAAGTGATTTCCTGCTGTTTTATTCATTTGGGAGCCAGATAGGTTTTACTAAGAGAAAGCAAAACTACTTCAAAGCAAGCCATCCAGAAAGCACAATTATTTGTTTCAAATATTCTAGAACATTTAAGAAAATGGGGGTTCCTGCAATCTGGATGAAATATGGGGGCCAGATCCTTGGCAGGTGGAGCAGTAAATATTTGCTAGGTGAACCCCTCATGGTGATGGCAAATTGACCAGCGTTCTGGGAGGCGCTAGGAGGGTGAATAAAGGTTAAGTGTTTCACTGTAACTCTGTACACCCTGGATGCCAGGACAGATCTGGGGGCTGGGACTAGGAACCTTCAGTATGCTATACAGTTCTCCTGAGATAAAGGTATGGTGTCAGGACCTTCAGAACCTGATGCATAGTGGCAGGTACGCATTCATCAAAGCCAGAGGAGGCTGTAGGGACTTCTTGACACCACAAGAGTAATGTAATTGCTAACTGGCCAAGAGCACTCACATTCCACAAGCAGAGGAGGCTAAAAGCTCATCAGGAGCCCATTTTTTTATTGGAGAAGGAAACAGTGACTAAGTGACAGTCTTGGAGGTGACTTCCAGGATAGGGATACAGGCTTTTGGAGAACAGATGAATTCAGGGACCGGTTGTTATATTTCCGTTAGTATGAAAAGCAGGGTGGGCCGGGCTGCCTGCCCCTGTAAGCATAGGCCGGGAGCCCCAACACCTGGGTTCTAAAGTTTTCTCCAAGCCAGGATGCTGTATGATGGGGGCAAGGCAGCCTCAGTGTCATCGTGGAGAATGAGGGTTGGGGAACTAGCTGATCTCCTGGTGTTCTGTACGTTAATGAGTGTGTGTCCCAGGGAGAGGCTCACTTGTCAAAGTCATTGACATAGACACCGGGATGCTAAAGTCAGAGCAGGTCTTCACAGAGGCATTTGTTTCACTGGGACCAAGCACTGCAGGCAGATCTTTGAAAAAGAGCCATCCAAAATAGAGTCTCTCCAGGGCTACATTGAGAGGAAGTGAGTTTCCAACCCCTGGAGAAAATCAAGCAGAGACTGGATGGCCATGTGCCAGAAATCTTAGGAGACTCATGGGGCACTGAACTAGATGGCTTCTAAGCTCCATTGCTTGTGTGTATGACTGTCTGTTTCACAGTGTCTCAGAGCTGTGAGGGCAACCCCAGCCTCCTGGCTTCTTTCTTTGTGCCCCAGAACAGCAATTCTCATTTCTGGCCCGCACATTAGATTCACTGAGATCTTTTTTTAAAAGTTAGTGCAGAGACCTCACTTGCAGAGATTCCAATTTAATTGCTCTGGGGTGGTGCCAAGCCCCTCAGTTCTACAAGGACCCGGGCTATTGGTGCTTGATGGGCTTCCATCCCACCTCCATCCTCCCTGTAGGGGTGGGGAGTTACAAACCCTTCTGCTCCCATTCTGCCTTTGTATGGAGCCCAAAGGTTTAAGTCTGTATTTACCGTTCCATATTCATTTACCCAAGAAACACTTGTTAAGTGCTTGCTTTGTGTCTGCAAGAATCCTAGGTGGGCCAGCTTTTGGCTACCTTAGGAGCAGCAAGGACCAAACTGCCTTTAAAAAGGCCTCATCCTGTATGTTTCCACCTCCCGCACAGTGCCTGGCACATGGCAAACATGTAATAAAAAGTTTGATTGAATCGCATGGAATCTTTGCCAATATTGTAAGTGGGGCAGGAAAATAAATTATAAGCAAGCATGCAGTAGAGAATTCATGATATGCCAGTTCCCCTCTGCCCAGACCTTATAAAGGAAACCATCTCCTTAATTGGAATTATGTTTGTGGCCTGAAGGGGTGCCCCGTCTGACTTGATATTTTGGGAGCGTGGTCTCCTAAATGACCTTTTTCTGCCTTCCTTGGGACATCACACAATGGGAGAGCCAGGGCCTGGGGAGGATCATTTTCTCTTAATTGGTGTCCTGGTCATCATGCTGGCTTCACTAAAAATTAGTAGGCCACCCTCTGCTCAGACCTGAATGCCCTTGTTATTAACTGCATGATGTCCCTCAGACATCAGGTTCCGTCTCCTTCTGGGAGTGGCAACGTAGAGATCCAGGGAAATGCTCCAGGGCAACTTGACTTTATGAGTTTTGTGTCGAGACCACTGGCTTCCTTCACGCCACAAGTATTATCTGCCTAGTTTCCCCGTGCCGGGCCCAGTCTGCAGAGACGGTGAAGACCCCAAGCCCTGAGCTCAGTCTGTTCACCATCTATCACACCACTAAAGCCACACAACTGGGGGCTTCTTCAGAGAGCAGGTGGGACCGGTAAGGGCAGGGCCTGCAAGGGTGATGTTCTGGCAATTGCCATCCTGTCTTCCTGAGGTTCCCTCTGGATCAGTGGTGAGAGCACAGGTTTGAATCTAGCCCCCACCTCTTCCTCATCCAGGGACGGTGGGAATGTGACCCTCTCCAGGCTTCAGATCCCTCATCTCTAGAATGGGGCCATGGGTTGTTCTGAGGACCTAACGAAATTAGCACAGTACCTGGCCTCTGGTAAGTGAATAATAAATGTTAGCTGTTACTTTCATCACCTCTCTTTAGTTTTGATGAATTTGGAAATTCAGGATGGAAGTGTCTACCTGCTTGACATATCTCAAAAATTTTGCTCCCTTCCTTCAAATATTCAACGTTCAACTAATATTTATTGACTTACTATGTGCCAGACCAGTGTTCTAGGCATGGGGCTCTAGGAGTGAACAAATGCAATGTAAAAATTCCCTGCCCTCTGGGGTTGACACTCTGGTGGGGGTGTGAGAACAACATCAGTGGGAAAATGGGGTCAGATGGTGAAAGGTGCTCTGGTCACCCCAGCTGGGCAGTGCCAATGGGAGACACCAGGCATGGCCAGCCTCGGGAAGGGTGTGGGGCCCAGGGCAGACCAGCGGGGTTCCTGGTGCTGAGGTTACCCTGTGTACTATTAAAGCAGGTAATGGCTCCCAGCTTCGATGGTGGGTATATGGACCCCGTTCAGGGATGGGGGCTGAGGAGGGCACAGGAGGACTGAAGACAGGGCTCTGAGGAGCCACCTGCTCTCGGGTCTAGGTCAGACCCCGCATCCTGATGCGGGTCAGCTGGCTCATGATGCCTGGCTGGCTCCTGGGACTGAGAGGAGAGTGTGGATGGTCTTGTCTCAGCTTTCCGCCCACTGGGGATCCACCTCAAGCATCCCCTGGCTGTGGGGTTGAGGGGTGGGCCCAGAACAGAAGCTTCATGTAAGAAGGTGACTGGGCTGGAGAAAAGGTGGCAGTGAGGTTTAGCCCCATCTCCAGCCCCTGGGACCTGTGGTAAAGATGTCCTCACCCACACAGTGGGCTCAGGCAGGCAGGAAAGGTTCCTGGAGCTTGGCCTCTAATATCCATTCTTGAGCTCTGCCGTGGAGAGAGCTGGTCACTCGAGCGCAAAGGAACCACTTGTGGGTTTTCTCCCTCAGCCTGGGCTTCCTGCCCATTCCTGGCTGTCCCAGCCTGATGTGTCCTCCAGGGCCCCCTGACCTGACCCTTGGCCCATCTCTTCTTGACCTTGCACTGTGGGCAGGACAGAGAGGCCAGGGAGAGTGTCCAAGAGGGACAGGATGGGATGTCAAGGTGACGGGGCGATGATGGTGCAGAGGGCAGCCCTTGGGATGAGCTCCTGGGAGCTCCTGGATGGGATTCAGGCTCAGCAGGTTGGGGTTGGAGCGGGTGGGGAATCCCTGGCATTTGGCAATTGCCCAGCACAGTGCCTGGGCATGGTAAGTGCTCAGTGAATATATGTTGTATGAATGCACAAGTGAATGAATGTTTGGCTATGCGGATTGCAAAGGTGTCTTTCTGAAATGCCTCAGGGATATCTTTATAAATTATTGCAGCCATAAAATGCTGATATTGGGGGTGCAGTGAGCAGCTCCGGACTGAGGATCAGCTGCATTTACCTGCACTGACATCTGTATGGCAAGAGAAGGGGTGTTTGACTACAAGGGAATGCATGCTTCTCTTTGTGTGAAAACAGAATGAGATTTTTCGTATGCATGATCTCATCTCATCCCCTAACAGCTGTGAGAAAAGTAAGGGTAGTTCTTGTTTGCAGAGAAGAAACCAGAGGCCCAGAGAGGTTAAAGGACCGATCCAGTGTCACACAGCTAGTTAGTAGCAAAGACATGACTTGAACTCTGGCCTTTTGGTTTCAAATCCTATGTTATTTAGAAAGAGACAAGGAACATCTTCGTTAGCCCCCCCATGACTAAAAATAGGAAGCTTGCCTTGTTGTGTTTGAGGAGAAGATGGTGTGAGTGGGTTTTGTGGCTGACCGTTTCACACCCAACATTTCATCACAGAAATGCCTGGGAAAAGAAAACTCCTAAGAAAAAAAAAAAAAGGAATGAGTGTTGGACATGTCCCTATGACCTGTTTGTCATGGCATGTGTGCTCGGCGCCTTGGTCATCAGGCTTAACTGAACTTCGGAGAAGGTTCTGTCCAGGAGTCTCATTTTACTGGGGGCTGAGGCTTAGGAGAAGGAAGCAACTTGTCCAGGCCAGGCATTCACTATGGAGGAGGCTGAGACTCCTGCGCCCTCGGATGCACACCCTGGGCCTCTGTTCCAGAGCTGTCTTGGCTAGCAAGTATCAGGCCCTTCTCCCTTCTCAGGCTGGTCAGAGGTCCAGCTGCCCTCTGGAGTCCCCAGAGTCTCCCTTCCCACTGTGACAGCATCGGCTGTCTCTCCCGGTCTCAGGTTGGACAGTCCTGGGAGAGAGAGGGTCTGAGTGACTTCATTCTGTCACTTCATTCATTAGTGACTGAAACAGGATTCTGTTAGCTGACTTCTGGTAGGAGCCAGGTTGGGAAGCCGCTCTGAGGATGCTGGGAGGGCCAACAGCTGCAATTATTATTATTATTGTTGTTGTTATTATTATTATTATTATTGAGACAGAGTCTTGCTCTGTCTCCCAGGCTGGAGTGCAGTGGTGTGATCTCGGTTCACTGCAACTTCTGCCTCCTGGGTTCAAGCCATTCTCCTGCCTCAGCCTCCTGAGAAGCTGAGACTACAGGCTTGCACCACCATGCCCAGCTAATTTTTGTATTTTTAGTAGAGATGGGGTTTCACCATGATGGCCAGGCCGGTCTTGAGCTCCCGACCTCAAGTGATCCACCTGCCTTGGCCTCCCAAAGTGTTGGACTTACAGGCGTGAGCCACCACGCCTGGGCTTGCAATTAAATTAGGGTGCTGCACCTGGGAGGAGGAGGCTGTGCTAAGATAGGAGCTGAGGATGATGGGTAAGAATGAAAGATCCCAAGAACTGGACAGTGTGAGATTGAGGAATGAGGAAGGCCAGGGCTTGGTGCTGATGTGGAGGGAAAGAAGCCTCAGGTCTCCATGGAGAACAGCGACCAGTGATGCGGTCTTCCCTTTAGCGGAAGAGGGGCTGGTTTAATTTGCATAGCATTAATTAGCAAGAGTATCTAATTAGGACAACCATTACAGAACCACAGTCATAAGCCGATGTTGAATATCAATCAATTTTGGAGCCTCTCCATGAAATTGAAGGAAAAGTTGACCTTATTAGATAGAAAAGATTTCTAAATCAATTATTTCCCAGATTGAATGCACAAAACATAGTGATGTCAGGCAGGCACATCAGACCTTAATTCAGAAATTATGAACTTCAGATACTATCACCTTTTCCCTTTGGGGGTTTCAGCCAGTGACAGAAATCGTGAATGGACCACATATGTGTATAAACACACACACACACAACCATACACATATACTCTTTGTGGGTAACAGCTTGGTTGGGGAAGGAGCCTGCGCATCATTATCTCAGTTAAGCTAATATTTCAGTTTGGTTCAGTGCCCCTCCAGGTCTCTGTCTGTAAGCATAGCTTTCTCCTTTTTGCGATGACCCAAACAATAAAATACATTTAGAACTTCAAAGTCTCTGGGAAGATATACCATAATCATTACAGTTCTGGCCTGTTTTTGGAAGCTACAAGGCAGGCCAGGAGAGCAATTTATGTGGCTGGCTCAGAAGCTGGGGAACACACTCCATCACCCTCTGCACAGCCTCAGGGGAGGAAAGGCTGGAACAGCTCTAAGAAGCCTCGCTGCAGATATTGGAGGGCCAGCAAGGCGTGGCCGCCAGAGCAGGTGGGGTGCTGGGACACAGGCGGGGCAATGGAACCTGGAGGCAGACAGATCTGGGTGTAAAACCTGGCTTTTGCAAATCCTGGCTTTGCCATGGTGAGAAGTTAGGTAACATGCCCTTGGACAAGTTACCTAACTTCTGAGAGCTTAAGCTTTCTCCTCTGTAAGAGTGGGTTGACAATGCCATCCTTGCATGGTAGGCCCCTATAGATGTGCTTTATTACAGATTATTGTCATCAATGAGAAATCACAGATCTGTGAAGGGCTGGCTCGTGGCCTGGAGCAGAACAGGGACCACATGGATGGAGGCAGCTCTTAGGAATTCTATTGACATATTTTCAGTCTTTTTCTACACTAAAAAAGCTTAAAAATGAAATAATTGGAAATATACTACATATCGTTTTGGGGTCTGAGTTTATCACTTAATAGTCTATCATCAACCATTCTCCATGTCTTCAGATATTGTCTGCAGAAGTGTTTTTTGGTTTTTTTTGTTTTTGTTTTTGTTTTTGTTTTTGTTTTTGTTTTTTTTTAAGATGGAGTCTCGCTCTTCACCCAGGCTGGAGTGCAGTGGCACTGTCTCGGCTCACTGCAAGCTCCGCCTCCCGGGTTCATGCCGTTCTCCTGCCTCAGTCTCCCGAGTAGCTGGGACTACAGGCGCCTGCCACCACGTCCCGCTAATTTTTTGTGTTTTTAGTAGAGATGAGGTTTCACTGTGTTAGCCAGGATGGTCTCGATCTCCTGACCTCGTGATCTGCCCACCTCGGCCTCCCAAAGTGCTGGGATTACGGCCGTGTGCAGAAGTGTTTTTAGTGGCTGCGTAGTGTTCCATCACTGCCTGATCTCAAATCTACTTAACCACTTGAAAATTTGTGGGCATTTAGGAATAAATGACTTTAAAACATGACTCTCAGCTGGGCGCGGTGGCTCACGCCTGTAATCCCAGCACTTTGGGAGGCCGAGGCGGGTGGATCACTTGAGGCCAGGAGATCGAGACCATCCTGGCTAACACGGTGAAACCCCATCTCTACTAAAAATACAAAAAAATTAGCCGGGTGTAGTGGCGGGCGCCTGTAGTCCCAGCTGCTGGGGAGACTGAGGCAGGAGAATGGCATGAACCCGGCAGGCAGAGCTTGCAGTGAGCTGAGATCGTGCCACTGCACTCCAGTCTGGGAGACAGAGCAAGACTCTGTCTCAAAAAAAAAAAAAAAAAAATGATTCTCATCAAATGGGATATAATTCCTAAGCATTCCTGTGTGTTAAGGATTGTTACTCTGTGTTGAAAAGTTCTGAGTCACGGGGCAGAAGGGTTGACCAGTTGACCGCTGGATTCCCTCTGTTCTACAAGCCCCTTATTGGTCCTCAGATAGGAGTGAGTGGGGGCAATGCGTGTGGCAGGTACCCTATCCTGGGATGTATGGCAGCCCGGTGTCACTGCCATCCCCCAAGGAACCATATCAATTTCAAGCTTCACTGATGTTCAGGCAGCAAAGAGAAGATGCTAATTCAACATTTTACCAAATAGAAAACATTCCTAGTTCAGCCAGACTTCTTTGACATGTTTTCCAGCTATTAAAAGCGGTTGGTTAATTTTTTTTATTGACATGCGATGGAGAATGCAAAGAAATCTGTAAGATATCGAGAGTCCCTGTTGATCCAGCACACAGCTTGGTCATCCCACAGGGCTGGAGCTGGCCAGGGAGGTTGTACTGGCCAAAACCAAGAAGCAGGTGGGAGTTGCCTGTTCATGTAAAGGTTTTGAGCTTTAGGACAAAAGGAAGAGGCCCAAAGGAGAGAGCATCTGGCCCCTTTCCCTTCACTGCTTCCTTTAAAATGATGGAAATAGACTTGGATTCTGATGTCAATTCATTGCTGCCAAAAGAAATAAATAAGGGGCTGAAATGTGCAGCTGATCCCAAATCCTTCCCGGGGAGGTGTGATGCTCCCAGATGCTTTCAGACCCCTTTGAAAAGAAAGTTATGGTCATTTCTGGATGGAAAACATTGTGAGCTGTCCCCAGTTGATCCCCAGTTGATTGATGTAGGGAGGTTTGTTTTACCCTAATACAGTCTGAGTGTTCCTGAATTCACCATTTGCTCTTTTCAGCCCCATCTGGGTCTTGTGGTTGGGTAGCATTTCAGGCACCAGGAAGTGCTTGTGAAGATCAAAATATTTTTGAGGGCCAGCACTGTGTTCTGTCCTTCTCTGTGCTTATGTTGGACCAGAACAGCACCAGCCCTCCTTAGGCCCCCATACATGTGTGCTGAGTAAATGATTGCAGGCTGCTCTTATGGAACTGTGGAACATGAAGAGGCTAAAAGAAGACTGGCTTATGTGTAGATCATCTTATGCATAGCAAATAATGGAGACCTTTTCCCATAGTTGGACGACCCCATGCAATGTAGAAAGTCAGAGTTAGTGAATAAGCCAGATCAGAAGCTTCTGGTGTATATCACTGTATATATAGAATCTAGCACACTGTTGGATATCTAGCAAGTGCTCAGCAAATGAGAAGTGGTTGAAATTTTTGTGAAAGAGTGAATGAATTAGTTACTTTATTAGTTTTCTTTGTATCTCCAGTGGGCCTCAAGAACTGTACCAATTAAATGAATGGGGAGATTAATAGACATCAGGGAGAGCACTTTCATTCCATCTCAGCACACAGAGTGGGGCCGAGAGCATGGACCTGGGCACTTGGAAGTCCTGGGTTCGAGTCCCAAGCCCTCCTCTCATTCTTGTGGTTGCCATATTGGACATACCGCCTCACCCCACAGATCTCAGCTGCTCCTCACATCTGCCTCTGAAAGCTGTCTCTGACCCATCCACAGTGGCCTCCCTCCTTTGAGCTCCCCTAGCTCTACTGTAGGTTTCACTCTGGCAATTGATCATACTCTACCTTACCTTGTTGTCTTAAGATGTCATTTAGGTCTATTTAAATGGATGCTTCCCATGTTTCTAAGTTGTTTCCCATTGGAGAGTGTGCCTGAGGGCTTGTGGGCAGTGCTCTGTACTGCGAGTCAGAGGCCTTGACTTTGAATTCTGGCACAAGCCACCCACCCTCCTCTGGGCCTCAGCCTGTAATATCTATAAGGTAAAAGGCCGAGGGCTGTTGTGAGGATGGATGAGAACAAATACGTGAAACCACCTTGTAAACTGTAAGGTGCCTTCCAGAAATCAGGCATCATTCTTCTAATGACCAGCTCCCTGAGGAAGGGAATGTTTCTTTTGTGGCGTGCACCACTCAGGACCAAGTGCAGGGCCGCCATACACACAGTCACTGCTTGGAAATGCTTCCTGGATCTCATCTGCTGCCTTTGCTCAGGGCTGTGTTCCCGCCTTCCTTTGGAACTAGGAGCTATCTCTACTTCCAGCTTCGAAATGCCCAGAGGTGCACCAAGTTCCAACCCAGACACCCTGATTTGTAGAGGATGCAAAGTAAATGATAAGGGTAGTTAACACTTACTTGGCCAGGCACTGTTCTGGGCACTTTGCATACATTAACTCCTTTATTTTCACAACAGCCCTGTGAGGTAGTCCAGAATATTATCTCCATCTGACACAGGAGGCATGCTGGTGCAGAGAGGTGGAGTGGGCGTTCCAAGGTCAGGTAGCCCTAAATGGCTGTCGCAGGGCTGGGACCCAGCAGTCTGGCCCCGGAGGTCATGCCCTTAACCACACTTCTCGGTTTCTCTAAGCTGCCCTGGGACTGAAAGGCTGCAGTGGAGGCCACGGGGCTCACCTCCCCCACCTAATCCCTAGCAGGAGGGACCATCAGGGTACTTCTCCTGCCAGGACCCCTCTCTGCTCCTGTGCTTCCTGGCTTCTCTCTCCAGTAGCTCCTCTGCCGTCCCTGCCTCCCTCCCCTGCCCTTGGCCTAAGCCAGGAGATGAGAGCAGCTGCCGGGACATTCAAATTCATTCCTGAAAGAATTCTGCCTCCGAAATCCTCTGGTTTGGGTTTAAGAGAAAACAGAGGCCCAAGCTGGCGTAATATTGATGCCCAAACCATGTAATAGCGGCACAACAAAGAATGACGTTCATATGAGTTATGAGCATGGAAGCACAAATTCTAAATAACACATCAGCAAACTGAATCTAGCCGTGTATAACAAACATAATACATCATGCCCAAGTAGCGTTCATCCCAGGAATGCAAATACGACTTAGCCCGAGAAAACAGAGGCTCAAAGGGGGCAGCTGCTGAGACAGAGCCGGCCCGGGCACAGCCCAAGGCTTTTGTGGGGCTCAGGCTGACTTTGTGCTACACCTGCTCCTAGGAGGGGCTGGTAACAGTCCCTCCTGTGTCCCCACCCCTTCTCTTTTACACAGCCGCAGAATAAAGTGAGACGCTCCTTTCCCCGCACTCCCTAATTCTCTCTCTCCATTGTTCCTGCAGGACTCCATGTTTTCGTTGGCCCTGAAATGCCTTATCAGTCTGTCCACCATCATCCTTTTGGGCTTGATCATCGCCTACCACACACGTGAAGTCCAGGTAGGTGCCCCCACCTCACCCCTTCATGCAGCGGCTGATCCTTTGGCCTTGCTCTGAGCCGAGCCCATCCCCACCCCCAAAACCCACTCCCTTAGCAGCTACTTGGGTGATTTTACAAGACGGTGCCCAAGATCGTGGCTCTTCTCTTCTGGTTTGGACCCAAATGGGAGAGGAAACTGCGAGGCCGCCCTGTGGCTTTCGAATAACTGTTAAGTTGTCTTCAAAGTGGGGATCCCAGAGGCAAACATAGGGCTTCATGTTGAGCGAGGCTGCCGTATTCGGGACCCTCACTGAGCACCATCGGACCGGGAGAGCCCCTGATGCATTGCTCTGCCTTTTGTGTCTCTTGTCCTTTCTGAACTTGGGCCACTCAGTTCATCCCTTCAGTGAGGCAGACCTGCCTTGTGTACCCCCACATATGCTGCACCAAACTCCACCAAGGAGTCTGCTTTTTGTGAATGGTGTGGTCTTCACCCTTGTGGGTCTAGGCTGGGGGTGTCATTTTCTAGACAGAGTAAGAGTCTGCTGTGGCCGAGAAGGCCTCTGTTTCTTGCTGCCCAGGAGTGACTTGGTACCCAGAGAAACATTGGCTGGGCCTCCAGGGTGCACTTCCAGTTTGGCTGACATAGGGAGGATGGTTCAACCCGGGCCAGGAGGGTCAGACAGGAGAGAACAGATCTGAAGCATCTTCTGGTGACAATGAGCTTCCCCCAGCCCCCGGCCCTTCAGGCTGAC
The DNA here is from genome assembly GCF_000001405.40 of Homo sapiens. Classification (NCBI taxonomy): domain Eukaryota; kingdom Metazoa; phylum Chordata; class Mammalia; order Primates; family Hominidae; genus Homo; species Homo sapiens. The sequence goes on along the minus strand of NC_000001.11, from coordinate 154,821,353 downwards.
CTGCACTGCTGTGGACCTGAGAAGTTCTAAACTATCCAGATGTTTTTCCTCATGTGCATGTGAATCTGGAAACCATCCCGGTCCTTTGGCTGGAGGAGCACAGATAGATTCACATCTGGGCAGCAGGCGAGAGATTGACGAAGACCAGAGCTCAGAGTCAGAAAAACTGGGGTCAAGTCTCGGCCATGACCTTTTTTCTTGGTGTGTCTTTGGCCAGCCCTGTGACCTTCCTGGGTCTCGATCTTCTCATCTAGAACATGGGGCCTTTATTCCAGCTCTGCTGAGCTGTTGTGAGGATGGGATGAGGAGCGCATGGGAGAGTGCTTTGTGAAGCGCTATTTAACAACACCGTTCAAATCCAGTCCCATTTGTTACTCGGCATTTTCAGGGTGGAGCAGCAGTGCGGACGCAGGTGGGAGTGCCTCCTCCTCTTAGAGAGCCTTGGCTTTTTGTCTGAAGGTCAGGGGCCACTGTGGCTGGCTGGGACATGGAAGCCTTGGCTCCAGGCCACCTTGGCAGGGCTGCATTCTGTCAATGACTAGAGGATACTGACCTGGATGCTGGGACTCTTCAGCCTCTAAAGGGTTGCAGATGCTTGGACAGGGGCTGTGCCTGTGCCAGATGCCACCAGGCAGCTTCCTTCATGGAGTCTGAATTGGACAGAGTGGTGGACTTTAACTCAGACCATTGTCCAGTCAGCCCCAGAAAGGAGCCAGGAGTACAGGCAGGGAGGACTAGGGCCACGGAATCGAGACAGGACAGAAGTTGACAGTCTGGGCTCCGGGCCTGGTTCCACCCCACCCAAAGCCAGCCGCGGGATCCAGGCAGTCCCTCAGTGTTCATGTTCTCATCTGTAGGGAGACTGTATTACTATGTGTCACCCTGACCTGTGTGGGGAGGTGTCACACACAACAAAGAAAAAAGGCAGAACCATAAAACTCAGTTATGACCCAGGCTTGAGGAAGGGGAAGAAGAGGAGCTGTTCTCAGCCTCAACCCCACACTTTGGTGGTGCTAGGCCTGATTACTTCCTCTTTCTGCTCCAGGCATTGGGGTGGGTAGAGCCAGGTGTCCCTCCCTCTGATGCTCCTGAGGTCCTTGTTCCCAGTCCAGGGCCTGCAGCCCTAGCTCTCAGCCTGTTCTGGTCCAGCTGCAGCTTGACTCAGTTCCGGCCTGGTGGCAGGGTCATGTTGCTGACAGCCCAGAACCTGGCTGGGTACCCATTGTCCCATGTCCAGCTCATGGCCAATCTCTGTTTCAGCCCTAATCATGGGCAGTAGATGATGCTATTGGGGGTCATTCATTTTGGCCTGACACAATTTGGAGAAACAAAGTGAAATCAGTTGTGTTGAATCCTGACTCTGGGGCTCAGTTTCCCCATCTGAAGTATGGGAACCACATCACCCACTTTGCTGAACTCTTGCAGGGGTTGGAAACAGTGTAGAGTACAGAGTGGGCTTTCACAGAATGGAAACTTTGGTCCCTTTCCTGTGACCTTTGTCCCACTGCTTCTAGCTGGGCCTTGCACTTACCAGCTGGGTCCACCAGGTGGTCACTATCACGACTGCCTGGTACTGGCAGGTGGCTGGGCTTCCTCCTGCTCTGGCCCAGCCCTGCCTGTACCCTGAGCTCCCACCACCCAGCCCCTTATCCTCCCTGCAGCCTCCGTCACTTGAGGAAAGTCACCAAAACCGGCTTCCTCTGTGCCTCTTACCTTTCCAGTAAAGTTCTTTCTGTGCCCAGCTAGACCTTCTCTTGCCAGAGGGAAATGGGAACAGTTTGGGCCCAGAGAGTCAGTGGGAGGGAGGTTCCTACGGAGCGCCCTTGTATATACCGCACTGGGCCATATTGTAGTTTTCTGTTGGGTGTCTTTCTTCCCTACCTCAGGGACAGTTATCTTTGCATTAATCTTTGCATGTCCAGAGACTTATAGTGTCTGACAGTATACTCTTCTCGGCAGAGTATAGCACGTTTGTAGCACGTTCTTTGAATGGAAAGCATGCTGAGTTCAAGGTAACTCTTTTCCAAAGCTGGTCGTACCTTGACTTAGCTTTTTGGTCTCGGGCCTCAGTTTCCTCATCTATTACTTAGCCCCCCAATCTTGTAATTCTCTGATTTAGATCTGGCTGCTCAGCCAGCTGCGGAACCTGCTTCCTGCGAGTGGAGGAAGGAGTTATCCCAAGTGTGACTGATGAAGTTATGCAGAGGGGAGTGCTTAGCAAGCACCCTTCCACAGGCAAAGGCCAGCTGCTGCTCACCTGTTGCGAAGCAGGCAGGGCAGGGGGTGGCTGCCGCATCTCCCCTTTGGGTGATGTCAGGACCTTTGCTAGGAATCTGCTCACAGCTTTCCTCATCCACAGTGGTTCCTGATCACCTAGCTAAATTTTAGCAGGGACCAGATGATCATGTCCCCGTCTTCCCCAGCCTTGCCCCAGAAGCTCACACCCAGGACCCAGGCCCTGCCCAGCACACATGTGAGGCTGGGGGAGTACCTTTTAGAACAGTATTCTTACTTGTTCATTTAGATGGCTTGAGTTTTTCAGGAAGAAGAATTCTAAAACACTGTTGGGTAACTCTCACCCAAGCTGGGTAATTTATAAGGAACATAAATGTATTTCTCACAGTTCTGGAGATCGGGAAGTCCAAGATTAGGGTGCCAGCAGCTTCAGTTGTCTGGTGAGGGCTGCTCTCTGCTTCCAAGACGGCGCTACGTTGCTGCATCCTCAGGCAGGGAAGGCAGGAGGCTGAGGGACTGAACACTGCATGGGGCCTCTTTGATACAGGCCTCAATCCCATTCACAAGGGAGGAGCCCTCATGGCCTCAACATCTCTGAAAGGCCCCATCTCTTGGCACTACCACATTGGCAACATCTGAATTTTGGAGGGGACACGTTTAAACTGTAGTGTCCACCTAGTGCAGGAACCCCAGGGCCTCTGTGTGTGCTACTGTGACGGAGCTGCTGGCCCCCCTGGGAGAGGCTGCCCTACCAATGTCTTTAGAAAGCCCGCCCTTCTGCCGAGAAGAGGCAGCCTCCCTGGAACTTGCCCCCTGGCCTGGTTCTGCTTCTGGAGCAGGGAAAAGAAGGGGTTGGTTTCCCGCATGGTAGCCTCCATTGTTGGAAGATGGCACCCCACCCCATCTCTCCTCAGTCTCCCTCTCTGTTGGCGTTTTGGAGCACGGACCTTTCAAAGACTCAGGCACCTCTTTTCCTCAGGCCAGTGTGTCCGGGAGAGAAATGAAAACACAAGAAGCAATGCATTTTGTTTATTTACCAAAACTCTGACTGAAAACCATGCTCTCCCTTGGAGAGTCCATTTACTTCTGTGGTTTAGCTCTCACCAACAGCTCTCAGACCGTGCTAATCCCCTCCCCAGGCTGCAGGCTCACGTTTTACATGCCACCGGCAGCCCCTGGCTCCACACACAAAACACTGAACTCCTCTTGCTCCCCAGTATCCTCTCCTCCTTTGCCCTTGATGACCCACCAAGTGCAGTCATTGGTTCAGCATCTATTTAATAATGTTCTTCTAGGTGCAGAGCCCAGGACAGGAGCCCAGTTCTCTAGATGAGAAACTCAGAATTCACCATTGCTTCTCCCAGGGGTCATCAGCCTTGAGTGAATCTATGGCTCTAATGAATGGCCCTGGTGCCATCCTGGAAGGCAGGCTAGCAGGCAGAATCATAAAACTCAGTTATGACCCAGGCTTGAGGAACGTTCTCTACTGAGAATGTAGACTTCAGAGCAGCCCAGCTTGGCGCAAATCATGCTGTTTGTCACATTTAGTGTGTAGGTGGCCTTTAGCAAGTTACTTAATCCTTCTTAGTCTATTTCCTTTCTGTAAAATAGGACTAATAACCATACTGTGGAGGCCACAGCAACTCCATCTTGGATGCTGATCCTCCATATTGACTTCCGATTAACCCAGTTTCGGGAAAGCCTCTAAGATTTCTCCTTTATCTACTGTTTACTGTAAGTCCTGCCCTTAGGCAAATTGCTTCTGAAGCACATATACCCCTTTCCTCTGGTATTTAATCCCTGGGACTAGGGGGTCGTGGTGCAGGATCCACCATCTTGTCTTACTGCTGCCAGAGACTGTGGCTTTTGTTCATAAGTCCCTATTAAATGCTTCTTTCTGAGAAACTGGATATGTCAGCCCCTTTCTTCAGCCTTTCAGCTTCCTCAGCCTTTGGGGGTAGGTTTGAATATGCCTACCCACCCGGAACCAGTACCTACCAGAAAGGGTTATTGTACAGATTAAATTAGATAATATATGCAGAACTCCTTAGCTTAAGTAAGAATGTGTTTGTCTGGCTGACAGAGTGGAAAGGATACCCCAGACAGAGGTCTCAGAGTAAACAAAGGCTCTGAGATGGGGAACTGCAGAGCACACTGGGAATGTCTCAAGGACAGGGTCCTGGGTAGAGGGGCAAGTTCACTATGGAGGGTGGGAAGGACCCGTAGGGACTTGTTTGCCTTGCTGAAGGGTTTTGGAATGTCCTGTAGGCAGCAGCAGAAACTATGAGAAGGTTTCAAGCTGGGGACAGAGATGATCAGATTTACATTTTAGACAGCACTCTTCATCTGCAGCATGCAAATATAGGAAAGGCCAATTTCAGAGGCAGGAGGACAGTGGGAAGCACGTCATCATGGGCCAGGTGAGGGGTGTTGATGCCCAGAGCTGGGGCAGGAGTGAGGAAGGGAGGATGGGAGGGATCCAGTACCCCTGGGAGGAAGTGCCTGGCTCAGAGCCCCAGGCATGGAATAAGGGGTGGGGTGCAGACACATTCACATCCGGAGGCGTGGAGCAGAGCCTGGCATCCTTAATAAAGTTGCAGGGATGGGAGGTGCCGTCCCTACATCCAGGCCAATGCCGGGCACGTAGCAGGTAGTCAGTGAATGTTTATTGAATTAAACTGAAGAGACTACTGTGACCCAGGATGGGATACAGAGCAGTGGCAGAGTTCATATAATCCAGTCCCAGAATGGGAGCTTCAGAGATCATTAATTTCAAATTGTGGTTCTTGGCCATATTCAAAGTAAAAGGCATCAATCAGATCAATGGGGTGGAGATCCACTCTTGCCTGGGGATATCAATCCCCTCAAGATCTAGCGTTGGTCTCAGATGTTTCCAGTCTTTTTCAAACTCAACAGAAACGTAACGGTAGTAACAAACTATGGGCCTTCAACCTCATGAATTTGAAATACAAGGGACCAAAAAAAGGGGAGGCTTTTAATTTATTAGGTATATAAAAGTGGATATTTTCATTAAATACCAATAGAGTTCTGAGCAGACAGGGAAATTACTTGAAATTACAGGACATAAATTATAGGAAGCCTCACTTCCTGTGGCATAATTGCTCTGTGGATGGGAGTGTCCTCCTGGGTGCGTGTAATGTGCTGTCACAGGGACATGGGTGTCTGTAATGCAGGAGGTGTTGCTGGCCCAGGTGCTTTGGGGTCCCACCGCTAAATGAGTTAGTGGTGTCTTCCCCTGAAAGAACAGACAGGACAACTCACGTTGCGTCTTGCTCTGTGCCCTCACCCTCCCTTCTCCCTGTAAAAGAAAGCAGGCTCAAGTCACATCCTGAATGTAACCTGTAAGGTGTCCTGGCACTGAGAGACAAGGTATAATAGCAGAGCACGTACTGACCTCTCTAAATTTTCCAACCCTAGTACAGTCTATAAAAATGGTGAGTCCATTCATTCGTTTACTTATTCAACAAACATTTATTGTAGGACTACTTTGTGCTAGGCATTGAGAATCCAGAAATAAAGCAGACCTGATTCCTGCCTTTGGAAATTGGTTTGTCCTAGACCTTTATCCACTGTGACCCAGGGTCATAAGTGCCATAATATGAGGGTCTGTGAAACACCAAGTGGCCACGGAGGAGGGAGTGATGCATTTCTCCCAGAGAGGCTGGGCAGGTTTCACGCGGAGATGATGCTGTGCCCTGCATTCGCCAGGAGCAGAGACCTTGTATGCTCAGGACAAAGCTGGCCCAGAGCGTTTCAGGAGAGGAAAAAAAAAGAGAAGGAAGCTGTGCCTGTCCTCCGAAGGGAGGTGGAGGCTGCCCAAACCCCCCAGGTAGGGGCTAGAGTCCCCATCCTTCTTCAGACACCTGGTAGAGGTTTCCTAAGGGTGTCTCTGGCTGGTTGGTTGATGAATTAGAAATACCTTCATTGAACCTCCGAGATCTTGAGACCCCCAGACAGACTTCTCAGCCTGGCTAGGTTTGAGCATGTCAGCTCCTTAACTCAGGTGTGATGAGCAGATGGAAGGAGGGAGCTCGGGCCACTCGTACTGAAGGGGAGGAGACCTTGACAAGGAAATTCCAGATGGGGGCCTCCTCTGCCAGGTTTACATCCCTCTCCTGTCCCACTTTCATGAGTGTGCCCCTGGATGATCACAGCACACAAGGGAAATTGAAAATGGGGAATGTGTTCCAGAGAACAGCGACTGGTGATGGGGATTCACTGGAGCGCTGCTCTTCTTTGGGCCTCGGCCTCCTGCCTGGCCCAGCTGTGCACAGTGGGGCTAGAAAGAAAGGGAGAAATAGAGAGAGGAGCTACACCACCAACTGGGCCCGAGAAGTCAGAACACCATGGAATAAATCCTCGTCAGACTACACTTTGAAGACAGAAAGCTCAGAGCTGATACATTAGCAAGCGCCTCAGAGACGATGGTGTGGCCACATCTTGTCTAGCGCTTTGTATTTTTTAGAGGGTTTTCACATCTATGAGGCCTTGGGCCTGGCCGCCTTCACCTTTTTGCCTTTTAGGTTTCAGCATAGATATTTCCTCCTCCAGGAACTCTCTCTGGCCATCGTCCCCCTTCCCTGACCCCAGGGTGCCCCTTCTAGGAGTGGACCTAGCACCAGCTCTTATAGCAGCGGCTCTTACTTGTCCCTGCGTGTCTTATGTTGGTTGTGAATACTATTTCTTGCCTGCAACTCCCTTCTCTGACTGTGGGCTCCATGGCAGTGGGGACTGTATTGGTTTCACTGTTGGACCCCCAAAGGCATGAGAGTGCCTAGCACATAGTAGGTGCTATTCAATGAGTGTAGGCTGAATAAATGAATGAATGAATGACAAAACTGGGGTAGGCATGGCAGATTTACTCCCTCCTCATTCTAAGGAGAAAGTAGAGCCTCTAACAGGCTGAGAGCCTGACCTGAAGCCCACAGACCTGGCATCTGGCCCGTGCTTTCTGCATCCTAAGGGGCTGCGGGTCCCAGCAGGTTGCCCAGTGAGCTGGCCATGCCCACCATGGCCCTCCCTGCCACTCTCTGGGAGGCCCACCTCGATCCCAGCACCTTTTCACTTGGATCGGCCGCTGGCCATGGATTGCCATGGTTACTACACCAGCCCTGGCAGTCTCTGTGTGACATTTTGGTTTTATTTGCTAAACATTTAAACACTTGGGCTTAACCCTTTCTGCCTCAGAGGGGGCTTTCCTGCCCCTGCTCCCTGTCCCTCAGGTGTGAGGGCCCCCGGCTGCTCTCCCTGGCCCTGGCTGGCGTCTCCGATGGGGTGGGTGTGCTCGTGGTGGCAGCAAGGCTTGTTTCTCGGCTGCCTGTATTGACTTTCTGTTTTGTCTCTGGGGAATGTCATCCTGGATCATGCTCTCACTGGGTGGTGCTGTGTCCATTAACAGGTGTGAAAAGCCCTGCTCCGGGCATGTTAAGGCTTGACCTCCCCGTCAGCTGGGGTTCTGTTGACTTCCAGGCAAACGCCTCTTGCCAAGTCCTCCAGGAGCTTCCTTAGCTCCAGGAGTTCAGGACGGGGTGGGGAGGGGTCATCTGCCCTTGAACCCTGGCAGGAGGACAGAGGGGAGACTGGTTTCGGGAAGAGTCCGTGTTTGTGAATGGGAAGGCGGTGCGTCGCCTGGCCTCCCACGCCTCCTCCCCTGCGGGCTTAAGATGAAGCCTCCCAGGAAGAGGAGGCGGCCCGGGAGGCTGAATCCACCCAGCTATGTGTTACCTTGGAAACCACACACTTGTCCTCGCCCTAGGCCATGTGAAGTGAGGGGGCCGTGGACACGCTTCTCAGGAAGCTTCCAGTGTAACTCAGGATACAAAAAATCACAGTCCCAGCATGGGCAGCTGAGAGAATGAAAATGTTCAAAAAAAAAAAAAAAAAAAAAAAGCAGCCTAACAACTGCCCTGCCCAAGGGGCTCCCACCCCAGCAACCCTCTGCCCATTCTACATGGGACGAGAGGCCAGGGCCAGTTTGTCTGGGATGCTGATCACTTGTGAGCTTGGACAAGCTACTTGTTCTAGCTCAATCTCAGTTGTGTTGTCTGTAAAGTGGGCAGATTAGGCCAGAGGATCTCTGAGAACTCTGATTGTAGCCAGAATTCCATGTCTGAGGGGCACTGCCTGACAAGGAGAGGAAAATGTCGGGAGAGTGGCTGTGAGCGGTTTTTGGTAACAATGACTGACCTGGTTTGTGTTCAGGAGGCCCTTTGTGGGACTGTCCGAACAACTTCTGTCCCTTCTCTTAATAGCCTTGCCTCTGCCCAGTCACAGAGCTGGCTGTCCCCTAAACACAGCCTCAAACTTGACATAGAAAACAATAATAAAGACAGCTCTTTGGCTCCAACATCTTAAAGTTTAAAGGTGACTCCTCTTGAGTCTCTTACACACAGGAGCTGGTCAGACAGCTTAAAGTTTTCAGGATAATAGAGTAAGTGGCCAAGTCCCCTGCCTTAACAATCCATTCCAAACTCCTTCCATGAACGCGCACTCCCACTTCTCCAAAGTCATGGGGAACAAGTGCTCAGCTTAATAGAATATTCTGTTTCTCCATCATTCTCAGCAAACTATCGCAAGGACAAAAAACCAAACACCGCATGTTCTCACTCACAGGTGGGATTGAACAATGAGAACACATGGACACAGGAAGGGGAACATCACACACCGGGGCCTGTTGTGGGGTGGGGGGATGGGGGAGGGATAGCGTTAGGAGATATACCTAATGTAAATGACGAGTTAATGGGTGCAGCACACCAACATGGCACATGTATACATATGTAACAAACCTGCACGTTGTGCACATGTACCCTAAAACTTAAAGTATAAAAAAAAAGAAAAAAAAAGAATATTCTGTTTCTCTGAGAGTGCCAAGGTGTGTCATCCCTGACTTTTTCAAAGTTAATCCGTTCTATTTGGTTTTGTTGTTACCATTTTTCAATGATGATCATTTCCCCCGTGGCAGCGGTTCTCAATCAGGGGTGTGCCTCAGATCCCCCGTGTCATATCTGGGTCCTGCATAGGCAGGTGAACCCCACTGCCTGGGAATGTGTGTTTTGACAGCACCGCAGGGGGGCCAGTGCACACTCTTATTAAGAAACATGGCACTCAATTAAGCTCAGGGAGGCCAGCGTCTTCCCAATCATCCCTGCAGCCACCCCTGCTGTGCCTAACGAAGAGCACTGTGCATAGTAGGACTCAGTGACTCCTGGGGTAAGGATCATTGACTCTCTGAGAATTTGTAAAGTTGGAAGGCACTGTTGAATCTTTAGTGTTTGGAGGCTTCTATACAAGTGTTGTTGCATTGTGCTATCAAGAAAATTCTGATAATTCTAGTTTCCTGTTGAGTACAAATCTAGTAAAATGACATTTTCCTGTTTTTAAGAGAAAAAATGGCAAAATCACCACTGCTCAAATTCTCCAAAACCCAACAATTGGACGAGGAAAAGAGATGAACTGCCCCGATTTACCTTTGAATTAAAGAATTCGATGCAATTCAATTGAGCAGTTTTGTTTCCTCCAAAGGCATCTCCCATACAAACCTGTCCTGTTAGCATGATGGTGGGAGAGACACTGAGCCTGCGGTCCGTAGACCTGGGTCCAAGTTGAGACTTGTTCATTTAAAACACTTTTTAAACTTGTGGTAAAATATACATAACCTATAATTTAGCATTTTAACCATTTTTAAGTATATGGTTCAGTGACGTTAATTGTCTAATTATATTCTTATATATATATTTGTATCCTTATTATTGTATATTTGTCACCACCATCCATCTCCAGAACTGACTTTTGTCATTTTCTGTGTGGCCTTGTGTGCCTCCACCAAGGCTTGTGGTGAGCTCTCTTCGCACATCATCTCCACAAGCATCTCCCACTTTGTCAGCCCCTAAACTTACCTTTACCCTGTCCCATCGCCCTAACGTCACGGGCCGGGGTTCTGATTCCAAGTTTCGATTGGGGAAGTGGTTGGTAATCCCACAGGTGGTAATAGTGTCGCCTCCATCTGTTGATCTCTTGTGTGCTGGAGACTGTGCCTTTACTTTATCATCTCAGTGATTCTTGGCGACAGTCCCGTAGTTAGGCTCTGTATTCATACCCCCTTTATAGATAAAGCAACTGAAGCAGAGAAGGTAAGAGATGTGTCCACAGTCATGTGGCTGGTGAGGGCAGAGGGTTTTGAGGTCAACTGTTTGAGTTGACCATCTCCAAAGCTAGCCAGGTTGCCCTGCCTGGGGGAGAGAGGCCCGTCCTCAAATTAACTCTTCTACCCCTGGTTCCTACAATGGCTAGAAGCAGCCTAGAAGGTGGGCTGAGTCATGGGGACTTCCCTCCAACAAGGGTGAATATTAGGAAGCCTAGGGCTGAACAGTAACCCAGTGTTGGTCCAACCTTGCAGCAGCTCTGGAGGCCCTCATCCCAGCCACACCCCCACCTTGGCTGTGCCTTGTGGTGGCTCCTCTGCCTATTAAAATCCCTTCCTTCTCCTGGTTTCCCTATTGTCCTCCCCTTGGGTCCAAGGCTTGCCTCAAGGATGAGGCCCAGCACCCTTGGGGAGGTAGAAGGGCAGCCATCTCAGGGTAACCTGCCCAGCCATCAGAACTGGGACCCGCTTCAGTTTCTCTGCCTTGCCTTCTGATCCCAAGGAAGGCTAGGGTCTTCCTTGAAGCCTCACTGAGCCCCATACTGGGTCTTGTTCTTTCTTGCCTCCCTGCCTTCTGAGGGGCTGACTTCTACTTCTGCTCGCCTGGAGTCACAGTGTCCCTGATAGTCCCCAGGCCCTCAGGATCAGACCTGCCTCTAACCCCAAGCCATCATCTGCCTGGGCTGAGTCTGGTCTTTCCCTTAGACACTGTGCCTTGGGCTGCCAGTGGCCTGGGTGAGTCAGGCTTCAGCAGCTCTTCCTGTTTCCCCGCCCATATTCTCCCCTCCTTCTGCCCGTTCCTATGGTAAGGTGCCAGCAGCCTTCCACCCAAACTCCCCTAAGCTGGACCCAGGACTTCCCTAGATTAAATGCCCCCACTTCCCTGCCATAATCATGTCAATAATCCTGTTTCCACCCTGATCTTGCTACTCTGAACAGGATCTGCTTGGTCCACAGCAGCCCAGGGATCTGGTGACACACTGACCCTTACACACCACTGGGATCAGGTCAGTACAGAAGGCACCGACCTGCTTTCTCACTTTGTTACTGCAGCCAAAGACAGCCAGTGACTTTTAGCTTTCATGGTAGCCTGTTAGTTTATATTGAATTGAATATTTACTAAAACCCCTCTGTCTTCTCATGAGCTGCTAAGCAGCTCCCCACCCTCTGCCCCCTCAATCTCCCATCCTTCCTAATACCGTTGGCTTTTTAGGTGAGAACTGTACCTTTCATTTTCTTCTGTTACGTTTCCCTGCAGCTGTTTCAGCCCTTCATTCTAGTCTGTCCAGGCCTTTTAGCATCTCACTCAGCAACATGTATTTGGGGGCCTCCCAGCTTCCTGCCCTCCCACATGTGATGAGCCTGAGTATAATAGCTTCATCTAAACCATTGATACAAATGTCGAACCAGAAGTCAAATCTGGGAGGTAAACTTTCTTTGGTTGGACTAAAGACAGGAGAAGTAAAGAAGAAACTTCAAGGATTTGCAAATCTTTTTCATCTTAAAAGTTTTGTGGCCTCCTGTGAGGTTGTAGTTTTATGTGCCCTCCCACCCCAGCCCCCAAATAAGCCTGCTCTGCATTCATAGAACACGTGTTTATTGAGCCATGCTCTGTGAGGGGCACGGTGCCTGGTATGGGACAGAGCTGTGAACTACAGACTGGACCCGGTCTCGTGTTACTCACAGTCTGTGAAATGAAAGCGTGGCTGCTGGTGCTGGGGCTTGGCTGCTGGGGCTGAGTGTTGAGTCTGTGAAATGGACGGGTGAAGCCGTACACCTGGTCACTCGGTGAGATCACGTTGTGTCACAGGAGAGTGCTGAGGCATGGCCACCGTGGCTGGACGTTCTCAGAGACACTGCTCAGCCACAGCAGCTGGGCCTGGCTATGACCACTGACCTGTGACTACATCAGGCACAGCCACAAACCAGAGATCAGTAACCAGACACGGCGGAGCCATCCAGTGGGCGCAGAGCAGCCACCGCCTCTGAACTCAGAGCCACGAGGCGGCTCTGCGGGAGCCGCCCGACACCTGCCTGCTGTGTGATCGCCAGCAGACCCTGCCCCTCACTGCCCTCAGATCCCTCACTTGTGCATCTGGGGAGGAAGCTAAGGGCTCTCCAAGGTCCCTATCAGCTCTTTATGGTGCTTCTTGCTAGAATGTGCTAGAAACCATATCGATTTGAGAGCAAAGAGAAATTGCCACCAGTGGGTGTGTATGTGTGGAATGGGAGGCGGGGGAGTGGGCAGGGCGATATTTGTCTTCCTGCTGCTGTTAGAAATAGCAACTATTCTCTCCCCTGAGGACTGGACAAAAGGTGATTAATTCATTCAGCACAGAGCTATTGAAGGGCTGTTCTGAGCCAGGCACCGTGGGGACAGCAAGGTCCCTGCCCTAAACAGGCTTGTGATCTAATGGAGAGATAAGCACGCAGACACACACGCCTTGGCTGCTGGTGCTGAGGACAAGGGTGTGGAGGGCACGGCGCACAGTTCCACCTAGATGGGAATGAGGACGCTGCTGTGCAGGGCATCTGAGATGGTCATGGGGTCAGTTCTAGCAGGTGCAGGTGGGTCGAGGGTCCTCTAGGGGAAGGGACCAGCTCCAGCAGCTGTGAAGAATGCAGAAGCTCAGGGCTCTGCGGAATGGGAGGCATGCAGCTGATCGTAAAGGGAATGTTGAAAGGTGAGAATAGAAAGAAGGGCTGGAGCCAGATCCTGGTGAGCAGCAGCTGGAGCGATGAGGCACCCAGGTCTAAAATGGTAGTAGCCCCATTCTATCTATGAGAAGGGGTTGGGGGATGGCGATCTGATGGCGGGAGAGGGAAGCCAGGGAATTTGTCTTCAGGTTGCACCTGCAAAGCATTTTATGTAAGATGGAGAGAATGTCAATAGTCTGTATCAAAGACTGAGAGGTAAGAATGGGGATGGGAGACGGGTGTAGATTATGGTACAGGTTGAACCCCCCTCAATCACTGGGACCTGCTCTGACCTTAGAGTACAGGGTTGGGCTAGAGGAATGGTGGATGAATCTCCCTCCTTGGGAGATTGTTAGGATTAAAGATGAGAGCCACCTGGTACACTCTTGTTTAAGAGTCAGAGGAATGGAAAAACACCCCTCCCACCCCAAAACGCTGAGGTTCTGATCTCACTGACTGAACACCACCCAACCAGGAGCCAGGGCTTGAGGGCAGCCCGAGTTTGTCTTGCTCTGTCGGATCTTTTTGGATGTTTAGCAGGAGCGACACTGATCAGACTTCACAAGAACCTTAGGATTTTACAATTTTGCTCTTCCCTTATTGTTCACAAATCAAGCCTATGCCTAAAAATACACTCTTCTCCAGCAGCCTCGGGGACTTAGCTTCTCCCCCAGGCAGGGAGTTTACATCCTTCCTTTGCCTGCAGAATTCAACCTTGCAGGTTTGGTGGGGTGGCTGGAAACCGCCACCATCCCAGAGCAGGCTTCTATCCCCAGGGCCTGGCTGTCACCCGCAGCAGCAGTGACATCACCCAAAGCCGACTTTGTGCGGGGGGCTTCTGAGTGTTAAGTGGGCTCAAAAGGTTGAAGTGCGGGGGCAGGTAGGAGGAGCTGCGTGGCTTGGGAAGGAGCAGCTGGCGCTGTAGAGGGAATGACTTGCCCCAGCTGCTGTTGGGTTACGGGCTCGAGTTGTCCACAGCCACCAGGGGACATTTTTTCCTCTTCTCAGTTCCTCTTTGACCCTGCGCTCAGCTTCACCAAAACCACCTTGTTTCACCTTCTCTGTATGTCCTCGGCCTCTCCTTTCCTGCTTGCCTCAGTCTTTCCCATCTTTCAAATCTAAACATGTGGTGTCTGTTGCTGCGGGTTGACTGCATGTGTATGTGTGGTTTTCAAGCTGAATTGACAGGGCTGAGTTTTACAGCCAATACTGCCTGGCTCTGGAAGAAGAGAAAGAGGAGGACAATGAGGGACAGGATCTCTTGTAGCAGAGAACATTCTGATCCAAATGTCCTTTCAGGATAAATTTAGTTCCCGGGGCTGGGACCACATTCTAATTTGGTGGGAGTCCTTGGGCACCCTGGTGGGGAATGGCTGCTTCCTTCCTCACCTCCCTGGTCGATTTCAGGGACCGCAGGAAACCCAAGCCTTATGAACATTATACAGAACTGCAATTACAACAATCCTGAGCTGACATAAGATTTATTCATTGGGCACCAAATTTCCTTTAGGCCCCTTTCTAGTTTGTAGTTTTTGAAGCTGCTACATTTTTTATGGCTGGCACATCTCAAGGAGGAAATGCAGATTAATAGTCTGTACTGGCTGTGTTCTCATGCTCTCAGGATTGAATCAATAATGACTGCAGTATTAATTAGGCCTTTATGAAAAGAAAATGAAATATGGTATGACATGGAAGATTCTAGATTTAGAATCAAGAGTTCTAATCTCAGCTCTGCTGCCGTCTAATGGGTGACCTCGGGCAAATCACTGAATTTCCCTGAGTCTGTTTCCTCCTCTGTATAAACAGGTCATAATGCTGGCCACATGCTGATGTTGTGAGCATCAGCTGAGAGAGCTGGGTTAAAGGGCCCACCAGGGCCTGGCACAAACAAGAGACTTCGGTGACTTTAATTTTGGACTCTCCTTGCTAAGGAGATCACCACTGCAAATCCAGCCCTTTGCTGGTGCACAGTGGTGCAGCTCTTGCCTGTTCTTGGCAGCAGGTGGGGTACCCAACACCTTGAGATGAACTCTCCAAAGTCCTTGCTGACAATGTCCACGGTCCCTTCTTAGCTGGTGACCAGGAACACTCCCTAGGGGCCTCCCTTCTCAACCTTCCACTTCTCCTACCCATACCCCACAACGGCCCCATTTCCTGTTGTTTCTCATGAATAGAGTCTGGAAGTAGAAACACTAGTTCGTGCAGTGTTCACGGACATCACGGGGCTCTAGGAAGCCTCACATCACATCACTCTGACACTGACTCTCCTGCTTCTCTTTTCCATATTTAAGGATCCCTGTCATTATGTTGTGCCCATCTAGATAATCCAGGATAATCTCCCTATTTTAAAGTCAACTGATTAGCGGCCTTAATTCTATCTGCATCCTTAATTCCTGCTTATAACATAGTCACAGGTTCTGGTGATTTGGACACAGACATTTTGGGGGGCCATTATTCTGCCTACCACAATCCTCTATTTGTAGATGAGGAAACTGAGGCTAGGGTATTAGATCACATACCCAAAGTCACACAGCCGGTAAGTGGCAAGGTTGGAATTTGAACTGGAGCTGCACAATCTGAAGTCTACTACTACCCTAAAGGGCCCCCTAGAAACCCAGAGAAAGCTCATTCCCACAGAATGGCCCCAAACAGCCGACCACAGCGGGAGAAGTAGAGATCAAAAGAGCCCACCCATTGGAATCCCCACACACCGTTTTAGTTCATAATGCAGAGAAGAGACTGGTGAATAATACTGCATAAACTCTGAACCAGTGCTTCTCACATTTGGATTGAGAAAAAGTAGTTTGTAATTGCCCTGGGAGCTTTAAAATAATACTGGTGCCTGAGTCCCACCCCTAGGGATTCTGATTTAATTGCTCAATTGCTCAATTGCTCAGGGGAGGCATTGAATAGAGGCGATTTTTCCAAGCTCCCCAGGTGATTTGAAAGTGCATCAGAATGTGAGAATCATTGCCCTGAACTAACCCATGGCCACAGCCATTCCCCCTACCTGACAATTGTGTCCATAGTCTGATTAGACCATGCCCAGAACACACCCCTCCCACCTTTTGGGCCTTTTCCCTGAACGCCCAGGTCCCCCTGTTTCCTCTTCACCGCCTCACTCGAACCCTGACTGTGTGCCGAGCAGCATTAGATGTGTAGAGAGGACCCTCCCATGGGAAATGGGGCATATTCTCTCCTCTGGCATCTCTCACGCCCCTCTTGCATGGCTGTCTGCAGAATAGAATTGTTTTAATGTCCTCTTTGTATATGCTATATTTCTATAGAGTCTTTCCTTGAAAATGTAATTCACTATGTTTTCGGTGTCTGCATCAGTTCAGCTTGAAAGGCAGTGTGTGCAGAGGGTTGGAGGTCTGACTCTGGAGCCAGACTGCCTGGGTGCAAAGCCGAACCCTGCCAGTTCCTGACTGAGCTTGGGGTGAACGATTCTAGCTTTCTGTGCCTCAGTTTCCTCATCTATAAAATAGGGATCAGAATAGCCGTTACCTAGGGTTGGTGTGAGAACTAATGCTTTCATATATGTAAAAGGGATTAGGACTATGTATTTGCTCATGTTACCAGTATTGCTACTACTCTTGTCTTCACCGAGATCTGTGGGATTCAGTTAATTTCAGCAGATACCGATTCCCTACTCAGTGCCAGGATGGGAAAGAATAAGATGTGTTCTCTGCCTTCAAATAGTTCATGGTCTTGGGAGGGAGAGGGCTGGTAAGGAGAAGGGAAGGAGTCAAATAGGTGAACAGCTAATTAATGATATAATACAGTGTTGACTTGGAACCACGTTGCTGTGGAATAATAAAGATGGGGACATCATGATGTGGGGATTCACCATGGTCGTGAAGGCATATCATGAATTCTAAGCACTAATAAAAAACTCTTAGTGCGTTTTGTCCTGCCATCCATCCGCATTTGCGAAGCTGTGGGCTGTAACACCCTGTTAAGCCCCTTAGACTCATTTCATGAGTTGTGAATTCGAGCCAATTGTGTTAGTGTTTGTGAGTGAACGCATTAATCTGAAAGGTGTCAGTGGCATCCCAGTTCCTGCTGCAAATGCCCCTCACAGGGAGAGGAACGGGGTGGCTTTCTCCAAGAAAACAGCCAGTCTCTTCAAATCCTAGCCCTACCCTCCTTTCAAGGTGCATCCCAGAGAGCGGCTGGAGTCCACTGCAGAGGGTGGTAAAGGAGGACGTGTCATGCCAACAAGGGAGCAATGACAGCAATCAAAAGGGACATCCAAGGAAAATGCAGAGTTGCACGGGGAGACGGGGTCTTAAAAGCCCACACAGGCAGGGATTGGAAAATGTTCCTCTGGGAATGCTCATGTGGTAAGGTGGCCATGGGTGAGTGGGAAAGGAGGGAGGGGTGAATCCTTGGTGTGTGAGGCTCTGTAGAGAGAATGGTTGCTGCCTGGGCAGATGCCTCCTTCCTGTCCCCTCCAGCCAAATGGTCACACATCTCTCGCTCAGATTAACAGCTTGCTGGCCGGTGTGGCGGGCAACTGTAGGAATCTCCGTCAGCTGTGGGAACAGCTGTACACTGCCCAGGGCCACATCACACCCTGGCATGTTTCCCATTCCCTCTTGGTCAAACACACTTAAAAACAGGACTCAACGCTCCTTGGTTTCTAACTGTAAAATATGCCACGTGAAGGATGCAAACTCATGTCTGCCTGGGGACTACAGTGGGGCAGGCAAATGTTTGATGGGCTTGTGAGTTTTTGTGTTTTGAAGAAAAACAACTGTCTCAAGGCAGACAGATGTTGATGAACGTGTTTATTTATAAAGGGCTTACTGAGCTAATAATGACACCAGATCATCCCCAAATGACAGGTGTCACTGCTGACCTATAGCTCAGAGTGTCACTGCCTCTGTTGGAGCAACCTGCTCCATACTGCTGGCCTTTTTCATCTGCAGCCCAGTGTTGCTTGTGGCAAAATGTTTACAGTAGCCTGGGGCTTGCGTGAAAGCCTTGCTAACCCATCCCTGTGCCCTGCTAGTGGTCAGAAATGTCTGTTTTTGTTTCTAGGCTTCCAGAGTCACTAGGACTCTGGGCAGGGAAGGAGGGCCCTCAGGCTCATTGGTGTCTAGGGCCTGGGGGCATTTTTGAGCCACTTCACAAAGCCTGGCCACAGTCTGAAGTCCAGTACATACAGCTGCAGCCCAGGTGACTCCATGGTGAATTGCTCCATCCCTAACATAAGGCACTTGGCACAGCCTCAGTGAGCTATGAGAGAGGCCAGAGTGGGAAGGTGTCATGCACGGCGTGAAAAGGGCCCTCACAAAGACAGAGAGCCTCTCCCCTCCAACCAGGCAGAACAACTAAGTAGAAAGGCTGGTGCAGCTGGAGAATATGGCCAGGAAAGGAGCCTAACAGTGACAGCCAGAGGAAACCCAGGCCGAAGCCACTGGGCCTGTGTGGGTCTGCCTCTTGGATGGGGCTCCATGCACACCCATGTTAGTAGGTGGAGCTGTGTGGGAACATTCAGGTCCCTGGGGTTAAGTCTCATGCCTAGCCCTGGCTGGAGGGTTTTGATGAATGGATCTTTTTTTTTTCTTTAATAGTGTAGAAATTGTATTTTGCCTCATATTCTTGGGTTATCCATATTAGTCTGCAGCTGTTGGTCTTCCTAAACCATGACTGAGTAGGTCATCCTCTGTTCACCACTGGTGATTTCTTACCATCTGGTGATTTCTGGATAATGCTGAGCCCCTGAGCTTGGACATCAGGCTCTACAGCAGGGCTGGGCTCCATACTTCCTGGGCCCTGCCCCTGGCCAGCTGCCCTGAGGTCACTGAACACCTGGGGTGAGAATAGATCTTACCCACCCCTGCTCCCTGTGTTTTTTCAAACTCCCCTCCTTCCTGGCTCTGGAGTGAGCTCCTGGGTGCGGGGTAGTGGCTTGAGCTCCATGCAGGTTTGGTGCCTTGCTCATACTGAGAAGCTCAGTAAGCCCACATCAACCATTTGTCTTTCTCTAGCCAAGAGTCAAATAGATCCACGTTTAAATCCCAGCTCTGCCTTTTATTAGCTGTTGGACTAGTTGTTTAAACCTCTCTGCCTCAGTTTCTTCATCTAATATCAGTACCTTCCTAAAGGGGTTGCTGTGCCCATTACATGAAATAATGCTCAGAAAGCAGTGGTACAGGGTAGGAATTCAGTATGGTAGCTGCTATTGTTTTTGTTACTATTATTATTTCATCTCACCCCTACTGCCAGTGCCCCGCATGCAGTAAGTGCTAATAATTGTCCAATCAAGAAACAAGTGAACAAAGGCCATGTTCTTATTCCCTTGCTCTTGTGGGTTGGCCCCTTCCTCTTCTGCTGCCTGCATGCCCACTCCCATCAGACTGCTGAGAGCGTTCCTGGCGCGCCCCGACTTGGTGCTGACATCAGCAAACAGAGCCCCGGAGGCCGAGTCTTTCACTCCGGGGTTGTGCATCCTCCGGGGGTGTCAGCTCTTCAAGCTCTTCCAGGTCCTGCAGCTGTTGGCTAGAGATGCCAGCTATGGAAACAGCTGTGCCTCCACCATCTTGCCTCTTCCTCCCCCTGGATTCCTGCTATCCCTTTGGCAGGCAAGCGCACTTAAAAATAAGTGGCAAAAGTTGCACTTGTTTGAAGTGTAAGATATGTCACTCTCAGAAAGAGATTTTGTTCTTACTGAATAAAGGATAAGAAATAGATTCCTAGTTAAAGAACTTTTTTGGCTAACTCTTCTTTCAGGGGGTGGGAGCGAGCATCCTTTGTCCTTTTGGCGTAGGCTCTTGGGGAAGAATGGATGTTCTTGCTTCAGAGCCGCCAGCACAGGCTCTCTGGGCTCTGGCTTTCTCATTGATCTATTTCCCTCTAGTGAATGGGTTTTACAGAAGCTGCAGAGAGATTTTCCCCTAATGATTGTGGATAGAAAAGAATAAAAAGTGACTCCGGGGGTATCTTGGGACCTTAACTGTCATTGCACGCTGATGCTTCATTTCAGAATGCAAACGGCCTTCTTCTACTTTGCCGGGATAAATGGTTCCCTTTAGCTGGGGACAGTGAGAAAAGAAGCAGGGCTTTCCAGGTAAAATTGAACGGCCTCCTGTGTTGGGGGTGAGGCTCTCCCCCCCACCTCCTTTCCTCATCTCCCCCAGAATCCTAAAGAAAGGAGGACGGAGGCTGGAGTCCACTGGCCAGCTTGGTGTATAGAATCTTTTTCTTTCTCTTTTTGAGCGGGGGATAAGGTCTGGTTGGAGGGAAGTGGCACCATCTTGGCTCACTGCAACCTCCACCTCCCAGGCTCAAGCCATCTTCCGACTTCAGCTTCCCAAGCAGCTGGGACTACAGGCGCGCACAATCATGCCCGGCTAATCTTTGTATTTTTTGTAGAGATGGGGTTTTGCTATGTTGCCCAGCCTGGTCTCAAACTCGTGAGCTCAAGCCATCTGCCTGACTTGGCCTCCCAAAGTGCTGGGATTACAGGCGTGAGGTACCATACCTGGTGATGGATACAGTCCTAATCTGTTTCCTCCTAACAGGCATCTCCCGGTGAAGCCTGGAGTCTAGGGAAGGAACTCCTGCTTAATGGGCCCCCAGGAAGTCACTTTCTCAGGCTGGCTGGCATCAGAACTGGTGCCCAGGTAGGAGGTGCCAGTGTCAGTCTTCTCAGGGTGGGGTGGTGTCTGCTTTTCCTGTGGGTCTAGCATCCTCACCAGGTTATAACAAGGCCAGCTCGGAGCTCTGTACTGGGATCTCTTAACAATCACCGGCCCTGAGCACCCATCTCCTGGGTGAGGGTTTGGGCCAGAAAGATCCTCTGAGCCAATTCTGGACTCCTTATCTGTGTCCTGTGGTAGAGCAACAGCTCTGTGAGGACAGAGCAAAGCTAGGGGGCCACCGCCGTGTACCAATATCAGCACAGGAGCTTGGCCCTGGTGGGAAAGCAATGGAAATCCATCTGCGATAGAATGGATGGGTGAAGGAAGAAACTTACACCTTCTCAAGCAGGGGCAGGTGGCCCTCATGATTCCAGACTGTGGCTGTGATCTGGGACAAGCTCTCCCCTTTATTTCCAAGTGAGCTGCTTATATGTCCCATTCTGTAAGAACACAGCCAATGAATCATCACAACAGCACAATGACAATGATGACTTTGGGATCCAAAATAAGAAAATCAAACTCCCTTACATTCGTTCAGGAATCTACAGTTCAACGAGGCTGTTTCCCATGCATACGTCACACCCTTCGCCTGCATGTGAGTGGATGAATGTGGCCTCCGTTTACAGGTGAGGCAGCTGAGGTGCTGCCAGGTCAAGGGACCTGCCCAGGACCATGCAGGCAGCAAAAGGTGGGGTGGCTGCCTCCCAACGTGGGATGCAGAGCTGCAGTTGCCCCAGCACAAAGTCAGTTTCATGCTCAGCTACAGAACTAATCTCAGTGACCTTTCCTGGGTCCCATGCTCTGCTGCCAGATCTCTTGTGGGATGAGGCCACCATGCTGACCAAGAAGCTCCAGACCACGATCAGCTGGCTGTCCGCTGTAGGGGCACAGGTCTCCCCACCCCAGGGCACTTGCGGATTCAGGAAGGAGGCAGTGGAGGCTCTCCTTGCTTTCAGTAGGAGCTAAGCCTTTTCAACTGCACTCTAGGGCATTTCCAGCAAATTCCTACATGACCCTATGCAGGGGAGGGGACACAACCCTGGTGGCTTCACTTTATGGGTTGAAAGTCTCTGTGGGCTCCAAAAGCGGGTCAGCCTGCCCTCGTTTTCTGGAGACTCTGGCTACGCTCTTTGGACAGTTCACAGGGATAATCTCTAGAGGTGCCCTGGCTAGAACACGGAGATGCCTGGCACTGCTGTGCATTCATCCAATGAGTGACAGTGATCTTGAGCCCTTGACCTAATCCGACAGTGTGACCTAATCCCACAGTATGACCCAATCCATTTGGCATTAATGCTGGCTGAGACTGGAGACCACTGACCTCTTTTCCTTTCAGTTTGATCATATAATAAGAACTGTGTTAGTATAAATCATTATTTAAAGTGTGCTTTAGGCCAGGCATGGTGGCACATGCCTGTAATCCCAGCACTTTGGGAGACTGAGGCAGGCAGATCACTTGAAGTCAGGAGTTCGAGACCAGCCTGGCCAACATGGTGAAACCCCATCTCTACTAAAAATACAAAAATTAGCCAGGCATGGTTGTGCATACCTATAAACCCAGCTACTTGGGAGGCTGAGTCAGGAGAATGGCTTGAACCCAAGAGGCAGAGGTTGCAGTGAGCCAAGATTGTGCCACTGCACTCCAGCCTGGGTGACAGAGTGGACTCTGTCTCAAAAAAAAAAAAAAAAAAATGCAATAAGTGTCAGTGTTGTGTAATTGACTGTTAGTTCATAGCAATGGTCTCACCAGTCTGCCCACAGTATAGTGAGGTGGTAGGATGGAAGGCCTGGAACTAGAGACTAGGATTTGAATTTTGGCTCCACCACTTCTTAGTTGTGTAACTTCACACACTCTGTAAGTCTCGTGCCCCTAATCTGCAAAGTAGGTACAGTGTCAGTGCCTACTCATTGAGTTTTTGTGGGGACAAAACCAGAGAATGCTTGTGATGTGTTTGTCACTGTGGTCCCCATTACCCTTAAGAAATGTCAGCTCTTTTCTTTGCTCTTATTACTACATTAGTGTAAACAATGTCTCCCATAGAGGCTGCTCCTGAATTAGTAGTGTATTCTTGCCATAAATTACACTTGGGAATAGCCTGATTAATAGTCAGAGATAAGAGGCCTAGGGTGTAAACTCCACCAAATTGTTCAATGTGTGAGACTTTGAGTTAGAAGGCTTGGCGAATGTCCTGCCTCGCTATTTGCTGCCTTCATGGGTATAACTAATATACCTTCTCCTCATCTGTGAATGGGGATAATGATGTTCCTGAGCTATGGAGAGGACCAGGCAAGCACTGTGTGTCAGAGCACCTGGCATAGGGCCTGGTACAGGTCAATGCCCACCTATTTTCTGTCCTTCCTTTCTTCCTGTTTGTTCAAACCAGGTCTGAGGCTAACAGATGTGTCTTGGTGAGTCCAAGAGGGTGGCTGGGCCATAAGGGTTGGGGGAGTGGAGAAGTGGGGCTACCAGTTGCTGCTGGCAATTTGCAATATCTACCCTGTCCCAGGAATTGTACCCTGGCCTCTCGGGATGATTTAGTATGGCAGTCATGGAGCTGAAAGTTACAAATGGAGGCTCCAGTGATGGAGCTGGATTTCCTGTTCTATTTAGTCCAGAGCCCATGTGGAGGATCCAAGACAATTAGAGCCAGAGAGTGCTGGAGAAGGCCTCAGTGATCATCATCAGACCATCCTTCTTATTGAACAGATGAGGAAACTGAGGCCTAGAGAGAGAAGACACCTAAAAGTCCACACAGCAAGTTACAGAGACTTGCTCAGGCAGAGCCACACCCCTGTGTCCACGCCTCTGGTCCTTCTAGGTCTCTGGGGTCACACTGATCAGAATTCCTCCAGCATCTGCTATATGCCAAGCTTTGTGTTTCTCATTCAATTCATTTACCAAAAATTGAAAGAGTGCTTACACTGTTCCTGGCACTGGGGACACACTAATGAACAGGACAGATATGATCCCTGCCCTCATAGAGCTTCCAGGCTAGTGGGAAGGCACAGGGACAGGCAATAACAAGGAATCAATCAAATAAGTCCGTGTAAATTCAGATGCAGACAAAGAACGGAATGTGGCAGTGATGGGGGGTCATGGAGGAAGAAATGAATTAGGGTTGTAGCTTCAAGGGCGACCTCTGAAAGTTACTTTGGTATTGTGAGATTTATTTCTATTAATACTTCCTTTCGCTATGTACTACAGTATTATCTCCTCAGGAAAGTGAGGCTCAGAGAGGTTAATTAACTTGCCCAAAATCACACAGCCAGTCAGTGGAGGAGTCAGAATTCGAACCCTACTCTGCCTGACTCCGAAGTCCAGGTTTTTTCCACCATCCTTGATTATCTACAGAAATTAGGACAACCTACTACAGAATGTCAGGTAATATGGTAACCATTAGTATGAGCATTAAGGGACCCCAAGGCCAGACCTGTGAGCCCAGCCTCACTGCTGTCTCTGTCTCCTGTTCTAGGGGGAGGGACGAGGTGGATATTCTAGATGGTCTTACCCTCTCCTCTCCTTCGGAGACTGGCTTCATTGGGAGTGAGATGACACTGTCGCAGGGCTAGCTTTTTGTAGGCCACTAGTTGTCGCAGGCTGCTGATGAAGCCAAGCAGATCACCCCCATGTCCACAAGCACACCGGGATTAGATACATTTAAGTCCTAGATCCCAAACGCCTTTTTCATTTCTGGTTTTGCATTTGTTTCCATTCTACTATCTTCATTTGGAAAACCCTTTCATTCCTCAAGAAAACAAGCCACACAATCAAAAAAAGATGTGTCTTATCCTCTGGGCGCTGCCTCATTGCCTGCCCCATTATTGACCAATGCCACCGGAGTGCCTTGCACAGCTTGGCCAGCGTTCGCTGTGCACATCGACCGGTGAGCTGGCATGCTGACAGCGGCAGGGGCCCCCAGCTTCAGACACTTCTGAACCCAGCTGCTTTACGGACACAATCGGTTGAATCGGTTGAATCATGACTTGTCTCCCAAACCACAAATTTGTAACTAGTTCACCGTGAGCCTATGCAGCCAGATGAATTGTAACTTGGGCAGTCCCTGCACCTAAATTTTTTTTTTACCCAATAAAAAATGATATCTAGACATCTCTGTGTGCATGAAAGCATGTCTGTACGTGCGTGTGTATGTTTGGCACCAATGGGAAATACAGAGACGTGGAATGCCAGCTCTGCCCTCAACCTCTTCCCAGACGGGTGGGAGATGATATTCTGTGGACTGTAATTCAAAGAAGACAGACTAATAACAAAGAGCTATGGAGACCAGGGGAGGGGCAAGAATTCAGATCTGGAGTGGAGACCAGGAAAATGGTCCTGGGAGGCCAGACTCTTGGAGAAATGTGGACCTGGCAATAAGAATTTATGAGCTCTTTCTCCGTCACTGCTGAGTGTATATCTTCCAAGGTATTTTCCAGTGGGCATAAATTACCTTTCGATTGCAGTATTCGCCACCTCCACTCATCCCCCAACACCAGGTCTTATGTGGACTGTTAGGGAAGCCTCTAACTTGTACCCTGCCTCCTCACCCTTTCTGCACCACCTCACCTCATCGTCACAGCTGTGAGGAATCCAACAGACACACACACTGGACCTTGTCCTTGTCTGAAAACTTTTGGCTGCTCCTCCTTGTCCTTAGAATACAGTCTAGACTCCCCAGGGGGGCAGATAGAGCCCTCCAGAATTGGCCCTGCCCTGCTCTGCGGCCACATCTGTGCCATTTCCTCCTGGAACACTGTGCCAGTCAACCTGGAGTCCCCTGTGCCCATTACCCTGGAGTCCCCTGTGCCCCACAGGTCCACGTCTCTGGGCCTCTGCATGTACTGCTCCTCCTTCCAAGTGCTGTTCTCATCTCTTAAGCCTGAGCTGTCCTCCCTGACCCACCCCCACCAACTTTCAGTGCCCCCACGGAGCCTCATGCATACAGACGTCTCTTGCTGCACCTCTTATATGCAATATATTCCTCTGTTTACATCACTGCTCATTTACTGAGTTATATGAGGGTGGTCCAGGCCCGTGCCTCTTTGAGTCCCCATGCCTTATACAGCATCTGACAGAAGGGTGGCTCAGGGAATGTGTGGCACAGCAGTGAATGATGTGCAGCTTCCACCGTACTTCCAGACATGAATTGATGGTCCTGGAACCTTCAGAGAAGCCTTACCACGTTGTGATCAGTAGGTGGGGGACTCGACACTACCACTGCAGAGGTGGCTTTGTGGGGTGGCCCCTGTGTGTGCTCTTATGTTTGCAAAGTGCGTTCTTTCACGCAGTCAGCCTACCAATGGGTGACCAGATTCTTTCTTCAGAAGCCAGTCAGAAAAGGGACTTGGCTTCCCAGATTACGCAAAGGCAATCTAATCCCAGACCTTCAGTTTTTGGTTAGCCAGCGGCTGCACAAGTGTCACAGACCACAGGGGCTGGGCGACGGGCATGGTGGTCCCTCTGCTTTCCTGGGCACGTTAGGATGTCATTCTCTCACAGGACTCGTTTCAGAGAATTTTCCGTGTAAATGTGAAAGACCTAAATTTATGCCTGTCTCAGTAACTAAGTATAGGCTACTTATGGAACCACCCAGCTATGGGAAATCCAGCCATGACAACTAACTGTGAAGAAATAGCCCCCCTTATTACACAGAGCAGACATCCTCAGGGATTGGATGAAAAAGAGCTCTCTAGGAAGTCAGTGAAAACGAGCTCCCTGCCTCCTCAGAGTATGCCTGGTCAATGTGTGACAGGCTCGCTACTGGGTTCCCATGCTGCATCCATAACAGACATAACCAATCGATCCCAGCATTCTTTCTAGATGGGCTCAAAGTCCTTCCTCCCTCCAGTGCCACCTCCATGCACAATGCCTAGCCTCAGGCATACTGCTGCTCCTGCACCTCTGTGAATGAGCCCTCCACAGAGGTCCACCTTTGGTCCATGGTTGATCCATGGACCAAAATGCCTGTTCCTTGTGGGCCTCAAGACAGCTGAATAATCTACTAATTCAAAGGGAGACCAGAAAGGCAATAGTCAAAGATAATAAAGAGCATAACAATAGTCTACCCTCTATAATGCAAGTTTTTTCTCCTCTCAGAGGGTCCCTGATCCCATCAGAGGACTCAGTTCTTCACAAGCAAGACTGATCTTGCAGCAGAGGGCTGATGGAGTCATTTACATGGAGAGCCAAAGAGAGTCTCTCCCACCAGGACCTTGAGCTCCTTTGAGGTGTGCCTCATTTTTTCATTCATCAAGTGTTTATTAAGCATCTATGTTTAAGGGCAAGCTCTGGGGAAAACATGGACATAGAAACAGACATGGTCTCTGTCCTCAAGCAGCTTATAGCCTCAGAACAGGCCAGACATTAGTCAGATAATTGCACAAATGACTGTAAAATTACAACTGTGGTAAGTACTCCAAGGAGCCTAGATTGATCCAGTCAGAGGATGAATAGGATTAACTTGACATAGAGTGAAGGGAAGAACATTCTAGGCAGAGGGAACAGCATTCGGAAAGATTGTGTGTCAAGAAGGAGATGAGCACAACAGCCTTGGTGGTCCTGGGAAGAGGATTTGTCTACATTCTACGCACAACAGGAAACCACCAGGCAGAACCTCTAGCCCTGGGACAGTGCTGTGCACATTCGAGGGCTGGATGCATCAGTGAGGAACAAAGGCATGCATGGGGGAAAGGATCCAGTGTGATGGAATGACGGATGCTCTCCCACCCAGATTATGTGCAAACCCTGGAATGAATCCGCCTCCACACTGACTTTGGAGATCTGGGGCAGGTCGGGTTTCCAACTGCAGGTCTTTAGTATTCCTTGACTAAGTCAGCTTAGTCAACTACGTTAACGAGGTCAAGTCAAGCTAAGTTAACTACTCCAGCCATTCTTAGAGGTATTTCACTGCAGGCTTTTTGTGTTCTATTTCTGCCTTTCCCCCCACAACAGTTGGGTAACAGTCCCCAGCATAGTGAATAAGTTCTGTAAGATTTAATATTGATTTGTTGGAGTTTTTAAAAATTGAAAGTATAATTAATGATTTATTGCTACTTTGCAGTTTGCATTAATCACTGTCATTAATGGTAATCCTTTTAGGTGGTTTATAACTTTTAAATGGAGTCTGTTAATTCCCAAGCCTGGTGGCTTTGTCTCTAGGCTGCATTGGGGTCTGCCACCCTCCCATGCCCCCGACATCCCTCCCCATCACCCCATTTGCTTTAAGATACAGGGATGAAACTCCAGGTGTAAACTTTTCAGGGTCAGCCTCTTACCAAGGAACAGACATTTGGGTACCTTCCTGGCCAAGAGGAGGGGTGGTGCACAAGCTGGCTCTGGGCCTTTGCTGTGGGCAGAGAGAACCAGGCCACTGCTAGCTCTTCAACCCACTACTTCATTTACAACTCTCTGACTTTGTATTCCCTGGTTTGCATGTCTGACACCTCACTTGGCACATGATTTATTACAGCTTTTCAATAGCCCGTTCTTTCTGATTGACCTGTCCATCTCCATTTGGAGTGGAAAGATTGGCTTCTAGGTGTTTGTGGTGAGAATATTCCTGAGTGCGATGGTTTGGGGTTAGGAGCTTCCTGCTCTTGGTACAGAACCGAGGACCACAACTAAAGGAACTCCCCTTTCTCTGGCTGGGAAATGAAAAGGGTGGGGAAATACACACTAGAAGTTGCCTGAGACCTGGCTGAAGGAGAGAAACTTTCTGTTTTGCCAACACCTTCAGGGATAGAAAAAAAATCAAACTTCTGCCTGCATCACAGGCAAGGGAAGGCAGCTCAATGGAAACAGCATGAAAAGAACTTCGGAGCCCATATAGGTCAATCCCCTGCTTCTGGGGTGGGCATTCTCTCCCACATGAATAGGTCCAGATTTCATTTTGAAAACATTTCCCTGGGAGGAATCTTCCCTCAAATTCTCTCTCTTTCCGTCTCTACCCTTCTTCAAGGTTTGACAATCTCTCTAACCAAAATCCCTCTTGCTGTAGTTAGAGCCTCTTAGGGACCAGTTAAACTGGAATAAGGGATGGCCATAACAAAACATGCAAATTCCTTTTCCTTTTAAAGAGAAATATGTCTCCTGGATATTACCTGAATAAACCCATCAGCTTGCTGTTACTTTTCTGGGATTATACTTGATGAGGATGGTTGCAGAAAGTCCTGTAAACATCTTCTATAGTCTGTATGGGGAGGACAAGTCCCACCTGTTTCCAGTGGAACATTCTGATTCCTGTTGTTACTCTATATTTACAGAGTGGGCTCCACTAAGAGCCCACCTCCTTCTGTCACTGGTGGAAAGGCTATTTAATATGATCCCAATTAGAGGGAGGAGGATCTGGGATGGTTGTTGGAACATGGCAGACGGGGGAGACCCGGAGGGAATAAACCACCCCAGGATGCTGTGTGACCACCTGACCCTCTGCAAAGCAGCATCGTGGCACTCTGTTCCCTTTCAAGGTTCCCACAGTGAGTGCCACCCATTTTTACCACAATGGCAACAGGATTTATGCTCCCACCCACTCTCAGTTCTGAACTTTCTATGGCTTTGCCCCTCATTGGTCATAAAACACGTGTCACCTGCCTCTCTGACTTGGCTTTTCTTGCAATTACATGGTTTCCTTTGCGATCTTCCTGGCCAGTGGAAGCAGAAGGATGCTTTTACAGACAGGGTATTATAGATGGGTTGGCAGATGAGGTGATTTCTGAGGGCCTGGCACAATGCCCAAAGGGACGTGAGTCAGCTCTCAGAGGAGGTTTGGTTTTTCCTTCCAAATTCATACAAACAGCAGTGAAGTTTAAAAGATCCTCAAGTGGATTACAACCCCCATTCATTTGGCAGCAGAGGAGCACAACTGTCAAAAAGTCCAGGTACTTTAAGCTGTGGAAGAGGCACAGAGTCACTCTCAAGTTGGACAGGGCTTCAAGCTATTTCTAAAATTAACATCGGGGCCTTTCGTTCCCTTTCGAGGTTCCTTTGAGGAATGGGTGAAAGCCACCTCTTCTTGACCACAGCAGTGACTGGATTTATTTTTGTCCTGTCTTCCTCCTCCACATTCTCAGTTCTCGAGGCTTTTTATTGTTTTTGGTTTTAGCCAGGCTTGGGCTGGTTGCTTACTCTCCGGTGTGCAGGGCTTCTAGAAGTGTTAGCCACAGCCAGCGGGAGGCAGCCGATCACCCATCCCACCTGCTGAGCTGTCGCGGGCAGACATCTGTTGAGCTCCTCCCCAGCACCAGCCGCAAGAATGTACCTGATGTGGTCTTTGCTCTGCAAGAGCTCTCAGTTTAGAGCAGTCTTTTTGAGAAAAAAAAAAAAAAAGTGGTATGATACACGTAATATAAAATACCATCCTAACTTGTTTTTTTTTTTTTTTTTTGAGATGGAGTCTCACTCTGTCACCCAGGCTGGAGTGCGGTGGTGCGATCTTGACTCGCTGCAACCTCTGCCTCCCAGGTTCAAGTGATTCTCCTGCCTCAGCCTCCCTAGTAGCTGGGATTACAGACATGCACCACCATGCCCAGCTAATTTTTGTATTTTTAGTAGAGATGGGGTTTTACCATGTTGGCCAGGCTGGTCTCGAACTCCTGACCTCAGGTGATCCACTCACCTCGGCCTCCCAAAGTGCTGGGATTACAGGCGTGAGCCACCACACTTGGCCTCATCCTAACCATTTTTAAGTATATAGTTCAGTGATGTTATGTTTACTCATATTGATGTGCAAACAATCTCCAGAACTCTTGTCTCCTGCAAACCTGAAATTCTGTACAGTATATACATGGGGGATGTGTTCCAAGATCCCTGGTGGATGTCTAAAACTGCAGATAGTACCGAATCCTACAGAGAGAGATAGTCCCAGATTTAACGATGATTTGACTTAAGATTTGTCGACTTTATGATGGTGTGAAAGCAACACACATTCAGCAGGAACTGTACTTTGAATTTTGAATTTTGATCTTTTCCTGGGCTAGTGGTATGCGGCATGATATTCTCTTGTGATGTTGGGCAGCGGCAGAGAGCCCCGGTCAGCCCTGTGATCACGAGGGTCAGCAACTGATACAGTACTCTACCGTTTACAGTGTTCAGTAAATCACATGAGATATTCAATGCTTTATTATAAAATAGGCTTTGTGATAGATGATTTTGCTCAAATGTAGGCTAATGTAAGTGTTCTGAGCACACAAGGCAGGCTAGGTTAAGCTGTGACATTCGGTAGGTTAGGTGTATTAAATGCATTTTCTACTTACAATATTTTCAATTTACAACGGGCTCATCAGGACGTGACCCATCATAAGTTAAGGAGTATCTGTAATGCTGCAATGAACATGGGTGTGCAAACATCCCTTTGATACTCTGCTTTTAAAAGCAAGTGTTCTTGGCTGGGCATGGTGGCTCACGCCTGTAATCCCAGCACTTTGGGAGGCCGAGGCGGGCAGATCACCTGAGATCAGGAGTTCGAGACCAGCCTGGCCAACATATATGTTGCCATATATGTAGCGAATCCTCATTTCTCTACTAAAAAATGCAAAAAATTAGCTGGGCATTGTAGTGCATGCCTGTAGTCCCAGCCACTTGGGAAGCTGAGGCAGGAGAATTGCTTGAACCCAGGAGGCAGAGGTTGCAGTGAGCCAAGATCGCACCACTGCACTCCTCCAGCCTGGGCGACAGAGCGAGACTCTGTCTCTCAAAACAAACAAACAAACAAACAAACAAACAAAAAAAGCAAGCATTCCTAACCTGGGGCCCGTGAACTCCCAGAAACTAGCTGCAATACATGGTGTGTTTCTGTAAATGCTTCTTGTTCTAGGGAAAGCAAATTCATAGCTCGCATCAGGTTTTCAGTGGGCTTAGGATGTCAGGAGGGCTCAGTCTAGAGAGTAACAAAAGCAGCACCTCCTTCGGAATCCCCCAAGGCCCTGCCTGTCCTGAGTGCCGCCTCTCCGATGGCAGGGCAGGTGTGAAGGAGCAAGTCATTCACTTCTTGGTTCCTGTCCCAGCTGTGCCATTTACTACCTGGGTGACACTTGGCAGTTCAGCTGACGTCTTGGAGCCCTAGTCTTCAAATCTGTAAAATAGAAATAATGACAACGTCTTCCTAGGATTGTTAGGAAGATTAAACTAGATTTAGCACAATGGTCAAAAGCATAATGTGGTAGGCTGAATCATAATGCCCCCCCCTGCCCCACCGACCACCACCCTGCCAAAATATCCAGCTCCTAATCCCTGGATATCCTGGCAAAAGGGACTTTGCAGGATGTGGTTAAATGAAGGATCTTGAGATGGAGGAGAGTATCCTGGGTTATCCAGGTGGGATCTAAACGTAATCACAAGTGTCTTTGTGAAAAGGGAGGCAGAGGAAGCTACCGAAGAGGAAGCAGGACGAGTGATGGTGAAGCAGGAGGCTGGAGTGGTGGGAGAAGAGGCTACGAGGCAGGGAAGGCAGGCCCTCTCTGGAAGCTGGAAAAGCAAGGAAACGGATTCCCCCGCCTGATCTTCGGGAAGGAGCCAGCCCTGCGGACAACCTCCACGTTAGTCTAGTGAAACTGATTCCACACATCTGGCCTCCGGAGCTGTAATATAATAAATCTGTGTTGTTTTAAGTAATGTGTTACAGCAGCAATAAGAAATGAGTGTACGTGGACTCTGGGGCCAGACTGCCTGGGTCTGAGTAAACCACTTACCAGCTGTGTGACCTTGGGCATGTCACTTAATCTCTTCATGCCTCAGTTTCCTCATCTTTCAATAATAAGGCCCACCACAAAAGGGCTGCTATGAGGAGTAAAGAAGCTAGTATGTGTAAGTCATTGAGACTAGCACCCGGAACCTAGTAAACGCTGTGTTAAGTATTTGTTAAATAAAATAACTAAAAAGCACGTGAAGGTGGCTGGCTCACAGGAGGCTGTGGGGTGATGCGAGTGGATGCTGACGGGTTTGGCGGCGTGGGCTGTGCTCCGTGGAGTCAGTTCAGGAAGGCAGGGGAGTATTTGGTGCCTCTCAGGAAGACTATGGTAATCTTCATGAAAATGAACCATGGATGCTTGAAGGAATGAACCCTCCATTGTCTGTTACACTGAATGCCTCACACCCTGCATTTCCCAGTGTTCCTTGAAATATTAATAGCTGTTACTTCAAAACAAGAGTCAAGGTCAAATAAGTTTGAGAAACTGCATTTCAAAGCCGACTTGTTTTCTTTTCTTTAGAAGTCTCAGAAGCTTTAATATGCTAATGAGCCTGATGAATCTCTGAGAAGCATTTTTCAAACATTTGGCCACTCAACCACTTTGTATGGTGCTTCCAACATGGCCAGCACTCGGCAGAAGGCGCCTCAGAGCAAGCCTGTATACCTGTGCCTGCTACAGAGGTGTGTGAAGGTGGGACAACCCATCTGAGAGGCAGTGTCAGGGGCCTGTTTGCCTGACCTCAGAACTAACTAGAAAATGCAGCTGCTGCTGCTCCTGTCATTCATATCCCAGACAGTCAGAAAGGGTGACCGACAGGCCCATCCATCCCTGTTTCCTTCAGGGCCTGGGCCAGCCTCCAGTGGAGGCGCCTAGACCCTGAGGCCCCAGACCCTAGCATGCCCCTCTCTTGCCTCCCTCCTGACCCAATCTAAGACCCTGAGGGCACTGTGGATGCCACAGCCCTCAGATCTAAACTTCATCCTGCCCCCTCCTCCAGCTACCCCTTGGCTGCTTCTCAGGCTTAGGGATGTACCTACCAGCAGCCAGCGTCAGCCTATGGGAGGACAGAGAAAGTGGCAGCGTGGGCCCTGGAAGCAGGCCTGGGGCCTTTTTGGACAGGGGACTCTGGGCGTCTGGATATCCAAACGGGGGTTTAGAAGGTGGAGGCAGACAAGGCCTCTTGGCCCTGTGGGCTTCTGACTCCACGGGGTGTGGTGTGACTTAAGGAGGGGTCAAGCAGGGCCCTCTAGTGTGGGGGACCCAGAGCCAGAGCTCCAGGTGTCTGGATCCAGGGCAGTACCTGTGGGCATTGAACACACAGCAGCACAGACCCCGAATTGCAAATAGTGCCCCCAGTCACCAAACTGGCCCTCTCCATAGCCATATCTTTGTTTGCTTCTGCGCATCTCTAGCAGACACGCAGTTCTAAGCTCCTGGTTCATCAGGAACTTGCATCCTGATCTCCGCTGTACCCCACGGGTCTTGGCATTGTACCTGGCACGCTGAGGCCAGATCCGCAGTGACCTCTCACCAGCAGCAGTCGCTGTGGTGATGGTGGCTGCCGCATGCCCTGGCCCTGGCCCTGGCCCTGGCCCTGGTCCCTCCCTCCCAAATGGAGGGAATGGTGGAGCAGGTTTCCTTTCTCAACCGTGGGGAGGGCCACCACTTCCCACAGGGAGCCTAGGCCTCTGCCCTCAGTGGGGGAGCGGAGTGGGCCACTGACTAACGCGGCTTTCAGTGCCTACGATAGGAATTCACATGGAGAGGTGGCCTTGAAATAAGTGCCTTGTTTAATCTTCATGCCCTGGAAGTATTTTTCACAAGGTGGCTTAGTTAGAGGGGCTGTGGATCTGGTAATGAGGCTGGCCTTGGAGGGGGAGACTTGTGAGAGGAGCTCAGCTATGAACACTTCTAGCAGGGCTGTATTCATAAAATCCTGGGGGCTCCCAGGGGATTTGAAGCTCTACACAGAAAATTACAGGGCAGGAAAGGACCTGGGCAATTATTTTTCCTCCAAGAATGGCCATGCTTAAAACATCACCATTAGGCGCCACAAGTGGCTTTCTCCATGACAGCTCTTTTAAAAAATACTTTATTGGGTTTTTTTAAATTACAAAAGCAATATAGGCTTCTTTTAACACAGAGGTGTGTTCTCATTATCAAAAGGAAAAAAATCAATAGGTTCCCTGATTCCCATCTCCCTGCGTCCCCAGTAGTACCAGTGTTAACAATTTAGTGTTTAGCCAGAGGTGATTAATGCACCTTTTGTGTGTGCTTATACAAAAATGTACCAACATGCATACACATATATGGGCATTTTTGTTTTTATGTGTTGGTGTTTGCTTTTTTAAAAAAGAGGAATCACACTATACCCATTATGCTGTAAGTTTCTCTTTTTACTTAGCAATATATCATGAACATTTTCTAAGTCAATACATATAGATCCACTTCATTTTTAAAAACAGCTACATAATGTTCCCCAGTATGAGTACCATAATATATTCAGCTGTTTCCCTATTGATGTGTATTCAGGTTGTTTCCAGGGTTTTTTAAAAAATTATAATAAGCAGTTCTTTTAAAATATTCTTTGATTTCTTTTTCTATCTTGTGCATATGTTACAAAAGACTCTTTTGCCTTAGGAGGATTATAAAAATGGTGAACAATTAAAATATTTCTTTACAGTCACATTGATATAGTTTTGACACCTTAAACCCTTTATGTATTCATTTGGGTGGCCCTGGGCGCTGTGCCTGGCACTGTGGAGGACAGTGACCAAGGAGATGTCTGTCCTCAAGGACCCCTGCTTTAGTGAGGGTGCTGACAAGCAGGTGGACAGGAATGCGGCTCAGATGGACGATCAAGAAGGAGGTTTCGGCCAGAATGGAAACTTAATAGATGAGAGTGTGGCCTCTTGGTTTAAATCCTGTCTCCACCACTTAGTTGCTATGAGGTCTGGGGGATGTTCACTTTTCTTATGGGGCTATTGTGAGACTCAAAGAGTTGATGTAAAGAAAAGTGCTTAGGAGGCCAGGTGTGGTGGCTCATGCCTGTAATCCCAGCACTTTGGAAGGCCGAGGATGGCTGATCATATGAGGCTAGGAGTTTGAGACCAGCCTGGCCAACATCGCAAAACCCCACCTCTACTAAAAATACAAAAATTAGCCGGGTGTGGTGGTGCACAGCTACTCGTGGTAGCTGGGTACTAATCCCAGCTACTCGGGAGGCTGAGGCAGGATAATTGCTTGAACCCAGGAGGCAGAGGTTGTAGTGAGCCATAATCGTGCCACTGTACTCTAGCCTGGAAGACAGAGTGAGACTCTTGTCTCAAAAAAAAAAAAAAAAAAAAAAAAAAAGAAAAAGAAAAGTGCTTAGGCCCCAGCCAACAAGTTGGACTCACCAAATGGCTTGTTGCTGTTTGAAGTGCTGCCCCCGCCACTGGGAGATCAGGAAAAGCTCCCCCTGAAGGGGTGACAGTGCAGCTGGCCCTTGGGAAGGAGGTGAAGGGCCTTTTAGTCAGTTGGGGAAAAAACAAACACTCCCTGCCCACCACCACCACCTGGTCCTGACCTCAGTTCTTCAGCTCCCTAGGCTGTTCAAAGATCCAAAAACCTATTTATTTTTAGTTGCTAAAAATATCCCCTAAGCCAGGGTTAAAGAATTTCTCCCTTAGTGGTAAACAGGTGACTTAGAACCAATCAGGGCCCAGCAGCCCCAGTGATGATGCTGTTCCTCCCCTACCCCCAAACATTCAGCAGGATCCTTTCATGTGTCAAAAGGAAAGAAACTTATCAGAAACTTCCTGTTGAGAAAACGATACCTCTTACCCCAGACTTAGCAGATGCACAGAAACCTTTGACTCCTGGATCTGCCAAGGCACACAAAGAACCAGAAACACCTATTGGCCTGGCCTGGGATAGGCAAACACTGGGGCTCAGCCCAACAAGCCTTCCTAGCACAGCCTGGGGGCAGCACACACAGTAGTCAAGAGAGCTGCCTGCCCTGGCTGTAGAGCCTAGGTCTGCCCCTTATTAACTGTATGACCTGTAGTAAATTATTTAGCCTCTCCGAGCCTCAGTTTCCCTGTCTGTAAAATAGAAATAAGAATACCTGTCTCAAAATCCTGTTAAGGACTAAATGAGATGGTGCCTGTAAGGCACACAGCACAGGACCTGGTGCACAGTGAGGCTGCAATACATGGCCCCTGCTGTTACCATTGTTAATGGAGACCGCCGCCCTGCTCCCTCCGCCCCCTGAAACGGGGGCTAGCACTCCCCAACTGTCTGGCCATCCTTCTCCAGCTGCCATTTGGGGATTGGCTCTGTGACAAGCAGGGGGCACAGGGCCTGGGGAATACTGGAGGAAGGCACCCAGCCCCACCTGGGAGTCAGAAGGGACCAGCTTAGGCCTGTGGAAGGGTGGGACGCTGGATCTGGAGGTCTCTGGTGAAGAAGCTGAGAAGAGGGAGTGCTTGTACAGAAGATGGAAGGGCGCAAGCTTAGGGGTTACTGGTAACTTGGTTTAGCTGGGATGAGACACCGGGTGTGGCAGGTGATGGGGATAGAGGGGCCAGCTGGTGCCAGGTGGGAAAAGGCCCTTTTGGCCAAGTGCAGCTAGGAGGGTGGACACTCTGGGTTGCCACGGAAAGGTTCTAGAAGGGGAGGTGACATGATTTGGTTTGTATTTTAGAACATTTGCTCTGGCAGCAATGTAAAGATGGCTGGGGTGGAGCACATGATGAGACCAAGGTGTGGCCACAGCAACCCAAGGATTGGCCGGGGTCACTTGGCCTTACTGCTTCAAATATAATTGGTTACAAACTCCCACCCCACACAGGAGGGGACCCGGTGTCTTTCCACTGGTCTCTGGGGGCTTGGAAACTTCCATTTCTCTCTTGACAGCTCATCTGATGCCAAACTCTTTCTGCTGAATTCTCCACCTCCATCCTGTACTTAGTAACCGCTTTAGGCACCCTTCCTGTTCCTGTTGCTCCTCGAGGGACCCATGACCAAGGCCTCTAGGTTAGCTGACATTTCCATGGATCTGGAGCAAGGGGAAGGGGTGAGGTGGTGGTGGCACAACAGATAAGACAGCGCTGAACGCCACATGCTCCTGATCTTACAGTCTCAGCACTGTCCCTGTCTCATGGGTGGTCAAGTCCTCAGTGGGCTCCGGCCTCCCCCTCTCATGGGACTGGCCCAAGGTGCTGCTTAGCCAGCTCCCCTCTCCTTCCAGTCCCACAGCTCACAATCCCCCATCTCCAGTGTTCCTGTTCATTTCTAGGGCACATATATTAAGCCCTGTGTTGGTCTCCTCTGACCCCACCCCAAGCCTGTCCAGAGGAATCTTCTTCATTAGCAAACATGCTGGGGTGCATAAGTGGGCTCCTAAACTAAGATGGTCTCTTCCTCGCTAGGGACCCCATCACCAGGTCTCCATAGAGGCCTGTTCACTGGCGGGAAGAGGAGGAAGGGAAAGATGATAAATGGATATTGTATCTGTGGAAATGAAAGCCGTGGTCTTAGTTCCACAAACATAGCCCAGTCTAGATTACAGATAACGATGTGGGTTTCCCAGGTGGTGTGGACACCAGGGATAGAACCCAGTTTATTTTAATCATATATTGATTCTCTGGTCAGCAAAGATTCTTCTGAGAATGAGCATTTAAAGGGTGGGCTTGAGTTTTCTTTCTTTTCTTTTTTCTTTTTTTTTTTTTGAGATGGAGTCTCGTTCTGTCACCCAGGCTGGAGTACAGTGGTGCGATCTCGACTCACTGCAAGCTCTGCCTCCCGGGTTCAGGCCATTCTCCTGCCTCAGCCTCCCGAGTAGCTGGGACTACAGGCGCCCACCACCACGCCCGGCTAGTTTTTTTGTATTTTTAGTAGAGATGGGGTTTCACCGTGTTAGCCAGGATGTTCTCAATCTCCTGACCTCATGATCCGCCCGCCTCGGCCTGCCAAAGCGCTGGGATTACAGGCGTGAGCCTCCGCGCCCAGCCGAGTTTTCTTTAGAAGACAAAGTAAAGCCCAAACTGGCCAGCCCCCAAATAGAGTGCCTGCTTAGCAGGCTGGCAGGTGAAAGGGCGTGGGACTTGGAAGACACAGAATGCTGCAAGCCCCAGGCAATTGATTGAACCTGTCTTGGTTTGGGTTTCTTCATCTGCTAAATGGATGTATGACTCCCTTACAGGGACATTATGAGATGGCAATGAAATGGTATGTGCAGAATCACCTGGCTCGGCCCACAGTCTGGCTTTTGGGTAATTTTGACACAAAAGGGAATAGCTATGAACTGAATTGTGTCTCCCCAAAACGCATTTGTTGAGGCCCTAACCTCCAATGTAACTGCCTTGGAGAAAGGGTCTGTGGGAGGTAATTAAGTTTAAATAAGGTCATAAGGATGAGGTCTAGTCCTATAGGACTGCAGCTCTAGGAGAAGAGAAAAAGAGAGATCCCTCTCCCTTTCTCTGCCATGTGAGGACACAGTGAGATGGCAGCCACCTGCAAGCCGGGAAGAGAGCCTGACCGTGTTGGCACCCTGATCTCAGACTTCCAGCCTCCAGAACTGTGAAAAAATACATTTCTGTTTTTTGAGTTACCCAGTCTATGATATTTTGTTTCGGAGGCCCGAGCTGTGGTGCATATTTAACCTGTGGGCAGTGTGTTTTCAGAAAGTGGTGACATGGTGCACATGGCCCTGGTGGGAGTGGGTCTGTGGTCTCCTGTCCTTTGAGGAAGCTCCTTCTGTGACATCCAAGGTCCCAATGATCTGGGTCCTGCTACCTTCTTGGTCTCACCTGGTATCATCCCTCACTTCTTTCTCACATTGGTCTTCTTTCTTTTATCTCTCCAACTCTCTAAGCTCCATCCTGCCTTGGGGTTTTTGCACATGCTGTCCCCTCTGTAATGCATACCTTTGCAAGGCTCACTTTGGATTCAGAGGTCCCTTCCATAGAGAGCCCTCCCTGTCCTGGCTGTCTGGGACTTCTCTCATTTCCTTTGCCCTGTCTTATTCTCTTCCTGGCAGGCATCACTCTCTAAAATTAAATGGTTTACCTGTTTAATATCTGTTTTCCTCCCCTGAAATGTAAGCTCTGTGGGGACAGGGGCCTTGTCTACTTGTCTTGCTATATCCCTAGAGCTTACCAAGGACTGTCACATAATGGGGGCTCAACTCATGCTCAATGAATGAATGAGTGAATAAGCTGATCGGGGCAAAGCTCCCTGCCTGTGCATCGAGCACCTCTTGAACCAGACCCCAAACACTTGATTTCCAGCATCACACCTTGTCTCTCCTTACAACTAGAGACCAGCTGGTCCATCCAAAGGATTTCCAGTCAAAGGGTTCTATGGAGAGCATGGGGTCCACTACAGAGACCTAGGCTGGAGGAGGAGGTGAGTGAGTTGATCTTTGAATGTTCTTCTCTACCCTTTCAACTACAACAGCTCTGAATTTGTCTGTTTCCCATGTTGGGCGTACATGAAAAATCTTATGAAAGAAATGGCCCCACAGCCCAGAGAAAATGGAAAACCACAAATTGCATCCAAGTCTTCACATTACACTGAGGAATCTGAGGTCCAGAGACTTGCCACACACAGATGGCCAGAGGTGGGATGCTCTATCCCTAGTGGTGACGTGCTCAGGGATCAAGAAATTCCTGCTACGTGAGTAAAAAATAGTGGCTCGCTCAAATGCCGAAACTTGGCTTTCTTTCTCTGAGAACTGAGGACAGGGGAAAGGATTTATGATCACCACTGGTCTCTGTTAGTCCCAAACAAACTTCAGACTCCATAACCCCCATGAGTGGTCATTACACACTGCAAGAGACCAAAAGTGAGCTCTGGCGAAGCGCTCAGGAGAAGCCTATCCTGGCCGGACCAAAGAGCCACTGTGGGACATCACACATGGCCCAGGGAGTGGGATGGTTTCAGATGAGGACAATTTCTTCTTAGACACAGAGCGGGGTAGCGTGGACCCCAACGCCCTAAGCATCTTGTTTATGGTAGAATCATAGACTTCCCTGACAAGGCCTGTTCACTGGCTGGCCTCTTTTAGAGCCACCATTTTTCCACCTTTGCTTCCCAACCCCCACCCGCCTCCCTTTCTTCCTCTAGTTCCATGGAGCATTTGCTGACTGGTAATTTTACCAACCATTGCTGCAAACCCAGAAGTTCATTTCGTCACTGGCAATCAGCTCCTGTCCTCAGGGAAACCTAATTAGGTACTACAGGATTTTTGATGTTGCTTCCATGGTAACCCCCGTAGTAATGGTGTACATGCAGAATATATGCTCCAGGGTGTTTAAATTTATATATGTATATATATATATATAAAATATAAAACATATATATAAATAATATATCTTAAGAAAATCTGTAATTTTTTCTTCTTGCTTTGTTTCTGTGTCGTTTTTTTAAATGATGGAAATTTTCCCGGAAGTTCTTCTCCCCACAGAGAGAGAACAGTACACAAAAAGGCTTTTTCCATTTTCTCTCCTTTAATTTAGAGAAATTCACAGTTGTGCAAGAGTGAAAGTTTTTCAGGTTGGTCAGAAAGTGTCTAAGCAGGAATACGCTCTCCTCCCTGATAGCTGAGAACATTTTAATGACAGATTTTGCTTAAATAAAAAATCAGAAAGGTCTCAAGTCTTTCAAAATAGAATGGGGGGAAAAACGAGTGAATCCAATGAATCGACTCTAAACTTATCCTAAAAAAAAAAAAAAAAAAAAAAAAAGAAAAAAAGAAAAAAGGCAAGCTTCCCTGCATGCCTACCCCTTTGCAGGAAATGTGGGGAGGCCTCGCAAGTCTGAAGCTCGGGCTGTGCCATGTGGCTGCTGGAGGCACTGGGTAGTGTCCTTGTCTCCTTGTCAAGGCAGCCTGTCCCAGGCCCTGCAGAGATTGCAGCTGAACGGCCCTGTCCTGAGGTGTCCAGATGGCCTTCAGCGTTGGCCTTGTGGTGAGCTGGTGATGACATCTTTGCTTGGCGAGACACTCTAACCAGGGAAAGGTCAGACCTGGACTCCCTGAGGTGCAGGTGACAAGGGAGAGGGCCTGTGACACACCCACAGCTGAAAGCCAAGGGCTTCTGAAGAATCCCTGAATAACTGAAAGTGCTTTCTGTACTATCCCTCGCTGGCCGTCCAAGGATGGAATGCCATGCTGACCTCTTTGTTAGCTGCCAGCGAATCCATTTACCCTCAGCATTTGCCAACAAGGTCCACTGCTCCCAGACTCCCTGCTGTTTTTCTCCAGCGGCCCCCCTGCCCATTAATTCTGTTGTGCCCTTGTTCCCTGATTCAGTCTACCAGCTGACTTCCTCACATCTGAGAAAACACTTTGTATGCAAAACAACTAAACTGCTTGCAAAATAACTTTTTAAATGCTCTGAGTTATTCTTTGATATCTCAAATCATGTGTCCATGGGGAGAGTGGGGATGGGGGAATGGCCATCAAGGAATGGCCCTTGACCCTGATCTCCTCCCCATCCAGTCACCCAGTTACTTGAGAAGGACTGGCCAGCAAATATAACTGAGTGGAGTGGGAAGGTGGGGACGGGTGAGGGTTCCTGCTAGGGGCTGTGGCATAAGAATCTAAAAGGAAAATGTTGGGCACAGTAGGCACATGACCTGGCTTTTCTAATATGTGCCAAATATAAGAATTAGTTTTGTTATATATTAGTTTTGTTGCATAACAAAGCACCTCAAAACATAATGGCTTAAAATAATAATTTAGGTCACGTTTCTGTGGGTCAGTCATTTGGGCTGGGCTCAGCTTGGTGGTTCTTCTGCTGGTCTCACCTTGGGTGAGCTTCTGTCATGCAGCTGGTCTAGGACGGCTTCTGATGGCTGGCAGCTGGTACTGGCTGCAGGCTGGGGTGAAAGGGATAGTGAGGCCATGTGTCTATAGTGAGCCTCATGGCGATGACATTTTTTAAACCTCTGCTGTATCACACTTTTTAATGTTCCACTGGCCAAAGCAAGGTACATGGCTAAGTTCAGACGGAAGGGATTGAGAAATAGGCTGTACTGGCCAGGCGTGGTGGCTCATACGTGTAATCCCAGCACTTTGGGAGGCCAAGGTGGGTGGATCACTGGAGGTCAGGAGTTCGAGACCAGCCTGGCCAACATGGTGAAACCCCATCTCTACTAAAAATACAAAAATTAGCCAAGTGTGGTTGTGGGTGCCTGTTATCCCAGTTACTCAGGAGGCTGAGGCAGGAGAATCGCTTGAACCCGGGAGGCAGATGGTGCCATTGCACTCCAGCCTGGGTGACAGGAGTGAAACTCTGTCTCAAAAAAAAAAAAAAAAAAAAAAAAAGAGACAGAGAGAGAGGGAGAGAGAAATAGGCTGTACTTCTTGATTGGAAGAGAGGCAAAGTCACATGTACAGAAGTAAGTGAATGGGATGGGAGGAATCTGTGGCCTTTTCTGCAAGCTGCCCCCTCTGGTGTGTCTGATGCATGCCTTCCGGGCGCTGCTGAAGCCCTATGTAACCCAAGAAGCTTTTCAAATTGCATCCTAATCATGCATGTCTTTTGCTAGAACTACTTGAGATTGTGCACTGATTCATGGGACATGTGTTTGATTCAGATTTATATACCCACAATGGCCTAACCTTGTTGATTCTTAATAATTATTATATTGAACTGAGTTGGGTTAGTTCTCCTTTTTCTCTAATTACAAGCTCCTTAAAGGAAAGTTTGGAATCACTGTTGCATAAAATCTCC
The DNA here is from genome assembly GCF_000001405.40 of Homo sapiens. Classification (NCBI taxonomy): domain Eukaryota; kingdom Metazoa; phylum Chordata; class Mammalia; order Primates; family Hominidae; genus Homo; species Homo sapiens. The sequence continues at coordinate 154,778,202 of NC_000001.11, read as the reverse complement.
CTCCCAGAGCTCTCAGAATTATACTAACGGCTGAAAATCCGGCAAGTTCTCAGAACCACCAGTTAAGTGGTAGAGGGATTAGGCCTAGAGCCACCTCTGGACAGAGCAACTATCTGAGGAAAGAATGGAATTTTCAGGAAACCAGAGACTGTGGTACTGACACATTGCATCTTCAGGTCAGTCATACCCTCAATGAGTGAAATCACTTTTTTAGGCTTAGGAGGCAGAAAGAGTCAGTGACTCGAAGAATGTGGCTTTCCTTTTCCCATTCAGGGAAGCCAGAGTACAAGGAGCAAACCTATGCCTCATCAGGAAGAGACTCGTTTGTCAGCCCTGGGCCTCTGTGGCTTCTCCTGCTCTGGAACAGGCCAGAACAGACCACTTGAGGGCCCACGGTACTCCCTGCCCCATGCCACACTCTGTCCACATCACCTCAGTACTTCTCCAGAATCCATCAGAGGCCAACAGTCAAGCTGGTCTAGAATCAGGGCTGGATGACTGAGACTAAGCCCTAGGGGAGGATAGTCCTTTGTGGAGCCACATACACACTCCCCGAGCCCCTCTGGTCCAGTGCTACTCAAGATCCTGGTTCCAGACTTGCTCTAGAACTTTCTAAGGCTTGGAGGTCACCTGGGACAGTTTATTCCAGGTTGAACCACCCTTTGGGAATAAGAGGGTGTCCCTTCCCATGGTGTGAGATGAATTGTCAGGTCCTTTGTGAGTCACAGGCTTAGGAATGGATTTTCAACAGGAATTTCCATTCTGGGTGGTTAACAAGGGCCACAGGCAATCTGTCCTTTTCTTCATATGACACAGTCATCCGCCTACACACCCCTTTATTCACCAAGATTCTACTGACTGCCCACTCTGTGCCAGGCAACGTCTCAGGCATGGGAGTGGGGTGAGATGAGCCAGGCACGGTTCCTGTCCCTGGAGAGCTCAGGTGCACCGAGAACACAGATGAGGCAGGAGGTGCGAGCAAGAGGGTCTGTGTAGAACCACAGAATTATGGCTTCTTAGAGCAGGAGGTACCTTGGGGATTGTCTAGTCTATTCCCTCATTCCTCAGAGGAGGACGCTGAGCCCAAGAGAGGGAAGATTAGTCCAGGGGCACGCAGTAAGTGGGAGTTACTAATTCACTAAATAAGCATTTATTGAACACCTACTAAGTGCTAAGATCTGGGCTAGGCTCTGGAGATGCCACAGGGAACAAGGAAGACACAGCGCTTGTCTCTTTGGAGCTCCAACTGTGACTGGTTGGGGGGTCCCAACCCTGGTTACATTTTAGACTCACCTGGGAGCCTTAAGAAGAACACCCGTGCCAGGGCTCCACCCCCAGAGATTCTGATTACTTGGCCTGGGGTGGGCCTGGGCCTGGGCATGGGTATTTTTGAACAAGCCCTCCAAGTCATTCTAATGTGCGACGCAAGTAGGTTGAGAACCATGTCTAAGGGGAGAGACAGCAAAACCTCACACATGCAAATCAATAATTGGGATTGTGCTTTGTTAGGAATGAATGGGACCCAGAGTGAGGAAACAGCAGGGTTGGGGTATCTGCTACTTGCTCTGAATCGGGAGGGAGCGAGGCCACACTTGGAGAGCTGTGATTCCAAGGGTCAGAAGGAAGGAAGCATAGAGTGTCCTCACGTGGGACAGCAATGGGATCTTCTGGGACACATCCCACCCTGCAGATGCAGAAAACCTTGCAGCGGAGCCCTGTCTAGCAGAAGCTTTTAACCTGCAGCCTGAAAACTCTCCCCCACCCCCTACTCAAAACACCCGCTCTTTACACACACTGTTTACGAGTGCCCCCAGGCCAGCCAGCTTAATAATCCCTCACATTTTTAGAGCAGTGAGTAAAGCACTGTCCAACTTTTTATCTGTATTATTGGATCCTAACACTAACCCCAGGAGGCAGGCAGGGCCAAGGTCAGTCAGTGTTCCCCTGTTGGAGATGTGGAAACAAGCTCGGAGAAGTCACGCACGGCCTGAGATCACATGGCTAATACCTGGATGTGGGGGACTTCAGGCTAGCTCTCCCACCTCCAGCTCCACTACCCCATGTGGCCCCCACCTTCCCTGCACCAGCAAGCCACAACCAAGGCGGGGCACCTGAGAGGCAGCTGGGGACCAGCACCCTCCCGTCTCGCTGGGCAGAGCTGCCGGTGCATTCTCCCCTTCAGCTCTTACTTACAATCCCACTCCTCATCAGGCAATCAAAGGAATCTGTTACTCGTTGCTTCCATTCCTGCCCAGAGTGAACCCAGTTACTATAGTAACCAGATGCGATTCTTTATTACGGAGTAGATGGTTTTAATTTTGTATTTGAAGAGTTTGGCCAGGCAGTCACGTTGCCATGGCTTGGCCTGTCGGGCGGCAGTTAGAAGCAGAGGGAACCCTTTGAGCAGCCATTAGGGCTTTCTAATTGCTGGGGAAAACCTATGTCTGGAAAAACCCAGGCTCAGCTGCACTGGGGAAGGAGGAGGGTGAGTCTCCAGCTGGTGCTGTGCTGGGTACTGTCTCCTGTTCAGAGATGACAGCTCCCTGATTAGAGCCACCAGGTGAGCCTCTCAGCCAGTTGCTCCCATAGTGCCCTGTAGTTTCCCTTCAGGATCCTCATGGGTGGGTGGGTGGGGGGCTGGCTGCTCAGAGGGCCATCAACACATTTTTGTTGAATGAATGAATGAATGAACAAATGATCCTTTGTAGTTTATTAAACCCTTTCAATCCATTGTCTCCTCTGCTCTCCAGTATGGCTCTGTAAGGGTACGGAGCAGGGAGAAAGAGAAACTGAGGCTCGGCAAGGTAAGAGACTTGCCTCCTAGTGCTGCCTCCCCTGTCTGTGCCTCTCAGGGCCCATGAATTGCCTGGAATGTTCCCCTTGCTGCAGAAACATATCACAGGTAGATGCTAAAAGCAAGGCAAGCATCGCCCGCCCACACCACACCAGGCCTGGTACCATAGGTCCTCTCCTGGGTCCTCAGTTCTTGCTGAACTGTAAGGAAGGCAGCAAAGTGGAGTGAGAAAGCTGCTTGGTGACTAACTTTGAAGCAGAGCAGAAGCTTCCTTTGGCCCAGACCATCAAGGAGACAGTTGGGTGGACAGAATAAAGGGCTCCTCATTCCCTGATCTCCCTGTGCAAGGGAGGAAAGGAAGGCTTCACTCGGCTTTCAGCCAGCCCCCGCAAATCCACGCTGATCCAGTCTCTCTGTTACGCTTTCTGTGCTGAGGGTGTATTTCCAGGTTAAATAAAACCTCCACCCAACCCTGGCCCCAACATTAATTTCTCCTAACCCAGCCTAGTTTCTTCCGGCCTTGCAGCTCAGGCCTTCCCAGGATGCATGCATGGCCTGCTCTCCCAGCCAGGAGGTGCTGATGCTGGTACCCTTCATCCTGAGCTCATGTTAGGCCACAGGACCCTGCTAGCTCCTCCTTAAAGGCAATCATAACCAGCTTTGGAGAGCAGCAGCTCTCTGTGGCTGTTGGTGGAGCAGGCAGCATGTGAGGCTGGAGTCTTGAGTGGGATGTGTTCGTGGATGAGCTGGGACAGGCAACAGCCAGATCTGCTGGAGGGCCAAGGACCCAGTAAAGAGAGGGCATAGTGTGATGATAAACATTCCACTACCTCCCAGAAGTGAGGTGCCTGCACAGGAGGCCCACACCGAACATATGCCCGGATCTCAGGCCTCACCCTCCAAGAATCAAATCATCGGAGCTGGATGAGACTTTAGAGGCTTCTCATTTCAGTCTCAGATGAAGACTGAGGCCCCAGAGGGGAAGGATGTGAAGTCCCTTTCACAGTCATCAAATATGGTGGGACTCCACAGTGGGACTTACCGGAAGACAAAGGCTGGACACACAGCAGGTGCTCAGTCAATTCTTGTGAGAACAGCCATCCTCATGAGGTGACAGCAGGAAGCATCTTCGTGAAAGTTTAGGGCCAGAAGGAAGTTTAGACATCACTGAGCCCAACTGTCATTTTACAGAAAGACCGAGACCAGATCCATTAATAATGCTACAAATAAGAATAGCTAATAGTTACATAGTGTGCTGGGTGCTAGGCAGGATTCCATGCATGTTGCATATACGAACCCACTGCAGCCTCACAGTGACCTCTATGCAGCAGTTATTATCATCATCCCCAGATGAGGTAACTGAGGCACAGGGTGGTTCGGTAATTTGCCCAGGATCATGGAGCCAGTAGTGTTAGGATCAGGCAATCTGGCTCCAGAGTCCGTGCCGTGAACACTTCACTGCACTGTCTGAGAGCACAGTGCTGCCAGCAAACACTTGCTGCCCCCTTCTCTGAGTGGGGAGAAGGAATCTGTGCCAGCCCTTGTGAGTTCACTCATGCAGGAAACATGACTTTTTCATCTTTACATCCCCTTACAGGGCTCAGCTCAGGTCTGGCAGGGGCTCAGGGATGTGTTTCTAATATAAATGAGTTGATCTTTCTCACCATCGTGAAACAGCCAATTTGGCACCTGTGTGCTGGAAGGGACCTTGGGAAGTGGCTCAACATAGAACACTTGTGGTCAGCAAAAAGGAGGGGGTGGTTCCCACACACCAAGCAATTCTCCAATGGACACTGGCTGAGTGTCCTGCAATATAACTCAAGCCTGATTGTCCGCCTGGAGTTAGTGTTGGCTCCCACAGGTTGAGGGCTCAGTCCCACCACATTTACCTGACTTCCGATGCTAGTCACCAGCCCCAGGTTGTTTTATCTGAGCCTCTGACCAAGTGGCTATAAATCAGGGATTCCCAGGACGCCCTTCTCAGGTTTTCATTAATTTTCTAGAGCAGCTCACAGAACTCAGGGAAACACATTTACTGGTTTATTATAAAGGACCTTACAAAGGATTCAGATGAGCAGCCATATGGGAGCGAAGCAAAGGGCAGGGCGCATGGGAAGGGGTGGAGCTTCCATGCCCTCTCTGGGCACGCAACACTCCACGTGTCCAGGGACCTCCATGTGTGCAGCTATCTGGAAGCTCATCGAAACACAAAGAGGGGAACGACAGACACTGAGGGTGGAGAGTGGGAGGGAGAGGATCAGAAAAAATAACTATTGGGTACTGTACCCAATAGTACCTGGGTGACGAAATCATCTGCACAACAAATCTCTGTAACACGAGTTTACCTATATAGCAAACTTGCACATGTACCCCTGAACCTAAAATAAAAGTTAAAAAAACAAAACAAAACACTGTCTTTTTGGGATTTTGTGGAGGTTTCATTACACCGACATAATTGATGACATCATTGGCCATTGGTGATCAACTCAACCTTCGGGCCCCTCTTCCTTCTCAGGAGGTGGTGGGGTGGGGCTGAAAGTTCCAACCCTCTCATCACCAGATTGGTTCCCCTGGCAACCAGCGCCATCCTGAGGCCACCCTGGATCCCCACCCCGACCGACCCCAGCCACTAGTCATCTCATTAGCATACAAATGACACTTATCACTTTGGAAATTCCGAGCGTTTTGGGAACTGTGCCTAAACCAGGATAAAGACCAAGTACATTATTTCTTATTATAAATCACTATATCTCAGGCAGCGATTTGCAGAGGAGGAAAGTGAGGCCAAGAGAGTCAAAGTGTCTTAGCCAGGGCTTCCCAGGTAGACTGAATCCAGCTCTCCCTACTCCACATACAGGGCTCTTGCCACATAGCAAGGCCCCTAAAGAGCATGCTGAGGTGGTCAGGCTGACCTGAGCCCAGCAGCCTGCCCCAGCCTGCCCCACCTGTCCTGCCTGGACCCTGCTGTGGGCTTCCTGGTCCTGGCCACACTAATGGACTTTCTGCTCCCACCAGCTCTTCGTGATCGACAATGGCGCGGATGACTGGCGGATAGCCATGACCTACGAGCGCATCCTGTACATCAGCCTGGAGATGCTGGTGTGCGCCATCCACCCCATTCCTGGCGAGTACAAGTTCTTCTGGACGGCACGCCTGGCCTTCTCCTACACACCCTCCCGGGCGGAGGCCGATGTGGACATCATCCTGTCTATCCCCATGTTCCTGCGCCTGTACCTGATCGCCCGAGTCATGCTGCTGCACAGCAAGCTCTTCACCGATGCCTCGTCCCGCAGCATCGGGGCCCTCAACAAGATCAACTTCAACACCCGCTTTGTCATGAAGACGCTCATGACCATCTGCCCTGGCACTGTGCTGCTCGTGTTCAGCATCTCTCTGTGGATCATTGCTGCCTGGACCGTCCGTGTCTGTGAAAGGTATTCCACATGGGGCTTTCTGAGTACAGAGCCTGTGCTGGGACAGGGAAGGGAGGAGGAGTAGGGGTGCCAGGAAGTATGTGGTCTGATGGAGGAGACAGGCATGTACCCAGACACCTGAAAGGAGACAATGGGAAAGAGGGGAGTGCTGAGTTGGGGTTCAGTATGAGCTAGAATTGCAGCATTGGAACCAAAGTAAGGTGGGAAAAAGGCACAGAATTTTCCTGATTTTCTGTTCCTTCTTTGCAAACCAATATATCAAAGCATTCTGGTTACATCAGTAACTCACATATAACACATTGCAACTTACTCCTCTTGGGTATTAATAATGCTTATTAGCATTTTAAAGGCTCTGAGAAGTCCTGAAGTAATGAAACCATTTATTTTTGTTTGGTTCAGCCTTTCTTAATTGTATTTGCCTGCAAATCCTTTTTATTATAAAGCACTATTGGTACCTTGCTACTCAAAGTTTGGTTCACAGACCAGCAGCACTGGCATCACTGGGAACTTGTTAGAGTTCCCAGAATCTCAGGCCTTAGCCCAGAATGAATGAATCAGAATTTGCATTTAACAAGGTCACCTGGTGATTCATATGCACCTTAGTTTGAGAAGCACTGTACTGATGGAACATACTTTGGGAAACATTGTTTTAGGAGGCTGGTGGTTGGGAGTCATTCAGAGAAGCTACTCATGGGAAAGAAGGGAGATGTGGCCTGACAGAGATCCAGGGCTGTAGAACAAAATGCCAACTCCTTGGAACAGCCATCAACAAGGCTCAAGGGCAGGACTGAAGCCACCTCCTTCCACCACCCTCGAGCTGCCTTTAATGACTCTTCTCCTTGCAAGGGGTCCTGGATTTTCATTTTATTTATTTATTTATTTATTTATTTATTTATTTATTTATTTATTTATTTATCTGAGATGGAGTCTCGCTCTCTCGCCCAGGCTGGAGTGCAGTGGCATAGTCTCTGCTCACTGCAACCTCTGCCTCCTGTGTTCAAGCAATTCTCCTGCCTCAGCCTCCCATGTAGCTGAGATTACAGGCATGCGCCACCATACCAGGCTAATTTTTGTGTTTTTAGTAGAGATGGGGTTTCACCATGTTGGCCAGGCTGGTCTTGAACTCCTGGCTTCAAGTGATCCTCCTACCTTGGCCTCCCAAAATTCTGGGATTACAGGCGTGAGCCACTGCACCCAGCCCTGGATATTCATTTTAATCTATTTGACATGTGGAGTCTAAATCTAGGTTAGAAACCGTGATTCTGCTCCTAAGTAGCTGTGAGACCTAGGGCAAGTTACTTAACCTCTCTGGGCTACAGTTTCCTCATTTTAAAATGAGGATCACTTGAGATAGAATGAAGCTATGTTTGCTTGAGATAGATTATTTTTATTATGTTGGGAGGTATGGTGAAGCATCCTGTGTAATTTACACAAATCCTGGTAGTCGCCCTTAATTTGTCAACACTTACGATTATATTGCCAAATCTTCCATGCACCAGTGTCCTAGCAGAGATCAAACAAGACAAAGAAGTCTGGAGAGGAGTTAGCCTCAACACACCCTACATGGGTGCCTTGAATCGTATCTCCTACCTATTTTTGAGACATTCTGTTTGCAGACATTTCTTTCAGCGTTTTGGCCAACAGACACACGGTCAAACTGAGAGGGCATTCTGCTGCCGCAGAACAAGGGTTCAGGCTCCAGGATGCAGGTTCAGGTTCTGAGAGCCAGTGCAGTGTTGGAAGACCTTTCTCACACACAGAGCCCCAGGGACACACCATGCTCACCTATTCAGAACCTCGCCATTACTCAGCAGCTGACATTGCAACATCTGCTCTGAGTGGGACCACACTGCACAGGGCTTCATGAGCCTTCTCTGGTAAGCAGACACTCTTCCCCCAATGGAGAAAGCATGTGCTTGGGTTCCGACCCCAAACTCTTCATGGTACTGTTAGCTGAGCAACATTGTGCTGGTCGCTTCACCTCTCTGGACCTCAATTTTCTTATCTGAAAGCTGGACACAGGATTTATTGTTAGAGTCAAACAAGGTGTATATATGCACTATGTACTGCAATCCAATGATGGTGAAAGTTAATAATAATAGTGCAGATCCCTTGATAACTCTTGGGAATTTTGTGCTGCCTTCTTTTAATTAGAACAGCCCAACTTGTACCATACATGGGCCTATACTCTTCCTGTTTTCCTTTCTAAATGATGGAAGCCATGTTGTCTATTAACATAGTAATTGAATTTGCGTAGCCCTTTAAGCTATTTGAAGTCTTTCACTTCCTCAGATGCTCTCTGGCATGTATTTCAGATGGCTGAACATGCAACAAAGTACCTGCAAGTGAGTTTCGTAGTTTATTGAACCTATCACAAGAAGGGGTGACTATTTTTCACTGGAAAATAAGCTTGTTTTAAAGAATGTAGTTTGCAAAGTACTTAGATGATGCACCTTATTTGATATTGCATGGCCTTCCATAGCTTCCAAGCTGAGGCTGGGTTAGTTTGGTCCCTGGTGGGCCACTGGGTCTCTCTCTCTCTCTCTGCAGACATGGGTCACAAGCCCCCGCTAAGACCAAGGCACAGAGGAACAATGAGCAAATCGGAAATTCTCTGAAAGTTCCCTTCTCTTGCGAAAAGGCCATTTGACCAAAGACTTAGGTATAACATGAGGTGTATTAAAGCATGGTGGATGTTATTGTTGCACCCCTGTGCTAGTTCTGTGTAAAATCCATATGTCATCCCAGCTTGCCCTCACAATAGATCTATGAGAGAGGTACCTTGCCTGAGGGAAGGAGAGCCCGGGTCCTGGAGGGGCATTTGGGTGAAGCAACATGTCATCCACTACATGGATGTGTTTGAATTGGACATGAAGGCTCATGGGAGAGTTGAGGAAACTGATAGAAAGTAACTGGCCCGAGGTCACAGAGCTATTAATAATAAGCGTGGAGCCAAAATCTGAACTGGTTTCTGACTCTGAACTTCCATGTGTGTGTCACCAACCCAGGCTGAATCCTGCACATACGAGGAAATCTTGGCCTCTACTCTACTGGCAACTTTCCCAATCTCAGAGTCTTAAGGCCACTGAGACTAACATGTGAATCCCAGTCTTGCTGTTTTCTCTGCCTCTGCTGCCTATGGTCTTGACCATGTTATCATACTAGCCTCCTGGGCTGCCTTCATGTCCAATTCAAACACATCCATGTAGTGGATGACATGTTGCTTCATGTCAACATGAAGGGGACAGATGCCCCCTCCAGGACCCGGGCTCTCCTTCCCTTAGCTGGGGTTGTGACTGAGTCCCTCTCTTCAGGTCAAACCCCTTGCCTGGGGGCAGCAAGCTCCCGAGGGGATTTGTCAGTGTGGGAGTTCAAAGGCCTAACCCCGTTTGCTTCTAGTAGGACACTCAGCCAGGCTCCAGGGTCCCTGAGGGATCGCCTAAGGCCTCTGTTACCACTGCATCCGGGAACTTCCTCTATACCCCAGAGGTATTGATCCTGAGAGCAGCCCCAGTAAAACTCCCACCCCCAAATCTCAGCATCTCACAGACTGTTTCCCAGGAATCTGCCCCGTTAATATATTGTTTCCTAAACAGGCAAAGCACTTCTCTTACCAAGACTAAGCACTATTTTTAGAATCAAGCTTAAATGATCATTCTGTTTCCCAATGTCAAATAATAAGTAAGATTGGCAGAGGCCTTCAGCCAGGACTTATTCAGCCAGAGACTGGACAGAAGCTGGAAGCAGGGGAAGCTTTGGGGAACTGAAGCGTCAGACCAGGGTAGTGTGGACAGGATGCCTTGATCTCTCTCAGCCTGATCTAATGATGATTCTATCACCTTAGGCATCAGAGAGGGTAAGTGACTTGCCCAGGGTCACACAGCAGCATGACAGGTTCTAGAAAAATCCACAGCTGCTGATGCCCAGAGCCTGTTCACATTCCAGGTAGCTTTCATCAGCCTGGACTTATCTCTAGTTGTATACACACACTTCTGAAGTTGCTATGGAAATCTCTCTACAGCAAGATGTATTTTAAAAGACAGTTCTCATATCTTGGGTTGGTTTTTATGTGACAACAAAGGTTTTTCATATTTCCTCCTCCCAAGGAGAGAAAGTGGGATCATAATTACGCAGAACAGCCGTGCCATGGGGAGGGCAGCGCCTGGTTGCTGGGAGGGCAGTGACAACAGTGGGCTTGTTTTCCTTGGCCCCCAGAGAGGCATTACATCATGGGTTCCGAGGCCTGACAGTTGTGGCACTCTGCATTCTCTGGGATTCTCCTGGCTGCCTGCCCACCTCCCTCAGGGAGGAACCTCCTGATTTTACACTGTCAAGTGCCAAGCAGCTTTACTGGTGGAGAGACCATCTGAGGCCCCGGGTCCTCACTGCGGCAGCAGGTTGGAGAGCCAGCCTTCCTAGCGTGCCTTGAGCAGTGCAGTGGCCTGCCAGCTCACCTTTGTATGTTTATCTCCTTGGGAGGAGCAACAAGGCCTCCCATAACATTGATGAAGTGGGGTGAGCCTTGCTGTCACAGCCATGCTTTATAAATGACCTTACTGTCCTCTTGAGTGGATTCCCTTCGGACCCTTTGGACCCTTCACTTTGGTCCCTCCTGAGGCTCCAAATTCTGCAACAGGCTGTCTCAGTGTCCCAGGCCTTCCAGTCTGTCAACAGGTTTTTTATTTTGCTGGTTAACTTTTGGCATACTGATATTTTAATGAGAAATTTTATTCTGGAGATCTGGCTCCTAAAGCAGGAGAAAAACAATTTGTGGCCCATTCTTTCTCTCATTAAGAGAGCCACCACTCCCATTGTAAGGAGATAAAAAGAGGCTTCCTTGCTGTACTCTCTTCTGCCCCTGCCTCAGACACCCAGGCCTGCACTTGCCAGCAGCAGGAAGCAAGACCACAGCTCCCTCCTCCTCCCATCTCCTTCCCACAACCTCCTACCCCCTCCAAGAAGGGGTACTTCCACTCCAAGAAAACAGTAGGAATGGCCAGGCTCGGTGGCTCACGCCTGTAATCCCAGCACTTTGGGAGGCCGAGGCGGGCAGATCACGAGGTCAGGAGATCGAGACCATCCTGGCTAACACGGTGAAACCCCCGTCTCTACTAAAAATACAAAAAAATTAGCCGGGCATGGTGGCACACACCTGTAGTCCCAGCTACTCGGGAGGCTGGGACAGGAGAATGGCGTGAACCCAGGAGGCGGAGCTTGCAGTGAGCCGAGATCACGCCACTGCACTCCAGCCTGGGTGACAGAGCCAGACTCCATCTCAAAAAAAAAAAAACAAACCCCAAAACAAAACAGTAGGAAAGTGGTCATTACAGGGATGAAGCACCCTACATGGGGTTGATGGAAGCCTGCAAGCTAAACCCTGTAGGCTGAGCAGAACTGAGCAGAGCCTGGGAACAGTGGGGCCAGGCACTGTGGTTCCTCATGGACTGCTTTGGTTTGAGTTATAACCTCCAATGTGGGGCACACGCACAGTGATCCATGGGACTATTGGGAGAAATGATCAGAACTTCTACATATATATATATATATATATATATATAAAGCCTGGCTAGTATTTAATAAATGGATAGAGAGCAATACATGTCTGTAATTTATAATAAATATATGTATAATGGAGGAGGGCATGCTCAAAAAATTTTTAATTGGTAGGAGCCCATGATTTTAAAAGTTTGCAAACCACTGGTTTATGATATCAGAGGACTAGTTAGAGAGGATAGGAAAGTAGCCTACCACATGGGATGAAGCCTGCTAGACCCAGGAACCCTGCCCTCTAGCTGGAGAAGTGAGAAGTTAGCCTCCTGTAGGGAAGGAGCAGCCTGTAGCGATCCCCTTCTGGTGCCAGGCGGAGAGATAGATGGCTGGGGAGGGGGAAGGTGGGGAGGCGACAGGGATCCTGCTGGAGGCCTTTGAGAAAAACCTGCAGCATTAAGGAAGAGGAAAATAATCCTGAAGATTCCTGAAAAATGTTTAATTATGAAAAACAAAAAGCAACATTAGAAGAGTCTTGGGTGGCCAGGCACAGTGGCTCACGCCTGTAATCCCAACACTTTGGGAGGTCAAAGCAGGTGGATCGCTTGAGGTCAGGAGTTGGAGACCAGCCTGACCAACACAGCAAAAACCCATCTCTGCCAAAAACAAAACAAAACAAAACAAAAAAAAACCAAAAAAAACATTAGCCGGGAGTGGTGGTGCATCTGTAGACTCAGGAGGCTGAGGTGGGGGGATCACCTAACCTGGGAGGTCAAGAGTGCAGCGAGCAGAGATTGCGCCACTGCACTCCAGCCTGGGTGACAGAGTGAGACCCTGTCTCAAAAAAAAAAAAAAAAAAGGAAAAAGAAAGAAGAGTCTTGGGCATCTCTAATAGGGTGCCAGAATATATATGATCCTTATGATAGAGAAGAGTGGGCAGATGTGAAATGAAAATGTATCTGGTTCACATAAGCACAGAGTTCCAGAAAACTAAAATTGTTTTAGCAAAATGAAAATCCACATTGATGGCACTACATTTTTAAAAATGTGGAATGTGGAGACAAACTTAAAAAATTTAAAGCTCTCTCAGAATGCAGAAGAGATAAGAGAAAGGATGAATAGGACAGAACTGGAGGCTATAGGATCCAGGTGAAATCTAAGAATTAGAGTTATTTCAGAGGAAGAAATGATAAATTTGGATAAAAGCATAATCAGAAATATACGCACAGTAAACATTTTCAGAATTGGCCTAGGTAAGGGGATGTTGTGTGTGGGGATGGTAGATCAGAGTAGGCAGATCGAAACGGATTCCTCTTTTCCAGTTAGAATGTGGGGGACAGGAGGAGCCACCCCTAGACATACCCCAATACATTCTTTTTCTGGAAAATTTATTGAATCATAAGGTGAAACAATCCTAGAGGCACACAGGCATCCCAGAGCTGACTCTCCCTCAGGAACCCTAAATTCAGAGTCATTAGAACAGTTCCACAGTATTTTAAATTTGGATCCACCCTGTCATTTGAATGAGGCAACCAAAGGGCAACAAAAGTCATTCTTGGAGTTTACTTTTGGGGGGAACTCGTTTGCCAGTTGACCAAAGACTGAATCACAATTAAGATCTTAATAATGAAATGTTGTAAAGAAAGGCAGACATTGGTTCACACAGGCAAACATGAAATCAAGACTAAACTTACGCGTAGTTGCAAAACTCCAAATTCTAATGTCAAAGAAAAAGTAGATTCTGGAAAGAGTGGATGTATGAAATTAAAGCAATAATTCAATAATAATTAGAGGGTTGCAAATCCTCAGATTAAAAATTTGAGAGGAGAAGGCTAGAAGGGATTAGTAAAAGCATGCCAGATGCGTTGTCCTATGTAGAGGAGAATTTTAAAATAAAGCCCTATTACTCAGTTTTAGCAATCAGAGAAATATTTTTTTTAAAACCTAAAGGAACCACAGGCAAAATTTTATGAGTATAACAAGAATAACAGTAGCATCAGCCATATATTGTTTCACTTAATCCATACCATAGTTCTATGAGACTGTATCTGCATTCTGTATATGAGGATGTTGAGACACAGAGAGGTTGAGCGATGTGCCTCAGGCCACAGAGCCAGCAGACTTGAGACTCCAACACCAGCCTGAGAGCCTTTTCCCTACCCTGAAAACATATACCTCCCATGCCACATCAGAGCCCACATAGCTAAGACAGAAAAAATAAAGGAAGCAGGAAGGAAGAATTTCAATACAAAGTATGAAAGAAGATCAGAGAAAAACAAACTTAAAATTTATAACAATCAACATAATTGTGTTTACCTCCTTGTTAAAAGTAAATGTCTCTTAGATGAGATTTAAAAGCAAAATTTAATTGCATGCAATTTACAAAAGAAGTACCTAGAACAGAAGGACCCAAAAATAAATGAAGAGCAAAGATTTATTAGGTAAGTACAAATCAGATGGCAAACGAATAGAAATTCTCATTTTAAACCAAAATGAATTCAAAACAGAAATCATTAAATTGTCCAAAAGAACCATTTAATATGGATAAAAGTGCTATATACAGTAAAACTGTGAATTTTATACAAAAAATGAGATTGATAATCTGAATTTTTAAATGTTTAAATTAATTGAGCACTTTGTAGCCTATAAACAAACATCTTCTTTTTAAGCATCCAGGGAACACTTTAAAAAATTGATCAACTTCTTGGTCACACATTTCAAAACATCAGAAAAGTTGCTCGGGCTGTATTCTCTGACCACAAGCCTATAAAACTCCAATTAAAGGACAACTTTTTGGTGGGACTTTTAAAGCAATCTCCTCAATTACAACAGAGAATTCAAAACTACCGTTAAAGGCTATTAGAAAATTACAACAATGATGACCCTGTACGTAAAAACTCAGGATGTGACCAAAGGTGTACTCAGATGAAAAACATCCTTAAAGTTTTTCAGGCACAATGGTGTGCACTGATAGCCCCAGCTACTTGGGAGGCTGAGGTGGGAGGATCACTTGAGCCTAGGAGTTCGAGCCAGTAGTGGACTATGATTGTGCCTGTGGATAGCCACTGCCTCAGCCTGGGCAACATAGGGAGACCCCATTTTTAATAACAAAAACAGAAAAAAATGAACAGAGAAAATAACTGAATCCATTAGAAGAACAAAACAAACCTCAGGAGGGAAGATTAAGTTTATAACAAAGGCAAAGATAGGAATTAATGAATTTAAAAACCAGAAAAACATAATTTATAAATCCAAAAGATACCAACTTCTAAAATATAAATTTAATTGAGAAAAAAGAAAACACAAAATTAGAAATTTTAATGGAGAATAACTACTGATTCTTAGGATGTTTTAATAAATAAGTGAGAATAGCTTAACTTTTTTTGAAAGAGAAGACCATTGAGGGGGCTTTCTCTACTAGATATTAAAATGTATTATAAAACTGAAAGTAATTAAGTCCCTCTGGCATTACTGAAAAATCAATAATGACAGATCAATGAAACCTAATGGAAAACACTGAAATAAACCCTACTATGTTAGAACCCAATATACGAGAAAGAAAACCAACTGGGAAGCGATAGATTATTCAATAAATGGTAATGGAGAAATTGGAAGCTTGGATGAAAAATCAAATTGGAACCCTAGCTCTCACCAGCCACCAAAATAAATTCCAGGTGGATTAAAAAGTCAGATGTAAAAGAAGAAACCATGAGCAAGCTCCAGAAAACAAAGTGAATATTTAATCAGCCCTGAGAGGAGAAAGAACTGTTAAGCATAAAATCTCAGAAGAAACATGAAGGAAAAAACTGGTGTGTTTGATTACATCATACACACAATTTTAGATTTCAGTCCCTCAAAAAATATGAACTTATTTAAAGAGCAAATGTTATGCTAGAAAAAGTATTTGCAGCAAACATGACAAGAGGTAAATATCCCTATTATACAAAGCAGTCTTAGAAACTAATCAGAAGAACTTATCTCCCCAGTGAAAAAAATAGGCTGAAGATAAGGCCAACTACAAAGGAAGAAATACAAAAAGCCAATAAAATAAAACACACAACACATATTCAGTCCCTCTAATCAAAGAACTGCAAATTATAACTACAAGGAGAATTACTTTTTCCCCTCTGGAGTTGACAAAATTTTAAATAAATATAACTCAGTGCTGGAGAATCTTCTTATTGTTGGCGGTGGGCGGGCATGGGGTTGTCTTACGCTGAGGGCAAGAAGGAAATTAGACCATCTTTCTGGAAAACAATTTAACAATTTGTCACAGGAGCCTTGAGTTTGTAACTTTGATCCAGGAATTCTCTTTCTAGGAAGCTATTTTAATAGAATAATCAATTTACATCAAACCTCTTCTGCATGGTGCAGTTTATAATAGAAAAGAATGAGAAACCAAGTAAACATCTAGGATTTCAATGGCTAAACAAGTATGGCACATCCATATGATGGGTAGTTAGCAAGAATTTTAAAAAATCAAATCAACGTGTTTGTTTTCGTTTTTGTTTGTTTGTTTGTTTGTTTGTTACTTCGTTGTTTGTTTTTGATGCGGAGTCTCATTCTGTCGCCCGGGCTGGAGTGCAGTGGCGCCATCTCGGCTCACTGCAGCCACCACCTCCCGGGTTCAAGCAATTATCTTGCCTCAGCCTCCCGAGTAGCTGAAATTACAGGCACCTGCCACAACGCCTGGCTAAGTTTTTGTATTTTTAGTAGAGACGGAGTTTCTCCATATTGGCCAGGCTGGTCTTGAACTCCTGGCCTCAAGTGATCCACCTGCCTCGGCCTCTCAAAGTGCTGGGATTACAGGCGTGAGCCACCGCGCCCGGCCTAAAAATCAATCTTTTGAAAATTACAGTAAGGTAGGAAAATATTCATGATGTAATATTTGAAAAAGGAGCGTACAAAATAGCATTATGTAGGATATTACCGATTTATAGATAGGTGCAGAAATACCTGGAAAATACATAGAAACATTAAGTTGATTTCTTTGTGTTACATGTAATATTTATTTATTTATGAGATAGAGTCTCGCTCTGTCATCCGGGCTGTAGTGCAGTGGCGCAATCTTGGCTCACTGCAACCTCTGCCTCCTGGGTTCAAACTATTCTCATGCCTCACCCTCCTGAGTAGCTGGGATTACAGGCGTGCGCCACCATGCCCGGCTAATTTTTGTATTTTTAGTAGAGATGGGTTTTCGCCATGTTGGCCTGGCTGGTGGTCTGCAGCTCCTGGTCTCAGGTGATCCGCCCGCCTCAGCTTCCCAAGGTGTACATGTGATTTTCATACATGTAAACATTAAGTTGATTTCTTATGACGTTACATGTGATTTTTTATTACTTTTTATTGTATTTTCAACAATGAGAATGAATATACATATATAAATTTTTAATGGAAAGAGGTAGCATTTGTTTTTACACACTTGACGAAGCCCCTCATCTTCCATAGGAACTCATGTTTTACATCAACGCGGGGTGGAAAGTAAAGCTGAATGGCTCAGTTTTTACACATAATTTTCTCTAACAAGCGCAATGCAAGTTCCGTCTTGAAGGGCTCTCTTCCGACCCGTCGGCCAGTGGCCTTGGTGGACAGGGCCGCGGGGCGCCTTTGCGGGGCCGGAGTGCTTCTTCGCGGGCGCGCGCCTCCCTTGGAGCCCCTCTGCGGCCGGCCGCTTATGGGAGCGCCCGAGCCGGCGTGCGGGCAGGTGGAGCTCCACAGGGGACGTGTGATCGAGGCAGGCGCCACTGGCTCTTCAGTAGCCTCCCGGGCGTCCCCGCGGTGTTGCGGGGTCCGGTGGGGAGAGGCCGCGAGTCCGCGGGTGGTTCCCGCGCGGCCAGGCGGTCGTGGAGAGGCCGGGGCCCGGGAGAGGCCGAGGCTCGCTCCGCCAGGGGGCGCAGGGAGGGCCAGGTGGGCGGTGTCCCCACCTGCAGGGACTCGCTGTGGAGGAGCAGAGCGTTCAGGTTTCCTCTCGCTGTGGCGACAGCCGGAGCGGCTTCAGGGCTGGGCCGGCGGCTCCAGGGCTGCTGCTAGCTCCTGGCTCCTGTCTCGAGTGGGATCCCATTCTGATTTCACCTGCGTGATTCACAGTCTCCAGTCCCACTCCGCGGCCGCTTTCTCGTTCTGTGATCTCGTATTCAGCCGTTCTTTCCTCTTCCTCATTGGCAGTATTTTTGTGCCCTTTGACACTTAAACTGCTCATTCGTGGCTAGTTTTTTTCGTACTTTTATATTAAATAATTATACATGACTTAGCTATTATAAGTAATGGCTGATATCTCTTAGAAAGGAGAATCAAGAAATAGGGAAATTATTAGCCAGCGTGGTGGCGCGCACCTGTAATCCCAGCTACTCGGGAGACTGAGGCAGGAGAATCGCTTGAACCTGAGAGGCGGAGGTTGCAGTGAGCCAAGATCGCACCATTGCACTCCAGCTTGGGAGACAAGAGTGAGACTCCGTCTCAAAAAGAAAGAAAGAAGGAAAAGAAAGAGAGGAGAAAGAAAGTGGGAGAGAGAGAGAAAATAAAATAAAAAAGAAACTGGTAAAGCAAGGAAAATTTCCATAAAATTTGCATTCTGAAGCACTAAGTTTGGGACTGTGGGTGCAAAGTGAAATCCATATTGCATTGAGAAACCATTCCATTTTTTCAGTCAAGTCAATCCCCAAATTATTCCAAATTATTTGCTGCATTACACCAAACCTGGGTTTCCCTTCACTCTCTTCTGCTGGGAAGTCACCAGTGTCTTTTGTCTCCAGGATTTTTGCCTTAGGGAGACCCAGTTAAATGCCAGGGTTCCTTCTTTAACTGGGGAGGACTATCTGACCTTTGTCACTGGAATGAATTCCTTCCCAAGTCTGCCAAAGATGGTACACAGTGACAGTTAGTGCCATGCTGGGTGTGTAGGAGAGAAGTGACTTCCTTTCCTACAGCGGATGCCTAAGGGCATGGGGCTTCATTCTCACCCGCTCCCCCACCCACCTCCTTGGAGGGGCTGAGGTAAGGAAAAGGAAGGGGTTCCTGTAAGTGACGTCAGCCACATCTATTTGTGGGCTGACATTAGTCAAGCAGGAAATCCATATTCTGTCAGCTTTTCCATCCTTCAACTTTGGGGTTGTTTTGTTTGCCCCTCGTGATCCCATTGTGCCCTACATTTCCGGTGCAGACCCCTCCCTCAAAGGACGGGCACCTCAGCTCCACAGGGCCCCTTCTCCATGAGTTTGGTGTCCTAGGCTGGCTCTCAGGAGCGCAGCTCTTCACCCCCCTGTGTTTCCCCTGCCCTCCACTGCCAGCTTGGGGCCCCCGCGCCAGGCTGGGGTAAAGCCCTGCATTCCTGGCTCACATAGCGCAGCTGCTAGAAGGGTTTTTAAAAATGTGATTTTTTTTGGCCGGGCATGGTGGCTCACACCTGTAATCCCAGCACTTTGGGAGGCCAAGGTGGGCAGATCACCTGAGGTCAGGAGTTCCATACCACCCTGGCCAACATGGCGAAACGCTGTCTCTATTAAAAATACAAAAATTAGCCCAGTGTGGTGGTGAGCGCCTGTAATCCCAGCTACTCACGAGGCCGAGGCAAGAGAATCGCTTGAACTCAGGAGGTGGAGGATGCAGTGAGCCGAGATCACACCATTGCACTCCAGCCTGGGCAACAGAGCAAGACTCCATCTCAAAAACAAAAACAAAAACAAAAACAAAAACAAAACGATGTTCTCCTTCCATTTAATACAGACTCCTCTGTTCCCTGAGACTTGGCCCCAGTCCCCCAGAGGCTGAGCTGAGAGGGAATATGGGTGAGACATGCCATATTCCTTGAGTACCCCACCTCGTTCCATTCGGTCTGGATGCCTGCTTGCCCCCCACTGCACAGAGAGTTTAAGGGCAGCCAAAGTCCCCTGGCTGCCTTTGAGTAGTGGCCCTGGAAGCCTGCTGGCCCTAACACACCTGGTCATTTTGTTTTCCCAAAAGGCGCCTGGGAGCCGCCTGGTAACACAGCCCCTGCGGGCCCTCTCAGACAGGGCCAGACATGCTGCAACGGGCCCAGATGGGCTCTGACACTCCCACAATAGAGGGGGCACAGAACTTAGTAAAACTCCTTTTAAATATCTTAAACATGTTTCAGCTGAGCCAAGGGGAAAACACCTAGTACACAGTGGCAATCGCACCAGCACAGGATCCATCCTGTGATCAGGACTGCCTGAACTCAGGGTGGAAAAACTCGGTTTGACCCCTGGTTCTACCATTAACCTTGCACTTGTACTTAACCTGACCAGAGTCATGCAGCCTCTTTTGAACACCCTCTGGGACACTACTTTAAAAGACTATCCAATCCATTTGCAGACAGCTCTGACTTAGAAATCTCTTCCTATTATTGGTTAATATTGGTTAAAACGTGTAGTTTCTGTCTTGGGTCCTAACTCAGTTCTCTGGGTCCGCACGAAAGAAGTTCAAGTACCATAGGCTGGCGGTTAAGCCATTGACCTCTGGGAAGATGTGAGCGTGGAGCCTTGCTTATGCTCTTACTAGCAGGTGACGTTGGGCCAGGAAAGGGGATAATTCACAAAAAGCCCTTAGCACAGTGTAGAACATTTAGCACACGGTGAGTACCCAGTGAAGCAGCCAGGTATTTCTTTTTCTACTGAAGGTCCCTTGAGTATCCAAAGTCAGGTTGAATCTTCTCTGCTCCAACCCAGTGGTCTCCAGTCCCCTCAACCATTGTCACAGGACTTCTGGTCAGACTCCACCCTCTCGCTCACTCTCCTCCCCTGGTCATCAGTGTCCTCATGAAGCGAAGGCCCCAGAACGAACATAGTGCCCCAAGTGTTAGGCATCCTCCCATTTCCTCGGCATTATTTTCCTTTTAATGCAGCCTGAGAGTGGCCCATATTCTTAGGGCAAAGGGCTCCCAGGCATAATGGCCTGGGAATTAGGGAGCGAGACCCAGGGCCCATCTCTGTTTAGATTGGGCACTCTTGACAGTTCCATTCTATAGCCCCATGCTCTATTGTTAACTTTTCTTCAATACAATTGTAAGGGCCTTGTTTAGCCTGAATCCTGCAGGGAGCAACTTGCACCCTTGTTCCACATGGCCACTACCAGATAAGAGCCACAGCTCAGTAAGGCCAGAGGAGTGGTTCAGCCACGTGGGAACCAGCCAGGACTCAAAGAGACAAGAGGCTCCTGTCCTGTTTCCAGCTTTAGCAAGGGAGTTGAGGGCTGGCCTGAAGTCCATTTCTCTCTGCCTTAGTTTTCCTGCTGATAAAAGCAATAGTTAGTTTCTCAGGCTCCCGCAGATTTCTCAACAGATTGTTTGAGCACTGAAGTTGAGATCTCTCCTGCTCTCTGGACACATCTCATACTGATTCCCCCCATACCCTATTTCCTACACAGGTCTGTCCTTTACCTGGACATTCTCCCTCCTCTGCCGTTTCCCTTCATCATGCTTGCTCCCGGAGAATGCAGGCACTCTCACAGGAATGCATCCATGCATCCCAAGTGGAGCATTGAGCCACGCCTCTCTCTGAGCTGCAGTGCTCTCATGAGAGACTTGCTAAATAATAATACTGTTATGTATAGGTGTGGAGCTCTGCTATTCACCAGGCACTGTGCTAGGAATTAAATATATCTTAAAGCATAAAACACACATGATTTTTTCCCTCATGGGCTTACAGTCTACCAGGGAAGACAGGTAACAAGTAAGGAAACAAAAAGTAGATAATTTCAAATCTATGACATATACTGTGAAAGTGGAAAAAAGAAGTTTGCAATGATTCTTTTTTAAAAAAAAATTTATGGCATTGGATTGGGATCCTACTCATCTGGGGCCTGCTTGGAGGTGTCTCTGGGGAGGTGATGCTTCAGCTGAGGTCTGAAGGATGAGAGGAAATGAGCCCTTCACAGACCAAGAGGGTGAGCCTTCTGAGAAGAATGAGAAGACTGCACCAAGGCCCTGAGCTGGCAAGGAGCCGGGGGGAAGGAGTCACTGGAAGGAGAGTAAACAGATGAAGGGGGGTGTGGCAGGGACTGAGCCGCAGAAGGGGGCAGGAGGCTGAAAGTGAAGGGCCCTGAGTGCCATGTTGTGGGGTTGAACCTAAGTGCAGTGGAAAGCCTTTAAAGAGTTTTATCTTTTTATTTACTTGTTGTTTCTTCTTCTTCCTCCTCCTCTTCTTCTTTTTCTTCTTCTTCCTCTTCCTCTTCCTCCTCCTCCTCCTTTTCATCGTCGTCGTCTTCTTCTTCTTTGCCTTTGCCTTCTTGTTCTTCTTGCTCTTCCTCCTCCTCTACCTCCCCAACCCCTCCTCCTCCCCTCCCCATCCTCCACCTCTTCTTCTCTTCTTCTTCTCCTCCTTCTTCTTCCTCCTCTTCCTCCTCCTCATCTTCCTCTTCCTTCTTCTTCCTTCTTCCTTCTTTCCCCCTCCTCCTCCTCCTTCTTCTTCCTCTTCCTCTTCCTCCTCCTCCTCCTTTTCATCATCGTCTTCTTCTTCTTTGCCTTTGGCTTCTTGTTCTTCTTGCTCTTCCTCCTCCTCCACCTCCCCAACCCCTCCTCCTCCTCCCCTCCCCATCCTCCACCTCTTCTTCTTCTCTTCTTCTTCTCCTCCTTCTTCTTCCTCCTCTTCCTCCTCATCTTCCTCTTCCTTCTTCTTCCTTCTTCCTTCTTTCCCCCTCCTCCTCCTTCTTCTTCTTTGCCTTCTTCTTCTTCCTCCTCCTCCTCCCCTCTCTCTCTCCTCCTCCACCTCTCCTCCTCCTTCTTCTTCTTTGCCTTCTTCTTCTCCTTTTCCTTCTTCCTCTTCCTCTTCTTCTTCTCCCTTCTCCTTCTCCCTCTCTCCCTCTTTCTTCCTTCCTTCCTTTCTTCTTTCTTTCTTTTCTTTCTTTCCTTCCTTCCCTCCCTCCCTCCCCCTCCCTCCCTCCCTTCTTTCTTTCTTTCTCTCTCTCTCTTTCTTTCTTTCTTCCTTCCTTCCTTTCCTTTCTTCTTCTTTCTTTCTTTCTTTCTTTCTTCCTTTCTTTCTCCCTTTCTTCCTTCCTTTCTTCCTTTCTTTCTTGTCTCACTTTGTCACCCAGACTGGAATGCAATAGCATGATGACAGCTCACTGCAGGCTTTAACTCCTGGGCTCAAGCAATCTTCCCACTTCAGCCCTCTGAGTAGCTGGGACTACAGGCATAAGCCACCATGCCTGGCTAAATACAAAAATTTTTTGGCGACAGAGTCTCTCTATGTTGCCCAGGCTGGTCTTAAACTCCCAGCCTCAAGCAATACTCCCACTTCAGGTTCCCAAGTATTAGGATTATAGGTGTGAGCCACCATGCCTGGTGCTTTTGAAGGGTTTTAAATAGGAGAGTAATACAATATGGTTGCTTCTAAAAATATTACTTTGGCATCTTTGTGAGTAAATTGGAGGTGGCAAGAAAACTACTAGGAGGACTAAAAAGGCTACTGCAGCAGGCCAGGCAACAGACAAAAGTGACTTAGAAGGGCGGTGGTGGCGGTGTAGAGTTCTTGAATACATCCCTGCACCATGCCAAGTTTTATATACATCTTCTCCTGTACTGATGTCCCACGCATCAAATCTGTGATCAAACTCATCATGTTGCCCCTAAATTCTCTCTCTGCTTCTCTGTTTGTGTCTTCTTTTTCTCAGGAACTTTACCCGTTAGTATTCGTTTTAGGCTGCAAGTGATAGGAAACCCAAAACAACAATAGCTTAAACAAAACAGAAGTTCTGTCTGACGCCAAAGAAGTCCGGAAAGGTGTCTATAGCAGGTATGCTGCTCTATGGCATCATCAGGGACGCAGGCTCCTTCTCCCTTGTTGCCCTGCCATCGTTGGTACGTGGCTTCTTCCTCATACTTCAAGAAAGCTGCTGGAGCTCCAGCCATCCCACCTACCTTTTAGCCATCAGGAAAGAGAAATGGACAAAATAAGGTTGTTTCTTTCTTGTTAAGGACATTTCCTCGAAGTAACACATGTCACTTTCATTTACATCCGTTGGTCATTCACATGGCGGGAAAATGTAGTCTTTATTATTGGTAATCATTGCTCCTTCCTGGGCGCTCTTACTAATGAAGAAGAGGAGACGTGCTGTTGGGCTGCAACCATCTCTCAGGCTCAAATCGTTCCCCATCCTTATGCCACTCCCAGCCCCATTTCCAGCCCTCTATTTAGGCACCAAGCTCTATGGTTCTTATTCTGCGGTGTCGCTTGAAGTCATCTCTTCCTGCTACCTCCCTGACACAGATCCCTGTCATCTTACACCAGTTTACAGAAGTAGCTTTTCTGGCTTCCAGTTACCGTTCCTACTATTACCCCTCAAAAACCTTCAATTGCTCCCTCTAGAAGATTAAGTCCATATTTTTAAATTTAGTGACCAAGGCCCTCCATCATGCAATTCCAGTCAACCCATGATAAAACCGGTTTGGTTCAATTTTAGTAACATCAGCAACAATGGTAATAATGATACTTTGCATTCCTACATGGAAGGTTTTATTGCTCACAGAAGGGACAGCACATGGCCCCTGGAGTCAGAAACGTGCGCTCATAGCCTGGCTTGACAACGGACCAGCTGTGCGATCCTGGGCAAGTCACCTGCCCTCTATTAAATAAGCACCTGCGACTGGCTGGTTCCTGATAAACCCTGAGCCCTTTCCTTTCCTGGGCCTCTTTCTTGGGATCTGTAGATAGGAAGTAAGCCTGGTCTACCTGCTTCCCAGGGGATTAGGAAGTTCAAACAAGAGGAGACCTGAACAGCTGGGGGAAACATAAAACACTGGACATCCTCTTCTGTTTTTCACCACGACCCTATGAAGTGAGCAGGCAGGACGGGGAACCCACGGTCCCTATTTCGTGGATGAGGATGTGGTGGCTCAAGGAGGCTCATGATCTGCCCTGGCCCTGACTTGTAGGGCAGTGGAGGAGGCCTGGGCCCTTGGGACCCCGATCGCCTGTGGCAGGGCTTTTGGGGTATGTGTTCCACTGGGGAGGTGTGTTACAGAGTGAGTCTGTGTTGAGACAAAAGGAGAAAGAACATAAGACGCAAAGTTTTTCTTTCAGCTTGGACTGTGCAGTCATTTTCTAATTTCTTTGAGGTCATGCTGTTTGGTACCTAGGAAAGGAATTGTGATTGGTGTTCTAGAAAAACAGTGATTTTTAGGGGGAAGCCACTGCCTATTAGTAAGTACAGGCAGAAGCGGCTCATTGTCCTTGAATGCCATGATGTCTGTTTTCGAGGGGTGGGGTGGGGTCTGGTGACTGGCTAGACTTTTTTGGAGAAAATGTATAACAAACTTAATAAAGTAAACATCTATGTTGTCAAACTTACTGAGTTAAGTAGATGTGAATATAGTTAACTGAGTAGTAGCTTTAGAATTATTTTGTCAAGTTTAACATGTGAAATTGTTCCCACTTAGTTACCAGTATTCTTAAATTGTCTTGTTTATAATTTAAACTGTGCATTTTATTTAGAGAGTAAATGTGTCTGGAGGCTTTTCATTATTTCAGAAATTAGAGGATAGATTCCTGAGGTGCCCGGCCTGTCCCTGAGGCCACGTGATGCAGAACTGGAGGCAGGTGAGTCTGAGCCGGGTGCTCGGAGCCTAGTCAAGGGTGACCACAGGCCGAGGGAGGAGAAACTTCTGACATGCAGTGTCCTCATAGGAATGCTTTGTGGTGTTATCTCCATTTCCCTGATGGAAAAACTGAGGCCAAGAGCAGTGGGGTAACTCCCCCACCATAGTGTGGAGTTGCTTAATTGCCTCGCCCCCAGCAGGGGGCATGTCTGTGTGATAATGTCTGCTACAGTGCCCAGCCTCTGTAGGAGGCTAGGAATTGTTTTTTAATAAATAAGGAGCACTATCTTCGTTCATGGCCATTCATTCTACACAGGTTCTCCTCTGTGGCCCAGCACTCTGTGAAGTAAGCAGGGCAGGAGCAATTTTCCCATTTTAGAAATTAGGAAATGGAGGCTTTGGGAGGTAAGCGAGCCAGGGTCTCACTGCTGGCCCGGGGCTGCTGCCCGCAGAGTCCTCCACCTGGAGCACTCCCATTCTCCGAGGTTCCCTTGCCAGCTGGGCATGGCTGTCCAGACTGAACATCACTCCTTCCTTCCTTCATCTGCTCAGTGCTTGAAGATCCCAGAGCCCAAGGTCACTTCAGCTAACAAGCTGATGTCCCTATATTTGGGTGAGCTGATGGTGCTAATGGCAGTGTAGATCTTCGTTTTAGAGGATAATTATGTTTTCTGAAAGTCTGTGGAGAATTGTGCCATTGCTTGAGGGATATCTAATAAAAATCACGCACTGGATAAAAGCAGACCAGAGTTCACCTAAGGAATCATCATCGTCATCATTGTCATCATCTTCCTTATCAACAGCCTCATCTCTACTCATGACAGATTTGGCCAAAAAGAAAAAAAATAAAGGAGGCCTTTCGAGGACTTAACACCCGGAGGACTTTCCTCCATGCCTCCTCTCTCTGTCTGTCTTCCTAATTTCAGTGAGTCAGTTTTTCCTCCCCATCTGTTTGCTTTCTGGCACTTTACACAACTGTCTGGGCTCTTTCATTTTGCCTTCTGTGGTTGCTCAACTCCATCATTTCCCTCTCGATGCTTCTCCTTTGTTCCCTGGCAGGCTCCTCTCATCTGCCAGTTTCCAGTCCTATGAAGAGTCAGAGGTGGGTTTTAGTTTTCAGGCAGCATTTTTGTTGCCTGGCAACGTGTAACAAGCATCTTCTGTGGTGGCTGCTTCCCTTAAAACAGAGCCAGGCTGGGGATGCAGTGGACGAAGGAGTCTCTGGGAGCTTCTCTGGGGTCATGGGGAGGAGTCAGGGGAGGGGGACAGACAGACAGGTTGGCTTCCATGGTGACTCTGAGTGTTGCCATTCTTACTCTTTTATAATAGCCTTGGCACTGGCACGCCCTCTCCTGCCCCATTTCAGGCACCCCAGGTGTCCAGTGGTGAAAAGCCTTGGGTTAGGAGCCATCAGAAGTTCTGTGTAACTTGAGAGGCACCTGCTGCAGCTCCCTGAGGCATGGCCAGCCTGGATGAAGGCTGCTAGGTGGTTTCCACTGGTGCTGACTCTTGCTTCATCTTGTCTGCACGGGATGCCACAGGCCTCCTGTCTGGAAAGACACCTGGCTTTTGCCTCTGCAGTCAGCCCAGCTGCTAGTTGTCCCGAGAATGGGAGTGGGAGAGAGAAGGGGGACAGAATGTGATCCAAAAAAACACCTGACTTAGAGCTGGAGGGGGCTTTAGAGCTTCTTTAGCCAAATCCTCATATTGTACACACGAGGAAACCAAAGCCCAAAGAAGGGAAGCAACTTGTCCAGACTCACACCGCGAGTTGGGCGGGTCTGAGCTCCCAGCCAAGGGTCTCTCTCCTGGGACTGGACTCTGCCGAGCTCACACATCTGATGCCCTGTGGCTAGAAAGAGGCAGCATGTGGTGAGAAGTGCACCAGATGCCCAGTTCTCCGCTTTCTGGCCTCCATTTGCTTATCTAAAAAGAATGAGGTGAACTGGGCTAGAGGGAGCCCCAAGACTCAGTGACTCTGATGGTAAAGCTGACACAGCAGGCAGGCCCCTGCTGCCCAGGCCTTCAGCCACGTGTCCAGGGCTGCTCTCACCGCCCCAGGAAAGCTCAGAAGCTGAGGGGGTCCTGGGCCTCTGAGCTGATGCTCCCCAGGAGAATCCCACTGTATGCAGAGACCCCGAGCACAGCCACGACACTTGTCACCATGAGGCTGATTTAGGGCAAGCCTCCTGGGCATCTGTGTCTTCAAAGATGGTCTCTTAAGACCCTTATCAAGGATCAGGGCTGCAGCTGCCCACTCCCCTACCTAACCAGCTCTCCATCTAGTGTGGGAAACGGGTAAGAAAACATTCTCTGAGAATTACAGCTCCTTAGAGCTGGAAGGGGCCCTAATGCACATGGACCCAGCCCCCCACCCTTCCCAGATGAAGAGAGGGAGGCCCAGAGCTGTGAGAGTTGATGCGAAGGGGGTTTTGCTCTATTCCCTTCAGACCCCACAGGTGAGAAGGCATCTCCAGATGGGTCATCTCTTTATCCTGCTCCTTCCTTTCCTTAAGTAAGAATCTCTCAGTTCAAGAGGCAGAGAAAAGGATTGCTGAAGGCAATCTGTCTCTTCATATCTCTTTCATTCTGCTCCTGGGGCCGAGGAAATGGGTGAGGAGGGGTGCAGGAGGCCCTTGGCCTGAGCACCAGGCCTGGAGCCTTCCCTTCCAGCCGCTGCTCTCCAGAGCTTGGGGTGCACCAGCTTCGAGGCTTTAGAAGCTTCTCCAGCAAGAAAGGCCCTTCTGAGGGAAAAGTGTGTGCGACTGGCTGTCTCCATTCCTTTCTCCATATAGTGTTGACCTTCGGAATTAGCTTTATTCCTGACGTGTACCAGAATTTTCAGTTAATCATGTAAACCAAGGCTCAGGTGACTTGGCTGTGGGCAGTTGGGGCCGGACCAGCCCCTGAGAAACTACTCCCATCCCAGACTTCGTGACGCTTCACTTGGCCAGAGCCCACTCCCAGAAAGCAGGGAAATGTGCCTTTCTGCGTAGCCCAGGCCTATGGAAAGAGGCGAGAGGTCAGGGACAGCTGCACTCCCTGGGCAGGCTGCTTGTGGTCCGGGAGCATCCCGTAGTCTCCCCAAGCCCCACGGCCGTGGGGACCCCGGGTCAGGGCATTATTGTGCATATCCCTGTCCTCAGGCCCCTCATGCTCAGGCCAGACCCTCACCCAGGTGCCCTTGCCCTCAGACTCCTCCCCTTCCAGCCATTGTCTCTGTCTCCATCCCTGTCCCTCTCTTTCTCTATCTTCCTCTCTCTCTGATTCCCTGGGGGCTACTTTGCAACCTCTGCTGAGTCAGAATTCTTCCCACTCGCCCTGACGTCCCAGGCTCCTCCTTGGCACCCTGTCTTCTCTGTGGCAGGGAAAGACGCCCAACCAGAGCTCCCACGTCCTGCCCTGGGAACCCCACTGCTCTGGGAAACAAAAACAAGAAAATTCCTTCCCAGGGTACTTGTTCTGTGCTGTTCCTCTTTGTTCTTGGTCACAGGGTGATTCCCACGTCCTTCCCACACTAACCCTGCCTAGGTGAGGCTGCAGCTTTGTGTGCCTTCCACAACATTTGCTTGCCTGGGGAGCTGCCTGCCTTTAATTATCTTTGGAAAGCATAACTGAGAAGAGCAAGACACCCGTCTTTTCTTTAGGGCTCTTGCCAGGAGCACTGCCTATGCAGCACTTCCCTCCAGGGGGTGCCATTCACATTGAAGTCTTCGTGACTGGCACTCCTTGGAGTTGCACAGTGCGCAACCTATGCTGCTGAACAGGGCAGCCCTGGCTCTGTCTTACTCTCCTGGGAAGCATGGCTCATTATAACACAGATCCAGGATGAGATACCTGAGAGAGAGAGAATCCCCACCAGTCTCTCCACTCATCTCACCTCCCTTTTTAGGTCTCCACCTCCTCCAAGGTGTAATATGGTCAAAGACAGGGCTCCTCCAAGGTGCAATATGGTCAAAGACAGGGCTGTGGATGCAGGCAAGTCCAAGCACACACTCGGGCCCTGCCACTCAATTGATGTTTTATTTTGTGCAAGTTTCCTAATCTAGTAATTAATCAAGTGATCCTCCCACCTCAGCCTCCAGAATAGCTGGGACTATAGACACGTACCACCATGCCCTGCTAATTTTATTCATTTTTTGTAGAGACAGCATCTCACTATGTTGCCCAGTCTGGTCTTGAAATCCTGGGCTCAAGGGATCCTTCTGTCTCAGCCTCCCAAAGTGCTTGGATTACAGGCATGAGCCACTGCACCTGGTCTAATTTTCCAATTCAGTAAAATAGGAAGTGACAGTTATGAGTCTTGTTTTTTGAGGATTAAATTCAGTAATGCGCATAAAGCTTTGGCCCACATGGCACGTGATTGGCACTTGAGAAATGATAGTGATTATTGTTATCTCTTCAAATAAGATTAGCATCCAGTCTTACCTACCACACAGAGATAGCCCCAGAAATAAAATGAAATGAGAAGTAGATCATCTCTAAGATCTTTGAGGAAGTATTTTGCAAGAATCCCAACTACTGTTGTTCTTCTCTCTGTATATAAAAAACGATGAACTGTGAAGCCCCTTTGCTTCCAAGTCACGCTCTGTGACTGATGGCAGATGTCGGGAAAGGCTCAACCAGGAGAGAGAAAGCTTGCAGGCGCGGGCGGCAGACTGAGGGCCCCGGGCGGGTGGAGCTCAATGAAAACCACAGACAGACAGCAGCTGTGAGAGCAAGCAGAGACCCAGAATGGCTTTAAACAGAAAGCAGAGGCCCACAGCAGGGAGTGAGATGAGACCAGGTTTAAACGTCACTTTCCCCTAAGTCCTTGTTCATTCACAGCTTCCTTCAGTAGCTCTGACCAGCTTTCTCAGCACCTGCCGACCGACAAACCAACCAACCAATGGAGGCTGGTGCTGGGGGTGGAGATGGCCAAGAGCCGGTGGTGAGAAGTGAGGGAGAATGGGGAAGAAGGGGCTCCACAGAGGGCACTTGATCCGGGACGGCTTTCCGGAGGAGGTGATTTCCTAGGCCTAAGGGGCCTCCGGGCAGAGGGGCCAGCATGAGGGAAGCTCGGAGGTGGGGGAGCATGGATTGGAGGAGAGAATAAGCAGTTGCTTGCTGGGGTGTCATAAGATGCGGCAGTGCACTCAACGCTACAGGAGCAGGCACGGGCCTTTTTCACCAGCCTAAGGATTTTGGAATGACTCTTCTATCAGCCAACAGTTTCCAACCTTATTTATGTACTTGTTTCTTTGATTCCAGCGATGCAGGAGAGATGATATTCAGACAGCCGACTTCTGCTGTGGGTGTGCCCCAGGTTATAAATCATTTCCATCAGGCTAGCTGGAGTCCCGGCCCTTCCTTTCCACTGAAGAAAGCAAATCAGAGTACCAGATAGCGAGAGTGATATTATCACAGGATAGCCTTGAAACTGCCATAACAAAAAAAATAAATCGTTCACAAATGTCAATCCTTCAACTACTATTAGCCCCAGAGAGACTGTTTGTCTGCCCCAGTGTGTCGCTGTGCAGAGGCTGAGAACGTCCCCTCTCCTCTTCCCACACCTAGGAGAGGGGGAGCCACTGGTAGATTGGGAGCAGGGGAGGGTCTGGAGTTTCAGAAAGATTTCCCTGGCTGCAGTGTGGAAGGGGGATTTGAGGGGAAGACGGGACACCAGCTGGGGAGGCTGCTGTAGTAACAGAATGCTGCCCCCACCACCCCTGGGTACAGTGGTGGCTGGGATGAAGAGCAAGGGCAGTTTTGAGAGAGCTAGAGGAGCCAACCTCCACCGGACTGACTCACTGGATGTGGAGTGATGGGGAGGAAGCTCAGGAACAGTGTCTGGTGTCCTAGTGTGGCTGGCTGGATAGCTGGTGGGACTGCCCACGAATAGGAGGTGCAGGAGGAAGAGGGCCGGGGTTGCAGGGGACCTGGGCAGCAGGGAGAGGGCAGGTAATGAGCAGAGTTGGGGATCGGTTGAGCTTAGTTTACCTGCCACCCCTCCAGAGATGTCCCACGTTGGGGGGACCCATGCACCTACTCCAGATGTTACCCTCCCCACTTTACAGCACAGGATTCTGCCTGGTGACATTTGATGCCATCTGTATCTGGCCACCCAGTGGGTGCAAAATGCAAGTTTGCTGATTAAGCAAAATCAACCTGAAGCAAACAAAGACTGATGTCCCCAAGGGATAGCCAGCTCCTTGGAGGCAGAAACCCTTTCCCTCTAGGGCAGAGCTTCCTCTGTGGGTCCTCACAGGGGAGGGTGGGAGAGAGACTGAACAAGTGAAAGGGAAAACAAGAGAGGAGAGATGAGAGGGAGGTGGAGACAGTGCTTCAAAGGAGAAAAAAAGAAAAAGAAGCATGAAAGAGAAGAAGAAAGAACAGAGAGGGGCAAAGGCAGGAAAAATAGAGGAGAAGGAGGAAGAAGATGGAGGGGTTTGGGGCAAGAGTAACAGTGCAGGCCAGCTGTGCCTGTGAGTTCACGGGGTTCTGCTTATTAAACCCCAGCACTGGCAACTTTGAGAAGATGCTCAGAGTTCTTTCCCCGCCCTGCTTCTCCCTCCAACTCACCTCAGCCTTCTCCTGAGCCTGCCACTCCACCCGCAGCACTGTCATCCCAACCCATACCTGCTCCTCTGAGATAGCCGTGTGTCCCCTGCGCAGTGGCCCCGTGCCCCAACTTGGCATCACTTGTCTCCATTGTAACGCGGCCCTTTTTTGCCTTGGTGTTGCTTGGTGTCTGCCTTCTTCCTAGAACTCTAAGTTCCCAAGTAGGCACCAAGCCAGGCACACAGGAGGGGGCTCATTCCTATTGCTGACCAAATGAACTCATTTACTAAGTTCCAAAATTTGTGTCAGGCACTATGCAGAGTTTTATATTTTTCACTAGTCCCGTGCAAGGTTTTACTGCTTCATTTTACAGAAGTGAAGCCCAAGACACAGAGAGGTAAGCGCCTTCCCTAGGCCACACAGCTAACAGGTGGCAGGGCTGGGATCCAAACCCCCGTCTGTTGGACTCTCTGCCCATGCCATCTCTGCCACGCCATCTCCAGATACCGTGGAAGACATGCTTCCCATGGGAACAGTGCTTCTTCCAAGCATATTATTTTTCTCCATTTTCATGCATTTTATTAAACATTTCCAAATCAGGAAACATGGAAATATTTTTTTAATAAGAAGAAAGAAAACATTGCAAATTGAGAAACTGACTCAGAAGGATTTGCCAGATGAGCCATCTGGTTTTTAATTTCAAAGAGGTTGACAGTGCTTCCCTCTAAGAAGAAAATGGACTGTGGAAGGAATGGCAGCTGGCTTCCCTCAAATGGTGCATCCATTTGCAAGGTGGAGAAGTTGAGCAAGACCAAGAGACCCAAGAGAAGAGAAACACACTCCAAGAAAAGCTTGGCCAGTGCTGGTGTTGAAGCTTCCCCGCTGAGGCCTGCAGAGGTTGCATCCAGCTGTGTGACACCAGCCAGCTGTCCCACCTCTTCCAGAGTTTCTCAGAAGCTTCTACAGGAAACCACTAATGGAGACAGAGATGCCACCACCTCGGTGAGAAAAAGCCACACCAACCAAACTCTCGTTTTCACAGAGCAAGAACAAGCTGTGGTTGTTTGGCGGCAAGTCGCATTTGTTTGTTGGAGCCATTGTGCTCTGGTGGTGCTGGTTTTCTCTCCTTTTAAAAATAACTGGAGGCCTTGCACCATGCTGTTAGTTCTTAGGGCTGGAAATAAAAGACTAGATTTAGAGTTGCCTTGGAAAGATCCAGGGCTGTTACCTTGAATTACCTGGTAGAGGAAAACGTCGTTATTTTCCTAAATTCAAAGCCAACTCTTGAAAAATAGGACACAGAGGTGAAGTGGATGGAGGGGTGGCTTTATACATGCATGTGGTGTCCTGGGCACGTGGTTTGATAGGCTTGTGATCAGCCCTGAGTCTTCAAAGCCATTTATTTTACATTTTAAGATGTTTATAAGGGAAATTGTTTTTGAGAAAAGAACGAACTATTTTTTTTTTTTTTTTGCCTTAATGTGAATTCACCCACTGGCACAAGCAGTAATAGCCCTGAAGTCACCCTAGGCCATTTATTCCTCAGCTGCCTTTGAATTTCAATGGGATTCTTTCACACGCCTCAAGCATTTCTGAAATGCTCCTAAACTAAAGGAACTCATAATACCCTTAAGAAATGATGATTTCACCCCATTTTCTCCATAAAGCTGGAATCACATGCCCTAGCATGCTGAAGGTACTTGATAATTAGAAGTTGATTATATTGGGGACCTGGACAAAGGCAGAGCTGGGAATGGGAATAAAACCCAGGACTCCATGAAAGTCTCTTTCCTTTCATAATAGCTTCTAATTCAGGCTTCTAATAGCTTCGAATGCCAGTCACATACAGAGCCTCCCGGCCATCACCTACTGGCAGTGGCTGAGCGGGTATTTTGCCAAGCTAGAATGGTTCCTGCCCAGGCACACGGGTGCTGCCTCCACGCCCCACCCTGTGCCCAGCTCACTACAATTGCCATCTTTAGCAGCCGAAAAAATACAGGTTTCAGTCCCAGTCTTTTCGCTTAGTTGCTGTGAGAAGTTAGTTAGGTCAGTTACGCACTGGAGCTTTGCACTGATTCACTGTAAAATCAGGTAACAGCTCTTATCCTGCTGGTCTTGTCCCACTGGCTTGTGAGAAAGACGAAGTGGAGCCATTCATTCATTCATTCATTCATTGGACAAGTATTTATTGAGTACTAGGGATACAGCAGTAAAGAAAACAGAAAAAGTCCTTTCCTCCATGAACCTTATATTGTAATAGGGGTTGTCAGTCAATAAATACAAAAATAGGCCACATATCTATTATGTCAGGTGGTGATAAGCGCTGTGGAGAAGAATGACTCGGGAGAAGCTGGCCTGCTGGGTGTGGGGCAGTAGTGCACTTGGAGACAGGGTGGGCGGGTAACACCTTACTGAGAAGCTGACATTTGTGCAAAGGCCTGAAATTATCTGGGATAAGAGCCTTCTAAGTAGAGATGTCCCGTGACTTATGATGGGATTACTTCACAATAAACCCACAGTAAGTGGAAAATATCATAAGTTGAAAATGCACTGAACGTACCTAACCTACTGAGCATCATAGCTTAGCCCAGCCTACCTTAAACGTGCTGGGAACACTTATGTCAGCCTGCCGCTGAGCAAAATCACCCGGCAGCACAGTGCCCTGTAGAGGACCTTGTAGAGTACTCATGATCACCTGGTTAACTGCGAGCTGCCCAGCATCAGGAGAGAGAATTGCATCACAGATCCCTAGGAAAAGATCAACATTCAGAATTTGAAGTACGCTTTCCACCGACTGTGTATTGCTTTTGCACCATTGTAAAGTGGCACCATTGTAAGTCAGGGCCATCTCTGAAAAGAACAGCAGGTGAGGGGCTCTGAGGCAGGAGTAAAGCTGGCTGGGTGAAGGAGCTGCAGAAACCCCAGGTGGCAGGGCCAATGGGCGAAGGTGAGATGGGCTCAGAGAGGCCCCCAGGTTGGGGGCCCCAGGGGACTTCGGCTTTTTTTCTGAGGGATACAGGAACTTTTGTCTTACTTTTTTTAGAGGGCCTCTCTGACTACTGTAACAGGACTAGCCTGAGGCAAGCGTCGCCCAGGCAGAAGCAGGGAGGCCAGTGAGGCAACTACTGCAGTGGTCCAGGTGAGAGGGCGGTGCTGATCCAGGTGAGAGGGTGGGGCTGGAGCAGGTAAGAGGATGGGACTGGAGCAGGTAAGAGAGTGGGGCTGGTCCAGGTGAGAGGATGGGGCTGGTCCAGGTGAGAGGGTGGGGCTGGACAAGGTGAGAGGGTGGGGCTGGTCCAGGGTGGCCACAGACCAGGGATGACAGGCGCTCCGATTCTGGAGATATTTTGAAAGCAGAGGTGACAGAATTTGATGGAGATAAGGGGTTTAAGCTGCAAGTCACCAAATGAAGAGAAGGGGCTGCAGCCACCCAGAAGAACAGCGAAGATTAAAAGGAGAAGCTGGGAGGAGTTTCTGTTTTCCTACACAGCAGCATCTGCTGCCTGTTCTTTCTCCACATCCGTGCAGCTGCCCTTGTCACTAGGACGAAGCCCCAGGTGAGAGGCTCCTGCAGAGGCTGTGACATACCTCTATCTGTATCACTTGCTGAAGGCTGATGGAGCCCGTGCACATTCACTCCTCACCGCGGCCTCGCGAGGCAGGCAGGACGGCATCATTACACCCTGCTTCCCCGAAGAAGCAGCAGGCCCTGAGTCCGTGGAGTGATCTGCTCAAGGTCACAGAGCCATTTGGCATGAAAGGCAGTCTCTGGGCTCCAGATCTTGTGTTCTTTCTGCTATGCCAAGGCTAACCATAGACACACGAGATGAAAATAGCACTTTTTTTTAGTGCACCTATGTGCCCGGCACTGCTCTAATCATTTTAGACATATCAGCTCCTTTAACCCTCACAGTAACTCTCTGTGAGGTGGTACAAGTATTATCCTCTTTTACAGGTGGGAAGACTGAGGATAAGTTCATGCAGACATTAAGGTGCAAAGCCCGGATTCAAACATAGGTGTTCTGGCCCTGGAACCTGTAGGTTCAGCTATACCCCAGCCAGCTTTGCGGCCTTTCTGCAAGCCAGTGTGTGGGCAGTAGGTGGATGGTGCTGATGCCACGTGTGGGAGACACAGGCAAAGAGCTGGGGTTGGCTGGGTGGGTCAGGATGGGATTTGAAGTGGGTCCTGAAGGGCCAGTTAGAAGGCATCAGGGAGGACAGGGCAGGAGTGACAGGAGCAAGAGAGCCATGTGTGCAAGGCAAGCTTGGAGCACAGCAACCCTGAAGCGGTGGTCAGAGCATGAAGCCAAGGAGGCACAGTCGAAGGCGGGAGGAAAGCAGGCCAGTGAGCCGCTGCAGATGCCAGAGGAGGGCAGTGTTCCGAGGAGAGAGGCACCGGTGGGGTCAGAGGCCGCCAGGGGGCCAAGCCAGGTACGTGTTGTTGGCTTCCTCATTGGAGAAATTCGCAAGCACAGGGTTCACAGCTCAGTGGGCAGGTCTGACTGTGTGACTCTGAAGATTGACCGGAAGGCAAGGACGAAGCAGTCCATTTGGCTGCTTTGGAGTTCTGCAGAGGATCTGGCTCAATGCCTGCAAATTTCCAACAAACAAATCAGACCCAGGACAAATGGCTAGAGCCGTCATATCATGTAGATCCATGTGAAAAGAATCCTTTTTTTTTTTTTTTTACAAAACTAGTTTTAAAAAGTATTCAAATTCTTTTGGAGAATAAGGAAGAAGAGGCAGTCATTTCACTTTGGCTTATTTTCTGTCACCCTAGTGCTGTAACAGATCACAGCTAGTGTCATGAAGCTGAGTTCTTATTAATAGTGAGAACTGACTCCAAGCTCAAGGAATTTGGCAGCCACCTTGACAAAGGTTTAATCTGCTGAAGAGAACAGCTGAAATCATTTTAACATGATTCACTGAATTACTGAAGCAAGCCT
This sequence comes from Homo sapiens, assembly GCF_000001405.40. NCBI lineage: Eukaryota > Metazoa > Chordata > Mammalia > Primates > Hominidae > Homo > Homo sapiens. Next base: position 154,741,452 of record NC_000001.11, on the reverse strand, counting down.
CACTTTTGTAGAGGGACAGGAAAAGCAGCATGCAGGCCTTAGTCAGTCCACAAGTATTTTAGTGAGCCCCTATTATGTGCTAGACCCTCAGAAGGTACCAAGGAAAGGCTACAGAGAATACTGTAATATAACTTCAGGGTTAGACAAATAGACCAATGGAACAGAATAGAGAACCAAGAAATAGTACCACTTCCACATATAATTTATGAGACAGAGGGAGCATTGAAAGCTAGTAGGAGAAAGGATGGTCTGCACATTAAGTGAAACTGAGATAATTGCTTACCCATGTGAAAAAAATGAAGTTGTATCCCTGCCTCACACCATATGCAAAATCAATTCCAGGCAAATTGAAGACTTAGAAAGGCAACATTTTAAAATATGTAAAAATGTTACAATCTCAGGGAGGGAATGATTTCTGCAAAAACCAAATAACTGCTAATTATAAATTAAAGGATGATAAAGTCACCTACAGTAAAATTTAAAACTTCTATTCATCAAAAATACTGTAGAGAAAAAGGCAAGGCACACACTGGAAGAAGATATTTGCAACACACAAACTGACAAAATTCTTATTATCTAGAATATATAAATAACTTTTAGAATCAATGAGAAAAAACAAAAACAAGCCAATAGAAAAGTGGACAAAAGTCATGAATGACACGCCACAGAAGAGAAAGTATGAATGACAAAGAAACATATGAAAGGCTACTTAAGCTTTTATCATGGAAACGTAAAGTCAAGTCTTGATGAGATCCCAATTCACCCACTAGTGTGGCAGAGATTAAAGTCAGACAATGGCAAGTGTTAATGAGGATATGGAGAAACAGGAACTCTTATCCACCTCTGGTGGAAGCCTAATTGGCACTGGCATCTTAGAAAACAACTTGACATTTCCTAATGAAGTGAAATATGTACATATCCTACAAACCAGCAAACCCAGTCTTAGGTATGTGTCCTAGAGAAACTCTTATGCAGTGTACCAGGAGCTATGATTAAGAATGTTTGGGCTGGGTGAGGTGGCTCATGCCTGTAATCCCAACATTTCAGGAGGTCAAGGCAGGAGAATCTCTTGAGCCCAGGAGTTTGAGGCTACAGTAAGCTATGATTGTGCCACTGCAGTCCAGCCTGGGCAACAGAGTAAGACCCTGTCTCTAAAAATACAATAACAATAAGTCAATAAAAAATAATGTTTGTAGCAGTATTTCTCATTAGAGGAAAAACCCGTAAGCTATCCCACTGTCCATCAACAGGTGAATGAATAAATAAATCATGCCATATTCATATGATGAAATACAATACAGGAATAAAAATAGACTATAGCTACATATGTCAATATAATATATATGTTGAACAGAAAAGAAGCAATTCATAGAAGAGTTCACTGTATTAGTTATCTGTTGCTACATAACAACTTGCTCCAAAATTTAGCAGCTAAAAACAGCAGACATTTACCATCTCAGGGTTGCTGTGGGTCAGGAATTCAGGTGCAGCTTAAATGGGTACCTCTGCCTCAAGTTCTCTCATGAGATTGTCAGGCTGTCAGCCAGGGCTGTGGTCTCACCTCAAGGCTTGACTTAAAGAACACCTGCTTCTAAGCTACTCATGTGGTGGTTGGCAGGCTGTGTCCCTTGCCATGTGGCACTCCACGGGCTTGCCTCCCGACATGGCCTGTGGATTCTCCCAGGGAGAGTGATCCAAAAGATAACTAGTGAGAGATCACCCAAGACAGAAGCCATGATCTTACCATAACCTAACTTCAGAAATGAAAGTCTATCACTTCTGCCATACTCTATGTGTTAGAAACCAGTTACTTGGTCCAGCCCACACTCAAAAGGAAAGGATTGCAAAAGTGTGTGAAGACCTCAAGAGGAGGGGGGATATCGAGGTCATTTTAGAAGCTTCCTACCATACTCTTGTGGTATGATTTCATCCTTATGAAGGTCGGAAATAGGAAAAATGAAATTACATATTGCTTAGGTAATCCTGCCTACATGGAAGCACTATGAAGAAAAACGAGGAAATGATAAACATGACATTCAGGGTAATGATGATCCTGGGGTGGGGGGCACTAAGAATGGAGAGAACATACAAGTAGATCCCACAGGTTGGAGCTGGATGGTGAGTTCATGGTGCTTATTTTCTTTCTGTGTTTCTTGATGTCATTTAATGTTGCATGTAGTTTTGTTTTTTCTCTTTGGTTTGGTGTTCTGTTGATATGATCAAAGTTACATGTGCATACACTGTAGAGTCAATCCTTCCGTGGTATTTGCTGTCTTCCACCAGCTCTTCCCATTTACTGTTCTCCAGAGGCAGCTACTTTTACCTTCTTTTGCTAATTAATTTTAGTATTTACCTCCATGTCTGTAAGTAATATGTGTGTATTGCTACCTTTTGATGCTTTGGTTTATTTAGGTATTATCTATTCCCTTCCCACTCTGGGAGATGAAAATTTAGCTCCCTTTCCTCTCCTCCAACTCTTCCTCTCCCTTCATCTTCCTTTTATAATTACATCATAATTTTGGTTAAAGCAGTAATCAGTGTTTACATTACTCAGTCAACACTAATTTGACTCTATTCATAGTTGAGCCTTGTAGTAAAAAATATGATAACTTTTCCCTTCCTGCAGAACTTTTCATTTTTCCTGGAGTTGTTAATGATCGTGTTTGTTTGTTTGCTTAGTTTTCTATGTATTCGTCATTAATGCAAGTGCAAACTCTGGCAGTTGTCTAAACCTCTTTTCAGGATGTTCAGGCACATTAAGTTTCCTATCAATTTCATCTCCTTGGAAGTGTCTCCCAGAGCCTCTTGACCTGCTCCAGCCCGGACGGGTTGTCCTCCGCACCTGGTGAGCACCTGTCCTATGAGGGCCTCCCTGTAGCATCACCCTGAGCTCGTTACCTTTATTCCTTGTCTTCCTCCTTGGTTTACTTCTTTGTTTTGGTGAAGCATACCTCCTGTGTCTTCCTGAGAGAGGGTGCATGGGAGGCAAACCCGTGACAACCTTACGTATCTGAAAATGTCTTCGTTCCACCCTCAGACTGAACTAATACTTTGGCCAATTCAGATTTCTGGTCTCTGGTTTGGAATTCTGATTTGGAAATAATTTTCCTCCAGAATTTTGAAGGCTTTATTCCATGGCCTTCTAGCTTCCAGTGTTGCTGTCAAAAAGTCCGAAGCTGTTGTAATTTCTGGTTCTTTGTATTTGGCCTCTTTTATACCCTCCCCCAAAACCCCTAAAGCTCTGTAGGATTGTCTCCTTTCCCCTGGTGTTCTGAAATTTCACAATAATGTGCCTTGGTGTGCATCTATTTTCATCCACTGTGCTGGGGACAGTGAGCCTTTGATCTAGAAACTCATGCCCTTAAGTTCTGGGGATTTTTGTTTTTGAATGATTTTTAAAATAATTACTTCTCTCCTTCTTTCTCCTTCTTTTCCCCCCAGTTGTTTCTTTCTGTAACTTCTACTGTTTGAATTGGGAGACTGATTCACTAATTTTCTCATATTTTCTTTCCCTCTCTCTCCTTTTAAGAGATGATGGGGGTCTTGCTCTGTCCCCAGGCTGAAGTGCAGGGGCACAATCATAGCTCACTGCAGCCTCAACCTCCTGGGCACGAGCAATCCTCCTGCCTCAGCCTCCGAGCAGCTGGGGGATACAGGCACACACCACAATGCCTAACTTCATATTTTCTTTCATTTTCATTCTTTGTCTTTTTCTGCTTTTTGGGAGAATTCCTCGATTTATCATCTTCCAGCCCCTCTAGGAAGACTTTTTTCATACAGCATTCCATTCTTGTCTCGTGGGTCCAGTATCTTATTTTCTCTCTCTTACGTTAATTATAGGATTTTTCCTTCAAGAGTTCTCTCTGTGAATGGTCTGTATTTGATCCAGAGTTCCTTCTTTTTGTTTGTTTAGTTGACTGGTTTGATCTGTGTCTTTCATGTTAGAGACTCCTGACTGTCTGGGGATTCCTGGTTGCCTGCTTATTTTTAAAAGTAGGAGACTAACAACTTTGAGCTGTAAGGGATTTGAGTGAGCAAAAGTAGACATATGTCTCTACCATCTTTGCCAAGTCATACAGTCTTTTGTATCTCTCATTTATTTCATGTTAAGAAGTGAAAAAAAATCCATAGTCCACACCCTGAAAGATAAATCAGTAACTGTAATAACTACCCTTGAGCTCAAAGAAAAATTACATCTTTTCCTCCTCAGCCTTTAAAGAAAAACATGGAGCTATCCCCCCCCCCCAAATTTTCTATTGCAAAAAATAGCACAAGATTAGTATGTGAGTTTGTGACATGTGTAAACCGCTCTAAAATTGTGAATAGGTTTAGAAACCTTTTCTCCCTCCTCTCTACTCCCACAGTCCTGAATCACCAGCCCAGCCTTCTGGCTCATCACTTCCTGCTTGGTGAGTTGCATGTATGTCTTATCTCCATGACGAAGCTCCAAGCCACTGGAGAGCAGGGTGCATGTCCAATTCATCTCAGCATCTTCCGTAGCCCCCACCAGAGAAGCGATCACTGAAGGCTGACAAACAACGAAGGACACTCTCAAGATCTTCACTCCTCTCCTCAGCACACACAGTTAGCACGCACAGGAGTTTATTATGGTGAATGAAAAAAGAAACCCACAAGAACATAATTTATATGTAATTCCACTTTGATCTCTAATCTCTTTACCTTGGCATCCTCCCACATATGAATAGGATGGTCCATGATCCTAAGGGCAGCCAAACAGCCAGGGAGCACGAGTTTAATCCTCAGGGTTTGCAGGGAAAGGAGGACTGTGGAGACCCACGTGCACAAGAAAATCCATGATGTGCACAGAGGGCAGGCTACAAATTAATCCTAACTTCATGGTTCGGTATTCAAGGCTCTCCATTGCTTCTCCCTGGACACCTGCAAAGCTTCTAGCAGCACTGCTTATCTGGGGCCTGACCCCTTTAGTCAGTCTTTCATGTAGAAGAATCATTTTCAGATACTAAGTATCTCATGTCTTTTCTTTGTCCAAGAACTTACAGTTGATTTCTTTTGTGTCTGTATCAAATAGTTCTCCAGCCTAAACTTCAAGACATCTTCATGAATGCCTCACCACTCCACTGCACGTGTAAATCCATGCCCCTGTATTTTTCTGTCTATTGTTTCTCAGACTGATAACACCTGCGCCCTCTCAGCAACAATAATGGCTGACATTTAGTGAGCACTTAATTTGGGTCACTGTGCTGGTATTGCTTGTGGGTTATTTTACTTAATCCTCCCATCATTGGATAAGGAAATTGATTGACAGAGAGGGCACGTCACTTGCCCACAGCCATGGAGCTACTTAACTCTGGAGCTGGAGCTCCAAGCCAGGCAAGCCCAGCCCAGCCCAAGATCACTGGCTCAGCTCAACTCCTCACTGCTAAACTGCCTCAACCACATTTCTTCAGACCTTACCCAAGACTTATCTTCCAGGAAATGTTTTTCGGAAGAACTGAGGACCCTGGCTGTGACTGTATTACATTTATGTGTTGCAGGCTTGTGGCGTGGAGCTGCCTTTACGTCTTCTCCCTTCTGTGTCCCCTCCCACAGTCACTGAGTCTTGCTGCTTTAGAGAAGCTAAAGTCTGATTTTCCACCACTGCCTCAGCACAGGGCCTGAGGATAGGGTCTGCCACCATCCCTCCAGCCAGAAAGCAACCTGCTGGGAAGGGAGGGGTTGCATTGACCTGAGGGCCTAGCAGGGCAGAGTGAGCAGGCCAGGGAGACAGCTGCCTTTCCAAGGCCACAGCAGAACTGGGAGGGGGCTGATGCGCTGGGTCACGGTCAGGGGTAGACGCAATCCTGGGAATCAGAGTTGGGAGCCACCAGCCTGTGCTACTCAAGGATAGCCAGGGGAGCAAAGGCAGGCCCAGCCCAGGGAAATGAGGCCCACGCAGCCAGCCAGGGGCCCCTAGGGTGGTAACAGAGCATCCCTGGGGAGCAAGTATAGCAGATGGAGTGGGCAGGCAAGGCCATCTCATTAGCAGAGCTTTGGGGAGGGGGTATCTTTTCTTCAGATGTCCCCAGAAGTACCAGACACCCATGTCCTTGTGCAGACAGCCACAAAAAGGCTAATGCTGTGCCACCCACTGGGTCTCCAGTTGCTGGCCAAGGACTCAAGTGGGGCTGGAGAGCCCACCATTGATGTGCTCGCGGGAATCTGCTAGGGCCGGGCTCCGGTGGGTGAGAAAGGCTGTGGCCTGCGTCTCTGTCCCAGCTTTGCACACCTGTTTCTTGCCTGGTCACCCCACCTCTGTGTCCTGTCTCTTCAGATACCCTGCTCGCCACCCGCCGACCATTCTTCCCAGCAAGCTGTGTTATCTTGTCATTCCTGTGCTCAAGAACCCAGAATCTCTTCTAAGGCCTCTAAGACAAGATCCAAGCTTCTTCTCCCAGAATTCCAGGCCTTCCTAAATCTGACCCCTGGTCTCTGAAGCCCCCTGGTCACCTGCTACTGGAGCCCAGGTGCTCTCCTCTCACTGAAGCTTCCTCATTATTCCCAAGACACACGCCAGTCGCTTTTGCCTCTCTGATGTTGAGTGAAACAGTGAAAGGAGCATGGGCTTTGCTTCCTGTGTGTCCTTAGGCAAGTCACCCAGTGTCTCCGTGCCTCCTGCTGCTTACCTGGGAAATACTTTAAAGACTGTTGTGAGATGAGAATGTTTGCGTACAAAGTGCCAGCCACACAGTAGGTGCTCAATACATGCACAGTATCCGTCATACCATGCTCTTGCTGCTCCCTGACTTGATGGCCCTGTCCCTTTCTGACTGGCTGAGCTCCTGTCTCCTTCCAGGCCCATCTCTAGATGCATCTACACATGCAGCCTGCCCTGCACGCCTCACTTAAGGCGCCAAGGGAAGGAAAAGCAGCATTTGCCTATCACTCGCTGGGCACAGACCCTGTGGGGGCATGGAGATTCCTGATGACGGCAGCGAATCCTTCCAGGGGGCTTCCTTGTACTAGGCCTGTCCCGGCACGTTGTGTGCATTAACTCACGGAAGCCCCAATGGTAACTGACTTCCATAGATTAAGGTTCCTAAATGGCTTTTCTGCTCTATCCAGCCTAGTAGGTTTGGTCTCCCTGGCCCTTTGTTCTTAGCTTTCCCCATCCAGTGGCCTCCAAGTGGTTAAGAGGAGATTTTATCAAGAGGTGAAGCCCTACAGTATAAAATACAGAGTCTATTGTGTGTTGTTCAGGCTGATCCCATTAGAGAACGGTTTGGAAGAGGACTCACCTTCACCAGCCCTGCCACCCAGCCTGCAACCAGCTCCCTTGCTGCACTTTGTATAAGCCCTGGGCTTTCATTAGGGTTCTCTGCCCAGAGCACCCGTTCCTCTGGGCCTGCCTGGAAAATGCAAGCCTTGCTCCTCTGTGGCACCTCTGTGGACCCTCATGTGTTTGGGTCAAGGTCATTGCCCTCTGCCTCCATCCCCAGGGCACCTTGTCCACCCCCTGATTGCACCCCTCTGCAGATGTCTGCCTCCTTGGCAAACCCCTCTCTTGGGCTGGGTCCCTGAGGGCAGGGGCTGTGTGGTATTCATCTCTGTATTTCAGTACTTGGCACAGAGCCTGGCATGCAGCAGGTCTTGGTGTTGGGGATGAAGGGAGGGAGGAAGGGGATGGGGTGGAATAGGCATCCGGGCAGAGGAAATGGTGCTGATGTTTCCAGTTGGTTCCTCCCAGGGCGGGGCAGCTACAAGCCCCTGTCTGACTCAGAAAGGGAGGCCTCTGTGGACACCCCAGAGCCCCCTCTAGAGACAGCTCCACGAGAGCCCCAACCACCACAGCTTCCCTCCAGACCCCCGGGAGATGCCAGTCTTTGAGATGCTTCAACTTTCTTAGAGGAAATCGCTGAATATGTTTGGTAATTTTTTTTTGACATTTTCCCTGTTCAGGAGCTTGTGATTTCAGATTAATCACATCCACATACATTTAGACTGTCGGCTTGGAAGGGAAAATTTGAATTTTATTACTGCATGATTTCATCCAAAGCTATCTTACCAACACTAAAAGGATGTCTACAATGAGGTGCAAATCATGACAAAACATTTTATCTCTGGGACCAAGCTCATGGCGGGAGGCCAACGGGACGGGGGGCTGCAGGTGGGACCTGGGTGGGCACAGTTGCAGCCCCTTCAGTAGCCTAAAGAGATCTGTGTGAGCCACCGTCACTGCTGCCTCTTCCTCAGCAAAATATCTCATTTCCTTCCCCGCTCTAGGTTTGCCCACAGCCCTTACTCCCAGGAATGGCTGTTCATCGACTAACTCCTGTCTTCCCATTGGCAGGTACCATGACCAGCAGGACGTAACTAGTAACTTTCTGGGTGCCATGTGGCTCATCTCCATCACATTCCTTTCCATTGGTTATGGGGACATGGTGCCCCACACATACTGTGGGAAAGGTGTCTGTCTCCTCACTGGCATCATGGTGAGTACCCGCCTCTCCCCATTCCCTACCCTTAAAATGTGGCAAAGAGCTGAACTCTTTCTTGCAAGCACATAGGGGCCTTCCTAGCCGCAGAGCGGGGGGTGGCTGTTAGTTAACCGACCTGCATGTGTGTCCCCTACACATAAAATGTCAGGTGGGAAATCTGCAATGGTTTCTCACTTTTCAGTTAACTTTTCTAAGGTAAGAATGAGACCTGGACTCCTGGCAGTTAATGGTCTATTCACAGCTCCCTCAAAATGGGCTGGGTGAAGCTGGTCCTGGCCCAATGCTCTGATGCCCACCCCACTGCTGTGCAGCCACCCAGTTTGCTCACCTCCAGTGAGCACTGGAGCTTGCAGTTTATTGTCCTCCTTCCTGTTGCCTTGGTCCCACTGACCTTGGCACCATTTCTGATCATGTTTAGCTGGAACTCACAGAAGCAGGGACTGGGGAAAGAGCACTGAGTCGGCCTTTGGGACCTGAGTCCTGGACGGGGCTGTCCACATGGCCCTGGGCTGGCTCTTGCCTTTCCCAGGCTTCTGCTTCCACCTCTGCCTATGGAGGGGCTGGGCTCTGAGTGCCAAGTGCTTTGCAGCACTGGCATTTGGCAAGGCTGTGATCCCATCTCCAGGTGCCCAGCAGGTGTGCCGTGCCCTTTCAAGGTGTATCTCTCCTGCCCAGTGCCCTACCACCCACACTCGACACTCTCGCGGAGGCACACACTCTCACCTGTCACATGGCCATCACAGTGTGGCTTATGAGAGGGATGTGGGGTCTGAGTTTCTGCTCACTGTGGACCCTGGGCCAGGCACTCTGCATATTGGACCTGAGCATCCTCCAGGGGAAAGTGGAGATGGAGGGCCTGCCCTGCCCTCCCCATTGGTTTGTGCAAGGACCAAATGCAATGATTTATGTTAAAGTGCTTTGAAAACGAGAAGCGGCCACACACAGGTCAGTGTTGGTGGTGTCCTCAGTGTCCTTCAGTTGCAAATTGGTGAAGTGTTCCCTGGGCCTCATTGCACTTTGGGTCCAGGACAGGCAGCTGCTGCTCTTTGGCCTTCGTCCTGGAATCCTAGAACAGTGTCAGACCAGGGTTGGACACTTTTTTCAGAGGAGGAAACTGAGGCTGAAAGAGGAAAGCACATCTAAGCCTGGGTAGTGTTGGGGGAGGTGGCGGGGTGAGAAGTGGTCAGGCTGCTTGTGGTGTGGCTCTGGGTCTCCATGGCTGGAGACCGCAACCCTCCCAAGGACAGCCCCCCGTCCACAGCCCCCCTCACACCTTTGTGAAAATCCTTCCTTGCAGTGATCCCTCAGATTCCATTTGTCACCCCCGTTGCCTCCAGAAGAGATGAAGACCCTCTTTCTGGAAGGGCAGTGACCCCTTTCTGCAGTGCAAAGGGAGGGCCGCAGGTCTTCCTGCAGGGTCTGAGTGAACGCCTCACAGCGGCTGGGGGCTGCCCCCACTCCCCACCCCACTCCGTCTTGTTGGCTTCCTGGGGCTGATATTGGTGGACCAGACGGTCAGACCCAGGCTTGGGGCAGTCAGCCTGCTGAGCAGGAGGGGCCAGGCTCTCTCCTCCTTTCTGACTCCAGTCCAGGGCAGGTCCCTATTAGCAGGCAGGTCCTACGACAGCAGCTAATGACAAAAAGCTTAGCGCTGGGGTTGTGATAAATCACGGGTAAGTGCAAGGCTTTAGAACAAATACCTCCCATCGGTTAGTAGGAGTCTGTCTTGGCATAGCACCAACTGTCACGAGGAAACCGGGGAAAGACGCTTCTTACCAGAAAGGAATGAAATGCCACTGAAGGCCAAATCTTTCCTTCTTAGAGTCACTCCTGGGGCTTTGTGCCTCAGAACCAGCTCTCAGCCAGGGCTGGCACAGAGCAGGGTTGCCAGTAGGTGGATGGGCCCTGCCGGGAGCCTCTGTTATTTTAAAATACCGACCTTTTCCCCTCTCAGCACATAGCTGTCCCCATCCAAGAAGCAGCACCCCAAAGACCTGGCTTCCTGGTTCCTGGACTCCGCATCTCCTGGCTCTACTCTGGCACAGCTGAGCGGAACAGGCGAGACCCTGGCCCCACCCCTGCCTCTCTTTGGGGTCCGGAGGCTGTTTGTCTTTCAGCACCCCCTTTTGCTGTCTGGGTGTGCAGTGCTCCCCCAGAGAGAGCGTTCTGTTCCCTGTGGATTGAGGTGTGATCAAAGTGGAAAGAAGAAACGGACGATGAGGAGCCAATTCCCACCTTCCATATGAAAAATACAGCCCAGGCCTTTCATCTCTTTTTGTACAAAACCCTGTGCATAAATATACACCTTTCTATATACAGGAACAGGGAGGTTTCCTCTATTTATTGTCAGTGTTTTTCACCCAAATTAAAGTCAGTCGCCTCACTCTGGGGTCAGCCACAGTGAGGAACCCTGGTGGCATTTTTCTAACAAATGTGATTTTTCTAGCTGAGTCACTCCTAGCCAGGGTTTCACTTTGCTGAGGATCCTTTCCCCTCCTCCTCCCAACCTCCCAACACTATGTATAGCTCCCAATTATTATTGCAAGTGCCTTTACTAAAGGTAGGGCTTCCTGTTTGGTTACCATGGACACCAGGAAGGCCAAGGCAAGGCCTGCTTGGGAAGGGAAAGGAAGGATTTGTGTGTGTGTGGCCTGTAAATAGTCTTAATCATTGTTTTCTCTTGGCAATCCCAGTAACAATGTAATTATCAACCATTAAGCAGGGTATATAATTGTCTGAACAACTTGCCATGGCTGGCACAGACCTGGTGTGTTTGAGAGATTTCACCCACAAAAGCAGCTACATTAAAGTCCAGCATCTTTCCATAAGGATTTTTCATGATCATGGTGACAACACAGTAGAGAGAAAGCTGTCAATATTTAGTATCCAGAATTGGAAATGACAGTGCAACCTAAAAGATGTGCAATGCTGACCTTCTGATTCTGTAGGCATCTGGAAGACCCCAAAGCCCCCAAGGCTGCTTGGCATAACTTTGTTTCAATCTAGCCTCTTTCTAAAGCTGGACTCTCTCTGTAGACCCTTCATCAGTTATGGACAAACAGGCAAAAGCTTCTGGATATCTGCAGGGACGCTGAGCTTTTCCCCAATGGCCTCATGAGAGATGCCTCTGAACTGCCAAGGGAAAGTGATGATGAAGTAAAAGGTAGCACAAATTGAGTCATTTCGGGAGGAGGCAAAAAGAGGGCTCAGCAAGACATCTGCTTAATGTCAGTTTTAGAAGATGAGCTTCTCCCGAAACACCTTGGTTTCAAACCAATTGATGTTATTTTAGTTGTTGCATGGAATCTGTTGCAGAAACAGAATCCAACTGTAAATCCTCCAGGCTTCCCTCCTCCATTTGTCACTTTCATTTGTGTTTTATTTTATTTTATGCTTCTTTAGTTAAGAACACCTCATACTTTTCCCCTTGGGATACTTGTTTTTCCAGCTTCTAAGGTTTTCCAGCTGGAAAATGTTTCTTGAAAACAAGAGGTGGGAGGACTGGTGTGGAGGAGTCTCGGTCCAGATTTGGGTCCGAATCTCTAGAGTTAGGCGTGTTCACCCCGTCCCAGCCACCCTCTCTCCATGCACTCGGTGCTCCCTCTCGCCCACGTGCCTTGGGAAGTTCCAGCTCATCAGAAGTGGACCCCATCCACTCCCCTCGCCCCATGGAACTGGAAGTTGGACAGAGCACATCCAGGGACTCCAGTTGATGTCCCCTGTGGTTCAGGACTTGGCATATCTGAAAGCAAAAGGCTGAGTCATGGCTCTTCCCCCCAGTCTGACCCCAGGGAAGTCATAGCAGCAGCTGTTTACCCTTTCCCATCCTGCTTCCTCCCTCCTCACACACCCCCTCTACCCACCAGCCATTTCAAAGATTCCACAGTTAGCCAGGCCCTCGGTGATTTGTCTCTTAAAACTAACCTGCATCACTGCCATGTGACACAGCACTGCCAGGCTGCCACTGTGGCCTGTCAGACTATTAACTCACCTAAGTGAAAGGGCCCAGCATCCCAAAGGGGACCCAGGGGACAGGCAATCCTTATACCACTTGAAGATGGACACAGCAGGGTGGGATCCCTTGGCACTTCCTTCATGTCCTCTAAAGGGCCAAAATGGACCATTGACTTCTGGCTCAAGCCTTAGGCTCCTTGTTCTTCCTTCCTCTCTCAATCCCATCAGCCCATCATTTTTTCTTATTCTTCAGCCTCCTCCTTCTCTCTTTCCCCCCTTGACCCTTGCTGTTTAGGATGCAACGCAACTTGTTCCCCATCTCATTTTCTGCCCAGCTTTACCTCTCCCTGCACCCACCTTCTCTTCTCTTCTCTTCTCTTTTCTCCTCTTCTCTTCTCTTTTCTCCTCTCTCCTCCCCTCCCCTCCTGTTCTATTGTCTTCTCTCCCTTCTTCATTTTCCCGCCCCGCACCCCGCACAGTCTGCAGAGGCTCAGCAGTCTAGGCTTCAGGATTCCTCCACCACTTTATGAAGGCTGCTGATGTCTGGCCCCATCTTTATTAGGTTGCCTCTTAATGGAAAAGACCAGGTTAGGTGTCATTACTGGTGACTGCCCTAATTACATCCAGTCAATGGAAAAATGAAGCTGAGAGCATCCATTTAAGTTGGAATTAAGGGTTAAGAATGCAGCATCCTCTAGAGGAATACTCACAAGGGAGTCATAACATCTCTATGTTGAAAGAAACTGGGAAGTGTCATCTAGTCCACTGTCCTGCCTCCAGAGAGAAATTTATCTTCATCATGTGAGACAGGTGGTTCATTAGATAAAACACTCTAGCTTCTCATTAAAAGCCCCCCCTGCAATCAGCCAGCTAAAATGTGGGCCATGGCAAGCGCTGTGAAACACCCCATCTAGACCCTGGAAATTTGGAATGGTGGATGATTGATTGTTGTGATTACATTCCCAAAATAGCATGGAACAGGGAAGCTCCCTCTTCAGGCCTATTGGACCCCAGCTTTCAGGGATGATTTAAGTAGAGTTTTGCCTGGGCCTAGCGAGAGGAGGGAGAATGGAACCTGGGGAGAACCCTCTCCATCTGATGTTCCATTTTTAACGCTATGATATAGCCCTCTTTTTGGGCTTTCAGCCCAAAGTACTTTTGGAACTCCATATAAAGGAGAGGGATGATACTCCGTCCGGTCGAGGGGAAGGGAGCACACATCTTCCCTCTAGGATGGCTTCTTTTAAGCTATTTTTTGCTTTTGGAGGCATGGCTAAATTGATTACAGCTACAGACCAGGCTGTGCAACTGCCCAGATCCTTTGAAAATTGGGCACAGAGTCTCCTGTAAGTCACAGAAGCTGAAAAAACACAGCCGTCCTCGAACAAAAGAGGAAAATGAGGTCAGAAAAGGAAAGTTCACACAGACTTGGTTCTTTTCACTTTGTGACAAGGCCAACAAATGTACTGAGAAACACTAGATTGTTTTAATGGGGACCCTTGTGGGAAACGAGGAGAAAGCATTGTGAACTTCAACCACATTGAAACTTCACACAGGCTAGCCTTTGTCAGCCTGTGGGATAAAGAGAGAAATAGCTTCTAAAAGAGAGAGTAGGGAATGGATCCACCCATATGCATTCCTTCCAAGTCGGTTATAGATTATAGTACCTTTGAAAAACATTCTTTTCTGCTTCTCACACATTTTGTAAGACCTGATGAGCCAAAAATGTTACTGACAGATTCCTTCCATTCTGGGACCTCAACTGCTAGACTGGGTTCTGTGGCAACTAGAATTACTGTTTGACATACAGGATTCGGTTGTTGGCTTTAATAAGTTCATCATCTCTTTCCATGAGTGGTGGTCAGGGCGGCGCAGGGCACAGCATGCAGGCAGAGGGCGATGGTCTCTGACGGGAGTCCGCTTGCAGAAGGATGGAGCTGACTCCCGCTGCCTGCCGAAGAGCCAGGGGAGTAGTGAGTCTCTGAATTCCCCCTATGCTCACAAGCCAACCAAGAAGCCTAGCGAAGAGGATTTTAAAATGCATTGGGAGAATGTTGGAATGTGCAGGGAATTCCCTGCTTATTTCCCAGACAGTCAAGTATGCACCCAGAGGATTAGGAGAGAGAAAGTGAGTCCCACCATTCTGGGGGCTCAGCAGAGCCTGCTTCCTTGCCCACCCTCCCCCGGGCTCCCCTGGCACGGACCTACCGAGCAGACTAGGATCGCTGTTCCAGAAAATCCCAAGGGTCTGCTGCGGGCTCACTTAAAATCCCGGTTTTGATCCAGCAGAAGTGGTGTTGTCTTTAAAATCTCTGCATGACGGTGAATTCATGAGCCTCCTGGTGAAGGCAGGAAGGAACCGATTCCTTGTGCTGAGTCATAGCGTAAACCTTGAGGTGAAAAAGCCCAAGTGTAGAGCAGGCACAGTCACTGAGTGCACGTGTTCGTGCCAACCTGGGTGCCCTCTGTGAAACAAGCCCTGGGGAAAGGTATTGCCTCTTCATTCGATTATTTTCAGGAACACTCTCAGCCACTGGCAGGTGTTCCATCTGCACCCCAGCTGATGGCCTACCTTCTTTCCTCCCAGGCCTGCTGGTCTAGAGCTGGCAGTGGGATGGAGACCTGCCTGAGGGAGAGAGGGCCCGTGTGTGCTGGCCCCTCTGTCTTCCGCTGCACAGCTTGGCAGCTGACCAGGTGCTTAGTTGTTGGTTAAACCCCCCAAAGCCTCGGCGCCACCCAGCATCCTTCTCCATTGAAACTGGCTAGCTCAGCCTCCCAGAGGTCAGCTGCAGAGCACAACCCAAGAGGCACTGCAGACCCCTCTGTGGGTCAGGACATCAGAGTCCTGACAGATTTCAACAGATTTTTGTGGCTTGGTCGTGACCAGCCAGAGAGCTCAAGTTCCCACTCCACTCCCAGGAAATTACCCCCGTGGCCGCCAGGCGTGTTGAGTCTCTCATCTTGCCTCTTAATGATATGTTCTTTCCCCTCTGGTCCTCTTGATGTCCCCCCGCAGGGTGCAGGCTGCACTGCCCTTGTGGTGGCCGTGGTGGCCCGAAAGCTGGAACTCACCAAAGCGGAGAAGCACGTTCATAACTTCATGATGGACACTCAGCTCACCAAGCGGGTAAGATGCCACACAGCCATGTCTTATGGGGGACTTAAGGCCACAGTGGAAGCCAATCAGAAAGCAAATGGTCCAACGGGTGCAGTGGCTCACGCCTGTAATCCCAACACTTTAGGAGGCTGAGGAGGGTCGATCACAAGGTCAGGAGATCAAGACCATCCTGGCTAATACGTTGAAACCCCATCTCTACTAAAAATACAGAAAATTAGCTGGGCATGGTGGCACACACCTGTAGTCCCAGCTACTCAGGAGGCTGAGGCAAGAGAATTGCTTGAACCTGGGAGGCGGAGGTTGCAGTGAGCCGAGATCGCACTACTGCACTCCAGCCTGGGTGACAGAGAGAGATTCCATCTCAAAAAAAAAAAAAAAAGAAGGAAGGAAGGAAGCAAATGGTCATGTCGTATGGGTTTGCACCAGGCTTTTAAAGGGTGTGTTTGAGGGAACCCCAGACACAAAATGGAAACAGCACCTTCATACGCCGGGTTCCTGTCTTCTGTTCGATCACTGTGCATGGTTCAGGCAGCCAAATAATTTTCCTGGTAATTTAATTAATAGCCTACAATGGTATAACCTGCCCCTTTGCCTGATGATACCAAATAAATCACGGTATGAGGCAATGTTTTTTGTTTATGCTCAAATATTTTCAGGATTCTCATTAGGAAGGGCAAAACTATATTGAAAATATACCTAAAACTATAAAAGTATATTGAAAATGTACCTAAGTCTAATCCTTTAAAAAAAATCATTTAAAGAATCATTCTATGCTGGGAGCGGCGGCTCACGCCTGTAATCCCAGCACTTTGGGAGGCCGAGGCGGGCGGAGCATGAGGTCAAGAGATCGAGACCATCCTGGCCAACATGTGAAACCCCGTCTCTACTAAAAATACAAAAATTAGCTGGGTGTGGTGGCAGTCACCTGTAATCCCAGCTACTCAGGAGGCTGAGGCAGGAGAATCACTTGAACCCAGGAAGCGGAGGTTGCAGTGAACCGAGATCGCGCCACTGCACTCCAGCCTGGGCGACAGAGCAAGACTCCATCTCAAAAAAAAAAAAAAAGAATCATTCTAGTAGAGCCCACATCCCTAAATAAAATTGTTCATCAAAACATCATCATCCAATTTTTCCCTTTTGGGTTTTCCGGGTAATGTTTCTCACTTGAACCATTATGGAAGTGGTTATGGAAGATGAAAATCTGAAAATATGCAGGAATGGGTAGACCATTTAGCTGCTGAAAGTTGGACACCCCACTGAATTGTCTGAGATGAAAAGACCCATTTAGAATAGACAGATACAAGCCTTCCAGAATAACAGCAGGCCAAATGGGCAAGGCAGGAGCTGTTTATTCAAGGACAGCTTTTATGGAAAATTCTTTAGAACTACAGCCTGAAGGAAGGTCAGTAAGATGATTTCCTGCAAGACTGTCCTCTTTCTGAGACGAGACAGAATTAAAACCCTGTGCCCGTGTCTCGGCCTCCATAGTCTTTTTCATTTAGGACTGAAGTAGGTTAAGGGACCCATGAGCAACCAAATTTTGATTTGGGTTTTTGAAAGCTAGAGAAAATATTCAGTGATTAATGTTGCACAGCAGCAAAAATGTGTTAGAAATAGAGACAACGGCAGGAAGGAAGAACAAAAAGAGAGAGAGAGAGAATGACAGAGGGAGCTGCGAGCGAGCTCTTGGGGAAGGCAGTGGGAGAGTGTGCAGCGGCCAAGGCCTCTCCAGTTTCTCAGCAGAATTATTTATGGTGTTTGATTGTTTGGTCTTTGATTACATTTATTGGATTCTGTAAAGAGCCTTAACAGACATTAAAAGGAACTGGTACGGGCAAATATTCTTATGTTGTTGACATTCAAGTGTTTGTACTTGATACATCATGGCCCTGAGCTATCAGCTGCACCAAAAAAAGCCATGATTTGTCACATCACGATGGCAGTGATTGAAGGCTGTTATCACAGTAAGGCCTGCCGGGAACCCTGCCACTTGGCCACTCTCTTTCAGCCCCCTCTAATAATGGGTGCAAAAGTCATGCTCAGTATTGAGGAAATTATTCAAGTTATTGAAACACCTAAATGCAAATCCACTTGCATCTATTTTCCTGAAGCAATTTACTGAGGTTTCACTGGATTGAAACTACGTGCCGGAGTGAGGGCAGGGAGATGTTTTGCCTCCAAAGCCTTCTCATAAGCTGTTTACCAAGAGTAGAGACATTAGCAGTCTCTCTGTTTATTCTGGTTTTCTTTTTTAAGCCAAGAATATTCTTTGTATTTGGTGTTATTCCTTTGTCCTCTCCATTTTTCACCAAGTAGATCAGACGCTAGAGGAAAATAAAGCTGAGGAAAGCCAGCTCCTTTGTATGCCAGGAAAATAAACAATTTTTCTGCAATATAATTGTAGAAGATGAGACTGTGGTTGCTAATTTTAATCTTTCAAAAATGATTCCCTAACATCCTCCTCAATTCCACTTCTTGAAAAGTAGGACTGAAAATCAAATCAACAAATATTTATTGCTCACCCATGAATCTAAGGTAGCTTTTTAATCGAATAACATCTCACTTTTCTGAGAACACTTAAATCTGTTGAAATGTCTCTTTAATATCTAATATCTTTTCTCAAGGAAATAAACAACACAGAAGGGATGGTTCTTACAGAGAGAAGGTTTTCAAAGCTGGCAGGACTAGAACTTCTGAAGGTTCTTTTACATAACCTTAATTGAAATGAAACTGGATGTGTGCATCCTTGGCCTGCTCTGGTTTGAGCTGACTTTGACCTGCTCACAAGAGAACCCCACCTCTCTTCCCCTGGGGATGCCTGGCCTGCCTTCTGTCCTCTTGAAATGGTCCATTGTATCAAGCTGGAGTGGCTCATTGGTCAAGAAGATGCTAAGCAGCCGGGTGCGGTGGCTCACGCCTGTAATCCCATCACTTTGGGAGGCCGAGGTGGGTGGATCATGAGGTCAGGAGTTCGAGACTAGCCTGACCAACATGGTGAAACCCTGACTCTACTAAAAATACAAAAATTAGTGGGGCGTGGTGGCACACACCTGTAATCCCAGCTACTCAGGAGGCTGAGGCAGGAGAATCGCTTGAATCTGGGAGGCAGAGTTTACAGTGAGCCGAGATCCCACCACTGCACTCCAGCCTGGGCAACAGAGCAAGACTCTGTCAAAAAAAAGAAAAAAAAAAAAAGAAATACTCACTCTCAGACATGATCCTTAGAAGCTCTTGGCCGGGCGCGGTGGCTCATGCCTGTAATGCCAGCACTCTGGGAGGCCGAGGCAGATGGCTCAGGAGGTCAGGAGATTGAGACCTTCCTGGCTAACACAGTGAAACGCTGTCTCTACTAAAAAAAAATCCAAAAAAATTAGCCGGGCGTAGTGGCACGTGCCTGTAGCCCCAGGTACTCGGGAGACTGAGGCAGGAGAATCGCTTCAACCTGGGAGGCGAAAGTTGCAGTGAGCCGAGATCGTGCCACTGCACTCCAGCCTGGGCAACTGAGCGAGACTCCATCTCAAAAAAAAAAAAAAAAAAAATGCTAAGCTCAGTCTATTCATAACATCTCAGTGAATTCTCAGAGAAAGATCCAACATGAAGGAGTTGACTGTGGCATAATTGCAACCTCTTCGGAGTGGGCAATTAGTAGATTTGACAGATAAAAGCAGTCTCTTACCGGTATATGCAACCTTGATGCTTCAAAGACCTACGCAAAACGAAAAAAGGAATTGTAGCTATTAATCATAGAAAATACTCAAATTGTTCTAGTATTTATTCATCCTGTCTTGCTCTAAAGACTGCAGCCTAGCCTTTGCCATGAGAGCCAGCACTATTTTTATTTATTTGTTTGTAGGGAGGGAAGAGGGTCTGATAGCACTGGGTAAGAACTCAATTTCTGCTTTTCTTGAGTCCCATGCTTATCTTCTTTCCTCGTATGACTTATCAACTCTGGTGGCAACGTCATTTCTGTATTTAATTCAATCAGATCTTCCCACACTGACTTCGCAGTGTCACTGCCATTGTTATTCTGTAATTATAACTTATTGCTAATCTCTGGGCTACTAGATAATATTTAAGTACATGATTCACAGAGGGACTGGAAGAAAGATACTAGAGCCCCATCTTTTCTGCCACTTAGTGTTTTCATGTCCCCATCTTTCTGTTTTATGTAGCTAAACAGATCCATCACAGAGGCCACTCCCTGGGTGCCACACTCTGTACTCTGGGGGCACCAAGATGGGTAAGAGGTGGTCCTCACCTCCATCCCTAACCTCTGGTGGCTGACTGCCCTCAGAGAGCACTTCTTCTTATAAGAGGTAGAGTGGGCCGGGTGCGGTGGCTCACGCCTGTAATCCCAGCACTTTGCGAGGCCGACGTGGGCGGATCACTTGAGGTCAGGAGTTCAAGACTAGCCTGGCGAACATGGTGAAACCCCGTCTCTACTAAAAATACAAAAAATTAGCCGGGCATGGTGGTGGGTGCCTGTAATCCCAGCTTCTCGGGAGGCTGAGGCAGGAGAATTGCTTGAACCCAGGAGGCGGAGGTTACAGTGAGCTGAGATCGTGCCACTGCACTCCAGCCTGGGTGACAGAGTGAGACTCCATCTCAAAAAAAAAAAAAAAAGGAAAGAAAAAGAAAAAAAAGGCAGAGTGGGCTGCTATGGACACACTTGGCTTGGGAGGCACCATGGACCGGAGATATTTTCTTTGCGGTACCTACTCTCCACATCAAGCCACAGTGAGCAGAACCTTCAGACAGCACAGTGTGCTAAGGATCCTATCTCCTTCTTGCTGCAGGGGTTTCTTGCCCCAAGTAGCTCACCCAAGTACACTTCCCCATGAATTCAATGAATAAGACCAAAATTAAACCCACAACTTCCCTAAACTATTTCCTTCTCCTAACTTCCCTGGTGTGCTCCTGACATCGTGTTCTTCCAGACGCCAGGCCTAAAGACTTAGCCCCATTTCTGACTCCTCTGGACCCTGGACCCCACGAGGGTCTGAGCACTTTCTGTGTCTGATTTCACCTTGCCGTGGCTGTTCACGCATGCCCGCCTCTCCAGGGCCTCGGCCCCGCCACTCTTGAAGCCGCCATCTTCTGTCTCGCACTATCACAGCAGCCTGCTACCTGCTCTCCTCACTTCGGCGTCCCTTACCCCAGTCATCCTGCACTCTGCTTCCCCATGGATCTCCTTAGACTCTCAGGCTTAGCTCTGAACAAATTACTTCCTGCTCAAAAACCTTTAAGTAGTTTCCCCACCTACTATCTCCTGAATGACACTGAAGAAAACTTTTCTTTAATTACAAGCATATGCCAAAGTTTGATCATAATCTTGCTAGAAGAAAATTTTCTTCAGCAGGCTAATTCAAAGATTACTCTTAGTAGTGGTATTTCGTAGGAAAAACAATGGTAGTCATTGTTATGCCAGATTATAGAAGGTTTAGCTAAAGACTGCTAATGGACAGCTGGTTGGGCTCAACAGTGGATTTCCAGAACAAGTCTTCAAGTCTTTACAATGGATCAGATAATCAATAGGGCAGTTATCAGGAATGCTAATTCTCCCCAGAAGAGGATTATAAATTACATCACGCACAAGGTTCTGTCCCAGACAGATTGGGTGCAGGTTTTCTTTAGCAATAGTCACAGAAACAATGTGCGTTTAAGCTGGAAGGACCCTTAGGGAAGAGCCACTCCAACCCACATGAGAAGACGAAGGCCCAGAAAGGGGCGAGGGTGGGCCCCCGGCCTATGCAAGATCCACTTTGCTCTCAGACCATCAGGCAGGCAGCTTTAGGGCGGTCAGTTCCTTGGAACTCAGCATGGGGTTAGGGTCCCAGACCTGCTGAAAAGAAAAGCCAGCTTAACTCCACCCTAACTGAGTATCACATAAATAGCATTATAGAATTATCCACCACCCATTACCATATTGCTACAGGGAGAACCTCAAGCTCCAACTCTGAACAACGGAAATACACCTCCTCTCTCTCTACCCAATTTCCTGCCAGCCAGAGAGGTGGAGCTCCCAGTTCTAAGTGGTCAGTGAGGGCCTCTGGGTGAGGCAGGCAGAGAAGCCTGTAAAGGGAGTGTGGAATAGAACAGGGGGAGGAAAAAGAGGAGGTGCAAGCAGGGTGATGAAAGAGAGGGCAGCCGGGGAAGCCAGAGCAAGTCTGCAGGGTGGTGATGAGGGGAGAGTGGGCTTGGCAAATGGGAAAGAGGAACCAGCCCCCTTCTCTAGTCCTGTGTGTAATGGACACCTTCAGTCAAGGGCTGGCTTGCAGGTTCTCCGATAGTGATCTGATCATCACTCAGCCTAATTTCAACCTGTGTAACTCCTTGAAGTTACAGTCATGCACTGCATAACAAGTTTCAGTCAATGATGGTGCACATATACCAAGGTGGTCTCAGAAGGCTATAACAGAGCTGAAAAATTCCTCTCCCCTAGTGATTTGTGTTACAGTGGCCTACAGTACAGGAATGTGCCATACAGGCTTGTAGCCTAGGAGCGATAGGCTATACCATACAGCCTAGGTGTGTAGTAGGCTGTCCCATCTAGGTTTGTTTAAGTACACTCTGTGATGTTCACACACTGAAGAAATTGTCCAAGATGTGTGTATTTAAATCACACCCACCGGCCAGGCCTCCCTTTCCCCGTCTCCAACCTCCAAGTAGAATACTTCCCTGGCAAGGGTTCCTGGCAGCATAATGGGCATGCTAGTGATTTCTTCTCTGGGGGGCTCTGCTAATGGGACCCCTGGAATTTCCCAGGGCTCCTGGGGCTGCTGGAGGCTTAGGGTGCCCAAGAAAGGTGCTCCTTTCATCCCCCTTGTACTCCTGCCCCAAGCATTCTTGCCGCAACCGACAGCCCCTCTGTAATAGCAAGTAGCAGGTTACCTGGGCAGAGAGGTGGCCAGAGCAAGTCATTGACATGGGATGCTGCGGCCAAGAGCTCAAGGAAGAGGTGTGTGTTCTGTTGTATGTTTTCTTGCTGGCTGGGGAAGTTAGAGGGAAGGAAGCTGACATTTATTGGAAGGAGAGAATATTAACAAAGGTACCATGTATTGAGGCATATGGCCAGGATCTGTGCTAATGTTTTAAGTATATTCTCATTTAATCAACACAGTAATCCCATTTCACAGATGCAGGTAGTACTTGCATCACTCTCTAGCCCTGGACCCTGCTTTGTTGTTGTGGTTTTTTAAGCGCTTGTTACCTGATGCTATCATACAAACTGCATACCGTCTTCTCCGCAGGATTGTAAGTTCCGTAAGCGCAGCAATGTTATTGATTTGTTCACTGTGGTACCGTCACTTGCTACAACAATGTCTGGCCCATCATAGGTGCTCATTAATTGTTCCTCAAATGTATGAACAAAGAGAGTCTCAGAGAGTTCAGCAGTGGGTCCAAGGTGGAGCTGATGATCACGTCTATTTATCAAGTTTTTCTGAGGGTTAATGAACCAGTGCAGACATATGTGCTTAGCACAAAGCCTGGCACGTAGTAAGCACTCAGTATATGTTAGCTGTCACCATAATTTGCAAGGTCTTCATTGGACCACTTTCTTGCCCAGGCCCATTAATCTTAGAGCCTTTCCTAAAGTAGATCATAGAGCCCATTGTCTGGCCCCAATCAGAGTGAAAGCAATTTTTTGGTAGAGAGTTTTTGGGCTTGCAGAAAACAATCAGCCAATTTGTTTATGGGTTTTGGAGGCAGGACAGCTGGACTTCCATTCACAAAGGGTCCTCTCCTAACCATCCCCAAACCCATCCGATTGTGGCCAACCTTGAGCCACTCTTTCTGGCTTGCTGCTTTCATCTTAAGCCCTGCCCTCTCGCACTGCTGCACCCTGAGAGCATCTTTTGGCCCTGGTGCCTCTGCCCACCAGGAGAGGTCAGGTGGTACCCAAGCCTCCCTCAAGGAAGGGTGCATGGAGCCCTTTGGAGGCTCGGCAAATCTGAGGAAGGGCACATGACCTCATGTGCTCCCGACCCCAACAATGCTTAGATCAATCAGCCAGGTGAACTGGAGGGAGACCCTGGCCACAATAGCATTTACTGTCCACCTGGGAAAGCACAGTGCAGTTAAAAGCCTATTTCTTTTTCTCTCGCAGATATTGATCTACTTAGCTTTGTGCCAGGCTGTTTGCTGGTAATTAATTTCAGAGTCAGTGCAAGGGCTGGCAGTTAACATCACTTTCCCGAATGCACGGAGGCCTCCCTCCAAACTCATAAAGATGATGTGACTGCCTCTCTCAGCTACCCGGGCCGTGCTGTGACTTCAGTATCTTACATTTGGGCTGACGTTAAGTGCAGGACCTGGACTCCGTGTTCTGTCACATTGCTAAGTGAGGGCCATGATGATTTAAAAAAAAAAAAAATCCAGTGCTCTTTCCAGTTCCTTGATCCTGGAAAACAGGAAATGATTTTGTTTGTCTTTCCTTCAGTCCACATGAAAACCTTCTGCTCTTCCTGGACGTGGCTCTTGTTTTGACTTTGCCATTAGCTAGCTGTGTGATTCTGGCTCTCACATCCCATCTCTGAAGTGGTTTCCTCGTATGTTCAATGAGGGGTTTGAGCTAGATAATATTAACTAATATCTGTATGGTACTTTACATTTTATGTAGCATTCACACCCACACTGACTCAGTTTGCCATTAATAATTGTCTAGTCTTGGTCTGTGTCTTGGTTTCTTCATCTGTAAAATGTGGATAATGTTAGCACCTCCCTGATGGGGTTGTGGTGAGGATTAAAGGAGCTTAGACATATGAAGTACTCAGACCTGTGGCTGCACCTGGTAGATGTTAAGTGTTGCCCCCAGCACCATCATCACTGCCTCATAGCAGCCCTCTTTATTTTTCCCATCTTACAGATAATGAAGCATTTGCTCCTAAACTGCTTAATAATTGACAGAGCAGGGATTCACCTGCAGACTTTCCAGTTTCCTTGAGGCTTTCCTAAGAGGCTAAGTGCGTAGGGAAACTGAAGAAATGACACATCCAATTGCCTCCTCTCCCTGCAAGAGGAGGGCAGTAGTATTAAATGTGTGCTCTGCAGAGAGCAAGGCTTCCCTTCCGTGCCGCCTTTTTTGCCAGGAGGCTGCTGTTCACTCTAGTTCCCTGAGCAGAAGCCCAGAGACCACAGTGTCCTCTCCTGGACATCCACCGTTTCCAACTTTCCACCACAACCTGCTTCCTTTCAGGCAAGAAAGTACTAGAGGTGGGCAGTTAAGTCATTTAAAACTATTTTCACAGCAGATCTTTACTGAATTTTTAAAAAGCAATATTTATGTCCCTTAGACATTTCTGAGAAGACTTAGCTGTTCTTTTAAAAACATCACTTCAGCGCCAATGAAAAATATAATCCAGCCTTAGTAATAAATTTTTAAAACATACACACACAAAAGTTATCAGCCTGCAAAACAATGTTTCCTAGGCTTCCCACACATCTCAGTATTTTAACAACATCCCATCTGTTGATGTCAGTCTGAAGAAGCAGGTCTATATTCTCTAATTTTATTAAAATCCTTTCTGGCTAGTAACCTGATTTCTATTAGGCTGGCCTACTTATTTCCAGGCCCCAGGCCTGTGGACACATGCCAGTCTGCATGGCTGACAGAAATGGGGATGGTTAATCAAAAATCTGCTTAGCATGTGCTTAATAAGGAATGTTTTCTGTTGCTCTTGTTACTAATTGCTGAAGATGTCTGTGTTTGGATTAAAACTTTGTCCCCTGCCATCTGGATGCCATTGATATGTCTCAGCTCAGTCATGAGCCTGGTGATATCAGTGGTTTCCATGTCAATGGATGACAGCGTCATATGTTGAAACGTGTGATTGCAGTGCACAGTGAAGGAGCCAGCCCTGGGGAAGAGGAAGCTCTGGTTTCACACCTAAATATCTTCACTGATTTTCAGACATTGCTCTGAAATTATTTCTTTTTTGTGCCAATTACATTTACATGTACAATTGCAGTGCAAATGTTTTTGGCCATTTGGGAAAGGAGACAATGGGCTCGTTGGTACCTATAGTTCCAATCAGTGGGAAAGACATTTTCTCAAAGAAGTCTTTTAAAATCTCCAGCTGATAGGAAATCTGTTTACTCTCTGAACCCAAGCAATGTACCGTATACACGAAGTGGCAATCTCAGGCAAAGCTCGGAAGTCTGCATGTAAGGGCAGCAATGGTATATCGCTAGCTATTTTCCAAGGGGACCCCGGGACTCAAGGTCTCGCTCATGCAGCCTGTCTAAATATAGCATCAGCAACAGCAGTCAAGAGATAGTATTGAAATAATCAAGAAGGAAGAAAGAAAGAAGGAAGGAAGGAAGGAGAAAGAAAGAGAGAAAGAAAGAAAAAGAAAGAAAGAAAGGAAGAAAGAAAGAGAAAGAAAGAAAGAAAGACCCTCCAACTTCAAGCTCTGGTCTGCAGTGTCCAACACAAGATTAAGAACAGATGAATTTTAATCACCTTTTTTTTTCCTTTTTTTTTTTTTTTTTGAGATGGAGTTTCACTCTTGTTGCCAAGGCTGGAGTATGGCGTGATCTCAGCTCACAGCAACCTCTGCCTCCCAGGTTCAAGCGATTCTCTTGCCTCAGTCTCCAAAGTAGCTGGTACTACAGGCATGTGCCACCATACCTGGCTAAGTTTGTATTTTTTGTAGAGACGGGTTTCACCATGTTGTCCAGGCTGGTCTCGAACTCCTGACCTCAGGTGATCCACCCGCCTCGGCCTCCCAAAGTTCTGAGATTACAGGCGGGAGCCACCGTGCCCGGCCTTAATCATCTTTTCTAGGAGTTCCGTGATTTTGGTTAAGAAAATAGATCATTGCAAAATCGTTTCCTTATGAGGTAGACTACAGTAGCAACCACAAAAATGAACCTAAGAAAATGAACCTGATAGCAGCCTACTTTATTTATTCTTCCTTAGATCAAGAATGCTGCAGCCAATGTCCTTCGGGAAACATGGTTAATCTATAAACACACAAAGCTGCTAAAGAAGATTGACCATGCCAAAGTGAGGAAACACCAGAGGAAGTTCCTCCAAGCTATCCACCAGTGAGTATGCCAGAGCGGTTCAGCCATCAGATGACCAGACTGGGAGTGGCGGGACTCCTACAACTCTGTCAGTAGCACAGAAGAAATCCATTCTGTTCCACTCAACAAGTGGAGTGGTGAACTGGGTCTGATCACTCACTGACTGCACCAGCCACATGCCAGGAATTGGGCAGGCTGCTATGGAAGGTAAAAACTAGAGTAAGAACCTCTAAGAGCTTTCACATTCTACACACACACACACACACACACACACACACACACACCACACACCACACATCACACACACCATACACACCACACACACACACCACACACACACCACACACACACACCCCACACACACCACACACAAACACCACACACACACACCCCACACACACCTCACACAAACCACACACACACCATACACACCACACACAAACACCACACACACACCCCCCACACACCACACATCCCACACACCACACACAAACACCACACACACACACCCCACACACACCTCACACAAACCATACACACACCATACACACCACACACAAACACCACACACACACACCTCACACAAACCACACACACACCATACACACCACACACCACACACACCACATACCACACATCACACACACCATACACACCGCACACACCCCACACACACCATGCACACCACATACGACACACACACCACACACACACCACACACCACACATCACACACACCATACATACCACACACAAACACCACACACACAACCCACACACACCACATCACACACACCATACACACCACACACAAACACCACACACAAACACCACACACACACACACCCCGCACACACCACACATCACACACACCATACACACCACACACAAACACCACACACACACACACCCCGCACACACCACACATCACACACACCATGCATTGCAACTCAAATCAAAACAAACCGTGGCTGATGCTTTCTGTGATGGAGGAGTTTTTAAAAGTATAGTGGAAAAGCAAAGGATGAAAACATTCATTCTGATGGAGAGGTTTGGGGAATCCCTGAAAAGTTGAGAATAAGGCACTCAACATGGAAGGTGCAGCCCAGGCATAGAGGCAGGGAAATGATCTGGGAATAGCAAGAAACCAGTGACTGAAGGTGAGCATGCGTGGAGACAAGAGTTTGCTTTCTGGGGGGATGTGACAAGCCCCTGGAAAGTAAAAGCCTCAGTTGTTCCCCAGGTTCACGGTCCCCATGCTGGGTTCCAAAATCAGAGGCAGTGGTAGGGCTGGAGGATCTGCTGGTGGGGCTAAACCTTTGCATGGACTTGAAGGGCTTGCCTGTTACCATTCTTCCCCACAGGTTGAGGAGCGTCAAGATGGAACAGAGGAAGCTGAGTGACCAAGCCAACACTCTGGTGGACCTTTCCAAGGTGAGTGGCAGTGTCTGGAGACATCCCCTAGAACACGCAGACACTGAGTCTTCTCAGGCTCACCTGTGAGTCCTGGCTGGGTTCGCACTGGACAGCGCGGGACCAGGCAAGCAAAGAAAAATTTCTGCTTGGTTCAAAAATACCTAGGCTCAAGTTTGTTTCATTTGCAATCTACCGGTATGTCTTGTGGGCTTTTGAAACTTGGTGTTTGTTTCTTAAGTGAAATCGCTCAGGTGTGTCTCTGCGTGAAATTAATGAGCTGACTAAACCTTTTCCGTGTCATTTTATGAGCTGCACATTGAGGGACTCCTGAGGTTGGGCTTGAGTTTGCACGGCTGTGAAGCATGCTAGCAAGGACCAGACGGTAACGATGGCCATGGTAACTGCCCAGGTCACACCGGTTTGCTGTAATACTTGGAAGTTCATTTTTGTACATCCTCCAGTCCTTAACCAACTAGTTTTGCTGGCCTCAAATTGGCGGCAGTGGTGTGTGTGGGGGGGTGCATTTCTTTACTTCTCAAGAGGCAGATAGCCTACAAGGAACATGAAGATACCCAAAAAGAGAGCCCTCTTTTGAGAGCCCTAGGGTGTAAGGCTCGCCATCACTCTGCCACTCTGTTTCTGGCCCTGAGCTGCCATAAATACTGTAAGGAAACTCCTCTTGCAAATCACCCAGGTGAGGGAGCCGAAGGCCACACTGCTGGCAGAGCTGAGAGTCGGTGCCACTGAAGAAAGGGCCTCCCCCTCCTCAGCCCCCTCTCCTCATTGCCTCTTGATAGGAATTGTATATTAAGTGTACAGCCCAGGGCCAGGCTGGCAGAACATTCCAGCAGATGTCAATTATCATAATGGAACACATTCCCTGGGTAAGCAAGAGAAACTCCCTCAGGCACATTAAGCACCCTTTGAAAAGAGTGCAATCAGAGAAATCACTAGTTGTCGGGCCACGTGCAGGTGCCTTGTTTAATAAAGGGATTGAACCAAAGAAAGGGCCTTCTAAACCTGTGAGGACTTCAATCGGGGAGTAAGTGGCTTGGCACATTTGGGGAGAAGCCTCCAGGCCCGCGTGCCTTTGGAGGAGGGCGTTCACGTGGAGTGCAGGGTGGTTCCTAGGAGCCTGGGGTGGGAGTGGAACGTGGGCATGCAGGAGAGAACTCCCTCAGGTTTTTGGGTGTGTTGGTTTTAATATCAGAAACCCGCTGGGACTAGGTTTAAAAATGGAGAAATCTATTCTAAGGATATAAGGGAGTCTCATTCCAGGCAAAACCTCAAAGGAGACATGTGGCCAGACTGCAGGAAGGAACTGACTCGAACTAGACCTGGGAAGCCCCCACAACCAGGAGGTCTCTCACCATTTCTTCTCTGTCCTTCTGTTTAAGTGACTGCTTCAGTTCTCTCTCCCTCTCCCTGTCTCTCTCTTCCTCTCCCTTTCCCTGTCTCTCTCTTCCTCTCCGTCTCCCTGTCTCTCTTCCTCTCCGTCTCCCTGTCTCTCTCTTCCTCTCCCTTTCCCTGTCTCTCTCTTCCTCTCCCTTTCCCTGTCTCTCTCTTCCTCTCCCTCTCTCTTCCTCTCTTTCTCTCCCTCTCTGCCTCCTGTCCCCGCGACAGACTGTAACAGGCTCCAATTCAGAGAGTACATATAATAGTTTTAGCCACAGGTAAAGACTAATTGGCCCCCTACTAGTCTTAATTCTAAATTCTCAGAATAGAAGAAATGATTGGCCAATTTGGGCCACGTATCCACCCTGGGACCAATCAGCATTGGCCAGGAAGAGGGTCATATGGAGCAAACAGGGCTAGGGGCCCACCTGTGAGCTTCAGGAATAGCCCAACAAACTGCCCCAGGATGTTTCTTCCATGAGTAGCAGTATTTCCTGTTTCTCCTCTCACCTTGCAGGACATGCTGTGACTGATGTTCCCTGGGGACATGAGGCAAACCAAACTTTCTTTTTTTTTTTTTTAGTTTTATTATTATTACACTTTAAGTTTTAGGGTACATGTGCACAATGTGCAGGTTTGTTACATATGTATACATGTGCCATGTTGGTGTGCTGCACCCATTAACTCGTCATTTAACATTAGGTATATCTCCTAATGCTATCCCTCCCCCCTCCCCCCACCCCACAACAGTCCCTGGAGTGTGATGTTCCCCTTCCTGTGTCCATGTGTTCTCATTGTTCAATTCCCACCTATGAGTGAGAACATGCGGTGTTTGGTTTTTTGTCCTTGCGATAGTTTGCTGAGAATGATGGTTTCCAGTTTCATCCATGTCCCTACAAAGGACATGAACTCATCATTTTTTATGGCTGCATAGTATTCCATGGTGTATATGTGCCACATTTTCTTAATCCAGTCTATCATTGTCAGACATTTGGGTTGGTTCCAAGTCTTTGCTATTGTGAATAGTGCCACAATAAACATACGTGTGCATGTGTCTTTACAGCAGCATGATTTATAATCCTCTGGGTATATACCCAGTAATGGGATGGCTGGGTCAAATGGTGTTTCTAGTTCTAGATCCCTGAGGAATCTCCACACTGACTTCCACAATGGTTGAACTAGTTTACAGTCCCACCAACAGTGTAAAAGTGTTCCTATTTCTCCACATCCTCTCCAGCACCTGTTGTTTCCTGACTTTTTAATGATTGCCATTCTAACTGGTATGAGATGGTATCTCATTGTGGTTTTGATTTGCATTTCTCTGATGGCCAGTGATCATGAGCATTTTTTCATGTGTTTTTTGGCTGCATAAATGTCTTCTTTTGAGAAGTGTCTGTTCATATCCTTCGCCCACTTTTGGGCAAACCAAACTTTCAAGCCTGCATTTCTGCAGTGCCACCCACGGCCTCTTGGAGAGATGGGGCCCACGGAGCAGACCGGGTGAAGCGAACCCCTCAGTGAACTGGAAAGACACTCCTGTGAATTGGGTGGGGGAACTAAGCCGTAAATAACCCAGGAGCAAGTTACCTGGAAAGAAAGAGTGTGCAGGAAAGGGTTAAGGGAAAAATCTGCAGAACCCCCGTGGGGAGATCTGGGGAGGAGATGAACTCTGACATTCGCCCAGTCTTTATCTTTTCCTCCCAGGAGACTCACCCAAGGTCCTGGCAGCAGCTTAGCACACTTCACACTGGTCCATATTCCCCCTGGCATCCTGTCACCAAGCAACGGAACAGGGGGAGACAATAACGCTGTGTTCTCTCTCTTTTCTGTCTTTGTGCTGTAGCCTCCCAAGTCAGCGCCTTCCCACTCCTGCCCTTTGGTCCTCTCTAAATTAAGAATATGGCATGTGGCCTCCACATATTACGTCTGTATTGAATTGCTGTCCTATAGGCTGGCAGAGCTGGGAGGGCTTGGAGTCTTTCCCCGATTGCTTCAATTACTTCAATTGAAATATAAAAATAATTCCTACCATCGGAGGCTCAGGTGATCGAATAAGATGATATCTGTGAAAATGCTTTGTAAACTATAAAGGTTTTGCAATTGGTAGTTCTGATTATCAATATAGATGAGGAAACCAAGATCCAAGGGAACAAAGTGACCATCCCACGGTCAGGCAGTTGGTGAGCACCAGCGTGGGGGCCACAACCCAGGGGCCTGGACTCTGAGTCCAGAGCTCATCAGGGTGCCCCTGCGGTCAAATGAAATGGGTGATTTTGCACATTCCGGGAAGAATGTTTGCCTCGAGGAGGTTCTGTCATGTTGATTAATAAAGGGAGTACTTTCACTTCTAAAGTCACCCTGTCCTCCAAGGGCATCCACGACACGGTGTCCTGCTCTGGCAACAGCAGAGCTCATGGGAGCGGGGCCATCTCCATGCCACCTTGTGACCTTTCCTTATGCTGCCCCAGTGAATTTCCTCATGGGGCCTGTAGTCTGCTGGGGAGGCCTCACTGCATTTTGTGCCCCTGCTCCCCTTCATTCTTCTCTGGCTTCTCACATCTTCTTTTACTCTTCTTTTTTCCTCTCACCTTACTTGCTGCTGCTTTGGTCCCTGGGGCATAAATCATGTCCATATCTTCCTAGAGTAACCTGAAATTTCACGTGAAATAGGATCGGGGTGTCACTGGCAGATCATCAGAAACCCAAAGAGCCACAGTACCTCAGGGATGACCAAGCAACCACCGGCCTGGCCCTCTGCATTGCCGCCCCAGGAGCCTCACTCCCTGACACGTGGGAGGCTGAAGATGCTTGTGAATCTTGTTCCCAAGTCTGATGTACACAGCCAAGATGGCATTTGCTAATTTGCTGGGAGAAAAATATCTGTTGCATAGACTGGGACTCTGCAGACCAACAAGGGGGCCACAGGATGTTGGGGAAGGAGCACTGGTAATCGGCCGGCACCCCTGGAACACGGGGAGTCAGTGCTGAGTGCAGGAGGGGTACTGGGGAGCTCTCAGGGGAGCACCCTCAGGACCCCTGCCAAGGAGTGAGGGAAGCAGGATTGGTCAGTGGGAGGGTTTGAACTGTGATACAGTCAACAAAGACCTCAGCCCTTCAGAGTGGCCCTTCAGGGATGTCCCACCCTGAGGCATTGTGGATCAGGCAGGCGAAGGGCCACACCTCAGCAAGGCAGCCTCCTTTGGCTAAGCACTGTGCCTGAGAGTTAATTCACTTTACATCCTGTCTGCTGGGTTAAAATAGAGGTTGGGAGATGTGCAATAACTCCTAACTGTGTACAGTTATTATTAACTCCAATTTTATAAGGCAACCGAGATTGAGAGAGGCCAGGCGCCTGGCAGAGGGCACACTGTTAGTGAGCTGCAGATGTGTACTTGAGCCCTGGCCTACTAATTATACACCCACTGCACTGTCCATTCCCCACCAGCGTCTTCTCTGGAATCATTAGATGCCAGCAGCCATGTGAGCTGAGAGGTTGTGGCCCTGTGAGAACATGAGACAGTTTAGAGACTCACTTTATTTAAGAAAAAAAAAAGGGCCATTTTTTTCCCCTTGGTGCATATTTTCTAATAAAATGCTGTCATTAATACTCATTACTTTTGTAATAAGAAAACAAAAATGTGCACACTTCAGCATCCCCATCCCCAGGAAAGAAGCCTGTATCCTTCCTTGACCAGATCAGCTGGTGTGGAAGTGGCTCCTGTCATACTGTGGAGGGCGTTTCATTTCTCCCATTGCAGATTCCTCTGTGATGACCTGTCATCTCCCTGTCTCTCGCCTCTCTCTCTCCACACAGATGCAGAATGTCATGTATGACTTAATCACAGAACTCAATGACCGGAGCGAAGACCTGGAGAAGCAGATTGGCAGCCTGGAGTCGAAGCTGGAGCATCTCACCGCCAGCTTCAACTCCCTGCCGCTGCTCATCGCCGACACCCTGCGCCAGCAGCAGCAGCAGCTCCTGTCTGCCATCATCGAGGCCCGGGGTGTCAGCGTGGCAGTGGGCACCACCCACACCCCAATCTCCGATAGCCCCATTGGGGTCAGCTCCACCTCCTTCCCGACCCCGTACACAAGTTCAAGCAGTTGCTAAATAAATCTCCCCACTCCAGAAGCATTACCCATAGGTCTTAAGATGCAAATCAACTCTCTCCTGGTCGCTTTGCCATCAAGAAACATTCAGACCAGGGAACGGAAAGAAGAGAGACCGAGCTAATTAACTAACTCATGTTCATTCAGCGTGCTTGGTCCGACATGCCTTGAAACCAGAAATCTAATCTCTGTTTAGGTGCCTCTACTTGGGAGCGGGAAGAGGAGATGACAGGAAGCGACGCCTCTGGCAGGGCCCTTGCTGCAGAGTTGGTGGAGAACAGAAATCCACGCTCAATCTCAGGTCTTCACGCGGGGGGTGGGGGTCAGATGCACTGAAGTAGCCAACAGCGAAGCCAGTCCAGAAGAGGGGTCCGCTGGGAGGGAGGGTTGTGTCAGGCTTGGGGGATGGGCTCTTCGCCATGGGGGTCTTTGAACACACCTCTCTCCTTTCCTTTTGTCTACGGAAGCCTCTGGGTGACAAAAGTAAAAGAGAGCTGCCCACAACTTGCCAAAACAGATATACTCGAATCAGACTGAAAAAAAAAAAAAAAGACACAGACAAATAAAAAGCCAGATTTTCCACTCGATATTAATACCCACATAAACCTGTGTGTTTGCAAACGTGTACATGTACACACATACACATCCCACGTTCGCTTCAGGTCCTTTCTTATTTGAGCTTAATCCAAATAAAAAGGGACTTGACACCTTACCCTGCATACAATAGGCACCCCTTACATGTGTTTTGAGTTGGTCTGAATCTGAACATGGGGTGCTTTCAGTTCAGGTAGTTAGCTAGTTCTGGCCACATTCTGAGTTTCACTGAAGATGTGGATCCCTTCAGACATAATGCACATTGCTTTGTCCTGGATATGCACCTTGCTTGATTTGAAATGGATGCCAAGCCAAAATTGTTGGCATTCAGGAGGGATAAGCAGGCTTCTAAAAATAACAGCATCTGCAGAGTTTTCTTCTTCCATCCAAACAAGTTGTGTTTCGATGGTCCACATGACCAGGTGTATGTCTGTAAGTGTGGAGGGAGAGGACAAGAAATTGTGCATGTGTGTGCAGACATGCACAAACAGGAGCAATCCAATAACACCTTAGTGAATAGAAATATGGTTGGGGATTTGCTGAGCTGTATTTATCCAGCAACAGGTTTCCAGCCCCAGATGTTAGTAGTGCAAAAGGGCCAAGTGCCTCAATTGTGAGCCTCTGAGCTAGGAGGAGAAGTGATGAAGAGTGGCCTATGTGGTCCCTTCTACCTGACCTTAAGTCATCTCAAAATGAAATATTGTGAGAATGAAGGGAACCCTTAGGGAACCTTGTGGGTAAGGTAAGTGGACATGGATTTGTCAGTAGCCTGTTCCTACTGTGCCATGTTAATCTTGGTGCGAAAAACTATTCCAATACATCTCAAACTCCAAGAGACTTCAGAAACATCAAGATTTAGTGTAATGAGCGGCGCAGAAAAATGTTTTCATTGCTCCATAATCTGACCACACGTAACATTTGTGACGTGAAAACCATGACTTTCTCATTCTGAGGTCTTTGGTTTCTGCCTGTGGGAAATTGAATGGCACTGTATGGACTATTTCATCTGTTGATGGTAAAACAAAAGGGTGATTTTTTTGCTTGTGGTTGTCATCTTGGGTTTACCTTTGTAAGAAGACATCATCACCATTCTGAAGGCAGTGGCTTGGCATGGAGATTTTTATTCTGTAGCACTGGGCCTGTTCTTCTAAGGACAGCACAAGGTAGACAATTGTAGAGCCAAGGCCACTTTTTCAGGAAGATCTAGTCTCTTGCTAACCCTCTTCTTTCTCTCTTGCTATTGCTGCTGCTCTTTTGATGGTTTATAGTCTTAATGGCCTGCCTTGATAATTCCTTTGAACACTTTCATTAGTTGTTTTGCATACCAGAGATGCCGCACCTGCTGTTGGCTTATTTTTTTACTTGTTCTATTAACTGTTGATTATCTGAATGTTTCCCCTCCTCCTTGTTTCATGTCCCAAGAATGGTGCTCCTGTTTTCAGTGACAGTTCAGCTGAACATATAAGCAGATGTGTAAACAGATGAAGTAACCATGCAGTTTCCTTGTGGCATTAGTTCCATTTCACAAAGTGAAGACCACTGGTGGGCTGATCTGAGTGTGCCAATCCTGATCATTTAAACCTACAGCCTTCAACTGGTGATTCCTACCCACCGTTTTCATTCTGCTATAACCCTGTGATATGTGTGCGTGTGGGTGTGAGTGTGGGTGTGTGCACATATAGAGATTTAGTCTTAATTTCAACCAAATGACATGCAAGATTCCACTGCCACTCTTCCTGGCCAAAAGTGTGCACAGACTGTGATTTATTCATTGTGGTCTGTGACTTTAACCCATCATTGATGCTCTCACTTAGGTAAACCCTAAAGACCAAACTAGCAACACTAGTCAAGGGAGTGACTGGAGTTATTTCTGGTAGCAGTAGCCACTGGCATCCTAGAAACACATGGACATTTGTAGCATGAATTGACCTATTGGTAGTGCAATAGCTATACATGATTTTTATTCTTGGCAAAAGAAAATGCTTCAAAAAAAAAGTGATCAAACCTGCACATTGATCCTGTAATAGCAAATGGAAGGCTATTTCTCTGTACTAGCATTTCAGCTTTATGTGGGAAAGTTACCCGTTCTCCTGCAAGTACAATCAACCCTTGATGACTTAAGTATTAATTATTCTGGGTGTAGCTCACCCAAGTTTTCTTCCTACATCTTTTGGCTAATTCCACCACACCTCAGCATCACAGTCAGATGGGAAAAGGGGCAGGTGGATTCTCATGTCATGCCTTCTTGTACCTTATTTTCAAGTTTTGTGGTGGAGGAGGTTTAATTATCTGCTCAAGAATCTGGTATATATAGCCAGGTGCGGTGGCTCATGCCTGTAATCCCAGGACTTTGGGCAAGGCGAGAGGATCACCTGAGGTCAGGAGTTCAAGACCAGCCTGGCCAACATGGCAAAACCCCATCTCTACTAAAAATACAAAAATTAGCTGGGTTTGGTGGTGGACACCTGTAGTCCCAGCTACTTGGGAGGCTGCGGCAGGAGAATCACTTGAACCCCGGAAGTGGAGGTTGCAGTGAGCCAAGATCGTGCCATTGCACTCCAGCTTGGGTGACCGAGCAAGACTCCGTCTCAAAAAAAAAAAAAAAATCGGCTATATGTAAAAACTATTAATTATGTAACCTCACTCCAATACTGTACTGATCAAGATCTGCCCACTCCTAGAGGACTGACCCAATGGCAGATCCCCTACTATAATCTTTCTGACAACTCAGTGACAGGTAAAATCACTCTAATATTCCTAAAATATCTAGACACTTGAATTAGAAATACAGAACCACCCCCACCCCTGCCATTGCTTAAGCCATATTAAAGCTTCATGTACTGTAAAGTCAGGGATGTACTGTGATACTTTAAGACCACTAATCTCAGTGGAATTTCAGGACATAGCATTAGTTGGTAAATTACACCAGACTAGGGGCTCACTCCTCCTTAGATTGAAGTCCAAATAAAAGTCTTCACCTTTGGATCAAAGGCCACATATATATGATCATCATCAATAAATTGTCATAAAGTGTCTATGAACTGCTCTTGCCATCTTCCTAATACGTAACTTCATGACATCATGTCTCTAGAAGTGCTTAATACAATCCAAAAGAACAAGGGGGGAAGGCCCCAAGTCACCACTGACCGACCTCAGCAGGGGCCAGTGGTAGAACAACAATCTTGTGAATTAGGAGACATAGAAAATGTACGCAAAAGTAAATTCCAAGCGCTGAGCATGTACAAGCTATTTTTATTATTAAAAGCCAAGAAGGAAGAGCATTGAAGAAGTAATGATTTTAATATAGTGGGGGATTTCCCCCTTAAATTTTTATAATTTCCTTGTGAATAAACAATCATGGAAAAGAAGAAACCTAGTCATACAAAATCAGAATAAATAAAAATCTTAAGACTGGATCCACATCTTTGGCCAATTCATATAAGCACCTAATACATCAATTTCTCTGTACTTAAAATGAAGAGAATAATTAATATTCTTAAGTACAATGTTTTCAATAGAGAACAAATGAAATCACCTTTGTCATCAACAGCAGCCCAGACTGACTGTATCTAGATCACACCTTGATGTTACGTTTGAATGCAGTCAGTAGTTACCAAAAAGTAATTAGTGCACATTAAATAGTGGTAAAATCAGCAGGGAGAAATATGGGATTAGCACGTAGTTCCAGAACCTTCCTCCTCCTCCAGAGTGCAACTCAACAAACAGTACACTCCAAATTAAGAATCAATGTTTCATCCCAGGACAAACGGTGTTGCTCCCATCACAGTACCACAACTGAGATACTGTGAAGTCATTGCACTACCAGTAGGTTACTACTCTTTTGAAGTTACTGTTTTTAAATCCTAAAATATGTCCCCAGTTTTCTACATTCATTCTTCTTCCCCTAAGAGTTGCTAGAAGCAGATGAAGGATCCCTATTGACTCTGCAGGGTTTGATTTCAGTACCTTAGACAGCTATCTGGTGACTTCCCAGTAGGCACGAACAACCCCTTCTCTCCCCTTGCAGTCGGTGGGCTTGATGACGCCCCAGACAGTATCCTTTCCTTCTCTACTGCCGCCAAAATAAACATTAGGGAAATGGGATCATTAACACCACTGAGAAAGGAGTTTACAGGGATCGCAATAGTAACTGTCTGCTTGTGGTAGTAGAAAGCTTGTGCCAGGCTGCATGAATAGAAATTAATGTTAAACTCCTGTTAGACGAGTAATATGTAGATTTTTATTGAAACAGACCACAGCTTATTAAAAAGTACTCAGTGCAATGGTATATACATATATACAGATAGAAAAAAATATAACTGTGATCTTTTTGTCTTACGCCATTACTGGAAACACCCAAACGTGAACTGGAGTTCCCTCTGAACAAAACCATTGTCAAATCTTCAACATATGACCTCCAAATCTAGGTGCCAAGTGCCCTGTGACAGTTGTTTACACACCTGAAAAATGTATCCTGGAAGCTGTAATCTTGGGCCTGGGCTATGTGTTGAAACAAGCAAAAGAGACACATCGTGACCAACCAAGCTGGTGGAGGAAAAGCACAAAATTCAACTCCAACCTGCAGTTAGGATCCCAAAGAGATGTTGACATTTATAGCCAAAAAGAAAAAGTACATATATATATATATATATATATATATATATATATATATATATATATATCTGAATCAGATCGAAGCAGCCAACGTCCAGCTTCACTCAAGAAGGACAAGGAATAAACAACATTCTCTAGCTGTGTCATGTTGTCTCAGTTTTTGAATCTCAACCAGGACTGATCCACCTTCATCAGATACGTTTTTTAATGGCGCAACAACTCAATTTTGGTCCCAGACTCTCCATTCTGCACTGGCCACGAGAACAACAAGAGAATGACAGGATGTTAATGGAGGAAACATTTTCATGGCAAGCTCAGAAACTGAAGTGTTTATATTCAGAATCAGATGAGCTTTAATATGAATTTGCATCTTGCCTCTGTACTGCTTGCTATTTTTTAATGATAGGAGAAAGCATAACAGTTTATTTTAAATATGAAATATATTGATATATTATAAAATATATTGTAACTTTCAATTAACATTTTGTATCAAACTAGTGTTTAGCAGGTCCACTGTCAGCCTGCTCTCCCAATGACTGTTTCTGAGTACACATCACTGTTAGTGATTGCCGGGCACCCAGAAAAAGGGTCCTCCTACCACAGCCTACTGAACTGCCATATTCTAATTCTCCAAGGCCTGGGTATTAGAGACAAAAGAACATTATTCCAAGAGTAGAGGAATAATTCTACCCTAAATTCTATCAAGCCATTTCAGAAGAGATTTTAAAAGCCATCACTCCTTTAGTAGCTCTGCAAAGCCAGTTTAATAAAAGTTCAGGCTCTTTCTATATAAATTCAAAGGCCTCATTACATAAATTATATAAGTCTCAAACCTAGCCAACCAGTTTTCCTTTGACAATGTCAGAATTGGACATAAGAAAGAGTCCTGTTTTCCTGTAACTTAAAATACTCAAAATCCTAGGCATTCTGAGTTTCTCCATGTACGTGAAACCGGGGTCGGCTTTCCAAACTACACAAGGCCCAACAAGAGTCCAGTGTGCAGATGTGCTTTTCTAAATTGGCAATACCCTTGAGGGAGCAAGGTTCCCACATGTTTATCAAGGACATGGAGCCCAGCTCCTAAGGGAGTGATGGGAGGAGCCGGCAGGACATGAACAGCCAGAGCCAGCAAAGAGCCGGGCTGCCTTTTCTGCTAGCTTCCTCTAGCTGGGAGGAAATAAAGGGTTCCCGTTGAGATATTGTCCTTTATAGCAAAATTAAGCAACTCATGGAATCTACACCCCTCTTTCTCTACAGAGCAGCTGAGACATACATGTAGAAGTTCTCAGTTCCCTCCTTCATATGGCTAAGGCACTACTTCTAGATGAAAACAGGATGTGTTCGGTTACAGAATAAAGATTTTCTAGAATCAGTGAGCCTCTTCTCACCTGGGACCCTCACTTGCTGTTGTTGCTTTGGTGCAATATTGTACAGGTGCAAACCAGGTTGCATCGGGGCAGATTAACTGAGCCTATGTGTCTCTTCCCTTCCCAAGCCCTGAAAATTCACATAGATTTACAGATAGTGCAAAACAACAAGTTTTCTCCTGGGAAAAGGCTGGAATCCTTCAAATTTCAATTTATATGAGCTTAAAGGTATATAAGTCATGGGGCTCACTGACATTAGGTATTCATGCTGTTTGAAAGAGAAATGTCTAAATGCCCGTTTTCAGTCTGTTTGTGTAGCTGAGCCCTAACTTGTACACAAGTTTTCTTGTTATGGAGCTAAATTCTCTCAGTGCCTGTATTACTCCTCAGTTATATGTTAGGCCGAGCTCCACTAAAGCCATCTGAACTCCAGGGCACTTGTTTTTATCAGGTTACTTACTCACCGGATAATGGAAATTGGCTTATTTTCAATTTTACAATTGACTGATGAATGTATTGGTGGTAATTGATTTATTTCTTCACTTTTTTTTGCTACTAAATGATTTTTTCTTTTTTAAAATTATTATTATTATTATTTTGAGATGGAGTCTCACTCTGTCGCCCAGGCTGGAGTGCAGTGGCGCCATCTCAGCTCACTGCAAGCTCTGCCTCCTGGGTTCATGCAATTCTCCTGCCTCAGCCTCCCGAGTAGCTGGGATTACAGGTGCGTGCCACCACGACCAGCTAATTTTTTTGTATTTTTAGTAGAGACAGGGTTTCATCATGTTAACCAGGATGGTCTCGATCTCCTGACCTCGTGATCCACCTGCCTGGGCCTCCCAAAGTGAGCCACTGTGCCTGGCCCAGTAAGTGCTTTTTTCTTTTGGTTTTTCCTTCTAACACTGCTCAGACCAAGACTTACATTTATAAAGAGCAAATATATTCTGACCTTTCCCCTCAAAGTTGTATTCCATCTAGAATCAAGGAAACAAATGCAAATTCATCATTTGGGGAAAGCAGACCTCTTGACAGTAATTCAAGTCCATGGCTATATGCTAACCCTTGCTACTCAAAGTGTGGTCCACAGACCAGCAGCGTTAGCATCATCTGTAAGCTTGTTAGAAATGCAGAATCTCAGGCCCCACATCAAACCTTCTTCATCAGAATTGGCCTTTTAACAAATCCCCAGGTGACCTGTATGCACCAGAAATATTGATAAGCACTGGCCTCACCTCACCGTAGTGATAACTAACCTCGTTAATAATTAGAGAATGAAGCTATCTCTTCCTTGAGTCTCATTTACAGAATTATTTGAAGATGTGAAGGTCCTGAATGATCATAAGGATTAAAAAAATGCATCTTTAAATTCCACTTGAGGTTATATAACTTGGATGGTCTACATCAAACATAATAAAGTCAATAAGAGATAGTCTTTTTCCGGTCTTACCTAAATAGCACTCCATATCCTTGAGCCACCTCAAAGCCCCCATTTTTAAGTTTTAGTCTTTTTTTTTTTAGACCAGACTAGCAAAGCCATCAGAATATCAGGTGGAACCTCAGGGCAGGTCCTCTGGAAGGCTACAGGAGTCTCTGCTTAGCATAGTACAGAAATTGTTGTGTTTCTCGATCCTTGTGTTCTTCCCTTGAGGAACTCAGCATCTCACCAGTAAGAACTCCCCTCCCCTAGAGGAAAATAGCAAGAGAAGTTAGTTTAACCATCTAGAAACATTGCTAATCTCCTTGAAAGCCAATTCTCTTACTCATTGCACCAACAAGAAACACTCCAAGGTGGGCAAGGAAAGACGTGAATTCTGATATTGGCGCCATAACTCGATATGTACCCAGAAACAGTTATGTTCTAAATTAATGGCTTTAACCT
Source organism: Homo sapiens (assembly GCF_000001405.40). Classification (NCBI taxonomy): domain Eukaryota; kingdom Metazoa; phylum Chordata; class Mammalia; order Primates; family Hominidae; genus Homo; species Homo sapiens. The sequence continues at coordinate 154,699,522 of NC_000001.11, read as the reverse complement.
GTTCATTGTAAAAAGTGCCTTGGACTTCAATCTAAAGAGGTCAGTATAAATATGTATGTGTGTGTGTGACGTGTATGTAGGCAAATATTTACAGATTTATACATACATAGGTGCACACACATATACCCGCACATTCATATATAATATATACATACATATATAAATGCTTCATAATATATCATATTGCTATTCACAGCTCCATTTCTTTTGTCTGGTCCTATGTTTATTTGTTTAGTGAGACCTTTACATAGAGAGGTTCTATTCGGAACATTGATGTATTTTTTGTTTGTTTTTTACTTTTTATTAAAAAGGTAAAGGATATTAAAAAAAAAAAAAAAAGTCAAGTGCCTGAAGGTTTTGAATGGAGTTACGGTAAACTTTCTCAGGTCACCAAAGAGGAAACATTTTTCCTTTGGAAAACATTTTTCTGTTTCAGTGACTTTGTTTTCCCTTGGTGGTAATGCATAAATAAGAGTGGTTAAAGTGATTTTGTAAGTTTTATTTCAATCCATTTCTGTGGTTCCCATAAGGCAATAGCTAAAAATTTGTTCAGTCTAGTGCCCAGTTTTCTCCACACATCAGCATCAGAAGGGCCCGGTCTTCACATGCTCTGTGTGGTTTTGTTCGCGTTGTTACTGTGTTCCTTACTAAGGAAAGGCAAATGAAATTGCAGGGGCTGGAGCTTAGACCAGCTCCAAATATGGCTTCCTTTTGGTAACACACACAGAAGGTGGACTAGTGGGAAGTCTCTCTCCCTGAAGCAGGTGGGAACCTGTGTCTTAGAAGGCAGAGGAGTCCCAGTGAACTCTCCACAGCTCCATGGGCCCTGCCTGTCTACAGTTATACAACTGCCTGTATGAGTCAGCCTTTCTCTACCTTAGCCAAAGGTCTTCTCTTTCTGTGGTGTGACAGCTTGTAATGAACCAACTTGCTCTGGTTAGAAGTCCCTAGAGCTCCAGGAAGAGTCGCCAGGTTTCCATTGCTGTGCTCAAAGCTCAAGGACACATTATACTTCTTTAAACCAACTAAATCTCTCTAGCTCCCTGCCCCCATGGTGACACTTTCATAATAGGCAGGGCCAAGTCAGAGAGGTCATGCCCTGTATACAGTGTCAATCAGAAGAGACACTGCAAAATGTCAGAGGTGACCAGAAAGACAACAGATCTCTCCAGCTGTCCTCACAGCTGCAGGCACATTTGTGGAATTGTGAGTAGGAAGGCTTGGCAGCCAGGGGATGGGAAATGAATTTCCCCAAGTTGAAAACCCTGTACCCTTACTTTCCTTCCCATAAATTTTTCTGTAGTTCTAGGTAAATAATAATAATAATAAAAATGCAAATTAGGTGCTTTAGAAGGAGTATGTAATATCTGGGACTTTTTCTAAGTTGGTAGACCTAAAAAATGTTTTCAAAAATATATCTAGCTGCATTTCTACTGCTGTCATTCCTTAAAGCTCTTCCTCCAAAAACTCCATATGAATGAATACATTTACCAACTCAGTGATTACTAAATAATAGTACTTTATACTTATACACAGTAATACCTTTCATCTAAGGATCTCAAATGCCAATATATTAGTCATCACCCTGTAAGGTGGATGACATATTATTCCCATTATTCCAATGGGAAAATTGGGCCATAGAAAACTGAGGAGCAAATGACTCATCTACAGGAATTAAATGGAAAAAACAGGCTAGGATTTCTCAGCACACTTTAGGAGTGAATGAAAACTTACAGGCTTCAGTTCTACTGCTGGCCACCATTGGATTTGTAAGATCCAGGATGTGTATTGACCACATGTGTCCAGACCCAGGCTTAGGGCATCTGGAATGAGAGTGGTGGGCTGGTGTGTGGGTCTGAGGATCTGGATGGGAGACTGCATTTTCTTCTCTGTGCAAAATATGGAAGTGTGACCTTGAAGGTGGGCTTAGTCTATGGCCTTCCCCACTCCTGCTTGAACTGAAGCTGGAGAGAATGGGCATTTTTAAATGTTACGGCATATGCTAATATAATATTATGGCATTAAATAAAAACAAGAAGAGAACTGACTAAAACCAAAAAACCAAAAATGCAAGTGACTGATTTCCTTTAATTTTATCTTCTTCTTTCCCTACATGTATAGTTGTGAAAGCAAGATTTTTTAAAAGAGGAAATCTTAATTTAGATCGGAAACAGCGTCCCCTGGAAAAGGTTGCTTCTTTAAGCAAGGCCAGAACTGCCGTGGTTTTCATGGTAGTGTTGACTCAGGAGATTGGCCCCCCCAACATGGAGACACATGGAAGGCCTTAATACCAAACCCAGTTTTAACCACCCAGAGAGAGTGAGAGCCGCTCCTAAGGTGAATGGCTGTTCATCAACGAGAATATCTAGACACACTGATGTGTGATACGGCAAACTTGCAACTATGTTCAAGTAAAGTATCGGGCAGTTCCACACAGCACTCCTTCCATTTAGCTGAGCAGAGGGTCTCAGTAGACTCATCTCTGAAGCTTTTGAAAACCCCAAGCCAGGCTTCTCAACCCATGGAGACTCAGAAGCAGAGTATGGGTGACACCTGGGCATGTCCCTGAGGCACCACAGGTCGTTCTAAGGGGTGCCCCAAGTTGAGCACCACTGATCCAGAGCTTGCTGAAGTGAGGCCACCGGTGCCTAGTCTGGCACAGCCCTCCTCAGGATCTCTCCCCTCCCCCTAGTTGGTGAGGAGACGGGAAGAGAAGAGAGTAGGAGGGGGCAAGGTTTTTATAAAGATGGTGATTTACTCGAAGCTTGATTCCTTTTCATCTTGCCCTCATGTCTCTTCAGTCCTGGCCCCATGAGACTGTGCTGATCTGCATGCTGGCTCTACGTGTATTGGCAAACAATGCTGCCAGGTTACTCTTCCCTCACATGGTATTTCTCTGGCTGGCTGCTGCTTTCTCCTGGCACACAGTCTGTCTGGGTGTAATGTCTTTCTTTGGCCTTAGCTCTGGGTGAAGATTGAGGGAGGGCTATTCTGACATTTTTCACTAGACGAAAAAAGTTAAAATTAAACATAACACATTGTCCTTGCTAGCAGGTAACTCACTAAACCTAACGCACAAAAATTGGGTAACCTGCTATGTTATACGCATTGATCTTTTCCAAACTATATCTAACCACTAGATAAAATGTTGTCTCCTATTATAAAGAAAATTTGATCCATTATTACATCATGCATAACTGTGGAAGCTGGAAAAACAAGACATTAGAACTCAAAGGTGGGCCCAGTTTTCCAAAATGGACAATTCTGCTAATTCAGAATTCAGGAGACTCTGAGTAAGAACACCCCCTGCAGACCAACGGGAATAGGGCAATCTGAGGGAAAAAGAAATGTCACTTGGCATCCAGGAAAAGGCTCATCTGTATGGCTGTCAAAAACAAGGTGCTGGCACTGTATGCGGATGCAGATGAGAAGGCAGGCCATGCCTGTTAGAGACATTCATCTAGGTCATGGCCCTTGCCTTACACATAGGAGACAGAGATTCAAGAGAAGTGATTTGCCTGGAATCAAATGGAGAATTATGGGCAGAAAGTAAACTGGAACCTTTTCATGCCACATTGAGAATGCCTTCTGGGCTGATGTGGTAAATTGAGGCCTGCCCATAGCCTCTCCATGCTCTTTCTTGATTCATCCTCATAAAGTAGTTGGTTATCCATTTTGCAAATGTTTGCTAAGAAGAAAAGCCCCTGCTTCTCAACACACGCATACACCGCTAATGCATACACCGCATTAGCAATATCTCAAAGAAAACAAAGATATGCATATTGCGACTGGTTAAAATAATTCATAGTGCATTTTATATTCCAGAGGCATTGATCATTTTCAAAGTTATCTGCCTTTAGTTTAAAGAATTTACAGCTAATACTTGCAAAGCTACAAGAACCCCCACTGGTCAGGAAACATTAAATTCGATTATTAAAATGATGTGATTTTATATCCAGCATTACAGTGGATTATGCTAATGATGGTCAAGGTTATTAATCTTCATTGCCGTCACCACTGCAAATAATACATGAAGATTAGCCAAAATTAACTTAATCTGCTTGTAGCATGAATTTGAAATTTACACTTTATTTTTTCTGAGAACAAGTCACACTTAATAGCCTCTCTTAAAATGCATTCCTCCCCCCCGGAAAACCAAAGGTGGAAAACACGCATGCAATACCTGAGGGCGATTTCCTCTTCACCTAGGTAAAACGCTTTTCCAAACCTCTTCTGCTTCCTACTTTCAAACACTGGGGTATCACTTAAAAGCAATCAAGTACTTCTCAAGAAAGAATGCATACAGTAATGGGGCACCCACATCCCAGTCACTCATCAAGGGAAATGTCAGGTCTTCTGTAAGTGCCTGTAAGCTGTGATTCAATTGCCCTTTCTTAGAACACCCTCCTCACCTCCCACCTCTTGGAATGAGAAGGTAGATACATAACTCATCCTAAACTTCAGAATTTGGGAATCTTAACAAATTTACCCTTAGGATTTCCTACAGACTTTTTTCAATAATAACAATGCAATGTTTACTTGATTCACAAATTTGGGAACATAGGACCCTGTTTGGTGGCAGTTTAATTGAGAAAATGCTCGACGAGTATGGTCAGATCATCAATAAGAGGAACTGACATTCTCAGTTCTGTACTTGGAAATAAGATGTGAGAAAACTGTAGAGGACATTTATTCACTATCTCTAGAGCACCCATTCCCCAATTCTCTGCCAACAGCATGCAGAGTTTTCTTTAGTGAATTTGCCCTTCTCCCATCCCAACTATGCACTTGGGTGGGGTTAATACAACTTCCAGACCTCTGGTGGGCCATGGCAGGCTTAAGACAATCAGAGTACCTCATCACCCTAGCCAACGGATGGGCACAGGGCCCAAATCAGGCCAATGGGAGCAAGTGAACCCCAGAGCCCAGGGCTTGAGCCAGAGCAACCAGAAAAGACCCTCTACCCCAGGAGGGTGAGGTGCTGCTTGATCAGGAGCTGCTGCAACCCTTTTGTTTGATGAGGGGAGAGGGAGGAGTTGACAGAGGGCCACCATGTGGAACATGAGGATGAAGACCACCAAAGGCAGAGGGGAGAGGAGAGAAATGGGGACATTATGTGGCATAATAAGAAATATATTTTGGGTCTTTGTCCCTTGTTCCTGGCACAGAGCTCCTAAATCCCATGGGATTTCCTGGATGATAGGACCCACTTCTTGTTATAATGAGGTGACTCTTGCTGGGCTCCTGGATAGCTCCAAAATTGGAGCTGGTCACCAGAAAGACCAAGCTCTGATTAGAAACCTGGAACCTTCAGCCTAGCTAACATGGTGAAACCCCATCTCTACTAAAACTACAAAAATTAGCCGGGCATGGTGGTGCATGCCTGTAATCCCAGCTAGTCAGGAGGCCAAAGCAAAAGAATTGCTTGAACTCAGGAGGCGAAGGATGCAGTGAGCTAAGGTCGCACCACTGCACTCTAGCCTGGGCAACAGAGCGAGGCTCTATCTCAAAAAAAAAAAAAAAAAATTGATCATGCCTATGTGATGAAACCTCCATAAAAACCCTTAGACAAAAGAGTCTAGAGAACTTCCAGGTTGGTGAACACATCCATGTGCCAAGAGGGTGGCATACCCCAGCTCAATGGGATAGAAGCTTCTGTGCCTGGGACCCTTCTGGGTCTTGCCCTATATGCCTCTTCTCCTGGCTATTAATTTATATCCTTTAAAACAAATCCATAAACATAAGTAAAACATGTTCCTGAGTTCTGTGAGCCATTCTAGAAAATTGTTGAACCTGAGGAGGGAGTTGTGAGAACCCCTAATTTATAGCCAGTCAGTCAGGAGTATGAGAGGCCAGGACTTGTGACTGGCATCTGAAGTGGAGGGCAGACTTTGAGTCCTTCACCTACGGGGTCCGTGCTAACTCCAGATAGTTAGTGTCACAATTGAATTGAATTGTTGAACGCCTGTTCTTCTCTGGAGACTCAGAGAATTGGTCGTTGATGTTGGAGAACACCCCCCCTTGGTAATATCCTTGGAGCCACTGAATCTCCTAATTACCTGAACCAGTAACTTTGCTTTATATTGCAACCATTTGGAGATGAATTTTCTGTCATATCCAACATAAAGAGTCCTGGTGGAGAAGAACCAACCTCCTGGGCACACATCAAATCTCCCAGAGGAGTGACCAGAATGAGAATTAAAGAGAAATGCCATTTCAATAGTTCTGACATTTAAAAAGTTTAAAACACAAAAATTAAGTAGGATAACAAGAAAATGTGGAATGTCAAAATTGACTTTAGAGTGTACTTTGACCACTAAGTTAGCAGAGTGATGGAGAAAGAAAGAACCACAGCAAGAGATTCTGTTAAATGAACCAATGTGGTTTGGGGGAAAAAAAAAAAAAAGACTAAAGCAGAAAATGATCTATCAGTCAGGAAGGGGTGATGAGTGGAATAAAAGTGACCTAAGATCTTAGTATATGTCTTTATCTATTTTTTGCTGCTATAACAGAATACCTGAGACTGGGTAATTTATAATGAACAAAAATTTATTGGCACACAGTTCTGGAGACTAGGAAGTCCAAGATTGAGGGGTCAGCATCTTTTAAGGGCCTTCTTCCTCCATCATCCCATAGATGGAAGATGGAAGAGCAAGAGAGAGCACAAGAGTGAACTTGCAGCCTCAAGCTCTTTTAATAGTTGGCATTATTCCAGTCATGAGAGCTTTGCCATAATAACCTAAAATATCCCCGTAGACCCACCTCCCAACACTATTGCATTGGGGGTTAGGTTTCTACACATGCTTTTGGGGAGACACATTCAGACCGTAGTAGTATTGTTTGGAAGGAAGGTAAATATTGATAACTTCAGAGTTTGACCATTTAAATTACAATCAATAATATAATTAAAACAGAGCCTACAACTTTCAAACTAGTAGAGTTTGAAAAATAGAGAAAAAAAATCAATTCAAAAGAAGGTTAGAAAGGATGGGAAAACACGTAAAAGAACAAATTGGAAGGATGAAACAAAATGGTATAAATATATCCAAATATTTCGATAATCGCAATGAAAGTTATGGACTCCAGGCAAAAGAAAAAGATTGTCAGACCAAATGTTTTAAATTATTCAAATAAATGCTATTTACAAGAAACACATTTAAAGCATAGCATAAAGAAAAATTGAAAGTGTGAATTTTTAAAAGATTCAAGTATATTTTAATCAAAAAAATATGGGTATAGCTAATAAATACTGGGCGGTAGGGGGAGGCTTTAATGTAAAAAGCACTGAGTTCTCCAAGAAAAGATAACAATTTAAAGTATATAGAATACACTTAATAATATGGCCTTAAAATATATAAAGCAAACATTTACAGAACTACAACAAAACAGACAAACCTACAACCATAGCAGGAAAATTTAATACATCTTTCTGAGGAAGTAGTTGATCAAGTAGACAAAATAAAAATCTAAAAAGATATAGAAAAATTGAATGACATAATCAAATCTGTAGGATACACTTTTTCCTTGTACATTGAATATTAATGAAACTTGACCACATAATGGACACTAAAGCAAGTTCAACACATTTTTTTTTTTTTGAGACAGAGTCTTGCTCTGTCGCCCAGGCTGGAGTGCAGTGGCGCGATCTCGGCTCACTGAAAGCTGCGCCTCACCGGTTCACGCCATTCTTGCCTCAGCCTCCCGAGTAGCTGGGACTACAGGCGCCCACCACCACGCCCGGCTAATTTTTTGTATTTTTTAGTGGAGACAGGGTTTCACCATGTTAGCTAGGATGGTCTCAACCTCCTGACCTCGTGATCCCCCCTCCTCGGACTTCCAAAGTGCTGGGATTACAGGTGTGGGCCACCGTGCCGGCCAAGTTCAACACGTTTTAAAGGAATGGTACCATACAAACAAAATTCTCTGACTTCAGTGTAATATATACCAAAGTTCAGGCCGGGCGCAGTGGCTCACACCTGTAATCCCAGCACTTTGGGAAGTTGAGACAGGTGGATCACTTAAGGTCAGGAGTTTGAGACCAGCCTGGCCAACATGGTGAAACCCTGTGTCTACTAAAAATACAAAAATTAGCCAGGAGTGGTGGTGCCCACCTGTAATCCCAGCTACTAGGGAGGTTGAGGCAGGAGAATCGTTTGAACCTGGGAGGCAGAGGCTGCAGTGAACCAAGATTGCACCACTGCACTCCAACCTGGGCAACAGAGCAATACTTCGTTTCAAAAAAAAAAAGCAAAATAACCACCATACCTGGTGGAAGCTGAACTTGAAAAAAATAAATACATAAATAAAATTCAGTAAGCAAAAAATCGTAACTAAAATAATACCTTTGGAAGTTAAGAAACATAAATAATTTATGAATCAAAGAATAAATCATAAAAATTTAAATATGTAAAACAGAACATTAAGGAAAATGCTGTGTTTCAAAATGAGTTGAATGAAATTTTAAGAAATTAGAAAGATTAGGCTGGGTGCGGTGGCTCACGCGTGTAATCCCAGCACTTTGGGAGACCAAGGCGGGCGGATCACGAGGTCAGGAGATCAAGACCATCCTGGCTAACACGGTGAAACCCTGTCTCTACTACAAATACAAAAAAAATTAGCCAGGCGTGGTGGCAGGTGCCTGTAGTTCCAGCTACTCAGGAGGCTGAGGCAGGAGAATGGCGTGATCCCGGGAGGCAAAGCTTGCAGTGAGCTGAGGTCGCACCATTGCACTCCAGTCTGAGAGACAGTGTGAGACTCCGTCTCAAAAAAAAAAGAAAAGGAAGAAAGAAATTAGAAAGAGTAACATGAGATTTCCAAATAAAGTAGAATATACAAATAGAGACAAGAGCAGAAACAATTAATAGAAAGTAAACTCACACTAGATGAGGTTTTTTAAAAGTCAAAAGTTCTTCCTTTGAATTTACTAATAAAATTGATAATTCTCTAGCAGGATTAAACAAGAGACAGAAAAACAGAGAAAGGGAGAAAAGGGAGAGAGAGAGAACACAAAACAATATTAGGAATGATGCTACAAATGCTAAAAAGATAAGAAGATATTTGGAAATGAAAAATATTACTTACCAAAACGGACTCAAGAAGAAATAGAAAAATGGAATAATCATAGTATCATTTTTTAAACTATAAATGAATGAATGAATGATTCAAAATTTTGTCACAAAGAGGCTGGGTGCAGTGGCTCACGCCTGTAATCCTAGACTTTGGGAGGCCGAGGTGGGTGGATCATGAGGTCAAGAGATCAAGACAATCCTGGCCAACATGGCGAAACCCCGTCTCGACTAAAAATACAAAAAAAAGTTAGCCGGGCATGGTGGCATGTGCCTGTAATCCCAACTACTCTGGAGGCTGAGGCAGGAGAATCACTTGAACCCGGGAGGTGGAGGTTGCAGTGAGCCGAGATCGCGCCCCTGCACTCCAGCCTGGAGACAGAGCAAGACTCCGTCTAAAAATAAAAATAAAAATAAAAATTCTGTCGCAAAGAAAACTGGCCTAGATGATTTTGGCAAATTCTACCAAACATTTAAATAGCAAAGTAAATCCAATTCACATATTTTTTTCCTAGATCATAAGAAAAAAAGAAAAGAAAAAGACCACTTTCCAAGTCATTTTATGAGGCTAGCAAAGGATTGATATCAGAACCTGATGAGGACAGTACAAGGAAGGAAAATTATAGACAAGTTTTACTTAAGACTGTTGATTCAAACATCCTAAACATGCTGTGATCAAACCAAATCTAGAAATAGGTGTGGGAGGTGGGGGAGTACACCAGAATTAAATCTGACCCAAAGAATACAAGTTTTTTTTTAATCTTAGAAAAGTAAAATAAAATTTACCAATGAACCAAAGAAGAAAAATAATCTAACAATAATAGATTTTTTAAAAGATTAATTAAACATTGGTAAATTAAAAATAAAAAACAAACCCTGAGCATTGCTTCTGGCCAGGAATATGGCAAAGGTGATGAGATGTCACTCCCAAGATTATGCTTTTTTTTTTTTTTTTTTTTTTTTCAAATAAGATTCCATGTTAATGGACTGGAGAGATTTTCCTACTGGCCTTGATGCAACAGATCTGTTGTGAACTGCCAAGGCCTACGGCAGGGGGCTGTGGGCAGCCACTAGGAGCCGAGAGTGACCAACAGCCAGTAATAAGCCAGGGCCACCAGTCATGTAGCCACCAGGAAATGAATTCTGCCAGCAATTTGAATGAGCTTAGAGAAAAGAATATTCTCTAGTTGAACCTCCAGACAAGAATGCAGCCTGGCCAAATGTTGACTAATCCTTGTGAGACTCTGACCAAATAACCCAACTAAACTGTACCCAGGCTCCTGAACCATGGAAACTGAGGTAATAAATATGTGTTGTTCGAGTCACTAAACCTGTGGTAATTTGTTATGCAGCAATAGAAAGTTAATACAAAAGGGAACTTCCTTAACACAATCAATGGCATCTGCAAAATGATATCTTCCTAAAGCACACATCATTCTTACCGGTAAAATCAAGATGCCTGTTATTACCCCTCCACAGTGGAGGGTCTAGCGGTGTAATAAGGATGGAAAAATAAATAAGAGGAAAAGGATTAGAACGGTAGAAAATTTTGTCATTATTGGCAGCCGCTATGTTTATCTACCCATCTACTTAAAAGCGTCTAAAGATAGATTATTAGAATTAATAAGACAGTATGATTGCTGGTACAAATTCAACACATACAAATTAATTACATTTCTATACCCTATCAATAAGAAGCTGGAAAATGAATTTTTTAAGAAAAGAAACCATTTAAAATAGCATCCAAAAATATTAAAAGCTTAGCAATAAACTAACAAAAGGCTTGTTAAAGCCTTACAGAGAAAATTATGAAATATTGTGAAAGGATAATAAAGAAAACCTAAATAAATGGAAAAATATCCGTGTTCAGGATTATAAAGAGTTTATTCTTCCCCAAATGAATCTATAAATTTAATGCAATGCCAGTCAAAATCCAAACATACTTTTTAATGGAAAATGGCAAACCGATTGTAAAATTTACATAAAAACAAAAGAGGCTTTGACATTGCTTTTCTTTTCTTTATTTTATTTTTTATTTTTATTTTTTGAGATGGAGTCTCGCTCTGTCACCCAGGCTGGAGTGCAGTGGCACAATCTTGGCTCACTGCAACCTCTGTCTCCCGTGTTCAGGTGATTCTCATGCCTCAGCAACCCCCTAGTAGCTGGGATTGCAGGCGCCCACAAACACACCCGGCTAATTTTTGTATTTTTAGTAGAGACGGGGTTTCATCATGTTGGCCAGGCTGGTCTCAAACTCCTGACCTCAGGTGATCCACCCGCCTCGGCCTCCCAAAGTGCTGGGATTACAGGCATGAGCCACAGCACCCAGCCGAGGCTTTGATATTTCTGAAGAACAAGGTGGAAGGATTTGCCTTACCATATATCACGGGTGTTTGTCATAAAGCTTTAATAATTAAGGTAATGAGGTCTTTGTGTAGAGAGAGAGAGGCAAATTGAACAATGGAACACAATAGAGAGCTGATAAACAGACTCACACATTGATGGAAACTTGATTTATTATTGAGCTGGCCTTGCAAATCAGGTGGGGAAGAAAAGTGGGATATTCAATAAATGATGTTGGAACAGTAGTTACCTAAACTTACATACAAAAATTAACTCTGGTTGAATTAAAAGCATAAATGTAAAGAAAAATTGTGATACTTTTCAGAAGGCAATGGAAAACATTTCTTAAAGAAGACTCCAAAAGCTCAAATCCTAAGGGGAATGATTGACAAATTTGCGTAGATTACATTAAGCCCTTCTGTTCCATAATTTTTTTTTAAGTGAGCAGACAAGCCACAAATTTGGAGATGTTTGCAATTCATATAACTTACAAAGTCAAGCAATTCCCCCTCCGAGGGAAAAATAAAACAGGCAAAAGCAAGGAACAGGGACTTCACAGTAAAGGAATCACAAATGGCCATAAACATGAAAAGATGGTCAACTTCATTAGCAATCAAGGAAATGCAAATGAAATCACAAAGTACCACTTCCCAACCACTACAGTGACCAAAAAAACTCCTGAAAATCAGACAATACCAAACATCGTATATGGAGCAACGGGACCTCTCACCTACTACTAGTTGATGTGTAATTGGTATAAGCACTTTGGAAAACCATTTGGCATTATTAAGACAAGTTAAATATGTGCCTATCTAAAGACACAGTATTATTTGCAAAACAAAACCCCAAAACCAATAGACTTAACCCAAATCAAGAATAGGATGGATAATAATTCACTGGATGAAGAGTCATCCAAAGGAATATGATGCAACAACGAAAATGAAATAAATGAACTACAGGTGTGTGCATCAGCAGCCGTGACTCTCAGTCACACAATGTTGAGGGAGGAAGCAAGCCAGGGAAGATGGCTTGTTTTGCATACAATCTGCATGTTCCAGTGGTGTGATCTTCAAACACAGGCAAAAGTAAATAATAGGCTTAAAGATACACATATTGGACCTCATGGGGGAGGCACAGGGATGAGGTTGGGGAGGGGTGCCAGGGGAATTCTAAGCTCCTGAAACTGTTCTAGTTCTCAATCAGGGTAGGCAATACACAGGTGTTCACTTTATTCTCCTTTAACTTGGATAAGGATGTGTTTATACACTCTTTCATATGCCTGCTATACTTTATGGTTTTAAAATTTCTTAATAAAGCAGCATCCTAAAAATGCAGTTTTCCCTCTGGTCCAGTGTGGCTGACTGGCATAGAGAGTGTATTTGCATCTGAGGTCGCTGGGAGGAATGACCTGACACCAGTGAAGCTGGCAGAGCTGCAGGGCACACTGGAGCCTCTGGCCATCTGGAGTTCAGAAGACAAGACGTCCACACTTCAGTTAGAAGCAGACCTTTATCTCCAGAGGACTTTGATGTTGAAGATATGACAGAAGCTCCTACAAACTGAGAAGGGACAAAGGAGAAAACAGTCCCTGCAAGTTTCCATGAGGAAAAAGAGCCCTGCTTAGTCTGGGATTGGAGTCAGCTAGACCAGAATTCTTTTTTCTTTTTCTTTTTTTTTTTTTGAGATGGAGTCTTGCTCTGTCGCCCAGGCTGGAGTGCAGTGGCCCAATCTCGGCTCACTGCAAGCTCCGTCTCCCGGGTTCACGCCATTCTCCTGCCTCAGCCTCCCGAGTAGCTGGGACTACAGGCACCCGCCACCACACCCAGCTAATTTTTTGTATTTTTAGTAGAGACAGGGTTTCACTGTGTTAGCCAGGATGTAGACCAGAATTCTTATCTTGACTTAGGTATTTACCAGCTAGTAACCTTCTTGGAGAAAGTTGCTTCAACTCTGAGCCTCAGTATCCCCATCTGCAAAAGGGGAATAATGATGGGACCTTTGCCAGAAGATTGCTGTGAAGATTAAATGAGAGAACATATGTGAGGTCACCTCCTACAGGCACACACAGCCGAGCCTCATGTTGCTTGTGTAGAGCTGCTTGTTATTTCCAAGCTTTGTGTTTTACCCAGAGGGAGCTGACTTACTTAACCATTGTTTCTTTTCATCTAATGATGGCGATTTCTAGTCTCTGCCATATCTAGCTCCAACTGATTCTCAGCATAAAATAAGGAGGGCCGGAAATCTCAACATAGTGTCCCAAGGCCTGCAAATCAAGAATGTGGCTGGCACAGCTCATATTATACCCATGGAATCTAAGCACATCATGCACTGTGATTAAAAAGAGGCTTTACTGCTTCAATCTTGATCATCCTCCCAACCATCAAGAAATCGTTAGAACTGACAAATATCCCAATATAATTTTGCAGAAATCTGAATTTTTAAAAGAAGGCCATTAAAAAGTTGAGCCCAGGCAGAGCATGGTGGCTCATGCCTGTAATCACAGCACTTTGGGAGGCCGAGGAGGGCGGATCACGAGGTCAGGAGTTTGAGACCAGCCTGGCCAACATGGTGAAACCCTGTCTCTACTAAAAATACAAAAATTAGCTGGGCGTGGTGGCGGGCACCTGTAATCCCAGCTACTCAGGAGGCTGAGGCAGGAGAATTGCTTGAACCCAGGAGGCGGAGGTTGCAGTGAGCCAAGATCGCACCACTGTACTCCAGCCTGGGCGACAGTGCAAGAATCTGTCTGTCTAAAAAAAAAAAAAAAAAAAAAAAAATCGAGCCTGGAACATAAAGGAAAACTCTGCGGCCCTGGGGAGGTGGCAACCCCTTGTTGCTGCTGAGGAGGCTCTCAGAGGCCTGTGTGTGCTGCGTTGCCTCCCCACCTCACCCCTACAGAGCGCCCCCCACACTTGTAACCCCGGCAGGTGCACAGCTCCTCCCCACAGCTCTCAGCCCTTCTGCCCACCTAACCCGCTAGTTAGTTAGGCCCCTCTGCCATCTTCCACCGAGTGGGGACTGGCACAGAAATGGATTCTCCCCAGTCGTGCCTCCATATCCTGCACTGTGAAAATACTCTCTTTTCTTCCTTTCCCCCCAAATGAGGTAAGTCTGTGAAATAACAACCACCATGCATTCAACTCAACAATCTACTCTCTTCTCTCACCAAAATTGCTGTGATGCTTCTGGCTAAATGAATTATAAATTATGATCTCTCTTTTCTTCAATATGTCAAAATTCTTGGAGCCAAAAAGATGGGCTTTTAAATAAGAACCATCTAGAGCTCAAATTATACTCTCCTCTGCCTGAAAATTCTTCAGGGGCTCTCCCTGCCTGCGGGATAAAGTCTAGATTCCTTGGCATGATTTCTTTTTTTTGTTTGTTTTAGGTTTTTTGTTGTTGTTGTTGTTTTTGAGACAGAGTCTTGCTCTGTCACCCAGGCTGGAGTGCAGTAGTGCGATTTCGGCTCACTGCAAGCTCCGCCTCCGGGTTCACACCATTCTCCTGCCTCAGCCTCCTGAGTAGCTGGGACTACAGGTGCCCGCCACCACGCCCGGCTAATTTTTTGTATTTTTAGTAGAGACGGGGTTTCACTGTGTTAGCCAGGATGGTCTCCATCTCCTGACCCCATGATCCGCCCGCCTCGGCCTCCCAAAGTGCTGGGATTACAGGCATGAGCCACCACACCTGGCTTAAATGATTAGTTTTTGTTTGTTTGTTTGTTTGTTTTGAGGTGGAGTCTCACTCTGACCCCCAGTCTGGAGTGCAGTGGCGCGATCTTGGCTCACTGCAAGCTCCGCCTCCCGGGTTCATGCTCCTGCCTCAGCTTCCCGAGTAGCTGGGACTACAGGTGCCTGCCACCACGCCTTGGCATGATTTCTAAGCCTGTCACATGGTAGCCCCAATCCACCTTTCCAGCCTTCTCCTCTCTGCCTTCTGCCCTCCTTCCTCATCCCCCCCCCCCCACTTCAGTTACCCTGTCTCACACTTACACACACATAATCGGGTTTCAGAAACCTGTTTCACAGACCTTTATTCCCTGTGGCTTTGCACCCGCTGTTCTCCCTGCCTGAATGGCTCTTATCTACATTTTGTTTAGAAAACTCTACCACATCCTTCAAGATCCACTCTATAAAGCCCTCCCTATCTCCCTCACTCTGATGATAACAGCTCCCATTTATTTAAACACCCACTGATTCTCAACCTGCACATCAGGATCGCTGGAACTACCAAGGATCATCCCAGAACTACCGAGTCAGAATCTCCCATGGTGGGAATAAAGCACTGTTTTTTTCCCAAAGTTTCCCAAGTGATTCTAATGCATGGCCATGGCTAAGAAGCTGTGCTGTGTGGGGCAGCAACTGAGATCCTGGGTTCTGGAGCCAAGCACTGTGGGTCTAAAGGCCAGCTGTGCTGCTAACCAGCTGCCTAACCTTGGGCCAGACTCAACTTCTCCATGTTCTGTGAAGTACAGATTATGGGCTGGGCACAGTGACTCACACCTGTAATCCCAGCACTTTGGGAGGCTGAGGCGGGTGGATCATATGTCAGGAGATCGAGACCATCCTGGCTAACATGGTGAAACCCTGTCTATACTACAAGCACAAAAAATTAGCTGGGTGTGGTGGCATGCGCCTGTAGTCCCAGCTACTCCAGAGGCTGAGGCAGGAGAATCACTGGAACCTGGGAGGTGGAGGTTGCAGTGAGCCGAAATCATGCCACTTCACTCCAGCCTGGGCAACAGAGTGAGATTCCATCTCAAAAAAACATAATAATAATAAAATAAATAAATAAATAGAAATAAGTTAAATGGAGGCACAGAATGGCTACAGTTTGTGAATTGCTTGATTTTTTTAATCTTTATTTTATATATTCTATGTGTTAAATGTGATATTATATATATTTCTAGTCTATATGTCTTTTAATATAGTAAGACACTTCCAAATTGTTTATGAAAATAGTGTGTTAGTTTGAGCTGCTGTAACAAAAATAACATGGATTGGGTAGCTCAAACAACATAAATTGATTTCTCATGGTCCTAGAGGTTGGGAAGTCCAAGATTTGGTTTCTGGTGAAGGACCTCTTCCTGGTTTGCAGACAGCCACTTTCCTGCTTTACCCTGATGTGGGGGAGGGAGAGAGAGAGAAAGAGAAAGAGAAGGAGTGTGCGAGCATCTCTCTTATGTCTCTTCTTTTAAGGGCAGTACTCCTGTTCATGAGGGCTTCACCCTCATGACCTAATTACCTCCCAAAGACTCCACCTCCCAATATTATCACATTGCAGATTAGGGCTTCAACATATGGATTTGGGGGAGACACAAACATTAAGTACATATGAGATAGTATATAGATTTATTAACAATGTTTGTCAATGATGTCGTTTTTACTCAAATTTAACTCCTGGAGAGAAGGGGTGGAGGAGTGAAATTCCTATTTTCTGCTGCTCTCTAATTAACGAAATGCAAACATTTGGAATATATGTTTGTTGAAGAATATGTTTGTTTTAAAGGATACCTGTCAAATGGAGGAGGCACAGGGTCGAGCTGCCACGGAGCCAAGTAGCTGGCGAAGGTAGCAGCAGCAACAGCAGCAGCAACCAACCCCAATGAAGACAAATCGTTCTCTGGAGGATAGACGTCATGTGACGGCAGCTCCTGCTGGCTGGAAGAGCAACAACGGCCTCCACCTGGGCGGGAAGCAGCTTGAGCTACCTGTCCTAACCCAGCCCCGTGGATGCTCTGTGCTGCAGGGACCTGTGTTAGGCTCAGTTGCTAGTTACAAGTGAGGGACCAGGGGTCAAGATCACACCCCATCATCAAAGCCGGGGAAAGCCGTGGTTCCCAACCCCCAGACCCCGGTCGTATTTTTAAGTATTCTTTTGGCTTTGTCTGTATAAGCTTTTTGGTCTATGGTCTTTCTTTCTTGTCATTCTGTTTCTCAAAATCCTCTGTTTTTCCCTGTGAGCTCACATTTCCCGGGAAGTGTAATGTGCACATCACAAGGGTGAGCAGCTGAAGCCCAGCCCTTGACCTGCGATCTTCCTGGTGAGCTGGGGCAGCGGCAGGTGGGCTGGAAGGGTAGGTCATACCCACTGGGGTCACAGGCCTCTCTGGTGCCCAGTCTGGCTCCACACTCCTTATTCCTAGCACTCTGCCAGGTGACAGACAGAGGCACGTCTTTTTTATAAGTGGTTGGTTATAGCAATCCCTTTTGAGGAAGAAGATGGGAGAAAATATTCAGGAACCCTTGGACCCTTGGGTCTGGGGCAGGCTATGGAAATTCAGATCAATTAGATTAAAATAACCAAGTTTCCTTTATTATTTATTTTTATTTTTTTGAGACAGGGCCTTGCTCAGTCACCCAGGCTGGAGTGCAGTGGCACAATCAGGGCTCACTGCAGCCTTGACTTCCCGGGCTCAAGAGATTCTCCTGCCTCAGCCCCCCAAGTAGCTGGGACTACAGGCGTGCCCCACCACGCCCGCCTAATTTTTTTTGGATTTCAGTAGACACAAGGTCTTACTATGTTGCCCAGGCTGGTCTGGAACTCCCAAGCTCAAGTGATCCTCCTGCCTCAGCCTTCCAAAGTGCTGAGATTACAGGTATGAGTCACCATGTCCAGTCTAAGTTTCTCTTTACAGACGGCTACTCCAAGTAACAGGTGAGACTCACCTGGGACTGGAAGTGGCCAGCACAGCTGGTCTCTTCTGTAAATGTGAAGGCCTCCTGCCTACCCACCTCTCTCCCTCCATGGAGGCCTCTTTAGGTGCATTTGAAAGCCCAGCATGAGCAAGCCTATTCAGTTTGGACCAACCAGGTGAGACCTGAGTGCAGAGGAGAAAGAGGAGCTGAGCAGGAGCCTGGTCAAAGGGAGGAGACCACTGTGTTCAACTGGACTGGAAGCCACAGCTTTGACCAGGTTTGCTCTCTTCATTCTCTTCTTCCATGTCCTCCCCCTTCTCTCCAAATGTTTAGAAAAAATCCATCCCTGTCTCTGAGAGATCAGGCTTTACTTTTTGATATAAAGTTGGCGGGGGTGTTGGAGGAAAGTTTTGCCAAGTAATAAATACAGAACAGATTCTCTCAACTCATCACAGGCTGATGCATTGGCAGCTCAACAATTGCTAGGCCCTGCAGACGAGTCATTAATTTGCTGATTCACTTCTAGAGAAAGCCCACCAACTTTAATTTCCTCATTTATTTCCATAGATAAATGGTGCCCTCTCTCCATGGACAAGCTAATGGATTTTATAATTACTCACTTCTGCTTTCTTTTCACATTATATTCCAGTTTCAAAATTGAAGTTTAGTGATTGAAATACCTGTAATATCAATATTTCATTTCCAAAGACATTTTCATCTTTTTTAAAAATTTTATTGTATTTTATTTTTTTTTTAAAGACAGCACCTCACTCTGTCACCCAGGCTGGAGTGCAGTGGCTTGATCTCAGCTCACGGCAAGCTCCACCTCCCGGGTTCACCTGCCATTCTCCTGCCTCAGCCTCCCGAGTAGCTGGGACTACAGGTGCCTGCCACCATGCCCGGCTAATTTTTGTATTTTTAGTAGAGATGGGGTTTCACCATGTTAGGCAGGATGGTCTCGATCTCCTGACCTAGTGATCTGCCCACCTTGGCCTCCCAAAGTGCTGGGATTACAGGTGTGAGCCACCACGCCCGGCCAAGACATTTTAATCTTAAGTGAATAGTCCAGAGAATCATGTCCCCTGACACACAAGTCCAGCTGTTTATTTCAGGTTGGCAGTTTGCTTTATTACTTTCATACCAGATGAATTGCAAAGATTAATTATTATTGCTAACCTCTTAAAGATTAAAAGCACTACACTGGTGTTAGGCATTGTTTCATGTTTTCTGGAGCCATATGATTCAGAGAAACCCCCAAAGTGTGATTTATTCCCTTTTTCTTACAGGACAGTGCAGTGGACAGAGCAAGAGTTTGGCATCAGACCTACCAGGGTCCACATTCCAGCCCTCCCTGAGTAGGGTGTGTCATTAGGCAAATTATTTAAACTCCTGAATCTCAGTTTTCTCATCTGCAAAATGGAGACAAAAATATCCATTAAAAGGACTGCTAAGAATTAAATGTGATTGCTTAAAGCAGTGATTCTCTGGACCAGCTGCATCAGCATCTTCTGAGAACTTCTTAAAATGCAAAATCTCAGGCTCCAACCTAGACCTACGAAATCAGAAGTGCCGAGACCAGCTCGGTCAGGGAGACCCTAACCCAGCAGCACTAGGGGAATTAAAGACACACACACAGAAATATAGAGGTGTGAAGTGGGAAACCAGGAGTCTCACAGTTTTCAGAGCTGAGAGCCCCGAACAGAGATTTACCCACGTATTTATTTACAGCAAGCCAGTCATTAGCATTGTTTCTATGGATATTCAATTAACTAAAAAGTGAGAAACGAAGGGATGGGCCGAATTAAAGGAATAGGTTGGGATAGTTAACTGCAGCAGGAGCATGTTCTTAAGGCACAGATCGCTCATGCTATTGTTTGTAGCTTAAGAACGCCTTCAAGCATTTTCCGCCCTGGGCAGGCCAGGTGTTCCTTGCCCTCATTCCCATAAAATCACAATCTTCCAGCTTGGGCGTTAGGGCCATTATGAACACGTTACAGTGCTGCAGAGATTTTGTTTATGGCCAGTTTTGGGGCCAGTTTATGGCCAGATTTTGGGGGGCCTGCTCCCAACACAGAAGTTCTGGGGGTGGGGCCCAGCAATCTGTGGTTTTTTGTTTTTTGAGACAGGGTCTCGCTCTGTCACCCAGGCTGGAGTGCAGTGGTGCTGTGTCCGGAATTGGTGGGTTCTTGGTCTCACTGACTTCAAGAATGAAGCCGCGGACCCTCACGGTGAGTGTTACAGCCCTTAAGGTGGCACGTCTGGAGTTTGTTCCTTCTGATGTTCGGATGTGTTTGGAGTTTCTTCCTTCTGGTGGGTTCGTGGACTCCCTGGCTCAGGAGTGAAGCTGCAGACCTTTGCGGTGAGTGTTACAGCTCTTAAGGCAGTGCGTCTGGAATTGTTCGTTCCTCCCAGTGGGCTCGTGGTCTCGCTGGCTTCAGGAGTAAAGCTGCAGACCTTCACAGTGAGTGTTACAGCTCATAAAAGCAGTGTGGACCCAAAGAGTGAGCGGTAGCAAGATTTATTGCAAAGAGCAAAAGAACAAAGCTTCCACAGTGTGGAAGGGCACCCAAGCAGGTTGCCACTGCTGGCTCAGGCAGCCTGCTTTTATTCTCTTATCTGGCCCCACCCACATCCTGCTGATTGGTAGAGCCGAGTGGTCTGTTTTGACAGGGCACTGATTGGTGCATTTACAATCCCAATGCGTTTACAATCCCAGAGCTAGACTCAAAGGTTCTCCACCTCCTCACTAGATGGGCTAGATACAGAGTGTCCACACAAAGGTTCTCCAAGTCCCCACCAGAGTAGTTAGATACAGATTGTGGATTGGTGCATTCACAAACCCTGAGCTAGACACAGGGTGCTGATTGGTGTGTTTACAAACCTTGAGCTAGATACAGAGTGCCGATTGGTGTATTTACAATCCCTGGGCTAGACATAAAGGTTCTCCACGTCCCCACCAGACTCAGGAGCCCAGCTGGCTTCACCCAGTGGATCCCACATCAGGGCTGCAGGTGGAGCTGCCTGCCAGTCCCACGCTGTGCGCCCACACTCCCCAGCCCTTGGGTGGTCAATGGAACTGGGCACCATGGAGCAGGGGGCGGTGCTCATCGGGGAGGCTCCGGACACACCGGGGAGGCTTGGGAGCCCACGGAGGGGGTGGGAGGCTCAGGCATGATGGGCTGCCGGTCCCGAGCCCTGCCCCATGGGAAGGCAGCTAAGGCCTGGTGAGAAATCGAGCGCAGCGCCAGCGGGCTGGCACTGCTGGGGGACCCAGTACACCCTCCGCAGCCGCTGGCCCGGGTGCTAAGCCCCTCATTGCCCGGGGCTGGCAGGGCCGGCCGGCTGCTCCGAGTGCGGGGCCCACCAAGCCCACGCCCACCCGGAACTCCAGCTGGCCCACAAGCGCCGCGCACAGCCCGGGTTCCCACTCGCACCTCTCCCTCCACACCTCCCTGCAAGCTGAGGGAGCCGGCTCCAGCCTCGGCCAGCCCAGAAAGGGGCTCCCACAGTGCAGCAGTGGGCTGAAGTGCTCCTCAAGTGCCGCCAAAGTGGGAGCCCAGGCAGAGGAGACGCCGAGAGCGAGCGAGGGCTGTGAGGACTGCCAGCACGCTGTCATCTCTCAATCCCCCCTCTAAACAGGACACCCCAACTGCTGTTGGGAATTTGGCCGATGACCACTCTAGCTACTTCCTGCTGGATAGAGGCGAAGAAGGGGCCCTGTAGTTGTGGTGTCCTTCAGAGGGGAACTCTCTAGGCCAGGGGAAGTGCCAGTGGGTCGGTCCAGGGGTCCTCGGTAGAAGTTGTTAGTTGAACTCATTTGGGGTTCCATTTGTAAGACCATCTGTAGCTTGATGGCCTCAATTCTAGAGGAAACAAATTTGACAAGAAGGTTAAAAATACAGGGCCCAAAGGTGAGTAACAGCAAGATGGCTGCCACAGGACCTAGAAAGGGGAGAAGCCATGTTGCCCAACTCCAGAGATTGGTATAAGAATTTGAAAGGCATTGTCTGATTTCAGAAGCCTTTTCCTGTAAATGCCGGGCGGCATCTCGTACTATCCCCTACTGGTTAGTGTAAAAACAACACTCTTCCCCTAAGAAGGTGCAGAGTCCTCCTTTCGCAGCAGTGAGGAGGTCTAGGCCTCGGTGGTTTTGGAGAGTCACTGCTGCCAAAGAGTCTATTTGGGATTGTAAAGTAAGGATAGATTTTGTTATTTCTTGCAAACTGTCTGAGAGGCAGATATGGGTTGAAGATCCACATAAGTAGAATATGCCTTGGCTGGGTAGATAGACATTTACCCTGGCTTTTAAAGGAATAGGGTACACTGTTTTTTCTTTATTACTTCCATCTGTCACTTTCTCTCTTCGACTTCTTCTTTGTCTCTTCCTCCCTTTTTAACTCTCTCTTTAACTTTCTGTGTCTGTCCCTCTTTCTCTCTGACTCCTTTTCTTTGTCTCTGTTTCTGACTCCCTCTTTGACTTTGTCTCTCTGTCTCTTCCTCTTTCTGTCTCTTTCTCTGACTTTCTCTTTCTCTCTTTCCTTCTCGCTGGTCTTTCCCTACCTCTGCCAGCCACTTATGCTGCTGTTCTCCCCTCTCCTTCCCATTTTGATGGCTTTGGTACTGTAAGACTCCCACCTCTTTGGTTTCCTGCACCGTGGGCAATAACTCCGTAACTTCCCTGTGGCATCCAGTGGGGGTTCCCAGAGGTTAGGAACTCCTATTCTTTCCATAATGCAGCATGGGCATGTAGGATTAGATAAGCATACTTGTTATCTGTATACACATTTATTCTTTTTCCCTTTCCCAGTTCTAAGGCTCGGGAAAGTGCCACTAGTTCTGCTAACTGGGCACTGGTCCCTGGGGGAAGAGGCTTGCTTTCAAGTATGGTTACATCACTAACTATGGCATAACCTGCCCTTCGTATCCCATTCTCCACAAATGAACTTCCATCGGTATATAGGTTAAAGTCAGGATTAGTTAAGGGGACTTCTAAGAGATCATCTTGGGTGGCATAAGTCTGGACTATAATTTGTTGGCAGTCATGCTCGATTGGTTCCCCATCCTCTCGGAGAAAAGTGGCAGGGTTGAGGGCCACGCACGTGCGTATTTGAAGCACCAGTCCCTCAAGGAGTAGTGCCTGGTATCTAAGTAGGCAGTTGTCTGATAGCCATAAACTTCCTTTGGCACCTAGTATGCCATTTACATCATGAGTAGTCCAGACAGTGAGATCCTTTCCTTGTATTATTTTGATAGCCTCTGACACTAAGACGACCACTGCTGCAACTACCCTTAAACAGTGAGGCCAGCCTTTTGCTACTACATCAATTTCCTTACTTAGGTATGCCACTGGTTGTGGGGTTGTCCCACGAGTCTGAGTAGGGACTCCAAGAGCTATCCCGGCTCTCTCTGTGACATATAAAGAGAAGTTCTGTCCTGTGGGAAGGCTTAAAGCTGGAGCTTGTACTAGGGCCTGCTTTAAGGTTTTGAAGGCTGTTTCTGCCTCTGGTTCCCATTCTACTAAATGAGTATTTGCCCTCTGGGTTTCCTTGATTGGAGTATAGAGGGGCCTGGCTATCTCGCTGTATCCGGGGATCCATAGTCAGCAAAAGCCGGTAATTCCAAGGAACCCCCTCAACTGTTTTAATGTCTTAGGGCAAGCATAAGCCAGTATAGGCTGTATTCATTCCTTACTGAGGGCCCTGGTCCCTCTGGCTAAGATTAGGCCTAGATATTTAACCTGCTGTAGGCAAAGCTGGGCCTTCAACCTAGACACCTTGTACCCTTGATTAGCTAGAAAGTTCAAGAGATCTAGAATAGCCTGCTGGCACGAGGCTTCCGAACTGGTAGCCAAAAGTAAATCATCCACATATTGAAGGACCAGAGTGCCTGGACTTGAGAAGTGGCTTAGATCTTAGGCCAGTGCCTGACCAAACAGATGAGGGCTATCCCTAAACCCTTGGGGCAAGACTGTCCACGTAAGTTGGGACATGTGGTCTGTGGGATCCTGGGAGTCAGAGTGCAGGGGAATACAGAAGAAGGCATCCTTGAGGTCCAGAACCGTGAACCATTCTGCTTCCTCTGGTATTTGAGAGAGCAGGGTATAGGGGTTGGGTACAACTGGATATAGTGGAATTACTGCCTCATTAATGAGTCTAAGATTTTGCGCTAGTCTCCACTGACCGTTCGGTTTTTGTACTCCTAGAATTGGGGTGTTGCAGGGACTACTGCATTTCCTCACTAAGCCTTGAGCTTTCAAATGTTTAACAATATTCTGTAATCCTTTATGAGCTTCAGGCCTTAAGGGATATTGCCTTTGATAAGGAAAAGTGGTGGGATCTTTTAACCTGATTTGGACTGGGCAGGCATTTTTTGCCCTTCCAAATTGTCCTTCCAATGCCCAGACTTCAGGGTTGATTCCCTCCTCAAGTAGGGGACAACAAATGGGTAACTTGTTCCCCATATTCATGTAGATAATAGCTCCAGCCTTGGCTAATATATCCCTCCCTAATAAGGGTGTGGGACTTTCGGGCATAACAAGAAAGGCATGTGAAAAGAGCAAAGTCTCCCAATTACAACTGAGAAGGTGGGAGAAATACCTGGTTACAAGCTGTCCCAGGATTCCTTGGATGGTAATGGACCTTGAGGACAGTCGTCCAGGTCAGGAGATTAACACTGAGAAGGCCGCACCAGTGTCCAGGAGGAAGTCAATTTCCTGGCCCTCAATAGTTAAACATACCCGGGGCTCAGTGAGGGTGATGACATGAGCTGGTGTTTGCCCCGGGCACCCTCAGTCCTGTTGATGGATCATCTACTTGGGGCTTCTGACCCAGGGAACCTTTGTCCTCTGGGGCAGTGCACCTTCCAGCGATTGCCTCGGCATAGTGGACATGGACGAGGGGGCAGCTTGTTTCTCATTGGACAATCTTTTTTAAAGTGTCCTAGTAAACCACACTTGATAACAAGTCCTACCAGGTGATTGGCCTGCTCCATTTTCTGTCCTCTCTGAACCACCAAGGTTTGTTTGTCTGAGGGCCATGACTAAGGCTGCAGCCTTTCTCTGATCTTGCTTTTCCTTTTGGGCCTGTTCCTCTTGGTCCCTATTATAGAACCCCGAGGTTGCCAGGTTTAATAATGCCTCTAGATTTTGTTCAGGGCCCAGGGCTTGCTTTTGGAGCTTTCTCCTGATATCTGTGGCTGATTGGGTAATAAACTTATCTTTTAGAATCAATTGACCCTTGAGTGATTCGGGTGACAGGGGAGTATATTTTCTTAAGGCCTCTTGTAGCCACTCGAGGAAAGCAGAAGGATTTTCTTCCTTTCCCTGAGTTATGGTGGATATCATTGAATAATTCATGGGCTTTTTTCTAATTCTCCTTAGTCCTTCTAGAACACAGGTCAACAGATGTTTACGACTCCAGTCCCCATGATCTGAGTCAAGGTCCCAGTGGGGATCCATACTGGGGATGGCTTGCTGACCGTTAGGGAATTTGTCCCTTTCTTCGGCTGTCATTCTATCATTTACTTGACTAAGATACCAGGTATCTCCAAACTCTCGGGCTGCAGCTAAAGCCGCATTCTTTTCATTAAAGGCCAGAGTTTGATCTAACAGTAGCATGACATCTCTCCAAGCGAGGTCAAAGGTTTGCCCTAGACCCTGTAGGACATCTATGTACCTATCAGGATCATCTGAAAACTTCCCCAGGTCTGCCTTGGTCTGTTTTAAATCAGAGAGGGAGAAGGGGACAGGTACGCGGGTTGGGCTAAATTCCCCTCCCCCTACAGCTTGAAGGGGACATAACCGATAGCCTGGGGGTTTTTGTAGTCCTTTGGAGATTTCTTTGCTTATTTCCTTCTGGGCAGGGGAGATTAGAGGAGGATTATCATTAATAGGAAGGGGAGCTATAGGGAGGCTAGGATATGCGGGTAAGCTGAGAGGTCCTCCTGTAGGATGTAAATTACAAGCTTTGCATAGTTGTGTATTCTCCCTCAATGAAAAGAAAGCTTGGACATAAGGTATTTCACTCCATTTGCCTTCCCTCTTACAGGAAAGGTCAAGCTGCAGGATAGTATTGTAACTTGTACTTCCCTCAGGTGGCCATTTTTCCCCATCAGAGAGAGAATATTGGGGCCAAGCCGCAGTGCAGAAAAAAATGAGCTGCCTCTTTTTCAGGGTTTTTGGGTCAAATTGGTCCCAATGGCTTAGGATGCATTTCAAGGGTGAGCCTGTTGATGCCTGAGTGTTTCCCATCTGAAAGACAAAACCAGCCACAATTTTGGCTTATTTTGTTTCTCCCCCTGCCCGAGAACCCACAATGGTCCCTGGACCCTGCTGATCGGAACACTTGTGCTCACCAACGCAGCAGCAGAAACACTAGTTTTCCTCCCAGACCACACGGAGGACCAAGGAAGATCTGATTTAATGGTCCTTACTGATGCATTCTCGAAAACCTGCACCCTTGCCTGTCCTCCTAGACCACAGGGAGGACCGACTGAGAAAAATCGGATTTAGTGGCCCTTACCGACGCATTCTCGAAAACCTGTTAGAGTCCTAAGCATTCTCCTGTTCATATTGGGACTTTACCCCTTTCCTATAAAGATGTTATGCCCCAAAAATGAAGCGGAGGGCCATACCCTGAGGGAGGGAAGGGATCTTCAGGGTTGGAAGAGTGACACCTTTTGTCCTCACTTATATGAATAGGAAGGATACAATTTCTGAGGCTCCCCATATCCTAGCTTCAGGAATAGCTTTTATTAGGCCTGTTAGTCTGAGGAGGGATCCTAAAATTCCAGGTAGTCCCCACTACGATGGGGCTTTGGGCAAAAATTATGTCTTTCTGATTGGTGAGCCTGGGTGCCTAAAGAAGGTAACAAGAGTCCTGGAGTTTATACTAGAAATCATTCTTATAGGAGAAACTAGAAAAGCACCAGAGACAGGTAGCAATTTTTAGAAGTGGGCCTAACCTCAGAGAAGAGAGGCAAAAGGAAGTTTGTCTGGAAGGCATTAGGACCCAGGGGGCAAGGGTCAGGATAGATAGGATAGATGGGTGAGTCTCGCTTGGGCAACATGCCTTTGAGAGTTCCGCTCATGACCGCAGGGTCAACCAACTTGTTGTTGGGACCCCGGAGCTGCATGTCTTTCCTCTCTGTCGACCCTCGGCTCAGCCCAGAAGTACAGGAAAAGTGGAAGCTGGTTCTAGGCAAACGGTCCCAACTCCGAAGAAGAGTCAGGGGTTGTTAGAGAGCCCTTTCCCAGAAAGCCTGACACCCATGTCTTTAGTCCGGCGGCCATGCTAGTCGCTTTTAACTGGCCAACAGGTGCCCGGTATTTAGCCCCCAAATTCTAAGGAAAGACAGGACAGAATAGCAAGTGAAAGGGGTCCGATGGTACTCACTGCTCAGCAATAGGCGATGGTCTCACTGCTCGGCGATTGTCTCACCACTTGGCGATAGGCGAAAGTCCCATCTGGGTTGCCAAAACGTGTCTGGAATTGGCGGGTTCTTGGTCTCACTGACTTCAGGAATGAAGCCGCGGACCCTCGTGGTGAGTGTTACAGCTCTTAAGGTGGCGCACTGGAGTTTGTTCCTTCTGATGTTTGGATGTGTTCGGAGATTTTTCCTTCTGTTGGGTTCGTGGTCTCGCTGGCTCAGGAGTGAAGCTGCAGACCTTCGCGGTGAGTGTTACAGCTCTTAAGGCAGCGCGTCTGGAGTTGTTTTTTCCTCCCAGTGGGCTCATGGTCTCGCTAGCTTCAGGAGTGTAGCTGCAGACCTTCGCGGTGAGTGTTATAGCTCATAAAAGCAATGTGGACCCAAAGAGTAAGCAGTAGCAAGATTTATTGCAAAGAACAAAGCTTCCACAGTGTAGAAGGGGACCCCAGCGGGTTACCACTGCTGGCTCCGGCAGCCTGCTTTTATTCTCTCATCTGGCCCCACCCACATCCTGCTGATTGGTAGAGCCAAGTGGTCTGTTTTGACAGGGCACTGATTGGTGCATTTACAATCCCAGAGCTAGACACAAAGTTTCTCCACCTCCCCACTAGATGGGCTAGATACAGAGTGTCCACACAAAGGTTCTCCAAGTCCCCACCAGAGTAGCTAGATACAGAGTGTGGATTGGTGCATTCACAAACCCTGAGCTAGACACAGGGTGCTGATTGGTGTGTTTACAAACCTTGAGCTAGATACAGAGTGCCGATTGCTGTATTTACAATCCCTGGGCTAGACATAAAGGTTCTCCACGTCCCCACCAGACTTAGGAGCCCAGCTGGCTTCACCCAGTGGATCCCACATCAGGGCTGCAGGTGGAGCTGCCTGCCAGTCCCATGCTGTGCGCCCACACTCCCCAGCCCTTGGGTGGTCGATGGAACTGGGCACCATGGAGCAGGGGGCGGTGCTCATCGGGGAGGCTCCGGACACACCGGGGAGGCTTGGGAGCCCATGGAGGGGGTGGGAGGCTCAGGCATGATGGGCTGCCGGTCCCGAGCCCTGCCCCGTGGGAAGGCAGCTAAGGCCCGGTGAGAAATCGAGCGCAGCGCCAGCGGGCTGGCACTGCTGGGGGACCCAGTACACCCTCCGCAGCCGCTGGCCCAGGTGCTAAGCCCCTCATTGCCCGGGGCTGGCAGGGCCGGCCGGCTGCTCCGAGTGTGGGGCCCGCCAAGCCCACGCCCACCCGGAACTCCAGATGGCCCGCAAGCGCCAGGCGCAGCCCTGGTTCCCACTCGCACCTCTCCCTCCACACCTCCCTGCAAGCTGAGGGAGCCGGCTCCGGCCTTGGCCAGCCCAGAAAGGGGCCCCCACAGTGCAGCGGTGGGCTGAAGTGCTCCTCAAGTGCTGCCAAAGTGGGAGCCCAGGCAGAGGAGGCGTCGAGAGCAAGCGAAGGCTGTGAGGACTGCCAGCACGCTGTTACCTCTCAGTGCAATCGTCTCTTACTATAGCCTCAACCTCCTAGGCTCAAGCAGTCCTCTTACCCATGCCTCTTGAGTATCTGGGACTACAGGCGTATGCCACAATGCTCGGCTAATTTCTTAAGTTTTTGTACAGACAATGGTCTCACTCTGTTGGCCAGGCTGATCTCCAACTTCTGGCGTTGAGTGATCCTCCTGCCTCGGCCTCCTGAGTATCTGGGATTATAGGTGTGAGCCACCGTGCCAAGCCAGTCTGTTTTAACCAGTCCCTGTAGGTGATTCTGATGCCCACTCAATTTGAGAACCCCTGGTTTAAAACATATAGCATACAGCAAGTGCTTAATAGTTCCTTTTTCCTCTATTATCTTTAAATAAAACTAGTAATTCTCTGCATTAAATGACTTGTACACAAAATGAGCTGCTGAGTTCAGCCTGCTTGCTCAGTTTTAGCTAACACCAACTCTGGAGCTAGATAGCCCTTTGAGGATGGATGCCTATAGTCCAAAAACATCATGTCATTCACCTCAAAGATGTCATTTTCCACGAAGCACATTGAAGAGGGGGTGGGCAAATAACACTGTCTATTAGTTTATGGAGGGTTCCTTCATAGGAAGAGACCTAAAGCACTGTTTTCATTTCAGGAAGAAACCAGGTCTTACGAACTCCCAGAGTCAAGCACCTAGTGGGGCCAGAGCTCTGAGCAAATGCTGCCATCCTGTGGGCAGAAGTGAGACACAGTGCATGGCCACCCAGTCTGTCCAATTAGCACTTACCAGGCATCTGGAGCACACCAGGCCCAAAGAGGGGTCCAGGCAGGTATAAAGGCCATACCCCGAGGTGCTCGCTACAGGATAGCGGAGATGAGCTTGCATGCAGATGAGTACGTCCCCAGTGCAGAGGCCAGAGCGGGGAGGTGCTCAATCTCAAGTGCCTGAAAGGACTTTTTTTTTTTTTTTTGTAGAAGCAGAGTCTCACTATATTGCCCAGGCTGGTCTCAAATTCCTGGGCTCAAGTGATCCTCTCACCGTGTCCTCCCAAAATGCTGGGATTACAAGTGTGAGCCACTACGCCCAGCCAAGACTATTTAAATATACAATCTTTTTCCTAAGGGCAGTGGAGCATTTGCAGAGCTATTAATACATTTTTCACAGAACAACAAATATACGGATTTTTTAAATGAGAAACTGAAAATTAAGGGTGATAAAAATGCTATTCAAAGACTCAGTTTCTAATTATAGTCTTCTAATGGAGAAAACATGGAACCAATTCATTTCTCTTGCTGTAACAGACGCTCTGTGAGAGCTCCCATTGAGAAATAGGTGCTGTCATTTATGTCTGTTCATGCTGCATGATTTAAAATTCTGGGAGGATATTTCATTTTAACACAAAATACCATCCTTTGAGCAAATGCAATTAACTTAAATTCTATATATACACCTAATTCGGCCTTTCATATA
Source organism: Homo sapiens (assembly GCF_000001405.40). NCBI lineage: Eukaryota > Metazoa > Chordata > Mammalia > Primates > Hominidae > Homo > Homo sapiens. The sequence continues at coordinate 154,669,118 of NC_000001.11, read as the reverse complement.
AGTAAAAAATATTTATTCACCTACCAAAACAAGAAATTGCTTAAAACAATGTTGGAGTGGCAGGGCATGGTGGCTCACACCTATAATCCCCGCACTCTGGGAGGTCGAGGAGGGCGGATCACCTGAGGTCAGGAGTTCCAGACCAGCCTGGCCAACATGGTGAAACCCCATCTCTATTAAAAGTACAAAAATTAGCTGGGCATGGTGGCGAGCATCTGTAATCCCAGCTACTTGGGAGGCTGAGGCAGGAGAATCGCTTGAATCCAGGAGGCAGAGGTTGCAATGAGCTGAGATCTCACCACTGCACTCCAGCCTGAGCAACAAGAGTGAGACTCAGTCTAAAAAAAAGAAAAGAAAAGAAAACAATGATGGAGCATGTCAAAATCATATGGAAGCCAGTTTGCAGGCACACTCAGTGGCCAAATCTAGAACAATTAAGTTATCAAAACAAGTAATCAAGTAGGCCAGACATGGTGGTTCGTGCCTGTAATCCCAGCACTTTAGGAGGCCAAGGTGGGCAGATTGCTTAAGCTCAGGAGTTGGAGACCAGCCTGGGCAACATGGTAAAACCCTGTCTCTACCAAAAATACAAAAAATTAGCCAGGCCTGGTGGCATGTGCCTGTAATCCCAGTTACTTGGGAGGCTGAGGTGGGAGGATCACTTGAACCTGGGAGGCAGAGATTGTGGTGTGCCGAGATGATGCCACTGCACTCCGGCCTGGGCAACAGAGCAAAATAAATAAATAAATAAAATAAAACAAAAATAAGTAATGAAGTAATAACAGATAGCAACCCATTGAATGAATAGGAAATGTGAGTCTAAAGTGATACAAATCAATTAAATAAGTAAATAGAAAGTTTGATGAAGAATAGGTTATTTACGTAGTTTTGGAATACTGCTCTGCAAAAGATTAATTACAAAGGGAGTAAGAGTAACTTTACAGTGAAAAGCCTTGGGAGACACCACCTAAATCAAGTGATCAGAGCAGACGTTATCAATAATGGAACAAATCAGAATCTTGTTCCACCTGATGGAATGTGATGGGGACACAGTACCACTTCTGTGATGCTCCTCTCAGAGATTATAAGCTGAATCTAATCATGGAGAGACAGCTGACAAACTCAAAGTGAGGGACATTTTACAAAATAGCCTGTAATCTTCAAAAGTGTCAAAGTCATGAAAGTTAAGGAAAACCTGAGGAACTGTTCCAGACTGAAAGAAAGTAAAGACACTTAGGACTAAATGCAACATGTGATTCTGCACTGGATTCTTCTACTGTAAAGACCATTATTGGAACAACTGGCAACACTTGAATAGGATCTGAGGGCTATAAGTAGTTACATATCAATATCAAGTTTCTCATGGTGATGGCTGGAGTAGGGTCACATAGGAGAGTGACCTTGTTCGTAGGAATCACACACTAAAGTATTTGGGGGTAAAGGGACATCAGGTTGAGAACTTACTCTCCAGTGATTTTGGTAGTGGAGTTCTTTTTTTTTTTGAGACAGAGTCTCATTCTGTTGCCCAGGCTGGAGTGTGCAGTGGCGTGATCTCAGCCCACTGCAATCTCCACCTCCTGGGTTCAAACAATTCTCCTGCCTCAGCCTCCCAAGTAGCTAGGATTACAGGTGCTAATTTTTGTATTTTTATTTAGTAGAGGCGGGGTTTCACCATGTTGGCCAGGCTGGTCTCGAACTCCTGACCTCAGATGATCCACCCGCCTCTGCCTCCCAAAGTGCTGGGATTACAGGCATGAGCCACCATGCCAGGCCTGTGGTGGATTTCTTCATACAATCCTTGCAACTTTTCTGTAAATTTGTGATTTTAAGATTAACAGTAAAACTATTTTTTAAAAATGAGTATCAGCTCTGGAGTCAGATTATTTGGATTGTAATCCAACCTCTTCCCCTTAGTAGTTACATGATTTTGGGTAAGTTACTTAAGTTCTCTGTGCCTTAATTTTCATATCTGTACAATGCTAGTATAATAATACCTAGCTCATAGGATTATTGTGAGGATTAAATGAGAACAATAAATATTACATATTAATATGTTAACATATAATTTACAACAATAGGAATCATTTAATTTATCATCCAAACTATATACTTTTGAGAGTATAATATGTGTCAGCTGCTCCTTCCCCAAAGAGATCATAGAAGAAACTTGTTTATCAGCAAAGCTAAATGTATTGTTTAATGGGGCAAGGAAGACTACTACCTTGACAGCCTTAGTAGTGTCTCAGGAGGAGATCATGGGTGGGATATTCACATGGGTTAGAGGGTCTGGGTTAAAGTGGGTCTTTCAAGGCAGGGGCCTGGGGCAGGGGGATGACTGCGATTGAGCAAAATTCATGATATTAATATAATAGTTTAGGATTGGTGGATACAGGGAGGCGAGGGTTTTGAAGCCAGCCTTGAGGAGTAAACAGCCCTTTGATAAGCCAGTTGAGTGACCTCCTGCTCTGAGAAGCAGGCTATTAACCTGATGAAGGCCAGCTGAGTTGTCTATATTGCGATAAATTTGCCACTTCATCTTCTTGGGCAAGAATTTCCTGGAATTGAAGACATGTTAACTCCATCTTAGCTCTTAATCCTATTAAACGATGTGGCTAAAGATGGTTTCCATTCTCAGAGGACTGTAACCAGACAATACTTAGGGAAAACAGACATAAGCCAGCATGTATGGTCACCCTACCTACTACCAGGCAGACACCAAAGCCATATAGTATCCGTATTATTATCTCCACCTTGCCAGATAAGGAAATTGAGGCTTGTGGCCATTAGGAAGAGCAACTAATTGAGCTTTGGCAGATCAGCGGAGATTAAAGCCAAGTGTAGTTCTGAATAATTAGCAAGACGTAATTAATCAGGTGACAAAGGGAAGAGGTGAACAGATGGGGTAGAGTGGGGCAGTGTTCTGTGGTGAGTGAATCTGCTGCCAAAGCACAAGGGAGGTGACAGCCTCTGAAGAAAGAGGCTGACAAATTCAGTTTCTCTGAAAGAAATATTTAATAGGAACTTATGAACTGAAGCCATGTCTCAGGTGGCTGCAAGATGGTGGATCCCTGGCCTGGCGTGGTGGCTCATGGCTGTAAATTCCAGCACTTTGGGAGGCCAAGGCGGGCGGATCACCTGAGGTCAGGAGTTTGAGACCAGCCTGCCCAACATAGCGAAACCCTGTCTCTACTGAAAATACAAAAAATTAGCCAGGAGTGGTGGTGGGAGCCTGTAATCCCAGCTACTTGGGAGGTTGAGGCAGGAGAATCGCTTGAACCCGAGAGGCAGAGGTTGCAGTGAGCCAAGATCATGCCACTGCACTCCAGCCTGGGCAACAAGAGCAAAACCCCATCTCAAAAAAAAAAAAAAAAAAGATGGTGGCTCCCCACAGTGGCCCTCCAAAAAGTATCTTTCGCACAGGAAGCTTTTAGGGTAAAGACATGTTGAGCTGGTCACATCTCAGATTTTCCTGCTGAAACTCATGACCACTGGGGAGCTCAGGTAAGCAATTTTTTTTTGAGATGGAGTCTCGCTCTGTTGCCAGGCTGGAGTGCAGTGGTGCAACCTCGGCTCACCGCAACCTCTGCCTCCTGGGTTCAAGCAATTCTCCTGCCTCAGCCTCCAGAGTAGCTGGGACTACAGGCACCCGCCACCATGCCCAGCTAATTTTTGTGTTTTTAGTAGAGACAGGGTTTCACCATGTTGGCCAGGATGGTCTTGATCTCCTGACCTCATGATTCACCCGCCTCAGCCTCCCTAAGTGCTAGGATTACAGCACTTATGCACTGTGAGCCACCGCACCTGGCCCAGGTAAGCTGTGAAGGGTTATCTGTGCTACAGGCATCACTTAAAAACGCTGCTGCAGAACACCTTGGTATGCAGGAGTCAAGCAGCCATCAGAGCAGTTTTGCTTCACGATGGTATTGATACAGGACAGGAGAGCCCCAAAACTGGGGCTTAGCCCTTGAGGGTTCTTGGCTTTACCCAGGAAAGAATTCAAGGATGAGCCCGTGGTGTTAAACAGCAGCTTTTATTGAAGTGGCCACATACAGCAGTAGCACAGGTACTGCTCCTTGCAGAGCAGGGACATCCTATAGGCAGTGGGCTCAAACTAGCAGCTCAGAGGCAGCTCAGCAGTGGCATTTATACCCACTTTTAATTACATGCAAATTAAGGGGTGGTTTATGCACAAATTTCCAAGAAAAGGTAACTTCCAGGTCATTGAGTCATTGCCATGGAAATGGGCAGTAACTTCTAGATGCTGCCATGGCACTGGTAAACTGACATGGCACACTGATGGGTGTGTCTTGTGGGAAGCTGCTTTTGTCCCACCCTGTTTTAGCGTCCTCAATGTGGTCTGGTGTCTGAGCCCCAACTCCCGAGTCAAGTCCCACCTCCTATTTCACTATTGCTCTTGCCATGCAACAGTCTGTTTTCCTACAGGCAGGAAGAAGTGTTTCTAGCAAAAGGAGCAGGGTCCTCCTGGGGAAGTAAAGTACTTCATTCTGGGGAAAGCTGCAGTGGAAGTGGAGAGGGCCCTGAGAAGAGGCCTGGGATCTCTTGCTGTGGAATTTGGGCTCTATTCTAAGGGTGATGCCAAGTCACTGGAGGGTGGTGGACAGGAAGTGACTTGTGCTCAGATGAGCATTTCAAAAGTTAAAGCTGGCTGCAGTGGTGGAACAATGGGTTGGAAAGAACAGTTAGCGGCTGATTCAGTAATTCAAAAAGAAATACACATGAATCTAAAGAAATTAGACTCAGTAATTCAGAAAGAAATAAACCTGACTCAAAATAAATTAGAATGGGAGGTAAGTGGGCTGATGGAAAAAAATGAAGCAGAACCAACAGGACTTTAGCGTTTTGAGTAGAAATAGGGGGCCAAGGAGAGGGAGAAAGGAATTATATTGGGATTGCAGCTGACATGAGAGTGAATCATCCTATCCATGATCATATTTCATCTTTTTTTAAGTTTTTTTTAAATTGTCATTGAATAGTTTTATAATTTTCTTCACAGAGGACTGAGATTTCTTTATTCCTATATATAATGAATATTGATTCGCTATTGTAAATGGTATCTTAAAGCCTTGATTCTCCTTCCCAAGCTGATGGGCTGAAACACAGCTATTAACAAAATGGCCTGTTTTATCTTTGGGCCAAATGCCCAGCCACTTTGGGATTCTAGCACATAATAAAAGAACCATACCATCCAGGGTGGCAGCCAAGTGGCTGAATAGCATATTGAGCTGGTTCCCTGGCTCCTTTCCTCAAAGACAGCAGGACTGCAACTCCAGCCCCTAGTGGATGCCAAAGCTGTAATCCGTGCCCAGGGAAGCACTGATCTCAAACTCCAAGGTGGGTTGTGAAGAAAATGCCAACACCCAGGAAAAAGAGCAGATCACTAAAAGATTTCTGTCCAGGAAGTGGTGTGCTATTTGTTAACATGTAGCTTATCATGAACAGCAGGCAACAAGGAAGGCCTTTGGCTTAAAACAGAGTTCCAAACGCATAAGGGAAGCACATTACCCTTAGATATCTAAAATTGTACATTTGTTGCTCTTGTTGTTTACTTAGAAACTAAGTAAGGAAGCTGCTCTACTGAATTTGCACAGAAGTAACTGAGCCTTATACAAATGGTATTAGGTGTATAAATTCTAAAGAATAAAGGAAATTTTCAGAAACAGTTCAGAATGCTATGTGGGTAATAAGCAACATTTTTATCTCACCCTTTTCCATTTCCAAAGCCCTTTTCTATTTATTTAATCCTCATAACAACCCTATGAAGTGAGCAAGAAAGATATTACTAGACCAGTTTTATAGATGGGGAAACTGAAGCTCAGGTGGTTTCAGGACATGACCCAGGAGGGTCATAAAGATGTCACCCAGGAGAGTCAGGACTCAAAGGCCTGATTTTAGGCCACCAGGCCTTTGGCAACTCCACACTGCCCTTTTAGTTTTGAGTGTCATTTAGAAATCTACTTTCAGCTACTCAAGGTCTCTTGCCAGTTTGAAAATTGGACATAAATATTAACAGGGGGTGGGGGACAAGAAATAAACTGAAAGATAGATTGAAATATACCTACAGTTTTTATGCTAATATAATTCAGTGTTTTACCCATTTATTATGAAGTCATGGAAAAGCATATGACGAAAGGGATTCTCAGGATAGCAAACCGGCCAAGAGATGTGAGCACAAGGGAAGTCTTCCTCTCCTGGCATTTCTGATCACCAATAGCATTCACTGAGCAGGGACTTGGCTGGCCTCCCTAAAGCCATGTACAACTGCTCAGATCGGGGTTGATCTTTAAGAAGTTCATGAAACTGTGAACAGGTCAAACTCTCATTGCGCACATCCTTGATTCTTGAGATGGGAAGACAGTTATATAAAGTGGGCTTCACTTTTATTAAATATGCCATTAGGTAAAATAGGTTCTTCCCTGTGATAACTACATTACTTCTAGTAGAATATAGACTAAATGGTTCTTCCTGGAATAAAAATGCACTGGAGAATATCTGCTGCCAGCAACCAAATTAGCTTAAATCTTTTTCCAAATACTCTAAGAAGAGTTGTGTTTTTTACCTTTGGGACATTAAGAGAAACTGGAAACCAAGTACACAATAACAACTGGCTTTAATCTACTCTGGCTAAATACAAGAGTGATAAGGGAATACTTTGACTGATGCATTAGAACCATTTGCATTAAGTTCAAATCTATGATAGGCAATAGCTATCATTATTTCTCCTGCATTAGGTGTTTTTATTTTTCCTAAAAAGTGGATTTTTCATATAAAAGGACATTTTGCTTACAGCTCAGTCTTCATTATTAATTTCTTCCCTGAATAATTTAAAGAATGGCCCTAAATGTAGGCTTAGGGTTTACTTTTTAAATGATGTTTGTTCTTTTTATTTTTATTTATTTATTTTATTTACTTATGTATTTTTTTTTTTTTTTTGAGACAGACTCTTGCTCTGTCACCCAGGCTGGTGTGCAAAGGTGCGATCTCAGCTCACTGCAACCTCCGCCTCCCAGACTCAAGCAATTCTCCTGCCTCAGCCTCCAGAGTAGCTGGGATTACAGGCGCTTGCCACCATGCCCAGCTAATTTTTGTATTTTTAGTAGAGCTGGTGTCAATCTCTTGACCTTGTGATCCACCTGCCTCAGCCTCCCAAAGTGCTGGGATTACAGGTGTGAGCCACTGTGCCTGGCTGAGGCACAATTTTTTAATGCTTTTCTGTATATGTCAAATTTTCGACTAAGACCATGTATTGTTTTCATAAGCAGAAAAAAGCAATGAATATAATTTGTATTTCAAAAAGTGTTATAGATCTATATGGAAAGATGAAGTGTTAAGTGAAATAAATTGTAGGACAGTATGTATAGTGTGATCCTACTTGTGTTAAAACACTTCTGAAGGATATCTATGAAATGATTGATAATGCCTATTCTAGAGGGTAAGCAGAAAGAAGTTGAGGGAAGGCTTTTACTGTTCACTTTATATCATTTGTACTGTTTGAGTTTTTCACCATGCACATGTATATCTTTTGTAATAATAACGAACAGTAAGGATAATCAGTTCTTAGAGTTTGAAGGAAGGGATGTTCAATATACATTGGTGTTCTCATTATCTATTGCTGTGTAGTGGCTAAAAATAATGTATACTTATTACCTCACAGTTCAGGCATGGCTTAACTGGGTGCCCTGCTTCAGAGTCTGTCACAAGGCTGCAATCAAGGTGTTGGCTGAGGCAGTGATCTCATTGGAAGACCCAGCTGGAAAGGATCTGCGTTCATGCTCATTTGCATGGTTATTGGCAGGATTCAGTTCCCCAAGAGTTGTTGTACTGAGGCCTCCTTCAGGTCATAGCCAGGTAAGCCTGTCTGTGAAGCATCTCATGATATTAGAGTGAGCAAAAGGGGTGAGAGAGTGCCAGCAAGAGAGAGAGTACTAGCAAGATAGGAGTCGTGGAAGTGACATCTCATTACTTCTGTTGTATTCTATTTGCTTACAGAAGCAAGTCACTAGGTCCAGCCCACACTCAGGGGGACAGGATTATACAAGAGCACTAATACCAGAGGTGGTGACCATTAGGAGCTAGGCCAGGAGCTTCCTATGACTATTAAAATGGCCTGGAAGGTTTCCTGAAGGTGGAGGAATTTAACAGGTACAATTTGAAAGAATGAAAAATTGGGCAGAATTAGAGAAAAGTAGAGGGGAGTATGGAAGGGAAGCACATAAATGAAGATGCATAGGTAGAAAAGTAAATTAGCAGGCCAGGCGTGGTGGCTCACTCTTGTAATCCCAGTGTTTTGGAAGACTGAGGCAAGAGGCTTGCTTGAGCCCAGTGTTCAAGGCTACAGTGAGCTATAATTGTGCCACTGCACTCTACTGACCTCAGGTGATCTTCCCTTTGGGTGACATAGTGAGCCCCCATCTCTATGAATAATTTTTTAAAAGCAGATAAGCATATTCAGAGCAGAACTAGACCATATTGTTGGGAAAGGTAAACTTTTCTTGGGAGTAATAAGGCTGGAGGAATAAGTTAAGACCTGAATGCCAACCTAAGGAATTTTAAGTTTATTATCTGCAGTGGCTAGCCATGCTTATTAATTGATATCCTCACCAAAAACTTATTCTTTTCTAGTAATGACATATTAATGACTTACTGATGGTTCAGGATGATTATTACTATAAGGAGAGGTATCACATCCTAATAGTATTACATAATAGGTATTACATCATAATATTCTGTGAATATTCTATTCACAGAATAGATATGTTCATAATAAACTGAAAGTTAGTTATATATTTATTCTAACCTCAGTATATTGTTTTGATCTCATTTTGTATGAGTAAATGTCAGATGTCACATAAGGAACCTAAAGATTTTGAAAATACTTTTATCATGAATTATATTGATTCCAATGTTATTAAATACTTAATATACATACGTATTCAGTATCAATGTTGATGCATCATGATGCAGTGAAATAAACAATATGTTTTGAAGCCATAAAGAGAATTTTAATATCATTTGCAACCACTTTTTGAATGTTTCAAGAAAAAGGGTGTGATAAAATGTGCTGAATAGGTTAAATAAGGTAAAGACACTGAAAGGTTCACTGAATACGGCAACATGGAGATGGTTGATAGCTTCAACAAGAGCAGTTTTAATGAAGTGGTAGAGATAGAAACTAGACTGGAGTGGGTTGAAGAATAAATGGGACTTCCATTCTGGCAACGTAGAAGACAAGTTATCATTAAAAACATAACAAAACAAAAAACCCTCCTACTAAAAAAACTCCTTAAAGTACTGAATAAAATCTTTTTAAAAATCTCTTTTTATGCATAGCTGAGCTGGCAAAGAGTAAGGGAATTCCTCAGAGTCCAAAATAAATCAACAGCACAAATCCAGTGGGTGAATGAGCACTGAATCCAGCAGCTTTCCAATGGGCATCTTATGAGCCCCAGTAACCTATCACTATCAACTATTTTATAAACCAAAAGGCAAAGCTTAGTGCCCTTGCAAGCTGGAGAATTGGTTGTAAAATCTTCCATAAAGTCAGGGCCCCCAAAGGGCTATCCTCTCAGTGAAAGAATGAACTAGAAAGAAAAGCCTGTCTCATAAAGGAGAAGGACATACCTCTGAATAAAATGAAATAAAATCTCCCCCAAAATAACTCATAAGCATTAAGTTGTCCTTCACAAAGCATTGGTGCCAAAATTCATGCTACCTGTTTGGTCAAAACAATTCCAAGCCAAGAATGTAAAGTGGTCCCAAGTTTGGTGTGTCCCTAATGTACTTAGCAGAGGAAAAACAAATCCTTTCTAATGGAATACACCTTTAATGTAAATTTTGAAGATTATTCACAGGTGCAGTTCCAACAAACATGAGATCACAATGAAAATTACAGGATACATATGAGGAAAAGACACCATGTGAGAAAGTCAGCAGAGAGGCCGGGCGCAGTGGCTCACGCCTGTAATCCCAGCACTTTGGGAGGCCGAGGGGGGCAGATCACGAGGTCAGGAAATCGAGACCATCCTGGCTAACACAGTGAAACCCTGCCTCTACTAAAAATACAAAAACAAAATTAGCCGGGCGTGGTGGCAGGCGCCTGTAGTCCCAGCTACTCGGGAGGCTGAGGCAGGAGAATGGCGTGAACCTGGGAGGTGGAGCTTGCAGTGAGCTGAGATAGCGCCACTGCACTCCAGCCTGGGCGACAGAGCGAGACTCCATCTCAAAAAAAAAGAAAAAGAAAAAGAAAGAAAGTCAGCAGAGAAATTAACAGCAAAATCAGACTCGCAAAGACTTCAGCATTGACGTGACCATATGAAGTAAAACAAATGAGGAATTGACAGGTTTTTAAGAAGATTTTAAAACATGATAGAGGAACAAGACTATAAAAATGACCTTGATATGAAAAAATGTCAAACATAAATTGTAGAAATAAAAAACAAAATTGCCGAAATTAAGACTTCAACACCGAAAAGGTTGGAAATTAATAACTTTAAATGCTTATAATTTAAAAAGTAGAGAGAATAAAAATAATGAGCTAAATCTCCAACTTGGGAAATCAGAAAAAGAACAGCAGAATAACCATGAGGAAAGTAGTAGGAAGAAAAAAATAACAATAAGTAGAGAAAGTAATGAAACTGAAAACGGAGGATCAACAAAGCCAAAATTGATTCTTTGAAGTTGAAAGACTTCTGGAAAAATTTAAGAGACAGAGATAAACAGCATGTACAGATAAGCAATACTGAAAACTGAAAACGAGATAAAAATCTATAACTATGGTTATAGTGAACATTTAAACATAAAAGTATAAACAAATCAATGCTAATAATTCAAAACTTAGATGATATGGAAAACGTCCTAGAAAATATAATTTACCAAAACAGATTCAAGACTAGAAAGGCAGAATGAATAGCTCTATAATAATTAAAGAAATTCAATCAGTATTTAAAGTGTTCCCGCAAAGAAAATACCAAGCCCTGATATTTTCCAGGTGAGTTATATGAAATTTTCAAGGAGAAGATCATTCCAATCTTATAGGAGTTTTTGTGGACGATAGAAAAAGAGAGAATACTTGCCAGCTCAGTTTTGGAGGCATCTCTCGCTATTTCTGTGAGGTCTTTACACATGATCTCTCTAGTATGGTGGCTTCAGGGTAGCTAGACTTCTTATGTGTTGGCTCAGGTCTCCCAAGATGCTTGGAGAGGGTGTGTGTACGTGTGGAGAGAGATAGAGACAGAAACGCACACACACACACACACACACACACACAGAGAGAGAGAGAGAGAGAGAGAGAGAGACATGATATGAGAAGTGCTAGCCTTAGACTTGCTTTAGCCAATGCAGAGTGAGCAGAAGTGACAGACTCCCAGCCAGAAGCCTAAGAGCCAGTGCATGCTTCTCCAAGTTCCCTTTTCCCTCCACAACTGGCAATGTTCTACAGTAGCTTCCCTTTCAGGCTGAGCCTCAAAGTAAGAATGATGAAAATGTGGAACATTCTAAGGATTTTAGAAGGTGAAAAAACAGATAGAAAAAAATTAAAATGTGGAATAGAGCCCCCTGACTCATGATGAACATGTAGCATGAGGAAGAAATAAACTTTTTTGGTTGTTTTATTGCCATAACACAACCAGTCTTTCCTGACTGGTATGGGCACCTGGGAATAATTGCAGTACTGATACAAAGAAGATCATGATGCTTTATTGAAATACATTAAGAAGAATTAAGTAAAAAGAGAGAAATATTATCAATGGCTAGAAAGTCTCAATATCCTAAATTCTCACCCAAATGTCTCATAGATTCAGTGCCATTTCTATCAAAACTTTAAAGTGTTTTTCATAATTTTGACAAGCCAATTCTAAAATATATGTGAAAGAGCAAAGAGCCAAGATGATCCAAGGTACTCTCTAAAAAAGAATAAAATCAGCAATTACATTCTTGGGCATTTATCCCAGAGATATGAAAAGTTATAGTCACCCAAAACCTATGCTCAGATGTTTATAGCCACTTTATTCATAACATCTCAAAACTGAAAATAGCCCAAGTATACTTCAATGGGCGAGTGGTTAAGCAAACTGGTATATCCATACCATGGACTAGGATTCAGTCATAAAAAGGAATGGGCTATTAATACGTGTAACAATCTAGATGAATCTCATGGGAATTATGCTGAGTTGAAAAAAAAAAGCCTATCTCAAAAGGCTACATACAGTATTATTTCATTTATATAACATTACTTAAATAACAAAATTATAGAGATGGAGAACACGTTAATTGTTGTCAAGAATTAGGAATGAGGGGAAGGGGGACTGGTTGTGGCTATAAAGGGGTAGCACAAGGGAGCCTTGCAATGATGAAGCTGTTCTTTATCTTGATTTTGGTGGTGGTTACACAAATATATACACATAATAAATTTGATACAAGACATGAATATAGACACCCAAGAAGTAAAATAAACTAAAGAGACCCACTCTGAGACACATTGTAATCAAACTTTTGAAAGACAAAGAGAGAATCTTGAAAGCAGAAAGAAAAAAGCAACTTGTCACACACAAGGGATCCTAATTAAGATTATCAGAGAACTTCTCATGAGAAACTTTGGAGTCCAGGAAGCAGCTGGCCAATATATTTGAAGTGCTAAAAGAAAAAAAAAATGTTAACCACGAATCCTACATCCAGCAAATGCATCCTTCAAAAGTGAAGGAGAAATTAAGACATCTCAAGATAACCAAAGCTAAGAAAGTTTATTACCAGTAGATCCACCCTACAAGAAATGCTCAAAGGGGTCCTGCAAGGCAAAATGAAAAGACACTAGACAGTAACTCAAAGCTGTATGAAGAAATAAAGATTTCAATAAAGGCAAACGCATAAGAAATCATAAAAGCCAGTATTATCGTAAAAATGGCTTATAACTCCACTTTTTATTTTCTATGTGATTTAAGAAATTATTAGTCTAAATGTTATTATAACTTTGGTTTGTACTTCACATTTTGTTTTCTACATAATGTAAGAGACTAATAAATTTAAAATAATTATAACTTTATGTTTTGGGGCACACAATGTATAAAGACACGATTCTGTGATATCAACAACCAAAAGGGGTGGGGAGAGAATGGTAAAGAAGCAGAGGTTTTGTATGTTACTAAACTGAAGCTGTATAAATTCAAATTAGAGCATTATAATGTTGGGATGTTACATGTAATCCCCATGGTAGCCACAAAAACGAACAAACAAACAAAAAAACACCAGATATAGAATACATGCAGAAAGAAATTAGAAAGAAATTTAAATATTTCACTACAAAAAATTAAATACAAAAGAAGATAGTAAGGCAGAAAATGAGGAACAAAAAAGCTATAAGGCATGTGGAAAAAAAATAGCAAAATGACAGAACTGAGTCCTCCAAATCAGTAATTACTTTATTTATTTATTTATTTTATTTATTTTATTTTTTTCTGAGATGGAGTCTTGCTCTGTCACCCAGGCTGGAGTTCAGTGGCGTGATCTCATCTCACTGCAAGCTCCGCCTCCCGGGTTCACGCCATTCTCCTGCCTCAGCTTCCTGAGTAGCTGGGGCTACAGGTGCCCCCCACCACATGCAGCTAATTTTTTTTGTATTTTTAGTAGAGATGCGGTTTCACCTTGTTAGCCAGGATGGTCTCGATCTCCTGACCTCATGATCCGCCTGCCTCGGCCTCCCAAAGTGCTGGGATTACAGGCGTGAGCCACCGCGCCCGGCCAGTAATTAAGTGTAAGTTGGATTAAACTCTCCAATCAAAAGACACCTGAGATTGACAGAATGAATAAAAACAGATGGTCCAACTATATGCTGTCTACAAGAGACTTACTTTAGATTCAAAGACACAAGTAGAATGAAAGTGAAAGAATGGAAAAAGATATTTCACACAAATAGTAACCAAAAGGGAGCAAGGGTAGTTATACTAATATCAGGTAAAAACAGATTTCAGATTATAAAAAGATTACAAGAGACAAAGAAGGATATTAATATATTAATAAAATGTTCAAAACAGCAAGAAAACATAACACATACACATTTATGCACCTGATGACATCAAAATATATAAAGCAAAATATATAAAGCAAAAACTGAAGGAAGAAATAGACAGTTCTACAATAGTAGTTGGACTTCAATACCCCACTCTCAATAATGGCTAGACCAACCAGACAGAAGATAAGTAAGACAACAGAGGACTTAACCAGCATAATAAACCAACTAGATCTAACAGGCATATAAAGAACACTTTACCCAACAAGAACATATGCATATGTTTGGAAGTGCACATGGGACATTTGCCAGGATAGACCATATGTTTGGGCAAAAATTAAGTCTCAATAGATTTTAAAAGATATATATCACACAAAGTATCTTCTCCAACTATGACAGGATAAAGTTAGAAATCAGTAACAGATGTAAAACCGGAAAATTTACAAATTTGTGGAAATTAAACAGACACTTTAAACAACCATTAGATGGAAGAATAAACTAAAGGAATATTAGAAAAATCCTTAGAGACAAACAAAAACAAAATCACAACATACCAAAACATGGAATGCAGCAAAAGCAGTGCTAAGGGAGAAATGTATAGCTGTAAATGCTTACATTAAAAAAACAAGAAAGATACCAAGTCAACAACCTAGCTTTACAACTTAAGGAACTAGAAAAAGAAAAACAAATGAGACCCAAAACTGCCAGGAGGAAGGAAATAATAAAGATTAGAGCAATATACAGAACAGAGAATAGAAAAAACAATAGAGAAAAATCAATGAAACCAAAAATTGTTTCTTTGAAAAGATCAACAAAGTTGACAAGCCTTCAGTGAGATGGACTAAGGAAAAAAATAGAAAAGACAAAATACTAAAATCAGAAATGAAAGTGGGGACATTACTACTGATTCCATAGAAATAAAAAGGATTATAAGAACAATTGTATGCCAACAAATTGGATAATCTATATGAAATGGAAAAATTCCTAGGAACACACCACCTACCAAGACTAAATCATGAAGAAATAAAAAACTGAATAGACCTATAACTAGTAAGGAAATTGAAGCAGTAATTTAAAAAATCTCCCAACAAAGAAAAACATTGGACTTCATGGCTTCACTGATAAATTCTACCAAGCATTAAAGAAAAACTAACGCCAATCCTTATTAGACTTTTCCAAATAATGGAAGAGAAGGGAAAACTTCCTAATTTGACATATGAGACCAGCATTACCCTGACATCAAAGGCAAAGACACTGCAAAAAAGAAAAACTACATTATAGTATCCCTTATGAACATTGATGCAAAAATCCTCAGGAATATACTAGCAAACTGAATACAGCAGTATTTTAAAAGGATTACATACCATGACAAAGTGGAATTTATTCCTGGGTTGCAAAGCTGGTTTAACATACAACAATTGATTGATGCAATACACCACATTAACAGAATAAGGGAAACAAAAACCACATGATCATCTCAATTAATGCAGAAAAGACACTGATAAAATTCAACACCCTTTCATGATTAAAAAAAACAAACCAACAACAACAAAACAAACAAAAAAACCAGCCAGGCATGGCGGCTCACGCCTGGAATCCCAGCACTTGGGGAGGCTGAGGCGGGTGGATCACCTGATGTTCACCAGCCTGGCCAACATGGCAAACCCCCGTCTCTACTAAAAATACAAAAATTAGCAGGGTGCTGGCATGCACCTATAATCCCAACTACTGGGAGGCTGAGGCAGGAGAATGACTTGAACCCGGGAGGTGGAGGTTGCAGTGAGCCGAGATCACGCCACTGCACTCCAGCCTGGGAGACAGAGCAAGGACTCCATCTCAAAAAACAAACAAACAAACAAACAAACAAATTCATCAAACTAAGATTAGACAGAAACTACCTCAGCATAATAAATGTTCAATTGTTCTAGCTGAGGCCATCTTAGATCAGTCTATAGCCAGCTGAACCTCAGACATGTGAGCAAGCCTAGTTAAGATCATCTGAGCCTTCAGACAACCCACAGCTAACAGCTAATTGCAGACACATAAGGAAGCCCAACCCAGATTAGCTGAACCCCACAGACTTGTGAGCCACCTGTGGATTGTTGTATGCCAACTGAGGTTTGGGGTGGCTTTTTAAGTTAGCATTAGAGTGCCAAAAATTATCTAAAACAACCAGGCAGAAAATCAACAAAGGTATAAAAGATTTGAACAATACTGTAAACCAACTAGACCTAACATCCACGGAACATTCCCCTCAACAATAGCACAATATACATTCTATTTAAATGTGAATGGAACATTCACCAGGATGGACCATATGCTATGCCATAACACAAGTCACAATAAATTTAAACGAACTGAGATATACAAAATACATCTTCTGACCACAGTGGAATTAAATTACAAATCAATAACAAAACAAAATTCAGAAATTCACAAATATGTGAAATTTAAATAATACACTCATAAATAACCAATAAAAGAAATTCCAGTGGAAATTAGAAAATACTTTGAGACAAATCAAAACAAATATACAACATACTGAAACTTGTGGAATGCAGTGAAAGCAGTGCTTAAGAAAAATGTATAGCTGTAAACACCCGTATTAAAATAGAAGAAAGGCTGGGCGCGTTGGCTCACGCCTATAATCCCAACACTTTGAGATGCTGAGGCAGGCGGATCACCTGAGGTCAGGAGTTCAAGACCAGCCTGGCCAACATGGTGAAACCCCATCTCTACTAAAAATACAAAAAATTAGCCGGGCATGGTGGCTGGCACCTGTAACCCCAGCTACTCGGGAGGGTGAGGCAGGAGAATCACTTGAACCCGGGAGGTGGACGTTGCAGTGAGCTGAGATGGCGCCATTGCACTCCAGCCTGGAGAACAAGAGCAAAACTCTGTCTCAAAATAAATACATAAATTAAATTAAATTAAAATAGAAGAAAGATTTCAAATAAATAACCTAAACTTCCATTTCAAGAAATTAAAATGAAAAAAACTAAACCCAAAACAAGCAGAAGGAAATAATAAAGATTAAAGCAGAAATAAATGAAATGGGGTGTACAAAGAAAAAAACTAATAAAATCAATAAAACCAAAAGTCAATTCTCTGAGATCAACAAAAATGACAAACCTTCAGCTAGACTGAGAAAGAGACTCAAATGACTAAAATCAAAAGTGCAAAAGCAAATTGTCTTAGTCTATTCGTGTTGCTGTAACAAAATACCTGAGATCAGATCACTTATAAAGAACAGACATTTATAAAGAACAGTTCTGAAGGTTTGAGAGTCCAAGATTGAGCACCAACAGATTTGGAGTCTGGTGAGAGCTGCTTTCTCCAAGATAGCACCTTCTTGTTGTGTCCTCACATGTTGCAAGGGGACAACAAGAGACTAACGCTGTGTTCTTACAGGGCAGAAGAAATGGAAGGACAGGCCAGGCACGGTGGCCCATGCCTGTAATCCCAGCACTTTGGGAGGCCAAGGTGGGTACAGCACCTGAGGTCAGGAGTTCAGGACCAGTCTGGCCAATATGGTGAAACCCCGTCTCTACAAAAATGCAAAAATTAGCTGGGCATGATGGCGGGTGCCTGTAATCCCAGATACTCGGGAGGCTGGGGCAGGAGAATTGCTTGAACCTGGGAGGCAGAGGTTGCAGTGAGCCAAGATCGCGCCATGAAACTCCAGCCTGGGGGACAGAGCAAGACTCCATCTCAAAAAGAAAAAAAAAAAAAGAAAAAGAAATGGAAGGGCAAAAGGCACCCAGGCATTCCCTTTACCCTCTTTTTAAAAGAGCACTAATCCATTCATGAGGATGCAACCCTCATGACTTAATCATTTTGCAAAAGGCCTCCTCTCTTATTACCATCACCCTGGGGTTTAAGTTCCAAAATATGAATTTGGGAGGGATGCATGCATTCAAACCATAATGGGAACATATCTGCCAACCTTATGGAAATTAGAAAAAGTGTTATAAACAGCTGTATGCCAACAAATTAGGTCACTTAGATGAAATGGAAAAATTCCTAGAAAGCCACAAATTACTGAAACTAACTCAGTAAGAAATAGAAAATCTAAAGGAACCTAAAATGAGTAGAGATTGAATTGGTAATTTAAAAACTCCCCACAAAGAAAAGTCCAAGCCTGGGCAGCAGAGCAAGCCCCCATCTCTACTAAAAAGAAAGAAAAGAAAAGCCCAGGTTCACATGGCCTCACAGGTGAATTCTGCCAAACGTTTAAAAAAGAACTAACAGGTGGGGGGCGGTGGCTCACGCCTGTAATTTCAGCACTTTGGGAGGTTGAGGCAGGTGGATCACTTGAGGCCAGGAGTTCAAGATCAGCCTGGCCAACATGGTGAAACCCCATCTCTACTAAAAATACAAAAATTAGCTGGGTGTGGTGGCGCACGCCTGTTGTCCCAGCTACTCAGGAGGCTGAGACATGAGAATCGCTTGAACCAGGGAGGCAGGAGTTGCAGTTGGCTGAGATCATGCCACTGCACTCCAGCCTGAGTGACAGAGTGAGACTCTGTCTCAAAAGAAAAAAAAAAGAGAAAAGAAAAAAACAAAAAACAGTAATCCTTCACCAAGCCTTCCAGAAGAGAAGAGGAAAGAACACCTCCCAACTCATTCTAGAAGGCCAGAATTACCCTGATACCAAAACCAGACAATGACATCACGAGAAAACTGTAGAACACTATCCCTTGTGAATATAGATGAAAAACCCTCAACAAAATACTAGCAAACCAAATCCAGCAACTTATAAAAAAGGATGATATATCATGACCAAGTGAGATTTATCCCAGGATTACAAGGTTTGTTTAATATTCAAAAATAAATTAATGTAATACACCATATTGATAGAATAAAGAAGAAGAACCACATGATCATCTTAATAGATACAAAAAAAAGCATTTTATAAAATCCAAAACTCTTTTATAATAACACTCAACAAACTAGCAATAGTAATGAATTCCCTCAACTGGATAAAGGGCATGTATGCAAATCTTGCAACTATTCAATGGGAAAAGACTGAATGCCTTTCTACTAAGATTGAGAATAAGATAAGGATATTTGCTCTTGCCACTATTCAACCTTGTACTGGAAGTTCCAGGCAGTACAATTAGTCAAGAAAAAGAAATAAAAGGCAATAAGCCTGGAAAGGAAGAAGGGAAACTATCTCTTTCACCAGTAAAATGGTCTTGTGTATAGAAAATCCTAAGGAATCTACTAAAACTATTAAAATGAATAAATTCAGCAATATTGTAGTTTATAAGATAAATATACAGATCTATTATACGTCCATATACTAACAATGAACAAGAAAAAAAAGTGTGTGGGCCTGGTATGATAGACAGTGGAATAAAATTAACAGTCCAGAAATACACCCTTACATGTATGGTTAACTGATTTTTGACAAAAGCACTATCACAATTCGATGAAGAAAAATCATCTTTTCAACAAATAGTACTGGGATAACTGAATATCTATATCCGAACAGATGAAGCTGGATCCCCTACCTCATACCATACACTAAACTAACTCAAAATGGATCATAGACCTAAATGTAGGAGTTAAATCTATGAAACTCTTAGAAGAAATCATAGGACCAGAAGGCAATATTTTTTTTTACGTATGGCACCAAAAGTGACAAAAGAAAAAAATTTTTTGAGACAGGGTCTCACTCTGTCACCCAGGCTGGCATGTAGTAGCATGATCACAGCTCCCTGCAGCCTCATCCTCCTGGGCTCAAGGGATCCTCCCACCTCAGCCTCCCAAGTAGCTGGGACTACAGACATGTGCCACCACAACTAGCTAATTTTTAAACTTTTTTGTACATACTGGGTCTCACTATGTTGCCAAGGCTGGTCTTGAACTCCTGGACTTAAGTGATCCTCCCACTTCAGCCTCCCCAAGTGCTGGGATTATAAGCATGAGCCACCACATCAAGCCAGAAAAAAAAATGTTGATAACTCAGACTTTATCAAAATACCAAGTTTTTGAGCTTCAGAGAACATCACGAGGGAAGTGAAAAGACAACCCACAAGCTGGGAGGAAATATTTGCAAATAATATATCTGATTTAAATTCAGAGTATTAAATAACTCTTATAATTCAATAGGAAGACAAATAGCTCAATTAAAACCATAGGTAACAATTTTGAATAAACATTTCTCCAAAGAAGATATACAAATATCCAACATCAGTAGTATCAATTAGAAAAATGCAAATCAAAACCACAATGAGATACCACTTCACTCTCTATAATGGCTGTAATTAAAAAGACAGACAAAAATGTGGAAAAATTAGTACACTTGTACATTGCTAGTAGGCATGTAAAATGGTGCCAACATTTTGAAAAACACTTTGGCAGTTCCTCAAAATGTTATCTTTTTTTTTTTTTTTTTTTTTTGGAGACGGAGTCTTACTCTGTTGCCCAGGCTGGAGTGCAGTGGCGCCATCTTGGCTCACTGCAACCTCCACTTCCCAGGTTCAAGTGATTCTTGAGCCTAAACCTCCCAAGTAGCTGGGATTTCAGGCGCACACCACCATGCCCAGCTAATTTTTGTATTTTTTTTTTTAAGATGGAATTTCCCACTGTCACCTGGGCTGGTGTGCAGTGGCACGACCTTGGCTCGCTGCAACCTCCACTTCCCAGGTTCAAGTGATTCTCCTGCCTCAGCCTCCCGAGTAGCTGGGACTACAGGTGCGCGCCACCATGCCTGGCTAATTTTTGTATTTTTAGTAGTGACGGGGTTTCACTATGTTGGCCAGGCTGGTCTTGAACAACTGACCTCGTGATCCGCCTGCCTTGGCCTCCCCAAAGTGCTGGGATTACAAGCGTGAGCCACCGCACCTGGCCTAATTTTTGTATTTTCAGTAGAGATGGGGTTTCACCATGTTGGCCAGGCTGGTCTCAAACTCCTGACCTCAAGTGATACACCCGCCTCAGCCTCCCAAAGTGCTGGGATTACAGGTGTGAACCACCGTGCCCGGCCTCAAAATGATAAACATAGACGTATCATATGACTGTAAAATTCTACTCCTAGCTATCTATTCCAAGAGAAATAAAAACATATCTATGCAAAAAGTAGTACGCAAATATTCGTAGCAGCGTTATTCATAATAGCCAAAAAGTAGAAATGACCCAAAGTTCCATGAACAGATGAAAGACTAAACAAAATTTGGCATATCTACACAATGGAATACTATTAAGTATTACAAAGGAATGAAATACTAACATAGGGCCTGGTGTAGGGCTCATGCCTGTAATCCCAGCACTTTGGGATTACAAATCCACCAAGGCAGGCAGATTGCTTGAGTCTGGGAGTTCAAGACCAACCTGGGCAATGTGGCGAAACACTGT
This sequence comes from Homo sapiens, assembly GCF_000001405.40. Lineage (NCBI taxonomy): Eukaryota > Metazoa > Chordata > Mammalia > Primates > Hominidae > Homo > Homo sapiens. The sequence goes on along the minus strand of NC_000001.11, from coordinate 154,647,739 downwards.
CTCTACAAAAAATACAAAGATTAGTTGGGTGTGGTGGCCTGCACCAGTAGTTCCAGGTACTTGGGAGGCTGAGGTGGGAGGATTGCTTGAGCTGGGGGAGGCTGAGATTGCAATGAGCTGATATTGCACCACTGCCCTCCAGTTTGGGTGACAGAGCAAGACCCTGTGTCAAAAACAAGCAAACAGGCAGGGCACGGTGGCTCACACCTGTAATGCCAGCACTTTGGGAGGCTGAGGCGGGCGGATCACCTGAGGTCAAGAGTTTAAGACCAGCCTGGCCAACATGGTGAAACCCCGTTTCTACTAAAAATACAAAAATTAGCCAGGTGTGGTGGCACACACCTGTGATGCCAGCTACTCAGGAGGCTGACGTGGGAAGATCACTTGAACCTGGGAGGTGGAGGTTGCAGTGAGCTAAGATTGCGCCACTGCACTCCAGCCTAGGCAAAAGAGCAAGACTCCATCTCAAAAAACAAACAAAAAACAAACAAACAAAAACCTCATCTTGTGTAATTTTATTTATCTGAAACATTCAGAATAGGCAAATCTATAGTGACAAAAACTGTATTAGTGGTTGCTGAGGACTGGGGAAATGTTGGTTTGATGAGAACAGAGAATGATCTCTAAGGGTATGGGGTTTCTTTGAGGGTTGATGAAAATTTTCTGAGTCTAGATTATGAGTGATGGTTGCACAACTATGTAAATATTGAATTATGTACTTTAAACTGATAAATTTTATGAAGTGTAAATCATATCTCCATAAAGCTATTTTTAAAGAAGAAAATTGATATAATGTTGATATAGTTTGGATATTTGTCCCCTTCAAATCTCATGTCAAAATTGGATCCCCAAAGTTGAAGTCAGGGCCTGGTGGGAGGTGTTTGGGCCATGGGGGCAGATCCTTCATGAATGGCTGGGGTCCATCCCCTCAGTGATGACTGAGTTCTCACTCTCTTAGTTCTCGTGAAAGCTGGGTGTTTAAAAGAGCGTGGCACCTCCTCCTCTCGCTCTTGCTCCCTGTCTCACCATGTGACAGGCCTGCTGCCCCTTTACCTTCTGCTATGAGTGGAAGCTTCCCGAAGCCTTCGCCAGAAGCTGATGCTGATGGTATGCTTCTTATATAGCCTGCAGAACCATGAGCCAAATAAACTTCTTTTCTTGATAAATTACTCAACCTTAGGTTAAAGTTCCTTTATAGCAACACAAAATGAAGGAATACAACTGTCCTTCTCCTTCCTCTGCTTGATTTTTCTTTATTATACTACCTGAAATTATATGCTCATTTATTTTTTCTGTCTTTTTCTTCTCCAAACCAAAGTACAATTTTCATCAGGGCAGGTACTCTGACTATTTTTTTCACAGCTGTATCCTCAGCAGGTAAAACTATGCCTAATACATAATGGGGGTTCAATAAATTCTGCTAAATAAATGGAGTGAACAAGACAAGGAAATCACTGCTAAGTTTTACTGTTGATCGCAGACAATGACGTAAGAACGAAAGAGAGCAAAAGCGAAATTGGAAGGGACAAAATAATCACTACTTCTGGACAATATTGTCTACACAGAAACACCAAAAGAATCCATTAAAAATTACGATGACTAATAAGATAATTAAATTAGGTATCTGAGACCAGGTGTGGTGGCTCACGCCTGCAATCATGGCATTTTGGGAGGCTAAGGCAGGAGGATCGCTTGAGCTCAGGTGTTTGAGACAAGCCTGGGCAACATGGTGAAACCCTGTCTCTACCAAAAATACAAAAAATTAAAAATAGCCAGGTGTAGTGGCATATGCCTGTAGTCCCAGCTATTTGGAGGGCTGAGGTGGGAAATCGCTTGAGCCCAGGAGGTGGCGGCCCCCGGAGATTGTGCCACAGCACTCCAGCCTGGGTGACAAAGTGAGACTCTGTCTCAAAAAAAAAAAAAAAAAAAAGGCCAGGAGCGGTGGCTCACGCCTGTAATCCCAGCACTTTGGGAGGCCGAGGCGGGTGGATCATGAGGTCAGGAGATCGAGACCATCCTGGCTAACAAGGTGAAACCCCGTCTCTACTAAAAATACAAAAAATTAGCCAGGCGCGGTGGCGGGCGCCTGTAGTCCCAGCTACTCGGGAGGCTGAGGCAGGAGAATGGCGTGAACCCGGGAAGCGGAGCTTGCAGTGAGCCGAGATTGCGCCACTGCAGTCCACAGTCTGGCCTGGGCGACAGAGCGAGACTCCGTCTCAAAAAAAAAAAAAAAAAAAAAAAAAAAAAAAAAAAAGGTAGCTCAGTAAAAGCCCAACATTCAAAAATGAAAGCAACTTTTATCTATAGAGTCAATGAAATGTCAATTAAAATCTCAACAAGTTATTTTGTGGATATTGGCAAACTGATCCTAAGTTTTACAGAGAGGCCAAAGAACCAGAATAGCTAACACAATATTGAAAGAGAAGAAAAAAGTTGTGTAACTGATATTACCAGACTTCAAGACTTCCTCCCATAATACTTTTTTTTTTTTTTTGAGATGGAGTCTTGCTATGTCCCCCAGGCTGGAGTGCAGTGGCGTCATCTCAGCTCATCGCAACCTCCGCCTCCCCAATTCAAGCAATTCTCCTGCCTCAGCCTCCCAAGTAGGTGGGATTACAGGTGCACACCACCAGGCCCAGCTAATTTTTGTGTTTTTAGTACAGATGAGGTTTCACCATGTTGGCCAGGCTGGTCTCAAACTCCTGACCTCAGGTGATCTGCCCGCCTTGGCCTCCTAAAGTGCTGGGATTATAGGAGTGAGCCACCGCGCCCATAATATTTTAATTAAGAAGTGTGATATCAGCAAAAAAAAAAAAAAAAAAAAAAGCAAATACAGCAGTGGAACAGAATAGAAAACCCAGAAATAGACCCATGTAAATATAGTCAATTGATCTTTGACAAAGAAGCAAAGGCAATGTAATGGGGAAAAGATAGCCTTTTCAACAAATGATACTGGAATATGTGGACATCCATACACACACACAAAATCTAGACACAGACTTAACAAAAATTAACTCAAAATGGACCGTAAACCTAAATACAAAAGGCAGAGCTATAAAAACTTTTAAAACTGTAATACTCCTAGATGATAACATAGGAGAACATCTAGATGACCTAGGGTTTGGCAATGGCTTTTAAGATACATCAGGCCAGGCCTGTAATTACGCTTGTAATCCCAGCACTTTGGGAGGCCAAGGTGGGTGGATCACGAGGTCAGGAGTTTGAGACCAGCCTGGCCAATATGGTGAAACTCCATCTCTACTAAAAATACAAAAATTAGCTGGGTGTGGTGGCGTGTGTCTGTAGTCCCAGCTACTCGGGAGGCTGAGGCAGAAGAATCACTTGAACCCGGGAGGCAGAGGTTGCAGTGAGCCGAGATCGTGCCACTGCACTCTAGTCTGGGTGACAGAGCGAGAATCTGTCTCAAAAAAAAAAAAAATACAACATCAAAGGCACAATCCTTGAAAGAAAGAATTAATAAGCTGGACTTTTGTTGAAATTAAAAACTTCTGCTCTGTGAAAGACACTGTCAAGAGAATAAAGACAGAAACCACACTAGGAGAAAATATTTACAAAAGACATATCTGATGAAGGACTGTTATCCAAAATATACAAAGAACTATTAAAATTAAGTAATAAAAAAGTAAACAACCCAGCTAAAAACTGGACCCTTATTTGATCATTACACATTGTAAACATGTATTGAAATATCACATGTACCTCATTAATATGTACAATTTTTATTATTTTTTTTTTTTTTTTTTGAGACAGAGTCTCATTCTGTTGCCCAGGCTGGAGTGCAGTTGTGTGATCTCGGCTCAAAGCTCCACCTCCCAGGTTCACACCATTCTCCTGCCTCAGCCTCCGGAGTAGCTGGGACTACAGGTACCCACCACCACACCTGGCTAATTTTTTTGTATTTTTAGTAGAGATGGGGTTTCACCATGTTAGCCAGGATGGTCTCAAGCTCCTGACCTCGTGACCCGCCCGTCTCGGCCTCCCAAAGTGCTGGGATTACAGGCGTGAGCCACTGTGCCCAGCCAATATGTACAATTATTATATGTCAATTAAAAATAAAGAAATATAAAAGGGGCCAACGATCTCAACAGACACCTCACCAAAGAAGATATACAAATGGCAAATAAGCATATGAAAAGATGCTGCTCATCGTATCATCAGGGAAATGCAAATTAAAACAAGATACCACTATACCTCTATTAGAACGGCCAAAATCAAGAACGCTGACAATACCAAATACTGACAAGGATGTGGAGCAACAGGAACTTGCATCCATTGCAGGCAGGAATGCAAAATAGTATAGTCACTTTGGAAACAGTGTAGTGGTTTCTTGCAAAACCAAACATTTTCAACACACAATCCAGCACTCACACTCTTTGGTGTTTACCCAAATGAACTGAAATCTTACGTTCACACAAAAATCTGTTCCTATGGTATAAATATGTCCCAAAGTTCATGTGATGGAAATTTCCTCCCCAATGCAGCAGTGTTGAGAGGTGAGACCTTTAAGAGGTGATTCTTATGGACACCATTATCTAAGGAATGGGTTAGTTATCATGGGAGTGGGTTCCTGATAAAAGAATGATTTTGGCCAGATGCAGTGGCTCATGGCTGTAAACTCAGCACTTTGGGAGGCCAAGAAGTGAGGAATTGCTTGAGGCCAGGAGCTCAAGACCAGCCTGGGCAATATAACCCTGTCTCTACAAAAAATTAAAGAAAAAAAAATTGGCAAAAGTGGTGGCATGTGCCTTTAGTCCCAGCTGAGTACTCAGGAAGCTGAGGCAGGAAGATCACCTAAGCCCAGGTGTTAAGGTTATAGTGAGCTATGATTATGCCACTACACTCCAGCCTGGGTGACAGAGCAAAACCCTATCTCTAAAAAAATGAAAATAAAAAATAAAATAAAAAGAATGAGTTTGGCCACCTTTCTCTCTCACTGTTGTGTGTGCCTTCCTGCCCTTTCATCTTCCACCATGAGATGATGCAGCCCTAAAACCCTCATCAGATGCTGATGCCATGTTCTGGAACCTTCCAGCCTCCAGGACCATGAGCCAAATAAACTTATATTGTTTGTAAGTTACCCAGTCTGTAGTAGTCTATTGGAGCAGCAGAAAACAGACTAAGACTCCTGCACACAGATGTTTATAGCAGCTTTATTCATAATTGCCAATATTTGGAAGCAACTAATATATCTTTCAGTAGATAAATAAGTGGACATGTCTATCAGTAGATAAATAAATGGATAAATAAGCTGTGATACATACAGACAAGGGAATATTATTCAACACTAAAAAGAAAGAAGTTATAAAGCCATGAAAAGACATGAAGGCAACTTAAATGCATATTACTAAGTGAAAGAAGCCAATCTGAAAAGTCTACATTCTGTATAATTCCAAATCTATAACATTCTGGAAAAGGCAAAACTATGGAGATGGTAAAAAGGTCAGTGGTTGCTGGAGGTTATTAGTGAGGGAGAGATAAATCCATGGAGCACAAAGGATTTTTAGGGCAGTGAAATGACCTTGTTTGATAACGTAATGGTAATTATGTCATTATACATCTGTCCAAACCCACAGAATGTACAACATCAAAGTGACCCCTGATGTAAACTATGGACTTTGGGTGATAATGATGTGTCAGTGTAGGTTCATTAATTATAGCCAATGTGTTACTCTGGTGGGGGATGTTAATAGGGGGTAGGCTATGCATGTATGGGGGAATGGGGTTTCCCACAGGAAATCTCTGTGCCTTTTGCTCAGTTTTGCTGTGAATCAAAAACTTCTCTAAAAAATAGTCTATGAAGAACAAAAAGGAGGAGGAAGAGGGTGAGGAGGGGGAGGAGGCCTAACTAAACTGAAGGGTGTGCTATAATAATAATTGCAAACAATAGCAAAGTCATGGAATCAACCTAGGTGCCCATCAACAGGGAACTAGATAACAAAAATGTGGTATATATACACCATGGAATACTATGCAGCAATAAAAAAGAACAAAATCATGTCCTTGCAGCAACATGAATGCAACGGTAAGCTATTATCCTAAGTGAATTAACACAAAAACAGAAAATCAAATATTGAATGTTCTCACTTATAAGTGAAAGCTAAACATTGGGTACACATGGATTTAAAGATGGGAACAATAGACATTGGGAACTCCAAAAGTGGGGAGGTAGGCAGGAGGGGCAAGGGCTGAAAAACTTCCTATTGGATACTATGTTCGCTATCAATAGACAGATCAATAGAAGCACAAACCTTGCATTGTGCAATATGACAATGTAACAAACCTGACATGTACCCACCCCTTGAATCGAACATGATTTTTTTTAAACAAAAAAGAAACAGCATGAGTATCCATCCCCTTTCTCCATACTGTGAGGCCTTGTGTTGGCTCCTCTCCTGCTCCAGAGAAAGACTTAGGCCTAGTCTATGAAGAAAGTAAGACTTAGGGCCTCTAGTTTGGGATCAGATACAGTTGAGATTAAGGTTATTGTTCTGAAAACAGGATAAAGGGAATGCTTATTTGTTAAATGTTAAGACCCCTCAATCCTCCTCCTCTGCTCAGTTATCAGAGAGTTATCAACCAGGGTTATATCCTTTAGGCAGGAAAATGGAAGGTTTTTCACAGGGGAATTTGAACAGCTTAAGAGAAAAGAAAAAAACCAAATATACCAACATCAGGCGTTCTCCAACAATGGCCCAACCAGATCACCCTACAGCCGATGTTCTCAAAATCAGCTGCACATTAGATTTCCAAGGTCCTTTTGAAAACCTCTATGCCCAGGCTGTATCCCACGCCAATTCAATATGTAACTCTGGGAATAAAACCCAAATATCTATAATTCTTACTACTCTTAAACAGGATCTATAGCTATGTCCCCTTTCTGGTTCTGACTTTATTTGTGCCTCCTCTCTTTTATTCTAGATCAGTTTTATCAGTTTTTCTATCAGTCGTTTCCAAAAACCAATTTGTGCCTTTATTGAGTCTCTGTTATAAACCTGTTTTCTATTTTATTTGTTTCTACTCTTATCTTTATTTTTTATTTTCATTTTTTATTTAACTCACAGTACGTCTACTCCTATCTTTATCATTTCCTTTCTTTCTACTTTCTGTGTTTAATTTACTCTGTGTGTGTGAGTGTGTGTGTGTGTGTGTGTGTTTCTAACTTCTTGAGATGGATACTTACATCACTATTTTCAGGCTTTCTTTTTTGAACTATGTCATTATTTCTATATATATTCTATGGTTCAATTGACACATTTTCAATTTTAAGGCTATAAATTTTCCTCTAATGGCAGTTTTTGTTGCATCTTGCAAGCTTAGCTATTCTTAACATTATTTAGTCCAAAATATCTTTTCCTGTATATTGTGATTTATTTAATCCATTAGGTATTTAGAAGTATGTTGCTAATTTCCAAACATTCAGGGATATTCTAGTTACCTTTTTTATTATTGATTTCTAAATTAATTTAAGTGTGGCCAGAGAACATGCTCTGTTTGATTTTAATCATTTTAAATTTATTGAGTTGCTTTATGATCCAACATATAGTCAATTTTGGTAAATGTTCCATGTGTACTTGAAAAGAATGTATATTCAACAACAATTGTTGCAATGTTCTATATGTAACATTTCAGTAATATTTATTGCATCATTCAAATCATTTATATCTCTACTGATTTTTTTGTCTGATAGTTTTCTAGTTAACAAGAGAGGTATATTGAAATCTACTCTACTACTCTGATTAAGGATTTCTCTATTTCTTATTTTAGTTATGACTTTTTTATTTTTTTTGCTTTCTATATTCTGATGTCTTGTTATTAAGTACATACAAATTTTATATTGTTGTATTTTCTTGGTGAGCTGACCCCATTATTATTATGAAACATTTCTGTTTATTCCATTTTATTTTATTTTATTGTTTTGAGACAGGCTCTCAGTCTGTTGCCTAGGCTGGAGTGCAACCGTGTGATCTCAGCTCATTGGAACTTCCACCTCCTGGGCTCAAGTGATCCTCCCACCTCAGCCTCCCTAGTAGCTGAGACTACAGGCATGTGCCACCACACCCAGTTAATTTTTGTATTTATTCTTAGAGATGGGGTTTTACCATGTTGGCCAGGCTGGTTATTCACTTCTTATCTTGCTTTATACATTAAAGTCTTTATGCTACATCTGCTTTCTTTTGTTTTGAATTTGTGTTGTATCTATATTTTTTTCATTCTTTTGCTTTCAAACTTTCTGTGTCCTTATATTTAAGGTGTGTTTATTATAATCAACATATAGTTGTGTGTGTGTTTTTTAAATCCAGTGTGACAATCTTCCTCTTTAATTGGACTTTTTAGTCCATCTATGTTTAATGTAATTACTGACATATTTGGGCTTAAAATCTATCTTATTGTTTCTGTATTCTGTATTTCTTTTTCTCTCCTTCTTGCCTTCTTTTGAATTTTTCAAATCCTGTTTTCTTTATCTATTAGCTTATTAGTTTATCTTCTCTTACTGTTCTTTCAATGGTTACTCTAGATTACAGCCTGCATCCTTAACTTTTTAAAGTATAATAAAAATTAGTACTTTTACCACATTTGGACAATGCAAAGACCTTAGAACTTTATGTCTATTGACCCCACTCCTTTTTTTGGTAAAATTATTGTCATATATATTTAAATTTTCTATAAATTTTAATCCACAAAATATTGTTGGAGTTTTACCCTTTCCATTGCTCTTTATTTCTTCCTGAATTATTATGTTTCCATCTGAAATCATTTCCTTCTCCATAACTCTCTTCAGTATTTTCTTTACTGTGATTCTTCTAGGGATAAATTCTCTCAGGTTTTTTTTCTCTGAAACTGTATTTTTGTTTCATTCCTGAAGGATAGTGTCACTGGGTGTAGAATTCTTGGATGTTAGTTATTGTCTTTAAGTGCTTTTAAGTTAAAATTCACTGTCTTTTAGCTTTCATAGTTTTTACTGAAAATTTAACTCAGTCAGGCCAGGCGCGGTGGCTCATGCCTGTAATCCCAGCACTTTGGGAGGCCGAGGCGGGTGGATTGCCTGAGGTCACAAGTTCGAGACCAGTCTGGCCAACATGGTGAAACCCCGTCTCTACTAAAAATACAAAAAAATTAGCCAGGTGTGGTGGCACATGCCTGTAATCCCAGCTACTCGGGAGGCTGAGGCAAGGGAATTGCTTGAACCAGGGAGGTGGAGGTTGCAGTGAGCCAAGATCGCGCCACTGTACTCCAGCCTGGGCGACAGAGCAAGACTCCTCAAAAAAAAGAAAATTTAACTCAGTCTAATTGTTGCTTTTGTTTTCAACAGCTTTACTGTAATCTGCCTAGGAGTAGATTCCTTTGTATTTATCCCTGTCGAGGTTGAACTAGCACTTCTTGAATCTATGGATCAACATCTCTTGACAGTATGGGGAAATTCTTAGTTGTTATCTCTCTGAATATTTCTTCAGCCTCTGCTTCATTCTCTCTCTTCTCATTCTGAAACTCCAGTTACACATGTTAGATGTTTTCACCTTGTTTCACACACCTTTTTTTTCTAGCTAGGTAGAAGATACTAGCCTTTTTTTTTTTTTTTTTTTGATAGGGTCTCACTCTGTCGCTCAGGCTGGAGTACAGTGGCATGATCTTAGCTCACTGCAAACTTCACCCCCAGGCTCAAGTGATCCTCCCACCTCAGCCTCCCAAGTAGCTGGGACTACAGGTATGTGTCACCACGCCTGGCTGATTTTTGTATTTTTTATAGAAATGGGGTTTTGTTATGTTGCCCAGGCTGGTCTCAAACTCCTGGATTCAAGTGATCCACCTGACTCAGCCTCCCAAAGTGCTGGGATTTACAGGCATGTGCCACAAACCTCTCTTATGAACCAGCCTCAAACATCTCTTATGCTCTTATATGTACTTTATATTCATTGTCTCACCATATTTCAGCCTAGATATTTTCTTCTGACTAATCTTTTATTTCTTTTATTCTCTCTTCAACTGCTTCTAATCAACTGTTAAACCCATTATTGAATTATTAATTTCATTTATTGAATTTTTCAGTTCCAGAGTTTCCATTGATTCTTTTTTTTATAGTCTGTAGTTCTCTCCTGAAATTCTGCATCTTGTAATTTAATTTCTGGAACACATTAATCACAGTTATCTTAAATTATGTGTATGATTTCTCCAATATCTGGATCTTCCACAGGTCTCTTTCTATTGTCTGTCTTGTAACTGAATTTTTGGCAGTCTTGTCTTTTTTTGCATGCCTATTTTTCATTATCTGGATCTTCCATAGGTCTCTATTGTCTGTCTTGTAACTGAATTTTTGGTAGTCTTGTCTTTTTGTGTGTGCCTATTTTTCATTACATGCTGGACATTGTGTATGAAAAATTATAGCAATAATTTGAGGCACTGGACAATATTATCTTCAGCCAGAGAGGACTTATTCTTATTTATAAGAACGGTTAAGGTAGGGGCATGGCACCAGAATAAATCTAAAATTAGTTGCTTCAAACCAAATTTCAGTCTTTGAGAGTTAGTCAATTTTGGATCATCCTTACTCCTAGGATATAGCCCTTTAGGAATCCCAATTGAGAGTCTGGGATGTTTACCAGCTACTCAGGAGGCTGAAGTAGGAGAATCACTTGAACCCGAGAGACGGAGGTTGCAGTGAGCTGAGATCACACCACTGCACTCCAGCCTGGGCGACAGAGCAAGACTCCATCTCAAAAAAAAAAAAAAAAAAAAAAAGAAAGAAAGTCTGGGATGTTTACTAGAACTCCTTCTTATTGATGAGCCCTGAACCACTGTTATTGTTTCCTCTGCCCAGAGAGACTTCCAAACACTCTGCTCAGCTTCTCATTTTCTCAGGTTTGACTTTGAAACTAGGAACACCTCAGTGGTGCCAGATGTTTGTCTCACCTCTGTGGAATTCCCCCTTCTCCAGAATCTTGACCCCTAAGTTCTTTTCTATCTCGGTAGTTCTCCAATGCTTCCAAACAGATATTTTAAAAATATTTTTGAACAGCTTTCCTAACTGTTCTTGATGGGAGGCTTGGTCTGGTTTGCAATGTCTTTGGGTGATTTCTATTTATTCTGCCTAGCTCAGTGAACTTGAAAAAGGAAGCCATTAACAGTACCCAGGGTATTTCTCAAAACTTCTCAAATGTAAAATTCTGCCAGTAATAACTTTGAGAACCCATCGGAACAAAACAAGACATTGTGACACATAATTCAGCACTGCTCCTGGCAGCGATGCTGAGATGGACCATTCTAAAGCCTTTTCTTTCCCTTGGCTTTCTTTATCTCTCCCAAACTATCAAGCAAAAAAAAAAACAAAACATCTACAGGTACAAACCTCTTTTACGCTTTCCCAGTAGCCTGTTAGGCCTCTATTTCTAATTATTCCCAATGTTAGGAATTCAAATTCATGTGTTTCTAACCTTAAATTTTGGAGATTGCAAAAAAAGGCTCACAGAAGTGAAAATACATTATAAGAGTTCATATAATAGGACTCCTTCATCAGAAATGAATTACTATTCTTGCATATCACTAAAGTAATAGTGCTTTCTCCATATCTGTATCTCTAAAATGCTGCTCCTTCTTTTGAGAACATTCTCTTTCTTTATTTCTCATCATATGCCCCACGTCAGATTCTCTTGGCCTCACCTGTCTCCAGGACATTTGAATCCAGCTCCAGTCACTGCTGTTGGGAAAATAAATCTCGGGATCCCAAATCACTAAGCCAAAGAGGAAAGTCAAGCTGGGAACTTCTGAGGGCAAACCTGCCTCCCATTCTATTCCTAAAAAATGATAACTACCAAGATAAAAAACCTACACACCTCCCTCACAATTTGCCCAAGAGGAAATTCCTTGGGGACAAAGGACAGACAGAATTTAGTCATCCCTCTGCTCACTGAGATAAATGTATATCTGATTGCTTCCTTTGGAAAGGCTAATCAGAAACTCAAAAGCATTTGTCTCTTATCTACCTATGACCTGGAAGCCTGCTTCAAATTGTCCCACCTTTCTGGACCAAACCAAAGTACATCCTACATATGTTGATTGATGTCTCATGTCTCCCTAGAATGCATATATAAAATTTAATATAGAATGTAATATAAAACCAAGCTGTACCCCACCCACCTTGGGCACATGTTGTCAGGACCTCCTCAGGCTGTGTCACGGACACACATCCTTAACTTTGGCAAAATAAACTTCCTAAATTGACTGAGACCTGTCTCTGATATTTGGAGTTCACAGGACTAACTTTGCATGGATTGCATTCACCTTCATGCAGGCACATGATGATGAGACCTTATTCCATACCAATACCACATGCTTATTTCCACCCTTCTGTTGATGCTGAGTCATCAAACACCAGGGGACACATATGTATGAGACAGAAGAGCAGGAGAGTTAACCCTCATAACAGGAAAAACAAAAGCCAGTAGAGAAATTCCTCCCTTCTTTTCCCAAAGCAGTTTGTTGAGGGATTGAAGATATCTTTAAACTATTCCCTCAAGCATAGTTTCCCGAGACACACTTAATACAACTTCTTGGAGGATAGCCCCATAGATTGAGCTGCCCAGATGCATTTAGTGGCAGCTACTTTGCAAACACATCCTCATATTAGCTTTGTTTATTTCCCTGTATATAAATCCTAACATTGCCTATGTAAAATAAAATGACAATTACTAATTTGTGGAGTTAGAAAGAAAAGAAAGAACCAAAAAATTAGACAACAGTGCCATATAAGTCAGAAAAGGTAAGAAAATAATTAAAATATTCTAAATGTTTTATGCTATCTAGAAGAGAATGGTAAACATATTTAAACTTTATGCCTTGTTAGATTAAAATACATGACACATTTCTGAAGTAACCTCTAAAAAAATAAAGTATAATTCCAAATCTTTAGTGAAAACATGGAAGAGGGGGAAAGGTGCAAAAAGAACTCAGTTAATCAAAAATAAAAAATAAAAAAGCCCGAAAAAAAAAAAGCCAAAAAAAAAAAAAAAAAAAAGCCCAGAGACCTAGAAAATGTAGAACAAATAGAAATAAAAAAGGAAGAATCAAAGTCTAAATATATAAAGAATCATAATAGGCCAGGGATGGTGGCTCAAGCCTGTAATCCCAGCACTTTGGGAGGCTGAGGTGGGCTGATCACCTGAGGTCGGGAGTTTGAGACTAGCCTGAGCAACATGGAGAAACCCCATCTCTACTAAAAATACAAAAATTAACCGGGTGTGGTGCTGCATGCCTGTAATCCCAGCTACTTGGGAGGCTGAGGCAGGAGAATCACTTGAATTTGGGAAGTGGAGGTTGTTGTGAGCCGAGACCAGCGTGGGCAACAAGAGCGAAACTCCGTCTCAAAAAAAAAAAAATCATAATAAATATACATGGAACAAAATTAATAGTAACAAGACAGATGATCAGTTAGGACTTTTTTTTTTGAGATGGAGTTTTGCCCTGTCACCCAGGCTGGAGTGCAGTGGCGCCGCAATCTCGGCTCACTGCAAGCTCCGCCTCCCAGGTTCGCGCCATTGTCCTGCCTCAGCCTCCCCAGCAGCTGGGACTACAGGCGCCCGCCACCACGCCCGGCTAATTTTTTGTATTTTTAGTAGAGACGGGGTTTCACCGTGTTAGCTAGGATGGTCTCAATCTCCTGACCCTGTGATCCGCCCACCTCGGCCTCCCAAAGTGCTGGGATTACAGGCGTGATCAGTTAGGACTTTTTAATACAGCTGTATACATTAATACATCTAAAGCAAAAGAACTTAGAAAGGTTGAAAGTAAAAGGATTGCAAATATTACAAGTAAACACTCACTAAAAGAAAGCTGGTTTGTCTATGATAATATCAGACAAAACAGACTTTAAGACAAAGAGCAATGTAGGGATATAAAGGGATAACTGTGTCATGATATAAAATTTAATTCACCAAAATGTTAACACAATTCTAAACACATAAGCACCTAACAAAATGTGTTCCAAGTACAGGGAGCATAAATTGATAAAAACTGGAGAGGCTGACAAACCTACCATCATTGTGGGAGATTTTTCAACATGCTTTTGTCTGTGACTGGTAATTCAAGCAGAAAACAAAAAGCAAAGATACAGGATATTTGAACAACAAAACTAACAATCTTGTAATAATGGACATATATCAATTTTGTACCTAACAATGAGAGAATACAAATTCTTATCAAGCTTGTATTTCTCAGATTAGATTATAAATTAACCAATTAGGCAAATATCACTACATTTTAAATAAAAGTATAATAAACATTATTATTATTATTATTATTATTATTATTATTATTTTGAGACTGAGTTTTGCGCTTGTTGCCTAGGCTGGAGTGCAATGGCGCCATCTCGGCTTGCTGCAAACTCTGCCTCCTGGGTTCAAGCGATTCTCCTGCCTCAGCCTCCTGAGTAGCTGGGATTACAGGCGGGCACCACCATGCCCAGCTAATTTTTGTATTTTTAGTAGAGATGGGGCTTCACCATGTTGGCCAGGCTGGTCTCGAACTCCTGACCTCAGGTGATCTGCTCACCTCAGCCTCCCAAAGTGCTGGGATTACAGGCATGAGCCACCATGCCCGACCTAAAAGTATAATAAAAATTATGATAACAATGCAAATATGTCAGAAGAGACAAGGTCTCTGTTACCCAGGCTGCAGCATCAAACTCCTGGGCTCAAGTGATCCTGCCACCTCAGCCTCCCCAGTAGCTAGGACTACCATGCCTGGCTAATTTTTTATTTTTATTTTTTTAGTAGAGATGGGGTCTCACTATTTTGCCCAGGCTGGTCTCAAACTTCTGGGCTTAAATGATCCTCCAGCCTCACCCTCCAAAAGTGTTGGGATTACAGGTGCGAGCCACCATGCCTGGCAAGAACATATCTTTTAAATAATGAGTCAAAGAAGAAACTACAATAAAAATTTAAATATTTTTGAACTGAATAATAATAAAAATGTTATATATCAAAACTTGTGGGATACAGAAAGCAGTGCTTTGAAGGAAATTTACTGCCTTAAATGTTTTTAAAGACAAGAAAAACATGGCTGAAAATTAATAAACTAAACACACAACTTTAAGAAATAACAGAATAAACTCGAAGAAAATGGAAGGAAGGGGATAATTATAAGAGCAGAACTAGAGATAGAAACGAAATAGAAAACAGGGAGAATCAACAAGGACAAAGTTGGTTCTTTGAAAAATACCAACAAAATAAATAAACCTCTGCAATGATTTATCTAAGAAAAAATGATAAGAAGTTAAAGGCAAATAATTTTTATCAGTCAGTTTTCACTATAATATGCTTTGGTAACTACAAAATCCCAAATCTCTGTGTTTATTTCTTATTTGCTATATATGTTGACTCTGCTGGGCTCTCCTCCACATGTATTCTTCATTCTGGGGTCCCCAATCACGCACATGCCATTCTCATGGAAGAGAGAAAAGAGCAAGAAAGCTGGTAGAAACATGTACGATATCTTTTAAAGTTTCTGTTCATGTACGATGATCAAGCCCATTGACAGCTGGTTGGGTATGCATTCTTCTGTCACAAGAGTCACCTCAAGTCACATAGCATTAGGTAGAAATGTATAGTCCTCTTATAAGAAAAGGAACAAATATTTGGAGAGCAATAACACAGTCTACCACAAGTAATATTATAAATGAAAAAAGAGCTATAAATACAGCAGAGATTAAGAAGATAATACAATCAATAACTATGCCAATGAGCTTAAACCCTTAGATGACATGGAAAAAATTCTAGAACCTATTATTTTATTAAACTGACTCAAGGAGAAAGAAAATAATTGAACAGTTTCATAACTATTAAATAAACCAAAGTCGTATTTTACAAACTTCACACAAGGAAAATACCCAGCCGAGATGGTTTTGCTGTGCTGTTCTGTTCTGTTTTGTTTGGTTTTTGTTTTTTGGAGATGGAGTCTTGTTGCTCAGTCTGGTCTTGAATTCCTTGCCTCAAGTGATCCTCCTGCTTGAGCCTCTCAAGTAGTTGAGATTATAGGTGTAAGCCACTGCACCCAGCTCCAGACAGTTTTACTGGTGAATTCTACTGATGCTTGAAAGGAAAATCACTCCAATCTTATTAAAATTCTTCCAGAGGATACAAAAAAAGGGAATACTCCTTATGTCACTTTATGAGCCTTGAAACCCAAACAGATCAAGACAGAATGAGAAAGGAATATCACAAGTCCATGTTTTTCATAAACACAAACGCAAAAATCCTACATAGAATATAACATAGACATAGAATATATAGAGCACAATAGCATATAAAATTGAGACTTTATGGTCCAGTTGTTTATCCTAGGAATGCAAGGATAAGTAGTTTAATATAAAATCTATAAATGTCATCTACCATATTAACATATTAAAGGGAGAAAGAAATTGTGTGATGATTTCAATAGATGTAGAAATAAATTAAATTCAAATCCATTCAAGATTTTTAAATTTTATTCAACTAGGAATAAAAGGTACCTTCCTTAACCTGATAAAGGAGATTTACAAAACGCCTACAAAAATATCATTCTAAATGTTTTATCATAAAATATACAAAAATAATACTAAGTTTCCCTTTCGAATATCAAGAGCATCAAGAATGCCCACTATCACCATTTCCAATAACACTGTACTGGAACAATGCACTGCCTTCTCCCCCAAACCAGTGTAACACTTTTTTTTTTTTTTTGAGATGGAGTCTGGCTCTGTCGCCCAGGCTGGAGTGCAGTGGTGCAATCTCAGCTCACTGCAAGCTCTGCCTCCCGGGTTCACTCCATTCTCCTGCCTCAGCCTCCCAAGTAGCTGGGACTACAGGCACCCGCCACCACGCCCGGCTAAGTTTTTGTATTTTTAGTAGAGATAGGGTCTCACCATGTTAGCCAGGATGGTCTCAATCTCCTGACCTCATGATCTGCCCGCCTTGGCCTCCCAAAGTGCTGGGATTACAGGCATGAGCCACTGAGCCTGGCCAAACCAGTGTAACACTTTAAGATAGATAAAAAGCAATAAGGGTTGGGCGTAGGAAAGGGGGAAACTGGCATTATTTTCAGATAATGATTGTTTACATACAAAATCCAAAAGAATCAATAAATAAATTACTACAAACAAGAGTTTAGCATTGTGGCTGGATACAATATCAATGTACAAAAATCAAATTTATTTCTATATGATCATCAAAAAATTAGAAAGCATATTTTTAAAGGACATCACTTATAATAGC
This sequence comes from Homo sapiens, assembly GCF_000001405.40. Lineage (NCBI taxonomy): Eukaryota > Metazoa > Chordata > Mammalia > Primates > Hominidae > Homo > Homo sapiens. The sequence continues at coordinate 154,630,481 of NC_000001.11, read as the reverse complement.
AACAAAAACTACAAAGAATCTAGGAATAAAATCCCCAAAAGATGTGCAAGATCTGGACAAAGAGAATAATAAATCCAAATTAAAGCATTAATGAAGACCTAATAAAAAGAAAGTTATCCCTTGCTTATGGAAGACTCAGAATCATAAAATGTCAATTCTCTCCAAATTTATATATTAGTTATTTATTATTCAATGCAATGCCAACAGGTTTTTGTTGTTGTTACTGCTGCGTGTGTGTGTGTGCAACTTGTTTGTGTGTGCAACTTGAGATGCTTGCCTTAAAATATGGGAAAACTAAAGACCAAGCATAGCCCAAAAAAAGAAGATGGATGAAGAATAAAAGGGAGATTTTGCACTACTAAATATCAAGACTTTTTATAAAGCTGTGGTAATTAAATAATGTGGTGTTGACATCAAGATAGACAAATTTTCCAGTGGAAGAGAATAGATAGATCAGAAATAGACCCATAAGTAACTGGAATGTTGATATATAACAAAGTTGGGAAAGGTGGGAAAGTTGGGAAAGGTGGGGCTAGTCAATAAACAAACCTGGGGAAAAATAAAGGTCATTTGTATGTAAAAAGTAAAATGGGATCCCTACCTCACACCATATACAAAAGTAAATTCCAGAGAGAATAAGGATTTAAAGATTTTTAGGAGTAAGAGTAAGTGAATAAATATTAGGGTACGGGGAAAAGAAAAACAGGATAAATATTAATAAATTCAAAGTTAAGAACATCTACCAAAATAGAAAATGAAAGGATACATATGGAAGGATAAATTTGCAACACATATAACTGATGAAGAATCAGTGCCCTAAGTTTGTGAATAATGTAGCAAACAATCCACTAAAACAATAATAAAAGACTCAAACTGACTGTTATATAAAGAGCCAAAGATGGCCTCTGTATCTGGGTCCCTGAGTTGTTTATTTCTTCACAGCAAGCTGGTATCTATTATCTCAAAAGCCTTTCAGCACCTAACTCAAATGTTTATACATCCAGGCATTTTAAATATAACACAACTAAGCAGATTTTTAGGCATTTAGAGCTGCTTGCCTGCTTTGTATACCTCATGAAACTGTGCCCAACATCTGTTAGTCATAGATAAGATAAATCTGTGGTTTATGAAGACTCCAATTTGCTGCTGCCCTTGGGAGCTTTCTGAAACAGAGACTTCCCACAGGCCGCTGAACAACATCACCTGGACATGGTAAGGCCACTCTCTTCTGGAAGTTTCCTTCTCTTTTCCCCTTTTGGATGGTTCCTCTCCACCCCCAATCTCTGGATCTTCTCATGCTGCCAAGGACTTCCCCTAAATACAAACCTGTCAAAGCTCACACAAATAAAGCTTGAGTGTGCTACTGTCACCTCCTGGTCATATATTTTTTCTTGCTCAGCCCTAAAAATCCCTCAAATGCCCTACACTGACATTTCACAGAAGAGAAACTACAGATGGACAATACATATTTAAAAGAGATGCTTAACCTCAATAAGGGCAGTTTGAGACCATGCATTAGCAAAAGCCAAGAAATCTGAGGTGTTAGAGAAGATGTGGATGCTGGTAGGAGTATAAACTGGTACAACCACTTTGGATAAAAATTTGGTACTATCATATAAAGTGGAATACTGGCATTCCAAAGTCCTATCAATTTTATTCCTAGGTAAATACACCCAAGAGACATTTTTGCACAGGGGCACCAGAAAGCAATGCTGATTTCCAACACTGTTGGAAAGAGCAAAAGACTGGAAATTGCACAAAGACTTGGCAGCTGGAGAATGGATAAATTATGGTACATAATGGATTTTTATGTAGCAGTGAAAATGAACAAAATGTAACTTCGGTCAATAAAGATGAGTAAAGAAAAATGTACCAGGCCCAGGCCTCTAGATGAGAGTTTGGAAATACACACAAAACTAAGAAAAGTAAAAATACATTGCTTAGTAATATATATAAATGTGAAAAGAAATTAAAGCAATATAATAGTTGTGTAAACACAAATTCAGGATGGGAGTTACTTCTGATGGAGAGGCAGTGGCACAAGATGGGGACCACTTACAAGCTGATGAAAGTTAATTGATAATATTTTAGTTCTTGGTTAGCATGTCAAGTTAAAGAAGGTGTTCATTATATTATTTTAAAAATGAATTCGTTTAATTTAATTTAAACGGGCCATTCAAAGACTACTGGTTATAATGTATTATTGGCTAATTCTGTGGTCTTTTTAAAAGAGGATTGTACCTACGTATCTTCTCAGGCCTTCCGGCCCAACCACGTTATAAATGACTAAGGAGTTCAATCAAGGCCATGGGCAAAAATGCAGCATCCTAAACCCATGTACCTACTCCCCACTGTACCCAAAACAGCGGCATTAACACAACGTAAAAAACCAAGGAAGACGTAGCAACAAAAACCTTAATTTCCTAGAGCGCAAACAAAAGAGGTTGAATCACGTGGTTCTTCCTCCCACGCCCGGCGCGCCAATGATGTCACCAATCTGCGACCAGACCATTGATTCCCGACTGAAGGTAGAGAAGGCTACGTGGTGGGGGAGGGTGGGGGGAGGGTCGCGGCCGCACTGGCAGTCTCCGGGTGTCCGGCCGTGTCCCGAGGAAGTGCAAGACCCGGTAAGAGCCTCTGTCCTTCTCGGCTACACCTGCCTGGGCTGGAACGCGCGGCCCATGCGGCCTCTCCAGTCTCTGGCGTTGATGTTAGAGGAAGCGTGGGGGCGCCCCGGCAGGGCACTGAGGGTGGCCGCAGGGCTGGGTGGGGACGCAGCTGGTAGGGGCACAGTGGCCGGTCTCGGCAGCCTTCCAGGAGGCGGACGCCCGGGCCGGTGTACTTTTGTGCGTGTGTGCGCGCCCGTGTGTGCGCGAGTGTGGGCGGCAGAGGCTGCGCACGGATGCTCCGGCGCTCGTGCCAGCCGGAGCCCAGCAGCTGGGTACCAAAGGCCCAACAGCTGGGTACCAAAGGCCCTTGTTTCCCTCTCGCCGGCTCCCCCGCCTCGGAGAGTGACTGGAGAGTGAGCTGCCTGGGACTCGCCGCGGTAGGCGCTTTTGCTGCGCCTTCTACCACAAACTGCGTTAGGACCGGCCCTTTATCCCAGAGATAACATCGCCGCCCTGGCGTGCCTTCCACAGGGAAGGCGTAGGAGGCCACTGTGGAAAGCTCACTGCGGGGTCACGGCCGCCGCGCTCAGCCTGTCTGGCCTGGTGCAGGAGGCCTAGTTGCGTCACCTCCTCTTCCTTCTCTGTTTAGCTTGATTTGGGGGCCCCACTAGAGGGTAATCCGGCCCCAGGTGTTTCGTGTTGGTATCAGAGTTTGGGAAACTTGCCTTCCAAAAAGGGATACCTGTCATTGGATTTTGAATGTTGTGTGGAGGAGCCCAAGTATGCAATTAGCGGAGGGAGCAGAGTCTAGGCTGCCACGGGAGGAGACTTGCAAACAGAGGCCTACACAGTGTCTTGTTGCTAGAGAGGGAGGCAGGATTGCTAGAGCGGGTCATTGGGGGCAGAGAAGGCAGGGGCGTCAAACTGTCAGCAGTTGTGATGCCAACTTCTTTCTCCACCAGAGAAGCCTTGTTCCCATCCTTTTAAAGATCTCTTGAAATATCTTGGTCGTTATTTACAAACAGTTAGTGCTTGCTATATGGGAAAAAGGGAAATAGAGTGGAAAGGGGACATGAACTTTGGAGTCAGGTCTGCCACTTTGCAGCTGTTTGACATTGAATGAGTTATTTAACCTCTCCACTCCTACTTGGGCTTATCTACAAAATGAAGATAATTATATCTACCTTGCCCGAGGTGTCAGAATTCGAAGTGTCTAGCTATTATTAGTAAGGGCCCAGTACCCAGGAGCTTGGACTTGCTCCCTTGCTGAAGGTTTCCTATTGGTACAGCTGCTTGAGAAGCAGGGGAACTTTTTGCTATTTTAGATGTTTGCTATTCTGCCAGATATGATATGCAGACTTGGGGGTGGTAGTGGAGGGGAAATCTCAAAATCCATAATCTCTCTGCTGTACACTTCATTAAATTCTAGAACTGCAAAGAGGTGAAGATCTCACTTTAGGCCGGGTGCAGTGGCTCATGCCTGTAATCCCAGCACTTTGGGAGGCCGAGGCAGGTGGATCATGTGAGGTCAGGAGTTCGAGACCAGCCTGGCCAACATGGTGAAACCCCGTCTCTACTAAAAATACAAAAATTAGACCAGCATGATGGTGCACATCTGTGATCCCAGCTACTTGGGAGGCTGAGGCAGGACAATCTCTCAAACCCAGGTGGTGGAGGTTGCAGTGAGCCAATATCCACCATTGCACCCCAGCCTGGACGACAGCGAAACTGTATCTCAAAAAAAAAAAAACTCACTTTATTAATTATAGCTTCTCATTTTATTTTATTATTTTTCAATTTTATCCCGAGTAGCTGGGATCACAGATGTGCACCACCATGCCTGGCTAATTTTTTTTTTTTTTTTTTTTTGAGACAGAGTCTCACTCCATCGCGCAGGCTGGAGTGCAATGATGCGATCTCAGCTCACTGCAAACTCTACCTCCCGGGTTCAAGTGAGTCTCCCTCCTCAGCCTCCCGAGTAGCTGGGATTACAGGAGCATGCCACCATGCCTGGCTAATTTTTGTATTTTTAGTAAGACAGGGTTTCACCATGTTGGCCAGGCTGGTCTCGAACTCCTGACCTCAGGTGATCCACCTGCCTCGGCCTCCCAAACTGCTGGGATTACAGGTATGAGCCACCGTGCCTGGCCTATGCCCGGCTAATTTTTGTATTTTTAGTAGAGATGGGGTTTCACCATGTTGGCCAGGCTGGTCTCGAACTCCTGACCTCAAGTGATCTGCGCACTTAGGCCTCCCAGAGTGATGGGATTACAGGCATGAGCCACCGCGCCAGGCCTTTCGCTTCTCTTTAGCACTTGCTATGTACCTGACACGGTGTTGAGCACTTTACATATACTAACTTATTTCATCCCTCTAACAACTGAGTGCACTAAATATTATCCCCATTTTATAGATGCAGAAGTGAATCTTGGCTAAGGTCCTGACATTAATTAACGGCAAAGCTGGAACTTGAAGCCAGCTGTGTGGTTTGAGTCTTGCTCTTTCTCAGTGTCTAGCAAGTCTTGCTCTTGCCCTTGCTCATCAGGCTATGTGGTTTGAGTCTTGCTCTTTCTCAGTGACTAGTATCCCAGCAATGTAAACCTGGTGCAGTGGGGGAAAGGAGGCCCAGACAGAGTTTAGTGGGCCAGGATTGGCTGCAAGAATAACATCTCAAATTGTCTAATGATACATTATCTTTTATTTTACATTTTTTACTCAGCATTGTCCAGATATGAACCAAGGTTTGGCCTTTTCACCCAGAGAAAAAGGACAGGCTCATGGGTACACTGTGCTGGGATGACGGGCACAAAGTAGGTATTCGGAAAATGCTTGTGGAAAAAAGAAATCCTGAGGCATTGTTATTTCTGCCAGAAGGAGGCCCAGTGCTTATTACACACAGGCTCCTTAAGCCAGCTATTTTTATACTATAACACACTGTAATATGAGCATTTTTCTGATTCATGGATTTAAAGATTTGAAGCCCTGTTTCAGACCAAGATTGGTAGTATTATCTGTGACCAACTGATTAGAGTTCTCAAATATGTGAACAACAGAATCTGAGCTTTTGGGCTTCTGTAGTAATCTCTTGAGATAGAGCAATTTGTTTTGCTATAACATCTGTTAGACTTGGACCTTAATGGGTACAACTGCTTGAGTTTTCTGGAGAACACTGGATGATTGTTTGACATCAGGGATAAAGAGTTCAAAATATTAAGTTTGTCTCAAAATTAAATATTTGGGAAAGACCTGTGATTGATGTGCATTCATTGTAGGAATAGTACACTAGTTTTAAACAGATGATATTCCTGGTATTTTTGATGAGCTATTCTGTGTCTTAAAGATGTTTAAAGATGACTTGTAGTTGTATAGTGAACTATTAGGAACATACAAAATTTATATAACCCATCCATATAGACTGTGACTTACACCCCCCTCAGTTCCTCCACCCAAGGAGGTCTAGTTGCTGCTTCTATACCCTCTGGTTACCTTGAAGCTACCTATTTCACCATCTTTATCAGACTTTATCAGACTTAATAGGTGAGACCCTCTGACATCAGCCTCCCTTTCCTTCTGTACCACCCCTTGCCACATGCACACAGAATGAAGCTCTTCTCCAAAAGGACTGTATATTAATCTACTTGCAAGTGGCACAAACCCAGTGTAAATTAACTTAAGCAAAAAAAGGTTTTTTCCTCCCTTTGATTATTTAACTAGAAAGTCCAAAGGCAAGCTTCAGGCATGGCTGGATCCTGGGGCTAAAATGATGTCATGAGGGCTTTCTTGGCCCTTCCTTTTTCGGCTCCGTTTTCTTTATTGACTTCATTCTCTCTTGCTGCTTTCTTTTTCTTTTTTTTTTTTTGAGATGGAGTCTTGCTCGTCTTGCTCTGTCGCCCCCAGGCTGGAGTGCAGTGGCACGATCTTGGCTGGCGGCAACCTCCACCTCCCAGGTTCAAGTGATTCTCCTGCCTCAGCCTCCCGGGTAGCTAGGATTACAGGAGCCCGTCACTACCCCCGGCTAATTTTTGTATTTTTAGTAGAAATGGGGTTTCACTATGTTGGCCAGGCTGGTCTTGAACTCCTGACCTCAGGTGATCCACCCGCCTCAGCCTCCCAAAGTGCTGGGATTACAGGCATGAGCTACTGTGCCCGGCCTTCTTGCTGCTTTCTCTATGCATACTGAAAAAGCTCCCTGTCAGCAACCCCAAGCCTATGACCTGATGGCTGTCTTTTAGCGTTGTAAATTAACCATTGCTGACAAGGAAATAGGGAGACCACAATTGGAGAGGTCTACATCATAGGCTCACTCTTGGGATGAGGAAGTAAACTGCCCGTCCATAACCTTATGGGATGGGGAAGTTCAGAGGTCCTAGGCAGGCAGAAACAGCACATGACTACTGCAGGGGTGTGTGTATGCACACATGTGTGCTTACATGTGTGCTCTTATCTCACTTCTTTGGGGTCCTTCTAGAGCCTTCCAACTGGAATGAATCCAGTGGGTTGTGTTTGTCCATCAAACTTTGACTCCCACTGTGGCATCCATTATGTGCTCTCCGTCCTTTCTGTACCTTTGCATCTGCTGTTTGGGTTGCCCTTCCCCATTGCTTCATCTGGCTGATCCTTCTAGATTCAGGTCATGCTTCTCCCAGAAGCCTTCCTTGACACCTTCCTTAATGAGCTAGGCATCCCTTCTCTCTGCTCCCATAAACACCTGAGCACAACCCCCTTGTAGATGTTATTTCTGTTTGATAATTATCTGTTTATTGGTCATGTCTCCACTAGACGGAGAGCCCCTTGAGGACAGAGTGTCCTTTGCTTTGTATTCCTTATCTCCTACCCTTAGCTAGTATTATTTGTCTTCATAGCACTCATAACTGACATTGTATATTTATTTGTTTATTTATTGCCTGTCTCTCCTCATTGACTGTCTTTCATTAGCTTCATGAGAACAATGTGGAAAGGAATTTTCTTTGATCAAAGCAAAACAAAACTACCTTGAGGCCTAGGACAGTGCCTCATACTGGCATATAGTATATGTTCAGTAAATGTTTATTAAATGAATGAATGGAAATCTTCCCACAGGAAGAAAACACTGGCATTATGTTGATGAACATTCCAGTCTGCATGATAGATACACTTCTCACTGTAAAGATCTGAAACTTGAGTACCATGGCATCCCAGGAAGGTAGCACACCTCTTCCCATATGTGTTTGAACCTGCAGAGGTCAGGCCCAAGGAGCCTCCAGCTGGAAATTCTACCCTGTGTGATGTTTCACTCCTCTCAAACTTTTCTGAACTTTGATAGGTTGTATATTAAGGCCTTCTCCATATTTTGGGGCCCTTTCCTTGGAGTATTTATTTTTAAAACATTTATTTAAGCACTTACAAGGTGACAGGCACTGTTCTTAGTCCTTTATAAATAGCAACTCACTCTTGGACTGGAGTTTGGGGACCAAGGGTTGTCAACTTTAAAACTTTTTTCTTTTTAAGTACCAAAACACTCAAGAACAGAAATAAGACTACTCTGCATCTAGTCCATCTTGCCCTCCAGAAGTAGAGCTATCTAACAGCCTGATACAGGTCTTGTCCCTGCCCTTTCCTCAGGTTTTTACAGCCATAGCTAGTAAATATAACATACTGCATCTCATCGCCTTTGTTTGGTCTTCACCCAAACGCAGCCACGCTCTGCCGCAGGATATGTGGCAGAGCCAGGTGGGGAATCAGTGGCTCAGAGCCCACTCTGCTTTTCAGGACATAGGCTGCTCAAGCATCTGTCTTCAGCCCTCTCCCAGGGAGGGCCTAAACCCACATCCTCAGGCCCCTGCAGAGCACATCCATCTTCCTGGTTACATGTTATGCCTTATCTGTGGGAACCCTAGCCACGCCACACCCACACCTCAACACATGAAGAAAGGGAAAAAATACCCCTTTCTTTCTTTTGACAACAACAAAAAAGTACTTCTCCTACAAATAGAGACTTGAAATGACAGGGTTATTATTTAACCCCGCTCTTACTCCAAACATCCAAGCGGCAGTTTCAGCCTAGCTGCAGTACTCTGTTGTAGTGCTTAGTCCTGATTTGCTTCCTAAGAAGTGAATACCAGTTTCCACTGCCATCAGCAATGCCTGAGTACTTACTGTGCCTCTCCCTCACCCTACCCTCCTCTCCAGAACTGAGTATTTTACTAAAAAAGGAAAATCTTAGCTAAATTTGAAATAGCATCTCATTTTAATTTGCATTTTTTATTATAATTGTTTGAGCCCTTTTTACCCATACTGAGCCATTTTTATTTCTACTTTTTAAATTTTTGGTTAATGTTTTGTCTATTCACTTATTGTGTTTAAGTGATTTTTAAAATATACAAATATTCTGAAAAACATGAGTTTATCCTCATGGTAAAAAGCAAACAATTTTATTTGCAGTTAATTCTTTTTAGTTTATTGTTTGCCATCTAATTTTGGCTTTATCATTAAAAATACAAATCTATTTTTCATTCTTTTTTAGACAAATTTTATTCTTTTTGATTTCTTTTGCTTGTGAGCATAAAAAGGTTTTTTTCCTTATTCTATATTCTAGTTTTTTTTATGGTTTGCATTTTTACATATGACTTTTAAAAAGCTAGCATTCAGTTTTATTTCAGATTTTAATAAGATATTTGATGAAAATAGTGTAATATTTTAAATAAAATCAGTTTTAATTAAAGGTCTATGTTTTGTTTTAAGGATGTTTATATTACTGTACTTATATTTTTTCTTTTTAAATAATTTATCAGAATAGCGAACAGCTTGCTTGACAAAACTAAGATTCACATATATAGATAATCATAATTTTAGTGTTCTTAGCGTTTCCATAAATTGCTGCATGAAAAGATATTTATGTGTGGCTGTCTGGTTTAAAGAGGCACTCGTGCTTGGCAACAGCTTTTCAGCATGTAGCCAAGATGACAAATTCAGCCTCTTCCAGTTCCTCTTCCTCACTATTTCCCTAAGATTTTTTTCATGGGAGCATAACTATGTGTATCTCTGTGCACAGATTTTATGTGTACCTTTCAATGTATTTTAACAAAAATATATCCATTTAACTATCCAAATCAAGAAATAAAACATTTTCATTACCTCAGAAAGCTCCCCTGTGGTAGTCACCACTACCCCCAAAGGCCAACACTATTGATGTCTGATATCTATCACTATAGATTAGATTAGTTTTGCCTGTTCTAAAATTTCATGTCAGTATGTGCTTTTGTTTGTGGCTTCTTTCAGTGAGGATCAACCATGTTGCATGTGTCAGTATCCATTGTGTGAATATGCATCAAGTTATTTATTCATTAGTTGATTGACATTTGGGTTATTCCAGTTTGGGGCTATTAAGAAGAATAAAGCTCTATGAACAGTTTTTTTTCCTGTTTTTTATTGTAGTAAAATACACAACATAAAATTTACCATCTTAAACCATTGTTTGTTTTTTTTTTTGAGACGGAGCCTTGCTCTGTTACCCAGGCTGGAGTGCAGTGGCACGATCTTGGCTCCCTGCAACCTCCACCTCCCAGGTTCAAGCAATTCTCTGCCTTAGCCTCCCAAGTAGCTGGGATTACAGGCACCCACCACCATGCCCAGCTAATGTTTGTATTTTTAATAGAGACGGAGTTTCATCACCTTGGCCAGGCTGGTCTTGAACTCCTGACCTTGTGGTCCACCCGCCTTGGCCTCCCAAAGTGCTGGGATTACAGGCATGAGCCACCGCGCCTGGCCCGTAAACCATTTTTAAGTGTATAGTTCAGTAGTGTTAGGTATAGTCACATTGTTGTGCAACAAATCTCCAGAACTTTTTCATCTTGCAGATCTAAAACTATATTCATTAACAACTCCTCTTTTCCCCCATCCTCCAGCCCCTGGTTCTATGGACATTCTTGTACAAGTCTTTTTGTGGCCATTTTTCTTGGGTAAGTACCCAGGAGTATAAATGCTGGGTCTAGCCTTAGAAGAAACTGCCTTACAGTTTTCTCGAATAGTTAGTCGTACCATTTTATGTTCCCACAGTATACAAAAATGCTAGTTTGCTTCATATCCTCACCAACATTAGGTATTGTGAGTCTTTTTTTATTTTAGCCATTCTGTAGCTGTGAAGCGGCATCCCATTGTGGTTTTATTACATGTTCTAGTCAGTTATTTACATGTCTGTTCCCATTACTAGACTGTGAACTTCATAAGGGAAGGTTCATGCAGTAAGTAGTTTTGTTTTTTTTGTTGTTGTTCTTATTAACCTTCCTCTTCTTATTTTGAGGGTGATACATGCTTTATTATTAAAAAGAACTTAAAAATTATAGAAAGCTATTAAAAAGCCAATAAAATCACAGGTTAGCCCACCTCTCAGACATCATCAGGAGTATTTTGGTCTTTCAGGCAGTGCTGTGTTGGTTCGTACAGACAGAACAGTTCCCATGATGGTTGATTCAGCAACCCAGCATTGTTCCAGCCCACTGCCTTGCTATCCTCTGGACATCACTTATTCCCAGCGAGGAGCCCTTTTCTCAGACAGCCCCAGACAGATTGTTTTTGTGGTTTGCTGGCCACAAATGTATCACATGTATCACTGACAAAAGAAGTAGAATCCTCAATACTGGATTAAATTAGATTAATTAACATCCTTCCTCTGGGGCTGGGGAGGGAACCTGGCCTTCTTAGGAAAGTGGACAGAATCAGGGCACTCTCAGAAAGGGAGGCATAGTTCTAGCGTAGGCCACTAACATTATCTGCCTCTTTTTTTTTGAGATGGAGTCTCACTCTGTTGCCCAGGCTGGAGTGCAGTGGCACAATCTCAGCTCACTGCAACCTCTGCTTCCCAGGTTCAAGCGATCCTCCTGCCTCTGCCCCACTAGTAGCTGGGATTACAAGTACCTGCCACCACGCCCGGCTAATGTTTGTATTTTTAGTAGAGACGGGGTTTCGCCATGTTGGCCAGGCTGGTCTCAAACTCGTGACCTCAGGTGATCCACCTGCCTCGGACTTCCAAAGTGCTGAGATTACAGGCATAAGCCACCACGGCCGGCCTGCTTCTTGGTGTTTTTATTTAATTTTTTTACACTTAGTCTGTCAATACATTTGCAATTTGTTTTGGCTTATTAATATAAGGCTAGACTCTAGACTTTTTTTTTTTCCAAATAGCCATTCAGTTGGCCCAGCTCCATCTGTTGAATAACGCTTTTTCTCACTGCTGTTTTTGGTTCCTCATCATGCATTGGATTTCTGCACATACTAGGCTCTGTTTGGAGGGAGGTGGTTCTTTTCTGTTAGTCTGAAGCTCTACCCTTGCTTTATACCAGTGCTGCCTTGGTTTAATTAGCGTAGCTGTCTTCTTTTTAAAAAACTGTTTTGTTTGTTCTTGTACTTGAACTTTATTTATTCCCATCCAATGACCTATTAATTGCATCTGAACTTTAGAGTAATCATTTTGTCAGGTATCCACTCCTTACTGCCCCAACCTCATAGTATTTGCAGTAAATCGTTATTTAATTTGATATTAATTAGTATTCATAAAGTATTCTGCCATCACATTTGAGACTGGTATGTCCTTCTATTTAAGACATATATTCCTCAGCAGAGTTTTGTAATTTTCCACATGTAAGCTCTTCACATTTCTTAGGGTTAGTCCTAGATACTTCTTTTTTTTAATTTAATGTTTTATTTGCTATTAAGAATATGGTATTCTTAATAGCAAATAAAACATTAAAGTATATAAAGAATATATACTTACTATATGAAGAAGGTATACTTATATATTACTATAGTAATGTATATATTACTATATAAAGAATATATACTTTAGATGCATATATACATATGCATATAAAGAAGCTATTGTGTTTTATATGTTTCTCTTATATTCAACCATATTCCTTGACTGGTATTGGTTCTAAGAGTTTTTCAGTTGATCCTCTTGAATCAACTAGGGTTATGATGATATCATCTGCAAATAATCTATTTTTCTTTTTAATAGTTTATCTCTTATTTTTGTTTCATAATGTAGAATATGTAAGAATTTCCATAGGTAGAAAAGATATTAAATATATATATTTAACATGTGTTAAATACCATATTTGTTTTAAGACCACTGAGCATAAAGACTTGCTATTGATTTAATAACAGATTTGGGGGGCACTATATTAAATGTATACTTACACTGTAATTCATATTCCAATATCAGAAATGTTAGGATGTAAAAAGCAGTGCATCTTAGAATTAAGGAAAATAACAATGGTAATGGTAGCCCTCCTTTTTCTCGTTTGAGTGGTAGTGTCTAACTGTTCCATTCTACATATGATATTGGCTGTTGATTTATGATAGACAGTCTTTATTATTAAGGGGTCCTCACACATCTTCCTGTTTGGAAGAGGTTTTGTGTTGGTTTAATCAGCTTAGGAGGGAAAGGTGATCATCAGGGTCACTTTCGTGCAGAATCCCACCTCTGCCCACAATTCCTGCCTTCTTTGAACTTTCTTTGTTAAAGTAAGAATCTAGACTCTGGCATCAAAGATTGATATGCTAAGCAGAAGTTTACTGCCCAGCAGAGAACCAGTTGAGTGCAAAAGTTAGGCTCTGAGATCTAAGCCTTGAGGGTGGCAATGAGGGATGAGGTAGGTTTTTAAAACTCATGGTCTCCATCCCATATTAGGAAATCAAAGTCTCCAAATGCTACTTATTGGCCAGTGTTATCTGGACTAGGCATTGTCTAAGCAACAAGCAGGACAGGACGCTTGCAGGGGTTTTTGATAAGTTATCTCTCACTATGTCTATGAGTCAGGATAATAGTGCCCCAGTCATTGTTTTGGTAGAAGTCCAGTCCACTGGCTAGGCAGCCATGTTGGGATTCATCACTTTGTAGTTTCTAACTTTTTACTGTATTCCATATTGGAAAGTTCAGCCCTCCTCTGAGATACCCATTGTCCACTAGAACTCCAGACAGAAGTGCTGGAGAGGGCAGTGGGCCAGGTCAGGAAGACATAAGCCAGAGTTGAAGTACAACAGTGGAAAGAACAAAGTCTTTGGAGCAGTGCCTCTTAACCTTCGTTCTGGGTACACAGATCTATCTGGGAGTCTGAAAGCTATGGGCTGTCTCTTGAGGGAAATGCGCATGTTGCGTTTTTCAGTAAATATTTTTGAGCACGCTGAAAGCAAAACACTTGTATAGCCCTAGCTTCTTGGAACTTGTAGTAAGAGAGACAGATATTTACCAAAAAACCACATGAAGAAATGTAAAATTACAAGTGTAAATATGCTCCAAAAGAGAGGAGGGGGTCTTGAAATCATGCGATGGGAGGGGGTAGGGGTTAGAGCTCAAGCTCTTCCTCCAGAAGTGTTGACTACCCTGAGATCTGAAGGGCAAATCATAGGATAGTGGAAAGGAGGAGAAATAATCCAGAGAGAGGGGCAAGTATGTGGCAGGAGGGAGCATGGCAATCTAGAGGGAGGAAAAGAAGGCTCAGGGAGGCTGGGGGACAGAGAGATGGGGCATGGTCCAACAGAAGGGAGAAGGATGGCAGGGCTAGGCCACGTAAGGCTTTGGAGCCATCGTGTAAAGATGTTTGCCTTTATCTTAAGAGCATTAGGAAGCCATCAAAGTATTTTTTGTTAATAATGTAAATATTTGATATGCATAAAAGATTCCTGCAGCATATATGTATCACTGAAATACAACAATGAAACGAATGCACGTGAACCTAACACCTTCCCCTGAATGAGAACCTTATCTGTATTGCTGAAGCCTCCCTTGTCGCCTCTTGGATCCCATCTGCCTGTGTTCCCCCTCCCCCCTTAATTGCTAGGTTAGAATTTTCTTGAATTCCATGCATGACATGATCAGATTTTGGTTTTCAGAGATCACACAAGCTGTGTCGAGAAGACTGGATAGAAAAGAGGCCAAAGTACATGCGGGGAAACCAGTTTGGAGGTTGTAATCACAAAACACAATCTTACTAAAAGTTTGTCTGCATTTTATTTTATTGCCTTGGAAATTTATTTCTTTCACAGATGATTTATTTTCATCATTTTAAAAATATAAATTAATGGTATCTTCCTAGAAAAAAATAAAATCAGATAAAACTAAAAGCTCTAATTCTGTTGGACAATAATGAGAAGGCTGTACTGTTTGGCTTAACTAAAAAATGTGGTGAGGCATGGTGGCTCACGCCTGTAATTCCAGCACTCAGGGAGGCCAAGGCAGGCAGATTGCTTGAGCCCAGGAGTTCGTGACTGGCCTGGGCAACATAGTGCGGCCCTATTTCTACGAAAAAAAATTTTTTTAATTAGCCAAGCATGGTGGTATGTGCCTGTAGTCCCAGCTGCTTAAGAAGCTGAGGCAGGAGGATTGCTTGAGCCCAGGAGTTTGAGATTGCAGTGAGACATGACTGTACCACTGCACTCTGGCCTGGGTGACAGAGACCTTGTCTTTTAAAAAATAAATAAAGGACATCATGGCTGTGCATAAGTACATCTATGACAGCTAGTCTGTTTTGGCCTTTTCCCTTTGATGTACCCAAATGCAGAAACTCCTATCTCGCCTAGCAAAGCCTCTGGCAGCCCTGGACTTGGAGCTCCCTGGTTTGTATTGTCCAGCAAAGATGCTGTAGTAGTTTCCCGTGGCTGTCTGCTGTAAAAAAATAACCACAAACTAGGTGGCTTAAAACAATGGAAATTTATTATCTGACAGTGCTGGAGGCCAGAAATCTGAAATCAGTATCACTGGGCCATGTTGGCAGGGCTGTGCTCCCTCCAGAGGCTGTAGGGGAGAATCCATTCCTTGCCTCTCCCAACCTCTGGTGGGTGCTGGCATCGCTTGTGTTGCGGCTGCGTCGCTCTAGTCTTCAAGGCTAGCATCTTCGAATCATTCTCTACTCTGTCTTCACATGGCCTTTTCCTCTGTGTGTGTAGGTGGAAATTTTTTTGAACTTGCCAACACTAAAAGAAACACTTTTAAAGACCAGTGTTCACTTGAAAATGGCTCTCTGTCAAATTCCAAGAAAACCAGTTCACTGAAAGTCAGTTCTACAAAAGCCCCTCCATCCTACCCCTTTGCCTCCTCAGTTTCCTCCTCAATCTTCTGCTCTACAGCAGCAGGGAGACAGCAGAGCATATTTCCTCTAAATTCTATTAAGAAGACAGAATAAAAACTGGTCAATTAAGACTAGGGAGATTTAAGAAAAAAGTAAATGCAACATATTGGTTGTTTCGTAAATTGGTTATCCAAGGAATTGACCATTTGGCAAACTGACTTTCGGCAAATTGGCTGTTGGTGAAATCAGCCTATTTCCCTGAGAAACACTGCAGAAGGCAGGGCAGTGGCTGCCTTGAGCCTGCCCAGGACAGGACTGTGACTGTCCCCTCCTGCTTTCTACAAGCCATGGAGATAGGGGCATTGCTCTTGCATGAGGCTGGGGCTGAGAGCAGCCCCCTACAGGCTGGATCTGGATCCTAGGGAAGAAGAAGATGGGAGATCTCCCCCTTTGGGTCCTGACTCAATAGAACCCAAATGTAGGCCAGTAGCGGAACCTCTGTGCTAGCCAGAGTCAGGCCAGAAGTCAGTCAGGTGCTGCATCCAAGAACAATCTAGCATCGGAGAAGCGGCTTAAGGGTGTCAGAATATAATGTATAAAACCACAAGTTGTATAGGGTCACCCCGTGGGGTAGTTATCCGACTGAATGTACATTTATTAGTTATACATACTTGCAAAAGATTGCACACAGGCCTGTTAGTCATTATTATTAGTATTATTTTACATATGTAATATTATTGCAAATGTTATATCTTTATTATATAATACTTAAGCCTGGCACATATAGCTAGTTGATAAATACCACTTTTTTTCTTTGTTACTAGATAACTTACTGGAGTGGATAAATGCACTTAATAGCTTTTGGAGACCTCTTTTTCTTCTGGGGGTACCTGAGGCATTTCTTGCTTTCTTTTTTTTTTTTTTTGAGATGGAGTTTCGCTCTTGTTGCTCAGGGTGGAGTGCAGTGGTGCGATCTCGGCTCACTGCAACCTCCGCCTCCCAGGTTCAAGTGATTCTCCTGCCTCAGCCTCCCTAGTAGCTAGGATTACAGGCATGTGCCACCACACCCGGCTAATTTTGTATTTTTAGTAAAGACGGAGTTTCTCTATGTTAGTCAGGCGGGTCTCGAACTCCCGACCTCAGGTGATCCACCCACCTCGGTGTCCCAAAGTGCTGGGATTACAGGCATGAGCCACCGCGCCTGGCCACATTTCTTGCTTTCTTGTAACTTCAAAAGCCAGTTTTAGCTGGGAGCAATGGTTCACGCCTGTAATCCCAGCATTTTTGGAGGCCGAGGCAGGCGGATCACCTGAGATCAGGAGTTTGCGACCAGCCTGGCCAACATGGTGAGACCCCACCTCTACTAAAAATATAAAAATTAGCCAGGCATGATAGCGCGTGCCTGTAGTCCCAGCTACTTGGGAGGCTGAGGCAGGAGAATCACTTGTACCTGGGAGGTGGAGGTTGCAGTGAGCCGAGATCATGCCACTGCACTCCAGCCTGGATAACAGAGTGAGATTCTGGCTCAAAAAAAAAAAAAAAAAAAAAGCCATTTGTGATCATTAACATCAATAGAATATATGTCAGCATAAATACTGCCACAGAGCACTACTCAGCCAGTTGGGCAACTCACTCTTCTCTACCAAAAGCTTTACAGGTTATCAAAGCAAGTGGGTTTACTGTGGGAGGCTACTGTGAATTTTGGAAATTAATGTTGAGGGACTAGCGCAGTGGCTCACACCTGTAATCCCAACATTTTGGGAGGCCGAGGCAGGCGGATCACGAAGTCAGGAGATTGAGACCATCCTGGCTAACACGGTGAAACGCCGTCTCTACTAAAAATACAAAAAATTACCCAGGCATGGTGGCATGTGCCTGTAGTCCCAGCTACTCGGGAGGCTGAGACAGGAGAATCACTTGAACCTGGGAGGTGGAGGTTGCAGTGAGCTGAGATCGCACCACTGCACTCCAACCTGGGCAACAGAGCGAGACTCTATCTCAAAAAAAGAAAGAAAGAAAGAAAATTAATGTTGTTAGGAACTGTTGTAGTGGAATAAAAACTCAGTGATAAAGAATTGAGGAGAAACAACGATAACAAAAAAGGAGGGCAATAAATTTGTGCCTAGCAACTCTGAATTGCTTACTATACATTTCCTAAGAGTTATTCTAAAATGATGCCCTGGTACTTAAAAATAACTGAGCAGGCTGGGCGTGGTGGCTCACACCTGTAATCCCAGCACTTTGGGAGGCCAAGACCGGCAGATGACGAGGTCAGGAGATCGAGACCATCCTGGCTAACACAGTGAAACCCCGTCTCTAATAAAAATACAAAAAAATAGCCGGGTGTGGTGGCAGGCACCTGTAGTCCCAGCCACTCGGGAGGCTGAGGCAGGAGAATGGCGTGAACCCAGGAGGCGGAGCTTGCAGTGAGCCAAGATTGCACCACTGCACTCCAGCCTGGGTGACAGAGCCAGACTCCATCTCAAAAAAAAAAAAAAAAAAAAAAAAAAACTGAGTAATTTATTACTTTCTTTGATAATATGTTGCAAATTGTTTAGAATACATTCACAGGCAGTACATTTCTGTCCCAGTATCACTGTATGAGCAAATACTGAAGGAGTTTGCAGACATCTGCTTTACAGTAGACAGGAGATAGATGTTCCAATTGGATATAGCCCATGTGTGTAGTAAAGTCTGGTTATAGGAAATTACAGATTAAAAAAGACTGTTGTTGTAAACATGTATCCCTGCACGCAGTAAGGTTAAACAGAAGATCCACAACAAACCAAATTAACAATTACTAAGTCAGACTAACAGTTACTTATAGTTAAAAAGCAAGAATAGCAGGGATTGGAAAACAAAACCAACTCAGGAGCCCTGATAATAGCATGTCCTTTCCTATAGGTGGGGAAGTCTCACCCCCTGAATGCACCTATAGAGCTAGAGCTTGGCACTGCTATGTGGAAGCCAGACTTCTGAGAATACTGAGTTTCTGAGTACTTCATTTTTAGACAGTAACTCTTAATCATTTAGGTGGTTTTTAATAAGTAGACCTAGGTGGTATAGATACATCTGGGGTCATTTCACAGGCCCCTGGGGAGGTGAGCCATTCTTTATAGGAAGAGCTCCTCCCTTGAGAGGACTGACCACCCATGTGTTGGCAGTGCCGTTACGCACGGGGAAGTTACGCACAGGGAAAATGCTCGAAGGGTAGGCACGGATGAATGATGAATTAACAATGGGTGATTTTTATTGTGTTTGCTTGTCTGTATTTTCTGAAATAAACCTATTATTTTTGGTTAATTTTTTTAAAGACTTTCATCCAACTCGTCAAGTTCCTACAATAGAACAGTTAAAAAAAAAAAGACATCATCACCTCACAACCATGGGGGAGTTAAAACAATTACTGAGGGGGAGGAGATGAAACGTTTATGAATAAGACTGTCTGCAGTTACTTGAGCTGCTAAGATTAAATGACAATAGGAGTTGTTGTTCTTTCAAGGCATAAACTGACCTTCTGTTGAGGAAAGTTCACTGCTTTGCCACTGTGTCCTATGTTAGATTAAAAGGGGTGGGGGGAGCAGCGGTGCAGCTTCCCTCGCACAGTAGTTGTGATTAAAGCTTTTCTGGATCATTTCTGAAGAAGGGTAAAGGCTTTCAGATTGTCTTGCCTGAAGACAAGAAAGCAGAGGTAAGATATAACTCCTGTTACTTAAACGGAGGAAAAAAAACATGGGGAAGTGGACTGGAATTGCAACAGCAAGAGTTTGTTGTGGTTCTTGTTTGTTTTTACCTTTTAAATTTGTGAAATACAGCATATATATACAGAAACATGAATAAAACGTAAATGTATAATGAAATTATTGGAAAGCAAACATATGTAGCCACTACCCAAGTCAAGAGCTAGAACATCACCGGTACCCAAAAGATTTCTTCCCAGTCAAAACTCCCACCTTTCTCCCTAGAAGTGATTAACCACAATTTTGTCTTTTTTTTTTTTTTTTTCTTTTTTTTTTTTTTTGAGACGGTGTCTTGCTCTGTCTCCAGGCTGGAGTGCAATGGCACAATCTTGGCTCACTGCAACCTCCGACTCCCTGCTTCAAGCGTTTCTACCACGTCAGCCTCCCCAGTAGCTGGGACTACAGGCACACGCCACCATGCCCAGCTAATTTTTTGTACTTTTAGTAGAGATGGGGTTTCACTATGTTGGCCAGGATGGTCTCGATCCCCTGACCTCGTGATCCGCCCACCTCGGCCTCCCAAAGTGCTGGGATTACAGGCATGAGCCACTGCGCCCGGCCTCATTTTGTCTTTTATGCAGAGCATACTATAGTTTGGTTTTGCCTGGCTTGGGACTTTCTGTAAGTGGGATCATATAGTATACATATGGCTTTTCCCACTCAGTATCATATTTAGATAATTAGCTACCTTGTTGCATGCGTAGATCTTTCATTTTTGTTGCTGTATTGTATTCCATCATGGGCATATGCCACCATTTATCCATTTTACTTTTGATGGACATTTGGGTTGTTTCCAGTTTGGGGGCTATTAATTACAAATAATGCAACCATGAACTTCTTGGGGTTTACCATTACCTTTCTAGATAATGGTAAACTGGTTTCCTGTAGTGACTAAGAGCTGCTCTGCATCCTTGCTGCCACCTGGTCTAATCAGATGGCTAATGCTGTCTGTCTGGTGAATGGACAGTAGCTCACTGTAGCTATACTGTGCATTTCTCTGATGTGATGGGGTTGAGAACCTTTTCATATGTTTGATATTTTTTATCTCCTGTGAAGTTGTCTTTCGATTGTTTTTGCCCATTGTTATACCTACTGAGGGGTCTGTTATTCTTTCAACTAACCAGCCCTCTGAAGGCGAATATAAGGATACAAAACATGCTTCCTGCCCCCGAGGAGATGACTTGACAATTCTAGAGGCAGATATATGAACAAGAAGTACATGATAATTGTGATTACTGAGGCATCCATCTTCCCTAGCAGACTAGCTAAAGGATGGCGCTCTTATTTGTGTCATATCCTGGGTGCTTAACACAGTATCTGCCACATAATTAGGTGCTTAGTAAAGTTTTGTTAAATGATCGAATGGGGCGTTTTTAGCGCAGTGTGCAAGTGCCCTATTAGGGGTAGGCGCCCAGTAACTCGAGAAGCATGGAGTAGGAAACCACAAACAGCACCTGCTCCCCCTCCTCTCCCCCTACCTGCTGTGGGGAAGGCCTCCCTTGTAAATTTGAAAGGTTGATTCACGGGAAGCCGTGGAGGAGGTGCATGCTAGGCCAACGAATAGAATGTGCAAAGGCCCAGAAGGAAGACAGAGCCCAGCCTGCAAGGGAATGTTAATTTGGAGTGACTAACACCATGAAAGGGCATCAGCTGGAGATACTGCTATAAAGGGACTGCCTTGTAATTTCATAAGCATGGGGGTAAAATTAAGATTAAACACAGGGAAAGAACATTCTCACAGGTGAGGATGGTGTTGAACCCTAGAATAATCGTTTCCCAGATACCTTGAACAAAAATCCAGCAGTTAGAGAAGCCTGACCATGAAGCAAATTTGACTTTTGTCCCTCTAGATAACAAAAGTTATCTTTTTGAAAGTAATGGTGTAATTTGAATGAGTGTAGAGAAGCGCTGAAGACTGAGCTTTACTAAAGCCTTCAGACCTGGATTTGGCAGCAGCGTGGCCTTAGTCAAGCCTCGGTTTCTACACCTGCAAAGTGGGAATAATGCCTACCTTGGAGGGCTGTTGTGAAGATTAAGGGAGATAATACATGTAAAGTACTTAACCATTTGCCTGGTGGGGTAGTTTTTATGACCTAGATCCTAAATTGTTCACTGCTGCTGTTGCTACTCTTGGTACTTTTTACTGGCTGGCATCTGCTTGCTTAAGTTTATAACATAGTAGGAGCATTAACAAGGTCCCACGGTGGGGACCTTGGTCGTTTGACGAGATCTGCGCTCCCGCCCATCCCCTCCCCCCCCCCTCCACATTGGAGACGCGGCCACCACCGCGCTGGCGCGGAGAGAGGGAGGACCGGGCGTCATGCTGTTTCTGGCCTGAGGTTTTGTGTGCCTTTGTTTTCCTTTTGCTCTATTCGTGTATTCCTGCCTACGGCCTGTGCGGGGAATTAGGAGCTCAGTACTGAAACGGCGGTTTTCCTAAACAGTACCGGACGGGCGCGGGGGCTGACGCCTGTAATCCCAACACTTTGGGAGGCCGAGGTGGGCGGATCTCTTGAAGCCGGGAGTTCGAGACCACCCTGGCTAACGTGGTGAAACCCTGTTCTTACTAAAAATACAAAAAAAAAAAAAAAAAAAAAGCCAGGAGTGATGGCGCTCGCCTGTAATCCCAGCTACTCCGTAGGCTGAGGCAGGAGAATCGCTTGAACCCGGGGGGCAGAGGTTGCAGTGAGCCGAGATTGCGCCATTGCACTCCAGCCTGGGCAAAAAGAGCGAGACTCCGCCTCAAAAAAAAAAAAAAAAGTACCTTCCGTAGTTCTCATGCAGCGGAGGGGTTCGACTTGTAACCGGCCTGAAACCAAGCGTGGCGCAAGATTTGCTCAAGCCCCTCCTCTTGGCCAAACTTTCCGGAGGGGAAGGCTTTCCGAGGAAACGAAAGCGAAATTGAACCGGAGCCATCTTGGGCCCGGCGCGCAGACCCGCGGAGTTTCCCGTGCCGACGCCCCGGGGCCACTTCCAGTGCGGAGTAGCGGAGGCGTGGGGGCCTCGAGGGGCTGGCGCGGCCCAGCGGTCGGGCCAGGGTCGTGCCGCCGGCGGGTCGGGCCGGGCAATGCCTCGCGGGCGCAATGAATCCGCGGCAGGTAAGCCGGGCCGGCCTTGGACCTTCGCCGCCGTCTGGGTTCGTTTACAACCTCACAGGCTTTGTGTTGCAGTGCGTAGCGTGTGCGTCTTGTGAGTGTTAGAGTGTGTGTGTGTGTGTCGTCTTGCCAAGCAGCATTGCTGGTTTAGGAATTTGTGCGTCTTGTGAGTGTGTGTGTGTGGGTGTGTGTCGTCTTGCCAAGCAGCATTGCTGGTTTAGGAATTTGTGCGTCTTGTGAGAGTGTGTGTGTGTGTGTGTGCGTGTGTGTGTAGTCTTGCCAAGCAGCATTGCTGGTTTAGGAATTTGTGAATTTGTATCCTGCTCATTAATTCTGCAGAATGGAGCAGTGCGTGAAGAGGGCTTGGGGGAAAATGCGCCCCCGTCTGAGTAGGAAGGCCTGAGCCCATGTCAAGGCAGACACATCGTCTCCCTTTCTGCTAGGGCCCCTTGTGGAACCCCCTACCCCCGCTTTAGCCCCACTTGAACAACGTTCGGACTTTGAGCAGCGCACACTATCCTCAGCTCACCTTATCCACCTCCTGAAGGCCTTCTGGGAGTTAAAAATGGCACTTAAGCTGTAGGAGAAAGCTTGTTAACCACTTTATAGCTAAAAACTGGGAAAACACAAATGGCCTTCAGCAGGTTAACAGATAAACTGAAATACATCCACATAATGGGATACTGCTTAGTAGTGAAGAGGAAATACTGTTACAAGTAACAACACGGGTGACTCGCAAGTGCGTTATGCTAAGCACGAGAAGCCAGACTCAAAAGGCTGCATACTGTATGAGTCCATTTATATGACATTCTGGAAAAAAAAAACCACAGTTATAGGGATGGAAAGTGGATCCGTGGGTGCCAGGGACTGGGTATCGTGGAAGAAATTGATTGTTGAGTGGCATGAAAAAGCTTTTTAGGGAAATAGAAATGTTCTATATCTTGATTGTGGTGGCGATTGTCGAAATTCATAGATTTATACACTTAAAAGGATAAATTTTACTGTATCTAAATTATATACCTCAATTTTGTTAAGATATATATATATTTTTTTTTTTTTAAGCACTCCTTTGAAAGGATTAAGGACGCCTAACTTGAAGGAAAAGCATTTCTGCACAGGTGTCAGTGTATTGCACTGTGGAACCTGTGTGGTAAAGGCAAAGGGGGTAGTGCTTATCTCTTGATCCTAAATATGTGAGACCAGATTAAAGTGAAATCTGGGAGGCAATGAATGTTAAATGAGTTGTTATGTAATTTGCATAGAGGTGATGCTGAGAGATTTAGAAAGGATCACTGTGGGTTGCTTGCTCACTTTCTTGCTCTCCTATTCCGTAGCTTTCCAAATGGCTGTACTCAACGGTGGCTTGGTGTTTAGGGGATTTAAGGGGGGCAAAAAGAAAGATTAATAATCTCCTCCTCTCCCTCTAACCCTACTGCCCTAAGATATCCTTAGCAAACTTACATCTCCTTTCTTTTCTCTGTGTTCATTCCATTGTGCGCACACATACACATTCATGGATTTTCTCTTTTTGTTTAGGGAAAAAAATTATAATGTACATACTATTCTACAACTTTTTGTTGTTTTATTGAACATTATATGATTCCTAAATTATCCCCAGGTGAATACAAATAGATATGACACATTTTAAAAAAATAAAATAACTGGCCGGGCGTGGTAGCTCATGCCTGTAATCCCAGCACTTTGGGAGGCCGAGGAGGGCGGATCAGGAGATCGACACCATCCTGGCCAGCATGGTGAAACCCCATCTCTACTAAAAATACAAAAATTAGCTGGGTGTGGTGGCGTGCGCCTGTAATCCCAGCTACTCCGGAGGCTGAGGCAGGAGAATCACTTGAACCCGGGAGGCGGAGATTGCAGTGAGCTGAGATCACACTGCACTCCAGCCTGATTGCAGTGAGCCGAGATCATGCCACTGCACTCCAGCTTGGCAACAGAGCGAGACTCCGTCTCACAAGAAAAAAAATAACCGTGTGAGTACTATTCCATAGAATGAATGTTTCATAATTTAATTCTTCTATAGACAGACATTAAAATATTTTCCAGATTTGGGCCAAGAGTAGCAGTTTAAAAAACATTTAGCTTTTAACTGACTCTAGCCACTTTGAAACACAATTTTTTTTTCCCAAGGTCACTCAAAGAGCTAATAGGAGAACCCCTAAGTCCCATAATTCAGCTCTGGGAGCCAGCACTCACTCTGTACACACATTTGCCTCTGTCCCTAGCAATATGGTGGGCGTGAGGGTGCAGCAAGAGGAACAAGAAAGAAATGATTGCTTGCATAGTGGCGTCTTGTTCATGCAGTCATTAATTCAACAAATGTTTGTTGAGAATCAGCTTTGTGCCAAGTGCTAGAGAGGTTGAGATGATTGAAGCATAGTCCTTGACCCCCAAGAGCTCACCATGGAATCAACTGAAGCCCCTCATCAGTACTGTGTTGGGAATATTGAGAGTGGAGAGTTGAGTATAACTTATAGGACACCTAATGTTAATTACCTTTCAGACACTGCAATGTGTGTGTGCCATAAAAAAAAAAAAAATCCAGTAGCTCTGATACGAGGGAAAGTAAATGGTTTAACAGGTGCTGAGTAGGAGAAGCTCAAGGAGAGGAAACCCCAAGGGCTGAAGAAGGTGGGAGTCAGGAGTCTCCTGAAGCAAGTGGCATTTAAGGAGCTCTATAAGGAAAGGGTCAGAGTTGTGATAGGTGGCTGTGGAGGGAGATGTGCCACCTGGATTGGCATGTAGAGGGATAGAAAGATTATAGGCCTTTGCAATGGCCCAGTAAGAGGTAATGAGGGGCTGGAACTGGAAGAAAACACATTTAAGACACAGTACAGAGGTGGCAGACAAGGTGGGACTTGGCAACTACCTGATGAGATCCAGGAGATGAGGCCAGGAGGCGGGCAGCAAAGATGACGCAGGTTTCTAGCCTTAATAGGCTAGGAGGAGAGTGATGCCATTAGCAATAAGAACTACAGGAGAAGGAGCTGAGTTTGAGGGAACTATTAATTTGGTTCAGAATATGTGCTGTTTGAGTTATGGCAGGATATTTAAGTGGACAGACTGTCGACATAGTTGGAAATTCAGATCTTAAGCTCCCACACAAGGTAGTGGCTGGACATAGTAGATTTGAGTGCTCTTGCTTCAGAGGGCTAGTTTAGGTTGGGGCAGTGATTAAAGCAACCTAGGAAATAAATTATAAAGGAAGAAGAGGTCCTTAAAACCTTGGAGACTGATTATATAAAGGGTGGATCCGTTAATACAGTAGCTATTAAAAAATTATAAGGGGTGGGAAAAAGGGACAAAGAAGAAAAAAGAGGTGAAAGACCTTTGCTGTGTCACCAAACCCTGGGAGGAGAATTTTTTAAAAGAAGAGTACTCAATCCACAGTGAACTAAGGCATGTTTGTTAAACACAATTGACCACCACACAGCGAAGACCCAAATGAGGTTCAAGAGAAGGAATTTTTATGGACCCTGTTAGCACAAGTCAAGGTCCTTCTCCAGTACCACTGGGAAGCTTTGGAGAAGAAAAGGGGGACAGTGGGCCTTGGGTGGAGAAGGGAACTGACCATGAGATCCAGGTGGGGTGAGGAGGTGTGTGAAGTCAGAGTGGGGAAGAATCAGGGTGGCTTACTGGCAGCTTCACCGGGGTCATGCGAGGAGCAGGTTCCACCAGAGTAAGGAGTGAAGTTGTAGAAACACAGGGAAGTCACCATCAGAAAAGAGCAGGAGTCAAGAAACTATGGCCCACAGGTACAAACTACCTGTTTTTATAAATAAAGCTTCATGGTAAATGAATTGTAAATAAAGTTTTGCATATTGTGTGAGGCTGTTTTTGTGCTACAGTGGCAGAGCTGTCTGGCCCTTTATAGAAAAAGTTTATCAGCCACTGGAAAAGAGTTGCAGGATTTGAGGTCTTGGTGTGATGGCCTAGGTTAGAGTCATAGTGAGATTGAAGGAGTAGCTAGACAAGCCAATTGTGTGGCAGAAAGGTAGGGATGGAGATCACTGGGTTAAGGATCCTTGTAGCCAGGACACCATGAGAGTGATTGACAAGAATGCTGAAATCCCCTAAGTGTGTCAGGATGTGGAAGAGTAGAAGGCTAGAGTTATGGAAGAAAGGGTCCCACCTCTACCTGTGCAGCCTCCAGGAGAGTCTGAGGAGGGGGCGGTGAGTGTGAGTAAATGTTGTCAGAATCCCTCCTCCCAGTCTACAAGCCCCAGGGAAAGGAAGCAAGGTGTTTACTGACACCCCCAGGCTTATAAGTACTTCCTGGCTCCATCACCCTCCAGTGAACAGCCCTGGGGAGAAGACAGTACTGGTTTGCAGGTGGGTGGGTGGGGAAAGGGGTCACAGGTGCTTGGTGTTCTGGTAAATGTGCATATGAGAACATGGGGTTGCTTGTGCCCTGTCCGTCAGGGTTCAGAAGAACGTGCAGTGGAAGCAGCTATGGGGAAGTAGCTAGGGAAGGTAGGACTGGTCTGAGGTGGTGAGGAGCAGATGCTGCCAGCTCCACACATCCAGGAGAGCCTGGGTGGTTTGGGCAAAAGTCTCTGGCATCCCTTCTGAGCCTGGGTACCACACTGAAGAGTGAGGACAGTGTGCCATTTTTATCAGGAAACCCTCCAGCTCCCTGAAGACCAAATTCTGATCCTCCTGGGATGGCAGTGAAGAGCCACAGAGATGACTCTGAGGTCCCGTGGCCTTTTCCCACCTGGAGATTGTTTTCGTTACTGCGCTGTTACAGCCTTGGAGGACTGGGGTTCAGTTTCATCCAATCACATTTCTTCTTTTGTCATAGTCATCTAAACGATAGATCTTAGAGACAGGTGGGCAAGGGGTGCACTGGTGAGCCTGACTTAAGGAGAGGTCATCTCGTCCCTTCCCTAGTCCCATCTCCCTTGGTTATTGTTATTTCATGTGATTGTTCTGGTTATTTCAGGTTATTCTGTTTTTGTTTTCAAAACAATAACATATATTTGTTGTTCTGATTTTAAAGGGGTAATTGTTTTGGTAACTAGAAAATTACCTTCTCAACTCCCTTAAATTCTGTCAAAGGGAAAAGTAAGTTAGGTTGCTGGAGAGGCTATGCTGAGGCCTCAGAACCTCTGTATTCCTGGAAGTTCTGCGTGCTTTGCCTCCTGCTCCCCTCTCTGTGTTCCTGTTGGCAGGCCCCTAGGCAGGATTTAGGAGGTAGGCAAGTCACCCTAGCCAAGTCATAAGCCCATGGCTCAATTGCCTTCTCAGCCCTTCAAGGGCTGTTCCACAGGCAGCAAAGGGAGGGGCCTCCACAGGTTCACCACTGCAGCCCTAATTCATTTTCTTTTTCCACTGTCTTATTCTGCAGGGGTATTCCCTCAGCGGATACTACACCCATCCATTTCAAGGCTATGAGCACAGACAGCTCAGGTACCAGCAGCCTGGGCCAGGATCTTCCCCCAGTAGTTTCCTGCTTAAGCAAATAGAATTTCTCAAGGGGCAGCTCCCAGAAGCACCGGTGATTGGAAAGCAGACACCGTCACTGCCACCTTCCCTCCCAGGACTCCGGCCAAGGTTTCCAGTACTACTTGCCTCCAGTACCAGAGGCAGGCAAGTGGACATCAGGGGTGTCCCCAGGGGCGTGCATCTCAGAAGTCAGGGGCTCCAGAGAGGGTTCCAGCATCCTTCACCACGTGGCAGGAGTCTGCCACAGAGAGGTGTTGATTGCCTTTCCTCACATTTCCAGGAACTGAGTATCTACCAAGATCAGGAACAAAGGATCTTAAAGTTCCTGGAAGAGCTTGGGGAAGGGAAGGCCACCACAGCACATGATCTGTCTGGGAAACTTGGGACTCCGAAGAAAGAAATCAATCGAGTTTTATACTCCCTGGCAAAGAAGGGCAAGCTACAGAAAGAGGCAGGAACACCCCCTTTGTGGAAAATCGCGGTCTCCACTCAGGCTTGGAACCAGCACAGCGGAGTGGTAAGACCAGACGGTCATAGCCAAGGAGCCCCAAACTCAGACCCGAGTTTGGAACCGGAAGACAGAAACTCCACATCTGTCTCAGAAGATCTTCTTGAGCCTTTTATTGCAGTCTCAGCTCAGGCTTGGAACCAGCACAGCGGAGTGGTAAGACCAGACAGTCATAGCCAAGGATCCCCAAACTCAGACCCAGGTTTGGAACCTGAAGACAGCAACTCCACATCTGCCTTGGAAGATCCTCTTGAGTTTTTAGACATGGCCGAGATCAAGGAGAAAATCTGCGACTATCTCTTCAATGTGTCTGACTCCTCTGCCCTGAATTTGGCTAAAAATATTGGCCTTACCAAGGCCCGAGATATAAATGCTGTGCTAATTGACATGGAAAGGCAGGGGGATGTCTATAGACAAGGGACAACCCCTCCCATATGGCATTTGACAGACAAGAAGCGAGAGAGGATGCAAATCAAGAGAAATACGAACAGTGTTCCTGAAACCGCTCCAGCTGCAATCCCTGAGACCAAAAGAAACGCAGAGTTCCTCACCTGTAATATACCCACATCAAATGCCTCAAATAACATGGTAACCACAGAAAAAGTGGAGAATGGGCAGGAACCTGTCATAAAGTTAGAAAACAGGCAAGAGGCCAGACCAGAACCAGCAAGACTGAAACCACCTGTTCATTACAATGGCCCCTCAAAAGCAGGGTATGTTGACTTTGAAAATGGCCAGTGGGCCACAGATGACATCCCAGATGACTTGAATAGTATCCGCGCAGCACCAGGTGAGTTTCGAGCCATCATGGAGATGCCCTCCTTCTACAGTCATGGCTTGCCACGGTGTTCACCCTACAAGAAACTGACAGAGTGCCAGCTGAAGAACCCCATCAGCGGGCTGTTAGAATATGCCCAGTTCGCTAGTCAAACCTGTGAGTTCAACATGATAGAGCAGAGTGGACCACCCCATGAACCTCGGTAAGAGACCACCCAGGAACTGTACCTAGGGTTGGGGTCAGGTGCTTTTGCTCCTGACGCAGTCTTGGCTGATTTGTGAGCAGTGCTGTTTGGTGGCGCCTATCTTTTCCTCCTTCCCTTCTGCCTTTTAGCTAAATTCCCCTTGATTGGCCCTTTCTCCAGATATTGAGCAGGGAATATAGACCTTGGACCAGCCAGAATCTTGGCTGAACAAGGGGGAGGTTGACTCTGTTGGCTGTAATGAAGCTTCTTTAGAAATGATTGGTTTTGGCCGTACGCGGTGGCTCATGCCTGTAATCCCAGCACTTTTTGAGGCCGAGGCAGGCATATCACGAGGTCAGGAGTTTGAGACCAGCCTGGCCAACATGGTGAAACCCTGTCTCTACTAAAAATACAAAAATTAGCTGGGCGTGGTGGCGTGCACCTGTAGTCCCAGCTACTCAGGAAGCTGAGACAGGAGAATCACTTGAACCCAGGAGGCAGAGGTTGCAGTGAACTGAGATTGCGCCACTGCACTCCAGCCTGGGCCACAGAGCAAGACTCCATCTCAAAAAAAAAAAAGAAAGAAATGATTGGTCTTGGGGGCCGGGGCGGTGGCTTACGACTGTAATCCCAGCACTTTGGGAGGCCAAGGCAGGCAGATCATGAGGTGAGGAATTCGAGACCAGCCTGGCCAACATGGTGAAACCCCATCTCTACTAAAAATACAAAAATTAGCTGGGGGTGGTGGTGCTTGCCTGTAATCCCAGCTACTCGGGAGGCTGAGGCAGGAGAATCACTTGAACCCAGGAGGTGGAGGTTGTAGTGAGCCGAGATTGGCGCCACTGCACTCCAGCCTGGGCGACAGAGTGAGACTCCATCTTGGAAAAAGAAAGAAAAAAGAAAAACATGATTGATCTCCATGCATCAATATCATGCCTGCCTCCTAAGGCAGAGGTAATGAAGACTTAATTCCCTTCTGTAGGCCTTCCCCTCCTCCCTAAGCCGTTTTCTGAGAGAGGTGCAGGAGCAGGTGGGTTGGGGCAGGCTGCATACACAGTGGGGGTGGGTTGTGCTGCTAAGCAGCAGCAGGTCCACAATCCCCCCTCTGCATAGCTCCTGGGGGGAAAGGATGGAGGAGCGTGTGCACGGCTGCCTGCCTGTTGAAGGTGGTGGTTCTAATTTTATAAACCTCCTCTGCACAGATGGGTAGGCTAGCACTTGCTGCCACTCCTGAGCTGTGAAGTCAGCCTTTACCTCACTCAGATAGCTGGTCAGGCCCTGCACTGTAGGTCCTAATAGGCCAGTGGACAGATTGAGGAAAACAGGAGCTTCTGAAGGGCATAACAGAGAGCAAAACCACTGAAGCTGAGTGGCTGCAGCTGCAGCCAGGGAAAGAGCCAGTAGGATGGGGGAGAATTCCACTGACCTTTATGTTTACCTAGCCTGGTTTCTAGGGGTGTAGATTCCTGGCTAGGGCCCTTATTCCTTGTCTTGACTGTCTTCATGACACCAATTTGGCATTTCAGGAGAGCGGTTAAGAAAAGGAGTTGTGTCTGTCCAAAAGCTGGCAAGGCCAGAGCTGGATTGTTTGGGGTAGAGACTGGATGGCCGTCATTCTCTTTTGCCTCCATCCCTCCTCCCCAGAGTTGGAGGAAAGCAGTGGATTTTGTGGTTAGTCATTCTTTGGACTCACACTAAAAGAAACATTGGTGCCATGTTCAAATATATCAGAAGACCTAGGAAATAAGAAATTTGACCTACTTTTCTAAATGAAATCCCAGACTGAGCAAAGAGCTCACCACATTTGAAAGCTTGAACAAAGGGGGCCTAGGCTAAGTCCAGAGGCCTAGAACAAATGCTTTTTTATTTTCTACATAACAAGGGGAAATTCCTTGTTATGTAGAAAATAGCTGGAGACAAATGGTGCTATAGAGTGACTCATAACAAACTACGGTGATATAGGTCTAGGGACAAAAGCAGGCCACTGATAAGTGGCAGATGCCTGATCCCCCTAGGTAGTGGGGAGTGTGAGACTGGGTTATAAGAAGCCTTCACTATCTTTTAGGACCCTCCCTTGAGGAGGCCAGTCTACCACAATTGCTTTAGAATGAAGGTCTTTTGGTTGCTCACAAGACTATAATGGTAATTTTTGGCTCATCATTTTTGTGTGTGTGGGTTTTATCTTAATTCATTGTTAAAGAGATAGTGGGTTTCCCCTGAGCTAGTTTCCTATCATCTGTGCCTATGTTTGCTTCACTGAGCTATGGGGAAAGAGTCACTGGCTGCTTTGTTTACAAAAAGAAAGGACAGGCTGAGCCTTAAGGAGTAGGAAGGAGTTCCTTGGCCTACCCTTCATCTCCACAAGTGAAAAGCCCCTTAGCGTAGCAGAAAATTCCAGGTTGAAGGTCTCTTTGGAGAAGGCAGAAGGAGTGACCTAGACTCCTGTTCACACATCTAATCACTTTCCGTCAAGATTTAAATTCCAGGTTGTCATCAATGGCCGAGAGTTTCCCCCAGCTGAAGCTGGAAGCAAGAAAGTGGCCAAGCAGGATGCAGCTATGAAAGCCATGACAATTCTGCTAGAGGAAGCCAAAGCCAAGGACAGTGGAAAATCAGAAGAATCATCCCACTATTCCACAGAGAAAGAATCAGAGAAGGTAGGTGTCCTCCTGCCATCTGGGAGGATCAGTTCCCTGTCAGTGTCTGGATTGTAACTGACTCCCTTGAGGCAATCCCAGCCTAAACAACTGACACCATCTCGGAGTCAGCTTCCCACTCTTCCCTCTACCCTATCTCGCCAGCCCACCTTTCCTCCTCTCATACCCAGCTCCTCTGTCTGCTCCTGTCCCAACATAATTGGATTTACAGAATTTCGGACTTGAAAGAGACCTGAAAGTTTATTGAGGCCAATCTCCTCTCTTGGAAGATGCGGAATGAGAGCTCCAGCAGCCCCTTTAACTTTGGGAAGCCAACCCCTTGACAGGTGGTGGGAATAAAGTCCCCCATCCCCATCCCTTCTTCTGTGATGGACTAACCAGTGTTTTCTTAGTTTTGTTTTCTTCTTGTCTCTCATTTTCTCTAGACTGCAGAGTCCCAGACCCCCACCCCTTCAGCCACATCCTTCTTTTCTGGGAAGAGCCCCGTCACCACACTGCTTGAGTGTATGCACAAATTGGGGAACTCCTGCGAATTCCGTCTCCTGTCCAAAGAAGGCCCTGCCCATGAACCCAAGTATGTCCTACGTGTCCTCTGTCCAGCTGAGGTTTTCTCAGAAAGAAAAAGAGACACATTTTCTTCCTTGCCTCCTCAGGGATGGCAGATTGACCAATTTCTCCTGTTTCAAAATGGGGAAAGGAGGGCTCTGAGGTCCTGGTTGCTGCTTGTGAGGCAGACAATTAGGGATTAGGAATTCAAAGGGAATTCCTGGCCCACCCTCTATCTCCTCTATAAGCACTAGGGAGGTTCACGGCTTGGAGGTCACTCACTGTTGGTGGGACAGAAAGGTACAGGACCTGAGAAGCTCTCTGCCTGTGGGTCTATAGACTCACATGTTCAAGAGAAGTGTTCCTGGAAGAGGTGAAACTAGGTTGATGCTTAAATGTTGAAAGGGGTCAGCCAGGCTAAGAGACACTGGCTGTTCAAGGCAGAAGTGACTGCATGAGATGTGACTGCACAGAGGTGATGTGTTCAAGGAAATTACCAGTAGTGGAGGATGGCAGCCTGGCAGAGGCTAGGTCAGGCTCCTCAGTCAAAACCATTTTAATCCTTCTACGTGCTTCATCTCCTGTCAGGTTCCAATACTGTGTTGCAGTGGGAGCCCAAACTTTCCCCAGTGTGAGTGCTCCCAGCAAGAAAGTGGCAAAGCAGATGGCCGCAGAGGAAGCCATGAAGGCCCTGCATGGGGAGGCGACCAACTCCATGGCTTCTGATAACCAGGTAGGGCGTTTTCCTACTCAAAAGATACAGGTCATTTTTAGCAACTGAGTGGTTTAAGATTGCCAGTGACTCCCTCAACATTTCCTGAAGTGTTTATGGCTCCTCTGTTTGATGGATTCTCCTTTAGCCTGAAGGTATGATCTCAGAGTCACTTGATAACTTGGAATCCATGATGCCCAACAAGGTCAGGAAGATTGGCGAGCTCGTGAGATACCTGAACACCAACCCTGTGGGTGGCCTTTTGGAGTACGCCCGCTCCCATGGCTTTGCTGCTGAATTCAAGTTGGTCGACCAGTCCGGACCTCCTCACGAGCCCAAGTGAGTGTCCTAGTCCTGGCTAATGCATGTGTCACCAGTTGGGGATGGTCTGTAACCCAGGGAAAACAAGGGTGTGCTTTAGCTGTGTAGGACAGAAGGGGCGAGTTGAGGGAAACAAGTCCAGCCCTGTCTCCACGGCCTCTTAGAAGACAATAGACCTGCCAAGAGTGAATGCGTTCACTCTTCCAGTAAGCATGATCCTTTTTAATTTTTTGACTAGTTTTAATTTTTAAAGAAATGTATAGGTACATTAAAAAATCATTCAGGCCAGACATGGTGGCTCACGCCTGTAATCCCAGCACTTTGGGAAGTTGAGGCAGGTAGATTACCTGAGGTCGGGAGTTCAAGACCAGCCGGACCATATGAGGAAACCCTGTCTCTACTAAAAATACAAAAATTAGCTGGGCGTGGCAGCGGGTGCCTGTAATCCCAGCTACTCGGGAGGCAGACAGGAGAATTGATTGAAGCTGGGAGGCGGAGGTTGCAGTGAGCTGAGATCGCACCACTGCACTCCAGCCTGAGCAACAGAGCAAGACTCCATCTTGAAAAAAATCATTCAAGCTGATTGAAAAAGTAGTCATTTCAATGAAAAGTCTCATTTCCGTCTCAGACTTCTAGTTTCCCTCCCTAGACCCATATATTACTATAGCCCTGCATTAGCAACTGGGATGCGGTCTGAGAAGCATGGTTTTGTTGTTGTGAGAACATCAGTGTGTATTTACATAAACCTAGATGGCATGGGCTCCTACACACGTACAGGCTGTATGGTATGGCCGGTTGCTCCTAGGCTACAAACCTGTACAGCATGTAACTGTAGTGAATACTGTGGGCAGCTGCAACACACTGGTAAGTATTGGTGTCTATCTAAACAGCAAAAAGATACAGTAAAAAGACAGCATAAAGGATTAAAAAAATACTACACCTGTATAGGGCGCCTGCCATGAATGGAGCTTGCAGGACTAGAAGTTGCTGTGGGTGAGTCAGCCAGTGAGTGGAGAATGAATATGAGGGCCTAGGACATGACTGTACACTAATGTAGGCTTTGTAAACACTGTTCACTTAGGCTAACTACATTTATTTAAAATATTTTTCTTTAATAAATTAACCTTAGCTTACTGTAACTTTTTTACTTTATTTTTACTTTATTTTTTACTTTATTAACTTTTTTATTTTTTGTTCCTTTTGTAATAATACTTAGCTTAAAACACAAACATGTTGTACTGCTATCCAAAAATATTTCCTTTGTTTATATCCTTAATTCTATAGTCTTTTTTCTGTTTGTAAATTTTTTTATTTTTTTAACTTTTTAAACTTTTTTGTTGAAAGCTAAGATGAAAATACATTAGCTGTTAGCCTAGGCCTACACAGGGTCAGGATCCTCAGTATCACTGTCTTCCACCTCCACGTCTTGTCCCACTGTAAGGTGTTCAGGGGCAATAACATGCATGGGGGCCGTCATCTCCTATGGTAACAGTGCTTTCTGGAATACCTGCCTGAGGCTTTTTTTAGTTACTTATTTTTCTAGAAGTAGAAGGAGTATACGCTGAAATAATGATAAAAATATAGTAAACACATAAGGAGCGTGTAGCCTAGATCCCTCGCATTCACAGTTCACAGTCGAGTTCACACTCCTACAAGAATCTCATGCTGCTGCTGATCCCACAGGAGGCGGAGCTCGGACCAGAATGCTTTCTTGCTCGCCACTCACCTCTTCCTGTGTGCCCAGGTTCCTAACAGGTTACAGAGCCCTGCACTTGGTGATAAGAATTTTTCAGCTCCATCATAATCTTACGGGGCCCCTGTCATATGTGTGATTTATCATTGAACAAAACACTGTTATGCAGTACATGACTATACCAGTTTCTTGAGTCCTTCTAGAAATTGCTGTGCATAACTAGCACATTTTCCCTTTTGTCTTTTTAAACAAGTATATCTTCTGTTTTATACGTTGACTCCTTTACTTACCAGACTTCTTGCATAGCTGCATAGTATTTCATTGAATAGAAGCTGACAAATTCAGTTTCTCAGAAGTAAACATTTAATAGGGACTTAGGAACAGAAATGATGTCTTGGGTGGCTGCAAGATGGTGGATCCCTGCACTTACCCTCCAGAAAGTATGCTTTCTATAGAGGCTTTTTTGGTTAAACATGCAGCTGGTCACACATTATACTTTCTTGTGAAACTTATGAGCACTAGCTGGTGGGGAGGCTTGGTAGACATCTTTGTGTGGAATTATTTATGCTACCCAACACTTTGGGATGCGGGAGTCAGATATTGGTGGTCATAGTGGTTTTGCATCAAGATGGCATCACTCTTGCCATGCAACCGGCATGTTTTCTTAATCTCTAAGGTCTATCACAAAGTGGAAAAGCAAGGTGTAAAGTGAGGGGAGAGGTGAAGATTGTCTGTATATGTCTAGAATATTTTCTTGAAGGATCGAAAAAACTGGCAACTGTGTTTGCTTCTGGGGAAGGAGGGACACTTTTATTGTACACTCTTAACTGTTTGAATTTTCACATGTTTGGCATCCAACTTGTCCATTTTAAAGTCATTAAGGAAAAAAGCTTATAAAAATGCTATCTTGTTACTTTAAATTTGTCTCTCCTTAATAGAAGTAATGTCAGCCGGGCGCAGTGGCTTACGCCTATAATCCCAGCACTTTGGGAGGCCGAGGTGGGTGGATCATTTGAGCTCAGTAATTTGAGACCAGCCTGGCCAACATGGTAAAACCCCATCTCTACTAAAAATACAAAAAATAGCTGAGCATGGTGGTATGCCCCTGTATGCCAGCTACTCCGGAGGCTGAGCAGGAGAATTACTTGAACCCAGGAGGCGGAAGTTGCAGTGACCTGAGATTGTGCCACTGCACTCCAGCCTGGGTGATGGAGTGAGACTCCGTCTCAAAAAAAAAAACAAAAAAATCAGAAGTAATGGCATTTCATTTATTCATATTTATGTGTTATTTGCATTTCCTTTTCTGTGAACCACCTGTTCTTGTCCTTTTCCAGTTTTCTTTCAGATTGTTACTCTCATGGATATGTAAGAACTTTTAACATAATTTTTAAAAGTAGCCCTTTGCCCAACATGACCCAATTTAGAACACACATCTGCCCACTGTTTAAGCCATCTGGAAAAGGAGAGGCCCAGTCTCCCTCCAGCTGCTCTTCTACTAATTCATATCCTTCATCTCAATAAGCACCTCCTTATCTTTAAGCACAGTCCTTCAGATGATAGGTTCAGTGCATTTCCTCTTTCTCTTCTGTGAAATCTTCTGTGAAATCCTTTCTAGGACTTCAAGTCAGCCATTCATTGAGAATGTAAGAACTTACTATGAACTAGATGGAAGATACAAAAAATTGCTGCCCCTGAGTGTGTAGCAGACATATAGCCATAGCAGTATTGAAATGTGCCATTGGAGGTGAATGCAGAGTGCTGTGGGGACACAGAGGACACTGCTGCCACTGTCTGCCAGGGAGCTGAGGAAGGTTGCATAGAGAGGGGAAATGCTAATTGAGTAACTACGTTTATTAACTATCTCGTACAATAATATACTTTAGTTGCTTCTTAATGTGAATTATGCTGGGTCTTTTTTTCCTTTCTGTCTACTGTGGCTGGTGACGTTAACTAATTTTATGACTTCTTTTCTGTTTTTTTTTTTTTTTTTTTTTGGAGATGGAGTCTCACTCTGTCACCCAGGCTGGAGTGCAGTGGCGCAGTCTCAGCTCACTGCAACCTCCGCCTCCTGGGTTCAAACAATTCTCTTGCCTCAGCTCCTCGAGTAGCTGGGATTACAGGCATCTGCCACCACATCTGACTATTTTTGTATTTTTAGTAGAGACAGAGTTTCACCATGTTGGCCAGGCTGGTCTTCAACTCCTGACCTCAGATGATCCACCCGCCTCAGCCTCCCAAAGTGCTGGGATTACAGGCATGAACCACCGCGACAGCCATGACCTTTAATATCTAAATGCTGGAGACCACTCAGAGCTCCCGATTCCTCCATCTAGTTGCTTACTTGTCACCTCTGTTTGGATTAACATCCCTAATATGACATGTCCAAAGCAGAACTCTTGGGTTTTGCCCCCTTCGCTTCATTTCCCCCAAGTCTTTCCCAGCTTAGTAAGTGATACCACTGTCTACCCAGTGGCTCAAGTCAGAAACCTGAGGATCATCTTTTCCTCTATCTCCTTTACCTCCTTCGTCAACTCATCCTTAAGTCCTATTGGTTATACTTAGAATTTCTATCCCAAATCCCTTCCTCTTCTTTCCACCTCCAGCGTCAGCACTCTAATCCAAGCCACTGTCTCATCTAGACTGTCACAATAGCCTCCTAACTGATCTTTATACTTTATTTACTCAACACTTATTTATGGAGTATCTTCTATTTTTTTTAGAACAGGAACCAAACATTAACCAATAGTCACCTAAAGAAATGTAAGATCTCATATTTGATAAGTATTCCAAAGGGCTGGAGTTGCAGCGAGAATCAATTATAGCACAGTTTGACTTAGGAAGGAGAGGGGGAAGGGCTTCCCCAAGAAGTACTGCCTGAGCTGAGACTTTAAGGATGATGAAGAGAGAAAGACTGAGGGTTCTAGGCGAAGGACACTGTTAAATCCTGTGGTGGGAGAAGCGCAGAGCTGGCAAAGAGGCTGAGAGGAGGCACTTATGGCAATAGCCCCATTTGGCTAGTGGCTACCATATTGGATAGCACAGCTCTAAAGGATTCTAGTTGCATAATTAACAAACTTTATCATATATGTAAATATATCAGTATAAAACTTTGCACGTAAGAGTTCATATTCTTTTCAAACACATGGGGCAGTCATGAAATTCTCCTGGATCCCTGAGGTAAAGATACTACACAATCTGTCCCTCCTGACCGCCTTCACCATCTTCTTTTCATGCCACTGTCCCTCTCATTCTGAACTTAAGCCCACTGGCCTGCACGGGCCTGCCAGCATGGACAAAGAAAAGAGTGAAGGCATTTAGTTGCTTCGGATCATCAAGGAACAGTGAGAAACTCCATGTGGTTGAACATAAACGTTGATTCCTTTTACTGCCTGAGCTGCTAAGTCTTGAAACTGAAGCCTCTGTTATATGCAGTTAGA
The DNA here is from genome assembly GCF_000001405.40 of Homo sapiens. Classification (NCBI taxonomy): domain Eukaryota; kingdom Metazoa; phylum Chordata; class Mammalia; order Primates; family Hominidae; genus Homo; species Homo sapiens. Next base: position 154,591,692 of record NC_000001.11, on the reverse strand, counting down.
GTATCCAAAGCTGGGTTCTCAGCCAGTAGATTAGGATCTGGTTGAAAGCTAGGATTCTTGATGCCTTGTCTGGTACATTTCCAAGCTGTTTTGCTCCACCATGCTCTTCCCTCTGTGTTTGGAAATTACCAGCCGGAGCGGTAGAAGCCACCTCCCTGCTCCACTTGGGCACTTTATTGTCAGCGCAGCTCATGCGCCCAAGATCCATTCCTTACCCCAGAGTTAGCTTAAGCCTGCCAGGAGTCAAAAAAACAACTCCCAGCAAAACCTGGGTCCCTGGCCTAAGGCCGACCTTGACCTAATGACCTCTCCAGGTCAAGTCCCCTTGAGCTAATAGGAAGTAAATGAGGGAATGGAGTTGGGCGCTTTAAAAATCAGACAGTGTATGAAGTAACAGTGACTTGTGGGGAGAAAGGTAGTCCCTTCTGATTTCTGCTTAAGAAGAGAGTCCAAGTTGGTGCTAGCATTTCGTTAAGCCTTCCTCATACTTCATAATCTTCCTTTATAGTAAGGACAGGCTCAGAGCCTTTGCAGGTAACAGTATCTAGTCAGAATTTTATAACATGATTTTATCATATTCTGTTTTACAGCCACCTTCAATATGTGGCAAGTGATACTGGTTTTCCATTTACAGTAGTGAAACAAAGTTTCCTATTTCAGTGTGTTTACATTTTTATCTCTTTTTTCATACCTAGTATTACGGATATTTACATTTTTAGAGTCTGTTTGTTTATTTTAGAGATGGGGATCTTGCTGTCTCGCGCAGGCTGGAGTGCAGTGATATGGTCATAGCTCACTGCAGCCTTGACCTCCAGGGCTCAAGTGATCCTCTCACCCCAGCCTCCCAAGTAGCTGAGACTATAGGCACAGACCACCGTGCCCAGCTAAATTTTTTTTTTTTTTTTTAAGAGACAGGGGTCTCGCTATGTTGCCTGGGGGATTACTATGTTGCCCAGGCTGGTCTTGAACTCCTGGCCTCAAGTGATCTCCCACCTTAGCTCCTCAAGTTGCTGGGATTACAGGTGTGAGCCACAATGGCTGGCTCTAAGAAGTCAATTTAGAGAAAAATATTAATTAATAGTCCAAGTAATACCTGGATGTGGCACAAATCATGTGGTGATTCATGAATGACCAAAATCTAGGAAATGCTGCCTTAGAAACAGCTTCTGTTTGACGGGTCCATATGTTTGCAAGACTGGCCACATCTTCAGCAAAACTAACCCTTCCTTGGAACAATGTCAGGGTCTGGCACTTGTCTTCATTCTCTGTTTCTCATCCCAAAGGTTCGTTTACCAAGCAAAAGTTGGGGGTCGCTGGTTCCCAGCCGTCTGCGCACACAGCAAGAAGCAAGGCAAGCAGGAAGCAGCAGATGCGGCTCTCCGTGTCTTGATTGGGGAGAACGAGAAGGCAGAACGCATGGGTTTCACAGAGGTAACCCCAGTGACAGGGGCCAGTCTCAGAAGAACTATGCTCCTCCTCTCAAGGTCCCCAGAAGCACAGCCAAAGACAGTTAAGACGTCTACTTTTGGTGCCTTTTTTGGGGCGGGGGGGTCCTCCTAACTCCTAAGTGGAGGTGGCTCTTGCTGTCATGCGAGTTATTCCTAGGCTTTACTCTTAGCCTCGAGAGAGCAGTAACTGGGACACTAGATGTAAGAAGGAAAAGATGACTCACACGACAAGTAGAGCTTGATCTCCCTGCCCACGGTGAATATGGTGGACACAGCCTCAGCTTTGTGGTGCTGACACAGCCTCTTTTCCCCACAGCTCCCTCTCACTGGCAGCACCTTCCATGACCAGATAGCCATGCTGAGCCACCGGTGCTTCAACACTCTGACTAACAGCTTCCAGCCCTCCTTGCTCGGCCGCAAGATTCTGGCCGCCATCATTATGAAAAAAGACTCTGAGGACATGGGTGTCGTCGTCAGCTTGGGAACAGGTGAGTGAGGCTCTGAGACATGCCGCCTCCCATGGCGCCTGAAAGCGGGTGCCTCTCATCCTCCCCTGGAGTCCATGCATGTAAGTCCAAGGCAGGGAGAAGAGACTTCATTTTAGCTACAGTCAATTCAGAGTGAGGAATGAGTTCTTAGTTCCTAGAGGAGAGAATATGGGAGTCTAGGATCTGAGAAACTGAGGCTGTTTCTGCCTTGAAGCTTTCAGAACAAATAGCCTTCATCCTGTTTTCCATCGGTTTCCTTCCATTATTCTATTTCTGTTTTAAACACCTTCCTAGGGAATCGCTGTGTGAAAGGAGATTCTCTCAGCCTAAAAGGAGAAACTGTCAATGACTGCCATGCAGAAATAATCTCCCGGAGAGGCTTCATCAGGTGAGCGAGGTCAGAGCTGTGGCCCGGCTGCCCGGCTGTGGAGAGCTCCAGTTCCCTGCCCCACATGGCTCTGACACGGCCTCTGAATCCCCCTCAGACAGACGGGTCATGATGTGGCAGTGGCAGCCTTTGCTTTTCACCCGTCCATTTGAACCTGTCTGATGGAATCCATCCCCTCTGTGAGCTGAGCTGCCTCCCACTGCTCGGCCTGTTTTTAAATGCTGTCCTTTTTTCTGCTAACTCTGCTGCTTCATGTTCTTTTCTAAAAACACAAAATGACCTTTTAGTCCTCAGGGCCTTGAGGATGAGGCAGCTTTCCATTTCCGTTTGAGGACCTACACAACCTTGATGCCCCTGCCAGCTTTCTCCTCTAGCTCACCTTTTCTTTAATTTATGAAGGGAGAGACTTAGAAAGGAGCAACAGCTTCCTGTAGTCCTTGAATCAGTTTGCTCTGCTCTAGAATCCCTGTAGCCGCCATAGCGAGGAGCCCTCAGCAGAAATGAAGGAGACCCAAAAGGCTAACTATGCTTTATGAAATGCTGAGGTCTCCCCTGGAGAATTTCCACCTGATAAACTGTGAAACGTCTGCAACATTGAGACTTTTCCTTACTTTCTCATTTGGAGGTCAGATTATAGAAACAACTGCTTTTCCCAGAATTGAACCTGCCTTCCTAACCAGACTTTCTTTTTGTAGGTTTCTCTACAGTGAGTTAATGAAATACAACTCCCAGACTGCGAAGGATAGTATATTTGAACCTGCTAAGGGAGGAGAAAAGCTCCAAATAAAAAAGACTGTGTCATTCCATCTGTATATCAGGTCTGTACAGTTCCTGTTGCTGCCAGGGTGGGCCCTGCCAGGCTGTTAGAATTGGGTATCCAAATGCTCTCCTGGCCTGTAAATCGAACCTGATACAATAAGCCACACTCCACTGTGGGTTTGAGGTCCATATTCAGGTGTAGATGACTCACATGTACTGCTGTCCACCTCCAGTCTCCCATGGTAGGCCTTAGAAAACATCCCTTGCTTCTGTCACATCTGACTGTTTTGGAGCCCCACGAAATTGCAGATTTCCCACAGGTGAGTTTTAACAGCCACCCCTGTTTTTCAGCACTGCTCCGTGTGGAGATGGCGCCCTCTTTGACAAGTCCTGCAGCGACCGTGCTATGGAAAGCACAGAATCCCGCCACTACCCTGTCTTCGAGAATCCCAAACAAGGAAAGCTCCGCACCAAGGTGGAGAACGGTGAGTGATACATGCCCCCGCCTCCTTTCCTCAAAAGGCTCTGCAAGGTCCAGGGACCCCAAGTCTCTACAAGGCTGCTAGGATTTTACCATTAGTCACTGGGCACAGAGGTGCTGTTTACAGGAAAGGGAAGACCTGGGTCAGGGAGCTGTGTGGTAAGATCAGGGTTCTATTTTGAATGTGTTAGTTTGGGAGATCTGGGAGATCCCCAAGTCAAATAGGAGGTGGGGGTTCCCATGTGGAGCTCAGAGGAGGGAGCTTGGCTGGAAATAGAAATATGGGAGTCATCCCCCTATAGGGTCTTCATGGCCATGAGAATGCATAGGATTACCTCAAGAAAGCGGGGAGGAAATGAAGAGTGCGGCACAACCAAGCCCTGAGGAGTTGACAGATGAGGATGCCAAATGCTGGGGTCCCCTCCTGTCTAGCTGGCAGTTGACTCTGCCTTGTCCACTGGCTCCTTCTCTCCTATCCTCTCCTGTCTCCTTACTGTCTCTTCGCATCCACTCCATTGCGTTCAGGCCACGTCAGCAGTCATCATGGTGGTCCTGAAACCTTGCTAAATACCCTAAAGTATAGACACAGTTACCATGGAGCCGGTGCTCCACTCCTAGGTATATGCTGCAGAGAGATGGAGATCTGTGTCCACACGGAAACTAATATGTGAATGTTCATGGCAGCATTACTCACAAGAGCCAAAAAAGTGGAAACAACCCAGACGTCCATCAGCTGATGGATTCATAAATAAAACATCAAATATATCCATAAATTGAATATTATTTTGGCCATAAAAAGAAGTGAAGTGCTGATACATGCTTACAATATGGATGCACTTGAAAACTTGATGCCAAATGAAAAAAGCCAGTCACAAAAGATCACATATTGTATGATTCCATTTATATGAAATGTCCAGAATAGACAAATCCATAGAGACAGAAAGTAGATGAGTGGTTGCCAGGGCCAGGAGTGGGAGAGTTGGAGAGATGAGGAGTGACTGCGCCAATGGGTAGAAGGTTTCTTTTTGGAGCGATGAAATGTTCTAAAATTGACTGTGGTGACAGTTGCAGAACTCTGTGAATATACTAAAAATGACTGAATTGTATGCTTTAAATGGGTGAACTGTATGGCATATGAACTATATCTCAGTAAAGCATTTTTTTTTGTTTTTTTTTAAACCCGATAGTGGTTTCCCACTGCACTGCATATACAAGCAAAACCTGCTGTGATCACCCGGCCTCCTCTCATGCCACTTTCCCCATCCCTCGCATATGCTCTGTCCACACTGGCTCTCTGTCAGGCGCCTGAACAGCCAATCCGCTGGCTGCCTTGGGGCCTTTGCTTTTGTCCTGTGTGCCTGAAACACTTACTCCAGCTGTCCTCCTCCATGTCTGGGCTCCCCTGCTGCTGCTGTCCCAGGAGGTGTCCCCTGTGGTCCTCCGTCATAGCTGCCTCAGAGCCTTCAGAGCACTGTCAGCATCTGGAATTCTTCCGTATGTACTGGCTACTGGTTTAGTGTCTATTCTCTTCCCTTTCAATCTCCTCACCACCATAGATGTTTTAAGAGCACAAAGATCTTACTTGGTTTTGCTCACCGTTCTTTCCCAGCACCAAGCATAGTGCCTGGCGCATAGCAGGGGCTGTGAAATATGTGAAGAATGAATGAATGTAGCCTGTGGCCCAAGCTTAAGGAGGATAGAAACCACGCCAGGGAGTGGTTTGGTCCATTGGCGCCTGTGGGTCTGACCCAAGTCTCTCACACAGGAGAAGGCACAATCCCTGTGGAATCCAGTGACATTGTGCCTACGTGGGATGGCATTCGGCTCGGGGAGAGACTCCGTACCATGTCCTGTAGTGACAAAATCCTACGCTGGAACGTGCTGGGCCTGCAAGGGGCACTGTTGACCCACTTCCTGCAGCCCATTTATCTCAAATCTGTCACATTGGGTAAGGGGCCTGCCTTGGGATCTGGAACTGGTCTGTCCTTCTTGTGCCCAGATCCCAAACTGCATGCTTTATTGCCAGGTGTTTTGTCTCCCTTATCAAAGTGAGCATGATTCACTCCTCAGTAATTGATTGAGTGTCCAGTCTGCTGTGGTAGGAAGATCCTGGTAGCCCCAGTCAGAAGGTGCTTCCTAACAAGGCAGCTGTTTCTCTTTCTTGACAACTATATCTTGTACCTCCAAAATCCCCACATGCTTCTGCCTCTTAACAGCATTTGGTGCAAACACAGGTATATATGTTTCTCTTTTTTGTACTCAGGTTACCTTTTCAGCCAAGGGCATCTGACCCGTGCTATTTGCTGTCGTGTGACAAGAGATGGGAGTGCATTTGAGGATGGACTACGACATCCCTTTATTGTCAACCACCCCAAGGTGCTATAACCCCCTTCTATTTTCCCTGACATTTTCCTCCTTTTCAAGCAGTCATGTAAACAGAGGAAAAATGTACACTGTGGGCAAGGGGAACATTGCCCACAGTGGTAGCCCACAAGGGAACATTGCCCACAGTGGCCCACCACCAACATTGGTTGGTCTCCCAAGAACTTAAACTTTCTTCCTTTTGGATGCCAAGGGCTTTTCTTCTCTTAGTCTGGAATTAATCTGAATCGAGGTGGAGTTAGTATGTCTAGAGGGTGCTCAGTCTTAGCCAAACAGAACCCTAAATACAGGGGAAAGATCATGACCCCACACTTCCTCTCTCCTATGAGTCTTGAGTCCCTGCTTCAGAATCTTATTCCTGAAAGGTTTCCATCTTTCTCCCGTTGCTTCTGGGATTCCTAGGTTGGCAGAGTCAGCATATATGATTCCAAAAGGCAATCCGGGAAGACTAAGGAGACAAGCGTCAACTGGTGTCTGGCTGATGGCTATGACCTGGAGATCCTGGACGGTACCAGAGGCACTGTGGATGGGTAAGGAGACAGGAGAGCGCAGTGAGGACCAAGCCTCTGCCCTGACTTGCAAGGGTGCATCATACCTCTGCAGTCTCAGGGCTTGAGAGCCGCCTCCCCTCCCACGGTGTCTCCACTGTGAGCTCCTTATCTTACAGGTCCCAGGTGAATAATGAGTGCTTTTGTTTCTCTAGGCCACGGAATGAATTGTCCCGGGTCTCCAAAAAGAACATTTTTCTTCTATTTAAGAAGCTCTGCTCCTTCCGTTACCGCAGGGATCTACTGAGACTCTCCTATGGTGAGGCCAAGAAAGCTGCCCGTGACTACGAGACGGCCAAGAACTACTTCAAAAAAGGCCTGAAGGATATGGGCTATGGGAACTGGATTAGCAAACCCCAGGAGGAAAAGAACTTTTATCTCTGCCCAGTATAGTATGCTCCAGTGACAGATGGATTAGGGTGTGTCATACTAGGGTGTGAGAGAGGTAGGTCGTAGCATTCCTCATCACATGGTCAGGGGATTTTTTTTTCTCCTTTTTTTTTCTTTTTAAGCCATAATTGGTGATACTGAAAACTTTGGGTTCCCATTTATCCTGCTTTCTTTGGGATTGCTAGGCAAGGTCTGGCCAGGCCCCCCTTTTTTCCCCCAAGTGAAGAGGCAGAAACCTAAGAAGTTATCTTTTCTTTCTACCCAAAGCATACATAGTCACTGAGCACCTGCGGTCCATTTCCTCTTAAAAGTTTTGTTTTGATTTGTTTCCATTTCCTTTCCCTTTGTGTTTGCTACACTGACCTCTTGCGGTCTTGATTAGGTTTCAGTCAACTCTGGATCATGTCAGGGACTGATAATTTCATTTGTGGATTACGCAGACCCCTCTACTTCCCCTCTTTCCCTTCTGAGATTCTTTCCTTGTGATCTGAATGTCTCCTTTTCCCCCTCAGAGGGCAAAGAGGTGAACATAAAGGATTTGGTGAAACATTTGTAAGGGTAGGAGTTGAAAACTGCAGTTCCCAGTGCCACGGAAGTGTGATTGGAGCCTGCAGATAATGCCCAGCCATCCTCCCATCCTGCACTTTAGCCAGCTGCAGGGCGGGCAAGGCAAGGAAAGCTGCTTCCCTGGAAGTGTATCACTTTCTCCGGCAGCTGGGAAGTCTAGAACCAGCCAGACTGGGTTAAGGGAGCTGCTCAAGCAATAGCAGAGGTTTCACCCGGCAGGATGACACAGACCACTTCCCAGGGAGCACGGGCATGCCTTGGAATATTGCCAAGCTTCCAGCTGCCTCTTCTCCTAAAGCATTCCTAGGAATATTTTCCCCGCCAATGCTGGGCGTACACCCTAGCCAACGGGACAAATCCTAGAGGGTATAAAATCATCTCTGCTCAGATAATCATGACTTAGCAAGAATAAGGGCAAAAAATCCTGTTGGCTTAACGTCACTGTTCCACCCGGTGTAATATCTCTCATGACAGTGACACCAAGGGAAGTTGACTAAGTCACATGTAAATTAGGAGTGTTTTAAAGAATGCCATAGATGTTGATTCTTAACTGCTACAGATAACCTGTAATTGAGCAGATTTAAAATTCAGGCATACTTTTCCATTTATCCAAGTGCTTTCATTTTTCCAGATGGCTTCAGAAGTAGGCTCGTGGGCAGGGCGCAGACCTGATCTTTATAGGGTTGACATAGAAAGCAGTAGTTGTGGGTGAAAGGGCAGGTTGTCTTCAAACTCTGTGAGGTAGAATCCTTTGTCTATACCTCCATGAACATTGACTCGTGTGTTCAGAGCCTTTGGCCTCTCTGTGGAGTCTGGCTCTCTGGCTCCTGTGCATTCTTTGAATAGTCACTCGTAAAAACTGTCAGTGCTTGAAACTGTTTCCTTTACTCATGTTGAAGGGACTTTGTTGGCTTTTAGAGTGTTGGTCATGACTCCAAGAGCAGAGCAGGGAAGAGCCCAAGCATAGACTTGGTGCCGTGGTGATGGCTGCAGTCCAGTTTTGTGATGCTGCTTTTACGTGTCCCTCGATAACAGTCAGCTAGACACACTCAGGAGGACTACTGAGGCTCTGCGACCTTCAGGAGCTGAGCCTGCCTCTCTCCTTTAGATGACAGACCTTCATCTGGGAACGTGCTGAGCCAGCACCCTCAGATGATTTCCCTCCAAACTGCTGACTAGGTCATCCTCTGTCTGGTAGAGACATTCACATCTTTGCTTTTATTCTATGCTCTCTGTACTTTTGACCAAAAATTGACCAAAGTAAGAAAATGCAAGTTCTAAAAATAGACTAAGGATGCCTTTGCAGAACACCAAAGCATCCCAAGGAACTGGTAGGGAAGTGGCGCCTGTCTCCTGGAGTGGAAGAGGCCTGCTCCCTGGCTCTGGGTCTGCTGGGGGCACAGTAAATCAGTCTTGGCACCCACATCCAGGGCAGAGAGGTCTGTGGTTCTCAGCATCAGAAGGCAGCGCAGCCCCTCTCCTCTTCAGGCTACAGGGTTGTCACCTGCTGAGTCCTCAGGTTGTTTGGCCTCTCTGGTCCATCTTGGGCATTAGGTTCTCCAGCAGAGCTCTGGCCAGCTGCCTCTTCTTTAACTGGGAACACAGGCTCTCACAAGATCAGAACCCCCACTCACCCCCAAGATCTTATCTAGCAAGCCTGTAGTATTCAGTTTCTGTTGTAGGAAGAGAGCGAGGCATCCCTGAATTCCACGCATCTGCTGGAAACGAGCCGTGTCAGATCGCACATCCCTGCGCCCCCATGCCCCTCTGAGTCACACAGGACAGAGGAGGCAGAGCTTCTGCCCACTGTTATCTTCACTTTCTTTGTCCAGTCTTTTGTTTTTAATAAGCAGTGACCCTCCCTACTCTTCTTTTTAATGATTTTTGTAGTTGATTTGTCTGAACTGTGGCTACTGTGCATTCCTTGAATAATCACTTGTAAAAATTGTCAGTGCTTGAAGCTGTTTCCTTTACTCACATTGAAGGGACTTCGTTGGTTTTTTGGAGTCTTGGTTGTGACTCCAAGAGCAGAGTGAGGAAGACCCCCAAGCATAGACTCGGGTACTGTGATGATGGCTGCAGTCCAGTTTTATGATTCTGCTTTTATGTGTCCCTTGATAACAGTGACTTAACAATATACATTCCTCATAAATAAAAAAAAAACAAGAATCTGAATTCTTAGAAAGTTTTAAGTCCTGGTTTCTTGGGGGAGGTGAAAATGGGAACAAAGGGACCTGTGGCCCTGGGGTTTCTGATAACAGCACCAGTGGCATCTGACATGAACCTGTGGGGGACAGGGCTGTCCCTCAGCCTTTGGAAAGGAGCCATTTCAAAGAACCTCCCTTTGTGGGTAAATTTGCGTCTGGGTGGGGTGGGGTTCATCAGGCACCTTTTGATTACGTACCCAGCAGGGCCCTTCCCCAGCAGAGCCCACGATTGATTGATTGATTGATTGATTGATTGATTGATTTAGAGATGGAGTATCACTCTGTCTCTCAAGCTGGAGTGCAGTGGCGCGATCTCGGCTCACTGCAAGCTCCGCCTCCCGGGTTCACGCCATTCTCCTGCCTCAGCCTCCCGAGTAGCTGGGACTACAGGCGCCTGTCACCACGCCTGGCTAATTTTTTTGTATTTTTAGTAGAGATGGGGTTTCACCGTGTTAGCCAGGATGGTCTCAATCTCCTGACCTCGTGAGGTCCACCTCAGCCTCCCAAAGTGCTGGGATTACAGGCGTGAGCCACTGCTCCCAGCCAGAGCCCACTATTAAATATCTTGTCCCACGGGACTTGAGACGCAAGATTTCAAGGCCCAGAGTAGGAAAACATCCCTTGAGAGAGGATCACCTATTAGGTACATAATTCCAGCTCTCCTTCAGGGGTGTTTTCTACCTCCTCCAAACCCCACTACTACCAGCTGTTTGACTTCCAGGAATGTGCATATTTGGAGTAAAGTTGCAGCCAGGACCAGGACAGGCTTGGTTGTAGTTTTAGGAGACAGACCATTTTCTTTTTACATCATAGATGACATCCAAATTATCTCTCCATCTTGAATTTCAGAGAGAATGTACCTTTTTTCACATTGTAATTTACATCAGAATTTCTAGAAGACTCATCCTGGACCCTTTAATAATATCATAACCAGAGGATCTAAAGTACCTAACAGTGAGGCTAAGTTCCAATTAAACCTGCCTCATCCATTACACAGAAGGAACAACTGAGGCTAGAAGGGCCAGTGACATGTTGTTTGTGGGCATATTTCTTGAGGACCAGAACACCACAACGCCACAGGTGTCATTCATTGCCTACTGAGCTACATTGCTGGGTAAGCTGAAGTTGGTTTTTTGTTTTGTTTTGTTTGAGACGAAGTTTCGCTTTTGTTGCCCAAGGTGGAGGGCAATGGCACGATCTTGGCTCACTGCAACCTCTGCCTCCCGGGTTCAAGCGATTCTGCCTCAGCCTCCCGAGTAGCTGGGATTACAGGCATGCACCGCCACCATGGCCAGCTAATGTTTTGTATACCATGTTGGCCAGCCCAGTCTCAAACTCCTGACCTCAGGTGATCCACCTGCCTCAGCCTCCCAAAGTGGTGGGATTACAGGCGTGAGCCACTGCACCTGGCCAACACTTTTAAGTGGAAAGACAGTGAAGGCTGTTGTCTCTGCCTGCTGTGATGTACCAGGAACCTTGAGTGCCTCTGTCCTCTCTGTTCTCAGACAGCTCCGGTTCCACATGGACAGAAATGTAGTGCCAGGTCTTTTGAAAAGTGGACAGTTTCCTCAGCCTGAGGCAAGTGCCCAGCCACTTTGTGTCCAGAGGGAACAACACTGTCCTCCCACGACGCTCCCTGAGTGGGCTGGGAAGTAGGGCTGCCCTGAGGGAGCGCAAGAGGGATTTTCTTCAGCTCATTTCAGTTGCTGTCTACCTGGCATTTCATTTAGGGGGCTCACAATTTAATACTGTTTCCAGGATGTAGGCCCAGATCTGCAGGTCTGGCCTTATGCAAACTGCAGCCTTGACTTCCCAGAGCACGGGGGCTGTGAGAGGAAACCCCCGCCATCCCCGCCTCAGGAGAGTGGTCCTCACCTCCGCCCAGCCCTTTACAAAGGACTCCCGGGGGCCTTTTCTGGACTCTGCCTACTCCAGGCCCAGTCATTTGGCCATTTCTTTTCCATCTGAGTGGGTTTGTAAAGCAGCAAATCACAGTGATTCGGCAGACTGTCACCACTCACTTTTTCTTTGGATTCTTGTGATGTCTTTAAGCTCTCACGAGTCCAGTTTCTCCAGCATTCTCCCTTTTTCCTGTATTCGCCAACGCTGGCCCCCACGGGCTCTCTCCCAACCCCCAAATAGAGTGACAAGACAACTTTGGAAACAACTTTCTTTACGAGAATCTTGAGTTCCTAATGAGTCTGACCTGGAGTAGGCTAGACCAGTGCAAATACTCCAGGCGTGCAGAGCGGGGAGGCCAAGGGCAGTGTGGGGAAGATGGGGGCATCGAGGGTGGCTGAGTGAGTGTCCTAATGATTCCTAGACCTACAGTCCCTTAGGAACTGCGTGGCTATCACACTGACCGCCTGGACCTGTTGGGATGAATACTAAAAGGTGGCTGTTCGCTGTCTAGTCAAGGTCGGTGAATGGGAGTCTGGCCAGCACTGGTTGGGCGGGGAGGGATGGTATGACACCTGCCTGACTCTGCCCGGAAACAAGGGGGGGACAACTGGAACCAGGTCTACTCTGGCTTGGGGAGTGATTCAGAGAAGGCTTTGAATGCCCCTTACTTTCCTCCCAAGGAGCTCTTCTGCCTGCCTCAGCGGCTATAGCAAGAGTGTGGACTTTGGGGTTCAGGCCCAGCACTACTCACTAGCTGTCACTTGGTCTTTCTGAGCCGCATTTCTGTTACGTAGGTGGAGGCCCCTTCCCATAGGATTGTCACGCGGAATAAAGACAACGCATGCTGAGGACCTGGCGCAGAGCAGACCCTTAGTAACAGGAGCTAATACTGGGATACAAACAGCCCCAGGTCCCCAAACCATCCAAAGAGCCCTCCCTGTTTCCTCTTCCGTTTCAAGACCATTGGGGGAAACGGTCTTGCCCTTCCTCTGCCGTAGCCTTCCTCAGTAGAACACACCACCTGGGGGCTGCTGTGTCTTGTTTGCTTTTAAATTTTCAATAACTTGGTACCAGCTGTTCTAGTATTTCTATCTCCCCGCCAGGAAGCTGCCTTCCTCCCACTGCAACGCCACCTGTCAAAAGCAGAGAGCCTGTGCATGCCTTCTTTTCAGACAAAAATAGTTCTCAGATCACCTGTGGCCTTGCCATCTCTGATGGAGATAGTCTCAACCTGTTTCCTCACTTCCCCTCCCAAACCCTTGCTCCAGGTTTCCATCCAGTATCTCTGCCACCTCCAGATCTGGAGCTTCCTCCAGTCCTTGCCCAGCATTAAGCTGGGCACCCGATTCTCTGCAGAGATAGCCCCACCACGGGAAGGAGGCATAGGGGCTTCCCTGACATCAAGAGAAGAGGACGACACACGACCCAAGGGTGGAAGAGACTGTGGTTCCCCAAAGCTTCCCAGTGCACTTGAGGGTTCACACTCTCCCACCACATGGTAGCACCTTGCCTGGGCAGTGGATCCTTCACCTCTGCCCTCACCTCTTCCTTATTGTGATGGTTCCCAAAGGGCTGCGTACAGAGATGGAGGGAATGACACTGCCCAGGTAACCCTTTCATATACACTGACCCCTTTCTTCCTTGCTGAAGACCTCGGCTAGCTCTGTCATCTTCATTTTGTAGATGCAGCACAGCCGGGTCTTAAAAGAGGTCAAACAGCAGACAAGCTCTAGGCCTGTTTACTCGTGTGTTAACCGGGTCATGGAGAGGAGCTGGACAAGCTGCTCTCTGCCATCCCCTCTAGCACCATTTGGTGACTTAACTTGGACAACAGCCATGTATGGGAAATATTAAAAGCAAGTACAGCCACAGCAGCAGCTGCTGGGGCCTCGGGGTAGCCCAGGCCCTGGGAGAGCCAAGAGGGAGGGCCTCAGGCCGGCATCCTACCCTTCAGAGGGAGGCTCCTTTCCTGTTGCTGTTTCTGGTTCCAAGACGCCTTCCCCAGGACCATGAGTTCAAGGAGGGTTCAGGCATAATACAGGCAACTCCCAATCCGCTCTAGAAGAGGGAAAGTTTCCATAGTGCAGAGACACTCCCTGCTACCAAGAAAAGGTGTCCGTGAGCCCATCCTGACAGACGAGATGCGCTGAGGCCTGTCTCCTGCAGCCACTGGCTTCCTGTCCCAGTGATAGGCTTCCACAGCCAGTACAGGACTAGAGCCTGGGGTCCCTGAGCACACACCTGTGTCAGGAGGTGCTGACCCAGAAGGGAGGCAGGGCCAGGGCAAGGGTTCAGCCCAGGAATGGAATGAAACTGCTGAGGGGGCTGCAGAGAGAAGCCTGCCCACCCGCTAGACTCCCTCTGGTGTTCCTGTAATGTTCCTCCCAGCTCCCCCAGCTCTTCCTGATAAGGGAGACTTGGTTTCCTCAGGGAAGAGGGGGGAAGAGTGGGCCTGGGAGGGAGGCTGGCATGACAGTCAGGGGACCCCATTCTCACCAGCTCCAGTTGCCTGTCAGACTCAACATTCATGAAGCATCTACTCTGTGCCAGGTACAGCGCTAGACTTTTTCACAAGCACTGCCTTATCCTCCCAGCAACCTCAGGAAGAGGGCATTGCCACCTACGTTTTATAGGCAAGGAAGCTGAGCTCTAGCAAGATGAAGGGACTTGCTCAAGCTGGCTCACATGAGTTACTAGCAGGGCCAGGACTTGAATCCAGACTCGGGGGTCCCTGTCCCATGCTCTGTGCCTGTGCTGTGTCTCCTCCCTCTGCCCTGCCTAGAGAAGCAGGAGTCCCAGCTGGGCTCTAGGGACAAAATGGCTTGTGTCAGGTCAGGTCCCTCAGGTGCACTTGGCAGGCTGACCCGTCTGTAACCCACCATCTGCTGGCCTCTGGAAGCAGAGTCAGGGTACAGCTTCCAGGGACACATGGGGCAGGAAGCCGAGGCTATGCTTTCTGAGGTGTCGCTGGCAGCAGCAGCCCTGTCCTTCCCAAGTTCTGCTTCAAAGCTGCTCAGGTTTGGTTGGGAAGGGGAAGAGGAAGAGTGACAGCCAGAAGGATGGAGCCATGAGCAGAACAGACTGGAGCAGCACGGATGTAGCAGGGTTCCAGCTGTTCACCTCAGCTCTGCTGTGGACAAAGAGGCTGGGTTGGCTTAAAGCTAACATCCTCAGTTCACTTCCTTAGAGTAACCAGTCAGTTCAAAGTGGGGAAAAAACAGGGCACTCGACAGATGGATCTCAGGGCAGGGAGGAAGAGTCAGACCCACCTGTGCTTGTCTCACCGTGTGGGTCAGTTTCTTCATCTGCAACATGGCTTATGTTGGAATCCATGGCTGTACAAAGTTCTTCCAGTTCCAAAAGCCCATGAACTTGGACTTCTCACAGATTTCAAGTATTTGGACCTGAGACTCCAAGCAGGTCACCCAAAGATTCAGAACTCAGAAGCTCCCCTAATACTCAGCCTTGCCCCCCACACCTTGAGCCTGAGAAAGGAAGGAAGAAGAGGGAAGTCCAGAGGGTGCAGAATTCTTCAGTGGGGAAAGAGGATCTGGAGCAGGTCTCTGGATCCCTTAGAAGCAAGGGGCTGTGGGACTGAGCTGGAAGCCTCCCCCAGGGGTCTGTGACCATGGGGCCCGGCTAAACCCTACTTGGCAGGAATCGCTGACCACTGTGGGGCCCACCCAGTCCAGCTGCTGTCCACTCAAGCAGCGGCAGGTGTCAGGTCACACCCAGGCCTCTCTCTTCCCCTCCCTTCAGAGCTACCATTGTGTCAGGCCAGCCCGGTGCGGTGTGAGCTCCTGCCCTTCCACCCCTTGTCCTATACCCCTCTTCTCCCATGACTTGGAGGCAGCAGACAATCCTGTCCCCTTCCTGGCCCCTTGCCCATCACTCCTCAGGGTGGATGGCTCTGCCATCTCTGTCTTCCACTTAGCAGCCTTGCTCCCCTCCTCAACACTATTGCCTGGGCTGGTACAAGAGATGGAGAGCAGCCAAAACAAAGCAGTTGGTCCAGCCTCCAGGTTGGAGCTGCTGTGTGTGGATGGAGGCGTGGGGGAGGAGGGACTCCAGATGAAGCAAAAGGATGGATCTGTGGGGGCAGCGCCCCTCTTCCTGGTAGCTCACTCGTCCATCCTCCACCCAACACTACTGTGCAGCAGAGGGTGGCAGGGTGAAAGAGCATGGAGATGAGGAAGGGCCTCACTTGGAGCTGGGGGCTGAGTGGTCTGAGTGGAGGAAGGTGGTGGTGGTGTAGTTCTGGAAGAGAGGCTGCAGGAACATGCCGATGGTGCCAAAGACACAGACAAAGACAAAGATCCAGAGGAAGAGGCGGTCGATCACCATGGCGACGTACTTCCAGTCCTCACTCACCTGGATGGAGGAGACGGAGGAGGCCCAGGTCACATGATGCAGGATGGGAGACAAACGAGTATAAGCGGGTCCCACCACACAGACACACACCCCACTCCTCTCCTGCAGTGATCCCAGAATGATCTTGTTAAAGCATGGCTCTGATCTTAGTAAAAGCCTCCAGTGGCCCCACTGCCTTCAGGGCCCATCCAAACTCCCCAGTCTGGAATCAAGACCACCCACGACAAATATGAGCCTATCTCCTCCTCCTCCCACCCCATAACATAGCCCTACCAAACCCTAGTGTGTCCTCCCAGATCTCTGTGTCTTTGGGTTTCCTTTGTGTCTGGAAATCCTGAGCTCCCTTTCTCTACCTGGTGCACTCCTACATATCTTTCAAAGCCCAAATCAAACATCACCTTCTCTGAAGGCTGCCTTGATCCCCAGATCAGCATGAACTGCTGTCTGCTCTGGGTTCCCTCTGCACTGTGTACACGTCTCCATCACAGTATATTTACTGTACTGTATTGTTTCAATTTGCATGCCTGTCCCCCTACTAAGCTACAAGTTCCTAAACAAGGACCCTGATTCATCTTTGTCATCTCAACATCTGGAACACAAGAGTGTTAAGTAAATGGCTGATGCTTTAGTGAGTTAAGTGGCTGCCTCAGCCGGCCTGGCTCCTTTTATGATCACACACTGAGCCCCATCCAACCACACTACGTCCCCAGAGGGTGAGACCAGGTCCCAGATGTGAACAAATCGGTCAAAAAGATAATGCTGTCTGTGGGTTTGAGAGCCAGTCACAAGGCTTGCACAAACGGCCAGCATCTCCTCAGAGCTGCTCTACTCCAGCCTGAGTCTGGGCCTTTGTGCACGTGTTTATCTGGAGCCAGGCCAGCTCAGGGGGTGGGGAGACAGCCACTGAGCATCTTTATTTAGTCAGCAGCTGAAGAACTCACTCGCTTGGCAACTGTGCCTGTTATATACCTGGCACCATGCTACACACTGGGGATGCAAATGAGCAACAGAAACGCAGCCAGTGGTTTACAGTCTACTGAGGGAGGTGGAGCAAAAATAAGCACAAATTTAAAAATTCCACACTGGCAAACAAAGGATTGAGATAAAAGGAGGAGATATCATTTAGAATGTGGTCTGGGAATGCCTTTTTGAGGAGGTGAGATTTAAGCTGAGGTCTGATGAGTGAGAGAGAACCAGCTGCATGAGGAAAAAGTTAAAGAAACAATCAGACAAACCCACACGGAGGGACATTCAGCCGGCCTGGTCCCTTTAAAAACGTTTATGCCATGAAAGACAAAGCTGAGGAACTGTTCCAGATTGAAGGAAACTAGAGACATGACAACTAAATGTAATTTGAGACCCTGGATTAGGATGAGGGTGGGGGGTGATGCTACAAAGGACATCACTGGGACAATCGGGAAAATTTAAATGTTGAATTTATATGAGATACAGATATCAATGCTAAATTTCCAGCAGTCGATCACTGAACCTGGGTTATGCAAGAGAGTGTCCCTGTTCTTAGGAGAGACACACTGAATTATTTGGGATAAAGGGTCACAGTGTCTACAATTTACTCTCAAATAGTAGAGTGAAAGTTAATAATTGTAATGATTTTTTTTTAAAGAAAAAGGGCATCCCAGGCAGAGGGACCCATGTGTGCAAAGGTCCTGAGGCCACGAAAGAGCTTGGCTTGCTTAAGACAAGATAAGCCAGGCTGGGCGCAGTGGCTCATGCCTGTAATCCCAGCACTTTGGGAGACTGAGGCGGGTGGATCACCTGAGGTCAAGGGTTTGAGACCAGCCTGGCCAACATGGTAAAACCCCGTCTCTACTAAAAATACAAAAAATTAGCTGGGCGTGGTGGCGGGAACCTATAATCCCAGCTACTCGGGAGGCTGAGGCAGGAGAATCGCTTGAACCCCGGAGGCGGAGATTGCAGTGAGCCGAGGTCGCACCACTGCACTCCAGCCTGGGCAATAAAAGCGAAACACATATCAAAAAAATAAATAAATAAAAGATAAGCCAGTGACCAGTGACCTGGGCAAGGAGGGAAAGGCATGAGCCGTGAGGGAGACATCTATTTGGATGCAGGAGCACAGGAGCTGAATCAGGGAGACTATTAGGAGACTCTTCTGCCCTAGGCCAGGCAAGAGCTGATGATGTCCTAGAACCAGGGTGTTAGCATGGAGATGCTGAAAAACAGATGAAGCTGAGAATGACTTTGGGGTTGTGACAGGACAAGACTTCTGATGAATTGGACAGAGAGGGAGGTGAGAAAGGACAGGATCAAGGATCCCTCTGGGTTTTCAGTCTGAGCCATTAAGTGAATGGTGATGCCGTGTACTAAAAACTGGTGGAGGAGCAAGTTGGTGGTTAGGATGTAGACCAAATACTCAGTTTTGAGCATGTTGAGTTTGAGGTGCCTGTGAAGCATCCAAGTAGGTCACCACATCCTCAGCACCTAGCTCGGTAAATGCACAATACATGCATGACTGCAGCAGGAGAGGTGGAGGCGGTAACCACAGCCTGCTGAGTCCCTGAATCCCAGCATCTCCCACTTGGCCTCAGCTGGCTCTAAGGTTCCCACCCCATCTCCTCTAGTGTATGCTCCCTGGTCCAAGCTTCAGCTCCAACCCATCTCCTGCTGTCCAGGGAAACAGATCTCTGAGGCCCACACCGCAGTGCCCTTCTTCATCCCCCAGCCAGAATGGCAGCTGTCCTAGAGGAAACCTGGCCAGTCACCATGGCAACAGCTGAGCCTCAGCCTGGAACCAGCCAGGTAGCCAGAGACTGACCACAGGGTGGGGCCGGCCCCTACCCAAAGTGCGGGGTCGGGGGGATGTCAGCCTATCATATCTCCCCCCAACTCTTGGCTCAGTCTCAAAGAAGCTCTCAGGGAACCCTGTAGAAGAAGCCAAAAGCCGGGTATGCAGAAAGCCTGAGGAAGGGGCCAAGGAGCCTTCCCCTTCACCCACCCCCATCTCCATAAATATTTCAGGAGGCCATCCCCTGGGACTCAGAAGAGCAGGGATATTGATTTAGGACTCCATGCTCTCCACCACAAGCAGGCTCCTGGAATCTCTAACCCCGCCACCAACGCCACCCCTCCCCCAATACACACCACTCCTACTGTCCTCAATGTTGCCCCCTCCTGCCTGTGTGGTGCACAAAAGACTCATCACTTGTGCTAAGAGCTGCAGGTTAACAACTTGGATGTGGGCATGCAAGCAGCGGGGGGTGGGGAGGGACTCTCGGGGTCACGGCCACAGGCTGGCTGCCAACCCTAAAGGGCCTCCTCGTGTTTCAGGCCTCCCTGCCCATATAACGATGCCCCAGCTCAGGCATTTTGCCCTGGGTGCTAGCCCTCAGGAAGCAGCAAGGTCATCTTCCACCGACTCCAATTTAGGCCGCACAATCTCCCGGAAGCCAACCCAGAAGGGCCCTAGCCAGCACCCAGGCCCGCAACACAGGCCTGACTCACATTTTCCTCCCCTACACTCCTACTACCTCTGCATGTCTATAGAACGCCGCTGCTTTCCAGATACCCGGGCCCTGGCAGACCCCATATCTCACGCCCGGGGTCCCAGCCTGCGGCACTCACGCTCTGGTCATCGTCCTCGCTCCGCATGTGGTCTGCGATGAAGCGCACGCCGTCCACCGCCTCCCGGAGGCCACAGCCACACGGCTCCCCTGAGCGCCCGGGGCCCGCCACTGGTGCAGGCTCAGCCCCGAAGGCCCCGGCCAACCCCTGCACCGACGCGCGGTTGACGAAGCACGTGCAGGAGTCGGCCCCTGGGGCTTCGCGGAAGAAGAGGGCTCCAGCGCCCTCGCGCTCACGCTGGCGTCGCCGCAGGCGCAGGCGCTGACGGGCGCAATGATGGCGTGGCTGCTGCATGAAGAGCAGCGCGGGCAGCTTCTCCAGGAAGACGACCTTCACCCAGGGCGCCATGGTGTGCGTGGTGGGCGAGCGGTGGTGCACGTTGAGCACGCACACGCTGGTGACGATGGAGAAGGTGACAAGCACCATGGTGAACATGAGGTACTTGCCGACGAGCGGCACGTCGAGGGAGGTGGGAGGCACGATCTTGGAGATGAGCAGCAGGAAGACCGTGAGCGCCAGCAGCACTGAGATGCACAACGTCATCTTCTCGCCACAGTCGGATGGCAGGTAGAAGACAAGGATGGCTAGCGAGGTGATGAGCACACAGGGGATGATGAGGTTGATGGTGTAGAAGAGCGGCTTGCGGCGAATGATGAAGTCATACGTGATGTCCACGTACGTAGAGTCGTCGGGGTTCTCGTTGCGCCGGCCCGGCAGCGCCACGATGTCCCACTCACCACTAGGTGTGAAGTCGTCCAGGCTGGCCACCTCACTCTTCAGCACCAAGTCGATCTCTGTGCGGTCGTAGGTCCACGAACGGAACTTCATGGTGCAGTTCTGCTGGTCAAATGGGAAGTGCTTTACTTCAATCTTGCATGCGCTCTTGTAGATGGCAGGCGGCAGCCAGAAGATGCTGCCATCATAGGAGACCACGGCATTGGAATAGAAGGACACCTCGTACATGCCGTCAGCACTGCCAAAGGATGGGCACAGTCAGCCCTGGCCTAAGCGTTCCTTCCTCCTTACCCATCAACCCAGCCCCTAATGGGAGGAGAGCAAAACCAGAGGGAGACATGGGGAGGGGACACCCAGATCTGAGAGTAACCATCCAGGAGTATAGAGAGGTGGAATTGAGCAAGAAGGGGATATGGGGAGGGGGGGGAAGGTTAGTGACCAGAAGAAGTGTCCTGGTCAGAAGGCCTGTGTGACACCTTGCAGGTAGAAGGGGGTGGTGGGTGGAGGAAGGGGACACATCTGCTACTTGTCACACATTGTATAAGCTGGTTGATCCTCATGAGGGTGGAGAAGTCAGGGGAGCCAGGAGGCCAGAGTGAGGAGCCCCAAGCAATGGAAGGGGACAGGGCATGGTCCCATCAGTTGAGGAAGGTGGCTTTGTACCCTAGAGATAAGATGGATTATTGCAGGAGACAGGATAGAACCTGGAGGAGAAACTGGGACCTTAAAGTTCTTTGATCCTTCCCAGGCTTCCAGGAAAGCCTGTTCCTGAATCAGTTGAGGCGCTGGGGGCTGTCAATACTTGTTTGTATCCCCACCACATCATCAAATACATACTGGGAGTCCTAACCGGCTGGGAGTGGGCTGGTCATTGCCCAGGTCACCTTGGCTGTCCACGCTGTACCTCACTGGTCTGGGTCTGTCTGTCTAGGTAGTGACTACATATCTATTATAAGTCCCTCCCCTCCCACAGCATAAGTAATTTCTCTTATTTTCCCCAGAACCCCTTCCCTCCCTGAGCCCTCCAATGGTCTCCCCCAACCTTCCCATTGCACCTACTTGTTGTACAGGACCACATCTGGGAGCCAGATGTGTTTGGAAGGGAGCCGAACTTTCTTCATGTTGTCAAACTCTTCAGGCTTCCAGGTGAGGCGATAATCTTCCCACTCCTGGGAAATGAGAGAGGGAGGCAGTACCAACTTGTGCCCTGGGTGGGGCTCAAGGTTAAGGAAACGAACTAGAGGGGGCCCATATGGCTTGAGGGACCTTTTAAAAGCCAGCCTCTTCCCCACAGTGACTTCTCTGCCCATCAGGTATGGCTCATGTGGTACTTTCTCATTTAATTTGCACAGCTAGGCCAAGGTACAGTATTAGAATCTACATTTACAAATGAGAAAATGAATCTTGGAGAGTTTAATATGTTTAAAGTCACAAGGCTGGTGAGTGCCAAGATTCAAATCCAATTGTTTAGGACTCCAAACTCTATACCTTTCTGCCTGTTTTGAGAGATTAAGAAAGAAAAAAGCACATGGGGAAAAAGGAGGAGAGAGAAGGCCAGGGGTGTGGGTGGAAGAGAGCACTTACGCTTACCTGGGTCAGCCAGACATTGGTGGTCATGATCTGCTCCCGCTCATGCTGCAGGGAGGAAGAGAGGCTGCCGAGAAGGCCCCTAAGCCTGTGGGGTCACTGCCACCACCCAGGGTCCCTCTCACACCTCCCCAAGCCTTGGAAACACCAGGGGAGGAAGCACACAAGCATTAACACATTTTGGCGGGGCTGATTTCAGTAGCTGGGCAGAGAGCCTGGGACCTCTACTCACCACACTGATGAGCTGGGCCAGTGACACCATAAGCTGTACTGTCACCAGCTCAGAGCCATTGGTGGCTGGGCGGATAAGCTTGTTGTAGCGGGAAGGATCCAGGAGATGCTCCACCAGCCGCTCCTCTGTATCCGTACCCCACACCCCTGGGCAGGGGAAAGGCAGGACGAAAGTAAGCAGGCAAGGAGAGCCCACCCAGCATCCCACCCTCCCCAGGCAAATGGGACAATCCAGGCCCAACCAGTATCTCCCTACATCCCTAAGGATACTGCAAAATGCTTAGATTAACCCCAGGGAGGCCCCAGATTAATGTCTTCATAGAAAAGCCCCTCTCTGAGACCACTGACCAAAGAGTCTACACAGCTCCACAGAGATGACTTGAGACTAAGAACCCACTCTGCAAGGATTCATGGAGACCTGCTCTTCCCCCAAAGTCTCAGAGGGCAGTTTGAGATTTCTGCTTCCATGGCTTCCCCAGCAAATACCTATGACTCAAGGGAGGTTTAGCAGGGCAGTGAAGGTGAACAGTTATTTGTCCCAGTTATTTGTGTCCCACCACACACATCCTTTCTCCTGCCGATTGAGGAGAAAGTGTATGTGTGGTGGGACACAAATAACTGTTCCCGTTCACCATTTACATGTGCAAATGACATTATGTGCCTCACGTAATGACATGTGACTGTGGTCACGATGCCATCCTCCCCTCTCCCTAAAGGCACTGGGTTGGAGTGGAATAGCTGGGCTGCCTAAGCTGTGGGTCAGGCATATATGTAGCCCCAAGTTTCACACACACAGCAGCCCACCCCTAGAGGTGGCCTGTAGGTGTGGAAAGCTCATTCAGTTGTGCATTCCCTTTGTACCTGCCCCTCCCCGGCACACTGCATCCCCCTCTGCAACTCTGCACGAACACACCCCTCCCCATCCCCTCAGAGAGTTCCTTCCTAGTCCTCAGCCTGGCAGAGCTTCTTCCCTTCCAAGCCTCCTGTCCCACCCTACAGGAGGGTTGAAAAGTCCGTTCCGTTTTCTCCCCTTCTCTGCCCCTGAGGGGTGACGAGAATCTGGAGCCCAATGTGGGGGATGGGAAACGATGGGGAGCCCGGGGAGGGGTGCTGGTCCAGGTACCTTTCTTGAGATAATGTTTCACAAAAAGTCAGATGGCATCTTAGCGCCCTCAGAGCCGGCCTCCTGCCACCCCAGGACGCCTGGGGAGATCCCCTGCCTCCTTGCTCTCTGTGCCTGCACCACCCCTACCACCGCTGGCCAGGTTTCCATCTCTTTCTTGCTTCACTTACTCCTTCGAGTATGTCTCGTTCCCAGTCCAGCCTCCCAGGTGCTCTCTGCAGTCCCGGGGGGCTCTCCCCTAACCTCCAGCAGACTCCCCCACCTCTAGGGAATCCCTTCTTCCACCTTCCGGCCTAGCAGGGGTGAGTCAGAGGGCGGCGAGTCTTGGGCCGTTGGCTGGGGTAGGAGAACCTGGCCAGTGCCCGTCTTTCCCTTACCTGAGCACAGCCGGAGGAGGCCGAAGCCAAGGAGCAGCGCCACGGGGCCGCAGCGCCGGGCCATGCCGCGGGCATAGCTCGCTGCCTCGCCTACACCGGCTGGAGCGCGCCGCCGGGGGGAGGGCCGCGGGTGGGGCGCTGTCCGTGGTGCTGAAGCCGCGCCCGCCTGGAGCTGGGTCCAGGTGGTGCCGGCCGCCGCGGTGGTTCCTGGGCCTCAGGGAGCCGGCTGCGAGGAGAAACCAGCTTCTTGCCTATCCTGGTATGAGCAGGCGGAGGCTTTTCCGGCTGCTCTTCCAGGGAATACAATTGGGACGGTGAGGGGGAGGAGTCTGCGCCCCGGAGGCGGAAACGCTGGGTCCCAGGAAAAAAAAGGGGGGTCCCCGGCTGGGATAGTCTTCGATTGGTTCTGCCGTGGTAGGGTGTGCGTGAGGTGGAAGAAGGGCTGTTCCTCCACGGCACGGTGGAGGAGTTCTGAAGTCCTAAAGTTGGGGCAGGACCTGCAGCATGGTCGGAGAAGGGGCAAGAGGCCCGGCGGGAAGAAGCAGCAAGAGTAAGACAAGTAGGTCAGGGCCTGCTTAGTACTGAGGGCCAGACGGCCAGAACGAGCGTCGGGAGACAGGAGGAGTGTCCGGGGTTTTCGCCCTCCTTTTTTCTCTTACCAAACCCAAATGGTCCTGCTCCCCAGGTAGGCTGAGGATACAGCAGAGAAAATGTGTTTAGCCCCTTAAAGAGATAGGGGGCTGTGGGTTTGCTATTTTTAAGAAAGCAAACGGCTTTGGAGTCTAAAAGGCTAAGCTTCCTGCCCTCCCACTGAGGGTCTACCTGAGGAGGTCTAGACTTGCCTGCAAAGAAGGTAGACTTGAGGGTAATAGTGGAAAGACAAGTAGCCCCTATTCATCGGCCTTCCTCACCCCCTTCTCTTGACTCCAGCTGTTGGCTTCTGTGTGACTAGGGAGATCAGAGACCACTCACAGAGGCCTGATCAAGAGAGAAGCTAACACAAAGGAGACCAAAGATGAGAACCCTGAACTCTTAGCCCCTTTTTTTCCTTCAGTGGGTTCGTTGTCACTTTCAACCAAAAGATTCCTGACTAAAGCAGACTTAGCATACAGCAAGGCTCTGTCCTGTTTTGTCCCTGCTTACTTCAACCTCATCTGGGTCACTCCACCCCCAGCTCCACATTCCAACTATTGGCAAGGTCTTCAGGATCCTTGAACATCTTATCCGTCCCATCATCCCCCACACTTCAGGGACTTAAATGCATGGTTCTCTTGGGCTCTTTTATAACCCATGTTCCCCTCATCACCTTCTACTTAACTTTGAGCATTTGGCAGGAATGTCAATTCCTTAAGGAAGCTGCGCCTGACCAAGAACTAGATCAGATACTTTGTTATATGTTTCCAGAGCATGTCCAATGAATAAATGAATCCACCTGAGGCAGTGGCTGCCTCTCTAGATTATGAATCAACACAGTGCCTGGCATATTATTATAAGGGCTCAACAGGTAAGGAAAAGGGCTAGTACTGGACTGACACTTTTTAATGTGTAGGGAAAATTTCTCTCTAAAAGCTCAGCTAGGGACCAGGAGAGGTGACTTAAGCCCGTAATCTCAGCACTTTCAAAGGCTGAGGCAGAAGGATCACTTGAGCCCAGGCGTTTGAAACCAGCCTGGGCAACATAATGAGATCACGTGTGTACAAAAAGTTTAAAAATTAGTCGGGCATGATGGTGTGTGCCTATAGTCCCAGCTACTCGAGAGGCTGAGGTGGGAGGATCACTTAAGCCAGGGAGGTCGGGGCTGCAGTTTGGGGCATGATGGCGCAACTGCACTCCAGCCTGGGCAATGAAGCAAGACCCCATTTCAAAAACTAAACAAATAAATAAATAAAAGCCCAGCTAAAAGCAACTTATTGACCATGTCCCCAGGTCGTGGAATTAAGGGAAGAAGCAGAAAAGTTCTAGAAGAGGACTGGAGAAGTAGAAGGACTACAGACCCCATGATGCACATGGAAATGGGCGTAAATCTGCACGACTTGTTCCGGGGCATGCGCATGTGTAAGCGCACAATAATCTCTTAAGAATTAAAGAAACCTTGTAACAAAGAAAAGTAGTGAAGAAAAGCCTTAAGGAAAAGAGAAGGAATGTGTGTAGTCCCTCTGCTTAAGGAAAAGATAGAGGGTGGGAAGATCTTCCTTCAACAATTTAGATCAACATTTGTTAGGTATATGTGGTTTGCCAGGAAACTGCATGTGTGTTGTGGACCATATGTGTTGAAGATGCAGTGATCAAAAAGACTTAGTCCCAGCTATTAAGGAGATCACAGTTTGGCAGCAAATTATTATAGAATGTGATGGCTGTTCTAACAGACATATAAAGGAAGTGCTATGGATGGAAGCACAGAGGAAGAAGAGGTTAATAGTGTCTAAGAACCTAGAAGGGATGAAGATGAAAATTGAGATTTGAAAGGTGAGAAAGTCATTAAGACAAGGATGACTTAAAGGTATTCCAAACTCCTAAGAAATACAGGGAGTTTTGGTGGATGCAGAATGATTGAGGAAGGCTGTGAAAGTCTTCTCTTAACAAAAATCTCTTTCTGTAATGGTTGCTTGTTTATGGGATGAGAAACTAGGGGGTCATTTGCTTGCTTAAAGCCTCTGGCTTCTCCTGATGCAACTTCCAGGCCAGTCTACCTTCTCTTCTCAAATCCCCCAGCTTTTGCTTCAAGTTTACTTCCAGCCTGGCAAGGAGTGAGTCTTCTGAGCACAACCACCCAGTGTCCAAGCAGGGCGGGAACACCTCCTTCCTCATCTCTCCCACACATACTCCTTCCATACCCACCAAGAAGAAAGGCAGCCAGGAAGAGTGGACAGGTCCAGAACCACAGAGGGTGATGAACAGATGCAGAAGTATCAATCCTGAGGCTAAAGAGTAATTGGGCAAAGTTTTGGTGAGACACTCCCATTGCCACTGATGATAAGGAATGTTTTCTCTTGAAAGGCTTAAAATTGGTGGAAAGCGGTGGCTCACGTCCGTAATCCAAGCACTTTGGGAGGCTGGGGCAGGTGGATGGACTGAGCTCAAGAGTTCAAGATCAGCCTGGGCAACATGGTGAAACCCTGTTTCTACAAAAAATTTAAAAATATTAGCCAGGTGTGGTGGCACGTGCTCCCAGCCTGGGCAACACCTCCCAGTACTTGGGAGGCTGAGGAGGGAGGATATCGTGAGCCGTGGAGGTGGTTGCAGTGAGCCGAGACTATGTCACTGAACTCCAGCCTGGGCAACAGAGCCAGACCCTGTCTCAAAAAAAAAAAAAAAAAAAAAGGTTGGGGGGAAAGGCTTAAAATCAATGTTATTGTCCTTTATTTAAGGCGTTTTAGGCTGAGTGTGGTGGCTCGCACCTGTAATCCTGGCACTTAGGGAGGCCAAGGCAGATCACCTGAGATCAGGAATTCAAGACCAGCCTGGCCAACGTGGTGAAACCCGGTCTCTACTGAAAAATACAAAAATTAGCCTGGTGTGGTGGCGCATGCCTGTAATCCCAGCTACTCAGGAGACTGAGGCAGGAAGAATTGCTTGAACCTGGGAGGCAGAGGTTGCAGTGAGCCGAGATTGCACCACTTCTTCACTCCCAGCCTGGGCAACAGAATGAGACGCCATCTCAAAAAAAAAAAAAAAGATGTTTTAAATTTTAAAATTTTTATTACAAAAGTAATACATGTATTCGTCATGAATACCAATTGGAAAACAAGTCAGCAAAACATAGTAAGTACAAAATGGATTCATACTCCTACCTCCCAGGAAAAAAATCAGTGTTAGCAATAATATATTTCACACACACACATACCCCTCCAAATTTATCTATATATACTCGGATATAACATTCATACAGCAAAGTATATACAAGTGTACAGCTAAATTTTCACAACATAAACACAGCCATATAGCCGCAATTTAGATTTTTTTTTTTAAAGAAACACACATAACTAATATCCAGAAGTCCCCATGATGACCCTTCCAGCAGTTACTCTCTCTTCTTCAAAAGTAACACCTTGGGGCCAGGCGTGATGGCTCACACCTGTAATCCCAGCACTTTGGGAGGCTGAGGCGGGTGGATCACAAGGTCAGGAGATCGAGACCATCCTAACACAGTGAAACCCCGTCTCTACTAAAAATATAAAAAAAATTAGCCGGGCATCGTGGCGGGCACCTGTAGCTCCAGCTACTCGGGAGGCTGAGGCAGGAGAATGGCGTGAACCCGGGAGGTGGAGCTTGCAGTGAGCCGAGATCGCACCACTGCACACTCTAGCCTGGGCGACAGAGCGAGACTCCATCTCAAAAAAAAAACACCTTGGGAGGAGGGAGGAATGGGAGGTGGTGACTACTTACCTGGAACTAGACAGTAGTAATGGTTATACAACTTGTGAATGCACTGAATGCCACTGAGTCATACACTTTAAATTAGTTAAAGTGGCAGATTTTATGTGTAATTTTACCACAATTTTAAAAAAATGACTGAAGGTAAAATAAATAACTACTGTCCTGTCTTCTAATAGCATAGATCGACTTTGCCTGTGGAACTTTTTATAAATGGAAAAATGGAATCATCATCTTCAGTGTGTGTCTGGTTTTTTTTGTTTGTTTGTTTGTTTTGAGATGGGAGTTTTGCTCTTGTTGCCCAGGCTGGAGTGCAATGGCATGATCTTGGCTCACTGCAACCTCCGCCTCCCGGGTTCAAGCAATTCTCCTGCCTCAGCCTCCTGAGTAGCTTGGATTACAGGCATGTGCCACCACACCCGGCTAATTTTTTTGCATTTTTAGTAGAGATGGGGTTTCACCATGTTGGTCAGGCTGGTCTTGAACTCCTGACCTCAGGTGATCCACCTGCCTCGGCCTTCCAAAGTGCTGGGATTACATGTGTGAGCTACCATGCCCGGCCTGTGTCTGTTTTTTTAAAAAACATGTTAGTGAGAATCGTGAACACTGCTGAATATAGTTGTAGTTCATTCATCTTCATTGCTGTGGACTATTCCATTGTATGAATACACTATCATTTATCCGTTTCACTATTGATGGATATTTTGGTTG
This sequence comes from Homo sapiens, assembly GCF_000001405.40. Taxonomy (NCBI): domain Eukaryota; kingdom Metazoa; phylum Chordata; class Mammalia; order Primates; family Hominidae; genus Homo; species Homo sapiens. The sequence continues at coordinate 154,563,023 of NC_000001.11, read as the reverse complement.
TTTCCTATTTGGACTATTAAAAAATAATACTGCTGTGAACACTCTTGTTCATACTTTTGGTATACAAATACAGTCATGTACCATGTAATGACTTCTCAGTCAACAAGATTGCAATATACAAAGGTGGCCCCCATAAAATTATAACACTGTATTTTTGCTGTACCTTTCCTGTGTTTAGATAGATACATGAATACATATTATTGGGTTTCAACTGCCTACAGTAATTGCAGGAATTCTAGTGGGCACGGGGAATGCAGCAACTGTATTCACTACAGTATAACATGCAGTACAGGTTTGTAGCCTAGGAGCCATAGTCTAGACCCTATAGGCTAGGTGTGTAGTAGGCTACACCATCTAGGTTTGTGTAAGTACACTATGATGTTCACACAACAAAAAAACCACTGAGACACATTTCTCAGAATGTATCCCACCATTAACTGACACATGACTGTATATGCATTTCTGTTGGGTACATAACTAAATCGCATATTTTTTTTTTAATGGAGCACACTGTAACATAGCTTTGTAACCACCTTTCTTTTTTAAATCTTCAGCTCACTTCAGTCTAATCTTTTTTCATTTACTATTTCTCAAACAACTCTCCATACCAATAAGTATTTTTGATAACTATTTTTCACAGCTACAGTTTTCCCTTTTAGGCAAATTTGTGCACGTACCTTTTCTTTCCAAGTGTAATTGCTGGGTTAAAGTTTTAACGTGTTTTGAATATTAACTGCTAAACTGACTTTCAGAAGCATTGATACTACCAGGCTATCAGGGTTACCCTGGGATCTCAGGCAATAGCCCCAACGACCAACACCTCTACAACTCTTGCCTATGCTGAGCTCCCTCCTTGTCTCTTTCCCTTCCTTTTATTTGAGTCAGAGTCTCACTGTCACCCAGGCTGGTCTGCAGTGGCACCATCTTGGCTCGCTGCAACTTCCGCCTCCTGGGTTCAAGCATTTTTCGAGCCTCAGGCTCCTGGGTAGCTGAGACTATAGGCGCCCGCCACCACGCACGGCTAATTTTTGTATTTTTAGTAGATACAGGGTTTCACCATGTTGGCCAGGCTGGTCTCAAACTCCTGACCTCATGTTATCTGCCTGCCTTGGCCGCCTCCCACAGTGCTGGGATTACAGGCGTGAGCCACTGCACCAGCCCCCTTCTTAAGTCATTCTTTCTTTGTTTTAGACCTTTCTTCCCAACCTCCTTCTACTTTAGGGCCCAGTTCTTTCAGAATGTTCTCCCATTCCACCTAAGAAACTCTTACTTTCACATTTTTTTTGGAGTTAATCCTATTAATAATATCACCCTTCAAGGCCGTTCCCCTTCTTGATCCCTATTATTGTGTTCATCGTATTGTATTACTGTTGGTGAGATTTGGCTCCACTTCATCCATCACTGTGTGCTCCTAAGGGCTGGAGCAAGAATACAACAAAACTAATAAGTAGGAACTGTCCGGTAAGAAGCCTCTCCTCTGTACCACAAATCACGTTCTCACAGGGACCATTATCTTCTTTATCTCTGCATCCCCAGTGCCCTCTACAATTCCTGCAAAGACTAAGTGCTCAGGACATTATTTGTTGAGTCAATGACAGAATTCTATGCTCAGGGAGCAAGTCAAAGGAGAAGGTTGCTCACTCTACTCCAAATATGGGCACCCGTAATGAATGATTTTTTGGAGGAAAAAAAAATCCCTACAATCCATTTTCCACAGAACAGCCAGAGTGATCTTTTAAATTTGTTTTTGTTTTTGAGACGGAGTCTCGCTCTGTCGCCCAGGCTGGAGTGCAGTGGTGCGATCTCAGCTCACTGCAAGCTCCGCCTCCCGGGTTCACGCCATTCTCCTGCCTCAGCCTCCCGAGTAGCTGGGACTCCAGGCGCCTGCCACGACGCCCGGCTAATTTTTTATATTTTGTTTAGTAGAGACGGGGTTTCACCGTTAGTGAGAATGGTCTCAATCTGCTGACCTTGTGATCCGCCCGCCTCGGCCTCCCAAAGTGCTGGGATTACAAGCGTGAGTCACCGCGCCCGGCCGATCTTTTAAATTTTTAAATCAGCTCATGCCACTCCCTGCTTAAAATCCTCCAGGAGTTTCCCACTGTGCTTTAAATAAAACCCAAACAATGTACTGTGGTCTCCATAATCTAGCCCCTGCTTTCTTCACTGGACTCATCTCCTACCCTTCTCTCCTTTCACTAGACACAAGCCTTGCTGAGCCCCAATTTTTAAAAAAATGTTTGAGTTCTTACCATGGGCACTATTTTATGCACTTTACGTGTGTTCTTACATAATCCTCCTAACAAGTAAGTACTATTATGATCTCCATTTTACAGGTGTGAAAACTAAGGCACAAACAAGCTAAGTAATTTCCCCACAGTCACATCATTAGTAGTTGGCAGAGCTGGGGTTCAACACACTAAAAAAGGCAGAGTAGGGTACAAGGGCATGGACTTTGGAGACAGGCCTAGGAACTCTGTTTACAGACTGTATATCCTTACAGAGTCACTCCTTTTCCCCAGTTGTAAACAGGGGTAAAAATACTTACCTTGCAATGTTGTTGGGAGATTTACAAATATTTGCACCTGGGCACAGTGGCTCACACCTGCAATCCCAGCACCTTGGGAGGCCGAGATGGGCAGATCACTTGAGCCCAGGAGTTTGAGACCAGTCTGGGCAACATACCAAGACCCCTTTCTACAAAAAAAATACGAAAATTACCCAGCTGTGGTAGCATGCGCCTGTAATCCCAGCTACTTGGGAGGCTGAGGTGGGAGGATAGCTTGAGGTCTCCCGAGGCTGCAGTGAGCTGAGATTGTGCCCCTGCACTCCAGGGCGAGAGAGCAAGACCCTGTCTTAAAATAAATAAATAAATAAATAAATAAATAAATATATATATATATATATATATATATATATTTGCAAAACACCTTCGCTCAGGAAATAATTAACAGGAATTCCCACCACAGCCTTTTATGCTATCAGCTTGCACACACAGACACAAAGTCAACATGTAGCAAACTGTTCAGGCTACCTAAACCAGATAAATGGCCCCACGAAGACCAGGAACAGACTATAATCGTCTTTAAATACCCATACCCCAACTTGACCAAAGGAGGCCTCTGCAGAGGCAATTGAATAGTCTTCCAGCAAAGGCTAGCTCATTTTAGTACAAGTGGGAGAGAAACGGGGCAATCTGACCAGTGGTTTAAGGGCTGAGTTGGCCCAGCAGAATTGACTAGGCCTTACCACAGGCTAATAACACTTGCCCTTGGCAAAACGAACGCCAGCTCGGGATTTCTGTAGCTTCAACCAGCTTTGTCCTTTGTGATAGTGCCACCTAGCGAGGGTCCGGAGGCACTACCTACTCCTGGCAGCTGCCAAGACCACTGCGACAAGGTGTTAGCCATTTAGGCCTAGGAAAGGGAATGGGGACCACCCGAGTCAGCACTCCTTCCATGACTCTGTGGAGGAAGCCCATGCTGTCCTTCCCCCAACCTCGTCCAGACCCATGGGGTCTGAAAAGCGCGAAAGGCCTGATATTAACTAACACTTGTACATAACACAGCAGTGATCTATTATCATTCCTCATTTTATGGTGTCCTCGCATCGAATCCCTCCCTGGGAATAGGAAAAACAGGCATCATTCTCATGAGAGCCATTGTACAGATGAGGAAACTGAGACTCGGCGGGAAAGTGGTTAACCCAAGGTCACAAAACGCCATGAGAGCCAGGGCTGGGACGAGAATCCACGCCTCTTCCATTCCGGTTCCCGGCTCCTACCCCGACCACCCACCCGAGTGTGAAGACACAGCATGCCCACCCCCACGGGGAGCAGAGGCTCCAGGATCCTGCGCCGAAGACCAGCATGTGGGAGCAGGATAAAGACTGCACGGGGAAGACAGCACTTCTTTCTTCTCTGTCCATGGAGTGCCGGGCACGCTCGCCACGGCTCGGGGGCGGGGGAAGCGGCGCCCGGGGCAGGAAACAGCGTCCTGCGCGGGTAGCCCCTGGGAGCACGCGGCACCGAGTCACGTGAGAGGGGAGCGCAGGCGAAGGGGCGTCGCGCGCAAGCACGCACGACATACGCAAACTCGCACTGAGGCGCCCACAGAGGCAAGCCCCAGGCCCCGGGTCACATGTGGAGGGTGGCAGGCGAGAACAGGGGGGCGGGAAAGACGGAGAGATCACGTGGAGGAGGCCAGAGCAGGGAAGTCACGTGAGGGGGACGGAGGCGGGGCCGCCTAGGAGGAGGAGGAGGAGGAGGGGCGCGCGGCTTCCGGCGGCTGGGGGGGCCAGCGAGCGGAGGGGGGGGCCTGTCCCGGAGGTGGCGGCGGCGCCATCTTGGCGAAGGGGGGATCAGGAAGTGCGGACCGCGGCGGCGGCGGCGGCGGCGGCGGCGGCGGCGGAGCCCGGAGCGCAGGCCGGAGGCTCCCGGCCCGCCGGCCCCGGAGCGGAGCGGAGCGGAGGATGCAGCAGCCGCAGCCGCAGGGGCAGCAGCAGCCGGGGCCGGGGCAGCAGCTGGGGGGCCAGGGGGCGGCGCCGGGGGCCGGGGGCGGCCCAGGGGGGGGCCCGGGGCCGGGGCCCTGCCTGAGGCGAGAGCTGAAGCTGCTCGAGTCCATCTTCCACCGCGGCCACGAGCGCTTCCGCATTGCCAGCGCCTGCCTGGACGAGCTGAGCTGCGAGTTCCTGCTGGCTGGGGCCGGAGGGGCCGGGGCGGGGGCCGCGCCCGGACCGCATCTCCCCCCACGGGGGTCGGTGCCTGGGGATCCTGTCCGCATCCACTGCAACATCACGGTGAGGACCCCCTCGCGTGCGCCTCTGTGGGGGCCCCTTGTCAGGGACCCAGGATCACTCCATCCAGCTTTTTGCTCTCGAAGGACCTGGGAGGCCGAAGCCCCTCTCAGGGCTCAGTTCTTTCTCTCCAGGTTACATTTGTTTCTGCTGCTTGAGGTTATGCAGTGCACCCAGAATCTCTACCATTGACCCCAATAGCAAGGGACACCCCGACATATGGCGCCTAGACTACCCGTTTCCACGAACCCACCCACATCCCAAGGTTCATGATTTTGGCTCTTTTTGGCTACTCCTCCACAACTTTACCTTGCCACCTAGGAATGCGTCTTTCTTCCCCTTACTCTTATTTCAAGGTTTTAGGCCTCGGCACTGACCCTAACTGCAAAGACCTGGCCTGAAACTCACTGCACATTTCAGCGATGCCCCCTTCTCAGTAGTACCTCTGACTTAGGAGGTTGCCACCTGTGGGATCCCCGCCTAGGCATCCCTCATGCAGACCCTCTTGCTCTCTCAACTTCACCAAGTGATAGTTTGCAATTCATTGACTCCTCTTCCTTCTCTCCTTTGGATTCTTTTTCTGGTGTAACCTCTAACTCTCCTCTTTTTGCCTCAGCTGGTAGCAGTTCTGCCACTCCCCTGCCTGTTCCCTATGGATATGTCCATTTGCCCTGGGTTGTTGCTTTTCCTGGTAATGATAGTGATGTGATGTGCGAGGGCTACCCCCATTTATTCTAAGCAGTAACAGTTGCATTTCTCCCCTGTGAGCGTCATTCCATCCTAGGCATACACCTTACATGTCTCCTGCCTGGTCTACCCTCAGACATCCCTTGAACAGAGAATTGGCTTCTGCTAATTTGGGAATGTCTGGTACTGCATGCTATAGCACTTATATTGGTTGATGTTACCTGCTGTGATGGTATTCTCTCTACCGGAGCAGTAGCTGAAATGCTAGCAGACAGTACTTTATCCAGGCAGGCAGACCTAATCGGAGTAGCCTGGGGAAAGGCAGAGTTGTGAATTCTCTGCTACTTGGGGGCCTGAATTCAACTTACTGGTGTTTTCTGTCCGTTTTCTCAATCAAACCAAGTTAAGATTTGGTGAGGTAAAGCCTCAGTTTGGATTGATTGGTGCCCCACCAAAACTCATATGTCCCATTTCTCTTTTCATTTCCTTTCTTTTTTCCTGCTAGAAAGTTAAAATTGAAGGACTAGGAGTGGCTTAGTTAAGTGAAGACTTGGGCATCTTTGATAATTATTTTTCCTCCAGCATTGAGGATTAGAGTCATGGCAATGCTAAGATACCCAGTAGAGGTGGATAAGGTTTCCCTGGCTTGTGTGGGAACCTCGAGTTAATTTTGTTCCTGAATTAAGCTTCTAATTCCTTAAGGGTAGGTTTGCCCCTATCCAGCTGCTCTTTCTGTTGCCAGAGGCCATTTACTGCGTTTGTCCCTGGCAGGAAGTTAAATTTAGGGGGTCCTCAGCCAGACTCCCCATGGCTATAAAGGAGACTTGGCCTAAACTAGCCCCCTTGGTTTGGGCAGAGAGGGAGTCTGGTCAGGCTGCATTTGGCACCGTGGCTCAGGAATGCTGGGAATGTCAGTAGCGTAGGCTTCTTTCTCCCAGCCTGCCATGTGGAGCCCTACAGCCCACGCCTGGACTGAGAAGGTGGCAGGTTCCCAAGGGAGAGGTGGGGAGAATTGGTCTTTGAGGGGCTCTTCTGGAAGTGGTGTGGGTAGATTCTTGCCAGTACCCTTTTACTCTTGGGTTCTGGAGATACAGTCTAGTTTTTATACTTCTTCCCTACTGAACTCTGCTTTTTTCACTTCAGTGTCATTGTGATGAGGTGATCCCTTCCTCAGCCGATTCTGGAGTTTGAAAAGCAAGCTTGGAGGACTGTTCTGGGTCCAGGGAGAACTTGAAGTCTAGAACTTGTATAGGCAGTGCAGGAGATGAGGAGTCCCCCTTCGCTGTTAGCCAAGTTTGGCTGTGCTAGGTTTCCTGGTTTGTACTCTCGAGGAAAGAAAGAAAAGGTTTCAGTCTGCTTCTCGGAAAGGGTCTTCCCAGGGACTGTTTTTCTTCCAGTTTAGAATTTGTTGTGAAGCTGCTTGGTTAGATGCTGACCTAAGTTGGGCTTTTATGTGTGTGTAGGGGGTGGGGGTGGGAAGCAAAGGGGCTAGAAGTCTTGGGGGGAAGAGGACAGGCAAAATCTGGCTTTTCCCAGAGTCACCCATTTTGATTGCTCTTATTGCTCTTTTCCCTTCAGGAGTCATACCCTGCTGTGCCCCCCATCTGGTCGGTGGAGTCTGATGACCCTAACTTGGCTGCTGTCTTGGAGAGGCTGGTGGACATAAAGAAAGGGAATACTCTGGTGAGGGGGCCACAGGGTAGGGGTACATTTTGTTCTTATGAGGCCCATGCCACAAAGGCATCCTGTGAAAGGGATCCTGAAAAGTGGACGGTACACAGCTAAACATTTAGGGGATGACCTCTCGGGGGAGTTGCTTACTGAAGCCAGAGGGAGACCCTGCATCGGCCCTGGGATTGGTCCATCAGGAGACTCATTCCCACAGCCACGTGGCCCATAAGGCTTAGAGAACTAGTTATTGGTGTGGGGCCCAAACTAAGAGCTCATCCATGCACTTATCCAGATCGGAGTGGGGAAGGATTTGATGTCTCTGTGCTCCCCTACCTGTAGCTATTGCAGCATCTGAAGAGGATCATCTCCGACCTGTGTAAACTCTATAACCTCCCTCAGCATCCAGATGTGGAGATGCTGGATCAACCCTTGCCAGCAGAGCAGGTGAGCAGCTGAGGAGCCTCGGGCCCTGTTGTGCAGAGTTGCCCCACAGGGTACTCAGTAAATAATTGAGACAAATCAGTAGTTTCTCTCCATCCCCACCGGCTCCCAAAAACATACACGTCTTATGACTCTCACCCTCGTTCTTCTCCAGATGGGAATCTTCTTTTGCTAAATGGGGCACTGGTAGCTTCATCTCTGATATCAAAATTCATTCTCATGGGCAGCATCCCAGATGTTGAAAGGGAGCGGGGGAATTTTTACCATTATCTTAGCAATAACAGTTGGTGGCCACTGGGGACCCAGGCCCCTTGGTGAGAACCAAGAATGCAATATCAGTCTAAAGAAGATCAAGTAAAGGAGGGGTTCTTAGGAGAATTAAACTAGGATTTAGGAGGTGGGTGACAGAGACAGCCATTTTGCTTTTCTTTTATTCTTTGGCAGTGATAGGCGAAAAATAATGGGCTGGTAGCAAAGCCATTCCCTGGGCTGTTGCTTCCACTCAGATCTGGCTGGTGGAGAGACTGGCAGCATTACAGGCAGGCGCACAACTTCCAGACCTGGGGGCTCAGGGGAGTAGGTTGGAGGCTGCATTCTAGCAAGCCACTGGGGCTCTGATCTCCATCTTTCCCTTCCTTGCTGCAGTGCACACAGGAAGACGTGTCTTCAGAAGATGAAGATGAGGAGATGCCTGAGGTAGGCTTGCCCCCTGAGGTGGCATTGGCTGGAAGCTCTTGCAGTCAGCAACATTGGTACCCATATCCAGAACTCCAGTCTAAAACTGGAGAGAGAAAAATATCAAAGGAATAAAGACAGATTTACTGACCTGGAGGAATAGCCAGTGTAGTAGAGGAGACAGGGCACCCATATCCAACCACTGAAGACAGGTGCAGCGCGGTTCAAACCAAATACTGGGTAAGTTAATTTCAAATGGCTTTGGAGTCCAACAAACCTGTGTTTGCATCCTAGCTATCCTAATTGAGGAATTTTATGTAATCTCACTAAGCTACAGTTTTCTTATCTATAAAGTAGGATTATAATACCTACTGCATATGGTTGTCTTGAGATTAAATGAGGTGTTATATATAAAATGCTTCAGATGATACATGATAAATGCTAAACAATCTATCTGATATATTCTCTAAAAACATACAGAATATAAAATCATGGTTAGGAATTTGAGCTTTAGAGCTAGACAGAACTTGACTGAATCTTAGCTCTGCTAAGAGCTGTGACTTTGGGCATGATAATTGACCTCACTAGACTCAGCTTCCGCATCTATAAAATGGATAATGATAGAATAATGAGTGATGGTGGTAAGAATGAAATGAGCTAGTATCTGCGGCACCTAGGACAGAACCTGGCATGTAATAAACACTCAGTAGACATTACCTGCTGGTGTGGTAATTAGGTATGTCCTGCCAGAAATGGGGAGATCACTCTGATTACTTTTATTTCCTAGCATTAGATTAATATCCCAGGTTCTATAACCGTGTAAGGTTCTTGAGACTGGCAAAGGGCTGACGACATGAAATTTACTCCTCCCAGATAGTGGACAGCCCTCTGGGCCACACCCCCAACATCTGGCTGAGGGGCTCAACCCTACATAGGTTCTCCTCCTTCCCTATGCTCAGTGAGCTAGTTGCTTGCTCACTTAGAGCAGGATGAATAAGGGGCTAATTCTGTTCTTGACCTCTTCCATATATCTCTCTGGACATCCTTTCTCATTTCCATCTGGCAGTGCGTGCCTCTGCATACCTGATTCATGCCTTGCATTTGTAGCGAGGAGAGGAGATGTAATGATTCAGGTTTCTCCTTTAGGCTTGGGGCCCTGAGAACTCCCGGGTGCAATAGTCACCTGGTGAAACATGAGCTTTGAGTCACAGGGTCAGGCCCAAGTCATTTCTGCTAGGAATTAGGGAAGAGTTTCTGCTGCCAAGGGAGTTTTAGGAACAGTTGGAGCAGGGTCAGTCCAGGAAACAAGAGGGCTAAGTCCCTGCCTCGATCTCAGCTGCAGCTCTGCTCGTTTCCGAAGTCCTTGCTGTAGCTTGAGAGCTGAAGATTTAGACTGTGGAGGGAATGGGGCTGGAAATTGTTCTAAAAATGGAAAGCACGTTGCGTTTATAAGACTGCTAGATGGACTGCTTCACTTTAACTTTTGGCTCTTCGCCAAATGGGACTGGGAAGGTGATGGTCATTCTCTAACCTGTGTCGGTTTTTTTCCTTTTCTTTTCACTCCCACCCCACACCTCCTCCAGGACACAGAAGACTTAGATCACTATGAAATGAAAGAGGAAGAGCCAGCTGAGGGCAAGAAATCTGAAGATGATGGCATTGGAAAAGAAAACTTGGCCATCCTAGAGAAAATTAAAAAGAACCAGAGGCAAGATTACTTAAATGTACGTGCCTTCTAGAGAGAGGCTGGTGAAGGGGTTGGTGGGAAATGGCTGGGAAGTAGTAGGCCATCGCATCTCAGTATGGAGAGCAGACTCCTTTTTTGTGCCTAATCCTTTCTTAAATCCTGGGCAAGCTGCCAGACTGCCCCTAAGGTCTAACGTGTGTTTATAAACCACACGACCAAGGAATGTTCCTGTCATCCGTCCCTCACAGGGTGCAGTGTCTGGCTCGGTGCAGGCCACTGACCGGCTGATGAAGGAGCTCAGGGATATATACCGATCACAGAGTTTCAAAGGCGGTGAGTTTGCCCCAGAGAGGGGCCTGCACAAGAGTCACCCATAAAGAAGGGTATGGTGGCAAGGGGCCCAAGAGGTTCTGGGGTCCAGGAGTGCTTATGAACTTTTCAGGCCAAGAATGGAGCTCCTCAAGCCAGTGGCTTGGTTGCATGTCCATCTGTGGTGAACCTAGAGCTGTTGATCTTTTTCTCTCAGTCTGGGAAAGGGGTCTGCATTAGAGACCACTCACCACCTGGACCATTCTACTAACACCTGTTTTTTCCCTCCTTCCAGGAAACTATGCAGTCGAACTCGTGAATGACAGTCTGTATGATTGGAATGTCAAACTCCTCAAGTGAGTGGGGACTCTGGGATTGGAGAGGAAGTTGAGGAGGAGTGTGAGTGGGGCTACTGTGGTGGGATCTCCAGGGCAGCCCCATCCAGCATTTTCATTCAGGGTCCCGGAGCGGGTGTGGGCAGTGGTTTCGTGGTCTGCTGCCAGCCAGGGCAGGGGAGCCCTTATGAAGCTCCTGAGGTGGAACCAGGCATCTGAGCCCAGGCTTGTTGCTTCTTAGAGTTGACCAGGACAGCGCTTTGCACAACGATCTCCAGATCCTCAAAGAGAAAGAAGGAGCCGACTTCATTCTACTTAACTTTTCCTTTAAAGTAAGACTTTTCTTTTCCAGTCTCTCCCTCTGGCCTAGGCTGCCCAGTCTGCCTGACAGTCCTGTGGAGGATGCTGGCCTCCCTCCCCTGATTGTCGTCTCTCTCTCTCTCAGGATAACTTTCCCTTTGACCCACCATTTGTCAGGGTTGTGTCTCCAGTCCTCTCTGGAGGGTGAGTGGCTGGCATGCGGAAGAGGGCATCTCCTCTGGCAGAGGGCGGGGAAGAGACTTGGAGATTTTGTCAGGCACAGCTGACTAACCTTTCTCATGCAGGTATGTTCTGGGCGGAGGGGCCATCTGCATGGAACTTCTCACCAAACAGGTGAGCCTGTCTCTCCTCCTTGGCCAGGCCGGCCTGGGCGGGGATTGTCTGAGCTTTACAGCACACACCCCTACGGGCTGGGTGATAGACATGATGTGGCCCTTTCATTCTGCTGGGCTGGGTCTGCACCCACTGACCTAGACAGACAGGTGGTGGCAGTGCTGGGGGCAAAGGGCAAGGGCCCTCCTATAGACACAGCTGATTGCCCAGAGGACAAGCATGAGGGTTCTCTGGAAGCTCCATCTGGACCTGCTTGCCTTGTCCTTCCCTTCACCCAGGGCTGGAGCAGTGCCTACTCCATAGAGTCAGTGATCATGCAGATCAGTGCCACACTGGTGAAGGGGAAAGCACGAGTGCAGTTTGGAGCCAACAAAGTAAGGATCCTGGTCCTGGGGCTGGTGGGGCTGGGTGGAGCCAAGTACACTTGGGGCCACTAGCAGGCCAAGGCTGCCTTCTTTAGAGGAATGAGCATAAGGCCCCCGGGCTGGTGGCATTGGATGAGAGGGCCTAGGGTGCCCACAATGGAACAACTGTGCCTTGGCCCCTAGGGGCACCCCTAGGACTTTTGGGAGGTTTCGGGTCTGGAAAAGGAAGACTATGGGATTATGCCTCCAAGGGACCTCGAAGGTGGAGGGTACTTAGTGTTTTACTAGACCACAGTGCTGGGAGCTGGGACTCTGGGGTCTCTGGGTGACAGCCTGCAGAAGGTGAGGGGCAGTAAGGCCACAGCTAGCCATGGCCTGATCTGGTGGCTTCCTCTCCCCAGTCTCAATACAGTCTGACAAGAGCACAGCAGTCCTACAAGTCCTTGGTGCAGATCCACGAAAAAAACGGTGAGGCTGGAGCCAGGACTCAGGAGATTCGGACACTTGCCACACCCAGGTTTTCACTTCCAGCCACAGAGCAAGAACCCCTTCTTTTGGTTTCTGATACTCAACCACCCATTAACACAGCACCTGCCCCAGTTCTCCCAGGAGGGACTGGCGGTGGCTAACATTCACAACCTCTTCCAGAAACACACCAAAATGATCGTATCACCGATAAACTTGGTGCTACCCCCTTCTTGACCACCTTTTGAAAAAGCTCATCTAACTCTCCCATCATCTCAGGTTGGGCACATCATTCCCCCTTCTCATCTCCAGGTATGCAGGCTCTCAGCTTCCCATACACCTCTCCCCACACAGCATAGCCCTCCCCAATATCCTCTTATCTCTGCCACTGGAGACGTCTTCAGGGATTGGGGCAGGACAGGGAGGGTGGGCCTGAACCTTCACCTCACTGACCATTCCATTTCTTTGCAGGCTGGTACACACCCCCAAAAGAAGACGGCTAACCCTGGAGTATCACCCTTCCTCCCTCCCCAGGCACCACTGGACCAATTACCTTTGAATGCTGTATTTGGATCTCACGCTGCCTCTGTGGTTCCCTCCCTCATTTTTCCTGGACGTGATAGCTCTGCCTATTGCAGGACAATGATGGCTATTCTAAACGCTAAGGAAAAAAAACAAACACAGAACTGTTTCAAGTACTCAAGACTGACTTACAGACCAACCAACCACCTTGCTGGAACCCTTGCTAGCAGGCATTCTTATAAAAGAAACTTTCGAGCCTCCTTATATTGCTGGAAACTCAGCTGTGCTCCAGACTAGAGCCTCCTTACCTATGCTATGGATTTTTAATTTATTTTCTCTTATTTCATGTACACTGCTTTTTTTGGTTACAGTGTATGATGGATGTGTATGAAAAAAATGTATCTTTGGGAAAACAATTACAGTTTGTTAATTTGAAGATGCTGGTCTTGACTCATCTTTATTTTTATTCGCACATCCCACCCCATCCCCTGAACTACTTGGGAGGTGGGGAGGGGTACGAGTCCACTGTTGCTTTGGTAGAGATGAGAGGCCGCATTTTGCTGCTAAAGCAAGAGAAACTTGGAGCTGAAGCACACACCTGGTCTGCCCCTAGATTTCTCCTCAAGGCCTCTGGAGCAACCAGCACTTGCCCCCTTGGAATGCAGAGCCTGGCCTGCCAAACTACAATGTGGTAGGCTGAAACGATGGTGTTAATTCTTAGGACTACTTTTCTAGTCACAGATGTTTTCAAATTTCTAAGAAAAAGAAAATGAGGCTCAAGAGGCTGCTTCGTAGAATTCCTTTTGAATGAATTGAGTGGGGATGGGGACACAGTCTCCAAGTGTGTATGTGGTCTTTTCTGATCTCAGCTGTGTGGCTGCAACTCTTCGCTGTTCATTGGTTCCTCTCCTGGAAAGTGGCTTCTAACCAGCACTGGATGGTGATCATTGGTAAGCTTTGCTCACCTCCCTCTCTCTTGCTTCATTTGGCTTTATCAAAAAGAACAGACCTAGCTCTGAATTTGTTTGGCTTGGGAAATTATGGATTCTTTCAAGCCACTCCCACAAGGTGGGTCCTACTAGAAAGGGTTAGCATTTTAAGGGGGGTTGTTCTATACACCTGTGTCCTTACCCCAGGCTCAGGAACTGCCAGGGAGGGAAGATGAGGTGGGGAGTCTGTACTGAGATGGAACTGTCAGTGCTGTGTTGTATGTACTTGCTGTTGTAAAAGTTTGGGCATGACTTTGCATCTAGCGGGTGCTGCCTGCATCTCTTTGTCTGTAAGCTTGCTCTGGGACTCAGCCTCTTAGGACCTACGATGCCAGCAGCTCTCATTAACAGTGAAATGACAGAGGCCAAAGATGGCCAAGTGAAGACCCAAGTCTCAGAAAACCCAGACTTGGGACAACTGCCTGGGAACTAGGATGCTAGAGCAGTTCTGTAATGCTTTGAGACACAGCAATTTTCACATTGGCCATTCTTTCCCCTCCCCTACCCCTTTTCTTTTGAGGGACTTTTAATGTTTGCTGCTTTAGGTGGATGGAGAGTCCACCAGTCCCACTCAATGCTGCTCTAACTCTACCCACACCCACCTAATTAGGGGTGCTAATAAAACATGCTGAGGTTGAGATAAAGACGGGACATAAGGGGAAAATTCATTCCATAGAGCTGAAATCTGGTTTTCAAGGCCTCTGTGGCTTTCTTCTGAACTTACCACCAGCCCTGGCTGGAATGTAGATTGTGTTTTTAGTAATGTGTACTGTGAGCTGTCTTCTGTATAATGTATTTTGTAATGTATTTTTCTCATCTACCAAAGGATGAAACAAATAAAATTATTTAAATAGTTTGGCTCTAATAAAATTATTTGAAGAAACAGTGGGGTTCCTGTTCACTTGACATAGAGGGAAATGCCTGCCCCTGTGAGTTGCATAACACCAACTAACTCTAAGAGAATCCTCCATTTTTCTTGCCAAACCCAGCACTCCCTTTTATGACCTTAAGTTTAGGGTTCTAATAAAGTACAAAGTATAAAAAAGAAACAAGGCCATATCATCATGAAACAATTTTCTTCTCTCCACTTAGAAGGCAAGGAGAAATAATGAAACTAACTCTTAGGTTGTTCCCCTACACTTCAAACATGTATCTATATCCCAGGCAGGGTTTGCATGGCCCAGAGCCCACACTGGCAGGCTCTAATCTCACTGCAGCAGTTTTAGAGGGCACGGCAGGGCAGTGGAAGGGTGGCTGGAAAGAAGTATCAATCACTCCAAACTCATGAAACATGCCAACATTTATTTGCTCATTGGTTAAATATTCTCTACCTATTCTACATGGAATGCCAGGAAAACCAGCAGAGGGCTTCTCCATTATCCAGAATCTGTTAGGACCACTTATATCATGCTCTGGGGTGCAAAGAAGAGACACAAGAAAGACCATCCCAGCTGCCTCAGGCTTTCAACCTAATGGTAGTTTCCTATGTTTGGTTCAAATGTTCATGCCAAGTTGGGGAACTGAAGACACATGACAAATGAGACTTCACTCTCTTTTGAGAGGGAAGCTGGGAGTAAAAGCAAAATTGAATCAATCCTGGGCACAGTCTGGCCTTTTTCACCTCCCAGGCCTCAAGAGTGAAAGGGGTACGAGAAGACAGGGCAGGTGGCCTCTGGATCCGTGGCAAACAGGAGAGGGAACATGCTGAGGGAAGCCCCGTTATTTAGACTCTTCAAACTTTAGGATGTGCAACTGGAAGAGAAAGACAAAGCCTTGGTGGGAAGGAAGGCCCACCCGAGCCAGTTCACCCAACCCCTCAGATAACCAGTTCGTTTGATCTAAAAGAATGCCAGGTAAATACTGTGTCCAGGCCTAGGCAGCAGCCTGCTGCAGACACCCCAAGGGCAGGAGTGGAGGGACAACAGCCAAGTTAGATGCAGGAGCAGTTACCGCCGAGTTCAAAGCACCAGTGATTTTCCCTTTGAGGATTCGATGGACAACCTCATACGAACTCAAAATGTCTGCAAAACAAGACACAACAACAAAACCTCAGTGGCACGGGGTTGGGCAGGAGGAGCAAAGGAGGGAAGCAAAAGGCGGGGGCTGCAGGGAAAGTGCTCTGGCCGCCAACCAGCTCCAACCAGCAAGTCTCTGCTAGTTCCTGCTAAATCCCTGCTGCCAGGATCAAATGAGATGATAAATGCTGAAAAGGTAGCATAGGGGGAGGGCAAAATAACAGCAGATAAAGGGAGGAGGCACTTGTTAAAATAATTACAGGGATCTGGGATTTTTAATGAGAAATTCTACTGGGGACAGAAAATCACGTTCACTGAACTCTGCTCTGAGAGTTCCGGCTGGATAGAAGAAGGTTAAAACCAGAGAGGTTTTCACCATGAGACGCAAGCACTCTTACATGCTGGAACCAGGCAGGGAGCTCATCAAAAACCCACCTTTCCCCAGGATGTCGTCCCTCACGCAACTCCCACCATCCCACCAGAGTCCCCAAACTCTGGGACTGTTTGTATGTATGACACTGAATCACTAAGAGTCAGACCTAGGTTTCATCCCCAGCTATGCCATTTTCTTGCTATTAAGTATGAGTTCATTTCACTTTTCTGAGCTGTATTTTCCTCATCCATAAAGGGAGGAAAACTGACGCTTGTCTGACTTATCTCTGGGTTGGGGACTCTGGCCCTTCTGACAGGCTGGGAGCTGCACTTTGAAACAGGAAGCTCCTCTTCCCTGGGTCACCTGAAGAAGCTCCTGATGCCTGGCTGTTCCCAGCCTGGGCAGCAGGGACCCTCTTCATGCAATGACCCAAGACAACCTCTGGGTGGTGCTCCCTGCCCACTGGGCACAAGCCCCACCAGCCTCCCAGGAAGCCTTGGCCCTGCACAATTGGGAGATGCCTTTCCATCTTTAAATATATATATTATATATATCACGTATTATATATTATATATGTTACATAATATATAATATATATTACGTGATATATATAATATATACGTAATATATAAATTACATTATACATATATTTTATATATATATATATTTTGGCCGGGTGCGGTGGCTCGCACCTGTAATCCCAACACTTTGGGAGGCCGAGGAGGGCAGATCACGAGGTCAGGAGTTCGAGACCAGCCTGACCAACACAGTGAAACCCCGTCACTATTAAAAATATAAAAATTAGCCAGGCGTAGTAGCACATGCCTGTAATCTCAGCTACCCAGGAGGCCGAGGCAGGAGAATCGCTTGATCCCAGGAGGCAGAAGTTGCAGTGAGCTGAGATCACGCCACTGCACTCCAGCCTGGGCGACAGAGCAAGACTCCATCTCAAGACTTAGTTTGTCTGAGGGCCGGGCACGGTGGCTCACAGCTGTAATCCCAGCACTTTGGGAGGCCGAGGTGGGCGGATCACGAGGTCAGGAGTTCGAGACCAGTCTGGACAACATAGTGAAACCCCATCTCTACTAAAAAAAAAAAAAAAAAAAAAAAAAAATTAGCTGGGTGTGGTGGTGCGTGCCTGTAATTGGGAGGCTGAGGCGGGAGAATTATGTGAACTTGGGAGGCGGAGGTTGCAGTGAGCCGAGATTGCGCCTCTGCACTCCAGCCTGGGTGACAGAACGAGACTCCATCTCAAAAAAAAAAAAAAAAAGACTTAGTTTGTCTATAAAACGTTTCCATCTCAGCTAAGCGCGGCAGCTCATGCCTGTCATCCCAGCACTTTGAGAGGCCAAGGTGGAAGGATTGCTTGAGCCAAGGAGTTTGAGGCTGCTATGAGTTATGATTATGCCACTGCACTCCAGCATGGGCAACAGAGTGAGACCCTGCCTCTGAAAAAAAAAGAAATTTTTTAAATAAAACTTTTCCATCTTACTTCCTGTGTATGTGTATGTATGCTTCTTCACCTCCACTTCTCCTGACTGCCCCCTAAAACATTCTTTCATCCTTTTACATTTCACCTAACTTCGATCTTGAGAAGGGGCCTCTTCATTTCCACCTATGGAGAAACCCACAGGTGTCTGAAGCTAAATGAATCACATTAGGAGAGTGCAGTGCTAAGTGCTGTGCTCTGGCGTCTAGCACTGGCATTCGAGTGCTAGTTTTCTTCTATGGCAGAATCTTTTTCCAGTGAAATCTGAAGCAACACGCCAAGTATGTAAAACAGATGAAAGCTGAGCAGCTCTGGTGGAAGCAGGGGTGGGAAATCTGCCCTCTTCTCTCCCCTTCCAGAGAACTCAGCCTTTGGGCAGCATCTGAGGTCCCTGTTGGGATCTTGGGCTCCAGATCCCAGGCATGAAAACCAACACTTGAGAGGCAGCTTTGCAGGGGTCATATGCTGAAAACTGGGGTTGGGTGGAAAGAGAGACTGAAGCACCTTGGCCGCCCACTATGCTGCTTCCTGTTCAGGTCCCAGAAGCAACCATGGCTTCTCCTGTCCCTGAAACCCTTGGGAGGAAGATAGAAGATGTCTCACCTTTCTCCAGCATGAATGGCTGAGTCAGGGGTGGGATGGTCCAGAAGTCGTCGCTGTCTAGGCTGCGCAGAGACTGCACAGGGATGGTGGCCAACTGTCCAAAATCAATGAACATGACCACAGCCCAGGTGTCCACCCTGTCCAGCACCCAACACCTGGCAGAGGAAAAGAGAAAGACAGAGGACAATCATTCCGCCTAGTGCCATGCACAGCAGTCCTCAACAAAGTGGATGTGAAAGTGGAGGTAGGAGGGAGGAAGAGCGAGTTTGCTCTGTTTCTCCCCAATCCTTGAGTGAGGAAATAAGGATAAAGATGATTTTGAGAGAAGAAGCCACAGGAAAAAAAACCAGAGCCCAAAGGAAGAGAATGCAAGAAGGGAGCATTTTCCCTGCACGCCTCTCCCATAGACTCTACCCCTGCCCAGGCACACACCTGTTCCAGGCGTGTCCATAATCCCCCAGGTGGTACTCTGCCAGACAGCGAGTCCCGCGCATAACGGTGGAGCCCTCCAGGTAGGGCTGCTGCTCCTCCGCCTGAGCCAGGGTGCTAAACAGAGCCTGCATGTTCTGGTGCAGAGCCTGTGGGGTGCAAAACGCAACGGCCCCACTGCCTGCACTGCATTACAAATCTGCCTCCGTAGACGTCACCTGTTATGTTAGCACCGCTAATCCGTCCCAAGGCCATCAGGTATGAGGTGGGAGAGAGAACGAGACTGAACCCAGGATCAGACCGTAGTTACCCTGCATCTCCACCACTGACCGGCCCCGTCACCATGCCCACCCTAGGGAGGCCACGCAGGAAGGCACAGGAGCCTGAGGGGGCCAACAACCAGTCCATACCTCAGTGACGTGCATAGCCCAGAAAAACGGGGTCTTCGGGACGATACTCGTCACCAGCAGCCCCGCCTCCCCACGGACGCTATGGATGAGTGCCAGCCAGCTCAGGTCTCGGAAGCATTCCCTCAGGAGCAGCACCAGGAAGGACCCTCTGCGGGAAGAGCAAGGGGAGCAAGGAAAGGAACGACTGGACCAACGCAAGGAAAGGAACGACTGGACCAACGCCTGTCCTGCAGGAGGCTGAACTGCCTGGGGGATGAGTCCCCTAAGCAGAAAGGCTGTGCCCACCCCCTCTAGGGTGGGAGCTAAAGCCAGTTCCCAAGTAATCCCAGTCCACGGCAGAGGAAAGGAAGGGCCATTCTGGGGGCGTAGGGGTTGAAGAGTTCAGGAAAAGGAAGCAGCAGAGGGAAACAAAAACACACTGAGAAACTCCGAGAGAGGTGGATAAAAGTCCTCAATGGGTAGATTTGGGGCCTCCTAAGTGATTCACGAGCCTCTAAATGATGCAGGTGTGGACTGTCCACCATGCAGGATATGCCTTCCATCCCAAAGCTGCTCCTCCCCTGCGTCTACGCACATTCCAAATGTCACCCTGCTGCTCCACTAACTCAATTACCTGCCTAAACCACACGGGGCTAATGACACCCTACAGCATTTCAAGTCAAACTGAGTATTCTGGCACTCTTGACATTAAGAACGGTATCCGCTGTTAAAGCAAAGCAGGGGACATGGTGGGCATGATGATCTCATGGCATCCAGGGCAGGGGACGGTCACAGGCCTTTGCTGTACATAAGTGGAAGCTGATTTTATCATTTTGTTTTATTTATTTATTTATTTTGAGATGGAGTCTCACTCTGTCACTCAGGCTGGACTGCAGTGGCACAATCTCGGCTCACTGCAACCTCTGCCTCCTGGGTTCAAGTGATTCTCCTGCCTCAGCCTCCCAAGTAGCTGGGACTACAGATGCCCACCACCATGCCCGGCTAATTTTTTATTTTTAGTAGAGATGGGGTTTCGCCATGTTGGCCAGGCTGGTCTTGAACTCCTGACCTCAAGTGATCCACCCACTTTGGCCTCCCAAAGTGCTGGGATTACAGGCATGAGTCACTGCCCCCGGCTGGGAAGCTGATTTTATAAGTCAGTGTGGGTCACAGCCTTACAGCCTGGGTCTGACACAGGAGTTCCCGAAAACTATCCCCCACCCCAGTACTATCCTTGTCCCCACTCTCTGGGGGACAGAGGATGTCTGTAATCGCCATTTGCCCTGGTGGTCTTTCTATACCTTGCTCACCTCATTTCCAACGGGACTGCAAAGAAGGCTGCCCTCAGTTTCTCTGTCTCACACAGGTCAACAGGAGCTTTAGGAGCGAGCTGTATAATAGCTAGAAAGCAGAAGACTAAGTCCTGGAGGCACCAGAACTACCCAGAGAGGAATTGCTCCCCTAACCCACAAGAGGCCTTGGCCCTGCCCTCCAAGGAAGCATAAAATGGGCCAAGAAGCTGCACCCTCCAACTTCTCAGTCTCTAGATTCTCATCTGGGCGGGAAGGGTCAGTCGGATGATATTCTTTAAGAAAGCATCCTAGGGCTGGGTATGGTGGCTTGCACCTGTAATCCCAGCACTTTGGGAGGCTGAGGTGGAAGGATCACTTAAGGCAAGGAGTTTAAGACCAGCCTAGGCAACACAGCAAGACTCCATCTCACAAAAAATTTTAACAATTAGCCAGGCATGGCGATGCACACCTATAGTCCTAGCTACTGTGGAGGCTGAGGAGGGAGGATGGCTTGAGCCCAGGAGTTTGAGGCTGCAGTGAGCTATGACCATGCCACTGCACTATAACCTGGGTGACAGAGGAAGATCTTGTCTCAAAGAAAAAATGAAAGCAAGCAAGCAAGCATCCTAGAGGAAGAAAGGGAAAAGGGATATTTCTACACTAAGGGTCATCAGGGGACTGAGCTGGAAGGGAGGCTGCAGAAGGGGCTGGAAGAGGTCCATTAGGAGCTGCAAAGCCACATCCTGGGAAAGGATGGCAGCGCAGAATCTCACCGGCGGTTTTGCCAAATCCTTCACCAGAAGCCTTCTCCAACACCTGGGAAGAAAAATGAAAGGTCTCACTCAGCCATGGTGGCATTTGTTTTATTGATTTCTATGTTGAATCACTCCAGGTAGACTGGGAGACAGAGCATCGGCAGCCCCTGTTCTGACTCCGACTTTAGAGCTGACTTTTGAGACATCCGTCCACTCTCTCCATCCTCACGGCATCCTGAGCCAACCCAAAGAAAAGACGATCAGAAGCAGGGAAGGCAGGGAGCAGGGCTGCTGCCAGGGAGCACTCATCTGGAGCTACAGTCACAGAATGAGCTGCCCAGCAGCCTTCCCCAGACAGGGGCAGAAAGCACCACCAGAACGCTTATCCTGGTGCCCTGCTGGCACTACCTGCAGGGAGGAAAAGAAGTAGTAGCGGTCACCTGGTGCAGGGCTGGGTGGGGACAGAAAAGCCTGGGTGCCCTGCCACTCCCCACAGCCCTGCAGCCCCCAACCCATGCTGGTCTCCCTCTCTCCACTGTTCTCACCTGAAAAACCCCCAACCCTGGGGAAACCCAAGTATCTATCCCCCTTCCCACTGCCCTGCATCCAGGCCTTTCCATCCTACCACCACCACCCACGCACCTTGACTTTCCTTCTCTCCAAAGGACCTCACGTCCTCTCCTTTCTTCAAAACGCCCACAACCCCTGCCCATTAACTTGCCTCTTCATCAGAGGGCAAACAGGAAGCAATGAGACAGGACTCCCTCTTCTCCCAACCCCCACCACCAACCCCTCTCCCGCTCCTGCCCTCCCCGCCATCCCTCCCCTGCATGGACCTGCTCCCTCCCGCTCTGGCTCAAGCCCTCACCCTGCAGACCCACCCTGCTGCTCCTCCAGCACTGTCTCCCTCCCGTGTGAGCCTTTTCCACAGGAAACAAGCAGGCTCTGACACCCATTTGGAAAGACTCTGACTGACCTCACAGCTCCCCCAATTCCTGCTTCTGTGCTCCTCTCACTGCAACTCCACAGTTTCACGGTCTCTGTGCTGTTTACCTCCACACTCACATCTCCTCTCAGGCTTCCCCAAAATGGCCCTGCAAAAGTCAGCATGAACAGTCACACTGCCAAATCCAATGGTCACTCCCCTGTTCTGAATCCACCTGCAGTATTCCCTCTGCTCCCTCTTTGCAGAAACGCATCTCTTGGCATCACATGTATCTGGTTCTCCTTCTCTTTCCCTGGCTGGCCTTCTCAGTTCAACTGCTCAACACTGGCACATCCCAGGACTTGTCCTCTCCCCATCCACCTTCTCTCCAAGGCCATCTCCAGTGCAACGGTTTTAGGTATCAACAATGTACCACGGACTCTCAAAGCTGCAGCCCCAGCCCTCATCATTCTCTGGAATTCCACTCACATGTGATGTCCACTTGACAGGACAGTGAAGAGGTACACAGACTTAGCATGTCTGCAACAGACCCGCCCAAGGAGCCTGCAATCATGAACAAATAAAGCAGACCCTCCCCAGCCTAGCTTTCTCCATTTGAGTGAACGGCATTTTTTTTTTTTTTTTTTTTTTTGTAGAGATGGGGTTTCACCATGTTGCCCAGGCTGGTCTTGAACTCCTGGGCTCAAGCAATCCGCCTCCCTCAGCCTTCCAGAGTGCTGGGATTCCAGGCATGAGCCACTGTGCTCAGCCTACCGCATCACTACCTACAGAGCAGTTCACCCAAGTTCTCTCTCCCAAGCTCCCTACGTCAAATTCATCAGCAAGCCAAGCTACCTCCTCCTCCAAGACACACCCGAGCCCATGAACATTTTTCTCTGTGTCCATACCCACCACCCCAGTACTCACCATCTCTTACCAGAATAACAGTGACAGCAAACAGGGAGCCCTGCTGTGGCACCTGCCCCCACAATCCAATCACCTGAGGACTGTGATCTTTTTCAAACAAAAAGTAGATCACATGACATCACTGGTTAAAATCTTCCAACATCTCCCCATCGTGCTTACAAATAAAACCCAAAGTCTTGACCTTGGCTCTCAAGGCTGTACCAATGGATGCCCCTTCCCAGTGACCTCTCTGCCTACTCCCCTCCCCTTCACCCACCAGGCTCATACCTTGGGCCACTTGCAGGCCTCCCTCTGCCTGGAATGTTCTTAGTCTGGTCTTCCAAGTGGCTGGCTCTGAGCTGGCATTGGGGGCCCCCCTAAGAACCATCTAAAGAAGTGACCTCTCACTCTTCATCACATCATCATATTTTAGTTCTCCGGCTGCTACTCATTATCTGGTATTTTCTTGTTTGTCTCTTTTACCACTGGAATGTAAACATCACAAGAACAAGAATGACAAGTGTCTTTCAACAATTACCTTGATCGTGGAGGTAACACCAGGGCCTAGGAAATGCCTGGTGCATATTAAGCTCTCAGTAAATATGTGCTGAATGAAAGAATCAAATAAGAAATGACCTAGGGGCTGGGTACTGCGGCTCACGCCTGTAATCCCAGCACTTTGGGAGGCCTAGGTGGGCAGATCACATGAGGCCAGGAGTTCAAGACCAGCCTGACCAGCCTGGCTAACATGGAAAAACTCTGTCTCTACTAAAAATACAAAAAATTAGCTGGCCGTGGTGGCGGGTGCCTGTAATCCAAGCTACTAGGGAGGCTGAGACAGGAGGATTGCTTGAACCCGGGGAGGCGGAGGTTGCAGTGAGCCGAGATTGTGCCATTGCACTCCAGCCTGGGTGACAAAGTGAGACTCTGTTTAAAAAAAAGAAAAAAGAAAAGAGAGACAAGAAAGAAAGAAATGACCTAGGGCAAATTCTTCACTCTCTAAATCTTGGTTTCCTCTTCTACACCAGGAATCCCACCTGTCTTGATGTGAGGATTTAGTTGGGCTCAGGACAATGACATGCAGTTGGTACTAAGAAACAGAAGCAGCACAACACAGCAGTTACAAGTGCGGATTCAAGAGTCAGGCTGTCTGGACCCCAATCCTGGTTGGGAGATTGGCTGCTTAAGTCTGGGTGAGTTACTTGGTGTTCACATCTGCAGAACAGGAGAGTTAACAGCACCTACTGCTGTAATTAAATGAGTTCATACGGTAAAACAATTAGAGAGTGAGTCCTCAGTGCAAGTTAACTACTGCTGTCAATCAATGAGACCCAAATTGAACCTTTCCTCGCTAAACCAACCACGTTCTGCCTCTCTTCTTTACCCATAACAAAGCACCGTGAGATGGAGTCTCGCTCCGTCACCCAGGCTGGAGTGCAGTGATGCAATCTAGGCTCACTGCAAGCTCTGCCTCCCAGGTTCATACCATTCTCCTGCCTCAGCCTCCCGAGTAGCTCAGACTACAGGTGCCCACCACTATACCCGGCTAATTTTTTGTATTTTTAGTAGAGATGGGGTTTCACCGTGTTAGTCAGGATGGTCTCCATCTCCTGACCTCATGATCCGCCCGCCTCAGCCTCCCAAAGTGCTGGGATTACAGGCATGAGCCACCGCGCCTGGCCTTTTTTTTTTTTTTTTTTTTTGAGATAGAGTTTCGCTCTTGTTGCCCAGGCTGGAGTGCAATGGCATGATCTCGGCTCACCGCAACCTCTACCTCCCAGGTTCAAGCGATTCTCCTATCTCAGCCTCCTGAGTAGCTGGGATTACAGGCATGCGCCACCATACCCAGCTAATTTTTTGTGTATTTAGTAGAGACCGGGTTTCCCCTTGGTTGTCAGGCTGATCTCGAACTCCTGACCTCAGGTGATCCGCCCACCTCGGCCTCCCAAAGTGCTGGGATTACAGGCGTGAGCCACGGTGCCTGGCCTCTCCTAAGGCAGTTCTAAATACCAACCCCACAAACCAATTATCACTAGTGGTTTCAAGCTAAAAATGATTATTAATACAGAAGCATTTCACATCATTTTTGGTCTAATTATTATTCCCTAATGATTTAAGTGATAAATATAACAAGCCCGTTTTGACAGTTTGTAAAATTAAGTTCCAGAGGAAAATCTACATAATTATCATCCAACAGCCACAGCAGGCACATCACCTAAACACAGACCTCCAATTTCCGACGTGTCTGTAATACAAAGGTGGCCACACGGAAGCCACAGACATCAAGGCAGCACCTCAATAGCTGCAAGAGCAGTTAATTTTAATTAAGTTCCATTGTTGCTACAAGCATGGTCACCCTCATGCCCAGATCAATCAACAGCTCTTAATTATCCCTTTACTTTGTTCTGGGACATTTCTACCAGGTGGTCAAGTGTTCTAAGAGGTGCGCCTGCTCCAGAGTGATGCTGGGGAGTCCGTGCAGTGGGAGAGGAGAAACAAAAATACAAAGGTTGGTGGCCAGAAGGCTTGGAGGTGGGACCATCCATCCAGTCCCCTCCACACACCAGGGAGAAGTTCTTGCATACACTCAGCAGGGTACAGCCTCATGACACCCAGAACACAGGCAGTGTCCCAACCTGCAGCCTCCAAGTCTGCTCGCTGCCACAACCCTGGGCCATCTCTCTTTAAGCGCTGTCTACACCCACCCTCACCTCCACCAACCTGGGGAACTGCACCTGGGAACACCTGAGGGGCCCATCCTGGTGGAAATTTTGCATGTGCAGCTTCAACCTCAACTGCTTCCTTCTCATTCTTTAATCACTTGCACTTCTATGTGCTAGACACAAAAAGACAAAGATGAAAGACAAAGACCTCTGCGTGGGCTCCTCAGGGAGCCCCCCTTTAGTCACCCACAAATATAAAACGCCACCACAAAGCTCACGTTCTGGTGGGGGCAGCAGACACTAAATAAGTATACAAAGAGGAATAATGTCTTTGGCTGGCAGCAAGAGGGATGAAGAGACAAACGTCAGAGACAGGGGATGAAGGGTGCCAGGGGTGGGTGCTGTCTCATGGAAAGTCCTCCTGAGGTGGTGACTGCTGAGTGGAGCCCGGAATGAAGGGAGACAGCAAACCCTATAGACACCTGGGAGAAGAGCCTTCTGGGCTGACAATAGTAGGTCCAGAGGCCCTAAGGTGGGGATGTACTTGGCTTGTCTGGGGGGCCGCCCCAGGGCTGGTGTGACAAGATATTTTCATCTCTTCCCCGGACTGCCAGAAACAGGTCTTCCTGCCTCCATTCTGGCCTCCTCCAGTGGGTTCTAAAGGGTCCCTTTAAAAGTTAAATCTAGGTGCAAGGACGAATAAATGGTGGCACATGATACAACAGAATATCACTTGGCAATAAAAAAAGAACTGCTGATGGTGCAACCACATGGATGCATCTCAATAACATTCCACTGAATGAAAGAAGCCAGACACAAAGAAGCACGCACAGCCTGATGCCATTTACAGGACACGCTGGAAAAGCTCCATCTCATCGAAAGGATGGACAACAGCTGAGGGCTGCTGGGGGCCCTGAAGGGGGAATCTTTTGGGCGACTGAAATGTTCTCTATCTTGATTGTGACAGTGGTTACATGCTGCACGCACTGGTCAAAATTCGTCAAGCTGTACACTTAAATGGGTTCACTTTAAGTAAATTATACTTCAGTAAGTATATCGAATACTTCAACAAAGTTGATTTTCTAAAATATAAGAATGGGTTCTATCTGGCTATGTCACCCCCTGCTCAAAGCCTCCAGTGTTCTCATTATTATGTGACTGCAAATCCTATTGAATCAAGTTATGTGTTATTTTTATTCTTAAGCAACTTTGTTAAGATGGAGTTTCGCTCTTGTTGTCCAGGCTGGAGTGCAACGGCACAATCTCAGCTCACCGCAACCTCTGCCTCCCAAGTTCAAGCAAATCTCCTGCCTCACCCTCCTGAGTAGCTAGGATTACAGGCATGTGCCACCACGCCCAGCTAATTTTTGTATTTTTAGTAGAGACGGGGTTTCACCATGTTGGCCAGGCTGGTCTCGAACACCTGACCTCATGATCCACCCACCTCGGCCTCCCAAAGTGCTGGGATTACAGGCGTGAGCCACTGCGCCCGGCCTGCAACCTTTTCTTAGGAATTAACTGCTGCTTTTTCCCCAGTCCATTTACTTGGATTTCCTTGAATCTTTGGCTAAGTTTTCCTATAACCTCCAGTGGCTCTTCATAATACCGCTCCTCTCAATTTTACATTTTTCTTCCTGCCAACGTCACCGCTGGAGTCTCACCCCGTCCTGCTCTGCCCTGGACTGCCTGCTGCACAGCAACTGTTCCAGGACTGCCTTTGGCCAATCTGGGAAGCCTCTCATCTCTCTCCTCTTGGATCTGGGTTGGATACCAGATCCCGTCTTGTTTTGGCTTACTGATTCATTTTTGTTGGAACACACTCCTTCATAGCTTTCTGAGAACAGGTACATGGGGCACACATTTTTTGAGACCCTATCTTTCTGAGCAAGTCTTTTTCAACCTTTTTTTAAAAGTGACAGTGTCTTACTTTGTTACCCAGGCTGGAGTGCTGGCACAATCATAGCTCACTGCAACCTCAAACTCCTTCAGGTCAAGTGATCCTCCCATCTCAGCCTCACCAGTAGCTGGGACTACATGTGTGTGCCACCACACCCGGCACATTTTTTGTCGACAGGGTTGCCCAGGATGTTCTCAAACTCCTGGCCTGAAGCAATCCTCCCACCTCAGCTTCCCAAATCCCAAATTCCAAAGCACTGGGATTACAGGTACACACCACTGCAGATGGCTTACCCTTATATTCTCTCTCTCTTTTTTTTTTTTTCTTGAGATGGAGTCTCACTCTGATGCCCAGGCTGGAGTGCAGTGGCATGATCTCAGCTCACTGCAACCTCTGCCTCCCAGGTTCCAGGGATTCTCCTGCCTCAGCCTCCCGAGTAGCTGGAATTACAGGTGTGCACCACCACGCTTGGCTAATTTTTGTATTTTTAATAGAGATGGAGTTTCACCATGTTAGCCAGGCTGGTCTCAAACTCCTGACTTCAAGTGATCCGCCCACCTCGGCCTCCCAAAGTGCTACCCTTATTCTTGACTGACTTGTTTGGGCTTGGATATTATTTTCCTGAAGAATTCAATCACACCACCTGATTCCATATCCTTCAATGTGGATTCTCTTCCTAAAGCTTTATCCCTAGTATTCTAAAATACTTCTGTAAAGTGCCTTCATGTAGGTTTTTATTTTCCCATTCATTATCCTGGGCACTCATTGGCTGCTTTGTATCTGAAAACTCACATCCTTCACCCATGGGAAATTATCTTATATCATTTGATAATCTCTCCCCCACGCTGACCTGAACACTGCCTGGATGCGTGTTGTGCCACGTAAGCTTATCTTCTAATTTTACCTTTTCTTTTCTTTAAAACAATTTCACTACAAAATATTTCAATCAACAAATCCTCTCCCCAAAAAGCAATAACAAATCTTGACAAATTGTCAAAAACAATCACTTCAGGACTCTGGAAATTGACTGAAGCATACAAGAAATTGAAAACATCTATTAAAAAGAAAACAATAACAACAACGACTGACCTTTGTACGAAAACAGTGAGCATCTGGGGCTTCCCCACTCCCCACTCCTTCAGCGGATAGTTCTACCAGGATGGGCAAAGCCATGGAAACCAGGAGCATCAAAGGTGGCTGACTTGATCGGAGCAGGCTATGGAAAACCACCAGGTGTTGTCAGAAACTGCCACCTCGTGGTAAGCAACGGGAAAGTTGCAGCCTGGCTTTTATGCATCTTCACCTACAAAAGGTGCCTATTCCTAGCTCTTGCCCATTTTTCTATTAGGTTGTTTCTTTCTTGCATTGATTTCCAGGCATTTTCATCCTGTTTATTTTTGTTTTTTAAAAAATAGCCTAGATCTTAACCCAGGAACTGGCAAACTTTTTCTGCAAAGGGCCAGATAGTAAATATTTTAGATTTTGGGGGCCTTACTGTCTGTCATGAGTCCACTCTGCTGCTGTAGTGAGGAAGCAGCCACAGGCAATCTGTAAACAAATGGCTGAGGCTGCATGCCAGGAATGTTTCATGGACACAAACTGAATTTCATACAATTTTCATGTGTCATGAAATATTCTTCATTTTTTTTCCCATTTAAAAATACGGCTGGGGGGTCTCACGCCTATAATCCCAGCAGTTTGGGAAGTGGAGACACGAGGATTGCTTGCCAGGAGTTCAAGACCAGCTTGGGCAACATAGTGGGACCCCATCTCTACAAACAATAGAAAATTAAAAAAAAATATATATATATATATATATGGCTGGGCACAGTGGCTGCCCTGCAATCCCAGCACTTTGGGAGGCTAAAGCAGGAGGATTGCTTGAGGCCAAATCAGCTGGGCATGGTGGTACACGCCTGTAGTCCCAGCTACTCACGAGGCTGAGGCAGGACTGCTTGAGCCCAGGAGTTCGAGGCTGCAGTAAGTTCAGATCACACCACTGCACTCCAGTCTGGGCAACAGAGCAAGACCCTGCTCTAAAAATATAAATAAATAAAAACCATTCTTAGAACCTCCACTCTGAGAAGATGAAATATACATACTTCATCTTAGTTTTGTTAAACACAACTAAGAGCCCAGGACATTACATGTAAAACAAACATAAGAAGACTCTGAAAGATGGAGAGAAGGGAACAGGCTGACCAGAGACCTTGGAACCCAGGGTACAACGTGGTGATGACTTCTCTGGGTTTTCCTTTTGCTTTATATATTCCAAACTTAGAATTGAAGAGGCCAGCAACCCAGAAACACCAGTAGGTCCAGAAAAAAAAAAAAAAAAAACCCAACAAAAGCCTGCTCTTTCTAGCCAAAGCACCAGAAGAGACAGGCTAGGAAGACAGAAAGCTTGTAGATAATAACTCCTTTACTCCAGCTAAATGCCACCAACAAGGAGATCCCACCTCCACGCATGCCAACAAAGACAGCATGCAGGGCCCAGACTTCTGCCCTCATGGGGCTGGGATGAGTCGCCCAATACCCCCACCCTGATGGTGTCACAAAGGGCCAAGCAGGCAGCCAGGAATTTCATCCCCTACCCAATAAAGAAACCGGTCTCTCCCTACCACCACCCTGCCTGGGTGTCAATAGAAACCACTTGGGAATCCTGGACTTCCATACCCACCTCACAGAGAGAAAGCCCCCCTCTCTCTCCCTACTGGGGGGGGTGTCAGAAGTGTAGTGGAGAGTCAAGACTTTCCTCAGCGGTAATGAAGCCATCCACGCCAAGATGTCAGTGGAGACCACAAACTAGAACTGGCAGTAACAAGGGGCTCGCTGCCGCCTTAGAGGCTGAGTAGGGAGCCTGACTTCCATCCTCACCTGGCAGCAGCGAGGCAGTACCGTGTTCCCCTGTGGGAGCAGCATCAGAGGAAGCCAGTTAAAACACAAGGTGTATACAAAATCTAGTCTAGCAACGTAACAAGAAAATGTCCAAGTTTCCAGTGAAACTCACTCATCATACCAAGAACCAGGAAAATTTCACATGGAATGAAAAAAATGAGAGGCGACAGCGTGCTGGCAGCCCTCGCAGCCCTCGCTCGCTCTCGGTGCCTCCTCAGCCTCGGCGCCCATTCTGGCCGCGCTTGAGGAGCCCTTCAGCCCGCCGCTGCACCGTGGGAGCCCTTCTCTGGGCTGGCCGAGGCCAGAGCTGGCTCCCTCGGCTTGCAGGCAGGTGTGGAGGGAGAAGCACAGGTGGGAACCAGGGCTGCGCGCGGTGCTTGCAGGACAGCTAGAGTTCTGGGTGGGCGTGGGCTTTGCGGGCCGCACTCAGAGCGGCCCCGGGCAGTGAGGGGCTTAGCACCCAGGCCAGCAGCTGCGGAGGGTGCACCAGGTCCCGCAGCAGTGCTGGCCCACTGGTGCTGCGCTTGATTTCTCACCAGGCCTTAGCTGCCTCCCCGCAGGGCAGGGCTTGGGACCTGCAGCCCGCCATGCCTGAGTCTCCCCACCACCCCGCCATGGGCTCCTGCGCTGCCTGAGCCTCCCCGATGAGCAACGCCCCCTGCTCCACAGCACCTGGTCCTATCAACCACCCAAGGGCTGAGGAGTGTGGGCGCACAGCACCCGCCTGGCAGGCAGCTCCACCTGTGGCCCCGGTGCGAGATCCACTGGGTGAAGCCAGCTGGGTTCCTGAGTCTAGTGGGTACTTGGAGAACCTTTATGACTAGCTAAGGGATTGTAAATACACCAATCAGCGCTCTGTGTCTAGCTCAGGGTTTGTGAATACACCAATCGACACTCTGTATCTAGCTAATCTAGTGGTGAGGTGGAGAACTTGTGTGTCTAGCTCAGGGATTGTAAACGCACCAATCAGCACCCTGTCAAAACAGACCAATCAGCTCTCTGTAAAATGGACCAATCAGCAGGATGTGGGTGGGGCCAGATAAGGGAATAAAAGCAGGCTGCCCGAGCCAGCAGTGGCAACCCACTCGGGTCCCCTTACGCACTGTGGAAGCTTTGTTCTTTCGCTCTTTGCAATAAATCTTGGTGCTGCTCACTCTTCGGGTCCACACTGCCTTTATGAGCTGTAACACTCACCCCGAAGGTCTGAAGCTTCACTCCTGAAGCCAGCGAGACCGCGAACCCACTGGGAGGAATGAACAACTCCAGATGTGCCGCCTTAAAAGCTGTAACACTCACTGCGAAGGTCTGCAGCTTCACTCGTGAGCCAGCGAGACCACGAACCCACCAGAAGTAAGAAACTCTGAACACATCCGAACATCAGAAGGAACAAACTCTGGACATGCTGCCTTTAAGAACTGTAATACTTACCGCAAGGGTCCGCGGCTTCATTCTTGAAGTCAGTGAGACCAAGAACCCACCAATTCCAGACACAAAAAGACAATACCTGCCAATGCCAAGACGACACTGGTGCTGGCACTACCTGACAAACATTTTAAAGCAGCCACGACAAAATGCTTCAAGGAGCAATGACAAGCACCCTTAAAACAAATGAACCAAGTCTCAGCCAAAAACAGTATTTAAAAATGGAAATTTTAGGCCAGGCGTGGTGGCTCACACCTGTAATCCTAGCACTTTGGGAGGCTGAGGCAGGCGGATCACTTGAGGTCAGGAGTTCAAAACCAGCCTGGCCAACATGGTGAAACCCCATCTCTACTAAAAATACAAAAAAATTAGTTGGGCGTGGTGGCAGGTCCCTGTAATCCCAGCTACTTGGGAGGCAGAGGCAGGAGAACCGCTTGAGCCAAGACCGTGCCAATGCACTCCAGCCTGGGTGACAGAGTGAGACTCGTCTCAAAAAAAAAAAAAAAATTTAAACTGAAAAATACCATAACCAAAATAAAAAGCTCAGTGGGTAAACTCTACAACAGACTGGAGGCCCAGAAGAAAGAACCGGTGACTGGAAGGCACAGCAATAAAAATTATGCAGTCTGAGCAACAGAAAGACAGTAGACCGAGAAAACCTAGATTCAAACAGGCAAGTGAACCCACAACAGTAAAAATACAAAGAAATGCCAAGACATATCACAATTAAACTCTGAAAACTAAAAACCAAGCAAAAATCTTGAATGCAGAGAAAAACCATTTGAATGACAACAGATTTTTCATCAGAAACCATGGAGGCTCAGCTCGGTAATCTCAGCACTGTGGGAGGCTGAGGCAGGTGAATCACTTAAGTCCAGGGGTTCAAGACCAGCCTGAGCAACATGGTGAAACCCCACCTCTGTTTCAAAAGAAAAAAAAAATTTAATGAAAAAAACTTAAAAAAAAAAAAAAAAAGAAGGAAACCATGGAAGCCAGAAGAAAGTGGTACAATTATGTTTCCAGTGTTGAAAAAAAAAACTGTTTATCTAATGAAAATGTTTTTAGGCCAGACACTTCATGCCTCTAATCCCAGCACTCTGGGAGACCGAGGCGGGCAGATCACCTGAGGTCAGGAGTTCAAGACCAGCCTGGCCAACACGGTGAAACCCTCTCTCTACGAAAAATACAAAAATTAGCCGGGCATGGTGGTAGGTGCCTGTAATTCCAGCTCCTCGGGAGGCTGAGGCAGGAGAATCACTTGAACCCGGGAGGCGGAGGTTGCAGTGAGCCAAGATCGTGTCATTGCACTCCAACCAGCCTGGGCAACAAGAGCGAAGACTCTGTCTCAGAAAAAAAAAGAAAAGAAAAAAATATTCTTTAGGAATGAAGGGGAAATTAAGACATTCTCAGATGAAGGAAAAGAATTTGTTACTAGCAGACCTACCCTAAGAGAACAGCCAAAGGAAGTTCTCTAAACAGTAAAGAAATGATAAAAGGTAGAACTTTGGGACATTACAAAGTAAGAAAGAAGCTGGGCGCAGTAGCTCACACCTGTAATCCCGGCACTTTGGGAGGCCAAGACAGGCGGATCACCTGAGGTCAGGAGTTCAAGACCAGCCTGGCCAACATAGTGAAACCCCGTATCTACTAAAAATACAAAAATTAGCCGGTGTGGTGGTGGGCGCCTATAATCTCAGCTACTTGGGAGGCTGAGGCAGGAGAATCACTTGAACCTGGGAGGCGGAGGTTGCAGTGAGCTGAGACCATGCCATTGCACTTCAGCCTGGTCAACAGGAACAAAACTCCGTCTCAAAAAAAAAAAAAAAATGAACACAGAAAAAATATGGGTAAATATTAGGTTGGTGCAAAAATTATTGCGGTTTCTGCTATTACTTTTAATGGCAAAAACCACACTTTTGCACCAACCAATACAATACATCTTCCATCTCCTCTTGAGTTTTCGATGTTATATTTGACAGTTGAAGCAAAAATTATAATGTTTTCCAGCCAGGCATGGTGGCTCACTAATCCCAGCACTTTGGGAGGCTGAGATGGGTGGATCACCTGAGGTCAGGAGTTTGAGACCTGCCTGGCCAACATGGCGAGGTCTCTACTAAAAATACAAAAGTAGCTGGGTGTGGTGGCACATGCCTGTAATCCCAGCTACTTGGGAGGCTGAGGCAGGAGAATTGCTTGAACCTGGAAGGTGGAGGTTGCAGCGAGCTGAGATTGTGCCACTGCACTCCAGCCTGGGTAACAAGAGCAAAACTCCGTCTCAAAAAAAAAACAACATTATAATTCTTTCCAACTTGGATCTAAATGTATATAGAGTAAATACTTAATTTCAAATACAACTGCATTATTAACAGGGAAAGGTAAAGGGAAGTAAATAGATGTACTCAAACTGATAAAACCAACAAGAGTAGGCTATAAGTTATGTGTATATAATGTAATAATGTAACATCTAGCACAACTATTTAAAAAGGTATACAAAGAGATGCACTTAACACTGTAAATAAAAATGGAATTCTATTTATCTTTATTATTACTTTTTTTTTGAGACAGAGTCTTACTCTGTAGCCCAAGCTGACCTGCAGTGGTGCAATCTCAGCTCACTGCAACCTCTGCCTCCCGGGTTCAAGTGAGTCTCCTGCCTCAGCTTCCCGAGTAGCTGGGATTACAGGCATGCACCACCACACCAGGCTAATTTTTGTTTTAGTAGAGACAGGGTTTCACCATGTTGGCCAGGCTGGTCTCCGCCTGCCTCAGCCTCCCAAAGTGCTGGGATTACAGGCGTGAGCCATTGTCCCTGGTCTATTTATTATTTTTATGTTAAAAAAATTTTTTTTGGCAGGGTGCAGCATCTCACACCTGTAATCCTGCACTTTGGGAGGCTGAGGTGGGCGGATCACCTGAGGTCAGGAGTTCTAGACCAGCCTGATCAACATGGCGAGACCCCGTCTCTAGTAAAAACACAAAAAAATTTGCTGCGCGTGGTGGTGCACGCCTGTAGTCCCAGCTACTAGGGAGGCTGAGGAAGGAGAATCTCGAACCCAGGAGGCAGAGGTTGTCCAGTGAATGAAGATCACGCCACTGCACTCCCAGCCTGGGCAACAGAGCAAGACTCCATCTCAAAAAAAAATTTTTTTTTTTTTTTTTAAGAGACGAGGTTTCCCTATGTTGACCAGGTTGTTCTCGAACTTCTGGCCTCACCTTGGCCTCCCAAAGTGCTGGGATTACAGGCATGAAGCCACTGCACTCAGCCAAGAAATGGAATTCTAAAAAATGTTCAAGTAAGCCTCAGGAAAACAAAGAAACAAAAACTATAGAACAAACAAAAGACAAAAAGTAAAATGTTCTGTATCTGGACTGGGTCAATGTTACTATCCTGGTTGTGATAGTTTTTGTAAGATGTTACCACTGGGGAGAAACTGGATAAAGAGTATACCAGATCTTTCTGTATTGTTGTTACAATTGTATGTGAATCTGCTATTAATCTCAAAATAAAAAGTGTAATTAAAAAAAACATTTTTAGCTTGCCAGCAGTATAAAAATGGGCAGTAGGCCATATTTGAATCACTGGCCAAAGTCTATGACACCTTTCCTGATCCTTTGTTAGTTATATTATTGCAAATATCTTCTCCCAGTTCTTGGCTTGAATTTATCTTTCTTTATACATCAACTTTCAAAGAGGTGGTCTTTATTTTAACTTATCCATCTTTTTTTTTCACCTGATGCTTTATGCCTTGACAAATCTCATTCTATCTGAGATCATATCCAGTAGGACATCTGATAAGATCATCCTCACTGAGATCGTAAAGATATTCTGCTACATTTCTTCTAAAAGTTTTTAAGTTTTGCCTTTCACTGCCAAGTTTATAATCCACCTAGTATTTTTGTGCGTGGGATAAGGTAGGGATACAGTTTCACAGTTTTCTACATGAATAAGCAATTGTCCCAGTTCAATTTACTGAAGTGTGTATCCTTTCCCCAGAGATCTACCACTCTACCTGAATAATAGTTTCTGTGTACGAATGAGCCTCTTTTTGAGTTCTCGATTATATTTTATTGGTCAAACTGTCTGGCCTTAAGCCAATACAATTGGTCTTCCGTATCTGTGGTTTCTGCATCCACAGACTCAACAAATATTTAAAAAAATTCAGGGCCAGGCGCAGTGGCTCATGCCTGTAATCCCAGCACTTTGGGAGGCAGAGGCAGGCGGATCACCTAAGGTCAGGTGTTCTAGACCAGCCTGCCCAACATGGCGAAATCCTGTCCATGCTAAAAATACAAAAACTAGGCGGGCGTGGTGGCAGGTGCCTGTAATCCCAGCTACTTGGGAGGCTGAGGCAGGGAGAATTGCTTGAACCCAGAAGGCGGAGGTTGCAGTTAGCCAAGACTGTGCCACTGCACTCCAGCCTGGGTGACAAGAGCGAGACTCTGTCTAAAAAATAATTAATAATAAAAAAATAAAAAAAAAATTCAGGCCAGGTGCGGTGGCTCACGCCTGTAATCCCAGCACTTTGGGAGGCCGAGGTGGGTAATTACTTGAGGTCAGGAGTTGCAGACCAGCCTGGCCAACATGGTGAAACCCCATCCATACCAAAAAATACAAAAATTAGGCCAGGCGCAGTGGCTCACACCTGTAATCCCAGCACTTTGGGAGACCAAGAAGGGCAGATCACAAGGTCAGGAGTTTGAGATCAGCCTGGCCGACATGGTGAAACCCTGTCTCTACAAAAATACAAAAATTAGCTGGGCGTGGTGGCGTGTGGCTGTAATCCCAGCTGCTCGAGAGACTGAGGCAGGAGAATCGTTTGAACCCAGGAGGCAGAGGTTGCAGTAAGCTCTCATTTGAACCCAGGAGGCAGAGGTTGCAGTAAGCTCAGATCGCGCCTCTGCACTCCAGCCACGTGACAGAGCAAGACTTTGTCTCAAAAAAAAAAAAAAAAAAAATCTGTGAAAGTTGTTTTGGGTTTTGTTTGCTTGTTTGTTTTTAGAGAAAGGGTCTCACTCTGTTGCCCAGGCTGGAGTGAAGTGGCATTATCATAACTCACTACACCTCCCAGGCTCCAGTGATCCTACCACCTCAGCCTGCCAAAGTGCCTGTAGGCCTGGCTAGATTTTTTTTTTATTTCAATAATGTCAAGTTTCTTTTTTTTTTTTTTTTGAGATGAAGTCTCACTCTGTCACCAGGCCAGAGTGCAGTGGCACAATCTTGGCTCACTGCAACCTCCACC
Source organism: Homo sapiens (assembly GCF_000001405.40). Classification (NCBI taxonomy): domain Eukaryota; kingdom Metazoa; phylum Chordata; class Mammalia; order Primates; family Hominidae; genus Homo; species Homo sapiens. Next base: position 154,526,133 of record NC_000001.11, on the reverse strand, counting down.
TCCCAGGTTCAAGCAATTTTCCTGCCTCAGCCTCCCGAGTAGCTGGGACTACAGGTGCACGCCACCACGCCTGGCTAATTTTTGTATTTTTTTTATTAGAGATGGGGTTTCACCATATTGGCCAGGGTGGTCTCAAACTCCTGACCTTGTGATCCACCTGCCTCAGCCTCCCAAAGTGCTAGGATTACCGGCGTGAGCCACCACGCCCAGCCTCTTTTTTTTTTTTTTTTTTTTTTTTGAGACGGAATCTTGCTCTGTTGCCCAGGCTGGAGTGCAGTGGCACAATCTCAGCTCACTGTAACCTCCGCCTCCGGGGTTCAAGCAATTCTCCCTGCCTCAGCCTCCCAAGTAGCTGGGATTACAGGCACCCACCACCATGCCCAGCTAATTTTTGTATTTTTTAGTAGAGATGGGGTTTCGCCATGTTGGCTAGGCTGGTCTTGAACTCCTGACCTCAGATTATCTGCCCACCTTGGCCTTCTAAAGAGCTGGGATTACAGGTGTTAGCCACCGTGCCTGGCCATTAATGTCTACTTCCTATTTGGATTTTAAAATGTTGTTACCTACTTCTTCAATCAACTCTTAGCTCATTAATATTCAACCTTTCTTCTTTGCTCATCTAAGATTGGATGAACCTCTAAATATTGCCTTCACTATATCCCAAAACTTTTCAGGGGTAGTATTTTCCTCATTATTCAGTTCTAAGTGTTTTTAAGTTTCTTTATAAATTCTTCTTTGACCCATGTGTTGTTTACATAGGAATGCTTTTAAATGTCCACATTTATGGGGATTTTATGTTCAGCTTTTGTGTACTTATTTCTAATTTAAAAGCAGTGGGAATACTGGGAAATCATCTTTATCCCAAGAGAAAAAAAGGTGAGAGCCATGATTCTCTTTCCCAGTATCTGGTTCTGGCATGACACAACTTAACTCTCACCCCAAACAACTCTAAAACTAGACAAAATACAGGAACTCACCATTTCCAGCACAGGACTAATGAGAGTGAATGGCAGAGGGCTGTTTCCTGAGCAAAGGAAAGCATGTGAGCACCACATTCACCCTGACCTTCTGCCTGGGGGCATTTTCCCAAACCACAGCAAAGGGAAACAGAGCCCAAGCAGAAAGTGGCAGTCTCATTGGGCAGCAACAGAGTTTAGGTGACAGGAATTTGGGGACAGAGGACCAGAGAGGAAGGAGCCACACAGAAGTCCAAGGAATCTAGGTGTCTGCCTCAGGTCCTTGGTTGAGGCCTAAGCTGTCCGTGGTGTGGGACAAGTACCGGGAGGCCTTAAAGAGAACAGTCGCTGTGAAGGTGGGGGAGAGGGCTCTGAGAGAGACACAGATGCCAGAGGTCTCACAGTGCTGGAGACAATGGAGTTCCAACCCAGCAAGGGGGACAGACCTTGGCAAGCACCCGGAGCACTCACCTGAGACCCTACAAAAGCCAAGTCTTAGGAAAAATGGTGTTACCCAAGAAAAAGACTCACAATGGAACATTCCAATCCTAACTATGACACACACACAAAAACCCTTAATAGGATAAAAGATCTGCTAGTAATTTAATCTTTGCTAGAAAAATTTCAACACCATTTAGAGGACAGTAATAGAAGTCTCCATGATATAGCATCCATAATATCCAACATACAATAAAAAATTACTATAGGCTGGGTGCAGTGGCTCAGCTCATGGCTATAATCCCAGCACTTTGAGAGGCCAAGGTGGGCAGATCACTTAAGCCCAGGAGTTCGAGACCAGCCTGGGCAACATGGCGAAACCCCATTTCTACAAAAAATACAAAAATTAGTCAGGCATAGTGGTGCATGCCTGTAGTCCCAGCTACTAGGGAGGCTAAGGTGGGAGGATGGCTTGAGCCCAAGAGGTGGAGGTTGCAGTGAGCTATGACTGAGCCACTGCACTCCAGCCTGGGTAACAAAGCAACACCCTGTCTCAGGAAAAAACAGAAAACTATTTGTAAAGGGGCCTGAAAATTTTACCCATAATCAAGGGATAAATGTCAACAGAAGCAGATCCACAAATGACTCAAATGTTGGAATTAGCAGAAAATGATTTTATAATAACTATTATAAAAATGTTAATCTTAAAAAAGAGACAAAATAGGTGAAAAGATGAAAAAGTCCAGCAGAGAAATGGGAAAAAAGAATAAAATGGAAGTTGAAAAATATCTAAAATAGAACATTCATTAGATGGGCTTAAGAGCAGATTGGACATAGGAGGAGAAAAGATCAGAGAATTCCAAAACAGGTCAGTTTGGAAGAGTGGGAAAGCCTGTGACCATGCACATATACTGAGACCAGTTAGCAAGGTTGTGTGAATGTCTTCAGGGGCTCAGAGGGTGAGTTCAGAACAGGCAGAGGGCTGGGTCCAACTAGGATTAGTGTTCTGCAAGCTATAACCTAGTGAGAAAAGGGCAATGGAGTTAAAGATGTTTGAACTAAGGTAGTTATTGACTATAGAATCTAGGCTAAGAGGGAAATGAGAGAACAAAGAGAATATTGAATAATGAAGAAATGGTGGGGTCAGCAGACTTTGTGTGCCTACGTGAGCCAATGCATCAACTGTTGGACTGAGGCTGTAGAGCCTTGCTACTAAAATGTGGTCCCAGGGCCAGGAGCATCAGCACCACCTGAAGCTTGTGCTAATTCCCAGGCCCTACCCTACATGTACTGAGTCAGAATCGCTGGGGCTAGGGCTCAGAAAACTGTGTTCACAAACCCTTTTGTTGATTCTGATGCTTGTTAAAGCTTGAGAACCATTCTTCCAGAGTAAGAGAGCTGCAAAGACTGGGGGACAGCGCAGAGTGGGATGCTTGAAATGGTTACAGCAATCACAAGGTCTGAAATACAGCTAGGGGGATGAGAAACTGTGACCAAGTGGAAGAAAAAATCATTAGGAAGACACAACAATCCAGGTGGGGTGCAGTGGCTCATGCCTGTAATCCCAGCACTTTGGGAGGCTGAGGTGGACGGATCATTTGAGGTCAGGAGTTCGAGATCAGCCTGGTCAACGTGGTGAAACCCTGTCTCTATCGAAAAAATATAAAAATTAGCCAGGCATGGTGGTTCACACCTGTAGTCCCAGCTGAGGTGGGAGAATCCCTTGAACCCAGGAGGCAGAGGTTGCAGTGAGCTGAGATAACTCCACTGCACTCCAGCCTGGGCAACAGAATGAGACCCTGTCTCAAAAAAAAAAGATACAATGGTCCAGGAAGTAAGTGACTGGACTCTTAGTCGAATCATCCACATGGATGCTAAATTTGCATGATAATAAGACAGAAAGATAATGAGCCAGAAGCTGAAGTTTTCAGTGAAGGGCATAACACAGAGAAGAGCAGACAACTGCTGCCAGGAAGGTTCCTAAGCAGTATAGTCTGACAGTCTGCCCTTTCAAAGAGGGCTTAAGAGAGAAAGGAAGAGAAAGAGTTTGAAATTAGCAAAGGGAGTCACCTCTGACAATCTTTTTTTTTCCTGTTTATAGAGATGGGGTCTTGCTATGTTGGCTAGGTTGGTCTCAAAGTCCTAGCTTTAAGCCATCCTCCTGCCTCGGTCTCCCAAAGCATTGGGATTACAGGTGTGAGCCAGTGCGCCTGGGCCACCTCTGAAAATCTGACTGTAGTCAATAATTCCAACCCATCTCTCGGCTTCCACCTCCAACCTCTCCAGCTTTGTGGCTGACCTTGTTAACTGCCAGCCATATGCATGCTCTGCTTCCTTGCTGACAGAACCCCAAGTTTAGCAACAATGTGTCTATCTTTTAAAACTACATCTCTCAGCATCTGTGCACTTAAGGCCATGAGTTACGGGGACATCCAGTGAAACACAAGCAGAACTGTGGTCAGGGCTTCTGGAAAATGCACCTTTTAAGAGGACACAGGCCCCTTTTGCCCTCTGCTTCTCCCCTTCTTCCTGCCTAGAACCCTGATACCACCATATAGCAACCCTGGACTCCCTACCTCCTGACTTCTATAGGAAAGAAAAACAAATCGCTAACTTGTTTAAGCTACTATTGTTCAGATTTCCTCGTATGTGCAGCCAAGTCGGCTTCTAGCACTAACACTTCAGGCTCTGGAATGGGATCTTTTTCTCCTGGTTCACCTCTGCATACGGAGAATGGGCCCTCCTCCTTTTGAGGGAAGCTCCCAGGGGTTAGTTATGGACCTTATCTTCTCTGCTTGCAGAGGCAGCCTCCACCATTAACTGCCCCCCATACCTCATATTTGGCAACGTTTATCTTCCTGCCAGGAAGAGCTGGATTTTATTGACTTTTGTCTTACACTTCACACCAGCAGCCAGAACAAGGCTGTACAAACAGTAGACACTCAATGTCTGCTACATTAACAATGAAAACCTAAGTTTCAATATTCCAGGTTGAAAAAGCCCTGACTGAATTGCCTAATGGCCCTTTTTATCCTTGCCAAAAATATAGTCTCCTTAATTTACAAATTCCAAGTTTTCCACATCTGACCTTACCTCTGACTGTTAAAGGTCATAAAAGTTCCCTGACTTCACCCGAGACCCTGCCTTCTTCTCCACAGTCAGACTGGACTGGAGGAGGATGAAAGCACTGAAAGCAAAGTCAGCCACGCTCTAAAGGGTGAAAATGGAACGCCCCAGAGCAGAAAGGCCAGAAGACATACCAGCGGGGCCCGAGGCTGCTGGATCATATCAGGGGTCCTCTTGGGGGGCCTTTTGCTTGTATTCACGAACAGTTTTCGCTTGTGGAAGAGTTTACCATTCAGCTCCTGGATTGCAAGTGTCACTTTCTGCATGGAGCCCAGATCTACAAATGCAAAGCTGAAAAGGGAAGAGAGAGAGGGAGGCTTTGAGCACATCTCCAGAGAAGCCCAGAGCTGCAGGGAGGCACCAAGCCCAAGCTGGAAGGCCAGTGTCCTTTCTCTCTGCAGTGATGGAAGATGAACTGTTCACAAGCAAGCTACAAGTATGTCCAGACTTGGGGCTGGGCCAGTGTGAGATACTGTCATGGGCCTCTAAGGAGCAGAAGAAATGAGCTGACTTTCACTATGCATCGTATGTCTATGACTTTGAGTTTAATACTACTGCCCCAAAAGTTCAAAGCAAGCCAGGTGTGGTGGCTCATATCTGCAATCCCAGCACTTTGGGAGGCCAAGACAGGCGGATCGCTTGAGCCCAGGAGTTCCAGACCAGTCTGGGCAACATAGCAAAGCCCCATCTCTACAAACAAATACAAAAATTAGCCGGATGTGGTGGTGTACACCTGTAGTCCCAGCTACTTCGGAGGCTGAGGTGGGAGGATTGCTTAAGCCTAGGAGGTGGAAGTTGCAGTGAGCCGAGACTGCACCACAGCACTCCGGCCTGAGCGACAGAGCAAGACCCTGTCTCAAACAAACAAACGTTCAAAGCACTTTTTACTGCCTTGAAAATAAGAAAGGGAAAATATAAGTAGGTTTGGTTTTCAGGAACAACTAAGGCTTAGGGTGGTATAGTAACTTATCTCAAGTCAGAAAATACAGCAAGGACATGACCAAAAATATACCCAGGTCTCTGGACTTCTAAGCCAGGGTTGTGTTGATAAGACAGTATTCGCTGCTGGGTCACAGGGTTAAATATGGAAAGGGGGTTTCCCAAATGTTCCTTTGCCAAGTCAGAGTGGGTGTGGACGTGGCGGTTGCTGGGCTAGTCTGCAACATGAGTGCATCAGCAAAATGGACAGGGAGGAAAGGAGCTGCTTCCCAAAGAAAACAAAGAAAGAACAGTCATTACCATTTGCAGCCATTCTGGATTTTGTGGACATCAAGAGGGTTGAAGTCCTTTAGAAGGTACAGAATTTCCTCCTACAACAGCAGGGTTTAAAAGAGAGAGACCCAGAGACATAACTTACAACCACTTCTCAAGGTTTCAGATCCCCAGCCAGCTAGTCTGGACTCAATTTAACTCATACTTAATGAGGATCTATTATGTGCTGTACGTGCCATGTTTTGTAGGATAGGCAAGAAAGGCCACAGCCCTGTCTTCAGTGAAGCTCACCAGCCAAGCAGCGATGCAGACAAGACAATTAACTAAACACACCGTTTCATCACTGCACATACAGCTGGCTATGGGCGCACACGGCCTGTCATTTAATCCAGATTTGGAGGGAAAGGAGGTGGTCAGGGTATGCTCCCAGGAAGAAGTGACTTCCACAGCTTTGCGAGTACCTCCTCCTCACTGCTTCTCAACCCTGCCTGGCCTCTGCCCGGGGATATGGTTCCCTTCCTCTTCCCGGAACATTTCCCCACACCCTTCTCCTCTCCTAGTCTGCCCTCAGGCCGTCTTCCTCACCCCATCCCCTCCTCCCCATCCTGCTCCGCGGGCTTGGGTTGGTGTCTCCACAGAGGCACCAACCTCCCCCGCTTTATGATAAGGTCTATGCCACCCTGAGGCCTTTTTGAACTACACCCTATTTTTTCTCTTTTCTGCCAAACTTGTAGAAAGAGCCGTCTCCACCTAATGCCTCCATTTCCTCCCTGCCCACTCCCTCCTGACTGCCTGCGCTAGGCTGGTTCCAGCCCTACTGAAATGCTTTCTTGCAGGTCACAGACATGCACTCGCTGCCCACTGTGATGGCTTCACTTCAGGTTCAGCTCTTTCACCTCCTGCCTGCACCCCTCAATACTTCCTCCTTCCTTGGCTTCCCCACAAGAGTGTTAATGATTATAAAATTTCACAACCATGATGAAAACCAATTTTTCTCTGGAAAACCCTATTTTGGAAAAAAATGATATTTATACCATCTTCCAAAGTCACTTTGTTGGCTTAGGAAAATAGAAATGCATTATGTATAACTCATTTTTCTCAGTCTTCATGTTTATATTATATTTACATGCAAATTTTCTAATTTGCTTTACTCTTAAATATTTAATGTTTATTACACATGAATCTAAAAGATGCTGAACAAGCAATTCGTGAGAACGAGCAATGTGTGCTTAGCATTTTCAGTTTACCAAGCACTTTCATATCCTTTATTCCATTTGGTTTTCACAACCACCCTATAAAGTACACATTATTACTATACTCATTGCACAGAGGCATAAAATAAGGATCAGAGAGGTTAAATGACGTCTCTATGGCTATATAGCCAATTTAGAATTAGGACTTGAACTCCAGACTCTTCAAATCCTACATTTTTTTTCCATTATATTGTGCAAAGCCATAGTTTTCTTCTCAGGTTTTACCATTACTAAAATAAAATAGAAAACTAGTATTTTGGCAGTTATCAGTAAACCATAACCTTGGGCCAAATCCAGTCCACCACCTTTTTTTGTAAATAAAGTTTTATTGGAACACAGCCATGCACATCCATTCACTCATTGTTTACAGCTGCTTTCAGGCTACAGTGGCCTTCAACGCATGAAGTACTTACTATGTGGCTGGGCACAGTGGCTCACCTGCCCGTAATCCCAGCACTTTGGGAGGCTGAGGCAGGCAGATCACGAGGTCAGGAGATAGAGACCATCCTGGCTAACACGGTGAAACCCCGTCTCTACTACAAATACAAAAAAAATTAGCCGGGCGTGGTGGCGGGCACCTGCAGTCCCAGCTACTCAGAAGGCTGAGGCAGGAGAATGGCGTGAACCCGGGAGGTGGAGCTTGCAGTGAACCGAGATCGCACCACTGCACTCCAGCCTGGGTGACAGAGCAAGACTCCGTCTCAAAAAAAAAAAGTTTTGATCAATTATAGATTTGAAAGGAGGCTTGGTACATTAAGCTAAAATTGCCTCGTGCATATCTCATTTTAAATCATAAAAGTAACTTATTAGGATTTTTTAAATTACAAAGACATTGAATGTTTGTTGTAGAATATTTTTAAAAACACAGATAAGCAAACTAGAAGTATTGTCCATAATTCTGCCACCAAAATATGAACACTGCACATCTACTATAAATATCATGAAATCATACTGCACCTTCTGCTTTTAACCTATTTCACTTAAAGACACATCCCTTCCAGTCAATCACCGCCAACCACATGGTTTAAGGGATCGATAGCCTGCTATTAGTTAAGGCATCAGCATTTATGGACCACTGACTTTGTGCCAGACAGGCAGGAGGTTACTGCACTCACCTATGTGCTAAGTAATTTCATGCCCGTCCAACTGGCAGCAATTTAACAGTTGGACAACACCAAACATTCATGATAGAGGAACCCTGTGCTGCTGGTGGGAGTGCAAGTCAGTCCCCTTCCTGGTCCAGCGGTGAGGACCGTGTGGCCCTGATGCCCTGCACCTAAGTACAGGTCCCAGAGGCACTCGCACCTCGCACACCGATATGCGTACAAGCCGGTTCACTGAAGCTCTGCTTGAGGAAGCAAAAACTAGGAAAATATTAGTGTGAGCCATGTGAAATTGATGATTTTGCAGATTAAAAAAATGGTCCAAGCCGGGCGCGGTGGCTCATGCCTGTAATCCTAGCATTTTGGAAGGCTGAGGTGGGCAGATCACCTGAGATCAGGAGTTTGAGACTAGCCTGACCAACATGGTGAAACCCCGTCTCTACTAAAAATACAAAATTAGCCAGGCGTGGTGGCGGATGCCTGTAATCCCAGCTACTTGGGAGGCTGAGGCAGGAGAATCCCTTAAACCCCAGGGGGCAGAGGGTGCAGTGAGCCGAGATCGCACCATTGCGCTCCAGCCTGGGCAACAAGAACGAGACTCCGTCTCAAAAAAAAAAAAAAAAAAGGTCTAATATCAGCTATTTCATAAGGTACAACCTAAGAATTGGAATGTCTATTTGCAGGTAAACACACTGTGGTAGGTTCATACAAAAGAATATTGTAACAGCCAAAATTACTGCCTAGAGCTGCACATGCCAACATGGACATGATCAAAGCAAGCCACAGACAAATATGCAGACAGAAGGTAAGGGATCAACAACCACCTGCCCAGCACCTCAGCTCCCTGATTTCCAGGGCATACCCCAGACATGGTCATTCCCAATGCCTACCCCCAAATGACAGCTTTGAACCCCATGCTCTCTGACCCCCTCCTATGTTTCCCACTCACACCTCTGGTTCTCCAACTACACTCCCCAGTACTGTGACCCTTCAGGCTCCACCACTTTCCACCCTCCTGCAAACTCCTGACTCTGACCCTTTTCTCCTAGCCGTCCTGTCCCACCCGAACCTACAATGTCCTTGCTGTGCCTTTTTTTTTGAGTCAGGGTCTGGCTCTGTTGCTCAGGCTGGAGTGCAGTGGCATGATCTTGGCTCACTACAGCCACTGCCTCCCAGGCTCAAGCCAACCTCCCACCTCAGCCTCCCAAGTAGCTGGGATTACAGGCATGTGCCACCATGGCTGGCTCACTTCTGTATTCTTCGTAGAGATGGGGTTTTGTCATGTTGCCCAGGCTAATCTGAAACTCCTAAGCTCAAGCAATCCACCCACCTGGGCCTCCCAAAGGGCTGGGATGACAGGCGTGAGCTACCGTGCAATGCTCCTGGCCCCTGCTGTGCTCGTTAACCAGCTTAGGTGCCAGGGTCTATCACTGCAATCACTACCTGATGTCCAGTACTTCATGGCATTCCTACTACCTATTCCTCATCATCAGCCCCCCAGTCTCCCAGAAAAAACTACCGCACACACTTTGCACATCCTTTCTATTCAGCAGAGAACCCTGATTTTTACTTCACTGAGAAAAGAGAAGCAACCAAAGGAGAACTTCCATTCTCCCACCACCCCCATATCTGTACTCATCCCCCTATGTGGAAGACTTGTCCCTGCCCCGATCCCTTCCTTCCCACCTTCTCGAAGCCTCTGCCGCTAAATCAGCTCCTCTCTTTCCAGCACCTGTTTCCCTCTCCACTGGATGAGCATACAAACTCGCCATATTAATACTTATTACACATAACGCCTTGGACCCCATACACCCCTCCTGCTACCACTTCATCTTCCTACTCTTCTTTTTGACTAAAATCCTTGAAAAAGTCATCTATGCTATCTTCACTTCCTCTCACTCTTTCATTCAATAGATACTTATTAGGTGCCCACTCTGTGCTAGAAATGTGTTAGGTGCAGAAAGCAGAGCCCTGCTGGGCTCATCTTTTATGGGGAAGAGATCATCACTAAGGGGAGTAAGTAGCAGGTGGCCAGGCACGGTGCCTCATGCCTGTAATCCCAGCACTTCTGGAGGCCGAGGCAGGCAGATCACCTGAGGTCAGGAGTTTGAGATCAGCCTGGCCAACATGGTGAAACCCCGCCTCTACTAAAAAAATACAAAAATTAGCTGGGTGTGGTGACAGGTGCCTGTAATCCCACCTACTTAGGAGGCTGAGGCAGGAGAATCGCTTGAACCCAGGAGGCAGAGGTGGCAGTGAGCAAAGATCATGCCATTGTACTCCAGCCAGGGTGACAAGAGCGAAATTCCATCTCAAAAAATAAAAAAGAGGAGTAAGCAGCAGGTGTGGTGAGTTCGATGGTGGAAAGTATTAAGGAGACACAGAGCAGGAAGGACAGGAAGAATGGGGGCTGCAACTGAGGGAGAAGAGCCGGGGAGGGCCTCTGAGAAGGCCACCTCCGAAGCAGAGCAGTGCCATAGGTGCAAGGCCCTATGGCAGGTTCTGGGCTGAACAAGGAGGCCAGAGAGCCTGCTGTGGAGCAAACAAGGAAGAAGGCAGGAGTGAGGCGGGCACAGGGAGCGGTTCACACAGGGCCGCAAGGGATTCTGCTCTTCCTAAATAAGAAGGGAAGCCACTGGAGGCTTCTGAGTGGAGGGGGGCCAAGACCTGCTTGCCACTTTATGGGATCACTCTGGCTGCTATGTTAAGATTAGACTGCAGGGGAGCAGGGAAGAAGCAAGAAGAGCTGGCTGGGTGCGGTGGCTCATACCTGTAATCCCAGCACTTTGGGAGGCCGAGGCAGGCAGATCACTTGAGCCCAGGAGTTTGAGACCAGCCTGAGCAACATGGCGAAATCCTGTCATAAAAATTAGCCAGAGGCTGAACGTGGTGGCTCACTCCTATAATCCCAGCACTCTGGGAAGCTGAGGTGGGTGGATCATTTGAGGTCAGGTGTTCGAGACCAGCATGGCCAATATGGTGAAGCCCCGTCTCTACTAAAAATACAAAAATTAGCCAGGTGTGGTAGTGCACGTCTGTAACCTCAGCTACACAGGAGGCTGAGGCAGGAGAATCGCTTGAACCCAAGAGGCGGAGGCTGCAGTGTGTCGAGATCACGCCACTGCACTCTAGCCTGGACAACAGAGTAAGGCTCCGTCTCAAAAAAAAAAATAAATAAATAAATAAATAAATAAGCTGGGTATGGTGATGTGTTCCTGTGGTCCCAGCTACATGGGAAGCCGAGATAGGGGGCTTGCTTGGGCCCGGGAGGTCGAGGCTGCAGTGAGCCATAACTGCACCACTGCACTCCAGCCTGGGTGACAGAGCAAGACCCTGTCTCAAAAAACAAACAAACAAACAAAAAAACAAATGAACTAAGATCCCTGGCAGTAATACAGGTGGGACAGCAGTGGGTTGGCCGGGGTGCGAGCAGTGGCATGACAATAGGTGCCAGGTTCTGGATGGAGGTAACTTTTTGTTATAAAATAATTCCAAACATACACAGAAGTAGAGAGTACAATGAACTCCCACAAGCCCATCACCATGCTTCTACCAGCACCCCCATTCCGTGTGTTTCCCCTGTCTTTCCACCCCTTGTTCACCAGTGTCTTACAGAATCCTGGGCATTCTGTCATCTCACCCTTAAATACTTTAGCCTACTCCTCAAAGAGGCATTTTCTCACTAGACCATTATCAAACTAAGAAAAACAATAATGTCTTACTATCAACAGGTAAACCTCACCAATTGTCTCAGAAATGTCTTTTTGTGGTTGTTTTGTCCAAAACGGGATCAAGACAAAGGCTATCATTGTATTTCGTTATCATTTCTAAGTCTCTTCTATTTTATTTTATTTTTGAGACAGAGTCTTGCTTTGTCACCCAGGCTGGAATGCGGTGGCGTGACCTCAGCTCGCTGCAACCTCCGCCTCCCCAGTTCAAACAATTCTCCTGTCTCAGCCTCCTGAGTAGCTGGGATTACAGGCACCCGCCACCGTGTCTGGCTAATTTTTGTATTTTTAGTAGAGACGAGGTTTCACCACACTGGCCAGGGTGGTCTCAAACTCCTGACCTCAGGTGATCCACACGCCTTGGCCTCCCAAACTGCTAGGATTACAGGCGTGAGCCACCAAACACAGCCCCTAAGTCTCTTCTAAATCTCCTTAAATCTCTATCAGATCTACTTTAATTTTTCCGTGACTGAATTGTTCTAGAAATCAGGTCAGCTGTTCTATAGACAAGAGTGCTGCTGCTTTATGGCGGCATTATTTTGGTCTTCTATTCCCTATATTTCCTTTTGACTACAAATCTGCTATAGAGCTTGACTAGCATAGGTGTTTTTTAAAGTATAGGTGGTTTTTAAAGTATAGGAATACTTTAAAATGCTGTGGTCGCCTTTATCTTGCATCACTTTTTAGGGGGCTCATATCTGGTTATCTCATTTTTAGTGAGGCTAAAATTAGTCAGCAAGTTCAAATGGTAACATCCTAATCCATCCATTGTAAAACTGCCCATCAATACTTTACCTAATGAATTAAGCAAGCTCAGATAACCACTGTCTGAAACAGGTATCTTACTGGGGTTTGCACAATGGTCATTTTCTAATTCTATCATTTCTTCTGCATTTATGAGCTAGAGTTCTTCTGTAAAGAACTTTCTCTCATTCACTAGGATTGTTTGCTCTGAAAATGCTATTACATTGGTGTTGGAAAAGCAAGATAAATACTTCTTCCTTCTCTTTAATTATCAAGTTTTATGTTAATGAACCATTATCTTTCCATTTTCAGTTGTGTCCAGTGTTATTTTTCTTTAGACACCACTACAAATTAATGCTTTTTAAAATCATTGGTGAATTTTAATCAAATGTAGTACGTGATGCTCAAATTGCTCCGTCTTTGGTGCATGGGACACCCTCTTTGCTTGCTCTTGTGTCTTTTTATTTGGAAACTTTCAAATCAGAACAAAAATAGATAAAATAGTATTACAAATCCCTATATGCCTATCACTCAGCAGCCTCAGCAATTCTCAATTCATGGCCATTCCCGTTTCATCATAACATCTCTCCCGGCCACTAGGCTATTCTGAAACAAATCTCAAACACCACATTGCTTCACATGCAAACACTTCAGCACAAACTCCAAGAATTAAGAACACCACCTCTAAATAAACCACCCCTGAATAAAACCTCCTCTGTCTTTTCATTCAAACTTCAATAGTCTTTGATAGCTTTCTGGTATAACAGCTCCAGATCTGGAATCAGCCATTTCTCTAAGAAGGCCTGGTTCTCTTTAGCAGGAAAGAACATAATCTATGGGCCAGGAGTGTTACTGCTACTGGGTAATCAGAGCTCCAATGTCTCTCAGTAGACACAGCTAGAAGATATGCATCTTAAAAGAGGAAAAAGTCACCGGGTGCAGTACCTCTCGCCTGTAATCCCCGCACTTTGGGAGGCTGAGGCAGGCGGAACATCTGAGGTCAGGGGTTCAAGACCAGCCTGACCATCATGGAGAAACCCCATCTCTACCAAAAATACAAATTTAGCCAGGCATGGTGGTGCATGCCTGTAATCCCAGCTACTCGGGAGACTGAAGCAGAAGAATTTCTTGAACCTGGGAGATGGAGGTTGCAGTGAGCCAAGATCGAGCCATTGCACTCCAGCCTGGGCAACAAGAGTGAAACTCCGTCTTAAAAACAAAAACAAACAACAACAACAACAAAAAAGGAACAAAGTACTAAGACACACTCTAACACAAATGAACACTGAAAACATGCTTAGTGAAAGAAAACACAAAATTCGACATTGTATGATTCTATTGATATAAAATGTCCAGAATAGGAAATCCTTAAGAGACAGAAAGTAGATTCATGGTTACCAGGGGCTGGGAGGAAGGGCGAAGGCAAAGGACCGCTAATGAGTATGAGGTTTATTTTGGGGGTGATGAAAATATTCAGGAATTAGGATTAATAGCTGCACAATCTTGTGAATATATTAATAATTGAATTGTACTTTTTTTTTTTTCAGACACAGTTTCACTCTGTCACCCAGGCTGGAGTGCAGTGGCATGATCTCGTCTCACTTGCATCCTCTGTCTCCTGGGTTCAAGTGATTCTTGTGCCTCAGCCTCCTGAGTAGCTAGGATTACAGGTGTGTGCCACCACGCCTGGCTAATTTTTGTTTTTTGTTGCATTGCTGTTGTTGTTTGAGATGGAGTCTTGCTCTGTTGCCAGGCTGGAGTCCAATGGCGCAATCTCGGCTCATTGCAACCTCCAGCTCCCGGGTTGAAGTGATTCCCCTGCCTCAGCCTCTCGAGTAGCTGGGACTACAGGCACGCACCACCACTCCCAGCTAATTTTTTGTATTTTAGTAGAGATGGGGTTTCACCACGTTGGCCAGGCTGGTCTCGAACTCCTGACCTTGTGATCTGCCCACCTCAGCCTCCCAAAGTGCTGGGATTACAGGTGTGAGCCACTGCACCCGGCCAATTTTTGTATTATTAGTATTATTTGTATTATTAGTAATTTTTGTATTATTTAGTATTATTAGTAATAATTTGTATTATTAGTAATATTTGTATTATTAGTATTATTAGTTTCACCATGTTGACCAGGCTGGTCTCAAACTCCTGACATCAAGTGATCCGGCCACCTCGGCCTCCCAAAGTGCTGGGATTACAGGCATGAGCCACCACGCCCGGCCTGAATTGTACATTTTTAAACAATAAATTTTCCAGACTGGGCAACATGGTGAGACCCCATCTCTACTAAAAACACAAAAAAATAGCCAGGCATGGTGGTGCACACCTGTGGTCCCAGCTACATAGGAGGCTGAGGTGGGAGGATTGCTTGAGCCTTGAGGGCAGAGGCTGTAGTGAGCTGAGATCGCATCACTGCATTCCAGCCTGGGTGACAAAATGAGACCCTGTCTCAAACAAACAAACAAAAAAGTTAATGGTAAATTTTAAGATATGTAAATATTATATATATTTTAAATTTTTTTTTTTTTGAAACAGGGTCTCGCTCTATCTCCCAGGCTGGAGTGCAGTGGCGCAATCTCAGCTCACTGCAAGCTCCGCCTCCCGGGTTCACACCATTCTCCTGCCTCAGCCTCCCGAGTAGCTGGGACTACAGGCGCCCACCACCATGCCCCGCTAATTTTTTGTATTTTTAGTAGAGACAGGGTTTCACCGTGTTAGCCAGGATGATCTCGAGCTCCTGAACTCGTGATCCACCCGTCTCAGCCTCCCAAAGCGCTGGAATTACAGGCGTGAGCCACCGCGCCTGGCCTGAAAAGTTTTTTTAAAATACTGGCTACTGTAGTAGATGATCTTTCAACTCTGACCCAAGATTCTCGTGTCTTCTACCAGAAACCTGGAAACTGCTGCAGGCCAATTTGTTAGTTTGTAATCAGGGTAAAATCTTAGACGTTTCAGTTTTTTTGTTTTTGTTTTTGTTTTTTTGAGATGGAGTCTCGCTCTGTCGCCCAGGCTGGAGTGCAGTGGCACGATCTTGGCTCACTGCAAGCTCCACCTCCCAGGTTCATGCCATTCTCCTGCCTCAGCCTCCCGAGTAGCTGGGACTACAGGTGCCCACCACCATACCCGTCTAATTTTTTGTATTTTTAGTAGAGACGGGGTTTCACCGTGTTAGCCAGGATGGTCTCGATCTCCTGACCTTGTGATTTGCCCGCCTCAGCCTCCCAAAGTGCTGGGATTACAGGCATGAACGACCGCACCCAGCCCATTTCACAGTTCTTGACAGTTGACAGGGCATTAATGTTACCATTCAAAATTTTTTTTTTTTTTTTTTTTAAGAGATGTGGTCTCGCTATGTTGCCTAGGCTGGTCTTGAACTCCTTGGACTTAAGTGATCCTTCTGCCTCAGCCTCCCAAAGTACTGGGATTATAGCTGTAAACTACCATGCCTGGTCTAGAAATTTCTTTTTAAAACCCTACTCCTTCTCTAAAGCACAGCTCAAATCTTTCCTATGAGGCTGAGTTTGAGTCGAAAGAAGGCACTATGGGTAGGGGCTGCCGCTTTCTGCGAAGGGGACAAGGATGAAACGTTCCCTTACCATGGTGTGGGACAGTATGGCCAAGCAAGCCCCAGGTGCTGGGCTCTGGAATGGGGTCTACTGGGGAGGGGGGAAGAGAGAGGTGGCAGAACTGCTCAGCATCTTACCTCCCCAGACCACTGCAGGAACCACATGTAGGGCTCCTCTGCCCACTTCACTGTCAAGTAACAGGTTGGACCAGCCTGCCAAAATGGGGGAGGAAAACCAGCCCTAGTAGGCTCGTCTATCAGGTGCCAGGAATCCCCCAACCTGCCCCTTTGATTGAATATGATTTCATTTATTGGATCACAATGATTTACTATGCTCCAATAACATTTTCTTCTGTCAGACAAAACATAATGGTCCATCTTTTATTTGGTGAGTTATTTCCATATCTTATCGGTTACATGATTTGGCACAAAGCAAAGAACATGGGACTTGGGAGCAACTGAGCCTGGATTCCACTCCTGGCTGACCACTCACTAGGTCTGTGTACTTAGCTGCGGGACGTGACCTCTCAGAGCCTTGGCTGCCTCATCTCCAAGATGGGGGCATTACCACCACCCAGAGTTACAATAATAATTTAATAAAACCACATGAATAAAGCATTTAGCTTCTTTCCTAGAGCATGCCTGACAGTTAAAATATAGTAAATAGTGTAAAGGAATAAGGTACAACGAGGCAGAGATGATTGAGTGGAACTGGTTAGCAAGGGAAAATGGAGACAAGAAAATTTTGAAAAATGTCTGGCATGCTGCAGGGGTTCCACAAAGGTTAGTTTCTCTCATCCTTCTTCCAGGATTGAGCTCCTTGAGGGCAAGGACTAGGTTGTTTATCTTTAAGCATGCCAGACTGCAGGCACAATATTTTGCATGTAGTAGATGCCAAAAAAAAAAAAAAAAAGTCAGGAGGTGCTTCAATTCAATAGATCACACTTTCATTCTCCTTTCATCTGTATTTCGAATACACTTACTACAAAATTTAAGCACTTATATTGTTTTATAATTATTTCAGGTTTGTTGGTCTGGCCTCTCCAAATAGACAGTAAGGTGCCTGGGGTCAAAAATACGATTGCTTACATTCTACTCTCTAAGTCCCACTAACACAGCACTGACTGAACCAGCTCATTTAACAGTCAAATAGGTGTCATTTTTTTTGGCTGAAACCAACTGCTCCCCATTACCAAAGGATCAGCAGCTGAGCCCTAACAAGGTCCCTTCCTAAAAAGAAGCTACCTCAACCCAAAATGACAAGAAGGCTGACCAACCATCCAGGTATACAGGGATAAAGAGTGGGACTAACTGTCCAGGATGTCAAATTAGAATTTCAGTGCTAAAACTGGGAAAGTCCAAGGCAAACTGTGATGCATTGGTTACCCTAGTCACCAACGAGTGACTGTCTGCACTATCATAGCTCTCAAACGTCTTTAAAAACTGGGGAAATTAAGTTACTAGCAGGTTACTAAGTCATATGGGAAGGCCAAGGAAGATAAGCAGCCTATTGTGAAGAATAAATACCTTAGAAATATCCAGTGGAAGATTGCCAACATACACCTCTGTCTCTCTTTTCTTGAATCCTAAGAAGAAAAACAGCATTAAATGGCAGGCATACATACGGTTAGAGGATTCAGAGGAGTCAGAATACAGGATAGAGACAGGGTCTCTCTATGTTGCCCAGTCTGGTCTCAAATTCCTGGGCTCAAGCAATCCTCCTACCTCAGTCTCCCAAAGTCCTGGAATTACAGGCGTGAGCCACTGTACCTGGCTTCACTTTTTCTTCAATGTTAAAATATTCCCATGCACATACACCCCTACAAACATCCTCCCACCCCCATGAACACTGAATGGCTATACTGTACCCAATCATTCAGCAATACTTATCAATATTAAGAAGTGGTCCATGGGAAGTGCTGGCCATGCATACCCCTGCCTTCCCAGCAGGGGATCACTCTGCAGGGACCTAGAGCCATGGGCACACCAGGAATCCAGCGCTTTCAACGAGAGGTATTATGAAGTGTTTCGGGACCCACGGGGTTGTGCTTCCCGAGTTAACACTAAGCTGAGAGTGGGGAGCACGCAGGGGCCCAGGGGAATGCAGGAGGGAGGCTGAAGGGAATCCAGGCAGAGGGAACAGCCCATGCCAGGACATGGAGATACAAAAAAGCTGAGCACATTTGGGAAATTGCTCATAGCCAGGACTAGGTGCCAGGTGGATTGCACACTGCATGCAGTGAGTGGTGAGAGAGGAGGCTAGAAAGGGAGGTGAGGCCAAACTATGAAATAATGAAAGGCTGTACCACAGCAGTCACAGTTTATTCCACTGGCTGGGTGATACGGGTGAGGGCTGTAACCGGGTTGGGGAGGTGTCAATAGACCTGGGTTTCAGAAAGATCACTTTGGAGATGGTAGAGGGAAAATTGGAAGAAGGCACAAATGAAACAGAAGCACGGGGTTAGGAGCAGCGGGTGCACCAGGGAGTAAGGGTCTGCATCGCAGCAGTGGCAGGCGCCACATCCACTATGAGACAGGAAACATGGTGGCTGACTGGAGGAAGAGCAGAATCTAGGCAGATCCCAAGTTTCACATTGAACAGAAACTGGGCAGACTGGGAACCATTAACTGGAATCCAAGTTGTAGGATGAGAGTCCCAGCACCAGCGAATCCCCCAGCCTAACTTACCTGGAGATTTCTGCTCCTCCAACACTCCATTCTTCCCAAACAGTTTATCAGAGAGTTGGGGGTGACTAATGTTCCAGGACCTGTCAAACACAGGTGTCAGCATCGAACCTCCCAAGCTCAGACTCCGACAAAAGGAAACGTGTCAGGCATAAGCAGAGGGGCCTTGCATAAACCTCCATTCCCCTTCCTGACCAAAGGCTTCCCTTCCTCCTCCCAGAATCAGGTTCCAAGCCAGGAAGCCCTCCACTGGACCTTTTAAATCACTAAAAGTTAAAGTATACTTAGAGTTAGGATCAACTGGCAAGAGATGCCAGGGGTGACTCTTAAGACCAGGGCATGGTGAGACAGGAATGGGAGAAAGAGAAGGCTGGGGGATGGAGCGAGGCTTGCTCATCAGCAAAAGGAAGGGACTTACATGCTGCAGTTGCTTTCCAACAGGATCTCCTACAAAACCAACCGGCCACAGTTAGAGGAATGCCAGGATAGTTCACCATCATATAACCACCGAATAGGTACTGTGGTAAGCAGAATAATGCCTCCCCAACCAAAAGTGGTCCACATCCTAATCCCTAGAACCTATGAATGTATTAGATTTCACGGCAAGGTTGCAGATGGAGTTAAGGTTGCCCATCAACTGACAAAACAGGCCTGGCACTGTGGCTCACGCCTGTAACCCCAACACTTTGGGAGGCCGAGGCGGGTGGATCACCTGAGGTCAGGAGTTCGAGACCAGCCTGGCCAACATGGTGAAACCCTGTCTCTACCAAAAATACAAAAATTAGCTGGGTGTGGTGACAGGCACCTGTAATCCCAGCTACTCAGGAGGCTGAGGCAGGAGAATTGCTTGAACTCGGGAGGCAGAGGTTGCAGTGAGCTGAGATTGGGCCACTGCACTCCAGCCTGGGCGACAGAGTGAGACAACATCTCAAAAAAAAAAAAAGAGAGAGACGTGACAACAGAAACAAAGTTAAAGTGATGTGATATAAGAAGGACTCTACTACTGTTGTTAGCTTTGAAGATGGAGGAAGGGGCCGCAAGCCATGGAATGCTGGCAGCCTCTAGAAGCTGGAAAAGGCAGGGAAATGGATTCTCCAACTAAAGCCTCCAGAATGAACACAGCCTTGTTGAAACCTTGATTTTAGCCCACTGAGACATGTGTCAGACTTGTGACTTACAGAGCTATGGGATAATATTTGCGTTGTTTAACCCACTAAGGTTGTAGTATTTTGTTATGAAAGCAAATCGAAAACTAATACAGACAGCATGGGCAACTTTAAAACCACACACCACTCTGCACAGTGGCTGGCCTGTGGAAAGAACAGAACTTTTGGAGTTAGATGCATCTATAAGTCCAGCCCAGAGACCCTGGGAAAATTTCATCTGTCAAGTCAGAATCAAAACACCCATGTCATAGATCATGGCAGTGAAGTG
Organism: Homo sapiens; assembly: GCF_000001405.40. Lineage (NCBI taxonomy): Eukaryota > Metazoa > Chordata > Mammalia > Primates > Hominidae > Homo > Homo sapiens. The sequence continues at coordinate 154,505,889 of NC_000001.11, read as the reverse complement.
AGATACCGCACTTAAAGTATTTGCCATGTGTCAAGAACTCAATAAATGGTAGCTATTGTGTTTATTTTTATGGATTTTATGGGCACTTTTCTACAATTCCGTGAGTATTATCTTCCCATTTTACAGATGAGAAAACCAAAGCTCAAGGATATCAGGTGATTTTATAAAATTATAAAAGACACTGAGGTAACTCAGTCCTGTGATTCCAAAGCATTGGTTCTCTTTCTACAGATAACAAGGCGTCAAAGTCATTTTAAAGGGATTTTTTTTTCCTGTACTTTAGGGAAAACATAAATTAAAACATTAAATTTTAAAATAAAACAGTAACTCTTTTCTCTAAATTATTCCCAGGTGTAGGAGGGAACAACCATTTTAGCTACAACCAATTCTAAATAGAACTAAAAGTAGTTCAGATAATTAAAAGACAGGTATGGATGGATAAAAATGGAGAGAGAGGTTTATGGGCAAAATCAGAGATACAGGATGTTAGTCCCAGTTCCTGGTAATCTCTGGAAAAGCCTATGGGCTTCTGAAACAGAACAGGCACTGAGACCTCCCAAGCCAAGGCCCAGCATAAATCCGTGCAAGATGCCTTTAAGGCCTGCCAGGTACTATGCTAAGCAGCTAACACACATTCTCATTTAATCCTCACTCAAACTCTAAGAGGGAGACATTGTTAACCCGTTTTACAGATGAAGTCCCGGAGATGCAGAGATGATAATCTAGTATTTGGCCAAGATCACTTAGCATCCATGCTCACAAATGGGAGAAGCCTGTTTTCGTTGTGAATCCAAACCATATGACCACATGATTCCAAAGTCCTGAGTTTCCTTCCAATCTATTGTTTGGTCTGGAGAAGTAACCTATTTGTGTAGTTTTTTGTTGTTGTTGTTTTTTGTTTTTGAGACAGGGTCTCACTCTGTCGCCCAGGCTGGAGTGCAATGGTACGATCTCGGCTCACTGCAACCTCTGCCTCCCACATTCAAGCGATTCTCCCACCTCAGCCTCCCAGATAGCTGGGACTACAGGCACACACTACCACGATGGCTAATTTTTGTGTTTTTAGTAGAGATGAGGTTTCACCATGTTGGCCAGGCTTTATCTGTGTTTTTAAAAAGACCTAAAGAATACATAAGGAGCTCTTACAACTCACCAACAAAGACAACAAATAAACCAATTAAAAAGTGAGCAAAGGATCTGCTAGACATTTCTCTGGAGATATACAAATGGCCAATAAGCACATGAAAAGATGCTCTGCAACTTTGGCCACTAGGAAAATGCAAATCAAAACCACAAAGATAACACTTCATATCAATCAGGGTGGCTAAAAGCAAGAGATACAGACAACATCCTCTATCTCTAACAAGTATTGAGGACATGAAGAAACAGGGGCCCTCATATTGCTGGTAGGAATGTAAAATGGTGCAGCCACTTTGGAAAAGTTTGGCAGGCTCTCAAAAAGTTAGACAGGGAATTACGATATGACCCAGCAAGTCCACTCCTGGGTAACTATTCAAGAGAAATTCAAATATGTGTCCACACAAAGACTTTTCCACAAATATTCATAGCAGTGTTGCTTATAATAGCCAAAAAGTGAAAACAATCCAAATATCCATCAACTGATGAATGAATAAAGTGCTGTATAGCAATACAATAGAATATTATTTGGCAATATAAAACGAATGTAGTAGTAATACATGCTATACGACCTGGATGAATCTGAAAAATGATGCTAAGGGAAAGAAGGCCACATATTGCATGATTCCACTTCTCTGAAAAGTCCTGACTAGACAAATCTATATAGACAGAAAGTAGATTAGTGGCTGTCTAGGACTGGGAAGGCGGAGAGGGAAATGAGGAGTGACTGCTAATTGACGGGAGATTTCTTTTGGGGGTGATGGAGATGTTCTAAAATTAGATTGTTGCGATGGTTGTACTGTAAACACACCAAATATACTGAAAACACTTGAGGTGCACACTTAAAACAGGTGAATTTTATGGTATGTGAATTATATCTCAATAAAGCTTTAAAAAAATGTCACTACGCATTTTCAAGAACGTCAGTATGAGCACGCATTTCTTCATTTTAGCTTTCCCACCTCACAAACCACCACCCACACAAATGAGGCCGTCCACAGTCGCCATCATTCTGTTTCCATTGTATATGAGGACTCAGTGTTGGTCAGCCCCTTCAGCACATTTAGTTTGCTAAACCAAAAGATTTCCGTTCAGTAAACTAAGTTTAAATTTCTTTTTTTAAACCAGAAAGGTGTTTTTTTGTTTGTTTGTTTTTTGTCTTTTTGAGACGGAGTCTCGCTCTGTCGCCCAGGCTGGAGTGCAGTGACTTGATCTCAGCTCACTGCAACCTGCGCCTCCCGGGTTCAAGCGATTCTCCTGCCTCAGCCTCCTGAGTAGCTGCAACCATAGGCGCGCACCACCACGCCCGGCTAATTTTTGTATTTTTAGTAGAGACCAGGTTTCACCATGTTGGCCAGGCTGGTCTCGAACTCTTGATCTCAGGTGATCTGCCCGCCTCGGCCTCCCAAAGTGCTGGGATTACAGTCGTGAGCCACCGCGCCCGGCCTCAGAAAGCTTTTAAAGGGCTTCGAAGGGAGGGAGGAATGGCAGAGGCGTCTTTTCCCTTAAAGTGGCCACAGTTCTGCACACGGCACTCCCCGCCCGCACAAATCCAGACTAGGAGGGCCGCTCCCAACCGGCGCGAGCGAGCGACGGCCCCGCGGGAACAGCGACCCCTTTCCCCCATCAGTCGGGACGAGGGCGTTTCCCATGGCTGCCTGCCGACGCCCCTCCCTCCCAACCCTCGCCTGGCATCCCGGGACCTGGGGCCGACAAGCCATACCTCGTCTCGCGGGCCACGCGCGTGCACCTGCGATCGCGACGCCCAGCCTTCGCGCCTTCTCCCTCCGCGCTCCGCCCCCTCTGAGCCCGGGGGCACGGGGCGGGGCTTGCCGGCAGCCAATCCCCGGCGGCCACGGCGGGAAGAGCCTCGCGCTGCCCAGGACCGTGTGCCACCGAAGAGTAACGGAACTAGCGCAGGAGCTGGCGACCGTTGTCCCTGCGCCCGGACCTCGGGCCGCAACCTCTGCCCTACCGCCAAAAATAACGTCTGCAGAAAGAGTGGAGTAGAGCGGAGTGGGTGGGCGAGGGGCTTCCTTCCCGGGGGTGAGCGGCGCACGTGACACTCCTGGGCGCGTGTGAAGGCAGCGCCCGGCCGAGACCGGCTCGGTGCAGACGCGGGCTGTCGGCGGCAGAAGGGGGCTCTCTGCTCAGTGGGGCGCGGCCGATCCGCACGTGCGGCCGCCGCCCCTTTCTCCAGAGCTCGCAGCCCGACCCGCCTCTGCCATGGCGCTCACCCCGCCGCCCCCAGCTCTGGGCAGGAGGTGGCGGGGCTGGGAGGCGCCAGCCGCGGAGGGGAGGGGCGCGCGGAGTTGATGGGCCGCTCGCCGTCCGTCCACCGTCTGTCGCTGCGCCGGGGATACTCCCGCCGCCTCCGCTCGGTCCTCTCTGGTCCCTGGGAGCGTGGGCTGGGCCGCAGGGGGCTTCCGTGGGCCTGGCCTCTCCCACCGCAGGAGGAAAGAGCAGGGGGAAGCCCCCGGCGCCCGCCGCCTCCGAGAGCCACGGTGTCCTCGGGCCGGGCAGGCGTTGAAGACGAGCCCGGGCGGGGCCCCCCGCGCGTCGTGCCTGTCGCCTGCCGTGTCCGGAGCAGAGGCTAGCGCCCGCCCGCTCGGCGCCCCGAGCCGTGAGAACCCCACCCTGCCGGGCGTGGGCGACGGCCGGCCGGGGGCGCACGGAGCAGCCGTCGCGGGGCCTCGCCGCGGCCTCCAGCGCCCCAGTCACGGGGAATGCAGTGGTCCCCGACCCCTGGCGCCTCTGCGTGTCTGGGCTGGGCTTCCTCGCTCGCCTGCTCCACGGCCCCGACGCTCCTGGGCCGAGCCGGCCGGGGCCCCCTCATGGCGGCCAAGTGGTTCAAGGAGTTCCCCCTGAACCTGAAGACCGTGTCGGAGCGGGCCAAGCCCGGGGGCGGCGGCGGCAAATTGCGCAAGAACTCGGAGGCGGGCGGCGCTGGGCCGGGTCCTGGCAAGGGCCGCAAGAACTCGGCGGCCGAGCTGGGGAGCGGCAGGGCCGGCGTCGGCCCCAAGGACAGCCGGCTGTCCCGCGACAGCCTGCAGGGTCTGATTCAGGCCGCCGCGGGCAAGGGCCGCAAAAACTCCCGGGCCACGGAGGAGGAGCCCCACCGGGGTGCAACCAAGAGCTCGGGCTGCAGCACCTACATCAACAGGCTCATCAAGGTGGACACTCAGGAGAAGAACGGGAAGAGCAACTACCCCAGCAGCAGTAGCTCCAGCTCCAGCTCCTCTTCCTCCGCGTCCTCTTCCCCTTCCTCCCTGGGGCCCGAGCTGGACAAGGGCAAGATTATTAAGCAGCAAGAGACGGTAAGAATACAGCCTCCCTTGGACCACCTCTCAGTCGAAGGGGAGCCCTGGGCGCCTGCTAAGCCCTAGGCTTCTTTAGACCTAAGAGGCAGTGAGGATAGGTTTCCTAAGGTCCTTTCTCCCTCCACCATTTGGGAATTCCTGACCATTTAAAATTCTTAGACTGTTTTTTAATTCTTGAAAAACTCTTATTTTAGAGGTGGGGAGTTTTGCAGAAATGTACTAGCCATTGAATTTTGTTAGCAGTTTAGAAGAGTCGTTGAATGAGATATTCCTGTTTGGTTACATTTGACCCCTTTATAGATGTGGTTCATTTTAATTTTGATATTCAGGGGAATTGCAAAGCTAGGCTTGTGTATGACTTTTATGCTTCTTGAGCATAAGGAATGGTAACCTCTCAAGTGTGTAGATATGCATTTCAAAGCTTCAGGAAATGGTTTAACCAACAGTCTTCTCCACTGATTTGGAAGTTCCATCATTTTCTGCGGTTCCACCGAGTAAAGGGCTCCTCGGAGGTTCAGCAAATCTCCAAGACTGCTGCCCTTTCATTCATTCCATGGGCATTTGTTGCGCAGCAGCCATATGAGGAAAGGAGCACAGGGCATTAAGGGCTGTGGAGGATACAGAATATGACAAGGAAATGCTCTCAAGGAAATTACAGATGAGAAGAGAGGGTGTTTCCTGCGACGGACACACTGGAGGTTTTCTGGGTGCTGTCCAATGTGGAAAAGTTAAGAAAAGGAGTGTGAACATAGGAAGGGACTCCCTCCATTCTTGCTGAGATGAGTTGGTCCGATCTGGTTGTTTTTATCTTCTCTCCGATGTGAAAGGGGGAGAGAGAAGAGCTCAAATCGAGATTTCAGACTCCGGTCCAGGCAATCACTTCCTAACATGCATGGGAGCTTTAATTTTCTCTTGCCCAGGCTTCAAACATGCTACCTCCCTGGTTGAAGTCAAGAGCCCATAACACATGCTGTGTATGTCTGCATTGGGCACTTCTGTTCATTCTTCCATTCATTTTTTCATGCTGTAAATACAGCATGCCCACCCTGAGCCAGGCACTGAGTGGAGAGCTGTGTAAAGATGGACGGGGACCCAGCTCATATGTTATTCAGTGGTCCACCTGACTGTGTGACTAGATCACAAGCACCTTGAAGCCAAGGGCTCACTGTATCTTGCAAATGCGGTACACATGGTGGGTAGTCAAGAAAAATGGATTAAGTGAATGGCAGTCGCAGTCACAGTCCCTTGCAGTGGTTGTCTGGTTATTTTTATGGTTGTCACTTCTGGGTGTCTGAGGTTTCTGAGGCTATTTCCAGGCTGTTTCCTCCTCTTCGCTTCTCCTCATGTATCTGAATTCTCACCAACTCCAGTGTTACTTCTAAACTCTTTGGAGAATGTAACAGAGGTTGTGGAGCAAGGCCTGGAGCTTCCTTCCTGAGAAGGGTCCCCTACCCTCTGGTGTTGTCACCCATGTTGTCACACACCACCTCCTCAGGTGCCTTCTATTTTTGGAAAGATGGATGCTTTCTGACACAAAATAGGGGATCCCAGATAGGGATCAAAACCCTATCTGGTCTGTAGCCTGTGACAGTCAGTTTGCCTGTGAATTATTGAACGTAGAACACCTACAATACTGTTTAGTACTGACCTACTTCTCATCTATGAAGCCTGTGTCTTTGGAGCTGTGATCCACTCCTTGAGGACAGGAAGCATGTCTTGGGTTTATTTTGACTCCTTCACAGTGCCTAGCCAGTGCTGGTGGATGACTGACTGACTCATTATGACTGTACTGCTCAGCTGATTGGAGTTTAAAAAACTCAATTCATAAAGGGTATGTGGTAAAGCCACATACCCTTTATGCTCTAAAGCCACAGGTAGCCTTCACTCCCCACATCCACCCCTGCCACCCTCTAACCCAGAAAATGTTTTATTGCTTGGAGAAATAAAGGGAGGTATAAAGAGCCTTGGGGATAAGTGAAAGAGTTAGATGAATTGTTGCAAATCAACTGTACAACCAAAAAAAACAGGTGTTTGTCTAACTGGGACACATGATCAAGTGCAAAAGCTATCTGGAACTGGTTATAGAGATTTTGACCTCCTTGGATATGCAGGAGATGTCAGTAGCCATTTTGATACCATTGCCATTTTGGTATACGGTGGCCCTTAGCAACTGTCCTCTCTTGTTCTTTTTCAGGTCATCATTTTAGAAGACTATGCTGACCCTTATGATGCCAAACGGACAAAGGGTCAAAGGGATGCAGAGAGAGTCGGAGAGAACGACGGTTACATGGAACCATATGATGCACAGCAAATGATAACAGGTTTGTAAGCAGGCTCTACAGAATAGAGACTGAAATCTCACACTCAGTGAGTGTTGTAATATAGTAACCGGTGTCTATTGGGGAAGAGGGATAAAGCAATTTACCCAGATCCTGCTGACTTGAAGAAACAGAAATTAGACCCCAAACTAATGTCGGACTATTTAGGTAACTTCCTGTATGATTTAGTATCCTTCAGAGTTTTAGAATTTACAGGAGTCTTCAAAGTTTTTCTAGTTCTATGCAAGATGACATTTATGAGTGCAGATCTGCTCAGAATATGATGTTCAGTTTTAACATGATTATATACATTTTGGGGCCACTTTCAGAAGCTTTAACATTCATAATGGGAGTCATACATCTTACCAAGAAGCAAATACATACTTAAGGGATTTTAATCTATTAAAAAATGCAAGGATGGCCAGGTGCAGTGGCTCGTGCCTATAATCCCAGCACTTTGGGAGAGAGGCGGGCAGATCATATGAGGCCAGGAGTTTGAGACCAGCCTGGCCAACATAGTGAAACCCCATCTCTACTAAAAATACAAAAATTAGCCGGGTGTGGTGGTGCACACCTGTAATCCCAGCTATTTGGGAAGCTGAGGCACGAGAATCACTTGAACTAGGGAGGAGGAGGTTGCAACAAGCCAAGATTGCGCCACTGCACTCCAGCCTGGGCAGCAAAGCAAGACCCTGTCTCAAAAAGGAAAAAAAAAAAAAGGCCAGGCGCAGTGGCTCACGCCTATAATCCCAGCACTTTGGGAGGTCAAGGTGGGCGGATCACCTGAGGTCAGGAGTTCAAGACCAGCCTGACCAACATGGAGAAACCCTGTCTCTACTAAAAAAAAATACAAAATTAGCCAGGCATGGTGGCGCATGCCTGTAATCCCAGCTACTTGGGAGGCTGAGGTAGGAGAATTGCTTGAACCTGGGAGGCAGAGGTTGCAGTGAGCCAAGATTGAGCCATTGCACTCCAGCCTGGGCAACAAGAGTGGAACTCCGTCTCAAAAAAAACAAACAAAAACTGCAAACATGATGTGATTCTGTATTTTGTAGTAGAAGACTTTCTCAACAAGTTCTACAATATTGGAGCCAAGAATTTAATTACTAAGCAGTAATTATAAATTACTGCTGGCTGGGTGTGGTGGCTCACACCTGTAATCCCAGCACTTTGAGAGGCCGAGGTGGGCCGATCACCTGAGGTCGGGAGTTCGAGATCAGCCTGACCAACGTGGAGAAACCCCTGTCTCTACTAAAAATATAAAAAATTAGCCGGGCATGGTGGTGCATGCCTGTAATTCCAGATGCTCAGGAGGCTGAGGCAGGAGAATCACTTGAACTCGGGAGGCAGAGGTTGTGGTGAGCCAAGATCGTGCCATTGCACTCCAGCCTGGCCAACAAGAGGGAAACTCTGTCTCAAAAAAAAAAGAAAAGAAAAAAAAATCATTGCTGTGTAAACCAAGCCATTCAAGGCAACCACCTAAAACCAAAGACTAATCTTGTAACTTTTCAAGTCAGAACAATTCCAGTTTGTGAGCTAAGCAGTCACTCTGTCATTCTTAGTGTCAAACTTTTCCCTTTTAGTCATAATTCTCTTAAGTTGATGTAAATGATACTTAAATAAAAATAATATAGATTTATTTGTGAACTTTATGTCTTCACCTAGTTTTCCTTAAACAGTCTTCCATCCATAATGAGAAATGTAATTGCTGAATGCTGACTCAAGGGAGCCTTATTTGACTCTTGTGGGTTTCATGCCTGGGAAGAGTAACTGGTCCCACATGAAAGACTTTGTCTCTTCTGTTTAGAACAGATTGAAGAGCTGTCAAGCTCAGGTTCTCTAAGTATAGTCTCAGAAGAGTTGAGCAGAGAGTAGCAGCAGCACACTGGAAGGGCCAAGACAGTCTTCAGAATGAAAACGAGCTGGAACAGGAAAGCCTGGCTCCGCTTCCTGCTTCTCTGCTTACAGAGATAAGGCCCTCCGTGTGGGGAGGGTGTACCCTGGCCAGGCTGTGACCCTGAAGGTCACTGGACTGTGACCCCTAATGAAATCTGTGAATGAAAGGAAGTGAAAATGAACTGTCAGAGTTTTAAAAAACATCAGAGCCTTGAAAGGAATAGGGAAAAGAATTTACTTTTACATAAAATTGAGGAAAAGGATTTTCTTAAAAAAAAAAGTTTTATGCTTAATTGTGATTCACCTTTCTTTGTCCTTGGGTTTTTATTCTTATCTTTCTCTTTAACTGAAGTAGGTAGTTTATACCATACATCTGTTTATTTGGAGAGCTGCACTGATAAGAGGAAATGTGCTGTGATTTTATAAAAATGAATATAATTTTGGGGGGTTTTTTTGTTTTTTTTTTCATGTAATTCCCACAAGAGCTCTATAAGCTAGGGGACTACAATGCTGTCCCCCTTGTGACAGGGTGACAAAAAACAAGATCAAAGGGATTGGGGCTTGCCTGTGTTAAGGAGACATTTTAAGAGACAGAGCAGGAATTAGCACCCGGATCTCCCACTCCACATTGAGTGGTCTGCCCCTGACACCACATGGCGTTCAGGACACACTTGAAATGCCGTTTGCAAAACCACTGTAAACTTCACCCGTAAGTGAGGCACCTTTCCACTCAACCAAGAATGTTGTCTTCAGAAGTCAGAATTGTCCAACATGGAATAAATGTAATAATAATCGCTAGCATTTAATATTTGAGTGTGTATTAAGTTCCATGCTCTGTTTTAAACAATTTCTGAAAATAAATTCATTTAGGAATACAAAATTAATATATTCAGTTGGCAAATAAATTCAAATTTATTAAAAATCCAAATTACTAACTTTCTAAACTAGTGATCTAAGTATACTTTGGTCTTAACTTTAAAAAAGTTGTACTCGTGGATTTTAAAGTTTCTTCATTTAGAATATATATCACAAAGCACCTTCTCAATCAGTGTAGAGACTCTACCTCTTATTCTACCCGTAGGTTACAAGCTGGACAGAATAACAGGAAGTGAGTTTATCGGAAGCTAGAAATAAAAGATTTGCTGCTGGGCTTTTGTTTTTTGTTTTTTAAACCTTTTACTTTTTTATTCAGTTTGCTCCTTGTGTACCTGATTGTCAAGTCCAAGTTCGGAAATTTCCCGTCTTTCTTGAGAAATGAGAGTTTTTTTTACTTGTTTCAGCATTTCTGAAGATGGAAAGGATTTTAATGAACACAGTTGAACTGTGGAGTGGTTAAATCTGTGTTGCCATTCTTTGCATTGCCTTTTTTCTACCGGTGAAATGGGAATTACAGGCCTGGTTTTAACAATATCTTGGGCGTGTAGAATACTGCCCATATGTTGTTTTAGAATACCCAACAAATATTTCTTGAGGTTTTTTTTTTTATTATGTACTAGGCCCTGTCCTGAGCTCTGGGCATACAGGAAACAAGACCCACATGATTTCTGCCCTTGGACCTCACAGCCTAAGGGGGAAACAGACCTACCAGCAAAGAAGATAAGTCATTGAAAAGCATGATAAGTGCCATGAAGTTGAGAATAGGAGCCAGCATCTACCTCAGGGGCAGAGGAAACTGAGAGAAGCCCATGGCTTTCCTGTGGCCAAATCGCTATGGGACCCAGGAAGCCTGGGTCCCCCCAAAACTTTGCTCTTAACTTTTAAAAGTTAAGAATTTATGAGTTTATGAGTAAATTATCACTGAGATTTATCCAAAGGATTGTTCATAAAAAGATATGACTGAATACAAGGCAATATTAATATAAACCTCTGTTGCTTTTCTGCTAAATTCACAGGAACATTTTAACTAAATATTCTAGCTAAGATATTTAGCTAAATATTTGGCAGAAATATTCTACATAATCTAGCATTAGGAGTTTTAGCCACCGCTTTGAAACATTAGCATCGGACAGGTCTTTAAAAGTTCCCATTGGCTAGTTAGCATGAGGATTCTTTCTGCAGTTGATGTCATACAGCTGTAAATTGAGAGCTTACTAGGTACCAGCCTGGCCAAATTACCTCACTAAATCTTGCAGCAACCCTGTAAAGTGTTTTGTTTGTTTGTTTTTTTGAGACGGAGTCTCGCTGTGTCGCCCAGGCTGGAGTGCAGTGGTGCAATCTCAGCTCACTGCAATCTCTACCTCCCAGGTTCAAGTGATTCTCCTGCCTCAGCCTCCCAAGTAACTGGGATTACAGGCACCTGCCACCACACCTGGCTAATTTTCGTATTTTTAGTAGAGACGGGGTTTCACCATGTTGGTCAGACTGGTCTCGAACTCCTGGCCTCAAGTCATCCTCCTGCCTTGGCGTCCCAAAGTGCTGGGATTGCCAGCCACAAAGTGAGCCACCGTGCAAGCGGGTTTCTTTATACAGTTGAGGAAACCTAGGTTCAGAAAGATTAAATAATTTGTTCAAATTACACAACTGAAAATACCATGTCATTCAGCAAGCTGTGGTTTTAGCTTTTGAGCTCCAGTCAAAGATTATTTTTAAAATTTTATTTTTACTTCCAAATGATTTTGTTGGTTTGTTTAAATAGTCAAATCTAAAAGAGAACCTCACTGTTCGAGTCTCCATTAAAAAAAAAAAAAAAAACTATAAACTCCATCTGCCGGGCCCGGTGGCTCATGCCTATAATCCTAGCACTCTGGGAGGCCAAGGTGGGAGGATCAGTTGAGGCCAGAAGTTCAAGGCCAACCTTGCCAATATAGTGAGACCCCATCTCTAAAAAAAAAAAAAAAAAAAAAACTGTTATGTCTGTCTTTGCCTGTGATTTAAACAGAAAAAACCTCTTATGGAAAAAAGTGCAAATGAAGACTGGTTTTGATTTAATTTGTCTTTATTCTCCTCGCTAAATTTCAGGGTTTCTGAATTGTACCTGCTTTTGTTCAGATGTTTAGATTTATTCAATAAGAAAATATTAAAGTAATTTTAAAAGCTTGAGCACTGATCAAAGATATGAGTAAAAAATTGTCGGGCAGCCCTGTTTCTGATTCCAGGAGGAAAATAGAGTCTTAAGAGGCTCCAAGTTTAATGTTTTGGAAACATGAAATGGGTTAAAATGGATTAGGGGAAAAGGCACATTATTTGGAAATTGGAATTAACATTTTACGTGAAATCATTTGAGCATAAAGCATGGACTCTGGAGTTGGTAATAATTGGCCTCACCATAACTGCTGCATGACTGTGGCTTCCGTGTATTCACCTGTGAAAATGGGGTAACACATCTGTCACTGCCTTAGTGAGGCATCAGTGAGATTCTGGGCATAATACACCTAGCAGGTGTATACCTAGTCAGTACAGCCGTGAGTTAGACACTCCAGAGACAATTATATTTCCAAAGAGCATTCTGGACCATATAGGGCAATACTTATTGCTAACTACAGTTAATTTAGTAAAAGAAAATCTTAGTCTTCTGCTAAGACTTTCTTGTTTTTGTGTTTTCATGTGAATGACATAATTACCTGCAGCGAGTTGGGGATTGAGAAGGGAAAATTTTGGGCCCCTATAATGTTTCACACCAACCAACTGCATGTTTTTAGTAGGTGCAGGTCAGTGCTGAGCTTCAGCCCCAGGCTGCAAATGAGTGTTTATCTGCTGCCCGTCCCCTGCATTCTGTTGTCTGCTGTGGTAAATGGCCTCTATCGGCAGCCAGGGTGTAGCTTCCTCTTGCCATTTCCTCCTTCTCAGGCTCGTTTCCTCTTGGAGCCAGCTCTGCACGTCAGGGGCTATTCTCCCTGCAGGAAGGGTCGGCTTGCAGCCCCACGATTGTTTCTGTTTCTATGGCGCCTCAGGTTTGGGGGCAGCCAGGTGTTGGAATGGACTGGAAGGTTACTCCCCTTGAAGAGGGGGGTGGTGTGGGGAGGGGAGGCCTGTGCTCAAGCCCTTTCTTCCCCTAATTAAACATTGTTTCAAAAGATGATAGCAGTTTGCAGATTTTGCCTAATCCCAGGACCCTGCAAGAAAGCATTCTCAACTCCATGCTTTGTGTATCTCCCAGAACTCTAAGTGTGGGGAGACTGTCTAAATAGAAGGACCTCGTTGCAAAAGTAAAAACTCAAACGCGTGTGTAATAAGAACTCAAGATTCTAATCACTATACATCATTTTATTTTATTTTAGGGGAGGTGGGCTGGAAGGCCCGGTAGGAACACTGCCCATCCACCCTGTACATTTTAATCCAAATGTATTGAAATGTCCTTGTGAGCAGGGCTCCTTCTGTCTTAATGTTAGAATCACCTCTTTTTCCTTTTAGTTTAGCTGGGGCAGAATTGCAGCAAGGACCTTGGGAAAGGGTTTCCCCAGCCTGTGCCAGATGGTCTCAACTGAGTGTAAACTATGATTAGAAACCTTAAAATTGTATTCTATATTCATCCTTTGAACTCCTTTGTGTTTTCTGCTTCCCTTTTCTTAGTTCTTTAGAAAAGTTCCTTTTAAAAAAATTACAGCCTTGTCTTAATTGAACCAAGAACAGAGTATGTTTTTGTTTCTTGTTTTCCATAGCTCTGTTTGGAGTAAGCAAGGAAGAAGAAAAACTGTAGGACTGAGAGTCCAGGGACTCAGGAGATGCAGCTCTGACCTCAGACAACCCCAGATACCTGGCCTGGCCTGGGGGTGGGGGCCAGGGACAGTTCTTCCGACTCTTACATTCTGATGTGGAAGTGGTAGACACAGGCAGTACCTTTCTCCTCAGGATGGGACTAGCAATGACAGGCTCCGGAGAATGAGGAACCAAGATGGGGACTGTGGACACCCAGGAGGTGTGGAAGTGGTTCTCAGGTTTAGCTGCTCTTTAGAATCACCTGGGGGATTTTTACACTCTTGACTCCCACACTGTACCCCAGACTAATCCAATCTGAACCTCTGGTGGTTAAAGCAGTGTGTGTGAAAGCCCGCGGGTGATTTCAATGAGCTGTCCCTGCACAGAATTTGAGACAGCTGCTGACAGCCCCTAGTCAGCAGAGAACTATAACCTCAGCCTATACCTAAGTTTTGCACTTTTGAATTTGGTGTCCTGATTTTAATAACGTTTCCCTCATTTGTTGCCCTCTTTTTGTTATAGAGGTCTTAATGAGTCAGTGGCATTTCTCCACGGACCATCCCCACACCTGTTTTGAAGTTACAGATAGAAAGTCTTTCCACCCTTTGTGTCTGCGGCCCTGCGGTCTCCTGAGCCTCTTCCTCCTCACCTGACCCCTCAGCCTTCTTTGCTGGCACCTCCTTCCAGCCACCCATAACTGAAGGAGTCCCAGATTCTGCCTTTGATCCTCTCTCGTTTTCAATCTGCCGTCCTTTTCTCTTGTGATTGCTTTCATTCTCACAGTATTCACAACGATCCATTTGTTAACCCCTTGACGTATTCCTCCAGATCCACACTGTCACCTGCCTGGAGACATTCTTGAGTTCCCTCCCCTCCCTCTCTCCTCCCATCCATCCATCCAGTCATTATTTAGCACAATGATATGTCCTACAGTAATAAACAAGATATGGTGGTCTCTGCCCTGGCAGACTCCACCAAATTGAAAATACAGACACATCAACATATAAATGGATGCAGTGGGAGAAGAGCAGGGTGAGAGTGCGTTGGTCCAGCCGTGGCACCTGTTTAACTTTGTGGGGTATCAGAGAAGAAGGTGGGCAGGAAAGCCTTCTCCGGAGAGGAGAAGATGCTGAGTTAGATTGTAAAGGATTGCAAGATCGCCAGGACACCGGTGGGCTCAAGACAGTGTAGTATGCAGGGAACTGCCAGAAATTCCACTTGGTCAGAGCAAAGAATTGGATTATGGGGAGATGGGGCAGGGTAGTGTTGAGAAATTGGGGAGAAAGACAGTGACCTACTCATGTAAGCCTCCCATGCCGTTCTCAGTGTTCTTCACTTCTTAAGTAAACAGTCGGGAGCTTATGAGGTGTTAAGAGATGAGGTATCTGCATATAGAAAGTTCCTCCTTGACTATGACCAGGTAGAGGATGGTTTGAAGGCTTCCTGATGGGCGTTTAGAAGAGCCACAAAATGACATTTCTGTTGGTCTATAATATAGACTCTGTATCACCAGCTCTGGTTGTCCAGACTCCAGCCATCTCTAACTCTGGCAAGGCTCCTTGACCCCAGGCTGCTCACCACCCTGTACTGCTAGTTCCTTCTCACTGTGGCTGGTTGGCTGGTTAGATAGCTAGTGGTTGGTTGGTTTGCATATGGTTTTTTCCATCTATTTTTATGCCCCATTTCAGACTATACCTTTTTGATTTACTCTATCCTGTACACCATGGTTAGAGTTACCTTCCAGTGAAACACAAATATAATTGTTATTCCCCACTGAAAAAAAAAAAAACCTTATAATGGTTTTGTTTTACATACACAACCATCTAAACTTTGTGTCCTTACTTTTAAAATGTCTACACCTTGGCACCTGGCTTGCCTATGCTTCCAGCTGCTTCTCCCATTACCCATTGCCTCTCTCCTTTGTGGCCTTCTGGCCTTTAGACCCATCTCTCAGCTCCCCATTATGGAACAAGCCCTCTATCGTTCCCACCTCCATATCTTCACTCATGCAGCTTCCTCTACTGGAAATGACCTTCTCTATCAAAGTCAACTCATCTTCCATTTCTCTTCCACTTGGAGTCAATCCAAGTGTAGTGGCTAAGAGTATAGCTTCTAGAGCCCAACTTCCTGCTTCTGAATCCAGGCTTTGGCACTTACTGGTTTAGACAATTTCCTTAAACTCTTTGTGCTTCAGTTTTCTCTTCTGTAATAATGGGGAAATAATGATATCCCATAATCTTAGAGTGATTGTGAAAGTTACTAGACACTTAGAATAGTGCTTCACACATGGTAAGCCATCGATAAATGTTAGCTGCTGAGTTGTTATTACTGGTTTTCCCTATAACACTTCTTTTACTTTGATTTATCCTGGAGTTATTAGCCCAATACATATTATTCGTGAATGTGTCTGGCTTCCCCCAGTTTATTGAAACTGCATAGGAGTCAAGAACTCTGACTAATGCACATAAATGCTTTCCCTTAGTGTATATGCAGCAATGCTTTGAATATCCAGACAGTGCCTGACTTACTGTGGTTTGACTATAATTTTCAACCTTTACAGTGGTGCAAAAGTGATATGCATTCAGTAGAAATTGTACTTCGAGTCACATACAGCCATTCTGGTTTTTACTTTGAGCATTCAGTAGATCACATGAGATGTTCAAAACTTTATTACAAAATGGGCTTTGTGTCAGATGATCGTGTCCAGCTGTGGGCTAATGTGTTCGTTTAAGGTGGGCTAGGCTAAACCATGATACTGAGTAAGTTACATGTATTAAGTGCATTTTTGACTTGCAGTCGATTTTATTACAATTCTTTTATCTGGGCTTCCTGACAAGATGTAAAAACTTTGAAAGTGAGCTATACTCAGAGCAGACACCAGAACCTGGAAATGAAGCAGGTTACCCTGAGGCCACTACTTACAAACTGCAAGTGGCACCCTGGAGGTGTGCTTGTCTTCAGATGTAATCTCCCACCTTAAATGTGGATCCCATTATCTGACTCAGGCAACTGGAGGGAAGAAGTTGTAGGCACCTTCATTTTGCTTTTGTAACACAGCTGAGAAGTAATCAACCTATCAGGGAGCAATCTTGGAGTTATCTGCCACCTTCACCCAGACAGACAGAGGTGCTGAGGCAGTTGGGTTAATGACCAGGCTTTTATGGCATCTTTGCTTTCAAGACATTGTGTATGGTGTGTGTTTTTCAGAAATGGTGTGTGTTTTTCAGAAATTAGACGACGGGGTTCCAAAGATCCCCTGGTGAAGGCTCTCCAGCTGCTTGACAGTCCCTGTGAACCCGCAGACGGTGGCCTGAAATCAGAGACCTTGGCCAAAAGACGGAGTTCCAAGGACCTCCTGGGGAAGCCGCCACAGCTATACGACACTCCCTACGAGCCTGCAGAAGGGGGGCCCAGGGCAGAGGGGAAGGCGCGGCCCCCAGACAGCCGGCTGCCCGAGAACGACGAGAGGCCCGCGGCAGAGTACGAGCAGCCATGGGAGTGGAAGAAGGAGCAGATCGTGCGGGCTCTGTCAGGTGAGGGCGCCAGGCCAGGCCCGCCCCAGTGTGACTTCAGTCTTCTGGCCACCGCATCAGCCCCACATTTGTTTTTTTCCTTGTGGGTACCTTTATATTCCTTTCTCTTCTCAATGTGCAACTGTTTTGGAAATGCCTGAAATGACCATTGAAAGAATGACCACCTGGCTGGGCACGGTGGCTTGCGCCTGTAATCCAAGTCACTTTAGGAGAAGGCAGGCGGATCACTTGACCCCAGGAGTTCAAGACCAGCCTGGTCAACATGGCGAAACTCCATCTCTACTAAAAATACAAAAATGAGCTGGGTCTGGTGCTGGGCGCGTGTAATCCCAGCTAGTGGGCAGCCTGAGACAGGAGAATCGCTTGAACTCAAGAGGCGGAGGTTGCAGTGAGTCAAGATCGTGCCACTGCATTTCAACCTGGGTGACAGAGCGAGACTCTGTCTCAAAAAATAATAAGTAACTAAATACATAAATAAATAAAAGTATAACCAAGCCGGGCACAGTGGCTCACACCTGTAATCCCTGCACTTTGGGAGCTGAGGCAGGCGGATCACTTGAGGTCAGGAGTTCAAGACCGGCCTGGCCAACATGGTAAAACCCTGTCTCTACTAAAAATACAAAAATTAGCTGGACGTGGTGGCGTACACCTGTAGTCCCAGCTACTCAAGAGGCTGAGGCAGAAGAATAGCTTGAACCTGGGAGGTGGAGGCTGCAGTGAGCCGAGATCATGCCACTGCACTCCAGCCTGGGTGACAGAGCAAGACTCTGGCTCAAAAATAATAATAATAATTATACAAAAGTATAACTATGCTGGGTGTGGTGGCTCATGCCTGTAATCCTAGCACTTTGGGAGGCCGAGGCAGGCAGATCATGAGGTCAAGAGCTGGAGACCATCCTGGCCAACATGGTGAAACGCCGTCTTTACTAAAAATACAAAAAATACCTGGGTGTTGTGGCACGCACCTGTAGTCCCAGCTACAGCTCGAGAAGCTAAGACAGGAGAATTGCTTGAACCCAGGAGGCGGAGGTTGCAGTGAGCCAAGATCTCCCCACTGAACTCCAGCCTGGGTGACAGAGTGAGACTCCATCTCAAAAAGAAAAAAAAAAAGTATAACCAATGTAAAGGGTGAAGGGAGAAGGTAATATATTTGATGGCAAGCATTTGAGTCAGTTTTTTTCTTTTTTTTTTTTTGTTTTTTGAGACAGGGTCTCACTCTGTCACCCAGGCTGGAGTGCGTTGGTGTGATCATGGCTCACTGCATCCTCAGCCTCCTGAGCTCAGGCAGTCCTCTCACCTCAGCCCCCCGAAGAGCTGGGACTACAGGCGTGCACCACCACTCCCGGATTATTCTTTAATTTTTTAGAGATGGGGTCTCACTGTGCTGCCCAGGTGGGTCTTGAACTCCTGAGCTCAAGAGATCCTCTCACCTCAGCCTCCCAAAGTGCTGGGATTACAGGCAAGAGCTACCATGCCCAGCCTGGAGTCAGTTTCGTTTGATTTGAGTTGTCATCTCGGGTACCTGCTCAGTCCTGTGCCAGGTGCTGCCATTTCATCTCCTTCTCTCCAGCCTAGGTGTCATGGCATCTCGTATTATTTGGTAGTCTTTCTGTTTCTGAGTTGTCTTTTCTTTTTGTTTTATTATTTCATACTAAAAACTATTGGTTTGGTTTTATAGGATGATACACATTCTTGCAAGGATTCATTACCTGTAACTATGTTTAATCTTTTATCCTAAAAATAGCAGAACTACAAGTAGTTTGGCTTTTTTTTTTTTTTTGAGACGGAGTCTCACCCTGTCGCCAGGGTGGAGTGCCGTGGCGCAATCTTGGCTCACTGCAACCTCTGCCTCCCGGGTTCAAGTGATTCTCCTGCCTCAGCCTCCCAAGTAGCTGGGACTCCAAGCACGAGCCACGACGCCCAGCTACTTTTTGTATTTTTAGTAGAGATGGGGTTTCACCAGGTTAGCCAGGATGGTCTTGATCTCTTGACCTTGTGATCTGCCTGCCTTGGCCTCCCAAAGTGGTGGGATTACAGGCATGAGCCACCGTGCCCGGCCACAAAACCACAAGTTTTTTAAAAGTCCATGTTGAAATACATTAAAGTGGTTTCCTCTCATAATCTAAAACTGTTTTATACTGATGAATATTTTACAGAAAAAGTGTCTGTGGGATGCTAGCAGTGTGATCAGATATCAAAGACAGCAGGAGCTCAGCTAGCCAGGGTATTTTGCAGTATATTATAGTTAATGTTAAAGGGGGAAAATGCTTCTTTCCTGAGCCAAGGCAGGCAAGGAGGTTTTTTCCCTTTGAAGTTTACATGGGTCACCGCAGTGGCCTGTGATGTTAAATGGAGTCTTCCTTCCAGTCCAGTTTGAAGGAGCTGAGCGACCTTCCTTCAGGGAGGAGACAGTGAGGCAGCACCACCGGCAGAAGAGCTGGACCCAGAAGATCCTGAAGCCAGCCCTCTCGGACCACAGTGAGGGAGAGAAAGTGGACCCGGGCCTGCCCCTGGAGAAGCAGCCGTGAGTCTCCTCCTCAGATCCTTGTAACAGACAACAGCTGGGAGCTTACAGCTTTGTATCAGGGAGCACATTGGCCCATTTCACATGATTATTTTTGTTAATGAACACTTGCCTGGATGGGGTTTTTAATGAAAACCCATCTTCAAAGCCCAGTGCATTGTGCAAAATGGAAAGTGCACTGCATCTCAACAAGCTCATTGTAAGTCTTATTCTTCTGTAGAGAGTGAAAACTGTTCAAATGACACTAGCGCCGTTAACTCACTCTTGTATGATTGATAGGCTTTGTGATCTGGGATCACCCAGATCTGCATTTTGTCTGTTCTGAATGTGAAGCAGGATCTAGTTCAGGCTGTTGCGTCTCTGCCAGAAGTTCATTTCAAACAACGCTTTATGGAGCAATGCCCAGTCTGGATTTGTATTTTGACACTCATGGTGCTTTCCCCTCTTCCACCCCCATTTTTCAGCTGGTATCATGGTGCCATCAGCCGTGCTGAGGCTGAGAGTCGACTACAGCCCTGCAAAGAAGCTGGTTACCTGGTTCGAAATAGTGAGTCAGGGAACAGCAGGTACTCCATTGCCCTAAAGTAAGTAAGCCCCATGGCTTTCCTCATCTCCAAGGGGAAGGAACACTGTGTGACAGTCTTCTAGTCAAAAAAAACATACTGTGAAGGTGTTTCACAGGGGTGTGCATTGCAGAAAATAAGAGGCATTTGTTTGGACAATGGAACATGAGACACTTGGATGAGAATGCAAAATTGGTATTGGGTAAATGCCTCCATTATCTATTATGATAATGAAGGTCTTATTGCATTATCTTTGTGCATTAGTCAATGTCTACCTTACATTACCTAATCTGGAGTAGGCCCTCTCAGTAGAGAAATAATTCCTGATGAAAAGAATTATTTCTAACAGGGTAGTACAGTCATTCTTCTTTTATTCCCTAGTATTGGGGACTTTAATAAATCAAGATCCCCCTGATTGTCAAAATGCCAACTGCAATTTTGACACCAGTTTCTTCTGGTGAAGAAGGAAATGCTGACTTGCCTGTTGCTCCCTCTGTCTGATTGTACACAGAAAATTCACTTTTGCCTGGTAGGCCTGGTGGAGTGTGTATCATGGAAATTCTCACTGCTCCGTGAGTTCAGTGTCCCTGTATTGGAGGATCATTGTCAAGAGCCCTAACAGCATTTCCTTCCTGAGGAAGCTGAGCCCCTGCAGCTGAAACAATCAGGCTGGAGGAGAACAGAGTCGGGCGGGGGAGTTGAGCAATATGGCTCAGAAAATGGGATAGGCCACCAGATATACAATACCAGGAATAGCTCGACTGTGTTCCTGAAATTGGTGCTTGTGGATTAAATCTTTGAGCTTTTGGTGCCAGCTTTCATTTTATACAACCAGGAATGGTCTTTCCAGATGCGAGGGGAGGAAATGGTTTTTATTATTATTATTTATGTGTTCTTTTTGGAAAAAAAGAAGAAGAACCCTTACTTACGTCCTTTTAGCTGTGGTGAGGAGGATGAGTTTTTTTGGGGTTTCTTTTCTTTTTCTTTTTTTTTTTTTTTGAGATGGAGTCTCACTCTGTTGCCTAGGCTAGAGTTCAGTGGCATAATCTCGGCTCACTACAACCTTCGCCTCCTGGGTTCAAGTGATTCTCCTGCCTCAGCCTCCCAAGTAGCTGGGATTACAGGTGCCTGCCACC
The DNA here is from genome assembly GCF_000001405.40 of Homo sapiens. NCBI lineage: Eukaryota > Metazoa > Chordata > Mammalia > Primates > Hominidae > Homo > Homo sapiens. The sequence goes on along the minus strand of NC_000001.11, from coordinate 154,484,827 downwards.
ATGCCCGGCTAATTTTTTTGTATTTTTTAGTAGAGATGGGGTTTTACCATGTTGGCCAGGCTGGTCTTGAACTCCTGACCTCAAGTGATCCGCCCACTTCGGCCTCCCACAGTGCTGGGATACAGGCGTGAGCCACCGTGCCCAGCCGAGGATGAGTTTCTACCTCACCTTAGTAGCCTCGTGCTTGGGCGTAAGCACTGGTTTTGCAATTTGAGAGCTAGAAGGGACTTGGCATTCTTTTTAATTGTTTTCTTTGTTCCACTACCTGATGACTCATATGTGATAAGGATAAACCACTCAAGGATTACATGCGTTTAGACTGTGAAATTTCTGAGAGTACCACTAGAGTGTGGAATGCATTTCTGTGTGTGTAGAACCATTACGGGATGGATGAGAACCTATCAACCTAGTGTGAATCTGGCTGCAATTGTTTTCAGTGGGGAGGGATCCTCTGCCCACTCATTCATGTCTCCTCCTTGATTTTCATTCCAGGACTAGTCAAGGATGTGTCCACATCATAGTGGCTCAGACCAAAGACAACAAATACACACTGAATCAGACAAGCGCTGTGTTTGACAGCATCCCTGAAGTGGTACACTATTATTCCAATGAAAAGTTGCCTTTCAAAGGGGCAGAACACATGACTTTACTCTACCCAGTGCACAGCAAGCTTCACTAAGATTCAGCCACTGCAAGCCCTGGGCCTCTGGCACCTTCAAGGGCATCATCAGCGCACAACCAGCATCTCAGAGGACAAGGCTGGACTAGCAACTGCTAGAAAATGGGAGTCTTCCTTGAAAAGTCAGAGAGTGATTTGTTTTGTTTTGTTTGAGACGAAGTCTCGCTGTGTTGCCCAGGCTGGAGTGCAATGGCGCAATCTTGGCTCACTGCAACATCTGACTCCTGGGTTCAAGCAGTTCTTCCCCATCAGCCTCCCAAGTAGGTGGGACTATAGGTTCGCACCACCACTCCCAGCTAATTTTTTTTTTTGTATTTTTAGTAGAGATGGGGTTTCGCCGTCTTCGTCAGGCTGGTCTCAAACTCCTGACCTCAAATGATCCACCCACCTCAGTCTCCCCGAGTGCCTGGATTACAGGCATGAGCCACTGCACCCGGCCAAGTCTTTGGTCTTAAAGTGATTCCATGACACTTTGTTTGTGGCCTGTCCCTTGTTTCCTTGCTAAGTAGTTCTACAATAAGAAATCATGATTTAGCTGTTGCCTCCAGCTCTGGGGTAGGGTGTTCTTTTTATGGTGTGACCCTCAGGAAGGTTAAGTCAGGAGTTCAGGAGCATCAGAGTTCTCTAGAAATGTGCCTACTTGTTACCTGGAATACCTGGTCTCTAAACAAACCAACAAAAAATCCACGTGGCTTTTCCACATGATGGTGCAGACTGGAAGAGGATGTTATATTGGACTCGTTATTGGGGAAATGAATGAGCGGGAGAAAATGTGAATGACGGGCAAGAAGGTGGTCTTTCTCCCTCAGAAGTCCTAATTCAGCTCTGGAGTTCATGGAAATCCGCAACTTCAGAGTGTGGCCTAAGGATTATTTTGTTGGTCAGCCTTTCCAAGAAAGTGTGTGTTCTCTCAATCTCTGTGGATTTTCTCATTTTTTAGCAAATCAGTGAGATAAGCATAAATAGGAAGGAAGATACCCCAGGTTTAAGAATCACCAATATCATTAGGCATTGGCATCATTATTAGAATTCTGAATTATAGAATAAAAGGTACAACAAAAATTTCATTTCTGAATTTTAAAATTCTGGAAATTTGCAAAGCTCCACAACTGTTTTTTTACTGAATTAATTACATAGAACTTCGATGTCTTTTGTTTCATCATCATTGGGCATTTTAGTTGCTATGGAATAATTTTTAATTTTTGTCTCTAAAATTAGATTTGCTTTGTAGTAAATTTTTTAAAAATGCAACCCTAAGATCTGATTATATGAACTGGGTCTCTAAAGCCTACAAAGATTCTCTCGTTCTGTACCAAGCAGACTGCCTTGTACTATACAGAAGTGTTTGAAAAGACCTAGAGGTTTTCTCTTAAATACCATTACTTAAGATTCATAGTATTAGGATCTTTATGATTTATCATGAGCTTATATCACCAGTTTATTTACTGTGAAAAAAACCATGGGAATGGCATACTGTGAGAAGAGTACTATGGTGAATGGCTCCAGAATTAAAATTCAGCAGATGTGTCTGTATTCTGGGGTTGGTCATTTGGGTCTCAAAACTGCCCCATATGCAAATGTACTGACTGTCATCAATGAAAAGTTAACCTTTGTAGCTTATAAATACACACAAAATGTTGATTTGGTTAATTTTTTAGGAAAGTATACCTTTGTAGTTACTAGTTACATTTGACTGTAAGATTTAGAGGTTAGTAAATTTTTGCTTCTTTATTCAGATAAGATCTCAGCCAAAAGGTTGTGTGATCTTTGATTTTAAAAATTTAAGAGGAACTTTTCCTCACTGGAACACAATGATTTTATTAATAAAGAATGTAGGCTGGGTGCGGTGGCTCATGCACGTAATCCCAACAATTTGGGAGGCTGAGGCAGGCAGATCACGTGAGGTCAGGAGTTTGAGACCAGCCTGGCCAACATGGTGAAACCCTGTCTGTAGTAAAAATACAAAAATTAGCTGGGCACGGTGGCGGGCACCTGTAGTTCCAGCTGCTTGGGAGGCTGAGGCACGAGAATCACTTGAGCCCAGGAGGTGGAGGTTGCAGTGAGCCAAGATTATGTCACTGCACTCCATCCTGGGTGACAAGAGCGAAACTCCATCTCAAAAAAAAAAAAAAAAAAAAGCCTGGCCTGGTGGTGGATGCCTGTGGTTCCAGCTATTCGGGAGGCTGAGGTAGGTGGATCACCTCTGCTCAGGTCAAGGCTGCAGCGAGCCATGATCGCACCATTGCACTCCAGCCTGAGTGACAGAGTGAGACCCTGTCTCAACAAGCAAGCAAACAAAAAACCAAAAGGAATGTTTTTTTCAGATACTGATAGAATGTTTTCAGTGTGTATTGGTTCATTTACTATATCTTTAGTGTAAGATTTTAAAAGGTTTTTTCAGCATCCATTCAACAAATATTTATTATCTTTATACAAATTATTCATTGTGTTAAACTTATTTTTAGTTTAACATTCTAGAAATGAAACGTTTTTACTTAACCTTATTCTACAAAGGGAATACAGCAGTTATTCTAATTTTAATAAATGCTAAAAGCTTTATACAATTTTTCTTTGTGCACTAAATGATTTTTGGCCCATACCCAGCAACTGTGATGAATGTATAATGAAATAACATCTTGAAAACAGGCCAGATACATTAAGTATTTATTGAGCTTCTGTCATATGCCCAGTATTATGCTTCTTCTATACTGTTTCTCTGTGACAAGTCATACTATATTCTTTATAGAATTAAAAGTAGAGGAGAGGCAGAGTTTACATATTGTCCAGTTGCTTTACAGTTGTACAGGAGGTTATAAGAAGAAATATAGTAAATTAGTGGGAAGTCAGAGGTGGGGGCGTTAGTGAGCTATTTTCTTCTTGAGGTTGTGACACAAGCTGACAAAAGCCAGGGAGTTCACAGCTGTGTGGTGGCACAAAGTTCCATATGTTCTAAAAACAATTAGGCCCAGCAGGGTGTCCCTAATGGCTTCCTTGTTAAACCTCCATGGCCAGCTGATCTGAAGCTCTGTGACATGTTCTCTGAGCTCTGAATGCTCTGGCTTTTTGTCATTTTGTCTTGAGACAAGTATTTTCCTGTAGTCCTCATTCCTTCGAGTTATTCCATCTCCCAGGATATTCTCTGGTGAGAAGAATGTCTTTCAGTGAATTTGCCTTGAATTTAGCATCCATAGAGCTGTGTCAGTGTTCTTCTTGATCACACCTTCTTTAAAAAAAATACTTGCTTGCGATGACTGGACAAGTTCAGTTGGTTAGTTTCAGGCCTATAAGAAGAGAGAGTAAAGGACCTTGCTATTTACTTTGATACCATAGTTGTATCTCAGGATGGCCTGCAAACCACTGGCCTTGTGTGTATTTAAGCTAGGAATAAAATAATGGAGAAGTGTTAATATGTATACAAAAAGGTAAATATTGATATATCTACTCTCTGTTGGGGGCAGAAGTGTCATTTTAAGTTATTCAAAGCACTTTCTTAAGCATTTTAGAAAGCCTTTATTCTTTGCTGTTGGAAGTCTCCGTACTTTGCAGAATTGGTATTTGTGTACTAGCCTCTGCCGCAGGATGGGGAGGTGGGCAGGTAGCTGATAGGGGCAGCCAGGAGTTTTTGAGGCAGGTGGTGGGAAATTGTCCTAATTTGTTAATTGGATTATGTAACTCTGTTACTAGTCTGTTATTGGCTGTTGTTACTGGATGCATCTTGATATTCAGAAGAATAACTGTGAGGCATTCTTCAGTTGCGGGTTAAGTGGGGTTAGTTTCTGTTCTGTCAGATGCCCTTTTTCAGTCAAAGGTTAGCCCCTTGTTTCTCCCTCCTTCCAGGGTTTAGGGAGTGCAGTGATGTCGATTTCATTTCCCTTCCCCGCACCCCTTGACACTCAGCAGGATTGCACTGAAACCCTTCACAGATCTCTCGTTCACTAGTTGTCTCCTATTTTTCCATAACTAGCACTAGTTTGGCCTTATGACCTGGTTAGAATCACTCTTCTGTATTCTCATTTCCAATTTTTGTGCCCCACTAACGTGGACTAGAGAAACTTGGCCTGCTGTGCAGTGGGCCTTCTGTTCAACTTACCCTCCACCGCTGACCCTGTGTGAAGAGAGATGGTGCGTTACTGCCATCTAATGGGAAAAGAGAAAACTGCAGTTGGGAAAAGCAGCTGTGCATTTAAGGGTAGGGCTTTCTGAAGGATTTCTGATACAGTCCAGAAAAGGGAAAATGATGACACAGCAGTTGCCATCTTGAAAAATGCCCTTTCCTGCGGAAAGGGTGTTTTGAAGTCTAATACAACTATCATCACAAGGTCCCTGGACTAAGGCTGGATCGTGTAATTTAGAATCTCAAATTGTATTTTAATTAATATGCTGGCAACAGAATCATTGAAACAGGCGTCTCATTTTGTCAAGTTCTTAGCCGTTCAGTTTGTCAGGGGCTTTAATATTTTAGATATCAACTAATACATAGTTTCAACTTTTAAAAATGTTTGAAGATTGTATGTAATATAGGTGTCTATCTATAGTGCCTTAGTAATTTAAATCAGAAATATTTTATAAAACTTCTGGTTGTTTTGCAGTAGCCAATATAGGCTTCATGCCCTCCTGAAGATAGTTTCCTCTGAAATGTAACTTTAAATAAACATTATTCCAAGAAAACTACAGTGGTTTTGCTTAATTCAGTTAGCTCTGAGAATCATCTTCCTTCAGAAAAATACTTCCCATGGTAAGAGCTACAGCAGAGTTTCATTTGCAGTCACCATTAATGAAATATAGAAACACCATGATGGAACATAACCAGCAGATTCTATCTTTTATTTACTCTGTTCACATTTAGAGTCCTTCTATTATGTTTTTCTTCCCAAGTAAAATAGTAATACAGTGATGTTTTACTGCCATTTCCTGGCCCATCTCTTCCTGAGTCGAAAGTTAGTGCACTGGTTCTCATCCCTCACTAGATAGAAGATTTGGGCTCTGCTTCTGTTTTTATCAGTTTGTTATTAATACAAATGTCCCATGCCATCTGTGGGATGCCCTAAGTCTGTTGCAAAGTTCAAAAACCTATTTTAAAAAAAAATTGTACCAGGTGATTTGGATACACAGCCAATGGTGGAGAAGCCCTGTTGGAAGCTCCTATTTGGAAATGCACAAATAAATTCACGTCAGGTCCTAGAAGGGCATACTGTTGAGTCTGCTATCAAAAAGTTTTCCCCTCCAAAATTCCTAACATGGTTTCAAGTTTTTAACTTCCATTAAACATTTATGTAAGTTGCCACCAGGTGGAACAAGTGCCTATTGTTTTAACCCATCTGTGTTTAAGAGAAGAGGAAGTTTGCATTAAGAAATGCTCCCGCCACCCACCACCCGAGCAATTAGAGTAATGGTTTTCAGAATTCAGATTGAACACGTGTTTACAAGCACCCAGGGTTTGAGTGTTGAATGTTGGATTCTGACCCTGTGAAAGGCCAAGATGTAAGTAGTGAGAATAGACTCTTTTTCCGCACCAGGTGTGCTGCTGAACAAATGCTTTTCATCATACAGCATCTCATTTAATCTGCCACAACTCAGCCAGGTGGGAACCTTGTTTTTCAGATAAAAACACGGGTGCTTAGAATGATGAAATAACTTGTCTTGGGTCAGTCATAGTAAGTGGTAGAGCCCAGATTGCGGCCCAGGTCTCACTCTAGAGTGTTTTTTTTTTTTTTTTTTTTGCACTTTTTATGATTTCATTTAAAAACAAAACATAGACTGAGTTGTCTGTTCATTTTCTTCGCTGCACAGCCTGGCCTTGGGAGTGGTGACTGATGGCCCACGGGGCTGCTCGCTCCACAGTGGCCTTGTGGTTCTGGAGGAAACATTGTGAGCAATCTCAGCTCAGTATAATTTGTTGCACATCAGCAGCGCTTCATTCCGGCTCCTTGACCTTGTAGACCAGGAACTTCTGGAAGCCACTGGGCAGGGTGTGCTTCATTATCTTGCTACTCCCATAACTGACGCTGGCAATACAGCAGAGTATCATTCAGCCTCAACAAGGAAGGGAATCCTGACACAGACCATTACGCTGAGTGAAACCCGTCAGTCACAAAAAGACAAATACTGTATGATTCCACTTACATGAGGTACCCAGAGTAGTCAAATTCATAGAAAGTAGAATGGTAGTTGCCAGGGGCTGGGGAAGGAGGAAATGGGGAGTTGTTTAATGAGTGCAGAGTTTTCTTTTCTTTTCTTTCTTTTTTTTTTTTTTTTTTTGAGACAGTGTCTTGCTCTGTCGCCCAGGCTGGAGTGCAGTGGTGCAATCTCAACTCACTGCAACCTCCACCTCCCAGGTTCCAGCAATTCTCCTGCCTCAGCCTCCCAAGTAGCTGGGACTACAGGCATGCGCCACAACACCCAGCTAATTTTTGTATTGTTAGTAGAAACGGGGTTTCACCATGTTGGCCAGGCTGGTCTCAAACTCCTGACCTCATGTGATCCACCAGCCTTGGCCTCCCAAAGTGCTGAGATTATAGGCATGACCCACCATTCCCAGCCCAGAGTTTCTGCATGAGATAATGAAAAGTCCTGGAGATTGGGTGCACAACAATATGAATGTAGTTAACACTGCTGAACTGCACACTTAGAAATGGTTAACATAGGCCAAGTGTAGTGGCTTATGCCTGTAATCCCAGGGCTTTGGGAGGCCAAAGTAGGCGGATCACTTGAGCGAAGGAGTTCGAGACCAGCCCGGGCAACGTGGTGAAACCCCATCTCTTATAAAAAAAATTAAAATAGGTGGTTAAGATGGTAAATTTTATGTTAATGCATTTCTTACCACACACACAAAAATGCCAGTCTATTATCTTACAATGGAAATGCATCTAGCAGACTGGACATTCAGGTCACCTGTGTGATCAATGTGCTCTCTACCCATAGAGGGGCACATGGACTCAGAGCAAGGGAAAAAGGAATTGGGTTTTCGGTATCCATCTCCACCTCCAGGACAATCCTCTGCTGGGTCTGGCAAGTTGTGTCCATGGGCCTAGGCAGCCTTTCCCCTGCTTGGGAGAGGCTCTGCCTGTAGAACTGGGTAGTGTGAAGTCCTGAAGGTCATTTAAGCTCTGATAAACATACCTTGAGGAGATTCAGTGTGAGGCATGAGGTTATCATTTCCAGAATCCACAGGTAGCACCAGAATTACTTCCCCTTTGTGAATCATGTAGTATGAATCACTGTAATGTCTTGATTCAAATTTAAAATACTTTCTACATGACATTTTTAAATGATTGCCTTCTAATTTATGTGCATAAATAAACAGGTTTACTAATTTGGATTGAGGGAAAGATAAATTATTACTTGATGAGCACATAAAAGCCAATTTGTTGATCAAGCTATCAACCAGCATGTTGTTGGCAAGAAACATATTTTACTTAAAAGATAAAAAAGGTGTGGATTATTTCAGATTGCTTTATTCTACTTTTTTTTTTTTCTGAGACGGTATGGATTATTTTGGATTGCTTTACTTTTTTTTTGAGACAGAGTCTCACTCTGTCGCCTAGGCTGGAGTGCAGTGATGCAATCGTGGCTCACTGCAACCTCTGCTTCCCGGGTCCAAGCCTCAGCCTCCTGAGTAGCTGGGATTATAGGTGCCCACCACCACACCTGGCTAATTTTTGTATTTTTAGTAGAGACGGGGTTTCACTATGTTGGCCAGGCTGATCTCAAACGCCTGACCTTGTGATCTGCCTGCCTCGACCTCCCAAAGTGCTGGGATTACAGGCATGAACCACCGTGCTCGGCCTGATTTTACTTTATTTTTGAGACAGGGTCTTCTCTGTTTCCCAGGCAGGAGTGCGATGGTGTTATCATGGCTCACCACAACCTTGACCTTCTGGGCTCAAGCAATTCTCCCACCTCAACTTCCCAAGTGGCTGGGACCACAGGTGTGCGCCACCATACCTGGCTAATGTTTTGAATTTTTGTAGCGACAAGGTCTCACTATATTGCTTAGGCTGATCTCGAACTCCTGGGCTGAAGCAATCATCCTGACTCAGCCTCCCAAAGTACAAGGATTGTAGGTGTGAGCCACTGCACCGTCCTGGACTGCTTCAGATGGTGTACTTGCAAGAGAAACATTCTTTCTAAAACCCTTGCACGTTTTAAAATGGAGAATCTCAAGCTTTTTTAGAAACTAATACAATGGGCTGGGCACAGTGGCTCATGCCTGTAATCCCAGCACTTTGGGAGGCCAACGCAGGCAGATCACTTGAGGTCAGGAGCGATCCACCTCCAACCGGGAGGTGGAGGTTGCAGTTAGCTGAGATTGTGCCACTACACTCCAGCCTGGGCAACAGAGTGAGACACTGTCTCAAAAAAAGAAATGAATACAATGAACCACCCTGTCCCATCACCCAGCATCAACAATTACTGTCTTACAGCCAATTTTGTTTTGTCTGTGATCCCCACCTACTTCTTGTACATTTTAATAAACAATTTTTCATAGGCAGTATAATATGATTGGACTATTCCAAAATAGAAGGGTTATAATTGTTTAATAAAGCTATCTTTAATTCTAAAAGCAATGCTCATTTAAAAAAATTAAATATGTACACAAGAAAAAAGAGCAAATCCGGTCTTCAGTGACTTCCTAAATGCACTTAGAACATTGCAGAGGTTTGGCTGGGCATGGTGGCTCACACCTGTAATCCCAGCACTTCGGGAGGCCGAGGCAGGTGGATCACCTGAGGTCGGGAGTTCAGGACCAGCCTGGCCGACATGGGGAAACCCTGTCTCTACTAAAAAATACAAAATTAGCCAGGCATGGTGGCGCATGCCTGTAATCCCAGCTACTCAGGAGGCTGAGGCAGGAGAATCGCTTGAACCTGGGAGGCGGAGGTTGCGGTGAGCCAAGATCACGCCGTTGCACTCCAGCCTGGGCAAAAAGAGTGAAATTCTGTCAAAAAAAGAAAAAAGAACATTGCAGAGGTGCTCAACATAGTAGACATCCAAGGCGGCCTCCCTCCCACCTGGCCCCTGCCCTCAGCCCTCCCCTGTACCCCCGGCAGGCCTCCCACTCCCCAGACCCTCCTACTCTGCTCCCTCACTCCCTAGACCAGATTAGTCATTTGCTCCCAGACACAGCATTTGCTTGTTAATTGTGTGGCTGACCAGGCATACTGCCAACTCCTGGAGGAGGACATTGGTTCCTCTTGTACCCCACACCCAGCACAGTGGCCTAGTAAACATTCCTTGAATGAATTCTTGCACCCAGAGAGCAGCTCCACTCACAGAGTGGTGACCGTTCATCCTTTCAGAGGGAGTGGATGTAATAAGGCTTCCATACCATCAGTAAAACACAATTTGGCTGGGCGTGGTGGCTCACGCCTGTAATAGCACTTTGGGAGGCCGAGGTGGGCAGATCACTTGAGGTCAGGAGTTCAAGACCAGCCTGGCCAACATAGCAAAACCCCATCTCTACTAAAAATACAAAAATTATCCAGGCATGGTGGTGTGTGCCTGTGATCCCAGCTACTCAGGAGGCTGAGGCAGGAGAATCGCTTGAACCTGGGAGGCAGTTGTGGTGAGCCAAGATGGCACCACTGCACTCCAGCCTGGGCAACAGAGCAAGACTCTGTCTAAAAAATAATAAATAAATAAATAAAGCACAATTTGAGAATTTTCAGGAAGTTCATCAAAGTTTATACCAAGGAACCAACAGGAAAAAACCAAACCATTCATGCAGTGCAGAGGTGTGGCTAGGTATAGATGGAGGGGAAGTGGCTTGATTTGGTCCCTGATCAGAGAGAGTTAACTATGTCAGGAACTAGTTTTGCCCCTCTCCTTTGAGACCCATCTCTGGCTGCCACTGCCTTAGGATCACCTATGGGAGCCCCCAAGCCATGCCTTTGTATGTGCGCTCAGACTCCCATGGGTCAGCCTCCAGCCCCAGCTCACACTGATAAACGTGACAAACCACATGAGGATACCAGGTCCATCTCCTCCCGGGGTGAGTGGGTCAGGCCCCACCCCACACAGGGTGAGGGCACCTGGCCTGAGAAAGGGCTTGGTAAGAGAAGCCCATGAGGTAGTCACCAGTGGCTGGGGGCCGGAGCCCCATGGCAAAAGCAAAGAGCACCAGCCTTCCAGTCCAGCAGGCCCAGGTTTGGAGTCTAGTTCAGCCTCTTAACTAGCGTGGGCATCTTGGACCACCATCTTCAATATAAGCCTCAGTTGCCTCATCTGTAAACAGGTGAGAATACTTACATGGCAGCCACATTAAGGAAGAATATCCTGTTTATAAAGCACATGGTGGAGAGGCAGTAAATGGTAGCCGTTATTTACTTTTTTTTTTTTTATTTTTTGAGGCAGGGTCTCACTCGTCACCCAGGTTGGAAGGCAGTGGTGTGATCACAGCCCACTGCAGCCTCACACTCCCAGGCTCAGGTGATCCTCCCACCTCAGCCTCCCGAGGAGCTACGACTACAGGCATGTGCCAGCATGCCCAGCTAGTTTTTTGTATTTTTAGTAGAGACAGGGTTTTGCCATGTTGGCCAGACTGGTCTCGAACTCCTGGGCTCAAGCAATCCATCCACTTCAGCCTCCCAAAGTGCCGGGATTACAAGCATGAGCCACAGCGCCCAGCTGCCATTCTTTTTTTTCTTTCTTCCCCTTCGACCCCTGTCCCCCCAACACACAGCGTCTCAACCTGTTGCCCGGGCTGGAGTACAGTGGTACTATCACGGCTCACTGCAGCCTCCAACTCCTGGGCTAAAGGGATTCTCCTGCTTCAGCCTCCCAGGTAGCTGGGACTACAGGCATGCACCACCATGCTCGGTTAATTGGTTTTTTAAAAATTATTTTGTAGAGCTGGGCTCAGTGGCTCACACCTGTAATCCCAGCACTTTGGGAGGCTGAGACAGGCGGATCACCTAAGGTTGGGAGTTTGAGACCAGCCTGACCAACACGGAGAAACCCCGTCTCTACTAAAAATACAAAAAATTAGCCGAGCATGGTGGCACATGCCTGTAATCCCAGCTACTCGGGAGGCTGAGGCAGGAGAATCGCTTGAACCCGGGAGGCAGAGGTTGTGGTGAGCCGAGATTGTGCCATTGCACTCCAGCCTTGGCAACAACAGCAAAACTCCATCTCAAAAAAAAAAATTATTTTGTAGAGATGGGTCTCACTATGTTGTCCAGGCTCGTCTTGAACTCCTGGCCTCAAGCCATCCCCCTGCCTTGGCCTCCCAAAATGCTGGAATTACAGGTGTGAGCCACTGCGCCCAGCCAGTAGCCATTATTATTAGGTAATTTTAGTAGATATCTCTACCACAAAGGGCCTGTGAACTTCTAGGTAACCAGTAAGGCCAGTTGGTGTACTGCTTTGCTGCCATAGATTTTTGTTTTCTAGTTAACACCCACTGAAACATGTTGCTGTGAATCTTACCTCTAGCCCTGCGGTCCCCAGCACAGAGATCTTCAAAGCTGGCTGTACAGCAGCATCACCTGTGTAACTTACACTCATGCTACTGTGATTGCCCGGGTCAAAGGTTGGCACCTGGCCTCCTTCTGATGCACAGGCCCACCCACAGAAGGGATCCACTGAAGCCCACCAGGTCCGGAAGTATGAGGAACCCCCAGCATCCACCTCATTGTGGAACTCACGGTCCAGCCACTCTCAGGATGGATCACCACCTTCATCAGAACCATCTGGGCAGCTTATATAGCTTTCTAGGGGCCCAGCTCAGACCTATTGAACTGGAATCCCTGAGGGTGAAGCCAGGAATGGGGTTCTAACAAGCTGGCCGCATTACATGCTGAGGTGCATTTATGTTCTGCAGGAAAACACGCTGCCTGCGTGAGTGGTGCGTGCAGGTGCTGGCTTCCTCTGCTTTTTACTTCTCTCTTCATCTATCTCTGGTAACAGACTCTACCATGCCGTACCTCTCTCCATCATTTAAAAACTCTTATAGAGCAGCACACTAATTTAAAAACCAAAATAGAATAAAGTTGCTCTTCTGATAATTTTTTTTTTTTTGAGACAGAGTGCTCATTGCAACCTCTACCTCCCAGGTTCAAGCGATTCTCATGCCTCAGCCTCCTGAGTAGCTGGGACTACAGGCGCCCACCACCATGCCCAGCTAATTTTTGTATTTTGAGTAGAGATGGGGTTTCACCATGTTGGCCAGGCTGGTCTTGAACTCCTGACCTCAAGTGATCCACCCGCCTTGGCCTCCCAAAGTGCTGGGATTACAGGCGTGAGCCACTGTACCTGGCTTCTTGATACATTTCATTCTTTAAAAAATCATACTGACATATCAAAATGCAGCTTCCCATGATGCAGTGAGCTATTTTTTTTCAGGACATTGGGCAGCTTTATTAAGCAATTTGAAGTTAGAAGAAAGAACACCCTTAATTTAATAATGCATACACCTATAGTGTGAATGCTTACACACACACACAGAGAGAGAGAGAGAGAGAGAGAGAGTACTGAAAAACTTAACTTTATTCAAGTTGTGGATTGTCATCAAAAACTGGGTATGAAGTAGGACATGGCTGAACTAGTGGTGTTTTGTTTGCTTGTTTCTTTCTTTTTTGAGACAAGGTCTTGCTGTCACCCAGGGTGGAGCGCAGTAGCACAATTATGGCTCACTATAACCTTGAACTCTGGGCTCAAGCAATCCTCCCGCCTCACCCTCTTGAGTAGCTGGGACTACAGGCAGGTGCCACCACACCTGGTTAATTTTTTTTCTTTTTTGTAGATATAGGGAAATGTACTTCTTCCTCTTTTCTCATTTTTATTTTTTCTTATTTAGAGATAGGGTCATGCTATGTGCACCAGGCTGGTCTTGAACTTATGGCCTCGAGCAATCCTCCCACCTCAGCATCTCAAAGTGCTGGGATTACAGGAATGAGCCACTGCGCCTGGCCTGTTTTGTTTTTTAAGTGACATACACCTGCAGAAGATGGGAACTTCCATAAAGACATTAGAGATTGGGTAGTGTTTGAAAGATGGTGCAACAGGCCCCTCACCCTGTGGCCCGCGGGCTCACCACTCCGCCTAAGGAGTTGCTCTGAGCTCTCGCCCCAGCCCTTACAGCAGTGCTGCATTTGAACCTTTCTTTTATTTTTTTTTTGTGTTTTTTTTTTTTTGAGATGGAGTCTCACTCACTCTTTGTCACCCAGGCTGGAGTGCAGTGGTGTGATCTCAGCTCACTGAAACCTCCGCCTCCCGGGTTCAAGCAGTCCTCCTGCCTCAGCCTCCCTAGTAGCTGGAATCACAGGTGACCGCCACCATGCCAGGCAAATTTTTTTTATTTTTTATTTTTGAGACAGAGTCTGGCTCTGTTGCCCAGGCTGGAGTGCAATGGCACGATCTCATCTCACTGCAACCTCTGTCTCCCAGGTTCAAGCGATTCTCCTGCCTCAGCCTCCAGAATAGCTGGGATTACAGGTGCCCGCCACCACATGCAGCTAATTTTTGTATTTTTAGTAGAGACGGGGTTTTGCCATGTTGGCCAGGCTGGTCTCGAACTCCTGACCTCAAGTGATCCACCCACCTCAGCCTCCCAAAGTGCTAGGATTATAGGAGTGAGCCACCGCACCTGGCCTTAAAAGGCCTTTCACCTCGCCAGCACACCTCTGCTACTGGAGGATGGAGGATGGCAAACACTGTTTCCTGCCCCTGCCCTGTAATTCTCACAGATATTCAGAAAGGTTTGGTTGCCCTGTGCCTCAGTAAATAAGGAAAATGCTTTCTTAGAAGGCTGCTCCAGTAACTGCATATTCCTTGCCATCCTCTACAGAAATCACCATCTGCTCTCCTAAGTTCTTCTGGAAAGAGCACCGTAACCATGTCATCCTAACAGCAATGCCATGAAGAAAGGGAGGCAGCTCCCTCCACGTCCTGGCTCCAGTGCCCACTCCCGTGCCCCCTCCATGGCCCACGCAGCCTGGCCACCTGGGTGACATCTGGTCCCTGTGTCACTTTCTGCAAGACAAGGACCAGCCTCAAAGAGGAGAGCATGGTGTCCTGAAGGAGATGGCGGCCACCATCACCTGTCCTGTGGCTTTCCTCTGACTGCCCAGGTGGGGGCCCAGAGGCGGCGCCTCTCAGTCCAGCTTTGAGTGGAGTTACATAATTTCCAGGCTTCCCTGCAGTTCTCGCCTCCCCATCCCTGAACTGTTTACACAGTAGCTCTCACCCACAAAGAGTCCGCATGATGGCTTTTCCTCTGTTTGGAAGATGTGGATGGCTGTGTCCCAAGTTTTTCCTACCTAAGATCCTTTTCAGTAGGGGATGGATTTGGTCTATCTGATGATCAAGAGTTCAGGGTGGCCTTTGTGATAGTGTTACACCCCCTCCCAGGTCCAATAAACAGTCTTCTGACAAATAATGGCCCTTCCTTTTCCTTCCCCACCTGTCCACCACCTGGTAATGTGATGTAAGCGTGGCAAAATCCCACACACCCCTTCCAGAAATCCCAGGACTCGTGTGGGAAATACTGTCATAATTAAAGCCTTCTGAGAAATTGCTGCTTCTTCCTTGAACTTACCTACTTTTGAGCGGTCCTTTAATCCTGCATTAAGGGGATACCCCCCCAAAAATGGTTCTACTTAATTATCCCCCCTTCCTCACTCCTTTCTCCTCATGAATCAGGCAAGCCTTTTTTTTTTAGATGACCCAGATGCCCAAAGCAATAATTACATTTCAAGGGTATTTTTTAAGAGTATTTATTCCAAACACAATGTTCACTTTAAATGCAAAATAGCTGGTAGAAAAAAAAACACTGAAAAATATACTGACCCTTTGCCCCATATACAGACATCAGCCTTTGGTATTTGCTTTCAGGTAATTAGGTAAAACAAACAAACAAAAACTTGAAACTATTATTTATCTCCAAGAAAACAACGTAGAGTTGAGGTATTCTATTTAACAGATGTGATCTCCATCCAATAAGGTCTCTCTGTTAATTAACAGCCTTGTGACATGCTGTTCCAATCCTTTCCTCCTAAAGTAGAATTTCATTTGAGCATATGTTCATAAAACTGACAGTGTTCCTTAATAATCACTAAGGTTGCCATAGAAACTCCCTGGTGCTGGTGCCCAGCCGCACGGAGGACAGGAGGCCTTCACAGGGCACTGAGGAGGGCCTGGCACGGACCCTGAACTGGCCCGCCTGCCCCTCCGTGTGCAGCCCCTGCCCACGGCTGCACGGGACAGCTGGGTGCAGGGCTCTTGCCTCAAAGGGTCACAGGTTGCCCCTGCATCTCCAAATTAAGACCACCAACTCCACCTGGAGCTGGTGTCAGCATCCTCCCCACCTGGGTTAGCCTTCTGGACGTGCTGTGAGATAATAGAGCTCAGCACCAAAGCAGCTGGGAAGACATTCCTGAACATTCTCCAGGAAACAAACCCATAGACCACAACATGCCCAGCCTGCCCCACTGGGCCCTGTTCACTACCAGGTGGGCTTCCAGCCTGGTTCCAGCAACAGATTCCACAACCTGCCGCGGCAACCAGTTTCCTTTCTCCCAAGACAGCA
This sequence comes from Homo sapiens, assembly GCF_000001405.40. NCBI lineage: Eukaryota > Metazoa > Chordata > Mammalia > Primates > Hominidae > Homo > Homo sapiens. The sequence goes on along the minus strand of NC_000001.11, from coordinate 154,468,622 downwards.
GGGAAGTGCCAGAGGCTCCGTGTGAACTCAGAGCCTGATAAAGAAAGCGTAAGGGCAAGTCCCCATCAGGGCCAAGAGCTCTCTGAGTTACCAAAGGCCTCGTCAACATAGCCAGTGCTACCCCTGGACACATTTCTTGAAAATATTTCATTAATGCTACAAACATTATTGATCATTTTACTTTAGGCCTTGAACCAGCATATTTTTTACTTTCCCCACCCAGCAGGATAAGCTGTCGTATTTAACCTAAATGGTCTCTGTCTCAGCGTTTCACGTCTGGCTGCGTGGCAGATGGCTACAGGTGTTAGGCAAATAACAGCACTGCTGGGGACTCAAGGCAGTGGGGGTGCTGCAGAAACACAGGTAGAAATGCCCCGTGCATTGAGACACATGTTCAGTCACCACAGATTAGAGAACATAGAGAGCTTAGGATGTATACCTGTGTACGCTGAGCCAGGCCTACAGCCCAGAGAAGACATTTTTTCTTCATTTACATTAGCTTATGAAAAATAAAGGGAAAACAACCCTCTTCAATACAAAAACAAAAAAACAAAACAAAGCAATTCCATTACAATAAAAATGAAAGCAATAACAATTTGGAGATCAAAGCTGCCTAGCTCTTGGCAATAATGAGCTATCTGGATTTCACATCTTCCGCTAGCATGGTTCTGCCCGGCTTTGGTAACACCACATGTGGGTAAAACGGTATAAAGAATTGAAGAACTGTGGGCACAGAATCACCCTTACTGCAGATTCTCATTCTTAATATTTCCCTTTAACAGCATTTTGCTGTTCTCAAGTCTCAGAAACTTTATGTGGTGGGATGGGAGGGAACCACCATAACCGCCTGCCTGCCTTTTTTTTTCTTAACTGTTATTGTTCATAATAGAGATGGTGTCTCACTATGTTACCCAGGTTGGTCTCAAACTCCTGAGCTCAAGCAATCCTCCCACCTTGGCCTCCCAAAGTGCTAGGATTACAGGCGTGAGCCACCGCGCCCGGCCATCCTGCCTTTTTGCCAACCTAAGATGAGTTGCCTCAAGCAGCAATAGGGTCTAAAATCTACAGACAAGCCCAGCAATGAAAATCACGGCTTACTGAAGACAGTAACAGCTTAAACCTGGAAAACCGTAAACAAAACATGGTCACTTTCATCCTTTCGCACCTGTCTGGTGATGGTGGTGGTTTTTCTAAGAGGGTAGAGTATTAGAAAAGTTTTGTGGTCTGGTAAATATTGGGTCCATGGTTACACGGCTGATTTAAATCATATCCCCACTCTGGAATACCCTGATAACTTGAGAGCTAACTGGGTAACCACTAACACCACTGAATTTTCAAAGCTCGGACAGAAAAGTCAGCTGAAGTGGTTAATCATGGTGTTACAACTAGACATTTAGTCCTGCTTCAATTCTTGCAGAGCTGAATCAACTCAAGGAACTAAATAAAAAGAGGAAGGCACCGAGGTAAGGGATTTTTTTTAAATGGGATTTTTTTAAAACCTCTTTGATAGCAGAAAGCTCAGGGCTTTCAGGGTGGGGAATTTCTAGGACCCTGCCGGGCAGTCGTGGGAGGCTTCCTTCTCGGCACTGGGACAGGGACCGGACACCCTCTCCATAACCACCTGGGGGAGTAGTCACACGCTGGTTTTTCCCTAGAGTAGAGAAGAGGCAGGCTATTTTTCCACTTTTTAAGACAAAAACAAAATACAGAATGAAACCACAATCTCTTCTCTAATAGGGAAAATATTTTTTCTTTTTCTTTTTCTTTTTTTGAGACAGGGTCTCACTTGCTCTGTCACCCAGGCTGGAGTGCAGTGGTGCAATCTCGGCTCACTGCAGCCTTGACCTCCCAGGCTCAAGAGATCCTCCCACCTCAGCCCCCCAAGTATCTGGGACTTCAGGCACACTCTACCACACTTGGCTAATTTTTATGCTTTTTGTAGAGATGGGGTTTTATCACATTGCCCAGGCTGATCTCAAACTTCTGGACTCAAGTGATCCTCCTGCCTCGACCTCCCGAAGTGCGTGGGCCACCATGCCTGGCAGGAAAATATTTTTTCTCTTCCTCCTTTTTCACTTGACTTGGTTTTGGGCTAAACAAAGTTATGGTGCTTCCCCCACACCTAAGTAAGTTACTTCTATGCTGACACAGCGAATATTGGATATTCCACCCTCTCAAGAGAAAACAGTCAGCAGTTTTTTAAAAACCAAGTTTAAACACATTCTTGCCAGGCTCATTTTTCTTTTCACATTGTCTTCCTTAATATTATCTTCCCTAGTTACCCAGGTTCAGCTGACAACAAACAAAGCTGCAGTAAAACCGTTTTGATCTCAGAAATGGCAGAAGCCCTCCCTGCTGCTAGCTCTCCTTTGTGGGAGGTGGAGAAGAGAGAACATTGGTTTTCAGAGGCTGTGATCCCCCACTCAGCTCCCACTCTACAGGGGATGGTAGAGACCCTGTGCCCCTCTCCTCTCCTTCCTCTGCTTCTCACCTGAGGTCCTGCAACCCAAAGCCAATGCAGTTGCCTCTGTATTCAGCAAATGCCTAGGATCATCATTCACATTTAGCAAAATGCTAATGAGGAACTAATTATAATTCTGTTGAAAACGACCAGGCCCTGAGATACTGTATTATTCACCCACTCACCCTCAGCTGTTTTTCAACTGTAGGGAAGAAAGGGAGGAGAGAGCTTCTTCCCCCAGCCTTGGCGGTTTAAGTAAAAGCCGTCCCCAGGCCTAGAAAAACAGAATTTGCTAAGGCACTTGGGTTTTAAGAGTTTGAGTTGGAAGATGAAACGATGCAGTGGGCCAGGAGCATGGCGGCTGGAGGAGGCTTTGGCTGGAAATCCATCCCACCTGCCTGAGGGTGCAGCTTGTGCAGAGGTGTTGAGGGGTGGGCTGCCAGCCGCTTCTCCACACCGAGGCCCCCACCAACCTGCCCAGCTTTTGAGTGTCCGTGTGAGTGTCCAAAGAGTCTTGATATGGTTCTCTTCACAGTGGCCCAAGTTCACTCTAGCCCCTTTAAGCTGGGCATTTGGAAAGGGAGGTTTGAAACCTCAACCAGCTGAACAGCTGGAGCAGGCTGATTTTCCCCTGGCGTAGAACCTTCCGCAAGGCTCTTCCGTGAAGCCAAAGGCCGCACACCCCTGAGATAAGCTGGCATGGCAGTGAGAAGCATCTTTTGCTGAGCCCGTTTGTGTTTTATCATCCACAGGGTCCAGGCTGCTGGTGCCACCCAGCCAGCTATCTGGGGAAGAAGTAGTCTGTATTGCTGATGTCATAAGGGCTCCGTGGGTCCCTGGCATCTGGTCGGTTGTGGCTCGAGGTATTGTCAGACCCCAGGCTGCTGGGGGACACCGGTGGGGAGATGAGAGGAACAAGCACTGGGGTGGGTCGAGGCCTCTCCGGGACCAGCTGCCCCAAAGAGTACGGCGGATGCATGCTTGTCTTGCCTTCCTTCAGAGCCCGCAGCTTCCACGTCTTCTTGAACCTTCACACAAACACACAAAGACAAACCACACAGATTTTTAGCTCCCCCTGTGACAAGCCCACAGTGGAAAACACCAACAGCTGGCTGCCCTGGTGGCCTGGCGCGCCCAGGTTTCGGCTCAAAGGAGCAATAACTATCAGCTGTCTTTTTGTTTTTTGTTCATTTGTTTGTTTTGAGACAGGATCTTGCTCTGTTACCCAGGCTGGAGTGCTATGGCGTGATCTCAGCTCACAGCAGCCTCAACCTCCTTGGGCTCAGGTGATTCTTCCACCTCAGCCTCCTGAGTAGCTGGGGCTACAGGTGTGTGCCACTACATCCGACTGATTTTTGTATTTCTCATAGAGACAGGGTTTTGCCATGTTGCTCAGGCTGGTCTTGAATTCCTGGGCTCGAGCAATCCGCCCGCCTCGGCCTCCCAAAGTGCTGGGATTACAGGTATGAGCCGGCACACCCGACCCGACTGTTTTTATCACCAGGGAGTTCACCATACTCTGAAGAGTTGGTGAGTTTCCAAAACACTCCCAAGGAAATAGATGTGTATTGTTGGTCCAATTTACAAGTGAAGAAACTGAGGCACCAAAAAGTCACTTAACAGTCCCTTAATTGTCCCATTGCAGAGGCTGTTCATTAGGTACACATCATCAGTCCCAAATCCATTTACTTAAAAAAAAGAAAAATAGGCTGGGCGCAGTGGCTCACGCCTGTAATCCCCACACATTGGGAGGCCGAGGCGGGCGGATCACCTGAGGTCAGGAGTTCAAGACCAGCCTGGCCAACGTGGTGAAACCCCGTCTCTACTAAAAATACAAAAATTAGCCAGGCGTAGTGGCAGGCACCTGTAATCCCAGATACTTGGGAGGCTGAGGCAGGAGAATCGCTTGAACACGGGAGGCAGAGGTTGCAGTGAGCTGAGATCGTGCCATTGCACTTCAGCCTGGGCAACAAGAGTGAAACTCTGTCTCAAAAATAAAAAAAAAGAAAAGGAAAGAAAATAAAAAAAGAAAGCATTCTTTTAGTAGGGAAAGAAAATGGGCCTCTCGGTCAAAGTAAGGCTGGCAGGAGGCAGATAATTTGCAACCGCCATGTAATAGCAGGAAAAGGGTCCCACTGCTCCCTCAACTGCCTTCCTGTTCCTCTTGCTCCTAATGTTGCTGACCTCCCCAGTTCTCCCTACGCCTCTCGGTCCACTCCCACCATGCTGGTGAGTTCCCACAGACTCAACTGTCGGCACCACTGGGCACAATTTGACTCATCTGACAGGAAAGTCAATGCTACACAGGAAGGAGATAGACATCTTTCTGATCACAGCTTGGTTCACAGTGCTCCACTCTGGGCCCAAAGCCAGGGCTCAGTAACTGAGAAAAGTCACTTGACAGCTCAAAGAAAGATGAAATGGTGACATGGATCTTCAAAAGCACAGTCACGTCCCCTTCCTAAAGGGGCCCTTCAACTGTGCCAGGGTGGCCAGTGCCCCAAGCCTCAGCCCCTCCCTCTTGCTTCCCACTTTGTGACTGACATGCCTCCTAACCCCAAAGTGGGAACAAGGTGGCCTCCCTCAATTCCATGGAAGATCAGTTACTCCAGGAAGGGCTGGGAAAGAGGAGGGGAAACCAATGTCAAAAACAAGATTTGGGGATTTTCCTTGGGTTTCTTTTTATATCGACAGGTTATTCCTGTCCTTGTTATGATAAATAATTAATAGTTGGCTCCAAATCTGCCACTGGCTTTTAGCTTGGTATCCAAATGAAATAAACAATCTGCAGAATATTATTTAGGGCTTCACCATGTGGACACCACACAGGAAGAGAGCCCAGCAGGGCTGCTGACTGGAGCTATGCTGAGTCATTGAATGGAGTTCTCCTGTAAGAAAGGACTGAGGAGAGAATCATTACACTCTGGATTTCAAAGAATTCAGACTCTCTGACCCAGGAATTCTACTTCTGGGAAAAGAAAGAACATAGCTATAAAAAAAAAAAAACCCTTTATGCACAAAGATGTTCAACACAGTGTTTTTTATAAAAGCAAAATAAGGCCGGGTGTGGTGGCTCATGCCTGTAATCCCAGCACTTTGGGAGGCCAAGGTGGGTGGATTACTTGAGGTCAGGAGTTCAAGACCAGCCTGGCCAATGTGGCAAAACCCTGTCTCTACTAAAAAAGAATTAGCCGGGTGTCGTGGCGCATGCCTGTAATCCCAGCTACTTGGGAGGCTGACGCAGGAGAATTGCTTGAACCCAGGAAGCAGAGGTTGCAGTGTGCTGAGATTGTGCCACTGCACTCCAGCCTGGGTGACAGAGTGATGTGTCTCAATAAATAAATAAATTAATTAATTAATTAAATAAAAGCAAAATAACACCCAAATAATTGGTAATGTTTGGGTGCCACCAATTAGGAGTAATAGGAGGTTGATTAAGAGAAATTGGTATATCCACCTAATACTACAGCTAATGAAAGTGAGATTTATGGCCAGGCACGGTGGCTCACGCCTGTAATCCCAGCACTTTGGGAGGCCTAGGCGGGCAGATAACGAGGTCAGGAGTTCGAGACCAGCCTGACCAACATTGTGAAACCCCACCTCTATTAAAAAATACAAAAATTAGCCAGGCATGGTAGCAGGCGCCTGTAATCCCAGCTACTCAGGAGACCGAGGCAGGAGAACTGCTTGAACCCAGGAGGCGGAGGCTGCAGTGAGCTGAGATCGCACCATTGCATTCCAGCCTGGGCAATAAGAATGAAACTCCGTCTCAAAAAAAAAAAAAAAAGTCTGAGATTTACAAGAATTTGTACTAATGTGAAAGAATGCCTGTGTTATAGTGCTAAGTGTGAAAGGCAGGATGCAGAGCTGAGGATACAGAATAATCATGGCTGTGTAAAAACAAACAAGAAACTAGGCAGAGGAAAAAGACTCAGGAGATTTGTCTAAATATTAAGTGTTCTTGATCTGGGTGTTGATTGTAAAACCATCTCCACAGGGTTGACAAAAATTGCATGCTGGGTTCTGGACAGAAATATATTAATAGTTATAATGAAGCAGTAATCAGGCTGCACTTTGGCCCATTTCCTTATTGCAAAAAGTCACGTAGCCCTAGACACTGACCATCTGCATCCCCGTTGTTTCTGTAGATAGGATTTCTGACATTAGGATCCTAAGACTTTTGTTTAAGGATCACTTAAGATGTTTTACGGACCCCTAATTCCGGCAACCAGTTTGAAGACCCTCACAGAGGAACGGGATTGGCATGAGAAGACAGCTTCTTCATCTCCTTGTCCCAGGACCTCACCCTACACCCTGCAACCAGTCAACCATCTCCACACTTTGGCCCAGTCCAACATTTTTACAACCCTAGCCCCAAATTCCTTGGGGAGATGGATTTGAGGTGTGGGCAGAGGATTACCTAGGTGCCGAGGCAAGACACTGAAGGCACAAACTGTTTCAGTATAATAAAGAAAATAGAATAAGAATAGTCATAATACAAATTAGATACAGAGATGATCATGAACAATTATCAATCATTATTATAAACATTATTAATCATTAGCTTTTAATATTACTCTTTGTTCCATTACTAATATAACCTAGGAATAACCGGCGGGTATAGGGTCAGGTGCTGAAGGGACATTGGGAGAAGTGACCTAGAAGGCAAGAGGTGAACCCTCTGTCATGCCGGCATAAGGGCCGCTGGAGCGCTCCTTGGTCAAGCGGTAACGCCAGTGTCTGGGAAGGCACCTGTTACTTAGCAGACCGGCAAAAGGGAGTCTCCTTTCCTTGGAGGAGTCAGGGAACACTGTCCTCCACCAGCTTCTTGTGGAAGGCTGGATATTATCCAGGCCTGCCCGCAGTCATCCAGAGGCCTAAACCCCTCCCTGTGGTGCTGTGCTTCAAGGGTCATGCTCCTTGTCCACTTTCATGCTCCTCCCGCACTCCTGGTTCCTCTTCGAAGCTCATAGTAGATAGCAGTAGAAGAAATAGTGAAAGTCTTAAAAGTCTTTGATCTTTCTTATAAGTGCAGAGAAGAAAACCCTGACATATGCTGCCTGCTCTCTGCTTCAGCTACCTAAAAGGGAAGGGCCCCCGATCCTGTAATCACATGACTTGCTTCACCTTGTCAATCACTTAGAAGATTTACCTTCCTTACCCTGCCTCCTCGTCTTGTATGCAAAAAATATCAGCGAGCCCAGACGTTCGGGGCCACTACCGGTCTCTGCATCTTGATAGTAGTGGTCCCGCAGGCCCAGGTGCTTTCTCTTTATCTCTTTGTCTTGTGTCTTTATTTATTACAATCTCTCGTCTCCACACACGGGGAGAACACCCGCTAAGCTCCGTACGGCTGGACCCTACAGAGGTTTCCTCCCATCTCCTCCTTTGGTGACCCTCTGATTAAACCTCTTTCTCTGCTGCAACCTGGTGTCTTGGCATCTTGACTTGCCACGTGCATCTCATTATAATGACATGGGTGTGTACACTTCATGGCGCTGTACACATGATGTGGGAACTTTTCTGTATGTTTGTTAGACTTCAATCACATTTACATTTTGAAAATTAACAGTGGCTCTCTTTGGATGACATATATTTTTTTCCATTTGTCATTATTTAGCAAATCACCAGTAATAATCACATATCACATACATATGTATGTGTGTATGTATATATTTTTTAAGTCCCTATTGACCTAATATGGAAGCAATCTCTGTCCTCAGTTTTTTTTTCAAAGTAACTGAATGGGTAACAAAGAAAGGTGAGCTTTCCTTTTGAAATATTCTAAGGCGAGTATGAATTCTTTTCTGAAAATCACTAAACTCAAAGAGGACTTTGAAACCAGCCAACCTGAGGGTGTCCAGAGCTGGCCTGGATGGGTGTGAGCAGGGCCTGGGGGCTGGAGAGGACACAGGGTGGGCAGAAAGAAGAAACAGATGAGCTCTCTGCTGCCTTCTTTTGCACCTTGACCTCCACCTTTTATCTATTTTACATATTTGGGCTTCAAAAAGTTTCATTTAAAGAAAAGATTCTGTAGCTAAAAGAAGTTTTTTAAAATGCTCAAAACTCTCACTCTTTTTTAGAAAGATATGTAGAAACCAAGTTGCCACCCCTTTTACCCCAAAGGCCACAGACAGTGCCCACTGCACCCAGCCACCTCCATGGCCCGGAACACCATGAAAGTCCCTCTGCCCGTCCCCCAGCTGTGGAGGTAGCAAAAGCTCTGATTTTAAAATACCGGAATGATACACTACATTCAAAACGAAATGATGTTTAAGTCATAGGCATACACATAGGAAGTCCTCACTTAATGATGTAAGCTCATTCTAGATAAATATGCAGAAAAATAATTCTCTACTAGGAGAATTCTATTTTCCCAGTGCCTGATAACCTAAAATACAGAGAATCAGTGGGGGACAGAGAATAGGGTGGGAGGAATTGGCCCCTGTAAGATGGCAAGCCTTTTCGATAGCATATTTAAATTTTAAAAAATCATCTATGATTCAGAAAAAAAGAATGAGTAATAAAAAACAAAGAAAAAAATCACTGATATTGCTGGAAAAAGATTTAGGGCCATACAAAAAAATATAGTATACACTGGCAGGATGAAGTCAACCTCTCACACTTCACCTACTGTAAATGTGGCCATCCCATGGTAACCATGGTTCAGCCATTTTGGCAGCCCAGAGCCCCACAGTATTTCTAAGTTTATACTCTTTGCTAGACAGAGGGGATTTGGGGAATAGAAGGCTTCTTCATCACTTGAAATAACTGGCCTCTTTCCAAACAAATTTGCCTTATACAGAAGAAAATGGAAACTCACTAGGCTAGAAAATAAATTCCTGGCATGTTCTCAGCACAGGGCACTGGCCCTGTCTGTGCCTGCAGGGACTCTGGTTGTTTAGCAACCAGCCAGTGTCCAAGCATCATCAGCAGAATAGCAAACCAGGTCTGTTCCCAACCTAATGCTCCTCTATTAGCCATTACAACACACCAAGATGGTGCTGCATGTTAAGGGCCAGTGGTGGGCCAATGGGACCAGCTGGGCCCAGCTCTTAGCCAATAGCAGGTGGGGACCATGGGCAGGGACTCTCAGGGTGTGTGTTCTTGCTTGTCCTTGGGCAAGTCATTTTACCTTTGGGGGCTGTTTCCTCATTTATAAAATGAAAGAGTTTGACTAGATGACCCTTAAGGCCCTATAGAAATAGCAGGAGTTTTTGGTTTGATTCTTGGCCTTCTTCTTCATCTTTTTTTTTTTTTTGAGATGGAGTCTCCTTCTGCTGCCCAGGCTGGAGTGCAGTGGCGCGATCTCGGCTCACTGCAACCTCTGCCTCCCGGGTTCAAGCGATTCTCCTACCTCAGCCTCCCAAGTAGCTGGGATTACAGGTGTGCACCACCATGCCCAGCTAATTTTTGTATTTTTAGTAGAGACAGGGTTTCTCCACGTTGGCCAGGCTGGTCTCGAACTCCTGACCTCAGGTGATCCACTTGCCTTGGCCTCCCAAAGTGCTGGGATCACAGGCGTGAGCCACCGCGCCTGGCCTATTCTTACTAGCTGTTATCGCACCATCTCTTTTAGCTTCAGTTTCCTCCCGTCAAATGTATATCATATCTACTCTACTCTATAGGGCCTGTGGTGGGTTATGAGAAAAGTCTGTTGAAGCCCTAACGTAGACACAGAGCCAGAACACAGGAGGGTATACCTAGGGTGAGGCAAGGAATCCTTTGGTAGGCAGGAGGTGAACCCGTGGATGCTGACATGGCCCCTCACTGGCCAAAAAATATAACAGGCTTTGCATCCTCCAAGGAGCTACCTCTACTCATTAAGAATCTTATCTTGCACGCACCCTTCAGACGGCTTGTAATCTACTTCATTGAAAAAGCAAAGTGAAGGCCGGGCACGGTGGCTCACGCCTGTAATCCCAGCACTTTGGGAGGCCAAGGCGGGTGGATCACGAGGTCAGGAGATCGAAACCATCCTGGCTAACACGGTGAAACCCCGTCTCTACTAAAAAAAAATACAAAAAATTAGCCAGGCGTGGTGGTGGGCGCCTGTAGTCCCACCTACTCGGGAGGCTGAGGCGGGAGAATGGCGTGAACCCGGGAGGCGGAGGTTGCAGTGAGCCAAGATCGCGCCACTGCACTCCAGCCTGGGCGACAAAGCGAGACTCCGTCTCAAAAAAAAAAAAAAAAAGAAAAAGAAAAAGAAAAAGAAAAAAAGTGAAAACAACCCTGAACCCAATTTGAGTAGTCATCTTGCTAATCTTTCAACCCACACCACACTTGGTAGTCAAGCTAGGTCAGGGCTACTGGCAGGGTCTGATGAGCTAACGTGTAGAAAGCTCTCTACATGTAGAAAGGACAGAGTGCAATGTCTCCTCCACTTGTAGATCATCGCGATTAACCACTGCCTAGAAGACCCAGCCTGACATCTTTTAGGGTTTCAGCTTATGAAAAAAAGCCGGTTCCTGCAGTAAAATTGTGAACACCGAAAAATTTCATTATTGCTTGTTCACTGAAGGCACTATTGGCTGACTTTTCTGCAGACTTGGAAATGAATGACAAAACCAATGACCAAATGGAGCGAAGATGATTGGGATGAAATGGGCATGATGAGACAGCAGCCAGGGTGCAACTCAGCCTGAATGAGTATTTCCTAACCATGGCTGGAAAAGAACACTAGGGCAGAGCATTTAAAGGTGACCTTTAAGTTCCTGGATTGATACATGGAATATTCCTAAGGAGGTCCTGCTTGGGCGCCTTGGATTTAACTGTGTGGTGCTTCTCCAATGTTACTTTCTTTCTTCTTTTCTTTTCTTTTTTTTTTTTTTTTTTTTTTGAGACGGAGTCTTGCTCTGTTGTCCAGGCTGGAGTGCAGTGGTGCAATCTTGGCTCACTGCAACCTCTGCCTCCTGGGTTCAAGCAATTCTCCTGCTTCAGCCTCCCAAGTAGCTGAGATTACAGGCATGTGCCACTATGCCCAGCTAATTTTTGTGTTTTTAGTAGAGACGGAGTTTCACCATGTTGGTCAGGCTGGTCTTGAACTCCTGACATGAAGTGATCCACCTGCCTCGGCCTCCCAAAGTGTTGGGATTACAGGCGTTAGCTACCATGAAAATACCTTCACATGGTATTTTCATCATTTGAGTATGTGGTTCTCGGAAGGGAGGAAAGGTCATATTCATGTTGTAATTCCAACACCTACTGTGTTTCTTCAGTGTCTAATGCACACTCCCTCCCTCTCGTTCTTACAACACCAGAATCTTGTGGTTCCTCTCAGCCCCTTTCCCAACACTTCCTTCTCTACAGAACTTTTCACCTTGGATCCCCACAGGGTTCAGCCCTATCCCCAACCCCCACCCAATGACTCTTATTGCCATCTACTTGCTGGTGACGATCTGTGTTGCCTGCCAAGCGTGTCCGCTTGAGGTTCTCGGGGCATCTCAAACTCAAGTGGGTCCCAAAGTGGAATCACCACTTTTCACTGAGACTTGTCTATCCTCAGGTGTTTCCAGTCTTAGTGAATGACAGTATCATCTGCCCAACTGCTGAAGCCAGAAATGGGAGGGTCATCCCGGACTCCTCCCTCTCCTTCATCCTCCTCATCTAATCTGTTGTCAAGCCTTGTCAATTCTACCTCTAAAATATATCTTGAGGCCGGGTGCAGTGGCTCACGCCTGTAATCCCAGCACTTTGGGAGGCGGAGGCGGGCGGATCATCTGAGGTCAGGAGATCAAGACCAGCCTGGCCAACATGATGAAATCCCATTTCTACTGAAAATACAAAAAATTAGCCGGGCGTAGTGACATTCACCTGCAATCCCAGCTACTCAGGAGGCTGAGGCACAAGAATCGCTTGAACCCGGGAGGCGGAAGTTGCAGTGAGCTGAGATTGCACCACTGCACTCCAGCCTGGGCAACAAAAGCGAAACTCCATCTCAAAAAAAAAAAAAAAAGAATCTATTCATGGCTCTCCAACCCATTGCCACCATCCTAAAACAGTTTATTATTATCTCTTGCCCAGACCCTGGGCTACTGCATCCATTTTCACTCACCCCATCCAGTCTCCAAACTGCATTGAGAGTGACTTTTTGGTTTTCTTTGTTTGAGATGAGTCTCATTCTGTCACCCAGGCTGGATTGCAGTGGCGCAATCTTGGCTCACTGCAACCTCCGCTTCCCAGGTTCAAGTGATTCTCCTGCCTCAGTTTCCCGAGTAGCTGGGATTACAGTCAAGCACTACCATGCCCAGCAAATTTTTGTATTTTTAGTAGAGACAGGGTTTTATCATTTTGGCCAGGCTGGTCTCGAACTCCTGACCTCAGGTGATCCACCTGCCTCAGCCTCCCAAAGTGATGGAATTACAAGCGTGAGCCACAGCGCCTGGCCCAGGTTCTTCTTAAAACTCCACAGGCTGGGCGCGGTGGCTCACGCCTGTAATCCCAGCACTTTGGGAGGCTGAGGCAGGCGGATCACGAGGTCAGGAGATCGAGACCATCCTGGCTGACACGGTGAAACCCTGTCTCTACTAAAAACACAAAATATTAGCCGGGCATGGTAGCGGGCACCTGTGGTCCCAGCTACTCAGGAGGCTGAGGCAGGAGAATGGTGTGAACCCAGAAGGTGGGGTTGCAGTGAGCTGAGATCGCACCACTGCACTCCAGCCTGGGCGACAGAGCAAGACTCTGTCTCAAAAAAAAAAAAAAAAGAAAAGAAAAGAAAGAGAAAGAAAAAGAAAAAGAAAAAAACTCCAACAGACACTCCTTAGCCTCAAGAGAAGGCCTAAAATCCTCCCACCTCTTTCAAGGCCTTTTATGACCTGGTGCCAGCCTACCTGTCCACTCTTCCTGCCCCATATTGCCCCAACCGTGCTGCGCCCCCTTCACAGACACGTGCATGCACACGCTGTCAACCATATTACATGCTGGGCTTCTCTCCTAAGAACCCTCTTTGGGCCGGGCATGGTAGTTCACACCTGTAATCCCAACACATTGGGAGGCCAAGGCAGGCGGATCACTTGACCCTGGGAGTTTGAGACCAGCCTGGGCAACATGAAACCTCATCTCAACAAAAAATAGAAAAATTAGCTAGGCAGGGTGGTGTGCACCTGCAGTCCCAGCTATTCCAGAGGCTGAGGTGGGAGGATCACTTGAACCTAGGAGGCAGAGGTTGTCCTGTGAGGCGAGATTGCACCACAGCACTCCAGCCTGGGTGACAGAGTGAGATGCTGACTCAAAAAAAAAGAACCCTCTTCTTTCTCAGACCAATTCCTCTTCCTCCTTAATGCCAGGTCAGTTCTCCTCACCATGGCATGCTTTTTGTAGCTCTTACCACAGTAGTGATTACCTCTTCGTGTCTGACTTCTTCCTGAGACTGTATCTGTCCTGCCCAGCATTGTCTCCTGCAGCACCTAAAACACGGCTTGGCATAATAGTAGGTGTTGTGTGTGTTGTGGTGTGTGCATTCATTTGATGAATGGATAAATGAATGAATAAATGCACCATAAATTTCAGAATGGGCAAAGGAAAGCTAGATAAGAAATATGAGAACACCACAGGGCCATCCCCTGGGACCCATCTCACCTCAGAACAATGGCAATGCAGAGGAGCGTTCCGAAGGCCAGGCTCCCTCCAGCAACCAGGAATGTGGGCAGTGGTACTGAAGAAGAATCTTGCACTAGGTTAAAAAAAAAATTGAAGATAGAGGAGGAAGAGGAGAATATGGAGAAAAAGGAATAGGAGGAGAAGAAAACCACTTAGCTGGTGCTGTCAAAAGCCTCAAAGGAACCTTCCCCTCCAACCCCCCTCCCAGAAAATGAAACAGCTCTGCCAACCAACAGGCCATTTGACAAGCTTAACTGTTTTTTGTTTGTTTGTTTGTTTGTTTCTTAACAAAGCCCACTCTAGATTCCAGGATTCCACCACTTGGCAAGAGAGACACCTCAAGCTCAGGGTTTCTGAGCGCCTGTGGCTAGCCACAGACTCCTACTCACTTTCAGAGTGGCTTTTCTGGTGACATTCCACCTGCTCCCACAAGGCACAAAGAGGGTACAACAAACGGAAGGCTTTGGGGACCTCCTTGATGGCAGTTCCTTTGAGGACAATGTCAGAGAGGATTGGATGCTTTAAATCAAGTGTTTGGAAGCAGTTTTCTCCATGGGGGTGTCATCTCTTGCCTGTCCCTGCATTTGGTACTCAAGCCCCAGCCATATGAACTTCATTCAGTTCTCCAACAAGCCATGATCTTTTTCCTCCAGGGCTCTCCACACACGTTCCCTCTTCTCTCCTGTCTGTTTTCTCTACCTTTGCTGCACCCTTTTGTGGTCTAGTCCCTACTTGGCCTTTGGATCTCAGATGAGGTGATGTCATTTCCTTTGAGAATTGACCCCACTCCAAGCTGAGCAAGTGCCCCTCCCAGTATTTCTCCATTTCCACCTCTAGACTGAGTTCCCTGAAGGCAGGGACCACATGTGTCTTTTTCACTGTAACACTGCCAGCAGCTTACACAGTGCCGAATACAAAGTAGGATCGCCAAAATATTTCTTTGAATGAAGGAAAGAACAAACCAGCTTTGCAAGCAGCCATGTCTTCCCACAGAAAGGCTCTTCCTACCACTGCCAGAGTCCCTGGACTAGACAGAGGGCACATCTAAACAAAACCATCTCCTTCTGCTGGGAATGCAGTCACAGTTGTATGGACCCAGCATTCAGGCTCTTCTACCCAAAATGCAATCCACTGCTGACGAAGAGGCTGCCTGCCAGCCATCACTTCAGATGCCTACTAGAGTCAGGCAGCGCAGAGAGCCCAGACTGGTGAGCGGGCGCTGGCTGCAAAGACAAGTTTCTCCAAGCATGTCCCATGTCTCTTGAGAGATGCAGCTGTGTAATGAAAGCAGTATGCTTGGCTTGCTCATTTATTAACATTTCATCATCTTTTCTATTTGTTCCTTCTTTTTTTTTGAAATGGAGTCTCGCTCTTGTCACCCAGGCTGGAGTGCAGTGGTGTGATCTCCGCTCACTGCAGCCTCCGCCTCCCGGGTTCAAGCAATTCTCCTACCTCAGCCTCCCAAGTACCTGGGACAATAGGCACATGCCACCATGCCCGGCTAATTTTTGTATTTTTTGTAGAGATGAGGTTTTGCCATGTTGCCCAAGCTGGTCTCCAACTCCTGACCTTAGGTGATCCGCCCACCTCGGCCTCCCAAAGTGCTGGGATTACAGGCATGAGCCACGGCGCCTGGCCATATATTTGTTCCTTCTTTCATCCAACAAATATTCTTTGAGTGCCTATCATGTATCTAAATGGATCTTACATCCAATCAAGGGAGACAGACAAATGAATTTTTTTTTTTTTTGAGACGGAGTCTTGCTCAGTGGCGCTGTCTCGGCTCACTGCAACCTCCGCCTCCCGGGTTCACCCTATTCTCCTGCCTCAGCCTCCCGAGGAGCTGGGACTACAGGCACCCGCCACCACACCCGGCTAATTTTTTGTATTTTTAGTAGAGACGGGGTTTCACCGTGTTAGCCAGGATGGTCCTGATCTCCTGACCTCGTGATCCACCTGCCTCGGCTCCCAAAGTGCTGGGATTACAGGCGTGAGCCACCGCGCCCGGCCAAACAAATGTTTTTTAAAAAAATTATCAGGAAAAGCCTCCCGGAGAAGGGTGCATCTGAGCAGAGACTTGAGTAATAGGAAGGAGCTGGCAAAGTGAATGTCAGAGGAAGCGTGTCCAGGCAGAGCACACAGCAAGTGCAAAGGCCCTGAGGTAGAGCATGTGTGGAGGAGCAAGGAGGGCAGTGTGGCTGGGGCAGAGCGAGGAAAGGGAGAATGGAGAGGCAACGTCTAAAGATAGGGGACCACATGGCTTTGCTGGGACTCCTCGTAGAAACTGGGGACTTTGTCAAGACTTTGACTTTTACTCTGGGGGAGATGGTACTGAGCCAGAGAGAGCTTGGATTTGTGTTTTAAGGGATACTCTAAGTGCTGGTTGGAAAAGAGTTGGTTGGGGGTTAAGACTAGAAGTTGGTAGACCAGTTGGCAGCCCAGGAAGCCCTGCTGGATGAGAGGCGGCAGGGGCTGGACTGGGTGTTGGCACTGGAGATGGTGAGGAGTGGTCAATTCCTAGATACGTCTCAAAGCACAAGGACAACGCTTGCTGAGGGACTGGACACAGGATGAGGAGTAGGGAGGAAGCCTGCCCGATCCCCCGCACCTGAGCAAATGCGGTACCAGTTACTGAGATAGGGAAGATGGAGAAGAACAGATCTGGGTTGAATAGGTGGGGAGGCGTCAGGTGTTCTCTTTTAGACATGTTAAATTTGAGAATGCTGGCCAGGCGCGGTGGCTCACACCTGTAATCCCAGCACTTTGGGAGACCGAGGCAGGCAGATCACCTGAGGTGGGGAGTTCGAGTCCAGCCTGACTAACATGGAGAAACCCCGTTTCTACTAAAAATACAAAATTAGCCAGGCGTGGTGGTGCATGCCTGTAATCTCAGCTACTCGGGAGGCTGAGGCAGGAGAATCGCTTGACGAGACTCCGTCTCAAAAAAAAGAAAAAAAATCATCAGTGAGGGTGGACGAAGAGGACTGGAGGTTCCCCTCCTCCATAGCAGCTTTTGTTTTTGTTGTTGTTGTTTTGTTTTTTTGACATGGAATCTCACTCTGTGGCCCAGGCTAGAGTGCAGTGGCTCGATCTCAGCTCACTGCAACCTCTGCCTCCCAGGTTCAAGTGATTCTCTTGCCTCAGCCTCCCAAGTAGCTGGGATTATAGGCACCTGCCATCACGCCTGGCTAATTTTTGTATTTTTAGTAGAGATGGGGTTTCACCATGTTGGCCAGGCTAGTCTTGAACTCCTGACCTCAGGTGATTCTCCTACCTCGGCCTCCCAAAGTGCTGGGATTACAGGCGTAAGCCACCGCGCCCGGCCCATAGCAACCTTTGAACACCCAACCTCTTGCATCCCACCCATACCATTCAAAGCCCATTTCAAATGGCACTTCCTCCATGAGCTTTCTGTGACTGCTCAGCTTGATATACTCTTTCAAATCTCTAAATTCCACTTTGCTTTATCTGTGCCTCCCTTTTGGCCCATCTCACATGCTGGTCTTTGTCACAGTTACCAATTTACTCTTTGTCAGAGCCTGGACTGTAGCCTCCTTGAGAACAGGGATGGCTCTAATCCTCTCCGAGTCCCCAACTGTGCAGAGCTCAGCCCCAGGTATTTAGCAGGTCCTCCACAGGTGCACTGCACCATGGTAGGGCTTTGTACCTGGGCTGTTGTAGCAGAGGCAGCCAGCATCAGTGCAGGCAGGAATCCACCCAGGGATGGGGAACGAGGGCAAGGACTGCCTCACGAAGCCCAAGAGTCATCAGGGGAGCTGCTCAACTACTGAACCTCTGGAGTCTGGATTCCATAAGTCCCATATACCTAGTCAAACACAGGACTTGTGATCTTTCTTGATTCAAATACTGGTAAGCTTTCCTGGTCTTGCAGGGATAGGGAATCAAAAGCATTGAAATCAAGGGCTCCCAAAATAAAGATTTCCCTCAACAGGTATTCCATTTCAGACTCCAATAATCTTGTTTGCAGCACATTCATTTGTATTGTGGGCCAACTGTGAAATATCTCACTTTTCAAATATCTCGAAGTGATTTGTCCCACTTTTCTTACGGTCTCCTCATTATATCTTAGCTAACAATATCAAAGTTCAACATATAAAGTAATAAAAGAACATTTCTGGCCAGGCACGGTGGCTCATGCCTGTAATGTCAGCACTTTGGGAGGCCGAGGTGGGTGGATCACAACGTCAGGAGTTCAAGACCAGCCTGGCCAACATAGTGAAACCCTGTCTCTAGTAAAAATACAAAAATTAGCTGGGCATGGTGGCATGCGCCTGTAATCCCAGCTACTTGGGAGGCTGAGGCAGGAGAATCGCTTGAACTCAGGAGACAGAGGTTGTGGTGAGCCGAGATCATGCCACGGCACTCCAGCCTGGGCAACCGAGCAAGACTCTCTCCAACACACACACACACACACACACACACACACACACACACAGAACATTTCTGCGATTGATCTGTGATTGATCCTCTGACGACATGTCCAAATAAGAAAGGACTTTCTGCAGAGACAAATCTTCTGTCCCTCGGACCCTGGGAATATGAAAATACCCAGTCCTTACCTGGGAGGCTTGTCGCATTTGCAGAATCTCTGAAGAGAATATTATCATCGTCTTTATTAGTAGTAAGTGCCTAAAAGAGACATTCCTCACCATCAGCCTGTTTCTGCAGATTGCACCATCATTCAGAACCAGTTCAGGAGTTACCTCCTCCTCAGAGCCCTCCCTGATCCACCCAAAGCATTCCTTTCTCCATTTCATTCATAACAGTGGAAAAATCAATAATACTATTATTTGCATTTTTTCTATCCACACCATGCCTGCTAAAGGTGGGGCTTTCTTTCCACCTGCCTCTCCACCAAAAGCTTAAAGCTGCACAGAGAAGATGCTCAGTGGATACACTGAAGCAGCTGTTGTCCTTACAGGTCCGATGCAAGGATGCAGGTACTACCATGACTGGAATGCTGGTTCCACCACTTACGAGCTATGTCACCTTGGACAGACTTCTTTTTTTTTGTTTGTTTTTTTGTGAAATGGAGTTTCACTCTTGTTGCCCAAGCTGGAGTGCAATGGCATGATCTCGGCTCACTGCAACCTCCGCCTCCCAGGTTCAAGCGATTCTCCTGCCTCAGCCTATCAAATAGCTGGGATTACAGGCATGCGCCACCACACCCAGCTAATTTTGTATTTCAGTAGAGAAAGGGTTTCTCCATGTTGGTCAGGATGGTCTTGAACTCCTGACCTCAGGTGATCTGCCTGCCTCAGCCTCCCAAAGTGCTGGGATTACAGGTGTGAGCCCCTGTGCCCGGCCCTGGCCTCAGACTTAACTCACGTTAAGAAGCCCTACAAGGCCGGGCGCGGTGGCTCACGCGTGTAATCCCAGCACTTTGGGAGGCCGAGGCGGGTGGATCATGAGGTCAGGAGATCGAGACCATCCTGGCTAACAAGGTGAAACCCCGTCTCTACTAAAAATACAAAAAAAATTAGCCAGGCGCGGTCGCGGGCGCCTGTAGTCCCAGCTACTCGGGAGGCTGAGGCAGGAGAATGGCGTGAACCCGGGAAACGGAGCTTGCAGTGAGCCAAGATTGCGCCACTGCAGTCCGCAGTCCCACCTGGGCGACAGAGCGAGACTCCGTCTCAAAAAAAAAAAAAAAAAAAAAAAAAAAAAGCCCTTACAAGCACTCCCTTGCAATGTTAACATAAGGAGCCAATGAAACAGCAAATGCAAGGCTCACAGTTTAGCAGGATGTGGCCAGTCCTCAGTCGGTGTCAGTTTCCCCAGAACCCGTGTTGGGAGCACTCTAGCCCCATGGGTATGGGCTTCACCTGCAGCTGTTCCTACATGGAACACAGATAAGGTTCAAGAGCCCCAGGCTCCTTCCCTGTGCCGCACAGCTCCAGAAGTGGCTATGACTCCCAGCTTAGCATTTAGGGAATTAAGGGCCACAGGAGGAGATATAGTTGGATAGGAAATTGGATTACTCAAGGAATTTGTTAAGCAGCTTCAGAGGTAATCCTCTTTCCAGCAAATTATGTCACCAAGAGTCCACAGGGGAAGGATGCAGATAAACAGAATCCAATCTCAAGCTAAGCCATTAGCGTTGTCCAAAAAGCTCAGAGATGAAATAGCAGCTGCTAGACGCAGAGCAGTTCTGCACGCCAGGCCAGCGCTGCTCCACTCCTTACAGTCCTGGGACAAGATAATTTCTATGATTCCCTTTCACAGAGGTTTGAAAAGCACAGGTAACTCACCACGACCACATTTCTACTAGTGACAGAACTGGATTTAAACCAAATTCGGTCTGGCATCAGCCCACACTCCTAAACACGAGGTGCTGCAGCCCTGACCCTTTTACAAGAACAGGAGCTCACCTGCATGGGGGTGGACACCTCGTTCTCAGCTGGAGGACTCCTGGATTCTGCGGACAGAAGAAAGGCTCATTATTAGTGATTCATGGGCCCTGGAGTCCTGTCTCAGGGGCTTCAGCATCAGAAAAAAAAAGTTCATCTCAATGTTATTTAAAAGAACAGCATGGGCTGGGCGCGGTGGCTCACGTCTGTCATCCCAGCACTTTGGGAGGATGGGTAGATCACCTGAGGTTAGGAGTTCGAGACCACCCTGACCAACATGGAGAAACCCTGTCTCTACTAAAAATACAAAATTAGCTGGGTGTGCTGGCACATGCCTGTAATCCCAGCTACTCGGGAGGCTGAGGCAGGAGAATCGTTTGAACCCGGGAGGCGGAGGTTGCAGTGAGCCGAGATCATGCCATTGCACTCCAGCATGGGCAATAAGAGCAAAACTCCGTCTCAAAAACAAAACAAAACAAAACAAAACAAAACAAAACAAAACAAAAAACAGCATGCTGGAAATAACCAAATATCCAACCGTAAGGGACTAGCTGTAGAAATTATGACATAACTACATAATGCAGAAACTTTTAAAATTTATTTTATATATATATATGTATGTGTATATATATATATGTGTATGTGTATATATATGTATGTGTATATATATGTATGTGTGTATATATATATGTGTGTGTGTGTGTGTGTGTGTGTGTATATATATATATATATATATATTTTTTTTTTTTTTTTTGAGATGGAGTTTCACTCTTTTGCCCAGGCTGGAGTGAAGTGGCATAATCTCGGCTCACTGCAACCTCCACCTACTGGGTTCAAGCGATTCTTCTTCCTCAGCCTCCCAAGTAGTTGGGATTATAGGCGCCCACCACCACACCCAGCTAATTTTTGTATTTTTAGTAGAGACAGGGTTTCACCATATTGGCCAGGCTGGTCTTGAACTCCTGACCTCAGGTGATCTATCCGCTTTGGCCTCCCAAAGTGCTAGGATTACAGGCATGAGCTACCGTGCCTGGCCAATTATTATATATTTTTTGAGACAGGGTCTCGCTCCGTCGCCAGGCTGGAGTGCAGTGGCATGATGATGGCTCACTGTAGCTTTAACTTCTGGGCTTCAGTGATCCTCCCATCTCAGCTTCCCAAGTATCTGGGACTACAGGCGTGTGCCACCACGTCTGGCCAAAAATATTTTAGAAAAACATTGAAGACATGACATAATGCTGTATGAAGAATGCAAGACAAGAAAAATTCTATGTATTTTGATTCAAACTTTCTAAAGAAATATATTTTTATGATTATTGTGTAACACAGTATATATCATAATACTATATATTTGCACACAGGAAGAAGAAAATGGAAAGATACACATCACCAGAGATAAGCACTATTTCAATTTCCTTCTATGCACCTTTTTGCAATAAAAAATATATAACAAATAAATATTCATTTGCCTGTATGGGTTTAGTACACATTGCAGCAGCAGGGATGTGGACCAGGCACCCTCACGGCTCCCTCCCCCTGCACGGGAACAGTGTTTCTGCGGAAACCCCAAGGCAAGAGGAGGCTAAGTATCCAAGCGAAAGCCTGGGCCTTAACCGTAACAGGCAGTGAGTGGAATGCTCTGGATTTCAAAACATTTTCTTGTCAGCTCATCATTTTTCCATCAAGAATTCTAAAATTCCACAGAATGGTTTAAACAAAAATCACGAGCCTCGCTGGGCCAGGAGTAAGGACTAGCAAGGAGGCGGGGAGAGGGTGACCCTGCTTCGGCGTCAGGGAGGGTTTCCAGAATTCCTGGAGTATGCCATCACCAGTAAGGGGGAAACCACACACCAGCAGCACCAGAGGAAGTATAAGAATGCATCCACTCTTCCAATTGTACAGAGGGGAAACAGAGGCCCGGAGAGGGAAAGCGACTTGTTCAAGGCCGCACAGCAAGTGCGACCTGAATTGAACCTAGAATTCATGGGAGGGACCCAGTTTATTGTTCCTTTGCGTTCTTCCCAGCCCAGCAGAGGACAGTTACACACTTATAGCCCAGGGTATCTAAAGGATGACCTGAGGGCATGGAGGCACTAGAATGAAAGCTAAAATCAGAAGACAAAGAAGATGGGGGCAGGCCGGACTCACACCTGTAATCCCAGCACTTTGGGAGACTGAGGCTGGAGAATCCCATGAGGCCAGGAGTTTGAAACCAGCCTGGGTAACATAGTGAGACCTCATCTCTAAAAAAAAAAGAAGAAAACAAGAAGAAGATGGGGCAGCCCTAAATAGAAAATATGGCTGCCCATGGATGCTCGTGCAGTTCAGCAGTTTTCCAAACCCCGCCAGAGTCAGCTTCGTCTGGAGCCTTGAAGGCTCCACCTTGCTTGTTGCCTCAGAACCATGGAAATGGGACCCAGTCATTAGGGCTTTTTTTTTTTTTGAGACCGAGTCTCGCTCTGTCGCCTGGGCTGGAGTGCTGTGGCGCAAACTCAGCTCACTGCAAGCTCCGCCTCCTGGGTTCAAGCCATTCTCCTGCCTCAGCCTCCTGAGTAGCTGGGACTACAGGCGCCCACCACCACACCCGCCTAATTTTTTGTATTTTTAGTAGAGACGGGGTTTCACCGTGTTAGCCAGGATGGTCTTGATCTCCTGACCTGGTGATCCGCCCGCCTCAGCCTCCCAAAGTACTGAGATTACAGGTGTGAGCCACCGCGCCCAGCTGTCATTAGGGTTTTTTAAAGGCTCCCCATACTATACTCAAGACAGATGCTTCAGGAAGAAAGTTTCTACTCTCAGTCCTGACCCCCAACACAGCCTGTGGCCCAGAGAATGCCCAGTAACCTCTGGCGGCTCAGGTTTCTGGGGTTAAAGTGGTAATGAACCACAAAGCCACAGGAAGAGGGGAGGAGAGACCGTGGGACCCACAGGCTCAGTGGCGCCAGGCAGCTCCTGCGTGCTGAGCAAGGGGACCCTACTTCACACCTTTCCTCGCAGCCTTTAAACCACCCAACAGACAGCTCATCACTGCTCCTCTATTCGTGTAGAAACAAATAAATAAACCTCACTGAGGAGCCTCCTGAGGAGAAATGACTCACCTCCAGCTGGGTCCCAAATGCCACCCGGGATGGTCTGTGGAGAGAAGCCTAGTGGAGACAAGTACAGAAAAGGCTGTGTGTACAAATCTCCACAGTGTCTGGGTGCCAAAAGCGCCCCTCATTTTGAGGTTTCACCCTTCCTCATTTGGGGGGGGCGGGTGTGGGGGGCAGTTAAGGAGTCTTTTTGTTGTTAAGACAGGGTCTCCCTCTGTTGCCCAGGCTGGAGTGCAGTAGTGCAATCATAGCTCATTGCAGCCTCCAACTGCTGGGCTCAGGTGATCCTTCCACCTCAGCCTCCCACTTAGCTAGGACTACAGGTGTGCACTGCTATGCCCAACTAATTTTTTTTTAACTTTTTTTTGTAAAGACAGGGTCTCCTTATGGTGCCCGGCTGGTCTCTATCTCCTGGGCTCAGGCAATCCTCCCCCATCAGCCTCGTAAAGTGCTGGGATTATAGGCCTGAGCCACCACGCCTGACCAAGCATCCTTTCTTTTATGAAATTATGGTGATGGTAAATGCTAATAGTTATTTATCACTTACTTGTTACATTTTATGTCCTTACTTAGCAAAATTAAAAGCTGGCAACCAGCCGGGCACGGTGGCTCATGCCTGTAATCCCAGCACTTTGGGAGGCCGAGGTGGGTGGATCACCTGAGGTCAAGAGTTAAGACCAGCCTGACCAACATGGAGAAACCCCGTCTCTACTAAAAATACAAAATTAGCCGGGCATGATGGCGCATGCCTGTAATCCCAGCTACTCAGGAGGCTGATGCAGGGGAATTGCTTGAACTCAGGAGGTGGAGGTTGCGGTGAGCTGAGATCACGCCATTGCACTCCAGCCTAGGCAACAAGAGCGAAACTCCGTTTCAAAAAAAAAAAAAAAAAGCTAGCAACTTTAATTGGTCCCCAGAATTGTTTTTGAAATTTTACAGACCCGTGAAATCCCAACGTTTAGGAATCACCCAGTTGTGCACAAGGATGTCAGGCGGATAGGCAATGCGAGGATGAGGGAGGAGGGTCGTGGAGAGGGGCACGAAGAGTGGAGTGCAACAGAATGGCTGACTGCTAGATGCTATTGAGATGTGGCAAGAACCCAAACCAAGGCAGAGACATTTGGTGCGATGTGCAAGCTCCTGGCTGGGTAGCTGGGTGGGTGGGGTGTCCCCTGGACAAGCAGGGCAGGGAGATCTGTGAGGGGTGTGATATGTTTGGTTTGGGTCATGCGGAGCACCTGGCACAGGAGGGAGGATCTGGCCAGAAGTCTGGGCCAAGTTGAAGACATGAATCCAAAGCTCGAGAGACAGGCTTGGCAGGAGATACGGGTGAAAGGCAGTCATGCTGGCATTTATTGCACCCTTGTCATGTGCCAGGCTCTGTGCTAATTGCTTCTCACCTCACTGAAGCCTCACAACCCAGCAAGGCTGGGGTTTGGGTTTTTTGAGGCAGGCATTATTATTCCCATTTGACAAATAAGCAAACTGAGTCTCAGTGAGGTACTTCCCCAGGGTCGTGCTAGTCAAGGGCAAGGGCAGCAACTAGACCCAATGCTGCCTGACTCCAGAGCCAGTGCTCTGCACAAAGTGGCAGGTGATGCAGTGGAAGTGGGCGGGGCCCCAGTGGAATGTTCCAGAAAGCTGCAGAAAACAGGGCAGAGAGGGAATTCAGGGATGCCATATGGATAAGTGAACAGGGCAAAATCTCTCCGGAAATGTGTAACCAAGGCTCTTTAACCCCAGAATGTCCCACTTGGGAGTGCTGCAGAGAGGAACAAAACAAACTCCTCCAGAATGGATGGCCAAAGAGTTTGAGAAGATAACGTGTAGCTGGAGGCACTGACCGCCCAGTCCTGGCTTCAGGGCACCCCCTCATGTGCAAATGCAAACCTTTGGTATCACCTCCTCCAACAGGTGTGATTCCCATTCTTGGGGAATAGGAGAGGGAGTTAAAGGGATTATTTGTGAGAAGCAAGGAATAACCCCCTTATACCTAATGGGCTTTTCCCAGGCATTTTGCCCCACGCCCTCTTTGAAAAGGGGCTCCAGCCTGGCACAGTGGCTCATGGCTATAAATCCCAGAGCTTTGGGAGGCTGAGGCAGGAGGATCACTCAAGGCCTGTGCAACATAGGGTGACCTCATCTCTGTAAAATATTTTTTAAAAAATTAGCTGGGCATCGTGATGCATGCCTATAGTCCTAGCTACTCAGAGGCTGAGGCAGGAGTTCAAGGCTGGAGTGAGCTATGATTATGCCACTGCACTCCGGCTTGGGCAACAGAATGAGATACCATCTCTGAAAAAAAAAAAAAAGAAGAAAATGATTTTGTGATTCCCCCAGACTCAATGTTGATGTGACAGGGAGAACTCCCATCAGGAGAGGATAAATTCAGAACTCCCGCTTGAGAGAAAGCTGCCGACCGTGCTGGCCTTGCTGGCCAAAGCAGGGCTAAGACAGAGTGACCCTGGGACCCCCAACTTCATACAAAAGGCTATCCTGGGCTACAGTCTGTGCGGGGGGCCAGGCCCCAGCCTCAAGGGGGCAGCACCTGCTGAAGTCCAGGCTCCAGAGCCCCACTCTATGGCATTCCACTTCCACTCCTACAGGGGCCCACCAAGGCCGGCCTCCACCTGTCCCACTCAGACCACCCACCCACACACGTGTCGGCCTCACCAAGCAGCTCTCTGCCACCCTCCCCTTGCTCACAGCTCCGTGCCTTTGTACTCTGCCTACAATCCCCATTTTCTGTCTGGGACCCTCCTACACATCCTTCAAGACATAATTCAATTGTCACCTCCTCCATGAAGCTTTTCCTGCTATCTCTAAACTGCCCCAACAGAACAGTCTGCTTACGGCCTTATCGTGCTGTGAACACCATCTATTACGTATTAGACATACTACAGTGGGGCACGCACCCTCCTCCAGCCCCCTCAAGCACATACTAAAACCACCAGGAAAGCTTTCTCAAACCACCCACTCTACTTCCTCCTCCAGATTCCAATGCAGTGAGTTCACGATGGCATCCAGGATAGTGATTCTGGGATGCCCCTGGTCCCACTCTCCTCCCAAGAACCAGCACTGTCCTGTAATTGCTGATCCCCTTACAAATGCAGTATGCTTTAGCATTTCTAAAGAATATTTTTTCATCAGACTCACAAAAACTCTCTGAAAGGAACAAGATTGGTGCTATCATCTCTACTTTACCGATGACAAGACTGAGGCTCTGAGAGCTGAACTAACTTTACCAGTGTCATACAACCTGACTCCCAGGTGCTTCCCAGGACCTCTGTGTCTCCCAAAGGCCACCACTCCCACACCTAGTCTGGGAGGCAGGTGCATCCTGTCTGTCTGGGCCTTGAGAGCTGAAGGTCCTTGGGGTGGGTAAGCTCACCCCACACGGTGATACAGTGTTTAGTACACTGATGCGTCCCTAACAGCCAAATAACCGTGGTCCATAACACACACCTCACCTAGTGCTCTAACCTTCCCCTTATTTTTCAGAACTGCCCGCCAATTTCCAACCTGAATCCCCCTCTTGCGTCAAAATCATCCAAGTTCCTCTTGCTCTTCCCTCAGCAGAGAGGGGAGCAGCAGGTTTCTTTCTTGGATATATTCACAACTGGGTTTTGAAGACTTCCCCTGCCTCAAACCACACATGCATAGGGTGGAGGGCTCAAAGTCTTCCGCTCCTTACATGAGAAGAAACCGACTGTTCTATCTGAGCTCCCACAGAAGCTGTGTCTATGCCAAAGAAGCACATCCACCTGAGGCTGGAAAGTGGAGACCGTACCCAGTGCTGGCCAGACAGCCCCCACCACACCATCTTCCAATAGAAGGAGAGTGTCAGCAACTTAAAGAGGGACATCCACAAATGAGACCAGATTCAGGGGAAGGGGGCCAGAAAGGTGAAGAATTCACAGACCATCTCATGTAACAGCCTGGGAAGAGGAGCCCAAGCAGATGCAGGTCTGGGAACTCCAAAAGAATTCAGAGAGAGCAGACTAGGAAATTTGTCATTGGTTATCCCTGAGAACAGAGCAAGGGCCAGTGAGGCCAGAGTTAGGTTCACATAAGAAAGAACTTTCTATTTGAATAGATATTTCTCCAAAGATATATGAATGGCCAAGAAGCACATGAAAAGATCCTCAGCCTGGGTGTGGTGGCTCACGCCTGTAATCCCAGTACTTTGGGAGGCATAGATGGGCAGATCACTTGAGGTCAGGAGTTCAAGAGCAGCCTCGCCAACATGGCAAAGCCCCGTCTCTGCTAAAAATACAAAAATTAGCTGGGTGTGGTGGTGCATGCCAATCTCAACTACTCGGGAGGCTGAGGCACGAGAATCACTTGAACCCCAGGAGGTGGAGGTTACAGTGAGCCAAGATCGCCCCACTGCACTCCAGACTGGGTGACAGGGTGAGACTCTGTCTCAAAAAAAAAAAAAAAAAGACATTAATCATTAGGGAAATGCAAATCAAAACCACAGTGAGATAACACTTCACATCCATAAGGAGGACTATTGCAGCAAAATGAAAAATAACAAATGTTGGCAAGGATGTGGAGAAACTGGAACCCTTATACACTCTGGTGTAAGTGTAAAATGGTGCAGCCACTGTGGAAAACGGCATGGCATTTCCATGAAAATTTAAAAATAGAATTACCATATAATGCCACAATTATAATTCTGAGTATATACACAAAAGAACTGAAAGCAGGAATCTAAACAGATATTTTACACCCGTGTTCATAGCAGCATTATGCACAACCAAAATGGGGAAGCAAACCCAGTGTCCCCTGACAAATGAATGAATCAACACAATGTGGTATCTCTACACAATGGAATATTATTCAGCCTTAAAAAGGGAGGAAAGTCTGACACATGTTATACCACATGAATAAACCTTGAGGACATTATGCTAAGTGAAATAAGTCAGTCACCAAAGGACAAATACTCTCTGATTCCACTTATTTGAAGTACCTAGAGTGCAGCCTGGGCAACATGGTGAAACCTTGTCTCTACAAAAAATACAAAAATTAGCCAGGCATGGTGGCAGGCGCCTGTAATCTCAGCTACTCAGGAGGCTAAGGCTGGAGAATTGCTTGAACCCGGGAGGCAGAGGTTGCAGTGAGCCAAGGTCACGACAGTGCACTCCAGCCTGGGTGGGTGACAGAGTGAGACTCCGTCTCAAAAAAAAAGAGAAAAAGAGAGAGACAGAAAGAGACAAAGGAAGGCAGGCAGGCAGGTAGGCAGGCATGCAAGCAAGCAAGCAAGCAAATGAAGTACTAGAGTAGTCAAACTCACAGAAAAAGCAAGTAGACTGGTGGTTGCCACGAGCTGGGGGAAGGAGTGGGTGAAAGGAAAGTTACTGTTTAACAGATTCTGAGTTTCAGTTTTACAAGATGAAAAAAGTCCTGGAGAAGTAAAGTGGTGATGGTTGCACAACAATACTTAATGCCACAGAGCTGTGCACTTAAAAATAATATAAATGGGCAGGGCGCGGTGGCTCACGCCTGTAATCCCAGCACTTTGGGAGGCTGAGGTGGGTGAATCACCTGAGGTCAGGGGTTCAAGACCAGCCTGACCAATATGGTGAAACCCCATCTCCACTAAAAATATAAAAATTAGCCAGTCATGGTGGCAGGTGCCTGTAGTCCCAGCTACTCGGGAGGCTGAGATAGGAGAATTGCTTGAACCCGGGAGGCAGAGGTTGCATTGAGCTGAGATCACGCCACTGCACTCTAGCCTGGGCGACAGAGCGAGACTCCGTCTCAAAAAATAATAATAATAATATAAATGGTAAATCTTATGTACATTTTACAATTTGAAAATTTTTAGAAGAAACTTTATAAAAAAGCAAGATTGCTTTTAAGCTGCTTGTCACAAGCTTTAAGCTGCTTGTGACTATCTGAACTAAGTGGTTGGAATAAAAGGTAAAATAGGGATCAGCCTATATTTGGAATTCCTATTCCTCTGCACGATGTTAGAGCTGATTTTTCCCCCCTTAAAAAGGCCCCCAAAGCCATACTGATGCTCAGCATTCAGATAAATGAGTGTGTTTGGCTCAAAGTATACACAAATCAAAGAAAACCATGGACAGGTCAATACGATCTACCCTGAAGGATGCACTGATTTATTAAAATGGTCTCCCTAAGTAAGATATAGTAGTTAGGCCCCACTCCTTGTCCAGGTCTGAGCAGGAAAAAAGCTTTTGAGGAGAGGGCCCAATAGAAAGCTGCCTCCTGTCCTTGATGAACAAGGAAAGTGCCAACAAAGATGGAAGCCGGCACTTCATATTATTGCATCCAACTAGGATTACACCCTAAGCCCCAGCATACTCCTCTGGCTCTCCCCAGGACAGGAAAGACAAGGGACAAGGACCCCACAGTACAAAGCCAGCCAGGAGGAAGAGCCATCACCCCACACCATCCAATCTGGGGGAAGAATGTGCAGCCCATAGATAAAAGCCTTCTCTCCCTGGGGCCAGGGCTGGGAGAAAGTGGCAGGGGTCGGGATGGGACTGATGTCAATTCTACCTTTTCCTTTTTATCCATACTTACTCAAATAAATGGGTATCTTATTCTTTTTTTTTTCCTAACTGCCAAGTATTTAAGAATGATTAATTTGGTTCAACTACGCCACAGGGCTAGAAACATTTGACCCCAAAGTGAGCCATGAAGCCATTCTACAACAAAAACACTGGGAACAATAAAACAGATTGCTGCAAGGGGTAGTAAGCTCTCTGTCTCTGGAAGCATTTAAGCAGAGGCTGGCTGACCACTCTCTGGGTTGTGGTCAGGGAGATTCTTGCATTCTAGATCTGCTAAATCCTAACCTTTCATAGCAGGGTGTTGATAGATAATGTCTCAAGTGGTTTTATCAGGGAAAAAAAAAAGCCATATAAGCTTGTTGTTTAGAGTTAAGGAGGGCACCAACAGAGGAACTAGAAACAGAAAGAGTCAAGCAGCTTCCTTAGAAAGCAGGACTAGAAATGGAAGGCATGGGACAAGGGACCACTGCTCAGTGTTATAAGCTGTTTATTACTTCTTTGCCATGTGCATGTATTAATTTGATTAAAATTTTAAAAGTTTAGGCCAGGCGCGGTGGCTCACACCTGTAATCCCAGCATTTTGGGAGGGCGAGGCGGGTGGATCACGAGGTCAGGAGTTCAAGACCAGCCTGGCCAACACAGTGAAACCCCGTCTCTACTAAAAAAAAAAAAAAATTAGCCGGGCGTGGTGGTGTGCACCTGTAGTCCCAGCTACTCAGGAGGCTGAGGCAGGAGAATAGCGTGAACCCAAGAGGCAGAGCTTGCAGTGAGCCAATATCATGCCACTGCACTCCAGCCTGGGCAACAGAGCGAGATTCCGTCTAAAAAAAAAAATTTAAAGTTTAGTCAGGTGCAGTGGCTCACACCAGTAATCCCAGCACTTTGGGAGTCTGAGGCTGGTGGATCACTTGAGGCCAGGAGTTCGAGACCAGCCTGGGCAGCATGGTGAAACCCTGTCTCTACAAAACATTTTTAAAAAATTAGCATTGTGGCACACGCCTGTGGTCCCAGCTACTTAGGAGGCTGAGGCGGGAGGATTGCTTGAACCCAGGAGGCAGAAGTTGCCGTGAGCTGTGATTGCACTGCTGTACTCCATCCTGGGCAACGAGGAGAAAGCCTGTCTTCAAAAAAAAAAAAATTTAAGTTAAAAAAAATTTCCGACCGGGCACAGTGACTCATGCCTATAATCCCAGCACTTTGGGAGGCTGAGGCGGGTGGATCACAAGGTCAGGAGATTGAGACCATCCTGGCTAACACGGTGAAACCCCGTCTCTACTAAAAAATAGAAAAAATTAGCTGGGCGTGGTGGCAGGTGCCTGTAGTCCCGGCTGCTCGGCAGGCTGAGGCAGGAGAATGGCATGAACCTGGAAAGCGGAGCTTGCAGTGAGCCAAGATCATGCCACTGCACTCCAGCCTGGGTGACAGAGTGAGACTCCGTCTCAAAACAAACAAACAAAACAACAACAACAACAACAAATTTCCATGGAGTTTTAAAATATATGTATTAATCAGGCAGTTACTAAATAATAAGTTTCCAAAAGTAATTGACAACATGGGGAATATTACATTTATATATATAAATACACACACACATACATGTACCTAGAAAAAGGAAAGCAGCATACTAACATGTTCTCACTGGTTTTCTCTAGGGAGTAAAAGTACTGGTGATAATTATTCTTCATATCTTTCTGGAATTTTTCATGCTCTAATTTCAACAATCCCCAATGGCAATTATTACTACCTTTAACATTTGAAAAAAATAAAAAGCCCTAGATTAAATACGGCTAACTTCTCTGCAGTGCATCCCTCCAGCTGTGGTGGGATCCCCACCCGCCTGCCCTGAGTCTGGGCTGGCAGCTGAGGATGAGAAGCCACAGGGAGAACCCAGGGCCTCGGCCACCAGCCAGCACCATCGTCAGACATGTGACTGAGGCCATCTCAGACCATCCCAATCTGATGGCAGCTGCATTCCTGATTCAGGCAAGACCAGCAGAAGAGCTGCCTAACTGACTGTATTTTTGAAATTTCAAGCCGATAAATGATGGTCGTTTTTAAGCCACTAGTTGTTTGTTTTGAGACGGAGTTTCGTTCTTATCACCCAGGCTGGAGTGCAGTGGCGCGATTTCGGCTCACTGCAACCTCCGCCTCCTGGGTTCAAGAGATTCTCCTGCCTCAGCCTCCTGAGTAGCTGGAATTACAGGCACCTGCCACCATGTCCAGCTAATTTTTTGTATTTTTCGTAGAGACAGGGTTTCACCATGTTGGCCAGGCTGACCTCAGGCAATCCACCCGCCTCAGCCTCCCAAAGTGCTGGGATTACAGGTGTGAGCCACCACACCTGGCCTAAGCCACTAGTTTTGAGGCAACTTGTCACATAGCAATGGATACCTGATGCAATGACAGTTGAAACATCCCTTCCTTTCTCAGTGCCCACCGCAGTACCTGTCCAAGGCGTGCCCATGGCCTCCGGGCTCCACTCGCTCCACTCGCCTTGCCCGAACTCCTCCTGGGCACGAAGCTGCACCACGTGCCTCAGGCCGCTCCAGGCGTCGTGGATGACACAGTGATGCTGGAGGTCCTTGACCTGAGGGCGGGGGCACGGTGACTCTGGGGAGGTATCCAGGATGGTGCTGGGCAGGTAGCACCCCAGTGGGTTGGTGCCTTGGCCAGCCCTGTGCTTCAGCTGGCAGAGGCCTCTAGAGGCTCCCACAACCCCAGAGGCTCTGCTAGAGAGGGGGTTGCCCTCAGGGCCCACGGAAGCTGAAGCAGAAAGTCCCTGCCCCACCCATGCACTATAGAATCCTGCAAGCCACAACCCTTGACATGTCTACAGCCCAAATCTCTTCCCACATTGCTCTCCTCACAGACAAGCCCGGGAAGAGGAGACTGGCCTGGCATTATCCTTTTCATTTAATAAATGATATACCACCAAGGCTCAGAAAGCTTAAAACATTTATCCAAAGCAACGAAGGTAGCCAATTGTGAAGCAGGAACTAGAGCCTATGGTTTTCCTTTTAGTACCCTTTCTATTTTTTTTTTTTTTTGACATGGAGTCTAACTCTGTCGCCCAGGCTGGAGTGCAGTGGTGTGATCTCTGCTCACCGCAACCTCCACCTCCCAGGTTCAAGGGATTCTCCTGTCTCAGCCCCCGAATAGCTGGGATACAGGCGTGCGCCACCACACCCAGCTAATTTTTTGTAATTTTAGTAGAGACGGTATTTCACCATGTTGGCCAGGATGGTCTCGAACTCCTGACCTCAAGTGATTCGCCCACCTTGGCCTCCCAAAGGGCCGGGATTACAGGCGTGAGCCACCATGCCTGGCCTCTAGTACCCTTTCTACTACGCCTAAGCATCTAGGGGCGCCTCTCTGACCAGAAGTAAAACATAAATTTACCATCCATGTTGTGAATGTCTTTGACCGTTCAGCCCGATATCTGAGCTCAAACCGTAGTCTGTAGAAAGATGAGTTCCAGGAGTGGGGGTCTTGCCAGGTGACACTGAGCCAGCGGGGGTTTCTGGCCACGGCAGTGACTGTGATGTTGGCAGGCGGATCAGGCTGCACTGTGGGAAAAGTGAGCATGACTCCTTTGCAGCACCAAATATAGTGTAGAGAAGCCCATGTAGGCTGAGATCCCAGCAAGCAGGGCCCCACCCAGCCCCGTTCACTCCCCATGCACAGCTCCACAAGGGCCTGCTTTATCATTGCCACACCTCCCGGCAAGCAACGCCCAAAAGGCACCAACTCACCAAACCCCTCAACCACCCCTTCCCTGCCACTCTGAGAAGTCGATAAGGAGTATTAAATCAAAAGAGAAGGAAACTGCTGGAGAGGGGGTTAGAGCTTACGTACAGATTCCACAACCCTGAAAGGTTTGAGTTTTGCTGAACTTGCTCCCGACACTACTGGCGACGCACATGGACACTATGTAGAAAGAGCTGTCTCCCTCCGGGACTGCTAACTGG